>NC_000013.11:22158106-23408106 GCF_000001405.40 Homo sapiens
TATCTAATTATGAGAGGTAACTATTAATGAAATGGAAAAGTATGGTAGAATTTGTAAATTAATAAGAGGAAAAAATAGAATTATTAGAGAATGGATCAAAGTAACAAAACTAAGAAGCAATTTGAAATATTTAGCAATCATAAGGTAAGATAAAAAATATATAATCAAGGCATCTTAGCCATTATGGTATATGCAAGTGGGCTGAATGCTTTCATTAAAGATGATTGTTATTTTTGCATTATAACACAAAACCCAGTTATATGCTATATGATAACACTTAAAACAAATAAATACAGAAAGCTAGAACATAAGGTTGTGAAGATAATTAAACACAAGGCAATATTAAACAAAATAAAACTAACAAAACACTTATTTAAAAACCCTAAAAAGTAGAAAGTGGGAAAGGCAATATACTAATATCACAATATCATTAATATGATAATATATTAAAATACTCTTGCATTTAAGGTTAAGCAGGGGTATTATGTGATGATAAAAAGAAATTATAACATTCCTAAATTTCTACGCATAAAAATATATCAGAAAAATATACAAGGCAATAACTATGCAAAATGCAGTATGTAATAGGAACATGTTTGTAGCAGGAAACTTTAATATACTGTTTTGGAAAATGGACAGATCTAGCAGGCAAAATAAATTAGTCTTGCAGTAATGAATACACAATCAACAAACAATAACCATAAACGTAAGCTTGCGTTTTTCAAAGGAGGCCATACATACTTGGTATGACTTTCACACAAAAAAAGTGCTCATTAAATTACCTACGAAGAAAAAATAAATAGAGATTTTTTAGGCCACAAAGACTACTGAGTGGTCACAAAAATCATTTTCCTACTTGAATACTAAGAAACACACTTGGATAAAATTTTTGGATCAAAGACAAAATTAAGAGGGAAATCACAACCTATCTAGAAAGCAATAAGGAGAAAACTTCACACTAAGTGTGATGGGGTAGAGCTGAACTCAGAGGGACATTTTTTATTTTAAATTACTTTGTCACTAAAGAATAAATACTAAAAATAAAGGAACTAAGGAAAAATGAAGACAGAAATCTATCATAAGGAATTAGAAACGGAAAAACAAAAACTGAAGAAACTGGGAAGAGAGAATTAATAAAGGCCACAGCCAATCTTAATGAAATAAAAAAATGCAACAAGTAAAAATTTCAGAAAGGATACTTTAATCCAACATTTAGTTTTTTAATAGATCAGAAAAATAAAACTTTAAATGTTCCTGGTTCATGAAAAAGGAGAAATAAAAAGCAAAAATGGACACACTTACACACTTTGAGATACTATTTATTATAGTCGGTTTTTAAAAAGAAATTATTAAGAGTGAAGGAAAATGGAGTATACCTCCTGACCTGACAGTGTCAGTAGACACTGACAAAGGGAGATTATTTAAAATAAGGGGGTCAGGAATTTTGCTACTGATGAACATATCTCTCAAAGCCTTTTCTAGCTTTTAATATCTTGGGATGATTAATTGACTAATGCTAAACTTTAAAGTATGTTTAAATTTGAAAAATGGAGGAGTCAATCAATGTGTTTATAATAGTGACACTCAGTATAATAGTTATTGGTGCGCTACACACTTAAGTCTCTTGAATGTAGCCTTGGAAATCTGTAATGCAAGATTATTAATGTTACCCACAATCCACATTTAGTTTCTTTTAGTGTCTGTTTATATTTGAAAATATTACACATTTGGGAGAGAAGACTGATATCCGTCAAGATAGCTATATAAAGCAGAAACCTGCAAAATATTTAGCAATATGGAATTTCTCTAATTTTGAACAGTAGTAATAACAACATTAACTTGGAACTGGATGAACATATGCATTATGTCACAGATTAAAGCAGCAGTGGTTGCTGTTAATATTTATAATCTTTATTCTATATGTGATACTTCTTCATCTAAAATAAAACTTGACCTTTGAAGAGGTTCATATGAAAAATAAGAATGACTTTTTGTAACTGTAAGATGGAATTTAAGAAAGGAGCTTAAAAGTTGTGATTCAGTTTTGTTCCAGGCCTTTATACTTTTTACTTTATACTTTTGTACTTTATATCTCTTTTGTGACACTTCATAAAGTTGCCCTTTAAAAGGAAACAAAACAAACACCAATGTGAAAACACTATATTGTACATGATAAATACGTTCAATTTTATCTTGTGACCAAAAATACAGAAATAAACTTGAAAAACAATGCAAAAAATGAAAAGAAACAGAGATGTAAACAGTAGTAGTTCACCCACATAGCATTTTAGTGTCTCTCATTTCATTTGATTTTCCAAAATACTTTAAAAGCATAGAGGGTATAAATTTCCTTATTGTATACGTGAAGGATCTAAGATTCAAGGACAATGACTTGATGAGATAGCATGTCCAGTGAATGGGCATTGAAGACTCCTAGACCAGCAGTTTCATTCTACTACGCTATTGTGCCTATTCAAGGGAATAAAGTGAAGGCTGATTTCGTTTCATTTCATTCATTAGTCTATTAATTTATTAGCATTTTATGCTCTTTTTTAGCATTTTATGTACAAGTAAATCTTAGCCGTCTTAGGAGCAGGTAGAACCACGTTAAGAGTGATGATTAGAGATGGGGGCAGAGAGAGAGATGGAGAAAAGAGAGAGGAGAGAGAGAGAGGTCCGTGTGTGTGTGTGTGTGTGTGTGTGTGTGTGTGTGTGTGTGTGTGTGTGTTTAGGGGTCTTTTTAAATAGCATACCTCAGAGAAATCCAACCCAAGCAAAGTGAAATTTGAAAGTAAGGACATGGGATATGTTTCCATAGTTTTCTGGGCTGTAGCCTCATTTTCCACAGAATGACGTGGAGCCCTTCTCATCTGAGTCATTCGAAACTGTCCTAGACAAAACACTTGCAGTCCCAGCTTAGGGAATAATCTTGCATTGGCAAGAGCCTGGACTAACAAACTTATTTTCTCTGATTTTTACTTTGACATTACAGTGAATACAATATCTTTAGTTTAAACACACATACACACACACCTCTTGGGCGTTACATTATTTTTCTACATGGGTAGGAAGTTGGTATGTCGCACTGTGGACTAGATTTAATTGACGAGATCAATTAAATAGTTGTTGCTGACTTCTCTGTTCCCCAGAGCCCTCTCTAACTTGTGCTTTCTGCTCATGTGTTTTGAGGATGAGAGATACAGCTTTTTCCCGGCGTTTTTGAGGAAGGGCAATGTCATTTTAGGAAGAAGAAACCTCTATTGTAGATATTACCTGTTCTTTTTGTTTGTACACACACACACACACACACACACACACACACACACACACACACACTCTGTCTCCTGTTGGTTCTTGGTTTTGTTTCTATGAAGAACCCTAACTAATACATCATATAATGCAAATAATAGAATATGTGACCTTTTGTGCCTGACTTCTTTAACTTAACATCATTTTTCTTAGATTCATCCAAGTATAACAGTACTTTGTTTCTTTTTATGGTTGAATAATATTCCATGACATGTACATGCCACAATTTCTTTATCCATTCATCCAGTGACGAACATTTGAGTTGTTTTAAACTTTCAAATATTATGAATAATACTACTGTAAGTATTTTGTGTATAATTTTTTGTATGGACATACATTTTCACTTTCTCTTGAATACCTAGGAGTAGAATTGCCGGATCATAGATCGTATGTTGATTCTATCTGTAATTGTTTGAGGAATCATCAAACTTTTTTCCACAGTAGTTGCACAATTTTATATTCCCAGTAGCAATGTGTGAGAGTTCCTGTTTCTCCATATCCTTGCCAAACTTATTTTTCATTTTCTTGGTTTAAGATATCCTAGTCGGCGTGAAAAGGTATCTCTCATTGTGGTTTCGATTTGCATTTCTTTAGTGACCAAGGATATTCAGCACCTTTGCTCTGGTTTAGAACCTGCAGTATAATTATGCATAGCAGAAGTGAAAGCAGCAATCCTTTTCTTGTTCTGATTTTGAGGGCAAAATTTTAGGCTTTCATAATTGAGTATGATGTTAGTTGTGGTTTTCTCATAAAAGACCTTTATTTTGTTGCAAAAGTTCTCTGCTAGTCCCAGTTTTCAGAGTGTTTTTGGTATGAAAGGATGTTGAATGCTGTTAGTGGATTTTCTGCATGTATTGAATTCTATTAATGAGGTAAATTACATTAATTTTCTTATGTTGAACTGCCCTTGCTGTCCTGTGATAAATACCATTTGATCTTGGTGTGTAATCCTGTTAATATGCTGTTAAGGCTAGGCATGGTGGCTCACACCTATAATCACAGCATTTTGTGAAGCCGAGGCAGGAGGATCTCTAGAGGCTAGGAGTTTGAGACCAGCTTGGAAAATATAGTGAGATCCTGTCTCTAAAAAATTTTTTTTAAGTAGCCAGGCATGGTGGCATGCACCTGTAATCCCAGCCACTCAGATGCTGAGGCAGGAGGACTGCTTGAGCCCAGGAGTTCAAGTTCAAGGCAGCAGTGAACTGTCATTGCACCGCTGCTATTTAACCTGGGCAACAGAATTAGACCCTGTCTCAAAAAAAAGTGCTGTTAATATTAATTTGCTAGTATTTTGTTGAGCTGTGGTATGTGTGTGTATGTGTGTATGTGTATGTGTGTGTATGTCTGCATTCCTAAGAGATGTTTGTCTGTAGTTTGCTTGTAGTATCTTTGTCTGACTTTGGTACTAGAATAATCCTGGCTTTATAGATGTGTTAGGAAGTGTTCCCTCCTCTTCTAATTTTTGGAAAAATATTTGAGTATAATTGGTGTTAATTCTTCTTTACATGTTTAGTAGAATTCACCAGTAAAGGCATCTTGTCCTGGAATTGTCTTGTTGAGAGGTTTTGATTATGGATTTATCCTCTTGTAGGTCCTTTGAGATTTTCTACTTCTTCTTGAGTCAGCATTTTCAGTTTGTGTGTTCTAGGAATCTGTCCATGTCATCTAGATTGCATAATTGTTAGGGCATCTAATCTCTATAGTTTCTGTAAGGTTGACAGTAATGTCCTTACTTTCATTTTTGATTTTAGTTACTTGTGTTTTATCTGTTTTTTCTCACAGTCTAACTAATGATTTATCCATTATATTCTATCCTTTCAAAGAACAAACTTACGGTTTTGTTAATTTTACTGTTTTTATATCCTCTGCTTTTCTTATCTCTGCCCTAATCCTTATTATTTCCTTTTTCCTACCGGCTTTGGGTTTAGTTTGCTCTTCTTTATGTAGTTCCTTAAAGTTTAAAGTAAGGTTGTTGATTTGAGATCTTTCTTCTTTTCTAATGTAGACGTTTACAGCTATAAATTTCCCTCTGAGTACTGCTTTCATTGTTTCTTATAAGTTTTGGTATATTGAGTTTTTGTTTTCTTTTGTCTCAAAGTATTTTCTAATTTCCCTATTGATTTCCTTTATTGGGCTGTTTAAATGGGTGTTGTTTAATTTTTATGTATTTGCAAAATTTTCAGTTTTTCTTCTGTTACTGATTTCTAGCTTCACTCTATTGTGGTCGAAAAAGATATTTTGCATGATTTCAATCTTTTAAAATTTACTGAGAGCTGTTTTATGGCCTTACATATGTTCTATCTATGAAATGTTTCATGTGAAATTGAGAAAGTGTATATTCTTCTGTTTGGTGAAGCATTCTGTATATACGTTTAGTCTAATTGGTTGGTAGTATTGTCCAAGTCTTTTGTTTCTTTATTAATCTTCTGCCTAGACATTCTATTATTATGGAAAGTGATTTGGTAAGTCTCCAACTATTATTGTAGAAGTGCTTATTTCTCCCTTCAATTCTGTCAATATTTGCTTCATGTATCTTAGGTCTCTGTTTGTTACATCTGTGTTTATAATTGTTATAACTTCATAATGCACTAACCGTTTTATCAATATAAAATGTCCATCTGTCTCCTGTCACAATTTTTGACTTAAAATTTATTTTTTCTGATATTAGCATAGCCACCCAGTTCTTTGTTGGTTACTATTTGCATGGAATTTTTTTATCTTTTCACTTTCAACTTATTTTTGTCTTTGGTTCTAAAATAAGTCTCTTGTAAGCAGAACATTGTCAGATCATGTTTATGTTATCCATTCTTCCATTTTCTGTCTTTGAATTGGTGAGTTTAACCATTTACTGATTATTAACCATTTAAACGGATTACTGATAATGAGGAATTTACTTCTGCCATTGTGCTATATGTTTTCTATATGTCTTATATCTTTTTGTTGTTATTGTTCTTGAATTCCTCCAGTACAGGCTTTCTTTGTGTTTGATTGACTTTTGTCTAATATACCATTTTGATTCCTTTTTTATTTTATTTTCTGTATATTTTAAAGTTTTTTTTTAGTGGTCGCCAGGGGTATATTAAATGTATAACTAGTTTGAAGTGATATCAACTTAGCTTCAATAATATACTTTAACTCTACTCTTATGCAACTCCATCTTTCTTTATCTTGCTGTTGTTACCTATTACATCTTTATATGTTGTATGCCCATTAACATAGATTTATAATTACTGTTTTATGTAATTGTCTTTTAAATCATATAGAAAACAAAAAGAGTGTTTATAAACCAAAAGTACAATAATGTTGAGTTTTATATTTACATATGTAGTTAACTTTATGAGTGATCTTTATTTCTTCATAGGGCTTTGAGTTACCATCTAGTGTCCTTTAGTTTCAGTTTAAAAAACTCCCTTTAGCATTTATTGTAGTGCAGGTTTACTAGTGACAGATCCCTTTAGCTTTTGTCTATTGGGGAAGGTCTTAATTTAGCCTTCATTTTTGAAGCCATGGAAATCTTGGCTTAACAGCTTTTAAAAATTCAGTACTTTAAATATATCTCACTGCCTTTTGGCCTCCATAGTTTCTGATGAAAAATCAGTTATTAACCTTATTGAGGATCCTTTGTGTGTGACAAATTGCTTCTCTTTTACTGTTTTCAAATTTTTCTGTTAACTAGGACTTTCTACAGCTTGATTATAATATGTCCCTGTGGATCTCTGAGTTTACTCTGCTTAAAGTTGAGTATTTTGTGTGTAGCTTCACATCTGTCATCAAACTTAGAAAGTTTTGGGCCATTATTTCTTTACAAATGTTTCTGCTCTTTTCTCTCTTTTCTCTTTATGACTTTTATAATATGTGTGTTAGTATAGTTCATAGTGTGCCATAGGACCCTTAGGCTCTTAATTTTTCTTCATATTTTTCTTTCTGCTTGTCAGACTAATTTTAATTACATTCTCTTTAAGTTCACTGATTCTTCTGTCTGCTTGAATGTGCAATTTAACTCCTTTAGTAAATATTTTATTTCAGTTGTTTTACTTTAAGCTCCAGAATTTCTATTTGGTTCTTTTTAAAAATAATTTCTGTTTCTTTATTGATATTCTCTATTTTTTCATATATTGTTTTCTTGATTTCTTTTAGTTCTTTATCCATGGTTTCTTTCAATTTTTGAATAAGACCGTTAATTTAAAGTCTTTGTCTAGTAAGTCAGATATCTCAGTTGGTCTTACTTAATTTCTCTTTTTTCCTATAAATCTATAATTTCCTGTTTATTTGTATGTATTGTAATTTTTGTTGAAAAGTGAACATTTTGAATATTGTAATGTGGTAATTCTGAAAATAAGATTCTACCTTTTCTCCAGAAATTGCTTTTGTTGTTTGATGAAGGCTGCAGTTGTCTCTTTTATGGAAGGCATGTATTTCTTGTCATGTGTGTTCTCTAAAGTGCCCATTATGTTATCTCTACAGTCAGCCAATGACTTGACAGGTATTTTCTTAAATGCCTGGATCCAATAAGAAAAGAAAGGTACCTGTCTTTGAAAACTTCTAATGATTTATGTGGTGGGAGTAGTGACTCCAGCGAGTGGGGGTTGATATAATATCTAACCTCTGTGCTGACCTCTCAATGATGAAAAGCAGTGATCAAACTGAATCATTTCTATTTTGAGGGAACACAGTCTCTATTTCCCAATCTCGTTCTAGCTAGCCACAGCAGCATCATGGGTGCCATCTCCATATCTGCCTGTCACAGGGTTTGGGGATGGGTTGATAGTGGCTAAGCAAAACACCAAAATTCAATGAAATTTACCAGTCTGTTTCTTCATCAAGCGCCTCCCAGGATGTTGAGAGTGTTCCCCTAGATTACAGAGCTCCAAAATTGTTGCCTTACAGTTCTTGCCAGCCAGCTTAATAGAACTGTGTGTGTGTGTGTGTGTGTGTGTGTGTGTGTGTGTGTGTGTGTAAGGACAGATTCCTGGAGCTTCCAATTCCACTATCTTTTGTGATGTAACTTCTCCTATATTATGTTTGTTCTTCTATTTATTAAGAAGAACCCAAAACAATGTTTAGACTCTTAGCTCTGGTAGAAATGGTACATTCACTAATTTTCCAATTTTGCTGCTATGGCCTATAGACTAACAAGTGGGAATCTAGAAAATGTATCAGAATTTTAGATCATCCAAGGTGGATAAACTACTCCTTTGCACTCCAGAACCTCCTGGGGACAGTAGAGAAATAAGGTGATTTTGAAGACTATTGTGAGAATGTGGAGGGTGTGTTTTAGTTAGTTAATTAAATTATAGATGGAAACTCCATTATTTAAGAGCATTAACTAATGTCAATAAAAGAGAACAAAGTTAAAACAATTTCATATCTAGAATGTTTAAGAAAAATTTACAATATGAACAATATGATATAAAACGTCTCTTAGAACAGCTCAAACAAGGCATCATGAAAACTTGGGAAAGTGTAGGTGATGACTTATCATGGGGCTTTTCCATTCCAAAGAAATACTGTTCTCTCCTGCACACATCTTCAAGTCAGCAAGTTTCTTGACAGAAGGCGGTAATATCACACAAATGAAATTATAAGGGTCTGTATTAAAATACATGCACTTTTTGCTACTTACACTCTGAAAATAACAAAATGCATTCATTTGTGATATTTATAATTTTTTCTTCAGTTTTTAGTAAAAAAAAAATGTTAACATATATAGTTTTACTATATAATACTCTTAAATCTCCATGAGGTGAACTACTGTTTTTATTTTCTGGTTACTAACAGGGTTTAGGGAGTCAATTCCTGATCTAAATTTATCTCTAAATTCTAATAGAAAATGAATTTAAAAATCATATACAAGAGGGAAATTTTAGAGATAATAAAACTCTGTATTTTGTAGGGAGACCGCAGAATGCTTATTGAACAAGAATCCAGTTTGATGTTTTGTTAAGTAAGGACAATTAGTGTCTTAGGTCCTTTTGAATTTAATGATAAAGTATATTGTATATTTTAATGTATAAAAATTGTAAGTATTTTGCATACAATTTCTATGAATCTGAAATGACACCCCAATTGAGTTGTTTCTTCCCAGTGAATTTTATGATTAGATCTTAAAAACATGGGCACATTCACAATAAATGCAGTAGATTATAATTTGAAAGGAGTGATAGTAATAAGCATAAAAGAAAACAAAAATAATGGCAGATTTAGGTTTTACTGGCACATGAGAGGTCAGTTTTTGAGATATTTGAAATAACATAGAGTCTCACTATATATAAACAACCTGATAATTTTTTTAAAGTTTCATAACCAAGTCAGCATTTCAGAGGGAAGAAATTTTGATGAAAGCCATGCTGTGTAAAAATTAGCTCCTGTATTCATTAACTCTGTTGGGAAGCAAATGTTTCACCTAAGGAGGAATGTTTCTCAGGAAGCTAGTGTACGATATGTGTGTATTGATTAATTTTATGTCTTAAAATATTTAATGCAACTTGATAAAAATCAAATTGACTACAGAGAATTAAAAATATCATAATATAAAATTTCATTTTAGGTATGTGTAAGTCGTTTTCCACTGAATTCTGTGTCATGTGAAATCCTTACAAAATTTTATAAAGATAATTTATAGATATATGTCTGTATATGTATGTATACACATGTACATGCATGATTTACATTTGTTTTTCACAGAATGGAGGCAATATTAGCTTTCCTTAAAGAAAACCATGACTCTTGACAGCTCTTTAAATATTTTGCAGGTTACTGTGACTGATTCAGTTCAAACATTATGTGGCATGAACATTTGCTCATGTGTCATATTGATGTTGATGATGTTAGCTGAGAGGGAGGAAGTACTTAACTGGAATACTATGCTTCTCAGTTTAGACACTAATTTTCTAGCTATTGCAAAACACATTTCATTCTCACTTTAGACACACAGGGTAAAAGGCAGACTCTGCGTTCACAGACTTGGAGAGCTCATGGAAATTCATTGCAGTTCTTAGCAATTCCACCTTTGATTTTTCTCTTCAGAGATGAATATGATTCTAAGAACTACTCCAGGAGCTTTCAAACTTTTGTTTGGGATGCCACCATCTTTGAAACCTTTTTTTCTTGTTGGCTGGAAATTTTGTAAAATGTCTCTGTGAATTTCCCCTATGGCATGTCGACATCCAAGATGGTAGCCATGGGAGGCCCCGGCCCCCGCTTAGTGGCGACTCCACTCAGGAATGTGCACAGCTGCAGGAACCTGGGCTGCTGCGCAGAGGGGATTGTGCAGTTGCTCAGCTGTGTGATCCAGTGAACACAAAATATTTCACTCGGAAACTAATACTGCTTTAAGGAAAACTTATGGGGGGAGGAAAAACAGGTGAGACCAGATGATCTAATCCAATTAAAACCATGGGATCTTTCCTTCTTATCTTTAAATAGTTTGCTTCCAAACATACCGTGGTGTGATTGTTTGCCATGTTCTAATGTGACATAAGGGTGTATTTTCAATTTAAATGCACTGTGAGGTGCCAAAAGATCACTAAGGGAGTTTGTGGAATATGTTTTCCTTAGAGCTCCAGGGCTCAATATAGAGCAATTTTGCTTGAGGAGAAACGGAGATCTTAAATGAGCTCTAGAGGTCTCTTTATATCACATTTATAAAATGACAAATGGATTGAAGTAGGTTCAAACCACAATGCAAACTCCGGGAAAGTTCCAGGGTATGAGGTCAAATCTGCCTCTCTCTCTGCTGTTCGTTTTTCTCTTCGTGCCTTGGCTCTGTCTTTCCTTTGTTTCACTCTCTTTCTCTTGGTTCATCTTTTTCCCTTTTGTCTCTCTTTCCTCCTCTTATTTTGGAGAGCGTAGCCTGTTTGTTCTTCATCTTTTCCTTATCTATGGGCCTCATGACCCTTTTCTTTAAAGCAGTTGTTCATGTCCTTATTGCTTTTAGAAACCAACAGAAGTTTCTGACATCGTATATTGAATATGACTGAGGAAGAAGCCAAAGTTGTATTTAAAGAAAAGAGATGCTTTCTAAGAGAATCTGGTAGTGTTTGCAAACTATGTTAGTGTAACACAAAATATTTACGAAGTAATTTCACAAAGGTAAGTCAAGCCCAGAGCCAGGATCTAAACTAAGGAACAGAGTAGGTGTTTGAGGAATGAATGCTGTCTTCTCCCCTCTGTCCTCCAGTAAGGAAGCACACCACTGTGACAACTGAGGGGTTCAGAAGAGGGTGATTTCACAGCAGGTCATGAAAGGTAGAGGGCTGGTTAGAATTGGGCAGAGATGATGACATAACAGCTTTGGAATGATGCTACTGTGAGGTGAAGGGCTTGAAGCAAATCTTCATGAGCAAGCTGTTAGTCTTGATAAATAAGCTATTTTACTTGGTTCCTGTCTTATCTTCGAAGTAGCTTAGTTATTTTTGCTGCTTCTCAGTGTCATTTATCACAGGGACAGGAAAGTATTTTGGATTCATTTTTCAGCCTGCATCAACTTGTCGTG
The DNA here is from genome assembly GCF_000001405.40 of Homo sapiens. Lineage (NCBI taxonomy): Eukaryota > Metazoa > Chordata > Mammalia > Primates > Hominidae > Homo > Homo sapiens. The sequence continues at coordinate 22,169,910 of NC_000013.11, forward strand.
TGTACATCTCATTATGGTGCATCACAGTTAATTACTTACATGTGCTTTTCCCTCAAGACTGTGAACAATTGATAGCATTTAATTTTGTATCATGATAAACATGTTGCCTGGTGGCAATTTCAGCCACATTTTAAAGTGGAATGGATAATGTAATGTCAAAACAAAAACTAACTCAACCTCCCCTACTGCATTCACCCCCTTCCCCACCCCACAATGAAGCACTGTGATCATAGTAATAGAGATGACCAGAGAACCTTGGCACTTGGGCTGACTCCTGGCAGCTGGACTGGCAGGATTTAATAGTAAGAATACAATTTTGTGATAGAGGTGAGTGGACCACATTGCTCATTCCTGAAAGGATGCATTTTGCCTGAGGTTGCTGTTTCTCGTTGTTGCAGGCAAGCTGTGGAAGACTTAGCTGGCTTCTGCTGGTCTCAGAGGTCAACAGGTATATTCACACGAGTTTTCTTGAAATCTGCATGCCATTGCACAAACTCTTTTAGATTTTGTAAACTCGGTAAAACCATTTCATTTATTAGGAGTAAATATAGAAAGATCTATAAGTTAACTAATGATATTTATCAAATGCTTATTTTTTGGGACACCATACCAAGCCTTTCAAGGTTCATTATAACTATGGACAATTTGTGATGCATGGATGCCAGGTGTGCCAGATTTTGTATTCTAAGGCAAAGAAAATATATATAAGCAAGATAGGTTAGTAGCTCAGCTTCTTTGTTGAGATTTATTTTCAAAAGCAAATGTGACTTATTTTTTCTTGGCAAACTAGGGCCTGTCCTGAGAAGCATAACCAGGTTGGTGAGAGGATCTAGAATCTTGTAATATGAAGAGCAGGTGAGGGAATTAGGGATTTTAGCCTGGGGAAGAGAAAACATAATGGGAACAAGATAGCTGTCTTTAAATGTTTGAAAAGCTGTCAGGTGGGAAAAGGATTAGACAGATTCTGTGAAACTCCAGAGGGCATAAATATGGGTGGAAGTTTCAAGGAAGCGGGTTTGGGTTGAAAGAAATTTCTAACAATTTGAGCTATAGATAAAACAAATGATGTGTTCTAAAACACCGTAGGGTGTGTTCAAGAAAGGAATTTCTGCACCAATTAATCCATGGACGTTTGGATTAGATATCCTCTAAGAGAACTTTCAGCTCTAAGGCTCTGTGTTTCTTGGGGATGAAAATCACACTTTACACAAAGAGGTAGTTCGGTTTGCCATAACCAGTCACAACAGCCAACTTACAGATGTCCTGAGAAGCAAACTCAAACACTGCTTATGCGGACCTCTGAGCCCAACCCCTGCACGCGTCTCCATTTTCATCCAAGAATCCTCTCTTCCCCAGTGTCCAACTTTCAGCCTTCTTGGTGGTTCTAGATTTTTCTTTTTTGGTGAGAGCCATCATATAGGCCAATTCCTCTGCCTAGAATTTCTTCTTTTCACTTTTTCCTTAGCTGACTCTATGCCTCTCAACGTAAATGTCTCTCTTTCCAAAGAAGACATTCTTTTTCTTTTTCCTTTTTAATGTTTACAGGATCTGTGCGATGCTTTGTTGCATGTATACACTACATAATGATCAAATCAAGGTGATTAGCATATTCATCACCTCAAATATTTATCAATTAGTTGTGGTGAGAATATTCAAATTCCTCTCTTTTAGCTTCTTTGAAATGTACAGTACATTACTGTTAACTATGATGACCCTCTTGTGCATTAGAACACCACAACTTATTCCTCGTGTCTAACTGTAATCTTGGACCCATTGTCCAAACTCACCCCATTTCCCCTCCCCTTTACCCTTCCCAGCCTCTGATAACTTCCATTCTACTCTGTACTTCTATGAGCTTGCCTTTTAAAAATTCCACGTATGAGTGAGATCATAGTGTCTGTCTTTCTCTGCCTGGCTTATTTCATTTAACATCATGTCCTCCAGCTTCATTTGTGTTGTTGCAAATGGCAGGATTTCATTCTTTCTGACGGCTGAATAATATTCCATTGTGTATTTGTACCACGTTTTCTTTATCCACTTATCAGTTGATAGGTACTTTGGTTGATTTCATATCTTGGCTATTGTGAATAGTGCTGCAGTGAGCAAGGAGGTGCAGAGATCTCTCTGACATGCTGGTTTTATTTCTTTTAGATATATACCTAGCAATGGGGTTGCTGGATCATATGGTAGTTGTGTTTTTTTATTTTTTGAGAAATTGCTATACTGTGTTCCATAATGGCTGTCCTAATTTACATTCCCACCAATATTTGTTATTGTTTGACCTTTTAATAATAGACATTCTAACTGGAATATGGTGATATCTCATTATGATTTGGATTTGCATCTCCCTGATGATTAGTCATATTGAGCCTTTTTTTTATATATGCCTATTGGCAAGTTGGATGTCTTCTTTTGAGAGCTGTCTATTCAGGTCATGGGAAGCCATGCTTGATTCAGTGGTTAACTTCCTCTGTGAAGACCCTGCATGGCGTGGCACATTGCCTTTTTATAATACTCTTTACTCTGTTTGAGAATTATTTGTTCCCTGTCTGTTTTTCCTGTAGGACTGGAGCCTGTTTGAGGGCAGGAACATGTCCCTTGTTCTTGGCTGCATCGCCAGTTTTAGACATGTACTGTATACTCATGTATTGACATTGAATTTACTTTTCAATTTTCACGAACTCATATATTGTGTGTGGTAGCAGTGTGTTGCTATGAGGGATGATGAGCTGTGAAGATTTAGAAACTGGGAAGCTTTAAAAAATTTAAAGTTTTTAGTATCTTTACAAGGTTAAAGGATTTCTTTCTCATGATAACGCCTTTGGAGTTCTTAGAATAGCTGTCCACACGTAGCACCGTAATTCTTCACCTAACAGGAACAAAAATGCGTGGTCAGAATGACCTTATTTTTGCACAGAGTGAGCCTAGCAGGGAATAAAATGCTAATAGTGAGACCAGATGAAAAGGTGACAAATAAGTCAATAAATGACTTTGCACATAATTATCCTTGGTTTACTTCTTCTCAGCTGCAGTTGATCTCAGTTACCACCTTGAGAGTAATACCCATTCTTCTCCACTTTAAACTCTAATGACCTAGTCAGCTGACCAAACAGGAAAATGTTTGACTGTACCCTCTAGGAGAGAAATTTATAATACTTTATTGCAACCCAGTAATATTTACTTGTTTTATTGTCTGAAAAACTATTCTTTATTATTCCTGCTGTTTTTGCCTAGGAAAAGTTAGTTTTCTTTCTCCAAGAGACTTGCCATCTGTTGACAGGCATTCACACCAGTTGGCATGAAAGATCACGGAACAGCTTTCCTGGTGGAGTTTGGATCCATGTATATCATTTACAGTTAATTAGAGGTGATTTCCCTGAACTTCTTGGGTAGTTTTGAGACCAGATTGAGAGGAAGAGATTTTCGTTTCTTTGTGTTTGTGTAACCACATGAAACAGTTTGTCTCCTCCTGCCCATCCATCCCCTTTTTGCTGTAAGAAAATAACTCCAGTCTTGTGCTACTAACTCTCCTGATAAAAATTATTGGCCTTTTGTTAGGCGAAACAAACTAAACCCATGGCCCAGATTCATGGATAATATTTTTGGGGTTAACTGCTTACAGAGATCTTTAAAAGTTATTATTATCCAGAGAAGAGATAGCAATAATAGTTAGGGACCATTTTGTAGCAGTTACCACTGTCCTAGAAATATCAGCACAGAATTATTGATTTTCTAATGAAAAGAAGAGTAAGGCATACAAGTAGTTGTAATGTGTGTAGTGCAGAGAATAAGGCTGATCCATTTTCAGTAGGGAATGGGACTTCAGTTATTTTTCCAGGACTGATGATGAGTCTTTGATGAGTCATCCTTACTCTCAGCTGGTTACAGTCAAGTCAACAAATATTTCCTGAGAAATACAGAGGAGCACTGAGACAAGTATGGATTTTACACCAAGGATTTCTTTGGGAATGAAGGTACGAGCTTTCTGGGCCCGTGGATCTCATTGCATTGTTTGGGAACATATGGATTGGATTTGTGATGTTAGTCATATTAGCAAGATACTCAGGTCAACAGAGTCAAGAAGTGTGTGTGTGTCTAAGTCACATAATAGAACAATAAATTCTTTTGGTTGTCTTTTATTTTAAACATAGTGAGACCTTTTATCTAACAAAAGCCAGGTGTGCCCATGTATGCTGGTGGTCCTAGCTACTCTGAAGGCTGAGGTGGGAGGATTGCTTGAGCTCAGGAGATTGAGGCTGTAGTGAGCTGTGATCACTCCACTGTACTTCAGCCTGGGCAACAGAACAAGACTCTCTCTCAAAAAAGTAAAATAAAATAAAATAAAGCAGCAATTAGAGCATCCAAAGAGTGCCTCCAGATAGTCATGGTGAGAACAGGTCAGTCAGTTGGGAATTGATAACAACTGTGATGAAGGTGGCAACTGAGGTCAACTGCAGCAGTTTAAGCACTTTGGTAAACAATGCTTTAGATCCTATAGTTTGAGAACATTGCAGTAAAGTCAGTTAAGGGAAATAAATGAAATTGACCAGCGAGAAGATTGTTAAAATAATTGCCCTTGAGAGACAAAGAAGTCTATCTTCTGGAGGAGAAAGCTCTCTCCACAGAGTCAAATGTCTCCACTGAGACACTTCCCTGGTATGACTTCAGTTACCTGGAGGTGCTGCCTGTGGATGCTCTAATCTTGGGGTGGCTCTTTCCAAACTCCTGCCTGTGCACTCATGCATTCTTGCAGAAACCCACAGTGGCAGGGATTCCTGTCCTGTGCCGCACGTGCCTGTGGAATTCTTGTCTCTGGGATTGTCAGGCTGTCACATTTGATAAATCCTAGATTTGAAAAGGAAAAAAAGAAACAAAACATTTACATCAAACCAATATGCAACGGCCAGAGCTGAGAAGAAAAATGGTCCACCCCACTGGCCTTCTCTCTCTCTGCCCTCCTTTTCCTCCTCCTTCTCTTCTCTCTTTCAGCAAAACCTGGCAAATTCTTTCGAATTCAAAGCTGGAACAAGACTGCTTTCTCCCCAGCGCCTGCTCCTTAAGCCTTGGATGTTCGTGGCCCTACTGCACTGCTGAGCCTGGCAAAGGGAGAGGAGGTCACGCAGGACAAATTGAAGCAGTGAAGGGATATTTGGCACCAAATTTAGCAAGAAATCCTGCAATCCTGTGGGCCAGCTGAGTCCATTACTGTGTAGGATACATCCACGTGGAGCCTTTCTATGGCCCTCAAGGACAACTGATGGAGCAGTGGCAGAATGCCATGTGGTCTTAGAAAAGGCTTTTAAATCTCTTGTTCTTATTTTCTAAAGCTCATGCACTTTTTATTTTATTTTTTTAATGCTGGAAAATTTTGCTATTGGCCTTCCATTACCTAATTAAAATGAGAACAGTGTGTGAGGAAACTAGTGTGTAAGAAAAAAGCTCCTCCGCTCTTGAGCAAGTTGCACTTCCAAGCCCTGTAAGATGCTCCCCCTGGAGGGCGACTCACACCCGAAGAGTACCCCTCCCGACTTTGGTGATTTCAAGCACTTCAGAAGGAGCAACATTTGGTATGTCAAAGAAAGGACGTGCGAGAAGGGGAGAATTTTCCACAAAAGCACAGCTCGCTGCCAGAGAGCACACATGAGGCCTGAGCATTTGAGCAGAAACCACTCTCATATTTGAAAGAGCTGCAGCGAGGCAGAGAGAACTGGAGGAGAAGGCTGAAGAAGCCAATGTATTTTTCAGAATGTGGCAAAAGTTCTCTGTGGTAATCCTACCTGAGGCAAAAATATCAAAGCAGATTTAGACCTCCTTATTATGTTAAGCCAAATATGACCTTCACCTTCCAAGAAAGAAATAGAAAAAAAGTGAAAAAAAATTGGGCAGGAAACTGAAATCCCAATTTTTCATATGATCCAGTGTAGAGAACCTAAATCCTTTGTACTTTATATTCTCACTGTTTAAATGTAAATCGCATCATATATGGTCTGTGGGCTCTGTGACGGTTAAGAACGTCAAGTCACAGTTCTGCCCTCCTTCCTCCACTCTGGAGGGTGAATGCGTTTTCTCTGGGGGCAGCCTCCAGGGGGTGCTCCACACCGGGAGGAGGGCTGAAGTATCTTGTTGTCTACTGAGGGCTTTCAGACTTAGGGACCTAGGCCACGTGGTTAGGGGACAGGACCAGAATGGGAATGAGCCCTTTCCTTTTTGTCTTTCTGTTGATAGTTCCATACTATTAAGAGAGATACTATTAGGGTTGTCTCTTTTCAGCTCCCCATCCGCATATTTGCCTACCTTTTTTGAGTTCCTGCAGTGCTGCCTTTCTCCAAGTCCATATCTTGGATCTTGTTGCATTTCCCTCAACCCTCCACCCAGTGGTGATGCTTCCCAGGCTGAGGTGTTGCTCGCCTTCACCTGTAGCTTGCATTGACTCCAGAGCCAGCCTGCCAGCCTGAAGGTCTTGAAGGTACCTCAAAGTCAGTATTTCCAAAATCAGGATTATTCATGCATTTGCTTATCAACAACATGCTGTGTACCAGATCCAACCACTTAACACACTCAGTGATAAAGCAGCTTTAGCATCATTTTAGGAGCATGGACTTTGGAGAAGGGAAGGCTGGGGCACATTTAAGCTGTATGAACTTAGGCGAGTTACAGAACTTCTCAAAACCTCATTTTTCCAACACAAAGGTTGGATAATAACACTGTTGTCTTGAAGTGTCATTGCAAGAATAAAATGGGATGATGTTGTAAAGTATATAAACAATGCATGCTATATAATTGAGATCAATAATATTAGTTGTTGTGAAAGAGATGTGTAAAATAAATATGGGAACACCTAACTATGTGTTAGTGCATCAGGGACAGCGTCATAGAGACAGAGCTGTTGAGGTCCTCCCTCAGAGACAAGAGGCAGCCAGCCAGGTAAGAAAGAAGGAAGGGTTTTCTATTCTTCTATTTGTGAAGGTATGAGGAGGCAGCATGAAATAGCACAGGCATTTGGTAAACATTAAGTAGTGTAATACTGAGAGTGAGACTTTGTGCGGATAAGTGAGGAGATAGGGAGGTAGAATGTACACAGGCATCACATCATCATGTACCTTTGTGTTAAGCTAAATAGTTTCAATTTTATCCTGGAAGCTATGGAGAGCAATTACAGGGCTTTAAGCATGGGAATGGCATGATCAGATTTATATTTTAGAAATAACACATTGGCAACTGTGTGGAGTAGGCACTGGAGTCATGCCAGGCTGGAGGCGGTGAAACTAGTTAGGAGGCAGTTGCAGTAATCCAGGCAAGACTTGTTGAGGGCCTGGATTAAGGCAGTGACTTCGCAGATAGAGAGAATGGTGTGGATATGAGTGGATATTAAAGAGGTAGAATCTGTAGGACTTGGTAACTTTAGATGAGGGCTAAATGAGGAAAGAGAATCTGGGATGCCTGCCAAATTTCTGCTCTGGGCAAGTGGATGGATGAGTCCACGGTAGCATCACTCAGTGAGATATGGAATACTGAAAGATGAAAACATCTTGACAACGGGCCCAGTTTGGGACCCAAGGAATTTTCTCTTAGATTAATTGAGGAGAGATGGCTAATAAGGTCTGGCCATTTCTTTTCTTTCAGAGGTAGGGAACCAACATCCAGGAGATGGTAAATGGAGTAGTGTGTTCAGATGAAGAGTTGTGTGTTGAGTGAGAAGAGCCAAGGCCAAGATCTGGGAAACATGGGCACTCAAAAGAAGGAGGATGTTGAACTAGTCGGTGACATAGCCTACACCAGCAAGCCATGGAACCCCAGAGAGAATCAGGAAAGATCGTTCAGTGTCACAGAAGGCAAAGGAGAGGCTGAGTCATGTAGTCAAAAGACACAGACCACATCAAGTTAGAGAAGAGAAAACTGACCACTGGGTTGGAAACATGGAGGCCATTAGTGACCTTGGCAAGGGCAATTTTATGGGCACTGTGGGAGGAATGCCTGAACGTAGTGCGTTGAAAGAATGTGGGAAGTGAGAAAGGGTAGGTATCCAATATATTCTACTGCTTCAAGAAGCTTTGCAGTGAAAAAGGGAGAGGCGTAGAGAATGGAATTTAGAAAGGAATTTGAATTTGAAGAAATTCAAATTTGCTTTCTTTTTACTTTCAATTTATTTATTTTTGGAGTAGAAATGTGGGAGAACACTGTGTGTGTGTGCGTGTGCGTGTGTGTGTGTGTGTGTGTGTGTTGTAGGGAAAATCCAGTAGAAGTAGAAATATTGAAATAAGCGATGGGATGCAGCCCTTGAGGATGTGTGAAGGGGAGGGTCACAGAGCATGAGTGATGGCAGGGCCCAGCTAGAAAGGTCACCTCCGTGAGACAAAAGAGAGTGAGGAAAGACCAGTGCAGGCATAAATATGTTTTGTTTTAATGATGGGAGAAAAGAGTTCTTTCTTGATACATTATATTTGTTTCTGTTAGGCAGGAGCAAGTTGATTTGTTGAGAATATGTAGCAAGGAGGCTTGAGGATGGAAATAACATTTAAAGTAGAGGAAAGAGCTAACATGCATTGTGTGCTTACTGTGTTCCGATCGGAATTTACTTGAAAGGTATTGACTTTTTTAATCCTCAAAATCACCCTATAAGTCAGGTAAAATTAGCACCCTCATTTTACAGATGAGGAAACTGAGGCACAGATATTAACTGTCTTGACAGAGGGGAGCTGGAACCCAAAGTTTTGCCTCCATGACCCATTCTTTTATGCATTTATACATCCGTGGAGCACCAAATTTGGAAGTACTACCACTGATTGAAATAATAGACCATGAAGTCCAATCTTTAAAGGAAAGAAAATTAAAACTCAAAAAGGTAACAGTGGCTTCAGATATTCTTTCACGATGTGAAGGAGTCTGGGATGGGCATCTTCAGAGAGTATCTGTGACCTGGAATGTGGCTGTGGCAAGACTTAAGAGTAATGAACCAGATCAGAAACAAACAAACCCTGGAGGGGTTGCTGAAGGGAAGTGGAGTCAGACAAGTGAAACTACTCTAAGGTTAAGGTGTTGGCTGGATTGACCACTTATATTTTAGCTTTACTGAGATATAATTGGTGTACAATAAACAGCATGTATTAAAGTGTAAAATTTGATAGCTTTCAACATAGTATATTTCATGACGCAATCACTACAATCAGGATAATGAACCTAACCATCACCCTCAAAAGTTTCCTCACACCTCTTTGCAATCCCCCCTCACTCTTTCCCATTTCACTCTGCCCACCCCGTGCCCAAGGAAACACTGTTTTAGTTCATTCTGGTTGCTATAACAAACTACCATAAAGAAGTTTGTTTATAAACAACAGAAATTTATTTCTCACAGTTCTGGGGGCTGGGAAGTCCAAGACCAAGGGGCAGGCAGATTAGGTGTTTGGTGAGGATCTGCTTCCTGGCTCATAGATGGCAGTCTTCTCTTTGTAGCCTCACAGGGTGGAGAGAGGAGGCAAGCTCTCTCAGGAATCTTATTAAGGACACTAATCCCATTCCTGAGGGCTCAATCCTCATGACCTTTGCTAACTCTAATTACTTCTTAAAGACTTTACCTCCCCACACCGTCACCTTGGGAGTACAGATTTCAACACATGAGCTTTTTGAAGGGAAACACACTTTCAGACCATAGCACTGATCTGCTTTCTGTCACTATAGGTTAATTTGCATTTTCTAGAATTTTACAAAAGTTAAATCATACCACATGTTTTTTTTTTTTTTTTGGTTGTCATTGATTTTTTCACTTGCCATAATTATTTTGAGTTATTCACATTGTTGCAAGTATCAATAGTTAATTCGTTTTTACTACTGAGTAATATCCATTGTTTGGTTATGCCACAATTTTGTAATCTATTCATCTGTTAATAAACCTGAGGGTTGTTTCCAGTTTTGGGTTATTACAAATAGAGCTTCTGTGAATATCTACATATGAGTCCTTGTGTAGAGAAATGCCTTCATTTCTCTTGGATAAATACCTAGGAGTTGATTGGCTAAGTCACATGGTAGCTATACACTTCACTTAGTAAGAAATGACCAGATTGACTTCCAAGGTCATAGTGTATTGTATCATTTTACCTTCCCAAGAGAATTGTATAAGAGTTCTAGTTGCTCTATATCCTCTCTGAAACATGATACAGCCAATCTTTTTAATTTTATTAATTATAGTTAGTGTGTAATAACATCTCATTGTAATTTAGTTAGCATTTCCCTAGTGACTAGTGCCATTCAGCATGCTTTAATATGGTTTTTGATATCTGTATTTTTTTGGTAAAGTATCTAAACATTTTTTTGTTATTGTTGACTTATCTCCTTTTTTATTAAGTATCAGTTCTTCATAAATCTTTTGTACAAAGTCCTTTGCCAGATATATGATTTGCAAATATTTTCACCCATTCTGTGGCATTTTTTTTCATATTCTTATGCAGTTAATGTTTTTGGAAGAATAAGAGTATTTAATTTGGATGAAGTTCAATTTATGGATTTTTATCTTATACCTTTTGATTTTTGGTCCTCTTTAGAACATATTTGCCAAACCCAAGGACATTAACATTTTTCTCTTAAGATTCATTTGTATATTTTGTAAGGTTACATTTTTTTCTTTGCATATGGCTATTCACCTTACAGCACAATTTTGTTGAAAAGATTATCCTTCCCTCATTGAAATGCTTTAAGGACTTTGTTGTAAGTTAGTTGATCATATGTATAGGAGTCTATTTCTGGACCCTCTATACATTGCCATTGATGTATTTGTCCACCTTTATGCCAGAACCACATTGTCATGATTATTGTAGTTTTATAATAAGCCTTCAAACCACGTAAGTGCTGTAACTTTGTTCTTTTTCAAAGTAGTTTTGACTATTCTAGGTCACTCACATTTTTATATAAATTTTAGAATCAGCTTACCAATTTCTGTAAAATCCTGCTGGAATTTCAATTGGAAAAGCCTTGAATCTATGGCTCCATTTGGGGGTGATTGGGTCTTAAGAATTGGGTCTTAACCTTGAAATGTGTATTTCTCTATTTATTTAGGTCTTGAATTTCTCTCATCAATGTTTTGCAGTTTTTAATGAGCATATCTCGCTCATCTTTTGTCAAATTTATTACTGAACACTGTATTTTTGGCCCTATAATCAATTATTTTTAATAACATTTTATTTTAGAACACTTTTAGTTTTGCAGAAATTTGAGCAGATAGTTCAGATATCAAATAATCACCTTTCATACACACTTTATCCTGTTACTAACATCTTACATTAATGTGGTGCATTGAAGAACCAGTATTGCTCCGTAATTATTAACTGAAGTCTATAGTTTATTTAGAGTTCTTCAGGTTTTTCCTGATGTCCTTTTTTCTGTTTTAGGTCCCTTCCAGAATACCACAATACATTTAGTTATCATGTTTCCTTAAACTCTGCTTGGCTATAACATTGCTCAGACTTTTCTTACTTTGAGGATCTTGACGGTTTTGAGTCGTAATGATCAGGTATATTGTGGGATGCCCTCTATTGTAATTTGTATTATGTTTTTCTCATGTTTAGACTAGGGCTATGTGTTTGAGGAAGAAGGTCACAGGAACAAAGAGCCATTTTCATTATATTAAGAGTACATGCTATCAACATGATTTATGAATGATGATGTTGATCTTGATACCTGGTTGAAGTAGTGTTTGTCAGGTTTCTCCACTGTAAAGTTAGTGTTTTATTCCCCCTTTTCATATTGTACTCTTTGGTAAAAAGTCACTATGCACAACATACCATTACAGAGTGGGAAAGTTATGTTCCGTGTTAGAGGGACAGAACTAATAGGATATGTGTGTGTGTGTGTGTGTATACATGCATATACACCCTGTATATAGACACACACACACATATACACCCTATATATACACCCTATATATACATCTCATACATACATCATATATATTTATGTATGTATGTAAATGGGAGTTTATTAAGGAGCCTTACACGATCACAGGATCCCACAATAGGCTGTCTGCAGCCTGAGGAACAAGGAAGCCAGTCCGCGTCCCAAAGCTACAGAACTTGGAGTCTGATGTTCGAGGGCAGGAAGCATCCAGCTCGGGAGAAAGATGTAGACTGGGAGGCTAGGCCAGTCTAATCTCTCCACGTTCTTCTGCCTGCTTTTATTCTGGCTATGTTGGCAGCTAATTAGGTTGTGCCCGCCCAGATTGAGGGTGGGTCTGCCTTTCCCAGTCCACTGATTCAAATATGAATCTCTTTTGGCAACACCCTCACAGACACACCCAGGAACAATACTTTGCATCCTTCAATCCAATCACGTTGACCCTCAGTATTAACCATCACATATTCCTTCTCTTTTAGGGTGAAGAATACATATGATTTATTTAAAATTCTTCTGCAGGGGAGATTTGTCTCTTCTCCATTTATGGATGTGTTCATTTATTTATTTATACCAGTAAAGGCTCAAGGGTATTAATTTTAGTCTTTGGATTACAATCCAATACTAATTAATTTATTTCATTGGTCAAATTATTCCAACTTTCATCATCAGGAACCCTTACAGTTGGCTTCTATGCCTCCTTTGACATACCCCTATCAATCAACGTGTGGTGTGTGCATTTTTTTTTTAGTACTTTCTTACTTTCTGATATTATAAGATGCCTCCGGCTCACCTAGTGTATTCTCTGCTGCAGTCCTAGATTCATCCATTTTCTCCAAGGGGTCCTGGTCCCTTGGAATTAGAAACCAAGATTTTGGCACAAGATACATTTGTTGCTACTGGATTTCATTTCTTTTAGGCCATCTCAACTGACAGAGCAAAGAAATGTGTGTATATATGCTAATCCATGTATAGACATGTCTGCAAATATTCCTACATATAACTATCAACATCAAGCTAGACATGAGTTCATACTGATATCCCCAAATCTAATCCATTACCACACCCTTCTCCCCATGCTCATCTGTAAATTCTCACTACAACAGAGAGATACCTGACTCCTACTATCCACCATCTATTTACTTAATTTATCAATTACAGTATACATGAGTAGCATTATCAGAATCATTAACCCCTCGCCCCATGGGGAGCAACTCTGTCAACTACAATACAATTGCTTATATGCAGCACCTTTTGCCTTCAGTACTACAGATTCCATTCATTTCCAGAGGTATTGGTTCAGCCCCTTGCCCCCACTCCCTTCATTTAGATTGTCTCACACATTTGTAATACAGTTAGACTCTCTAGTCAGTCTGCGTTCTTTCCTTGGATGCCCTAACTCCCTAAATTATTTTTTTAATTCGCTTACCTTAAGATGCACTCTTTTAAAACTTTTATTATTTTATTTTATTTTTCCATAAGTTATTGGGGTACAGGTGGTATTTGGTTACATAAGTAAGTTCTTTAGTCGTGATTTGTGAGATTGTGGTGTACCCATCACCCAAGCGGTACACACTGCACCATATTTGTAGTCTTTTATCCCTTGCCCCCTTCCAACTCTTCCCCCCAAGTCTCCAAAGTTCATTGTATCATTCTTAGGCCTTTGCATCCTCATATCAATGAGAACATATGATGTTTGGTTTTCCATTCCTGAGTTACTTCACTTAGAATAATAGTCTCCAATCTCATCCAACACTGCAAATATTGTTAACTCATTCCTTTTTATGGCTGAGTATATCATGTATATATCACAGTTTCTTTATCCGCTCATTGATTGATGAGCATTGGGTTGGTACCACGATTTTGCAATTGTGAATTGTACTGCTATAAACATGCATGTGCAAGCATCTTTTTCAAATAATGACTTCTTTTCCTATGGGTGGATATCTAGTAGTGGGATTGTTGGCTCTTGTGTTGTAAAGTTCTATGGATTTTAACAAATACCTAATGTCATATATGCACAACTGTAGTATCATAGAGAATAGTTTCACTGCCCTAAAAATACCTTGTATTTCACCTATGCTTTCTCTCCACGCTCCCTGACGACCACTGATGGTTTTACTCTTTCTATGGTCTTGTCTTCCAGAATTGGATAATTGGAATCATGCAGAATGTAGCCTTTTTGGAGTGGCTTCTTTCACCTACCAATATGCAGTTAAGTTTCTTCCGTGTCTTTTTATGGCTTCACAGCTCATTTCTTCTTATCATTGAATAATATTCTATTGTATAAATACACTAGTTTGTTTACCTACTCACTCACTGAAGGACATCTTGGTTGTTTCCAGTTTTGGGTAATTATGAATAAACCTGCCATAAATATTTCTGTATAGGATTTGTGTGTGAGGGGAGTACCTAAGTTTTCCACTCAGTTGGGTAAATACCTAAGTACATGATTGCTTTGTTGTGTGGTAAGACTATTTTAGCATTGTAAGAAATTCGAACTGCACTATTTTGCATTCCTACCAGCCGTGAATGAGAGTTCCTATTGCCTTGCATCCTCCTCAGCATTTGGAATCATCATTTTTTTCTTTTTTTTTTTTTTTTGGATTTTAACCATTCTAATAGGTGTGTGGTGATATCTTATTAATAATTTAATTTGCAATTTCACAATGACGAATGATGTTGATCATCTTTTAATATGCTTTGACATTTGTGTGTCTTTTCTAGTGAGGTCATTGTTTAAATCTTTTGCCCGTTTTTAACTGGATTGTTTATTTTCTTATTGTCAAGTTTTAGGAGATCTCTGTGTATTTTGGATACAGGTACATTATCTGTTTCTTTTGTTTGTTTGTTTTTTCCTTTGTTCTTTCTTTTTAATTATTATACTTTAAGTTTTAGGGTACATGTGCACAATGTGCAGGTTAGTTACATATGTATACATGTGACATGCTGGTGTGCTGCACCCACTAACTCGTCATCTAGCATTAGGTATACCTCCCAATGCTATCCCTCCCCCCTCCCCCCACCCCACAACAGGCCCCAGAGTGTGATGTTCCCCTTCCTGTGTCCATGTGTTCTCATTGTTCAATTCCCACCTATGAGTGAGAATATGTGGTGTTTGGTTTATTGTTCTTGCAATAGTTTACTGAGAATGATGATTTCCAGTTTCATCCATGTCCCTACAAAGGACATGAACTCATCATTTTTTATGGCTGCATAGTATTCCATGGTGTATATGTGCCACATTTTCTTAATCCAGTCTATCATTGTTGGACATTTGGGTTGGTTCCAAGTCTTTGCTATTGTGAATGGTGCCGCAATGAACATACCTGCGCATGTGTCTTTATAGCAGCATGATTTATAGTCCTTTGGGTATATACCCAGTAATGGGATGGCTGGGTCAAATGGTATTTCTAGTTCTAGATCCCTGAGGAATCGCCACACTGACTTTCACAATGGTTGAACTAGTTTACAGTCCCACCAACAGTGTAAAAGTGTTCCTATTTCTCCACATCCTCTCCAGCACCTGTTGTTTCCTGACTTTTTAATGATTGCCATTCTAACTGGTGTGAGATGGTATCTCATTGAGGTTTTGCTTTGCATTTCTCTGATGGCCAGTGATGGTGAGCATTTTTTCATGTGTTTTTTGGCTGCATAAATGTCTTCTTTTGAGAAATGTCTGTTCATGTCCTTCGCCCACTTTTTGATGGGGTTGTTTGTTTTTTTCTTGTAAATTTGTTTGAGTTCATTGTAGATTCTGGATATTAACCCTTTGTCAGATGAGTAGGTTGCGAAAATTTTCTCCCATTTTGTAGGTTGCCTGTTCACTCTGATGGTAGTTTCTTTTGCTGTGCAGAAGCTCTTTAGTTGAATTAGATCCCATTTGTCAATTTTGGCTTTTGTTGCCATTGCTTTTGGTGTTTTAGACATGAAGTCCTTGCCCATGCCTATGTCCTGAATGGTAATGCCTATGTTTTCTTCTAGGGTTTTTATGGTTTTACGTCTAACGTTTAAGTCCTTAATCCATCTTGAATTAATTTTTGTATAAGGTGTAAGGAAGGGATCCAGTTTCAGCTTTCTACATATGGCTAGCCAGTTTTCCCAGCACCATTTATTAAATAGGGAATCCTTTCTCCATTGCTTGTTTTTGTCAGGTTTGTCAAAGATCAGATAGTTGCAGATATGCGGCGTTATTTCTGAGGGCTCTGTTCTGTTCCATTGATCTGTATCTCTGTTTTGGTACGAGTACCATTGCTGTTTTGGTTACTGTAACCTTGTAGTATAGTTTGAAGTCAGGTAGCGTGATGCCTCCAGCTTTGTTCTTTTGGCTTAGGATTGCCTTGGCAATGCGGGCTCTTTTTTGGTTCCATATGAACTTTAAAGTAGTTTTTTCCAATTCTGTGAAGAAAGTCATTGGTAGCTTGATGGGGATGGCATTGAATCTATAAATTACCTTGGGCAGTATGGCCATTTTCATGATATTGATTCTTCCTACCCATGAGCATGGAATGTTCTTCCATTTGTTTGTATCCTCTTTTATTTAATTGAGCAGTGGTTTGTAGTTCTCCTTGAAGAGGTCCTTCACATCCCTTGTAAGTTGGATTCCTAGGTATTTTGTTCTCTTTGAAGCAATTGTGAATGGGAGTTCACTCATGATTTGGCTTTTTGTTTGTCTGTTATTATGGAACTTATGATGATACATTGTTTTGATGTATTTTAAGTTTCACCACTGTAAGCATTCGAGAGCAGAATCATTTGTTTTTTTTTGAATTATTTCTCTCTCTTTATAATTGTAGTCCCCAAGGTGTTGCTATTTAATGATAGTTAGTTATTCTCATTATTCTTTCCATAGCTAATGCTTAGTTCTCTGCTTGACACATGTATGTATTCATAATTGTTTGATGAAAGCAACAAAAATTAATTCCAGGCACAGCATGTTTTGAAGCCAACCAGCAGAATGCTGAAATATTTTAGTGATATAAAGCTAGTGCTGATGGTGACACATAGAAAGGAATCCCCATTTATTTGTGGTGTTATTTTAAATTAATAAGCTGGTAGGCTTTATTAGTAATGCAGCTACAGATTTCTGACCTCTGGACCCCTCAGGACGAGGAAGGGCAGAGAAGGTAGATTTGGAACTTTATCACTTGTCTGGGCCACCAGAAATATGGATTAGATGTGTGTATTGCTCCATAAACATGCTGACATAGTGCAAGACTTTTGGGTTGCTTCAACAACCCTGTCTTGGCTCTGAGGTCAGATTCTCCTATCCCATTTCCAGCCTGTCCTTTCCTATCTCAGGGAGGAGGAGTAAAACAGGAAAATGTGTTTTGTGTAATTGTTGGAGGTTTAAGAGGTCTAAAATGAGTAGCACCATCTTGAGTCTGTAAAATCAATCAGAGCAGGAATAATGAGCAAAAAAATCTTTTCAACAAAGTTTCAATGAAATCATAACAAGAAAGAAGTGACCATTTAGGCCTCCTTCAGTCTTCTTTATATTATGAGTCAGAAATTCAGGAGGACTTCCAAATGTTCCTACTCTTAAAAAATGAAGACGCCTGTTGTAAAACACTTAACCTAATCAAGGATCACAACCATGTTTCTAGGGCATTCCTGATTGTCTTTGTGATCCTTTGAAATGTTGTTATTGAGAATGTTTTACAGCCATGAATGAATCATGGAAAAAGCCTCTCAAAGTCAAGCTTGAGCACTCCTGGGCTATCATGAACATTTATCAGCTTTTTTGGTGGGAACTTTCTCTCCAGTGTAGTAGAACAGTCCTGAGAACCCGGTCTGCTAATTGCATTGAATTGCTTGAACAGGCTATTTCTTTCTTAAGAAATCACTACCCTTGCTGGAATGAACCAGGCTGTTTCTTCCTGAAAAGTTTACTGTTGTCTTCTTACCCTGGTTCTCTCCTGCCCTCTTTGGGTAAACCTACATTCTAACCTTATTTATTGGTATTCTCTCTTTAAAACTTCAGATGTGCATAATTACTTTCAAAGACAATAGTATCGAATTTTTTTGCAAGTACTTTTACTTTTGATTACTTCAACATTCCCATGAGATAAAGGTCAAAAAATTTAAGCATCACAAGATGATAGCTAAGGTCACACATTTGTAGAGGTGGAACCCAGGCTTCTGTCTCCTAAACCAGGATCACTCCACTGGACTACACGGTATTGAGCACTTGCTACGGACTTTGCATATATTAACTCATAATTTTGAAACGTTATTTAATGCCAGTTTTACATATGAGGGGACTGAGGCTTAGAGAGATAAAGCCATGCTCTCCAAATGATACAGTAATAAATCCCAAAGCTGGTTAATATTTGGATGTGATTGAGTCCAACCTTTGAGCCATGCTCTAACACCTCTGTGGCTTGGCCATAGCTATTTTTCCAAGACCAAGGTCACTTCATTTGGTTGCTTAGGAAATGCCCTGCATAAAGGTGCCTAGCTTTGGATATTGGCTAGGCTGAAATCAGCCCAAGGTTTACTGGCTGGATTCATCAGGCCTTGGGCGTGTCAGAGTCATCAGGGAGGAATAACTTAAACTGGAATGTCCAGTGGGGACACTGTCCCAGGCTTTTTGGAGGGGTGCCTTTTCAGCACATGCAAAGATGCCATATGTGCTGGCTGTGAGCCTGGCTGGGTTTTTCACATGTATTCCTACCTTGGGATCATAGTCCTTGCTGTCTTATCCAGCTCTCCTATAAAATCAGCCTGGGGTATGATCAGGGCTTAAGAGGGAGGAGTTTAGAAATCCCAAAGTTAGTTTATAACTTTTCAGCTAAGTCATGAGGGAAAAATGCGATTTTCATTGGAAATTGCCTCTGTCCCATTCAGGTAGAACTCAATATCTAGGCTTGAGATTATGTACTTTTATAAAGAAACTTCAGAGTTCATTGAAAATGTTATCAGCTACCTACTTGCTACTGATAAAAAAAAAAAGACTATAATATTTACTAAGCAGGTAAAGTATCAGGCTACAAACTGTAAGCTTTCCTATTGCTGATATTTGATGTTTCTGGTGAAACTCAATTCAGTGCCTGAGATGATACCTGGGAAGTCTGTAAAACTTCAAAGATCTATAAACGAGTCAACTTAACTACCCCAAATATCCCAGTGTGCCATTTGTACTTCAGCTTTCCCACATGTTTACTGAGAACGAAAACTCAAACCACACACAGGGGTTTGAAGCAAAGTGGGTCTATTAGTTGGGGAATTCTGAGCTTCTAAAAGAGATGTAGAGTGATTGAGTTCCGGATTACATAGGAGAGGTTGTTAGCCTTGTGAGAGTGTCCTTTGTTCAGGTCCAGGTAATAGGAACTAGAGTGCTCCTTAGGATAGGAAGGGATTTAACAAGTGTTATTTACACAGTGAATACAATGATGGGCCCAACTGGTTTGCAGGTCAAGGAAAGTCAGGGAACTGGGCAGCTCACTGGGCTACGCTGTATCTGCATCACACTGCTAAACCTATCACCTATTGCAGGAGTGGAAAATGCTATGGACACATGAGTTACGATTGCTGTGAAAACCATAGCTTTGCATTTATTGACTTCGTTGTGTTTAAAGTTTTAGTGTTGTGTCAGCATGTTTGAGGAAGGTGTGCAGGGTAGAATATATGTCTCACTTTC
The DNA here is from genome assembly GCF_000001405.40 of Homo sapiens. Taxonomy (NCBI): domain Eukaryota; kingdom Metazoa; phylum Chordata; class Mammalia; order Primates; family Hominidae; genus Homo; species Homo sapiens. The sequence goes on from NC_000013.11 coordinate 22,189,429, forward strand.
AGATGAAGGTCAGTCTAACTTAACACATTCTTTCCCCCTTAATAGAAAGTTACAGAAAACTGTCAGACTTCAACTCTGGTTCAATAGCTCCAGTTCCATTGGCCCGACTTAGAAAATATCAGTCTGGGTCCAACTCACAAAATTTAGACCCAGAAGGAAAAATAAATTCCTTGTGAGGTCATCCCTCCAGTCTGAACACTATCTGGTAGACTCCTTGAGCCACTAAAATGGCAAAGATCTTGGCCGTCTGCCCAGATATTGGAGAGGATGGAAGAGTTAAGCAAAGGAGCCAGGAGTTGTGGCGCAGGAGAGCACTGAGCCTGAGCAGGGAAACAGAGCGACTCAAGGCTGTGCGGACTGAGTGGCTGCTTGTGGTGGAGCAGAGAAGAGCAGACTCCATGTGTGTGCTTGGGGTGGGGAATTGGGGATACCTGAAAACCAGAGAAAAAGAAGATGCTTACTCATTACTTTACAAGTGTGGAGTCACAAAGAGTTTCAGAAAATGCAAGAACATCACTGTCTGCCTTTTCTTGTTTTCAAAAGTCCAACAGAAATTTAAAGGTATAGAAAAAGTAGGGGCAGAGCTTTGATGTTTGTGAGCTCTATTTGGTAAGTAGATTGGGTGTGAGTGTGCATCTGTGCTTCTGGCCGTGCTCCTCAGTACTCAACACCTCCTCGGTCTGCATTCACAGCCAGCAGCCTGTTACTGACCTTTATAAAAATCAGCCTGAGATGGTGCATTTCAGCAGTGCAGCTCATAAGCAGCAAGCTGAGGAGATACTTCTTTCTGTAGGGTTGTGTTTTCAAGCCAACTGGTTATCTGAATGAAGTTGAGAGGACCAGCAACCCCTGAGTCCTAACACTGTGTGTCTCAAATTTGTTTTCCAACAGTTTTTTTTTTTTCAGGCATTTGGGAATATTGAGAAAATATCATAATGTTTATTTTATTTTATTTTAAAAATGTTTCTAAAAAGCAATGTGGTACCTTTGTATTTCTCTCTGGATAAAATCATGTGAAATTATTTTTTATTGCTGGACAGACTGCATTGTTAACCCTTATCGTGTGCAGTGTGTGTCAGTAATGCATTACAGACAGCACACACTTATTGGACTCTGTAGCCTCTTAAAATACGGGTAAAAGCTGCTCTAAGCATCAAAATATCTCTGTTCTCCCAAGAGCAGTAGATATTGAGTTACTGATTGTTAGTTTGATGGATATGGTTTAAACACTTACTTTAAATAAAAGTACACATAAAACAGACCCCATTTTTGAAACACCTTTGATCTATAAGAGGTATGAAACAAGAATAGATTTTACTGAGGACTAACATATTCTCCATCAACCTGGTTGGCTTTTTACATATTTTTATAAAAGATAAATATTTTGCACATCCCTTGAGATGGAGAGAAAGTTCTAGAAAGGTGTTACAGTGCAGGTTTTCTTTTTTTAAAAGCTGTTTTTGGTTTGCCAGAATCTTCTACTTCTGCAGAATTTCCCTCCAGCCTATTTCAGCTGAAGACCTGATGGCAGCTGACGTCCATGGGAGAACATTCACAAGCCCATGCGTTCAGGTCCTCTGGGCACTTTCCTTATGAGGATAACATCTTTGTTGGTTTAAGTTACTTTTGCATGTTACAGGAGCCTGATATATAGAAGGTTGCCTGACTTTATATTTCAAATTTTTCTTTGCTGAGAACACACATAAAAATCCATATCTTTGAAGATGGAAAAAAGAATAATCTGCACATCTGCATAATGTCCTGGATGTATTCCTGACAGTAAAAACATTTCTCTGCCCATAGTTGGTGGGGAGAATTAGGCTGATAGTTGTTTTATTTATTCAGCATTCAGAATTTACAAGCATACTTAAAAATTATATGAACCTAAAAGTTTTACATATACCAAGCTAAAGTCATATGTATAATGCTAAAACCATTTAGATATTCATATTCATATCTGTATGAATCCAAAAAAGATGGTCTTTTGTTACTACAAATGCCTTGATTGGTCATTTGGGAGACAAGTCAGGCTCCAGGGCTGTCCCCAAAGACAGAGAGAGGACGTGGCAGCCTCCTAGAGAGCTGAAGCAAGAGTTTGAAGAAGTAAGCACATTTCTAGGAATAATGGATCTAATATGCAAATATGTGAGTAGTTTACATTGTCCATTGTCCTGATGTAAATTTTTTTTATATCTTCAAACCTTTAATAACTTTGGCTTTTTAAATGATAGGAATCATATAAAAGGGGCCCAGCTCATGCAGACTTATAACCCAAGGTGTGAGGAAAATATATTTTTTAATCAAACCAGTAGACAAGCATCATCTTGTGGATCGTGATTTTGTTTAGTCACTTTAATGTATATAGACAGGTTGCCATGTGCAGGAGAAAAAGGACTGCCTTCCATGAAAATTCATTTTTCTACAAGAGTTCTTAAATTCATGAATGTAGTCACATTGACCTTTCTCTGGGGGTCCATATAACATGGTTAGGCATCTGTGTTAAATTAGATTTGAAAATTTTCTGCTACTATAACAGGTTTTAAAATATAGGACACTAGCATTTTTTTATTTCAAGCTGATTTCATATATCAGTTCAGGCTTTTTATTACTATGATATTTCACTCAGTTGGTTTTTTTAAATCCCTTCTGTGCAGTTAGATTTAATTGTTTTCATTAAATGTGCTAAAATAATATTTTAAATAGCTTTATAAAATTGGCCATAAAATGAGTTCTTGTTGGGGGAAAATATGCCATATACACATATAAATAGAGGAAAAAATTAGACTTGCAACATACTGGGTCTATGAAGTCTGCGTAAATGTAATGGAGTAACATTTGCTTATTTTCAATAAATTATGTTAGATTTACTGATTTCTGCAGTATTATGGGAAGGTCGCATTGCAGATATTAAATCATGGTTCTATACAGAAGTCCTAATGAATGAGTTTTTAGATGGATGCTAGATTAATGAGATTTCTAATCTGTGTTACTGGGCAAGTTTTTCAAAAACAGATACAAAATCAATTACATAAATTGAACTACTGAATTAAATTGATCGCTTGGATGGTTGTTCAAGCAAATACAAACAAAAGAAAATGTTTGAATCATTAAATAATGGAATTTACATGGCTCATGGTGAATAATTCAGACATTGTGCCCAGATTTGCAACTGTATTTTGAGTGGTGCTCATTAGGTACGGAATCGTATTTTGTTGATCTAATTGCCTACCTCTTGAGTTGATCACGGTCCTTTGCAGCTTCTTTATGCGGCTGCACATTGTAATGGCTGGGGGAGTACGCACGACTGGACACCCTGACTTCCCTGCTCCGAGGGAGTACTTGGTCAGTGGATTTTCCTTAAAGCTCCCCAGGAGAGGCTGGGCGCAGTGGCTCACGCCTGTAATCCCAGCACTTTGGGAGGCCGAGGCGGGCGGATCACGAGGTCAGGAGATAGAGACCATCCTGGCTAACACGGTGAAACCCCGTCTCTACTAAAAATACAGAAAGTTAGCCGGGCGTGGTGGTGGGCGCCTGTAGTCCCAGCTACTCGGGAGGCTGAGGCAGGAGAATGGTGTGAACCTGGGAGGCAGAGCTTGCAGTGAGCCGAGATCGCGCCACGGCACTCCGGCCCGGGCAACAGAGTGAGACTCTGCCTCAAAAAAAAAAAAAAAGCTCCCCAGGAGAGTCTAATACACAGCCTTGGGTTGAAAACCACTACTCTACTGCATTTGTTGGCTTTTTACATTTTTATTAAAACAAGAAAAAAAGCAAAGCTTGTTTCTCCAATTCAGCACTCAACTGGGGACAGTACCTAGTATAGAGTGTGGCCCACCACAAGCCTCAGGAAGTGTTGCCTAAACGAGCTACTGTGTTGTCTTCTAAGATGACTACACTGCCCTCTAAGCAACACCGCTTCTAACAAGACAGTCCAGAAATTAAGCTGAGCTGCTGACAAGTAGAATCAGCCTTAACTCAACAAAATATGAGGACAGGAAATTTTCTCAATGGTCCTAACTAGTGTGACCTCAGGAGGAGGTGAAGAAAGGGGCTCTAAGCTCAGCACTTGAAGGCATGAGGTACAGAAGATTCTAGAATGGCATCATCATCCTGACACCCAGGCATCAGGAAGGACACAGAGAGGACCAGGGAGGTGTATGTTTTCTAATGGTGTGTTGTTCAGAGGAGGAAATGGCCACCCAAGCCCCATGGAACTGTATCCAGGCTTAAAGGAACCGAGGCCGCACCACCCAAAGACATAATGACTGCCCAAGAACACCTCAGACAGATAAGAAACTTATCTGTCTGTGTTTGTTTCGCTTCTAACCCAAACAAGTTTAGGTGAGAACATTACCAAAGTTTAGGTGTCCCATAAACCAAGTTAGGTGAGTCAAAATTTATCCAAGATTACAAACTTTGTAATAGGTAGTAGTTTTGTCTTTGATACTCCCATGCTTTTGAGTCTGACAGAATATTTGATTTGAGATAGTCCAATATTGTCACTACTAAACCAGGGCATTGGTAGAAGATTTGTTTCCTCTAGGCTTTGATCAGCATTAGGAGTGATGATAAGATGGCAAGCATTTAGTGTGAATTTGCTTAGGCACAGGTACTATACTAAGTGTTATCTAGGCTTATGTTATGTAATTTTCCCAATAGACTTGAACCAGGATTCTGTGTTGCAAGTGACAGAAAACCAATCCATACTGGCTTAAACAAAAACAGAAAATGTGCTGGCTCCTATAACAGAATCTAGGTCCAGTGGCAGTTCCAACTTCAGCTGCAGCGCAGATGAAATTGCTGTGACCTGGCTTCTCTCCTGCTCTCGGCCTTGCTTCTCCTGCAGTGGCTCTGTTCCCTTGAGGCAGCTTTTCCAGGGCAAAACCTGACTCACCCCAAGCTTCGTGTCCAGTGAGGAAGAGAAAACATCTTTGTTGTCAGCAGCAACAGAATGCATGAGATTCAACTTGGTCATTTGCTCACTCCTGAGCCTATTGCTTTGAGCAAGGGACCACAGTGAATGGATTGACTTCGACTTGGGGAACTGCAGCTACAGGTAGAAATAAGCATGAACAAGAGGAAAATGTGCAAATAAAAATCAAAGGCAGCTGTCAAAAGAAGGAGCCATCTGGAGGCTTGGAGAGTCAAAATCGTTTGCCTGAGCTAAGACAGTTGGCACATGGCCTTGTTGGCATTTGGAGGAGGAGTGGATGACAGAGCACAAGTCAAGTGGCTGCTCTACAGGGTCATATTTTCTTCCCAATCATGTAGCGCGGGGACGGGGACAACAGAGCCTGGGGGAGGACCAGATCCCAGGACGATGAGCAGCCTTCCTTCCACAGGGTCCCTCTCCTGGTCTCTCCAATTGCAAACCCATGTTTTCAAAAGAAATTCTGTGAGGCACACAGCTGTGAGCATTTGTTTATAATAAGTTGTTTCTTTTAATAATAACTGTATTAAAATATTGGTCCCATGACCGTTTTTCCCCCACCTATTAAGAGGCATTTTCCACACAAGTTCTTACAATTGGCAGTAGGTTAGTCTTTTTAAAATCCTCAACCTTTAACAAATATTTTCACGCTATGTAAGCCAAAGATAAGGAGGAAGGGCAATTTTTTAACAAAGAAAATTAAAATAAACTTTGGCCATGCTTGCTTTGTGCAAATCAAGCCTGTCAATACAGGCTTGTGGGATTTGCTCTGCGATGTCAGGTATGTTGCATATTTTGATGCATTTAGATGTCTTCTGTTTCTCCTTCTAGTTGGCCTTCAACTGTCAAATTATCTTTACCCTATCCAGTATATTATATGCTTAGTTTTTCCATTGCCTCTGGGATAGTTATCGATTTTATGTAACTCTTTTATGCTTTTTGCATTTTTTCTTTAAAACTCTTGCTAGCCACAAATTCAGTTTTCAGTCACAGACTGGTTTGTCATTGACAGTTCCTCATCTTGTATATTACCTACTCTTATTCGTTGGCTGCCAATTAAAAGACTCAGCCCTAATTCTACACAATCAGGTTCTGACACTTGAGGTATTGCTTTTTTGTTTCCACATCATCTTGTCTGTGAAAACTTTCTTGTCCTGATTTGCAATTTTAACTTACTTTATATACTACCACTTTTAGTTCATCTTCTTTAGTGTTAATTACTTGATCAAGAATGATGGATTCTTAACAATATAGAGTGCAAACATCCTGAATCAAATGCTTATAAAGATGAAAATGTAAGTGTAATATTTTGGTTGTATTTGGCAAGAGAATCCTGAAATACTGAACATTCCCCTTGATAATTTACCTCATCAAACCAGGTCCCTGTACAGAGAAAAAAGCAAAATAATTTAACTTTTCATACTAACAGTGCCTTTAGCCCCTAGGTTACAAACTCTAGTAGGCTAGGTGAAATTCCATGGAGAATGATATTCAGCAGTCCTTCCGAATGAACACTAACAGTGCACAGGTGCTAGTCTGCCTACAGTCACCCATGAGCTGGCCTTGTCCCCATCTTTCCAGTCCACTGCCCAGAAAAATGAGAGTAGATCTGCCCATGAGAAAGCCAGAGGAGATCAGTGAGCAAGACGGTTTGATCCAAATCAGAAAAAGGAAATGGCTGCAATTTATCAAGACTCTTCTCGGTTGGTGGCTGGACACGGTAGCTCATGGCCACTCAGGTCAATCACGCCATTGCACTCCAGCCTGGGTTACAAAGTGAGACCCTGTCACTAAAATAAATAAATAAATACATGCATATGTACATACAAAGACTCTTCTCGGTAGGGGGAAGGATTTGGGAAAACAGGATGTTGCTTCCTAGGTCCACCTGACTTAGCCATATCAGAGAAGAGAACACTGTAAAAGGCAAAAGAGGTGGCCAGGTCTCTCCAAAGAGGAGATCCACCACCAGGCCTAAAGTCTCCAGGTTTCTTGGATGAACAGATTCAAGCAAAAGAGAAAAAAATATGAGGACTCATCAGTCTTGCTTCCTTGGATTGGAGGAGTTGCCCAGGCCAGACTATGTACTTCTTCATCCAAACATATGTGCACGTGCGCATACACACCAAGAGAAACAAAAAAGAGAGACTGAGACAGGGACAGAAAAAGAGAACCAAGTAAAAAGAGATGGCCAGACCTTCTTTCAAGGGAAGTAGAATCTACTTACTTCTCTTGATATCTAAGAAAATAATTCTCAAACCTTCACCCTTTCAACCAGTTTGAAAGCTTTACCTTGGGGTAAAATGAGGGGCTTATGCTAGAGGCTTACTAAGAGGAAGCATATGTGAAGGAGACAGGAGTCTCTGACATTTTCCCCATAGGGATCAGTGAATTCCATTATATACTACCTTCAATACAGAGCAGGTGAGAAGAGAGCAAAATAGGTGTCTGCTCACTTTGTTCCACCATTTTTTTAATACTATGGACTCCTTTGCCAATCTGGTAATGCCCATGGACCCCCTTCATGGGAAAATATTTTTAAATACATAATATAAATGACAAAGAATTATAAAAGAGACTTATGCTGAGATAGACTTCTACCAGTAGATGGCTCAGGGGAGGGAATTCAGGGAGCCCAGGTTAGGAATCACTGTTACACAGGGCTGAGCACCAAGCAAGGTCCCTGCAGGAAACAGGTGGCATACTCAGGCTAGGATAATTTGAGGATGATTTCATAAAAAGATATTTACAAAGCATGGGCAGGTATGGGGAAACCATGAAGTGCAATGCAGTGCATGTTTCCAGAGAAGGCAGGCCTATGATCAACCCCAGATCCAAAGGAAAGAGGGGCAGCATTTACTGGAAGGAGGGTAATTTCAGAAGAGAAGTTACTCATCTTGAGATTGGGCCAACCACAGGTGACCCTTACAGAGAGGGAGTCAGGAGCATATATGCTCTCTCCTTACCCCTCGCCTGATCTGCTGGGATCCCCAGAGGTGCCATACATTAAGCAGACTTTAAAAAAATGTAAATCAAATTAGGTTGCAAGAATTCTCATGTCCCAGAGCCAGAGCCAGCCCAAGCCCATCAATCCCCATACGGGCCGACCTCCTGCCAGTGGATATACAGCATTATGAAAAGGTGGAGCAGGGAAGGAGACGAATCACCAAGTGCAGATGATATTAGTAAAAAGTGCCTTCGCTATAACTCGGTCTTTATTTTTGTTGGCAAATATTTAGAAATACTTTAAACCATATGTGGAATTAAGAGTAATTGACCCCCCTCCCTTTTGCTAGAGTAATTTTTCTTTTGTGATTTATTTAAAAAGCAACACCCACTGATAGATTTCCCAGGAAATCTTTTTATTTGCAGGTTAGCTGGCCCGAGATGTCAACTGTGCTGAAGGAGAAATCCTTCACAAGTTTCATCTTGAGAAATGGTTAAAATCACCAGATTCTTTGGGCGCAGCTATTTGGTCTTTGAAAATATAGGTGGAGTACTTGAAAACTATTTGGAAAGTCATTTGTTCCAATGGGTTGTATTGTCATTCTGCAAATTACCCAAAACTATTTTAAAAATGAAAAAAAAAAAAAAAAACGATTATTATCTACCCACGGAGATTCATTTACAATGTATACACAATGTTCTGTGATGGTTTTACCTCTTATAATAATAGAGGGTTAACAAAGATCTGACCCCACCTGTCTGTGTTCCCCAGACAGGTGGTCAGTTACCTTGGTGCGAAGATAGTGCCGATACAGAAATGAAAATCATTTACTCTGGGAACTCAGCCTGCCAGCACGCCTGTGAAATGATTTGCATACGGTTGTACCAGGAGTTCCCAGAACTGTTCCTGGGTGTTCCCTCCTCTATTTCCACTGCTGGCTGGCTGATTCTGTTTGGGTGTATGTCTGCATGTGTCATGATGTTCTCTTTTAAAATACAGCAAAGTTCAAGAAGTTTTGCTTCCTTAAAAGCACACTTGGTGCTCAAATATGAAATACTGAGCTTTTTTTCCACAGGGCATTTTTGTTTGTTTTTGAACTGCAAAGCAGTTTTCTGAAACTGATCTTCCAGAGTGAATGACGGGAGTGTATTTTCTTCTAACGCTGGCTTTCCTAAATACTAAACTGCCACTTAGGTGTCCCGCTGGTTTATCTTCCTTTTCTGGAGATCCTAATGTTGTAGGGGACTTGATGACTAGAGAGGGCATTTGCAAAGATGAGGATGTCTGCAAAACATTCCCTTTTCTTTTTCTTTTTTTTTCAGGCAGTGATTCTCTGCAGAAGCATTTTTCTTTTTAAATGAATTCTCAGAGGGCAAACAGAGATGAAAAGGGAGGAAAAGCTGAATATTTCTGCTAGTGTTTTGACCAGAACAGCCCTAAAATGTTCTGTTTATTAACAAGAGGAGAACGGTTTGTGTAAGGTTAACGTTGGCATTACTTAGCCGGGTCACTCCTGTAGAGCGTCTGCATGAATTAGGAAAGGCTGCCAGGTTTCCATCTGTCAGCAAGGCAAGCCCGGCCACAAACACAACTGTCGTGACAACCACACCGAGTTAGTCTTTCAAATAAAACTTGTTAAAAGCTACTGCCTCCAGCCTCCACCCACTGCAGCTAACTGCATTAAATCACCCTCTAACTAGTATTTATTTTCTTCGGCATTCCTTACTTGTGCAGCTGTGGGCATGCTGGCCTTTGATTTAAAATAACCCCACCAGGATGAGCGTTTACAGTCCTGAAGGTTGAGATGTGTTGAGGAGGATGTCTGAAAGCAATGTCCCACCTGAACCTTTCTCAGGCTGCAGTGCCTGTATCCGGGCCCTCTGCATCTTCCCTGTGGGACATGGTCTGTAACTCTGGGAACTGCTGGATCAGCTGATTTCTTTCAGATGATGGCAAACCACAAAGATCCCCTCAGAGTAAGGCCATACTCTTGGTGGTGGAAGGCCCGCCCTCAGGCCAGTTCCTCTCCCCAGCCCCCCTCCACCGCCCCGGTTTTCCCATTATGATGAACTTGGGTGGCAAAAGCAAGTTTGGATTAACTTTAGCTCACCTGTGAAATCCGAGTTGACAAGGGAATCAAAGCTATCACGGAGTCCACTGGCACTGCGTCTCCTGGGGTGTGCGTTTTCTTTTAACTCACATGCTTGAAATCTGTGAGATCAAATGGCCTAGTGACCCCCTGGTAGGACTCTGTTATGTAAAAGCAATTTAATATTCTCAATATGCTCTTTTAGGTGCTAGGTCCTTTTAGAAGATTTCTGCACAGTAGAGAGGTATCTTCCCTACTGGTCAGTGTGGGCTGTAAAAATGGGCACTTGGTTAAAAAAATACTGAGGGTAGAAAAAGTGAAGTGATGGTGAAACAGATTGTGTATTTCTGTACTCTGTGTACATTTTTGAAAAAAAAGGGACAGCCCTTTCTGATTGTTAGAGGAATACTCAGCGGCTATGCCTGTATCTGAACAATGTGGTTAGTACCAAACCTTTAAAGAAACATTTATGCCTAAAATATTATGAGATAAATAGAGGCTTTTAAATGTCAAATTCCAGCTTCTGCACAGCTTCTGAGGTGTTGTAGGAATTGAAGGAGCTTATGGTGTCTAGTACTTGGTGGTGACTCAACAATACCTGTTGAGTGAATGATGAATAAATAAAAATGGTGATGGTGATGATGGTGTTAAAGGATAAACTTTAAAAGAGGATAAGATCATGATTCTCAGGCAAATATACAATCAGCACAAGTCAAAAACTGCATTTAATGTGTAAATTAATGAAGAAACCAATATGATAATATTACAATTGGTTCATAAGACAACTCAAAGAACTATATTCCTTATAGTCAGACAGGGATTGCTGAAATGAATTTACAAATGGATGTAACCTGGCAAAACTGGTCCCCATCCACAGGGTGACACAGAATTGACTACCAGGAGATGAGACACAGTATGTATGTCTACAGGCAGGAATTGTTTGTATAACTAAGAGTTTTCTACAAATCAACTTGCGTTTAGCAGAGTTGTAAAGTAGCCTAGTCAAAGAAAAGCAACCAAGCAGATGTGCACACCCTATAGAATCGAATAATCCTTGTAATAGTAGCATTCCATTGAGGGCTATCCAAAAATCCTTTAGGCCTATTTCAAAATCTTCCACAATCTTCCCCACAGTAGTTAACATATCCATAGTACATATTCAGTGCCAGACACTGTTCTGGATGATATGCTTTACACAATAATTTATTGAATCTTCCCCAGCAACTGGCCCAAGTTTACAAAGCAAGTCAATAAGGGGTCAGAATTTGAGTCCAGCCTGTCCAACTCCACCACCTCAGGCTCTTGCTGACCATGCAAAACTCCCTGAGAATGGATGTGGTCAATGGGTGCCTGCTAGCGCAGCTGAGAGGCTACTGCTACCTATGCTGGTCTTCAATTAGCATAAGATATCATGGGAGGAAAAGGGGTGATTGAGGCTCTACTAGATTATCCCAGGTCTTTGGCAGTAGACATAGGTGCATTGTGTTTTCTGGTTTTCCTTTGTTTACTCATCAAATCTGCACCTGGCATAGCGTGTTTCATCTCACTGTGATTGGCACATTCACAGACTGACGCCACAAGCCACCGTGTGACGAAAGGAGTTCATTGCAGGTTGAGTATAATGGAATAATCAAGTTAGGTTAAAAAATATATATATATATAAGCCCAAGTAAAACAGGAGGATTATGGCAAAATACGAGTCAAAAATGGTTGCTTTGGGACCCACCCTGTGTTTGCCCAGAAAGGTCTTACAAGAGGTTGTAGGCCTGCTTGTTCCTACACGCAGGAGGCCTGGCATGGCCCAGGCACTGCCTTGAATCTTTAGCCACAGGGGACCAGGCCTAGTTTTGTAAAGTGGAGAGTGGCAAATACAGAAAGCTGCAAATTCCCAAATTGGCAAAAAGTTCGTCCTATTCATTTTCTCCCCCAGTTTTACTGCTTTGTATTAAAAAAGAAAGTCCAGGAAATATTTAGTACAGTTGTAGAGCTATACCCTGGGAATTCTCAAATTTACTATCCTTGGCCTTTTACTCTCTGTCATCCCCACACACCGTAACAATGGGAAGATTATGCTGGAAGGCCTATGCATTGTGTTATGTATCTGCAAAGGCTCAAGAAAAGCAAAGCACCTGCAAAGCTCACATTCTCTTTTGGCCTCTGCCTCCACTGAGTGGGGACAGCTTATTCCACAGTTCAGTGGTCCCCAAGAGGAAGAAACCATGGTGGATTCTCCCTCATTCTGTGCGGGATCCCCTTTGCTTTGGGTAAGACCAAAGCAAAGAGAGTAAGTCATTTATAGTTTTGGAGAAGTGCAATTTTTTTTTTTTGGCTGGGTTTTTGTTTTTAAATAAGCTTTAGTCCCTTGTATGTAAGTAAAGTTTGGGCAGGAGCCCATGTTTTATTTTGCTTTGGGAAGAAAAAAAAAAAACAATGTCATGATGACAATAGGAATAGTTTAAAGTCTATATCACTTCTTTTATGTTCACCACATCTCTGAAAACCTACTTATAAGAAATTGGAGAAGGAGAGGTATTGGATCATATTTCACCTTCAGGGGGTAATGTCAGAAAGGGAGGTCTGTGAGGGTGGATGGGATTGAGGGTGGTTTATTTATTGATTCATAAATAAACCATCTGGGAGCTGGGCTGGAGCCAGAACTGATGGTGCACATTCTCTTCCTAATTCTGCATCTCACAGGTCGCTGGACATTGCCTGTGGTGGAAGAATTTACACCACAGTAACTGGCAAATGCTACAAATCAGGGCTTCCTCATTGCCTCCTCTCAGAGTGTCATTTGGTTGTTGAACACGTACTAGCACTCCACTTAGGATACCCCAGGTACCAGAACAGTGCTTGGGATACAGTTAGTGCCCCAAAAATACTTGGAAATGAAAGAATGAATGTTTCTAGGAGCCCTGAAGTAAATTTCACTCTGGTGAAATAATATCTTTAAGTTATGTAAGTTCAGAATTTTATCTTCAATTTCCCTGACAGCATAATTTAACTTACTGTTTGGTCTGCAGGTTGCCCGTTGCTTTTTCATGCTTTGCTTCTTCTAGTTTCTATACAATCTCAGGAAAAGTGAGAATTATTCTCATTTTACAGAGAGGAAAAGGAGGCTCAGAGTAGCAAAGTGTCACTGCTGTATTAAGAGGCAGAGTGTGTGTTCACTTCCAAGTTCTGGTTGATTTTCAGGCTGCTGCTTGGCTATGAGACAACACTGCCTGGCCTTACTGTGAAGGGAACCTGTGTCCTGTCATGGAAGGCAAAGAGTGTCAGGCTCATTAACTGCAGGAGCCATCCCGAGAGCTCCACTGCCCTTCTTCAGGCCTGATGTTTCTTGAAGAGCAGAATCAGTGAATTTCCAGCTCCATGTATGCTTCCCTTGTCCCCTGCTGGGAGATCTTAAAGCAGATATAATACTTATTATTAGATCATGACAGCAGTTAATACATTTTAAACTCAGAGCAGTGAAATTCGGCTTGCTGGTTTGACTTGGGAGTGTCTTGAACAATGAGCGATGAGTACATTGGCTGAGCAGAAAAGATGGAATGATATAAGATAGCTGCAATGTCTGGTGTGACTGTCCTCCCAGGCACCCGGTGTGAAGATGGCTGTCTTTGAATATAAGTACAACATTTCACTTTCTACAAGGACATCAGCACCCACCCCAGTCTGCCCCTGTGGCTTCAGGTTTTGGGATGCTTTCTGTGTCCTGTCATCAGTAGAGGAGGCAGAGGCGAGGGGATGGGAGCAGCTGGGCTCAGCTCTTTGAAGGCCTTCGGAGAAAAGGCTGAGATGATAAAGGAATTTCAATGCAACGCCTAGCAGCCCACCCACCTGTACCTGAGCCTACTCTGCCATCAGGGATGAAAGGGCAGCTGCTCGCCCATCCATTCTCTCTTCATTAATTTTCTTCGAAAATTGGGTCCCTTTACCTGCCCACTCGCTGCGACCAAATTTCAGTGTGGACATGGAAAGAGAAATAATGGGGAAGCATGTGATATGCAGAACAATAGCCAGTTCCACCAGGCCCACATTCTTCACGAGGTAGAGAAATAACAGCAATCAAGAACCATATTGTTATAGTCTGCTTTGAATAAAATTCACAAAAGTTCAATTAAGAAACCCTGTAGTGCTGCTTGCCTGAAATTTCAGTGCGTTCATCACAAAGAATGTCTGCTATTCCCTGTCTCTAAAAGGTGGTTGTTTCTGAAATGTAGTTTATCAGGCTGCTGGCTTTGAGGGTTGTTCTGCAGCTTCTCTCCTTTTCTCCAAGGCACGGTCCATCCTGGGTGGATTCACCAGGTGAGGCAGGCCAGGTGCTTCCATTTGCTGAGGAGGCCGCAACATCAGAAGTAACTCCTGATGTATTATTTGCCATCTTCTGCAAGAGCATAGAGAATATGGCGATTTCAGTCCTAAAAGCCCAAATCCGGGGAAATATTTGCAAAATCTGTAACAGAAAATTAATACTGTTGCTACATAAAGAGCTCTTTAAAATCGATACAATATAACTAGAGTTGTGAGAGTAAAATAAAGTTCCCATGTTTTGGGCCCAAATTGCCGGCATCCATGAGAAGAGTCAGGGGGTGAGCTGGGGCTATTGGTGTGGCACCCTGTAGGGGTGAGTCCAGGCATTTTGACTTCACTCCTGGTGTAGAGAGCAGATTGTGAAGGGAGGGTGTTGGGGATGGATGGAAGAGAAGGTGACATTGCAGCTGCAGTTCAAACATTTCTTTCTTGGGGAGAGAGCAGGATGAGGGGGCTGGAATAATAGCCTGTGCTAGAGAAGCCGGGAGTTCCAGGAGAAGGACCCCTGTGGCATTGAAAGAAACTGAATGGTAGGAGGAAAAACTGACTTAGTCATAGTTCGGAGGTGAGACTGAGGGAGAAGAAGGTTCTAAGGCTGACTCCTGGCTTTCTGTCCGAATAACAAAAACACTGCAGATGGCACCACCTCAGACAACGGATAAGCTTGGGAGGGGACCCGGGTTATTGCTGGAGACTGGAGGAGGAATCAGGGGTTCGGTCTGTGAGGTTACTGTGTGGTTCCCTGATGAATGACAGAGGAAGGGCTGAACTGCAGGTCTCAATTTGATACTTATCTCAGCATAGATAGAATTTTGGGCCCAGATATAGAGTTAACCTTTGAGGACCTTCAGAATTAAATGTCCAGGTGGAAGATGATGACTTTGCAAATGACTCAGAGAAGGAAAGGCCGGGAAAAATGGGGAAACCGGACAATAAGGAGAGAAAGCATTGGACGTGAAGCACATTGGATGCTGCTGGGAATGGACTGACAAGTCTCCTGGGTTCAGCGACGGGGAGCTTATTTGCAAGCTCTGCAAGAGTTGTGAACTTATGCAATGAAGGCAGGGACCAAGCTGGAGCAGGCTGAGAAGTGAGAGGGAGCTAAGAAACAAAAATGGCAGCTCCCAAGATCTTTAAAGAAGCTTGGTTATGAAAGAGCAGGGAGGAACCAGGAGCCACTTGATAGCCATGGGGTGAGCACTGAAGACACAGAAGAGTCAATGAATAGAAAAAGTTCCAAACTCCAAGGCACAGGCCTTGGAAAGGGGGACAGATTAAATGGAATTGTCAGCATGGTGTCTGGAGACAGTGGGAATTCCCATTTGATGACTCCAAGTTTTTTATGTAAATTAGGACTCAGGTGACTATCGCTGGAGGAGAGGCGAGAAGAACTGAACCATCCAATCAGAGTGGTCAGTGGGCTTACTGACTAGGCAGGTGTCATGGCAGAACATCTGCTGAAGACAGCGGCTGTTCTCATCTCTGCTCCAGAATCTTGTCTGCATGGTTAAAAATTGTTGCTTTGCAACTGTAGCTAGGATGGGAAACAGCATGAGGTAGTGTCTTAGTTTGCTGGAGCTGCCTAACAAAGTACCACCGATTGGAAGGCTGAAGCAAAAAAATATGTATTTCTCTAGGTTCTGGAGGCTGGAAGTCTGAGATCAAGGTGTCTGTAGGGCTGGTTTCTTCTGTGTCCTCTCTCCTTGGCTTATAGATGGCCGTCTTCTCCCCGTGTCCTCGCATGGTCATCCTATATGTGTCTGTGCCCTAATATCTTATAAGGACAGCAGTCATATTAGATTAGGGCCCATCCTAATGACCACATTTAACCTTAATCGCCTCTTTAAAGGCCCTGTCTCCTGACACAGGTCTATTCTGATATACTGGGTGTTAAGGTTCAGAAACATTTGAATTTTGAGGGACACAATTTAGTTCCCTCATCTAACAAGAAGATGAATGTTTCTTGTTAGAAAATGGCAATGTCTTACTCGCTATCTTTAAAGTTTTATTTAAATGTTCCAAGTGAGTGCTTGCCTTTAAAAACAAAAAACAACAACACAAAACTTTTATTACTTCTTGTATCCCTGAAGCCTGAATGTACACTTTGCACTGCATTTACAGCTTGCTTGCTTTCTCATTCACTGAAGTATCAAATACTTCATAGAAATTTTCCGTACTTTGTCTTAGTCCAAAAATTTGTTTTGAGAAGAAAGGGCAAGTAAAAGTCACCCAATTCTCTTTCAAGTAGATCCAGAGAAATGATATTGTTTTTCCTGTTTCTTTGAGAATTCTCTGGAGCAGCTTTGCTCTAAAATACTTTTAATAGGAGCTGAATTAAAGTTTTTTTTTTTTTTTACAACTAGTCTTGTAGTAAAGATAGTTTTAAAAAAGTGGATATTGATTTTTTTTACACCAAAAGTGAGATTGTTTTAGTATTATTTTTCTGAGAAAATGTTCAATTTCATCTTAGAGGAGTCTGACAAAGTAAATGAAATGCATTGTTTAAAGGTTTAACAGGTATTTTTCCCCTCATTTAAACGTATAGATATTATGATCACATTCTTCATGAATACATAACCTATTTTACTCCTTCACACTCTTTGTATTAGGGTAAAAATACTGATGGCTTATTAGGATATCAGATGTATCACTTCACATTAGATTTATCTGTGAGTTACAAAGGCCTGAAAAACAGTAGGTTAAACAGGATAGGAAAACGTTTATTCCTCAGGTAAGTCTGCTCAGAGCAGAGGAGTCCAGGACTTGGAAGTGGCTCTGTAGCCATGTGGAATGCAGACTGATGCCTTGGTAAAAAACCTCCTCCTCATAGTCCAAAGTGGCTGCAAGAAGTCCAGCCATCTCATTTGAGTTCTGATCAAAAGTGTGAATAAAGTAGTGAAAAATGTCATACTTTCTCCTTTCAAGGAACATTTCCGCAAGTTGCATCCATTTGCACTTAAATCTCACTGGCCAGAATTTACACCTAGATTCCTGGGATCCTGAAGAGTATGATCTTTTAGTGGGGTGAAATACTGTCCAGAATAAATTCTGTTGAATGCTGTGCAATGCTCCTAAGGAAGAGAGGGAGAAGAGATGTTTGTGGCCACGAGGACCGCTGGTTCCTTTGTGTACCATATGCATACCGTGGCTAGTCACTCTGGCTCTGGGCATAGAGAGGCCTGGGCCGCACAAGGATAATAATGGTAGCAAGAAATTAAGAAAACACATGAGCAGTGTTTTCCAGAGCCGGCACTTTCAGAGCCATTATCTCAATCAGTCCTTATAATGATGTCCTGAGGTGAACAGTATCCCAGTGCCATGGACACTCATGGTATAATGTAAATTTTCTAAAATAATTCAATCCATAAGGGATGAGTCCCTCATTCTGGGATCTGAGTAAAAAATCTGCCTGCTGTCTGCTGGGCCAGGCTGCCTTGGCATCCCTTGTGGTAGTGAACGCTCTGCCAGCTGGTACTGCAGAGAGGTGGGGTCATCCCTGCCCCTTCACCTGAGCTCGCAAATCCCATTATTTTTCTTTGCTCATATCCCTTACATCTGTTCATTCCCTATCTCTACCACCACTACTATCTCTCCCCTGGATGGTTGCAGTGGCCTTGCGAGTTACACGTGTTTATGGCATTCTCATTCCCTTCCAAATGATCCAAAATGTAAAGCCAGGCACATCCCTTACCTCCATCAAACCCTTCTGTGGCTCTTCTTGCCTTCAGGATAAAGCCAGCTTCTGGGTTAAACCCCACCCTCCACGATCTGGTCCTGACAGCCTTCTCTCTTACTGGCGCTTTTTCCCACAAGCTTGGGCTTTCCATCAATTTTGAGCTTCTTTCATTTTCTGAATTGTTCCCCTCCTCCTCTGTCTCTGTTTTTTGTGCTTCCTCTGTCTAGATGTCCTGTTTGCCTGACTGACTCCTGTCCACCCCTCAGGGCTGGAGAGAAGCTTCCACAGAGAAGCCCATCCCTCCGGAGGCTGGCCAGGGGCCCCGGCTGTGTGTTTAGCTGTGTTGCATGGTCATCTCTTGCTCATCTCCCCAGGTAAACAGCTAAACCTCAACGGCAATGCATTAACTGTGTCTTTTTATTCTGATGCTTTGACATCTGGGTCCTGTGGACCCTGAGAGGCTGCCCCTCCCAGGGTGAGCCAGTGTCTGTAGTGTTAAAACACTTGCCTGCAGACACACCCTCTTTTGCAAACCAACCAATCCAGAGCCCACACCCCACATCTCCTCCGTCAGGCTCCCATCCTCTGGGCCACTATTCCTCTGATCACCCCAAGGTTAGGGACCAGACAACTAGGAACAGCCCTATACCAGGGCCTGCTGAAATTATTCAAACCAGCCAGTCCTAAGCCTGCCCACCCTGCTCTGCCTGTTCCTTCCCGTGGAAACCACAGTAATGCCTCCTCCCCACCATGTCCTCTTGCTCCCGACGCCGGTGGTTCCCATGTGGCCCTGTGTGGTTTGGAGTGCCCCCTCCTCTTGGGAACTGAGTAACACACTCTCCAATGGTGTTGTCTCCTGAGCAGTTGGCCTCATCATACCTGAATAAGAATGCAACCCCCATTGTCAAACAGGCAAGGGCTTTGTCTTCTTCCCATGGCACCGGCTGTCCTCACAGTGCTTGACACACAGTAGGTGCTTAGTATGCACTTATTCAGTGATTGGCTGGAGGAAAGAAGGAGGGGTTTGAAAGAATCCAGGAAGGCTTCCTAAAGGGTGTCATTCAAATGGTGCATCAAGGTGAAGCAGGGCTCTCCATGCGGGGATGCCTGGGAAGGACGTCCTAGGAGGCTGCGCAGCCATCGTCTCTGCCTGGGATACTGTTGGCTTGCCTGCCTTTCTTAGCTGTCCACACCTCTCTGATACCTTAGCTGCTTGTTGTGTTCCCAAGAAGCTCCCTGCCCAGTCAAACTGAGTAAAAGCACTCAATTATGTGGATTTTCACAGCACTTTGTCACTCTGCTTTTGGTACTAGGAACAATTTGTAATTTTATACTTGCTTCTGTAATATGATGGCTGGTCGTGTCCGTTCCTCTAGGTCATTAGCTCTCGGAGGGCAAAGACTTGGCTCGCGCCTGTAATCCCAGCACTTTCGGAGGCCAGTGTGGGCAGATCACGAGGTCAGGAGTTCGAGACCAGCCTGGCCAACATGGTGAAACCCTATCTCTACTAAAGATACACACACACACACACACACACACACAAAATTAGCTGGGCATGGTGGCGCATGCCTGTAATCCCAGCTACTCTGGAGGCTGAGGCAGGAGAATCGCTTGAATCCAGGAGGTGGTGGTTGCAGTGAGCTGAGATCATGCCATTGCACTCCAGCCTGGGCAACAGGGCGAGACTCTGTCTCAAAAGAAAAAAAAAAAAAGAAAAAATTCAGTAATATTTGTTGGATAGATGAACGCATACATTTAGGACACAGAGGGTGTTTTAGAGTCACTGAACAATATGGCCCCCACCGGGGCATGCAAGGAAATGCCCTGGAAAGGTAGGCTGGGGCTGGGTGAGGTAACCGTGCTCGGGTTTCAGTCCTGCAGCTGCCATTTTGGAAACAACCATCTTATAAAGAGAAGGTGAGACCATTGGTGAGGGTGGAAATAGGGGAATGAGGAAGAGATGGCAGGGCATTGGAGAGAGGGAAGGGTGTTCTGAAGTGTGTTTCTGCAACTCTATGGAAGGAGTCGAGGTTGAACCCCTTACAAATATCTGTCACCATTTTCTGGCCTCAACTCCACAAACAGTGTGAAAGCACTCCCGGTTCTAGTGATGGGAAATGTAGTTTCAGGGTTCATTCATCTGCCCCTTGTCAGCAATTTTTCACAGGCCCTCTTTTTTTTTTTGTAAGTCAGAAAAGATTCACATAAGAAAATGCAGCACATTCAGGAAAAACACATACAAGCTTAACGCAGATCCGTTGTTTACTGAGCTGGTGAACCCATGGCTCCCTTGCAAGGCTGCATTGTGAGTCTTCTAGGAGAATTGATCCTATGCTTGTGTGTTGCTATATGAAGCGCTCCTGTGATTAGGTTTTAAACAAGGACAGTGTGAAAAGGAGAAAATCTGATCCCAGTTTTTCTATTTGTAATAAAAAATAATGACAAAGAAAACTTAAACGGCAAAATCTTGAATTCTTAAGTCTCTAATCACACACACATAGACACAAGGTACACATTAATCCATCTCCCTTTGTATGAGGAAAGACCACTATGTCACAATTTCCCTTTGCTAACAATTCCATGTTATCTCTTAACTGAAATGGATTTAATAACTGGGAGACTGAGAGCCATTGAGCTTTGATGACCCTTTAGTGGCCTCAAGTTATAGGACAAAAACTACTGAGGAAGTATCTTCTAAGGACTTTGGTGATTTCCGTAAATGACTCCACTTTAAATTGCTGGGATTGTGTAGCCTCCTACAATTACTGGTGTTCTAATTTCCTGGGACTAATTTTAGAGGGTGGAAGATTTTAATCATGGAAAGGAATTGTTTCCATTGTTCAGACTAACTTCAGAAGCAGAGTTGAAAGCCAGGGCCAGAGAGAGCCCCCAGAACATTCCACAGGGGCTGGGCGGGCCGGCCCAGGGCCTGCCTATGGCCTGAAAGAGAAAACCTGCCACGGAGCCCGGGCTTCTCTGATCCTCCCGCCAAACTTTGTCTCTCATTTAGCTTTCTTTGTGTCTGAGGATTTAGCAAAGGCCTCAGGGTGAGTTTCTGCATATCCTTTTTCCTTGGGAACCCCGGTGGTTGACGGGGGCCCCTGGTAATGTGGCCTTAGGATGCTGGCCTTCTGAGTTCCTGTGGAGGGAGCAGGCATGGGGGAGGGTTGAAGTGTGGGGCTCTGTCTCTCTTTGGCGTCCCCCAACATAGAGCTTTGTGCACCTTTCTTTCTCTCTGCTCACACCCCCATGCCCTGCAGATGGGAGCAGACACCAGCAGGGCTTCCCATTCTAGCCCCAAGGAGTACCCATATGCCTGGAAGGGCACCTCAGCGTCCAGCCTGCCCAGCCTGTGAGGCCGTGTGACCTCTTCAGAGCTAACTCGCCTTTCTTTCCTGTCCGTGTGGATCCGCACCCCCAACCTGCACCATCTTCAGATTAAGATTTTGGATTTATGGAAAAATAGCTATTTCATTCACTGTCACCTACTAAAGGTGTGTCACAAGTACCAGGTCATGGGCAAAATCATACTGCTGGTGTCTGCGGCTCCCTTCCCTGCTTGGTCTCCTATGCAAGACCTTCTGGTGGGAGGAAGCCTTTCTCACTGATTTTTATTTGGAATTTCCGCATGCTGCCTTCCTGCCCGTGGAGTACTCTGCTTTGAAATGTCCTAGGAATACTTGCATTGGAAGAAAATACTCAACACAATGCATTTCAGTAGATACAAATTCAAAAGGAAACTCCTGGGTGGTGGGGTGGTCAGAAGACTGTATTAATAAAATTTACAGTAAATGAAAAATGAAGAGAAAAAAATACATATACACTTCATGTCTCCCGCTAACTGTGTTCATTCCTAATACATTTAATAGTGGTTCATTTTCTTTTCTATGTCTCCAATTTTTCTGTGAGGAACATACTTATAGACCATGGAAAGGACACATTCTGAAATGTGTCATTGCACACCAGCCTGGGGACGCTGCTCTGAGTCACACTTCAGGTCCTGGGATCTGGGCTCTTGAGCAAATGTTAGAAGTTTTCCAGTCCAGGCTCCTGCCTCATTTAAGCTGGTATTTTCCTGAATGCCCTTCCACGATGCTGTCCACCCGTGCCTGAACAGTCCCAGTTAGAGGGAGGTCACCACCTTCCAGGCCACAGAGTCCCTTCATGGGCAGCTTTATTGTTAGAAACAAAAAGAATGAAAAACAGTGGGGTTAGGTAAAGATGAGAAGGATGGAGAAGGAATAGAAAACATTGCTAATACGTTGAATTTGATAGATGTTTGGCTGGGTTTCCCATTTGAGCCACACAGAACCAGGCGATCTTTCACAGACTTGGCACCCTCTCCTCTTTGAGAGCCGAATCATGCTTCCTCTTCATTTCCACATTGTCAACACCCCAAGTTCCTTCAATCCCTCATTAAACAGGCTTGCTTTTAGCTCCTCACCACTCAAGTTACCTCCTTCTAAACTAATCATAGTCAAATTGTCCTCGAAAAGTGTATTTCCTGGAGCCCAGCATGGCGCCCTGCAGTGGGCATGGGCACGGGCGGTGCACTGCATGGGACTTTTCCTTCTCTCCATCCGGGTGCCATACACGAGGGTTTTCAGCTTAGGGCAGCATTCGCGTTTTCAGTGGTTACATCGCACCGTCAGCTTACATTAACTTTGTGGTCATCTCTGCTCCAATATCTCAGACTCATCGAGTGAGTCAGAAGCAGGGTCAGGGGAGACGTTTCCATTGTGTCTGTGTGGAGGTGTCAGGGGACATTAAGGCAGTCACCATGTGGGACCCTAGGAGAGGAGCCAGCAGGGAGGAGCGGCTCTCTGACAGCAGGGCCTGCAGGATGATGGAGCCGCACCTGCTGTGAGAGTCGTTTCAGAGCCAGTGCCCCTTTAGGTGAGTGCACACTGTAGGGATGACAGAGTTGTGCAAAAACTAAAAGCTTCGGCTGGGTGCAGTGCCTCATGCCTATAATCCCAGCACTTTGGGAGACCGAGGCAGGTGGATCACCTGAGGTCAGGAGTTTGAGACCAGCCTGGGCGACATGGCAAAACCCTGTCTCTACTAAAAATACAAAAATTAGTTAGGCATGCTGGCGCACGCCTGTAGTCCCAGCTACTCAGGCTGAGGCGGGAGAATCACTTGAACCCAGGAGGCGGAGGCTGCAGTGACACGAGATCACACCACTTCACTCCAGCCTGGGCGATAGAGCAAGACTCTGTCTCACAAAAAACAACAAAACTCTAAAAGCTATGCCATGAGGGGCTGAAGTATCCTCGTTGTGGAAAGGCAGGTTACGCAGAGCACAGCGACCGGGAGCCCCAGGCAGTGGTGTGCCAGGCAAGCCAAGTGGAGGGGAGGACAGAGGCAGGTGTCAGGGAGTGGGTAGCGTTGGGGACATGGCCGCTGTCTAAAGAGGCACAGTGGACTTGGAGAGAATTCTGGAGCAGTGAAGAGCCACAGAGCAGGCGACAGCCTTGAGTTTAGTGCAGGGACTGAGTGGCCACTCAGTCACATGTAAGTGGGCAGCAGCAGCTGTGTTGTGATTCGAGGGCCACAGTCCGTGTGGCCTGGGATGAGGGCAGTCCTTCCTTGCCTGGCTATTTTCTTAGAGATGATAGTCTAAAAGGAGAGCAGTTCATGCCTCGAACAAAGCCCCACCCAAGTGCAGGATATCAAGGCAGATGAGAAGCTTCTCTGTGACTTCCGGGAGGATGCTGGAGGAATGAGAGGACCTCAGAATGGGGCCAAATGAGGTCCTGCCAAGGGCAGATAAGAGCCATTTGGGCTGTTGATGGGACCTTAGTGGTATCCACAAATAATCTGGCCTGGGGGTTACAAGGCTTTTCTTATCCACAGAAATGTTTTAAACTAACCATGTGAACATTGTTTTAATAGAAGCTTTATGGTGAGAAATCACAGAGTAAAATCGCCATTTAATTCTGTGATTTCCTGAACCGAGCTGGGTCCAGGGCAGACCCGCGTGTTTGGATTGTGTGGACTAGGCCACATCTGGGGCTATTAGCAGTTCTCTTCAGTTCTTCCTCTCAGCGTGTGTGGCTCTCCTGCATGGGATCCCCAGCCTAGACAATGGAAGACTTCCCCACACACTCTGGAAGACTTGGGGATAAAAACTGTTTGGTGCCCAGGTCAGACCACAGAGATGTTTAAAGCTTGATTTTAACTTTAAGGTTTGAAAATCAGACCATTTTAATGTTTCATTTTAGACTTACTCGTGCTGTTTCCCTATTGCCAAATTTCACTTTCATAAGGATTTTACTGTAGAGGGATTCTCAGGTGAGATTCTCTGGTTCACGCTTTGACATTCTAATCCATAAAATTCAGCAACAGATAGGATCACTACAAAAAACCCACTTAATATTGCTATGATGACTTACACGCCCCTTTGTAAACTCACTTGAATCATCAACATGTGTCTTTCTTCATAAGAACGTACACTGAAAAAAGGATTTTGCATGTATCTTGGGTTGGAGATCCGTTCTAAGACGTGTGATACATTTCGATTTAGAATTTTTCCAGAAAAGATTTTTCATTTACAGTCAATTGACTTGCGTTTTCTTTTTCTCCCCTCTTCTATTGCGCTGAACTTAAAACCCATTTTAGCTGTTATTTTTGTATTTATTGGATTGCAACCCTCTTAATGAGATTTAAATGAAAAGTCCTGAAGTGCCCAATCTAGACTTCATATTGCGCCCACATGGTTTGCTAAAGCAGGTACCATACCAGTGGGGATCCCTAGTTGTCACAGCTGTAGGAGCCTCCTAATTGCTTGTGACATGGTGCTGCCTTTTGATCTTGACCATGTTCTCCTAATTATTTAATCTTTGACAACATGAAAACATGTTTAACCACATACCATGAATTAAGATCCAGCACGACTTTTCTCCTGAGGCCTAGTTCTGCGTGCATATTCTTTATGTGCATAGCAGCTAAGGAAAAAAAAAAGTTTATTTCCTGTCATCTGTTGAAGGGGAACTAGGGGATGGGGGTGGTGTGTGCGTATGAACATCCCTCCAGCCTCTCCCTCTCTAGACTTCTGCTGATACATTTCTTGTTTGTTCTGAATTACCCCTGAGTTGTTGAATTCTCAAATGCACTGTTTTTAGGCTGGTATTGTCTGACAGTTTTTTTCTAGCCTGGGGAAGGCAGGGAGTAGGAACTCATTGTTAGACAAAGAAGCAGGGAATTGATTCTGGTGTGTTACACTTGTGCTCTTCTATTTAGGAATATTTATGTTTTATTTTATTTAGTTCATGTGTCTGTTTTCTTCAATGGATTCTAAGCTGCTTGTTGGTAGGGGCCTTACTATGTCATCTATGAATCACCTGTGCATAAAAAATAATTGCTGTGTGTGGCTGGGCGCGGTGGCTCACCCCTGTAATCCCAGCACTTTGGGAGGCTGTGGCGGGCTGATCACGAGGTCAGAAGATCAAGATTATCCTGGCTAACATGGTGAAACCCCGTCTCTACTAAAAAAAAATACAAAAAATTAGCCAGGCGTGGTGGCGGGTGCCTGTAGTCCTAGCTACTCAGGAGGCTGAGGCAGGAGAATGGCGTGAACCCGGGAGGGGAAGCTTGCAGTGAGCCGAGATTGCGCCACTGCACTCCAGAGCCTGGGCGAGAGAGTGAGACTCCATCTCAAAAAAAAAAAACAAAAAAAAACAAAAAAAAAAAACATTGCTGTGTGAATGAATGAATGAGCAAATGGGTACATTAGTTTCATGAATCAATGAGTGAATAGTAAATGACGTTTGTCTTTGGGGACTTCGCTAATGCCATATGTGTACCTACTGAGGCATCTCTGTGAAAAATCTCAGGAAAATCTGCGTTGTTTCTTATTGGGGCATCTTGCTCTGATCGCTCTCTGCATCTCTTCTTAATTATGGCAAAAAGAATATACCACATAAAGATTTTTCTCCTGGGTCTGAACAGTACAGCCCCAGTGTTCTGTAACTGACAGAGGCACACCAAACTTTTTTGCCTGGGGCACCAATATCCACCACATATGCTAGAAGGATTTATCTCAGCTCCTGACCTATTGCTATTTCCTCGCAGAATTGTTTGCCAGGGTAACAGGCTGCCTATGTATTTTGTTTAATATTTGTTGGGTAGAGGGTTAGGGTGAGGGTGGGGGTGAGGGTTAGAGTTAGGGAATCAAGGCTGTGTTGGAATTCTCACCAGTGGCTTGGCAATGGAATACATCACAGGTTGCAAACTTTTCTGCAAGTGTCAAGGTAATAACATGTCAGCCTTGCGGCCTTGTGGGTCTCTGTCACAGTGGCTCAACTTTGCGGTTGTAGCAGAAAAACAGACCTGGACGATGCAAAATGGCCATGGTGTGTTCTAGTAAACCTGAAATTCGAATTTCTTGTAATTTTCCATGTCATGAAATATTATTCAACTTTTGTTTCCCTCCGCTGATCATTTAAAAATGTAAAAACCATTCTTACCTCGTGGACTGTAGTTGGCTGCCCCTGCAAGGCGGGGACAACACGTACTTATTGTACTTTGGGGGACCCATAAGAAGACTGCAGTGAGATGGAGCAGGATGAAAACAGCACCCCTACTGAGGAAGCCTTTTGCATGAAAGGACAGCATTGTTGTGAAGGACAGTACTGTTGTTCACCATAAACTTCCTTTCCATTGGCTTCCAACAAGTTGTTGGTGGGTTTTTTTGTTTGTTTTTTGGGGGTTTTTTTGAGACAGAGTCTCACTCTGTTGCCCAGGCTGGAGGGCAGTGGTGCGATCTTGGCTCACTGCAATCTTCAGCTCCCAGGTTCAAGCGATTCTCATCCCTCAGCCTCCTGTGTAGTTGGGATTACAGGCATATGCCACCATGCCCTGCTGATTTTTGTATTTTTAGTAGAGAAGGGGTTTCACCATGCTGGCCAGGCTGGTCTCGAACTCCTGACATCGTGATCTGCCCGCCTCGGCCTCCCAAAGTGCTGGGATTACAGGCATGAGCCACCGCACCTGGCCCTGTCGGTGGTTCTTGTTTGTTTTTGTTTTTTGAGACAGAGTCTCTCTCTCTGCCGTCCAGGCTGGAGTGCAGTGGCGCAATCTTGGCTCACTGCAACCTCCACCTCTTGGGTTCAAGCTATTCTCCTGCCTCAGCCTCCAGAGTAGCTGGGACTACAGGGGCACACCACGGCTAATTTTTGTATTTTTAATAGAGATGAGGTTTCACTATATTGGCCAGGCTGGTCTCGAACTCCTGACCTTGTGATCTGCCCGCCTCAGCCTCCCAAAGTGCTGGGATTATAGGCGTGAGCCACCGTGCCTAGCCCTGTTGGTGGTTCTTAAGGCCGTTCTTAACTTTAGTATTCTACCTTTGGTTGTGTTGCCCTCTGAGACTGTGTGACCTTTAACAGGCTGGGAGCTGGAACTTCAAAGTCCCAGAGTCGTCTCTGCAGAAGGCATATTTCTGCCAGCATCCTGTTTTCTGTGTAAGATTATATCATGACTGTTGTCCCTGTCAGTTTGGCTACAGAGAAGAGATGCTTTGGGATTGGAAAAAAGTATGCTTTGGCATCTACGCCACTGGGCAGCTCCATGGGAGTGACTGAGAGGAAAAGGATCAGGCAGTGCCAGCCAAGAACTTCCTTGGACTTTAATGTCACAGTGTTCGCCTGCACACTTACAGGGGTTACAGGTCTTCTCTAGTCTTTGTGTGGGGTCTCAGCTGTCCTATTTGTACTAATAACGTAAAGGGAAAGGGTAAAAGAGGTTCTTTTTGCCCGTCTCATAATAGCATTTTTTTACGCTCTAAATGAGTTAATCAAGCCATCACATATTCCAATGCCTTTATCATTACTTAGGTAAAAGTCTGGACTTCATGCCTGCAAGAATTGATAAGAAACCAATCCTTGGGATTTTAGCCTCTAATTCTTTTTTTTCTTTTTATAAAATTACTTTCGAAATGAAAGGAGATAGAGGGAAAATACAACATTGAGTCATCTGAGACCAACTTCATCCCATGATGTTTTAATTTCAGGAATATTTTTCCAGAACTCATTCCAGAATTGGACAAAAAAATAGAGTAAGTCTAAGGAAAGATTTACCTGCATTTTTTTTCCAATTTTTTGCTAAGTCCTCTGTTCCAACTCCCATTTGTCACACACAGCCACATTATCTGATACTTACGCCTGAAAAATGAGAACGATGCATTCACATATAGATGGAAAGTTATTTTCTTAGAAATTCAAGGAGCAAAATCAGCTGTCAATAAGCTTTTAGAAGGAAAGGAAAGGATTGCTAGGAATGTGAGTGTGATGGAGCATTTCTAGTAATATTTGAGACACTATTTGCAACACCTGTTCCAAACTAAATAAAACATTATATAGAGCGTGTGGAGCAACTTCTGCTCACATCTCATGTTTGCTGCAGGAATACAGAACGCACACACACTCATGTCATGGACACATGTGTCAAATTGATCATACTCCAAAATCTGCATGATCAAACAGTTCTCAAGTAATTTTAGTCCTTGACATAATCCACTTCTCAGTCTCAGGACCTTTTAGAGCTGTTTCCATGAATACTGATTTAAAGTCACCCATGTGTGCAGAATGAAGAATGGAATGAGAAACATCACACAGCAGCAGAATGCAGAGGGATCTCTCATTTCAAAACAAAACCAGTATTTGGGTTTGCCATGACTGCACAACTGTACTTCTGCACAGGTGTCTTCGTTGCAGGCACATCGTTCTTTTATTTAAAGGTTTAGAGCGGGGGTCAGGGTCTGTGCTGATTTTATGGATCAATTTTTTAAAACTTGTATGATATAAGGAAGAGATGATTCTAATTTCTTTAAACAATTTCCATACAATGCTATTTATTCTCATCACTTTAGAAAAATGTACTTCATAGTAATCATTTGTTCTAGGTGGGCATCACATAGAACTGGGTAAGTGGGTCCAGTCCCACCCAATCCATGCACCCATCATCTGAATAAAACACAGCAACATGTAGAGAGACATAGTATGGCTCACCCTGCTGGGATAGAGTTGTGTTTGTCTCTGTTTTAGTGAATTTTCATTCACATTTCTCCATTGATCATCCTTCTCAATATAGAGTGTATGGGAAATAAAAGCCTAGCAACATCTCAAAGAAGTGAGTTTTAAGGAAAGTTATAAAACAACTACAAAGATTGACAGAATAAACGTTTTCTGGGAATCACTACACAGGAGGATTTACCAAGTTTTGAGGGTATACTCATGTGAATCTGCAGATACATTTGTCGTAAGGTTTGGGCAGACAGTGGGACAAAGTGACTGAGACAAAAAGGAGTCCTAACCTTCAAGGCTTTCAGGACCTGGGCAGATAAACTGACCATGGGAAGTAGCCAGACTTAATACAGAGGTGGCGGTGAGGCTTGGCAATCCAGAGAACATTTGTCATGGCTCCAGGGATTTGGATCCAATTTTTAAATAATAAATGTGCAGGCCAGACAAAAATGCACCTGTAGGCTATGATTTGTAACCCATGAACCAAGTGTTCGTTGGGTGCAGGGTGTGTCCCCACAGTCGAACCACCCAAATGCACAGACAGAATGTTTGAACTCTGTGTAGTGAACAAAGGGCTATAAATAGAGCCGAGTTCTGGAGTCACTGCTGAATCTTGGCAAAGAGATCTCAAGATCACAATCAGAGAGGGAAGGCATCCAACGAGCAAGAGGAGGAGAAGGAAAATAACAGCTCAAATGCTTCAGGAAGGTGGACAATTGCTCATTTATCCACTCATTTATTCTTTCTTTTTTAAATTGTTGCTGGTTTTGAGTAATATATTGCCTGCTTTCATTATTCATATTCCTAAAAACCAGGTAGTCATCTCCCTGGGATGATGTCAAAACAGAATAAAAATGGCAAACGTGATCTCAGCGTTGTAATCTGTCCTTTGCCCTGCTGGGGTCATTCCTTGCTTTCCTGAATGCATTTAAGAAGAAAATTATTTTCTTGCTGCAGAGACTTTGTGTCTGTTGGGTGGTGGGACTCTGGGGACACAGTGTTGATGTGGCTGCCTCAGAAGAAGGAAAATCTTCTTATTCTGCACTTTCTAAAGAGAAGGACAACTTCAGTGAGTGGCTGAAGCTGTGAGGGCTTTTCAGACATCAGATGGTTGACTTCTATGAACCCTACAGAAGATAATGTTGCATCATGCTGGCACTTTACATTCTAAAGAGCATAGCAGACACAGAGAAATACATTTCCTTTTACAGTAAAAAAAATAAAAACTTATGTGCAGGTCCTCTTGATATCAAACCTGAATTGTGTGTCTGATCAGTGTTCCCTAGATGATGAACGTCAGGGAAGGATGACAATTGTAGGATGACAACTGGGAAATGAGGTGCAGGATGGAATCTTGGAGAACCACAGACCTTAAAGAGAAAATGTCATTTCCAATGGGAAGATGAGGATGAAAATGGCTTTCAAGCCACAGGACCCACAGGGTTGGGTGATGACATCATTCCAGCGCCACTGTCTTTCCCCTTGCCTTCTTGTCTTTCTCCTCGCTCCTCTCTTTTGTTCCCTGGTTTTCTTTCCACTTCCTGCTGCTTCCTAGGAGACTCAGGAGACTGGACCCAGAGCCTCAGCAAGTGAGTCTTTCCCACCCTGTTCTACTCATTTTTCTCAACCCAGGTCTGAAGACCACCTTGAGGGATAACAGGGTAATTCAATTTCCAATCCCATTTCATTCTCAGTCTCTCGGTAGAGACTACCAACAAGGCACCAATTAGGGGAAACAAGAGGCCCAAGGAAAACAGAAGTTTGCTACTGTATTGCCTGTGTGTGTTTTGACATTTAGTTTGAACTTCAACCTGGCCTGTGCTCCTTTGGGAGCTTTTAAAAAGAAATAAACTTCATCTCATTACCATCAGATACAATGATGGGGGAAATGGGCTGGAAAAACCCTGAATCTTTTCTGAGCCCTATTTTGTGCTTACAAAGAGAAGGGCAAATTCTTCACTGCTGTGCCATTCAGCTATTATGTTTAACAATCTAATTAGAAAGGCCGGGTAGCCTATTCCCATTGTAAAAGCTAAGACAGTACACACAAGCAAATCTAATTAGACAGCTGTCCTTTACAGATCGGAGCTGCCCTCCGGCCAGGTTCTAATGAACGACCCGCCACCCCAGCCCCTCCCTGCAGCCCCCAAGAGATGGATTTTGTCCATAAACTGGGCCAGATGACAGTGGCGGCACATTGAGTGCTGCCCACCCTGCGACAGGCATCTGCAGTTACCTGCTCATCGGCACGCAGCAGGAAGTCTTCGCTGGGGCTCCTGCCCAGCGGACTTTACTGCACCCTCACCGGCCTTGGCTCCTGCCCAGACCTGAGCCCTATTCTCCTTCTGGACTATAATGCCTGCCCCATTCAAGCAGGTCAGAGTCATGCTAACAGGTGGTAATAAATCAGAGCCATTGCTTTCGCTTTTATGGATGTTACTTTCTGCACACCAGGGACTTACTTAACTTGAAACAGACCAAAAGCTATATACACTGAGCTGCATGTTTGCCGTGCCTTCGTTTTTCACCACGTATGGTTTAAATTAAGGCACCCTGTGTTCAGCAGATTGCCCACTGCAACTTAGTCATCTGTTTAGTGTTTGGCATGTCCCACAAGGCAGTTGTGGTTATTCACAAGTCTATTAATTAAAAGGAGAACTGGTAGGGGACTACTAAGTGGGCTGGGGGATCGTGCAGCCACTTCAAATAAAAAGATGTATGAAAAGGTGTGCCTTCAGAACCTCTTGCGCTCCCTCTCTGGGTTCATCTGGCATCAGCAGTAATTGTTGGGACCCAGCTTGTGAAGAAACACTCTTGTCACCACTGCATCCAAAGAAGTTTTATGTCAAAAATTAGAGCAATGTCATCTGAGTTGACAAAATTGAGATTGTGTGAAGGTTTCCATTTTTCACCCTCGAGTTTCAACAGGTAATGACTCACTGAAAAACATCCAAATTACGTTGAAACTGGGCCCTATCAGAACAGAAAATACAAAGGATTTTTAAATTCTAGGAAGTGGAACAGAACATACTGTCTATTAGCAAGGTGTAGGTACTAACGGAACCTACCTGCATTTTCCTCA
Source organism: Homo sapiens (assembly GCF_000001405.40). Lineage (NCBI taxonomy): Eukaryota > Metazoa > Chordata > Mammalia > Primates > Hominidae > Homo > Homo sapiens. The sequence goes on from NC_000013.11 coordinate 22,221,491, forward strand.
GCATCTCAGGAACCAAGTACTTTTCACATCATCTATTTTTTCTCTAAGCCATGACGCAAGAACGATGGAACACATTTGTTTTATAGGTGAGGAACTGAGCGATTAATATTGCAAGCTTATCCAAAATAGTTTTACCACCAGCGGTCGTGGCAGAAGTGACAATTATTGAAATAATTGTTTGCTTATGAATTCCCAATCTTCTGACGTCCTCCTATGAAAAAGAACTAGATTTTGCAACTATCCTGGAAAGCAAGTGTTGCAAAGTTTAGATTTGGTCAACATTTTGTGAAAATAACAGCTTGCGTTTCCAAGGATGTCTATGGTAGATTGTTCCTGGAAAGACTAGGTAGAGTGATTGCATATTAGCTGATAGGTACATAAGACAAATATCCTGGCAGATGAGACTGACATTCCTGGCTGGTACCAAGCACTGTTTCCATGTTTTGTGGGATCTGGGAGTTCAGGGTAAAGTTGAAAACAGTATTCTTACAGACATGCAGGCATGAGAGGCAAAGTCATCGGATTAAAGTAAGGGCCAGTGTCGTTAGCAAATGATGATATCTCAATGGCAAATCGGTTAGCAGTGTATACTTGGTTCTGTAAAATTGTATTGATTACGTACTCTGTGAAACCAGAGAATGCATACAGACTTTTCTGCGGCTCCAGCAAGTGTATAATCTGATTGGGGAACCAGACACTTGACCCCTAAAACATAACCAATAATTTATAATGGCCAACTTTATATTCATTGGAAATGGAGAAGATGCTGTATACTGTTTGATATAGCAGTGAGCAATGTATTTTTCAAGGTTTTAAAACAATTTGTAGAATAAATAAAGCTATGAGCAGTAGAATTCTCAAATCTGCAGATGGCATGAAGTTTCAGGTATAGTTTTATGCTGGATCCATGAATAAGAACCTAAGAAGAGTATGACAAGTTGGAATGCTGATTCTCACAGAGCAAAATTTAATGAAAACAAAAATAAGAACCAGACTTAGGTCTTAAAATATAAATGCTTAATTGCCTAATGGGGCGAATATTTTTCAGCAGACTACTTAGCAAAGCCTGTTGGGGCTGGATGCGGTGGCTCACGCCTATAATCCCAGCACTTTGGGAGGCCAAGGTGGGTGGATCACCTGTGGTTAGGAGTTTGAGACCAGTCTGGCCAACATGGGTGAAACCCCATCTCTACTAGAAATACAAAAATTAGCCAGATGTGGTGGCAGGTGCCTTTAATCCCAGCTACTTAGGAGGATGAGGCAGGAGAATTGCTCGAACCCGGGAGGCAGAGGTTGCAGTGAACTGAGATCGTGCCATTGCACTCCAGCCTGAGCAACAGAGCAAGACTCCGTCTCAAAAACAAAACAAAACAAAACAAAACCTGTTGGGTAAATGAGTCAAGAGTGAAAGAGGAGAAGGGGAGAGGGTGAACCTGAATTAAGCAGCTACTGTCAGGGCCCAGCAGCTGAGCTGGGCGCTCTACTCATGTTTCCTTGTTTCTGCCCACAGCAACACTGTCCCATCGCTGAGCACCATGCACAGCATGAGCATTTTCTCCTGTTCACTGTGTAGGCCCACCTTGCAGGGTGGATGCCATCTTCATTTTACAGATGAGGTAACTGAGGCTCAGAGAAGTCCAGTCCCTTGGCCAAGGTACTACAGACAGCAAATGAGAGGCAATGTGATGTTTCTTAAAGTCTCTGTCTTGTGTTTTAAACCAAGCCATTCTGTCTTTCCAAGATGTGATGTAGCCTCACGGATAGGCATGCAGTACCCAGAGTAGGGGAGGTAGCAGTCCTGTTCTGTGGGGAGAAGGCGGATTTCAGTAATAAGTGCATGATCATGGCACCAGATGGCCTGGGTTCTCTTAAAGCAAGTTTAGCCTAAAGCTACCTCCTTACATATTTAAAGTTCAGTCTAAAGATTTCTCTGTATATAGTGAATTATAACCTACATGGAGGTTTAAACAAACTGTAACCTACGCTTGTGCCAATCACTGAATTCTGGCCAATCAGAGGCATCCAGTTGTTCAAACCGTTTTCCAATAAGGCAAACGCTGAGCTGTAACCATTCCAGCTGTTTGTGTGCTTCCGTTCTGTTTTCTGCACATCACTCCCCTTTTTCTGTCTGTAAATCTCCTTCCACCACGCAGCTGTGCTGGAGTCTCTCTGAGCCTGTTCTGGTTCAAGAGGCTGCCCAATTCGTGAATCGTTCTTTGCTCAATTAAACTCTGTTAAATTTAATTTGGCTAAGGTTTTTCTTTTAACAGTCCTATTGCAGCTCTGCCACTTAGGAGCTGTGTGGCCTCGACCAAAAGAATGAAAAACAACAAACAACCCTCTGTGCCTCAGTTCTTACTTCTCTAAAGTGAGAGCACGAGTAGATAATGGCAGTACCCACCCCCCTGTAGGTTGCTCAGATGATTCATTGAGGGATTTTGTATAAAGCGTTTTCGAGTGGGCCTGGCACCGTCTAAGGGCAGATGTTACTGCTCTGCTCAGACCAGATCCCACCTGGAATACCAGGCCACACACTGCAAGAGACACCTTGGCAAGTAATTTTTCTCAGAAAATGACAGAGCCGGAAACAACTTCCCTGCAGAATCACAGAAGGATCTGAAGGCATTTAGTCCTATGTGATGAGAGCCGCTTAAAAATATTTGAACTAACTTTGCTCTAAGCCCCAAAAAAGAGCAATAGAAGAAAATTAAGATTGCTTTGTTTCATAATCTCCCCCTAAATAATGACATCGGATGTTTCCAGAAGCCTTAAAGCACTGCCTGGCACTTGAGAGGTGCTTCTGGGCCGCCTCTCTAGGATCTTCTGCATGCGGGGCTGTGTCTGAGCATCACAGGCATCCCCATGGTCAGTGTCCTCCAGGCACGATGCCAGGACACTGCTCAGATTCCTCTGGACAGTGACCAGATGCAGGGAGGCAAAGTCACTTGTCTACCTTCATATTAATTTATTCAGAAAATATTTATCGAGTGTCTGTAATGTTCTAGGCATTGTTCTAGGCACATGAAAAAAACAGACACAACTGTTGCCCTGGTGATGCTGACATTCCAGCCAGGGGCAATGGAATCAGGAACCTATCAGCTTGACCTTGACCTCACACATGGGCAATAAATGAACCAAACAAAACCAAAGTGTAAAAACTGAACCTTCTAAGTATCTGACACCTCTCTTTTACTTAATATGCTTTCAGTTGACCAACATCCAGCTAACCTATTGGCTACCAAGCATTTGTATATGCTGTCTATTATTTAACTCTTGGAGTGAACCTTTTGCATAAGTATTAGTCCATTTCACAGGTAAAGAAGCAGGCTTAGGAACTTCCGGTGACTAAAGCGACACCTGGGGATTCAGGCCCAACATGATTTTCATTACAAAGTGCTGCCCTCCAAATAGAAATCAAGTAGGCAGAGTATGTGGCATCCTCTGTGGCAGTTTCTCTATGAAAATTAGTACCTGGGATCCCTTGACATACGGACTAGTCAAGATTTGGCTGTCATCTCTAGACCTTCTGGCATATAAGCATCTGATGGCCATAAGCTGCCCTAGTGGCTCTGAGTGTCTGCACATTCTAGTTTGGGGTACTGATTCAATCCAGTGTCTCTAGGAATGGGGTCTGGGAGTTGGTTTTAAAGCTCACCATGAGCTTTAAAGCTTCTGAGGGATGTAGTGCAGGATTCAGGTAGCATGCATGTGGGTGTGACGGGCCAGGAATGGATGTGGATCTGATTTGAGCTCTGCAAGCCACGCCAATTCTTGGCCTGGTATGGTGAGTCTGTAAGCCCCATGGCTTCCACTTCCTTATGGGTCACTAGAGAAGGATTATGCATTGGGTGCTTCTCGCTGGACCTTTGCTTCTTTTGCAGTTCCAGGTGGGAGAAGCAGTTGCAAAAATGCATGGATTTAGGGTGAATAGGGTCCTTCTGTGTTCTTGGTACAGTTACCTTGAGAAAACTGGTCAGAGGCAGCTAATGCGGCAGTGAAGTCTGCATTGCTTGTGGTACCTTCAGTCCTTATCAAGCAGTGGCTGTGTTCTCAGCTCAAGAACCACTGAGGAGGCTGTCTGATGATCAGAACCGTGTTTCTGCTGTCTGTCACAGAGCCCATCACAGGTAACTCCCCAGGCAAGGTACTGAGGTAGGGAGCACTCATTTCCCCACAGACGGATGGGACAACAGGGCTCTCTAGGGTGAAGGTACTCAGAGGTATAGGGAATCATCCTCTCATGGGGCCTCTTTGGTGGCTGCACATCCTGGGAAACATCCCTCAAGGCTGGAGCCTGCTGGGTTAGTGCCAACACTCACACACAGACCCACTGCAGCTCTGAGCTGCATAGATGCGGGAAGCTGAGCAGCATTTGGGCCATGTTACAGCACACTGGGGTAGAGGCATGGCAGCACGTGATTCTCTCCCATGTCCAGGAGCCTCACATTAGGCAGAAAGTGGAAATTCAGGGCAACACACATCTTACTGGGACATCAAGTCCTTTGCTTGAGACATATGAGTTCAGGTTTTCTAAGACTTTCCCTTTACAATCCTATGAGTATACTTCCTTGGGATAATTTTCTTCAGCTTAGAGCAATCTCTAGGAAACGTTCTTCTGGAGCTGAAGGTTTGTCTTTGCTTTTAAAGTTTTAATCTCATTCTTTTCTCCGAGTCACAGCCTCCTGGTGCCATGAGAAACAACAGTCCCCTTTTTCCTCAGTGGCACTCACATCCTCTAAAGACTTGCAGGCAGAGAGCCAGCAGCCATTTCTCCCTTGGTTCACTCGTTTGTCTGCTTCCAAACTCATCTTTCTCCAACTTAGATACAGTTATTTTACTTTCTTAAATAGCCAGTTCCTTTTAATTAATCTTGGGACTCATCTCCACTCCGGCTGCCTTATGTTGGTAATAGTATAGCACTTTAAAATAGACTAATTTGCACATGTAGACATAGCTATAAAATTCACCCATTATAATGAGGATATATATATACTTCCACATTTATATGCAACACCTTCTGGAAAATTCTACTTCCAGTCTCCATCCCAACCTTGTCCACTCACATCATTGAATGACAGAGGGGCAAACATGTTGAGTTCATACATTCTCGGTCTATGCCAGGAGACAACTGCACAGACACAGTGTTTAAATGTTGGCTCTTGTTATGCAAATTGTTTACATGAAAATGATCACAAAAATCACTTTATTTGATATAGGAAAGAAAAAAAATTTAGTTTGGAAAGTCTCAATAGACTAGAAATGAATTCCTAGTTCTCATAGTCCAAAGAGGAGCCTTCCCTTTTCCATGTTGTTATAGAAATGATTTCAGGATGTACAAATTGGTACAACCAACCAAGCGGGATTATTTGATAAATATGTAATTTCTACAGTGTCATTTGGAAATGATTGCAAATATGTCTATTCAGATAGGAGGAAAATCCTACTCTGAAGACTGTGGTCCTTGCAGTCTGCATTGTAACCTATGCGACATAAAGAGAAAGCCATGTGCTCTGAAAGGCTGCCCTTGAATCCTTGTCCCAGTGGGAATGAGCCAAATTCAGCACCTACCTCATAAAATCTGAACGTGTGTCTCACTAGGGCTGGGGTTTCTGGAGAACCACCCCTATTCACATGGAATGAAATTGTATCGAAGCACTGAAGGGAGAAGAGCCATCTAACATAATGTCCTAATAAAAAGGCCAAGAGGACTGGCCCTTATCTCAGGTATGCACACACATTAGCTCCTGCCATGGGCAACTGAGTGTTTGGGCATTGGGATTAAGGATAAAAAGAAATCATTCTTAATAATGAGAGAGAGTGCCAGGAATTTTTCTTGCCTCATGAAGTAAGGTAATTCGCTGAACTAAGAAATAATGAACAAGACAAACTGGCAGGCCGACCGGGGGGCTCAGACAGGTGCCTACTTTCAAGGAGCCTGTAGGGCAAAGAGGCATCTGCTCCCGAAGGAGGACTTTAAATAGCCATTTGTTACACCAACATTTTTATGAATAGACTGAAGTAGGAATGTGATTAGGCTGGGGTGGGGAATGCGTGTGGATAAATAGCAGTGGAGGAGATGTGCTTTAAATATTCTTTGTGCGTAGGATCTGAGAGTAGCACTGAGGATGATGTTAACCCTTTAAGGAGCCACCTTTTAAACAGATAGCAGTAGACAGCAAGGGCATTTCCCCAGGGGTGGATCAGGCTCCGCTTTGAAAACCAGTCACCCCGATGACTCCTTGACCTTGCTGGGAGAAACAGCCTATTGTACCTGGCCCAGCCTTTCCTGAGAGGATTCCAACTTGGAGGGAAACTCTGTGTAGCAGGTGGTGTCTCTGGGGACCCTGTTTTCATGTTGGGGATGTCCAGCCTTGTATCAGGGATGGTGCTGGCACAACAGCACCTGAAACATGGCCTCCCATAGGGTAGCTACTTGATTAATATCAAGTGAATGAGTGAATGATTTAATCAATGATGTTCAGGTTCATCAGACTCCTTTTGACCTGAGCCTCTGTCCAGAAACCTAAAAATATATCTCATCGGACACTTCAGTAGGCTTGCTTCAACTGTCCCTTGTTCCTCTTTTTTTCTTCAACTTCTTAACTGTATGTGGGTTTGTGGAAGATACAGGAAGAAGGCACACTTCATTGCTCAGCCTGAGAAGACTTTGCAAACCTTTGAGAGCCACCTCTCATTCTACTTTCTCTCCAGTCTGAGCCCTGGAATATGCTGGCAACCCAGGGAGCATCTCTCTGCCCTGTGAAAACTGGGACTAGCAAAGGAGTGGGTGAGGAAGCTGCCGTAAGCACTCCATAACTTCTGCTGGTTCTCGGCTCCAGGGATGACAGGTGGAGTCGTGTCTCTGGGATTTGCCAGGTGGCTCCCAAATCCTGAGTCCTATTTGTCTACTTTAGAGCAGTGAGGCTCAAATTTCAACATCCCAACATACCCCTGAGTATCTTGTGAGAATATGGACCCTGTTCCAGGAGTCCTGAGGTGGAGCCCTGACTTTGCGTTTCTAGCAATTCTGCAGGTGACACTGATGCTGCTGGACCTCCGGCCAGCCTGACTCTGAAGCAGATTGAAGCATGAAGAAGACACAGCCTCTGTCTGAGTTCTTTTTCTTTTTCTTTCTTTTTTTTTTTTTGGTTTTAATAGAGATGAGGTATCCCTCTGTTGCCCAGGCTGAAGTGCAGTGGTGCAATCATAGCTCATTGCAGCCTTGAACTCCTGGACTCAAGCAATCCTCCTGCCTCTGCCTCCCGAGTAGTGAGGACTACAGGTGCATGCCACCGTGCCTGGCTAATTTTTTAAAAAAATGTTTTCGCTATGTTGTGCAGGCTGGTCTTAAACTCCTGGCCTCAATTAATTAATCCCCCAGCCTCGGCCTCTGAAAGTGTTGGGATTACAGGCATGAACCACTGTGCTCATCCTCTCGTTTGAGCTCCTATATCAGAGCAAAACCTCAACACTTGTAAGGATTTATTGAGCAACTTGGTGATGCAAGCTAAGGACTTTGGTACTGACACTCATGGTAACTGCCTGCAGTGTGGCCTTTTGAGGGTGCTGATTTCTCAGTGGAACTTAAACTAATGGATGATGTACCTTCTGATTGTCTCCTGGATGTGCTGCCATTACTCCTTTGGGAGTGTGGACACACAAACACACACACACATATGTGCCCCAGGTCAACTGTTACAAAGCTCCATGGCTATTGGTTGAGCTCAGTGATTATGCACACAATACGCACATGTGCAGGTGCGACCCACAGTCCTAGGACAGGGCCGGCTTCTGGAAGAATAGTGTCTGTGCCTGAAGAGCCTAGCAACTTAAAAGGCTGTTGAGCACTTGCAATACAACACATGACTATCCAGTCTATTAGAAAAAAATACACATGATACCTTTGATTAATTAAATGCTTGATTGATTAAATAACTTTTGGTTTAATTATTCCTACAGGGACTTCTAGGAGAGAAAAAGCCAACCAAGCAAACAAAAACACAAGAATTCCATTCCTTGCCAAAATATTGGCAGTCAGTATTTTCAGGCAGGTGTGCACTGTATGCTTTGCGGGACAGGCTTCCTGTGAACTGATGTTGGGGGATGCTGTCCCCAGATGTGGGAGATTCCATCTCTGTCAGGTCACATGATGATGGACAGCAAGAGTGTTAATAAGAAGCCTAAGACAGAATTCCTAGACAAAGGCAGCCCTCTGCACAAACCCGTTCCTGCTTGGCTAGAATCCCTTGTCACCTTGGGACCACACTGCCCAGGTGTGGCTTTCGATCCCAGGCCTTTGATTACCCACAGGTCTTCCCATTGCTCCTCCCCCAGCACTGAAATCATTTCAGCAACATTCTAAAGTGGATTTCAAGACATTTCCTAAGCCGTCAGGTGCATAAAAATCAGTAAATAATGTGTATGGAGCACTCACCATCTCTGGACGTGATAACAGGTAGAATTGACCTTCTGATGTTAATGAAGTAAACTGCAGTTTCTGATGTTAATGAAGTAAACTGCTATTGGGGTTGGACAGAGGGTTTCTACTGAGAATCCACGTGCTAGCATTCTAAACCACGCACCACCCCGAGAGGAATTCCCGGTAAGCAGTGGGGCTGACTGAAACCCACAATGCTGTCTTTCTAAAGTACAGGCTCCCACACAGACCTGCTTTGCTTTAAACTGTCATTACAATGAACCATCACTTGAAAACCTCCATGATCTTGACAAAATTGGAACAGTGATATAAAAATAAAAGGTCAGAAAAACCATGTATGATAGAGCTGAGCTGGCCTGGTATAGATTTCTTCAAAGACCTCCTTTGCTCACTACTAAAGCCAAGACGATGTGTCAAAGTTGTTTAAGAGAGGAATCATTTTTAATCAATGTGACCTCAGCTTTCCAAGGTGCTTAGGTCTGGGAACACTTAAAGTACATCTGTTATTATTTTGGTTGTGCTGAATTTCTTATTTTATATGGTTTCATTTCAAGAGGGGCTATTTGAGGGAATATGGAGGTAAGCTCTTGTCACCATATTCTGGTTGAGTTTTTTAGGATTATTTATGTCTCTAGTTCTTATTGATATTTCTTGCTTCCATAAACTTGCCTTCTGGTAGTAATTTTACATTGAAATTTTACTTTAGAATCTACATCTCTGCCCTTTGTGATAAAACCTAGTGCCAAATTGTCTCTCAGTGACTTAATTGGTATTAGATGTATCATCCCATCAATCCCCAAATTTAAAACAAATATGTTCCCTACATGTGGTTTTGTACTAGTTCCTTTATGGAGACAATGCATAGAGACCTGGCCCTGCCACCTGTGAGTTTATAGTTTGAAAGTGATGTGAAGGAAACAGAATCAATCACAGACACATTAAACATGTGAACATGGGCTAAATAAAAACTGGAAAATAAGTCAACGGTTGAAGTGCAGACAAAAATGATGCTTATCTTCCCTGTCCATCTTCTCTCCCATTCTGTCATCTAATTCTACTACATCTCTGCCCTTTGTGATAAAACCTAGTGCCAAATTGTCTCTCAGTGACTTAATTGGTATTAGATGTATCATCCCATCAATCCCCAAATTTAAAACAAATCTGTTCCCTACATGTGGTTTTGTACGAGTTCCTAATTCTACTATTCATCTAACTGCCCTTCTCTCTACCCCTTCACCCAGCCATGCATCCATCTATATGCTCATTCATCCATCCATCCACCCACTCAGTCATCCATCCATCCACTCACTCACCCATCCAGTCACCCACCCATCAACCCATCCATCCATCCATCCATCCACCCACCCACCCACCCATTCATCCACTTACCCATTCATCCACTTACCCATTCATCTATCCATCCATCCATCCGTCCATCTGTCCGTCCGTCCATCCATCCATCTGTATGAAGAAGTTCATAGAATAGAAAAGAGTTGGGTTTTGTGTAGCCTCAGGTATTGCTGATCTGGTTTTGCCAGACCTTGAGTGACATAGTATCAATATCTATCTACAACAAAAGCCGGACGGGTCTTTTAACTAGGTACTATATGATCTGTCCAGATAAACGAAGGATAAGCCAAGAAAACACCATAGCAATAACTATACTGGTAACCTAGGTATAGTTAGGGATAAACAAATACTGATTTGTTTAGTCTCACCAAACAAATTGTGAAAACCTTTAGCCACATTTGGTTAAGAGATAGATTTCCTTTTGATTTGGTCAAGGCTATGCTTTGTGGGTGACCTAATTTCTGCTCAAATTGTTTTTCTCCCACTGGGATGTTACTTTCTAGTTTCAAAGCCCTCATCATGCTTTGTGGATGGTCTTTTATTTCTCTGAGTTCACTTGAATTTCAAATCTTGATGATATGCACATTTGGAAATGGCTTTTCCCTGTAGCATGTGCTGGTCAACACCTGAGGCTGTGTATGTTCCTCCCTGTAGTGGGGTCTCAGCCGGCTGCCCTTTCAGTGTTTTGTGTCTGGTGTATGCAAGCTTGGCCCAACAGCATTTTGCTTTTGATGTCTTTGCCATTCTGAGAAGCATGAGAAGGATTGTATTTTTCCCTTTTCCCATCTGCTTTTTGATCAGATGGGTCCGTTCCTGAATGAGGTCTAAATTGAAGAGGGACCCTCTGTTGGATGCAAACATTGATACTAGGGCACCTCCTGTGCAACACTGTCAAATAGCCTTAACGATAATGAGAGTTGGAATGGTCATTGTTTCTGACTCTATTCTCTTACTCAGTGTAACAGCAAATTAGTTCACTTAAGAGCTATCTTGCAAAGCTCTCTTAGTCCTGCTAAACGTGCAACCTCCTAAGTACTAGCGACCTGTTTTTGGCCTAGGTCCTTCACTTTGCTGCAGGAAGTGTGCTTCATCTAGCTCAGCTGGTTTCTGGGCTCAGGCCAGCCTGTGCCTATTGCCATCCTTCCATAGTTACTGGTCCACACTACTTGCCTCCCAGCTGAAAATTATTTTCAATTGTCTCTCTATTGTCTAGACATTTTCCCCTGTGGACCCAAATCTTCTCAGTTTTAAAAGAGATGTGGCAGTAGCTCACGCCTGTAATCCCAGCACTTTGGGAGGCAGAGGTGGGTGGATCACTTGAGACCAGGAATTTGAGACCAGCCTGGACAACATAATGAAACTCCATCTCTATGAAAAATACAAAAATTAGCTGGGTGTGGTGGTGCAGAACTGTGGTCCCAGCTACTCGGGAGGCTGAGGTGTGGGGATTGCTTGAGCCCAGGAAGCAGAGGTTGCAGTGAGCCAAGATCACGCCACTGCACTTCAACTCAGCCTGGGTGACAGAGTGAGACTCCTCTCTCTTTCTCTCCCTCTCTCATCATATGAATTAAACTCTCAGATAGTCTTTAACAGAGGGGTACATGTTCACCTTAGCTACCTATAATGAGACCTGGACCCTAATTCCAGGTGTTTTACATATGGTAGTTTCATTTTGGTTTGAGATAGTTTTCAAAATGCTCTCTCACTGAACTATATGAGGAAGTAAAAAATATATAATAATACTTGAGTGCATCAAATGGCCTTGTTTCCTTCCATTTGAAAATTGATAGCTGAAAAGGCAGCAGAAGTTAAAAACAAAACAAGAAACAACTTTGGACTCAAAGTTACGCTAACCATGTAACTCAGGGCAAATTTCTGAAATCTGCCAGACCTGTGTTATTCATTTGGTAAATGAAGATGACACCACTTTCTACTTTTTAATAAGGTGCTCTTGGACTGAAAAACACTTCGATCCTCTTTAACAATGTGAATCCACTCTTAATTTTATTATTTGTTAAAGCACGTAATTAAATTTTTGTCTAGAATTAGCCATAACCTGCATGCTAACTTTTAAAAGTCGTTGTCTGTTTTACTAAGTGTGTTTTCTAGGTTAATACTTTATTTTAAAACCTGTACTTGCTATTTTATTTTGCATGAGTTTAAATTTTTTTCGCAACTAAAAGGTCAATTATAAAATACTATCCGAGTCTCTAAATTTGCTCTTCCTAAAATTTTCTGAAAAAGTCTGACCTTATTCAGGTTCAAACATACAGAAAAAGCAACAGTGAATCATTAAACCTCCTTGATACCAGCTGCCACTTTCTTCCATACACTTCTGATGCCTGCACATTATGTAAATATCAATATTAAAAAATTTAGTCTTTAAAATAACTGTAAGATAAGCCCCCAAATATTTGGCCTGCCAAAAGATTTTCTGTTCCAAAAAAATATATTTTTCTTAATCCCCTATACAATTAATCTTCAAAATGCAAATTGAATAGCAGAACAATTTAAAAATATCTTTACCAACCCAAATTCCTTATAAACACAAAACCCTGACATGTGTACAATGCTTAATTTACAATGTCCTTTCACTTGGTCTTCACAACTGCCCCAAGAAGAAGGCAGATGTGTTTTTTGTACCTACTTTATAGATGAAGATAGTGAGGTTTGTATAAAATTTTTCAAGGTCACACAGCTAAGTGGAGGGAAGCCAGGACTAGAACTCAAATACCTACATTCAGTTCTAACAGTCCGTTTATTATAGCCACAAAGAGAAACAGCTTATGAAATTTTTCTGTAGCCCGTTACATAGAATTCTTCAGGTTCGGTCTGATTTCTAGGCACATGTTAGTCTAAATTATACAGAGACCAACCTATAATATTATTATAGCTTAATCTTTTTAAGGTCTGTATCAGATTCTGGAATACTGCTGTCTGACCGCCTCTATTAAGGCTTGAATTTTGGCCACTCTTTATAGAAGTCTAAGACACCGAATTACGTATTTTAGTGTTACAGGAAAAGGTTTGTTCCGGAGGATCTGTTCATTTTAACAACTAAGGATTAGAGTGTGGTAATTTATGCTTTGGTGCTTAGAAAGTTTATTTTCTGTTCTGGTGTACTCCCTTTTACAGCTAGCCACCTGAGTGTTTGGGAGAGCTGTGTGGATGCTTTTGAAGGTTTGGTTTGGCACCTACTACTGTACAGACATTGCCATTGACTGGAGCGAGTACATCATTCACATCAGAGTTAATGCAGTTATTTTCTGGTCATAAAGAGCAAAAGGCTTTTGAATATCTAATTATTCTATTAGATAACTTTAGAATCCTTACCAGGTATCATTATGGCTCAGATAAATATATCCTCTTGTTAAATTCTTATTCACACAAACTTGAAAAAGGCTGTTCATCAGTGATATGATTTCCACTGGGACATTTCTAAGTCTTCAGTGCTTAAGTTTTCCCACAGCTGTAAAACAGCCCAAAATAACTATTTATTTTCTATGTGTATGGCCATTGTGGAAAGAGGATGTGCTGACACTAGAATATAATTATTCCTCTCCCGGGCTGCCTCAAATGTGGTCAGCCAGCCTTCTTTAGATTTCCAGTGCCTATTCCACAGGCTGTGGTGTTTTATTTCTGAATGGACCAGCGTTTGTTTTTGTTGAATTATGCAATTTATTTTTCGTTACACATTCAAATATGTTTCTTGTTTTCAGCTGACTGTCTTCATTCATGACACTTTTTTTTTTCATTCTCCCAAATTCATTTCTTCTCTCTCGTTTGAATATTTCCATGTGAAATAGATGAAATTTTACATGGGCAAACAGAAGAGCAGTCAGTCAGAAGCCAACAAACCTACTTACAGTTGATGATGCTTTAAAACAGACGGATTGAGACTGGGGGGTGTGGAGGAAGGCTTTCCAATTACTGTTTCTCATCAACCTGACCACCCTAAGCCATTAAGCCACTGTAATAGTTTTGCTAATTTGATTTCCTGCACATAAACAACCTTTGCTGTTCTTTGAAGTTCTTAGGAAAGGTATGAGGAGTTTCAAATTGCAATAATTCAACTCCAAGCATAAGGCTAATTCATCTTTTTTTAAAAAATAAATCAGTAAAACAGAAGTTAATTAAAGTGTAAACAATGGGCAGCATTGTGGCTGAGAGTCTCAGAAAAAGAACCTTTGAAATTCTTGTGTAATGGATATTACCTGATTGCACCAGAGCAGGGTGGGGTTTAGGAAAGGATCACATTACTGAGCTCTTTCTCCTCTTCCTCTTACTTTAAAAAAAAGAAAGAAAGAAAGAAAGAAAGAAAACCACCAACAACAGATGCTTTCATTTTTTTTACTGAATTGGGTGATAGCTTCCTAAACCCAAGCTTCTCCAAAGGCTGGGGGCTTCCTTTCCCCAGGGAGGCCCTGACACTCTAGGCCCTTGTAAGGGCTGACTCTGTGGGGCTGAGAGTGGGTGGCTGGGAAGCAGCTTGCAGGGAGTTCTGTAGGCAGGATGTCACTGCAGTGTGATTCACACCAGGCCAGGTTATGCAGAGGACATGGGCTTCCTCATCACTGATGCCATCGAGCTCCTCATGGGTAGACAGGACCCTGCCAGTGACACAGGGATGAACAGCTCTCACCCTCTTCCCTCGTCTCAAACCACAGGCCTGGCTGAGAGAGGTGCAGAGGAGGGAAAATGGGCCAAAATAGCTAAAACACCAAAGTGTTTTCAGTAAGGATTCTCTTGTTTTGATCTTGAGAGAATACAAAGAAGATATGTGGTAGGAGGCCAGGCAAAAATTCCAGCACCCCTGGGGAGGGCGATTCAGCTAAGCCTCTCTGTCTGCAGGAGTAGAGCCTCTCCTACACAGAGCCAGGAAACTGAACTCATGCTTTCTTTTGAAGGTCAGTTTGTGTAGGGAGATGAAATATTTTGCTTCAGAAGCAAAATCCAAAGAAGAGCAGAGTGATACTGTGCATCGTCTCTCACCACATAATAGGTAATAGGTAAACCCATTTGCTGGGGGTACCTGCTGACCATATGACACCACAGATGGCGTGTGTGTGTGTGTGTGTGTGTGTGTGTGTGTGTGTGTGTATGCATGTGTGCAGGTGATTCTCTGTGTATGCTCTTAGTGAGGGGTGGGGGGCGAAAGTGGGGAACCCAGAGGAGATGCAGTGCCAAAACCATGGACAACAGAGGAGTAGGTGGTCCCCCACGTGGAGGGTGTTAAGAGGTTCCAACACGTCTCCTTGCAAAACAATCCATTCCAGATCGTGTGAAAATTCTTAATTTCACTTTTTGCTGCCAGAATTTCTATCATTAATGATATAATTTTACAGATAACAAGGTTCTCTTTTAACAGGCAGACATTGCTTTTAAATGGCTAGAAGCCACAGGTATCTTAGAATCAATTAGCCTAATGAAAAACTTTATAACATCAAGCTAAAAATGTCAGCTTAATGGAGAAAAAAATAAGTATAATTTTGAAAGCAGAGAGGTGCGAGCCTGGTGTAAGATTCTGAGCACAAAAGGGGCTACAAGCTGCAGTAAATGATGTAAGAGTTAAATAAATAGAGAGATCTGGAAGAAATATGCCACTTGCTTACTGGCTTCATCAAGGGCTGGCCTTGGATATTAGGGAGCAGGGCCCAGGAAGAATTTCCGGGCTGATGGCTGGCGCGTGAGGTCCCTATCCACCACTCAGGTGGGGAAGTGTGCTTTCCCTGGGGCCCTCAAATACCCTGAGCCAAGTGTAATGGAGCTGATGCATTCTCTCCAGAGTTGCTGAAGCAGCTGGGGCTCCCTCCAGTAGTGTACCCCTGGCCTGCACACAGGACCCTGTCCCTGGAAGGGTCTCTCAGACAGCCAGCATGCCCCAGGCCTTGAGGGCACCCGGCAGCTCTCCAAACAGAAGTCACCCATGTGTACAAATGCAGGACTCCTGTCTTCTCCAGGAGTAAGATTCATGGGCATTTAGATTTAAAGTAACTTGTAAAATATTCTAAACTTTAAAACTTGTTTATGGATCGAAAAGTGTATCTACTAGCAAGTGGGGTTTTTTTGGAAAGATTTATCCTTAGCTACAAAATTTACTGTGGCTGGAAGAAGGTAGACCCACATTTACCAAAATCCTATTCTTGGGTGTCCCAAGAATGTCACAAGCAGTATTTTACTTAATTTAATCATCCCAACAAAACTGTCAAGTCAGTATCCTCAGTCCCATGATACAGATGATGGGAATGAATTTCAGAGCTGGCAAGTGCTAAAGCCAGGATTCAAATACAGGCTTGCTGCTTTCCCAGGCTGGTGTGCCTCTTGCCATACTGTGCCACCAGGCTGAGAATTAATGCCTAAAATATTATGGGTATATTTTTCATCTACATGTTGGCTACCCTTTAGAAAAGCATGGGCTTTTCTAGGTAATATCTGGAAGAGCAGTAAGTACCTTGTTCCACTCTTTTCCTCAATCCACAAACTCAGAGCTGAGATCAATTTAGCACCATATGGAATCATGGCAGCCTAACTGGGTAGCAAGTCACCCTGTTTATTGCCTGGTTATGTCGATAAACGGAGCTACGTCTACAATGCAGGAAGCTAAGTCAAACTTGCAGCATCTCACTTACTCCTCTCAGATGCAAAGCAAATCTATGGAACCTTCCCTCATGAAGTGTATTTGTCAGTCTTCATACACCTGTGGAGATAGATTATCTTTTGGTCTTATCTTTTAGTCTGGCTTTTGTTTTTTCTCAGAAAAATTAGATCCCTTTAAAAAGTAGAAAAGTTTATCTTCCACAAGTAGGTGCTCTCTACAGGCAGGGAAATGAGGTAGTTGACCTAGGCTTCATGGCAGCTGCTCAGGGACAGGGCATGTCCCCCAGCTGTACCTGATCAATGCACAGGACAGGATCCTGAACAAGCCTTCCTGGGCGCTGTCTTCATGGAGTTTACATTCCAGGAGGAAAGAAAGGCAACTAACAAGCAACTGAAGGAGTAAACAATGTCGAGCCATCATGGTGCTGGGAAAAAGGACAACTATGTGTATTTAATGTGTGTATGTATGTGTGTATGAGTATGCATGTGTGTGTGAGTGTGTGTGAGACTGTATATGAGTGTGTTAGTGTGTGAGCATGTGTATGACTGTGAGTGTGTGAGTGCGTGTGTGAAAATGAGTTTCTGTGTGTCAGTGCATGTGTGTGTGTGAGAGAGACTGAGTGTGAGAGTGTGTGAGTGTGTGTGAGTGTGTGGTTGGGGGTCGGTCATAGTGCTACTGTGGAGACTGCTTTCTGGAGTAAACCCGCCTCCCTTCACCTGGTGGCATAGTATGGCATTCATCTGAATGCTGCCACTTACTTGCTGTGTGATCTTGAGTAAGTTCCTTAATGTCTTTGTGCCTCAGTTTCCTCATCTACAAAATGGGGATAACGACAGTAACTGATTCATAGAGTCATTTTCTGAATTAAATGAGTTAATATGTAAAGTCCTTGGTCTAACACAGTGAGTGCCACAGACAAGTTAGCTAAGGAGATCATATTGAAATATAGCTATAATTTTTAAAAAACAAAATTTCCTATTTATTAAATGTATGTGGGTCATTTTAAGCTATTTCTGAACTACTCATTATTAAAATCGATTGCACTATGACGCAGTCAGCTTCAGAGGACTCTTGTTCCCTAAACTAAATGGCCTCAGGATTTGGCTTTATGCGCCAGTTTTTTACTTTCATCTTTTTCCCTCTGTTCACATGGTCAAACTCTGTCTCTTTTTATGTCTGCATGTCTTATTATGCCTGACTGTAGCAACCTAGAGTCCTTCTAATGTTCTGTTTCCATCTGTGAGATATGAGAACACATGTAACTGCATTGGCATTTAGAGGTAATATGAAGGATATGCGCTTGCAAAGAGGGCTGGAGAGACTGCACATCATTACGGACTTGGTTCTGCTGTCTCTGTTTCTTTTATTAAGAAACACCATCCACTTATATTTGGGTTCTCTTTTAGGTTCTGGTCATTCTACAGCAGTGGCTTTCCTGAAATGGTAACATGATTGTGTGAATGCAGTGCTTCCTGGGGCTCACAGGACTGTGGTGGGATTGGTGGCCATCCCTCACTGCATAAGCGGAGCCTTGAATTAGGAAAGTTGTGTTGCCCTCTTGAGAAGCATAGAACTTTAGAGCCAAATGAGCCAATTTTGTCTAATTCCATCCCCGTTATTCTCATAATGAAATGGGAAAAGTTCCCTTGTCCCCCAAAATCGAGGGGTCTTGACCAGCCCAGTTAGGGTGGAGTTTTTGAAACTCCGTGAAGGGAAATAGAGCCTCTTACCTGCAGGAAAGAGAAGTGGCAGGGTTTTGGAAGAGAGACAGGCCCGACAGTTTTGCATTCGTTCACATTCACCTCCCAGGATCACGGGCAAGGTCCCCAGTTGTAACAGGAAAAGTTCCCTTTTCCCCCTAGCAGTGTGTGCGACAGGGGAGTGGCTCACTTCTTCAGCACCCTGCTGCTCAAACCTCTAGGGGAGCATACAGAAGGGCAGGCTGTGGGGCTCCGACCCCATGGCAGTGTCTAGAGGTGAACTAGGGGTGAACGTTTACAGCTCCTGAACCCCAGTGGGTGTGTGTTACAGGGTGCTCTTGTAGTTTAGCTGTCCGTAGGCAGCTTGTGTTAACCAGCTCAGTTAGACCCTCTACCTTGTCACAAGGATAGAGGGCTTTCTCTATCCTGGGTTCTTGCCTTGGTGAACCAGAAGAATCAGATTCCACCTGGGCTTGGAGGATGAGTGCAAGGCTTTATTGAGTGGAGGTAGCTCGGGGGAAGTCAGAAGTGGGTAGAGTGGGAAGGTTTTCCCCGGGAGTCGGGCCACTCAGCTGCCTGGCCTCTCTTCTGACTGCCCCAGCCAAACGCTGCTAGTTCTGCGGTCAGTGGGCTGCCAGGGTGCTGCTGCCTGTCAGTCAGTGTGTTCCTCTTGACGTCCAGCTGCCTGTGTGTTCCTCTGCTGATGTGCTCTTCTAGACATCCAGCCACCTGTGTGTCTGCCTGCCAGGGTCTTGGGGGGTTTTATAGGCTGGATGGGGGTGTGGCAGCCCAGGGTGGTCTTGGGAAATGCAACATTTGAGCAGGAAATGCCTGTCCTCACCTAGGTCCATGGGGTTGGAGCCCTAGCCAGGGACCATGCCCTCCTCTACCCAGCACTCCCCTTCCTCACTTCTGAATCATTTAAAGGGACCACTCTTCCCTTCCCAGCACTTCTGTATCAATAAGAGAAATCCAAGCTTAATAATGGGGCAGGTGAGTTCTTCAAAGTCATGTAGCATCAAAATGCCAATAGCACCATGGCCTTCCGTTTCTGGGCTTCCCTGTCTCGCTGGAGCTGCTGGAGCAGTCATCTCACCTAACAGTTGAACCTAAAAGTTTTTCACACCCCACCCCCCGCAGCAAAATAAGCCCTGGCACTTGCCCAGTGGGCCCTCTGAGCTCCCAGAGCTGCCCCCACAGCCCCTGGGCTACCTCCTCCATCCCACCTTCCTGGTTTCTGAAACAGAAGATAAAACAAAAGAAGGAAAACAGTCTGTGGGTTTGGAGTTTAAATAAACAGGGAGGTTAACCAAAAGGCTGGTTTCAATAGATCAGAGGCAAAAGGGATTCCTACAGCTGGAGGCAATTAAATGAAACTAAAAAAAGGATTCTCACACTAACTACTAGACAAGTTCTAGAGACTGAAGGAAGCTTTTGTTGAAGTGGACAAATGCTCACTTTAGCTCAAGACTAAAACAAGCAGCCTTTTTCAGCATCCGTTTAGGGATGAGAGTTTTTCTTTCTTTCTTTTTTTTTTTTCCTAGTTGCCCCTCAGTCACTACAATTATGATAGTTCTTGGAAGAGATACTAACTCTCTTCATAGATCAAATGCTGCCCAATCCCAGCAGTATAGAGTTAGAAGTGACCTTACCATCAGTGGAATGCTGTTAAATATTAAACAACTGAATCTCCAAAAAAAATGAAAGAAAGGAAAAAGGCCTGGTGTGTAGCATTTGGAAATTTTTATGGTGTAAATACCCTACGATGGCTGATTTTAAGTAACCAGCATGAAGTCACTAGTCCACTGATGGTGAAGCTGGGAAGAAGGACTAAAGATCAGCTGCAATGCACAGGTACAAGCTCAGGACTCCACTGCTGACCATGTGAGAGTGATAGGAAATGCTCATGTGCCATTGTGGAGAGGGAAAATTTGGATATAAGCCTGTATACGTAGCATGACTTCAACCCATTCTATCTATCTATCTAATTATCTACTCACCATCTATCCATCATCCATCCATTATTTATGCATGTATCCTCCATCCATCCATCATCCATCCATTCCATCCATCATCCATCCATTCCATCCATCATTTATTCATTCATCCCCCATCCATCCATCCATCCATCCATCCACCCACCCATCCACTCATCTACTTACCTACCTACCTCATAGTCCTCAATTATAAAATTGTGTGGAACAGATAATAAGGTACTTTCCATTTTTAACTTTTTGTGATTCTACATATAATATTTCTTTTCACAGAATCACTTGATTCATGGATTAGCCGAGGAAGTTTATTTTTAATTTTGCAAATGCTTTCCTTTATTTATCCTTATGGTACTCATCACATCTCAAAATCTTAGCTATTTACTTCATATTGTGTTTTCCCTAGAAGGTGAGCTCCCTGAAGGCAGGGGCTTTGTTTGTTTTGGTCACTTCTGTATCTAGGATCTCAACGGGGCCTGGAGGATGGAGGAGCCCAGTAGGTGTGCATCGAAGGGCATGATCAAAAGTCTTCCTTATACACTTAAGGACATTGAGGCCTTAAGGAATGAAGTGACTTTCCAGAAGTCACAGAGCATATTTGTGGCAGAACCTAATATAGAACCTAAATCTTGCAATTCAGTTTTATTCTCTTTATTCTTTAGCTTACCTCACAAAAGACAGGGCCTACGAAGAAGTACATGTATATTTCTAGATTGCAAGTTGCAATTTGTGGAGATGAAGTAGAATAAAGAGAGTTAGTTGAGCAATCTACCTGCTCTTCTCCACTTACTCTCGGACCCTTTGCCTGAAGCCCTTTTCCCCTCAGCTAATTTTGGTCTCTGCTGGAAAGATGGGCATCACGGGCTTGCTTTACATTGTCATACTAATTTGTGGTCTGCATGTATCTCACTGGAGATGGAATCGGGGAAAATTTTATTGTTTTCCACTAGAGGAACCCTTCTTTTTAGGTCCCATATCATCAGAAGACCTGTTTTCTTTTTGTTGTTTTTGTTCTAGCTCCCAGTTCACTTCAGCATATATTGGTAACAGGTACTAATTTAGGCGCTGGAG
Source organism: Homo sapiens (assembly GCF_000001405.40). Lineage (NCBI taxonomy): Eukaryota > Metazoa > Chordata > Mammalia > Primates > Hominidae > Homo > Homo sapiens. The sequence goes on from NC_000013.11 coordinate 22,242,638, forward strand.
ATACAAACATGAATAATACAAGGCAGCTTATCTCCAGGAATGGATATTCTCTGGGGGGAACTGATGAAGAAAAGATATTATCAATGTAATGGTCGTAAGTGTAATGCAGAGGAAAATTCCAAAGCTGTAGGAGTCCAATAGAGAACACAGCACAGATATTGAGGGAGGGTTCTTTAAAAGAGACTGATTTGGGTAATCTCTAATTTATCTGATTAACAGTTTTCTCATTTCTAAAATAAATAGTGTTTGTGAATAATGAAAGCGTCTACCCATTTGTATAAGGTTCTACAAAAGCAATAGAGTTCATGGGCGAGCCAAGTCATCTCCAGCCTCCTTCCAGAGCCTGCAGTCAGATGGTAGACCAGATAGCCCTGCATGCCAGGTCCCACCTGATGCTACCTTGTAGTTGTGTCAAAAAATGGATGCCCTAATTTAATCAGCCATTAGTACTTGTGTACTTAATGGAAAAAAACAGCAGTGACATTAAACATCATTAAAACATCTCAGCCTGATTTTTAAAAAATTACTAGATAGAAATTCAACTGACTGAATCATCAACACTATTCAGTTACAATGAAGTTACTTTAGGCATGGGGTTGTTATAAAAAGTTACTGGTTTTCCAAATTATTGAGGGTCCGCAGTTTTAGGGTTTTAAATAAATAAGGGCTCACTGAAAAGAAACCTCCCTGTAGGTCAGTGTAGATTTTAATTAGCTGGTAGAGTCCAGCGTTAAACACCTTGAGAAACTGTCGTGGTGTAGCTTCCTTTCTCTATTGCTTTTGTTCCTTTGAACTGCAATGCAAACCCATGCACACAGAAAGTCAAGAAAAATAAGAGCAGTTTCTTGTTTCGGGAGTCATAAGTCATCTCAGGTAATGGTGAGGTAGGAAAACAGTTTTGGTCTCAGCCCACTGATAATGGATGGAAGTTACACCGGGTGTGATGGTTGCTCTATGTTTTAGCTGTTGACAATTGAAAGGGAACACATCAACATTTACTTATCTGACTTAATGAATGTTATCATGTGGAAAAGGTAAATCAATAACAGCCGAGATCAAACATACCAATCTCCTTTTGAACACACAATGCCCTCATTTATATAAATCTCAGCTGCTTGACGGGTGCCCATTTGAACACCCCTGGGCCAGCCTGGCTAAGAGGCCTTCCATCTTAGGGCGCTGGTGTCAGAATTTCAGGAACTTTTAAGCGTGGAAACTGATTTAAGAGCCGGCAAAGCTATAATTCCAGTGGTTTCCTAATTAACATGTGAGTGGAGAACTAGAGTGGCCATGGGTTATCTGAAGTGTTTAGTTCCTGCCTTCCTGCCCCGCCTCCCCAGAGCCCCAGACTCATTGAACAGAAAGGTTAGAAGTGGCCTACTGGTGACCCCAGGCAGGAACAGATTGTGATCTGCTTAATTAGGCTGCTGTCTTCATCTTACACCTCCAGTTTTAACACAGCTTTCCCCTGAGGGGATGTGGCTGCCGAGGTTGTGAACAGGTTTAAAGAGGGGATCTGAGAATGGCTGGGTGGGCTTCCAACTCTCAGAGTCCCCAGTAGTTGGTCCCCTCTGAACTCAGCGCTGCTCCATTTACCCTTCCTCCCGTCTTTTTCGCCCATTTCCTCTCCCTTGTCAGCCCTTCGTAGGGTGGAAGGGATTCAGCTGGGGGACCGCGGGCCTAGCCAGACCCAGCTGTGAGAAGCCACACAGGGGAGGCCATCTCACCATTTTCATTCTTGTCTCCGGCTTCTTGTTTCTGTTCCACTTCATCCCTCACCCGCAAATCCCACCCTCCAACCTGAATTTCCAAGCCTTGTGATTCTCACAGAAGCTCCTTTCTGGGTTGAGGTGGTTTTGAGCAGTAGAATACTCCGCTTTTCATTTTACTTGTGTTGAACAAAGTTTATGGGACTGAGCTGCTGGACTGGGATCCAGCAGATCAAACCAAATCAGAACGGAGTTGCTGGTGCTAAGTGGCACTCATCAAAGGGAACTTTGAAATGGGCCAGTTTTCCCCCAAACCAGAAGATTCCAGTCAACCTTTAGCCCTAAGGAGGTTAACTTTGAAATAAATGACCAGTTGCTTTTTGTTCTCTATGTCTGCTCTCCTCAGCTCTTTTCTGCTTATGAAGCTGAACTCCTCTGCTTCGTTCATTGGAACACCCATTCTGTTTTATAGAATGAGGTGTTGCTGGATTCCACAGTCACAAATCAAAGCCAATGAGCTCATTAAACTAAATCTGTTGTCATTTTGTCTTTTGACACTTACCTTCGTGTTGCTCTTCACTCTAAGGCCTTAAAATATATCCCAATACCCTTTTCACTGCTTTTCTTAAAGGTGTGTGTGTGTGTTATTGCTTTTGGTTTGATACATCTATCAGTTCAGTTTCCTTATATTAATACTTACATGGTTCTCGATTACCTCCAATTGCAACTGTAAGTGAGGGTTTTAAAATATTTTAAAACAAACAGAAAAAATCGAGTGCCTTAGAGTCTGAGGAAATCAGAAAGGCTATCTGTAGACCTTCCTGCCAGTTCACAGTCAAAGCCAGGCCCGTGGCTGCAGTTCTCTGGTGTCCTTGGAGGAGTGGGAGCACGGGGTGTGGTCAGTGGTTGCCTCTGTATTTCAGGCCTCAGGGGACTTGAGCCCATCTCCCAGCCCTTGTCAAAGGCTTTTCAGGCTTAAGAGCAGATTCTCAAAGTTTAGTATTCTTACATTAAAATATGAATGTAGGGACCAAATTCCATAGACATCAATTCAAGACATACGGAGTGAGGCCCCAAAATCTCTTAGAAGCCAGCACTAAATTCCGAGACCACATTGCTTTGGGAAACTAAAAGAGAAAATTGCTTCACCCTGTAAAAGTTTGGACACACTTAAGATGAGAATTCATTTATGATTTTTGTTACTCGGTATTTCGAATTCAGCCTTTTGAAATATAAACATAGCCTCAGGGAACAGTGTACACATATACTATCTGTCTGTCTGTCTGTCTGTCTGTCTGTCTGTCTATCATCTATCATGAACCTCTATCTATGTATCTATCTATCTATCTATCATCTATCTATCTATCTAGGTATCTGTGTATCCGTGTATGTACGTATCTACATAGGTATCTGTGAATGTATGTATCTACATATGTATCTACGTATGTATGTATGTATGTATCTATCTATCTCCCTCTTTACAAATAGCTGTTGATCAAATAATAACAGCATTGTTAAAAAGTCAGCCTCAGGGCCTCAGGATGCCCTCTTAGAATCTGTAAGTGTATGAAGCAGATCTGTAGGCTCTGTTGCTGCTAGTACATTATATTTCGCAGTGTAGTAGTAACTTTGGCAAGACCTATTTATTGGATGAGAGGGAACAATGATTGATGTGGGGACAGCATGTGAGTGAGGCATTCTCACTTTGTCACTGGACTCTTTTAGTGGTCCCTATCATTGTGAGAGATGCAGGATCCCTGCCCCAGTTCGGGCAGAGCAGCCTTCCCTCTCCTCCCACCAGCTCCCTGCTGCTACCCGGCTCTGCACACCCTGGCAGAGCACAGGCAGTGTTGACTGGAGTCTCTGCCATCCCTACCTGTCAATTCTCCAGCAGAGTCCTTAAAGGTAGGTTATATCCCCAGCTCCTAGTGGGGGGCCTAGCAATTAGTACATGTTCAATGAGAATTTGTGAAAGAATGTGTTTATTGAAGGGAGTCTAAATGTACCAGAATTTATATGAGGGAGTCGAAATGTACCAGAATATACCCCTTCTCTGCTTATAGACCTCAACTCCTAGGTGTCTGAGTCAGCTCAGGCTGCCATCAGAAAGGACAATAGACCAAGTGGCTTACACAGCAAACATTTATTTGTCCTAGTCCTGGAGGCTAGAAATCTGAGATCTGGGTGCCAACATGGCTGATCTCCGGTGAGGACTCTCTTCCAGATTGCAGGCTGCCATCTTCACATTCTGTCCCCACGTGGCCAAAAGAGAGTGCGAGAGCTCTCCCGAGCCTGCTTCCTAAGGGCAAGGATCCCATTCATGATGGGATCCGCCTCTTAATATCATGTATTGGGGGTTAGGATTTCAACACATGAATTTGGGGGGGAAACAAATATTCAATCCATAATACCAGGGATCCCTGTTTCATCTAAAATGCCGTATAATGAAAACTCAACTCACAAGTATTATTCATGGAATTGTTGGTTAAGTAGAAGGCATAGATAACTCTGAGGTATTCCTCAATCAGCCCTCGAGCCAAGATGAGTGGGAGATTTCACCAGTGAAAGCCATATTAAGTTGAATCAATGAGATCTAGAGTCCAAGTCCTGGATGGTACATAACTTATTTTGTAGGGACTAAGGCCATTCGAAATGGCTTCCTGTTCTTGTCTAGGTAGATGAACAAAGTACTCCAGAAGTCTTTTCTTAGTTTACTCTTCAATCCCTAGGGTTCACAATGTCATGTTATACTTTCATAAAAGAAGGAGGCATGCTTTACTGCTGGTGTGTGTGGTGTGGGTAGGAAATCATTCTTGCCTTCTAGACAGTGTTGGTTTAGGAGAAAAAGCTGAGTCTTGATCCACTTAGATGGCAAGCACAGTGAATTAGAGAGATTTCTGCATAAAGAGAATATTTCTGAAGTCCTTTTTTCATGCAATAATAATCTCTTATGTGGTATATTACAGCAGGATTCTAGTTTTACTAGAATTCTTACACTGAGATTCTGAGACTATTCTGTAATACTTCCTTCTAGGATCATTAGTGATGGAGAGGGCAATCTTTAAGACTACTTGTTTCTTAAAATTACAGGTGAGGATTACAAATCAGCAAACCTCTCCAAATAATGAAATACTCATCACCTTTTCTTTATGCCTTATAAGCTCTCGCAGTTTAAATGAGTTAGCAAGGCTCTCATGTACGTCCACACAGGTCGTGGTTGCACTAATCCAGGGAGCACCATCATATAGACATCAATTGCAAACGGTACCTCTGGTGGTTGTTCGTTGCACAGTCTGTACTGACATCAATAATAGCACTGTTTTTTGGCATCTGTCACCCTTATGGAGTAGAGACCATAGATTTTGGAACATCTATTTTCTAACAAAGGCACCTAGCCCATGACAGCACTCGCAGTTCACCCTTATCTCCCTGCCCCACGCTAATGTCCAAGACTGGCCAATTAACTGATCACCTGTAACCTCTGTGTTGAGTCAGACTTTCAGAGTCACCTTCCCTTTGCTTCCCTTTGTCCCTCCTGATGTATTCTTAGGCCTTGTCTTTCATGACCAGGAGGCTGGCCTGTCAGACTGCATCCCCTGTGCTCCTCTGGTGTTTGGCTTCTGGCTGGGTTTAGTCAAACAGAAACACTGGCAGGCGAATGGGGAACAGATGAGAGAGTTTGGGGTATTCACTTCTGCTGCGCTTTCGCCAGGCTGTCGTTTTGGTAGTGATGTGCCTTCTCAAGCTGTCATCACAGTTCCTACAGGGCAGCCCCTTTCCAGGGCTACAGCCCTTGCACGACTTGAAACATTACCTTCTCCCCTTCCCTGACGGTCCCAGGTGGCAGTGGCTTTCTACTGACATTGTCCCTAGATCCCTCACCATCCCTTGCTGCTTCTTTTACAACTACAAATAGGACATTTCTAAAGCTCCTCAGTCTCCCCTTTGAGAGTGGGGCTGTCTGTTTTGTTCTGGAGTCACGACTGATACAATCTGCTGTTTCCTTTTGCTTCTTCTTACCCCCGACATCCTGGATGTTGATCTCACCAAAATCAGATCTCCTATCATAATTTCCCTTTGGGTATCCTGGCCATTGTCTATTGCCCTCTGAGCCAGCTTTATGACCAAATTAGTCCTCCTTACTCCACAGTTACTCACACTTTAAAACCTTTAAAACGTTTGAAGTGGAGGTTTTAGAACATTCTCCACTGCTATGATTTCCGCACATTTGCTACCAAGGTTTCCAAAGATTTAGATCAATTCTTGTTAGTACTTCATCAAAGTCTTTTACTAGAGTGTAAACTCCATGAATGGAGAGATTGTAAACGCATCTTCGTGTTCTCCATAGTACTTAGAAGAAAGCTTTTTATGTTAAGATTGCTCACTAGATTTTCATTGGTGTAAGTGGCATTTGGGCACAGTACTGACAAATATGGTGCATCCGACATTAGACGTTATGATATGCATCTTTAAAAAATATTGATTCAAATGGAATTATACTACATACACTTGCTTGTCTGCACCCATTTTCATTTAACAATATACGTATGTATCTGAAAGCTGTCCATATCATTATGGAATTATTGGTCTTTTTATTATTTTATTAATCTTTGTTTGAAATGTGATATTTTATATATAGTTTTTGAAAATCTATCTTTAATAATAAAGAATTTCAGCATACAGAAAGAGCTGAGAATAAGATAAGAAACTTTCATCCAGATTATAAGTAGAAACATTTTGACCCTTTTGATTCACATCTCTTTCTTTTTGAATAAAGGAAAAGACATTTGCCATGCTCTTTGTACCCTTCCCCATCCCACTCCTTGCTTCCTTTTCTCCCTTCTTCCTCCCTCTCCAGAAATATTCACTGCAGTAGTTCCCCTTATCCATAGTTTTGCTTTCTGCAGTTTCAGTTACCTGCAGTAAGCCTCAGCCTGAAAATATTAAATAAAAATTCTAGAAATAAATAATTCATAAGTATTAATTCACTCACATTTCTGAGTAGTGTGATGTAATCTTGTGCCACCCAGACGTAAATCATTCCTTTGCCCAGTAGACTCACTTAGTAGCTGTCTTGGTCATCATATCAACTGTTTCAGTATCCCAGGGCTTATGTTCAATGGCCCCAAGCTCAAGAGTAGTGATGCTGGCATATCATCATGATTGTTCTATTTTATTATAAGTTATTGTTGATCTCTTACTGTGCCTAATTTATAAATCAAAGTTTAACACAGGTATGTATGCACAGAAAAACACATAGTGTGTATAGGGTTCGGTAGCGATAGGGACAGAAGGCAGGGAAATTCTGGGCAGAAGAGGGTAGGTCCCCAGCGAGAGCCCCACCCTCAAGCCTGGAGCTGTGGCCCAAAGTGAGAACATACATCCTTGTTTTCCTGTTCAAATGTTGCCTTTTCAAGAACCACCCATGGCCCGCCCCATCCCCTTTCCTGTGCCCATAAAAACTCCAGGCTGAACTGGCAGAGAGAGGAGATGTAGCTGGATGTCGGAGACTATGGTTAGACATTGGAGAAAAGTGGCTTAACTTCAGAGGGATGGCTTGACAGCATATCTTTAAAGGGAAGTCTGGCTGCAGATGGCCCGACTTCAGGGAAGATTACTTTCTCGCTCCATCCCCTTTTCAGCTCCCCTTCCCACTGAGAGCCACTTTAATCACAATAAAAACCCCCACATTTACTGTCTTCAAGTTGTTTGTGCAACTTCATTCCTCCTGGATGCACGACAAGAACTCAGGTGCTGGTGCAAAATGCAAAAGGCTGTCACACTGACCCTCCACTGAGCTGTTAATACATAAACCATCTGCAGATGGCAAAGCTACAAGGGCAGTGTAACACTTTTTCTGGGGCTTCAAGGGTTGTGGGCACCCTCCCCTAGATGCTGTTGCAGGGCTGGCATGGAGTTCACTCTTGCTGGCATCCAAAAGTGCTCGCCCCAGCTCTTGCACTTGCTCCCCTGCACTCCGCCTCCTGTGAGAGGTGAAGCAGCGAGTTAGTGGAGTTTGCCCCTGCTGGTGCCTGTGCACTCCAGATCCTGCCTGTGAAGGGGTCAGGGACATTTCCTACTTCAGTACTATCCACGATTTTAGGCATCCACTGGGGGTCTTGGAACATATCCCCCACTGATAAGGAAGGGGGGACAACTGCATTCTGAAGTTAGTGGAATCCTTCTCACTCATGAACTTATACTCATCCTACGTACCAATATGTCCACACACAGTACAACAGTGCTATTTTTGTTTTTAAAATGATCACAAACTCTATTGTCAACTCTCTTTTAACAGTTTTAAACATTTTATTTGTTAATACTTTAAAATTTAAAGAAAAGTTACATGAATAGTATAATTCTCTTATATACTTAATCTAGATTCACTGATTTTTAATATTTTGCCACATGAATTTATGATTTCCTTTCATATACACTCATACACACATATTCATCCCCCCATATGCAATTTTTGAAGCTTTTGAGAATAGATTATATACATTATGTCCCTTGACCTTACTGTTTATTTTGTAATGTACAAGAATAAGTGTCTTATCAAATTTAGAAAATTTAGTATTGATATATTTTTTCTAATCTACTGTTTCTATACCAACATTTGTCCCAACAATGTCTCTTATAACAGCTTTTGCTAAGACTCAGTGTAGCCCAAGATTATGCACCAAATTTAATAATCATATCTCTTTATCTGGAATATTCCTCGGTTATTTGTTGTCTTTTATTATGTTTGCATTTTTTTTAAGCACGTAGGTCACTCATTTCATCAGAAGTCTCTAAATTGGAATTCTCTTGAATTTCCTTATGATTATATTCAGCTTTTTGTCTGCAATACCATTTGTTATGATTACTAATAGATCAAGACTTCTGTGTATCTATTTTTATACACCAAACCTTTTCTTTGATTTTTGTTTTATTATTTAACATTCTTTATTGGATAATTGGATTTACATCATTCCTCTTTTTATCTGTATTGGTATAGACTTTCCCTTTGTATTCTTTTAGTAGTTACCTTTGAATTTTAAATGTAATGCAACTTAAAGACTTCACATCTTAATATTGCTGTCTCGTATTCTTATTCTTTTAACAAATGCCTTTAACTTAGTCATTTGCAGGGTAAAATACATAATGTGCACTCCTAATGTTTTCTTTGAGGGCAGGAACATAGACTTGTCACAGCTTTGGCCTGTCTTCACCCCTTTATCTGTCCATCCCAGGTGCGGAGGCAACGCTTTCCTCACGGATGAGCTCTGGAGAGGAAGTGAGCACAGAAAGCAGTTTCTTCCCTTCTTCTTTCTCATTGGGAGCTGGCTGCTCCTCCGCGTTTATTTACATGGGAAGCAGTGCTTGTCGCCGTGAATGAGTACAATTCTGCGGTTCAGTATGAAGAAGCCCACTGTTGCCACTATCTTACTTTCTCAAATATCAGCTTGTTAAGCAAGGAAGGCAATATTTGATATTCGATTGCTAATGCTTTTGTCTTATTTGTTAACAAGTTCAATAGTTAGGTGCAAGAGGTGCACATAATTTACTGAGCATCCTCCAACCCCACTTAATAGTCATTATTATTATCTTTACTAACCATAGTAACTTACTAACTTACTTTGATATATGAACATGTTTTTTTGTTTCTGTTTTTGTTTTTTTTGAGACAGTCTCGCTCTGTCTCCCAGGCTGGAGTGCAGTGGCACAATCGTGGCTCACCGCAAGCTCCACCTCCCAGGTTCATGCCATTCTCCTGCCTCAGCCTCTCCAGTAGCTGGGACTACAGGCACCCGCCACCACGCCCGGCTAACTTTTTGTATTTTCAGTAGAGACAGGGTTTCACCGTGTTAGCCAGGATGGTCTCAATCTCCTGACCTCATCATCTGCCCGCCTCGGCCTCCCAAAGTGCTGGGATTACAGGCGTTAGCCACCACGCCCAGCCTGTTTTCTTTGTTTTATTACTATTATTTTGCTTCTTTTTGCTTTTTAAATCCTAATGATGGCAGCAGCTGCCCATCTAGAGCCATGGCTGCCAAGACACAGGCTTCAGGGGGGATGCATGCCTGGGGCTATAATGCTCCATGGTGCAAGCAGTGGCCCTGCCCCTCTGGGCTGCGCCTCCCGCTCCGGGTGACACAGCAGCCGCCCTGCCATGGCTCCAGACACCGTCATCTCTGTGCTCTTGCGGGGCCAGGAAGACTCCTCCCCGCCACAAATCCCTGCAGGCTCAGAAGTGCCTGCTGCCGCTGCCTGGCTTTTCCCTGCTGTTGCTGTTGGTGCCTGCTCCAGTCTCAAAGGCACCCCCAGGGCTGCATGCTCTGTAGAGAGCCAGCGACTGCCAGGGTACAAGTGGGAGCCCCGCCCCTTCAGAGTTGGTGGGGCTGGCCCTTCCCTAGTGCAGCTTTAATCATCCTCCCAGGCCCAGGAAGCAGAGGAATAGTTTGTGAAAAAGCAAGAATGTCATTACTAGGTAGCTCAAGGTCGCTGCACCATTGGTGCGTAGGCAAGGGTGGGGAGTGGGGTGAGGAAAGAAACATGGAAGGGCAGAGGTCAGATTATGTGGGAATTGATGTGGGCTTTTTGTTTGTTTGTCCCACACTGTTGCCCAGCCTGGAGTGCAGTGGCGCCATTTCGGCTCAATGCAAACTCTGCCTCCTGGGTTCAGGTGGTTCTCCTGCCTCAGCCTCCCTGAATAGCCAGTAGCTGGGATTATGGGCATGCACCACCATGCCCAGCTATTTTTTGTATTTTTAGTAGAGACGGGGTTTCACCTTGTTGGCCAGGCTGGTCCCGAACTCCTGACCTCGAGTGATCACCCACCTCAGCCTCCCAAAGTGTTAGAATTACAGCCATGAGCCACTGCACCTGGCCTAATATGTTATATAAGGATTATGGAGTCTATCCTGAAAAGGGTGAGGAACAACTGGAGTATTTCAGGTAGAGGGTAAAATGATGAGGTTGCAATTTAGGAAATGTAAGCAATCAGAATATCATGGCGGAGGTGAGGCAGCACTTGAAGTAGGGTGTGGGTGGGGAATCCATCATAATACTCCAAGTCTGAGACAACAGGAATGGAAGTGTGAGGAATAAAGAAAACAGCAGAGTGGTGTTTTAAAGATTGAGAGACATGACTGTGTAGTCAGTTCACAATAAATGTGGCAAAACGGATCAGTGGGATAATTAGAATTATGAAATCATTCATGCAGAACTGATTTTGTGACACCATGTGTATTTCGTTTTGATTCACTGATAGCCTGAGTTGGAGCCGAACCTATTTGAGTTTTGTAGCTATAGTACATTGGTTTCTGTCTGTGTAGCTGCTTACATTATTTGGGTAATTTTTTAATCTTAGGATGTTGGAATGGAGGTCAAACTTTATTCTTTGTGGCATATGTCCTATGTGCAGGATTCTTAATCTCTATCCCTAATCTTTACAATACCCTCTATAGTATATGCCAAGAAATGTAACCAGAGGCCTTTATGGTCTAGGAATTTCATTTTTTTTATTATGTCGTATGAGAACCTATAATTACAAAATATCTTTTATATCACTAACTTCTGAATTAAGAACTTAGTAAAAAGTTAAAATATAAGTTCCACTCACATAGAGCAAACATTCTCATGAATGGCACTTAAGATTTTATTTCTTTTATTTGTTTCTAGCTTTTGAATTGTATCAATAGCCTTAGGCTTGTTTAATAATATGCATACATAGCTGTATAATATAGAACAATTAGAATGGGCTTCAGGTTCTTGAAAGCACTTAGAGACACAGACAGCCACAGAATGAATCCATGGGCTGTTCTACTCTTCATTTTCCATCAAGCTTGTTGACCTTAGTCTTTTGACATAATGTATTGTGGCTAAGGTTTCGGACACTTGAACTTCTCTAATCATAAAATCGTGGAGATGGTTTAGTTCTCATCACTTTTATCTAAACATGATATAATACATGGGAAGGTTTTTTGATCTTTTTATCACTCCGTGTGTAGAAACAGCTAAGTGTTTGCAGACCACTGTCTTCTTTCTTAGGGTAGATGTTCAGCCTTCTCCGCTGTGCCAAGGACATGAATAGGTATATAGAGTCCTATGCACAAAGCTGCTTTCTTAACTTTAAATATTTTTCAAAATCTATCTTCTTCATATTGCAAAAAAAAAAAAAAAAAAAAATCAAATGTGGTAGAAATTCCTGATTTCTCCAAACACTGACAATTTTATTAGACTTTTTACCACATCAAAATTGAAAAATGATACTTAAGAGAAAGGAAACAGCCATTCATTCATTGCTCACGTCTTCATTGCGTGTTAACTCTGGACAGTGATGTTCTCAGCTTTGGGGAAATAAGGATAAAAACGTGTCACTTCTGCCTTTAAGGATTTTGATGTCTACTGGGAGAGAAAAACGTTGCTTAACTGGAGCATAGTAAGTACTACAGAAGAGGCAGAAAAAAGGGAAAGTAGGAGCAACGGTTAGGACTAAAATTAAAATGTTGAGAACAAATTATATCAAGTTATAAGTTACGCGCATGTGATGACAGCATAAATTATATTAGATAAGGGCTATAGACACTATTATCATTTGATAATAAATGGGGATGTTGGCTCATTTCAGAAAGCCTTTGGGATATGATACACTGATACGTTAATACCAATAGTAATAAGAATAAAATTATTAATTGTGGGAAGCTATTATGGGCCAGGCACTTTTATGGATGTGTTACATGTGATCCAAGAAATAAAACCACATGTAGAGCATTGTGGCTCATGAAAAGGATGTGGAATCAGATGTCCTAGGTTCAAATCCCAGTTCTATCCAAATTGCCCATTTGGCCATATTCAAGTTACCTTTCTCCAAGGGTTTTTTTTCCCATGGAGAGAATGTCAATAACTTACTCGTTCAAGGGTAATTATGAGAAAATGAGTTAATTGATTTAACACAGTGAATTAACATTAACAAGGTGTGTTATTATCATCATCATCATCATCATCATCATCATCATTATTATTACTTGAGACAGAATCTTGATCTGTCACCCAGGCTGGAGTGCAGTGCAACCTCTGCCTTCCGGGTTCAAGCGATTCTCCTGCCTCAGCCTCCCGAGTAGCTGGGATTATAGGCGCCCGCCACCACGCCTGGCTAATTTTTTTATTTTTAGTAGAGACAAGGTTTCACCATGTTGGCCAGGCTGGTCTTGAACTCCTGACCTCAAGTAATCCACCTGCTTCAGCCTCTCGAAGTGCTAGGATTACAGGCGTGAGCCACAGCGCCTGGCCTATTTTTTATTTTTATTTTTTTGTTGTTGTTGTTGAGACCGAGTCTCGCTCTGTCTCCCACTGGCCTATTATTTTTTTGACACTTGAAACATCTCTGATTTAGAGTTCATGTAACTTTCCAAATACCACAGGCATGGTTAGCCCAAAACAGGTTCGGCACACATTTGCGTTCTCCAAAGCCTGTGTTCTTTTAACCCTGTACTGTGTGTGTGTGTCTGTGTATATACTATTTTATATGTATAAAATATATTTATATATGTATATTTATATATATTTATATATATGAAATAGTATCTATATATTTATGATGTATATCATATATACATCTTAAAAACTTCCAACCTCAACTACCATGATATTTAGAAATAAAAGGTGACTTCCTCTTTTTAGATTACAACTTTGTCTGTGCTTCTAATATGACTAAGTTTAGCATTAATTAAATGACATAATTTTATGTAGTATTAAAAGTTGGCATGTCTAAATTATTCCGTTTAATTGATATCAGATTAGAATTTGAAAACTTTATGCTACAATTTAGATGTATAAATATTGATCCACTCAGACATAAAAAAGTTCTCTTTATTACCAGCTGCATGAGTGATGCTATCTTTAATTTTACTAGTTGTGGAACAATTTGGAGAATGTGATATTATAGCTGAATAGTGAAACTAATATTTAAGTAATGCTGACACAGCAAAATCAAAACAAAACAAGTCTCTATGTTATTCTCTTTGCTGTCATCATTAAAATCAGTACATTAATAAGGGAGAACTTGGCAGCTGGGGCAGCAGGCAGGTTGGCAGCCACAAGGGGGTGTTCCTCATGCTGCAAAGTTTACAAATTTTTTTTCCAACTACATATGCCTCATTTTTCTTGGAATTCTGTTCTTTTACTTGAATATGCAATCTCATGGTACCAACCCAATGCATCAAAACACTAGCAATTTCTGATATACTTTGGGGAAGGCAATCACGTGTCTATTTCATCGCATGCCACCACAATATTCTTCCATGATGGAAGATGTTTTCAGACTTCCTTTTTCAATTTTTTTCTTCGTATTTTAATTTTCAGACATTCTTTTTTTATTTTCATCTGATAGCTCATGCATGGATACTCTGAGAGAGGATGCATGTAATTCAAAGATACACTAAAGTAATAAATACATTTCTGTGTGTCATTTTTCCATGTGGTAGTAGATGGAAACTTCTGTCTATATGGAGAGCTAAAGATCCTAGCTCACATCAAAATGTTACTTAGAAATGCACACCATGGCCTCCTTTTGCTTCTGTTTATCTTTCATATTACAAAGTAGAAGAAAGATGATAATTGGATACTGCTATTTATGGCCACTGAATCCACATCATTTTTAGGAGCTAGGTCACCTAACATTTCGTCCTGATTTGTTTTCTGTTTTAAATTTCTTTGATTTCTGCTCTTAACTTTATTATTTTTCTCCTTCTGCTTGCCTCAGGTTTCTGTTGTTCTTTTTCTAGGTCCTTGAAGTAGGAGGTTAGATTATGTATTTGAATTTTTCCTCTTTACTGTTATAAACATTTAATTTCCTAAGGTTTTCTCTCAGCATTGCTTTAGGTGTGTCTTATAAATTTTGACATGTTGTGTTTTTATTTTTATTCAAGTATGTAAATAAATATATATATATATTTAATTTTGTTTGAGGCTTCCTTTGTGACCCATGGATTATTAGATATATATATTTCCAAATGTCTGGAGGTTTTTCTGTTATCTTTCCATTATTGATTTCTAGTTTGATTCCACAGGGGCCATAGAACACAATCTGTATGATTTCAGTTCTTTTAAATTTGTTGAGGTTTGTTTAATGGCCCAGAAGATGGTCTCTCATGGGTTAAGGTTCTGTAAGTGTAAAAAATGTTTCTGATTGGAGTATTCTATAAATGTTGGTTAGACTCTGTTGGGTGATGTGTTTTGAGTTCTTATAGATCCTGGCTGCTTTTCTCTCCAGTTGTTTTATCATTGTTGAGAGAGGGATGTTGAAGTTTTCAACTTTAATTGTGAGTTTGTCTATTTCTCCTTTTAGTTCTGTTTTTGCCTCACATATTTTGCAGCTGTGTTGTTTCATTTATACACATTTAGAATTCGTATGTTTTGGTGGATTTACCCTTTTATCATTATGTAATATTCTTGTATGTCTCTGGTAATTTTCTTTTCTCCACAGTCTACTTTACTTGATGTTAATATAGCTACTCTTAATTTCTTTAGATTAATGGTTGCATAATATATTTTCCCCATCTTTTTACTTTTAGGCTACTCCTATCATTATATTTGACCTTAGTTTCTTATACACAACGTATAGTTTGGTCATGTTTTCAAATTCACTATGCCAGTCTCTGTTACTGAATTGATGTGTTTGGACCATTTACATTTAATATGATTAATGATATGTTAAGGCTTAAGTCTGATATTTTATTTCTGTTTTCTGTTTGTTCTGTCTTGTTTTGACTTCTCTGTTTTCATACATTCCTGTGGGTCACTTGAACACATTTTAGAGTAACATTTTGATTTGTCTGTAGTGTTTTTAAGTATCTCGTATAGCTATTTTAGTAGTTTTCCTAGATATTACATTATATGTACATAATTTATTACAGCCTACTGGTCTTGATATTTTACCAGTTAAAGTGAAGTATAGAATCCTTGCTTCTCTTTACATTTCTTTACCTTCTCCCATTCATAATAAAATTGTTGTAAATATTTTGTCTCCACATATTTAGAACTACATTAGAGAATATTATATTTTTTAAACCCTCAAACATAATTTAGAAACTTAAGAGGAAAAGGAAAACGTATTTGCTTATACTTAACTTTCCTTTGTTCTCTTCTCTTTTTCAAAGTTCCAAGATTCTTTCTGTTATGATTTCTTTTTAGAGAATTTTTATTAGCAACAATTTTTTTTTAAGATAGATCTGTTGGCAGCAAATTCTATTACTTTTTCTTCCTCAGAAGATGTCTTGGTTTCTTGTTCATTACTGAAGGATATTTTTCACTGGATATAGATTCTTCATTTGACAGTTCTCTTTCAGCACTTGAGAAGTAGGTTACTTCCTTATGGGCTCCATGATTTCTAATGAAAAAATATGCCGTCATTTAAATTATTTTTTTCAATATAGATAATTGCTTATTTCTATCTTGCTTTTTTCAAGACTTTTTCTTCGTCTTCAGTGTTCAAAAATTTGACTATGCTATGTCTTGGGGTGGACTTCTTCAGAGTTTTTCTGTTTGGATTTCTCTTAGATTCTTAAACATGTAGGTTTAGGTCTTTTGCCAAATTTGGGACATTTCAGCCATTATTTCTTTGAGTACTTGTGAGCTTCACTCTATTTCCCCTCTCCTTCCAAGGTCTCAATGGTAAGAATTTTAGGTCTCTTGTTATAGTCCCATAGGTCCCAGAGGCCTTGTTTATTATTTTTTTCCAGTTTGTTTACTCTCCATTCTTAATATTGGGTTATTTATGTTGTTCTGTTTTAGCTCACTAATTCTTCTTTTTGCCCCTTTAATTCTACTGTTGAACTCATACACTAAGTTTTTTTAAAAATTTTGTTTTTGTGTTTTTTCAGTTCTACAATTTCCATTTGGTTTTTTATGTCTTCTATCTATTTATTTGCTGAGAGATTCTATTTTTCAATTGTTCCATGTATGTTCAGAATAGCTCACTGAAGTATTTTTATTGTGGCTGCTTTAAAGTATTTATCAGATAATTGCAACATCTTTGTCATCCTTGTGTTAGCCTCCATTGATTGTCTTTTTCTTCGTTTAGATTTTTCTCATTCTTGTTGTGATGAGTGATTTTTTATATTGAAGTGAGGACATTTTAGGTATTACGTTATGAGACTCAGGGTCTTATTTAAACCTGTATCAGTTGGCTTCCTCTGACATCCTCTGACAGAAAAATGGGGAGTGAGTTGCCTCATTATCTCCAGTTAGGGGAAGAAATCCAATCCAGTCCCTTGGCGTTCACTGATACCTGAAGTGGAGAGTTTCCTGTTACTGCTGGAAAGTGATGGGAGTTCTGGGTCCTCCAGCCCCTGGGCCCCTGTTTATTCCCCTGGAAAGGAGAGGAAGGAATACATCATGAGTGCTCCCTACATGGTCCCACTGACACCATGGAGAATGATCTTATGATCACTGAGTGATGGCGAAAGACCTAGTGCACTTATCTAGCACTAGGCCACCTGTGACACCAACATATCAAGGAGAGGGAGGGGCATCTCATTACTACTGGGTTGGGGTGGAAGTCCAGGTTTCCCACAAAGTCTCCACTGACCCTGTAGTGAGGCAGCCTCATTACCATGTGGCAAGGATGAACATCCCAGCTCCCTTCTCTGCCTTCTCTAACACCACCCCAATAGGGGCGTTGAGGTGTCTCCTTTCACCCTGGAGTAAGTGGAAGTCTAGGCTTCTCACTTTGTCTTTGCTGGCATGATGATGGGGCCACTGTCTTTTCTTTGGCTGGAGCAGAGAAGTTATACTCTGAAAGTTTACTGTCTTGCTAAACTGCTCCTTTCTGGTGCTTTGGTTAAGGATAGCAGGCATTTTTATTGGGGGGTTACTTTTATCTGCTCCTGTTGACATTTGGTCTTGTCAGCTTCTCCAGCTAAAACCCAAACTAAAACCCCCAGGAACTCACCATGATGTTGTTCCTTGTATCCTACCATCTCTAGCCAGTGAGCTTTCTCATTTGTCTTTTAGGGGCTTTTTATGTTTGTTTTATACACAATGTGCAGGATTTTAAATGGTACTTAGCAGAAGGAATGAGAAAAAGTACTTCTATTTCATCTCTTTGGAAGTGGAAGTCTAATATTAACGTCTTATTCAACCTTGCCAAGACTTAGTGAAATGCTTAAGAAAACTTTGTTCTAATTCTAATATGTATGATATCTTTTATCATTATCCTGGTCCTATTAAATGTACATTCCATATTCCATCCAGTATACTATTATGATGATAGTAACAGTGATAGTAGTGGCTAACACCTATATGGTGTTATGTATAGAAATGTAGTCATTTAATATTCATGATGATCTAATAATTAGTTATCATTATTTCCTTAATGCAGATGAGGAACTAATGCACAGGGAGACTAAATAATTTCACCAAGGTCTTTCAGCTGAGCTTTGAGCTAAGGCAGATGTGGTCGCTCTCCTGAGTTTCAGAGAATTTAGTGAACATTTCAGAGAACTCTTACTTACTATTTTAATTTGCAATTTCTTCAAGTTCAAACTTGAAGCACAATCTTTACCACTAGCTATATTTCTAAAAGGGCTTTGATTTCTTCAAAATGCCTGCCACCAATGATGATTATCCAAACAGTGGTTTCATGAGGCTCATGGTGCCTGTTGGGAGACATTCCTCACTGGGAGTCTTGTGCTCATTTGTGTCTTATGATGTCCCCAAAATGCAAGTCCCTGACTGATCTTTACCTGGGCTCAGGATTGTGTTTGCAGCGAGAGCAACTTTGAGGCACGAGATACTATCTCCCTGCAGAAAAAAGAAGTCTGTCTTTTGCTAACTCTAAAAGCAGTGAATACCCCAAACTCAGGGTTTATCTTTTGTAAAGCCACCCATGGTCAGTGTAGATGTCTTTTGTCTGTTTAAGCTCGTGTGGGACTCGGGGCTTGGAAAATTGGTGCAATTACACAGTCACTGACTACTACTTTTGCTGGAAGTAATAAAATTTTTTGTCTGTAACCCAGGAGTCTCATACCTTTAGGGGTAACCATGAAATGGTGGCAGGCTAACTTTTTAGCTTGCAGGTAGGGTAAAATATCTGATCCTTCACAGTTTTCACAGTGGTACAAGGTCCACTCTTGCTTTCTGAGGACTCCAGGAGCTCAGCCCACACTTAGATAAATGGGATTTATACATTGTTTCTTTAGGCAGGAAGAGTAAGTTAACATTTGAGTCCAGGCAGAACAAATTTCTTTACCCTTCAGAAGCGTGAACTTTATGATTTTGCCTGTGTAACATTACTGGAAATTTTAGCAGCTTAAAATTTCACCAGTTCATCATTCCATGCCCACAGCCACGTGGACTAAATTGACCATTTGGCAATTTGTATCTTCTAATATTATCTCCTTCTAACCATACTGGGGATAATTCTAGCAGATACAGGCTAATGGTGTGTTTTTTTTTTTGTTTTTTTTTTTTTTTTTTTTTTTTGGCCCAGTCAAAAAGTAAAGACAAATTGGAGAAATGGGATGAAAATTATTATGTGTCCTTCTGGCACCCAGACACAGTAATAAAAAAAAAAAAACAGGCCAGGGGTTTAAAGATTTCTAATTAAGGGTTTCCACCTCAGTTTCCTCCTGTTGCAGGACATTTGACATAATAGGCTGGCTCCTGAAGGCAGAGCCTTATGGAGAAAGGTGGGCTTCGTGTTTCAGTGTTTTACTTGCCTCTCCCTTCTGTTCTTTCATTTCCCAGGCCTTCCCATTGTGTAAACACACTTGTTCATGCTGTTTTTCTTGCTTCCTTTTTTTTCCCCCATAGTTTGCTAAATATGCCTTTCAAGTATTCTCTTAAAAAAAAAATCGTTTTTTTTTTCCCTCCAGATTTTGCCTTCGTTTGCTTCATTTTCTGGGCAGAAGGCCCAGTCTGGTTTATACTTATTGTGCATCTATATCTTCTCAAAGTGATTCCTTCCTTTATAATTATTATTCTCATTCATTTATTTTCTCATTAGAGAATTGAGTGATGTGGAAAGGTGACCTCCCAGCTGATCTTTCAGGAGAAATACTTCCTTCTGTGTCTTTAAAAATATTCTTCTATGATGTTGGAAGATGAGGCTTAATGCCTTCCTTACATGCTTTGCTGCTGAGTAGAATGACATTTGTTTTGACCAGTGCTCGCTTCATTTTCTTTCCTCTTATTGAATCAGATAGAAATCATGCACTTGTCTCTGTGTGTTTGTATGCCTGAGTGTAGTGGAGTTGCAAAGGCAAATGCTCTGTGTGTGTTTGTGTGTCTGTGGGTTTGTGTGCTGAGTGTGATGCAGCGTAGATGCATAGGCGAATGCTCTGCTGCACTTTGGCATGTTTATTTTGGAATGTCATTTCCAATCAAATCTAACATTTATAACTGGCCTCCCTTCATGGCTTTCTGGGCCACAGTTTAAATGCCCAAGAATAAACATGTCAGCTGTAAATGGAAGATTATGGCAGCAACCAAGACAGATTGCCATCTCATCAGCTGCTTAAAAATTAAAATTTCTTTCTGTGGCTAGACTTTCTTACAGCTATGTCTATGGGCTGTGAAGAAAGCAGATATTTAGTGGAGTGAATGGGGTATAGGATATAAGATGTTAAAATATCACAAAGTGCCTTGTCTTGTCAGTAAAAGACAACCGTAGAGAATACCAAGCTGAGCCAGAATGCTTTTTAAGAAATTTCTCCCAAGCAACCAGAATCTAGTGATTCTAGGATCTAACAAGAATAAATTTTCTAGTGGGATATGTATTTTATAGTTATGGAAATGCAGAATTGCATATTCACGTGTAAGCCTATAAGTTTTAAAGATGCAAAGGGAAGTGTAACAAGTTTTATTTTTCTATTTGAAAGCAGAGTATTTTTCACAGATGACTACACTCAGCTTGCTGACACATTCTCTGGATTTACCAAGTGAAATTGCACAGTGTCAGGAATGATTTGCCAATGTCTTCAGTAGGTATGAACTTAATACATCTTTCACATTTAAGAAGCCACCAGAAGCTGTCAACTGGCCAAATGAAGGGGTATCCCACTGAGCTGGGTTAACATCGTCAAATGAATGTGATGAAATGTTACTTCATTGATGATGGCATATTGTGATTCCATCAGAGCCTTCCCTTAGGAAACACTATGCACTATGGTACTTTTCTTGATTATTACAAAATATATGGATTCCTATCCTTTATTTTAGCAGGTTGGAGGAATCTGAAAAAAGATGTTTCGTGAACAATCCAAATGGATTCTTTACCATAAAACTCTGACTTTTATTGCTGTTATAACTTTGGACTTTCTCAGTAAAATTAAACAATCCTTTGGGTGCAGCAGTTTATTCCTTTAAAAATCAAGCTGTGGGCCAGATGCGGTGGCTCATGCCTATAATCCCAGCACTCTGGGAGGCTGAGGCGGGCAGATCACAAGGTCAGGAGATCGAGACCATCCTGGCTAACATGGTGAAACCCCATCTCTACTAAAAAAATACAAAAAAAATTAGCTGGGCGTGGTGGTGGGCGCCTGTAGTCCCAGCTACTTGGGAGGCTGAGACAGGAGAATGGCGTGAACCTGGGAGGCAGAGCTTGCAGTGAGCCGAGATGGCGCCACCACACTCCAGCCGGAGCAAGAGTGCAAGACTCCATCTCCAAAAAAAAAAAAAAAAAAAAAAAATCAACCTCTGGTGTTGTGGGTGGGGATGGCGGAAGGAGTGATGCATGATACGTTCATGGCTATTTCGTCATGCTCCCCTGCTTTCATCAGAGATATCAACAGATGAGCAGCTGTTGACCCAGAAAGGTGGATCAATGCTTATGGCCATACCCTGTATTAGTTTCCTTATCTTTGCAAGTTGGGTCCTACGGGGTTTCAAATCCAGCTGCCTTTAATAGACAGAACGCTTAGGGCCACACACGTGAAGGACTTACTAGGTATTGCTTAACTCTGTTTTTGTTCATAAACAGGCATCAAGGATGGAGATGCGCTAAGACTGATGATGTACACAGTACAAATAGTGCAAATAAGGATGAGAATACAAGCCCTGGTGATTAAAAAAGGTCAATAATGTTTTTCAAGGAGCACTTAGCTTTTTAAATGATTGTTTAAAAAATGTTGCTTCCATGTATTAAGTCTGAATTGTCCTTAGATGAATGACAGGAAATTATGTCTGTCTTTTCTTTTAATATGTGTATGTTCATCCAAACACAATGAAGTAAAACACCGAAGCTTTATCTGTGTGATTCAAGTCCCCTAACCTATCTTTATCTGAATATTAAAAGAGAAAAATCTTGGTAGATATAAATAAGAACTAAATTGTCTACAAAATTGATTTAATTCTCATTTTATTTTTTTTAAATTTTTACATGACCTACAGGACATCACTTGTAACACAATAAAGAAAAAGATATTATTCTTTAATACAGATTACAAAGTTGACAGTGAAAATTGCATCATGATTGGTTGAAAGAGATATTGATAGGATTTAATAGTCCTCTACTTTAATTGCTACTGTTTCCAATTAGACAGAGTTGGTGTTGCTCAGCCTGAAAATTCTGGACTCTGACTTCTTGAGCCTCTACAACTCTAAAATGTTCGTGTTCACTGCTGTGCTAACTTTACATTTAAGCATTAGTAATGATATTTTTAGATAATTTTAATGTTTTTTATAGTAGTTATGAATACACTAACCTTTTTCATCCCATGCTTACTGTAAAAATAAGATTAGCCAATGATTATCTCTTTTATATATATATATATATATATATTTGACAATCCCGTGGTTATGGTAAATTTCACACATACTGACATTACTTTGAGAAAACTGATTTGTATCCCTACTCCCATCCCAGGAGAATGTTCTTATTATCTCAGTAACGTCCAGCAGATGATATCAAGATACGGGTCAGCTGGTGAGCACATGTGGGATTATAAGAAAATCGGCCTGAAACAGCTCAAATTCACCAATAAGCCATCCCATGCATGGCATTTTATTTATTGAGAATCTTAATAAACATTTCCATCATAATTCTCTTCCAAGTAGCCTTGGCACAACTTGGATTTCTTCCTTCTTATGGTCTTTATAACTGTGCTTGCACAAACTCTGTTATAGCAGTAGATGACTGAGGGAAGTTAGCTGGTTTGGTAGCTCTAAATACCATCCCCAGGACCTGGATTAATAACCAGCAGAACATTTATTGTTGAATAATGAATTCACTCCTTGTATAATGCTTTAATGTAAGAAATTTCTCCCTTGATTGGTTTGAGCCCTTTCTTAAACTCACACGTCATTAGCGAGCTAGGAAGTGTATTGTTGGACTACTGGTAATTCTTAGCAGTGTACGAAGACCACTATGTTCCGTATATTAGTATCTAACATTTATTGAGCACAAGCTTTATGTGCCAAGTGCATTGGCAGGTGCTCTCTATTTAAAGTGGAAAGTACAACGAGTACTTGTTCCTTCCCCTGAGTGTAAAAGGAGTAGGTGGAACTCTTAGTATGGAAACTAGCAAATTTGAGTGTATCTGACATGGGGTGGGGGTGGGGGGGTGGTGCAGATCTTGGCTAATAGCAGGAAAAAAGTAGGTAAGTCATATATGCATACCTAAGACCAAGACTCATTCAGGGCATAAGAAATTGTGTGAAATTATTTGAAGTTATTGAGATAAGATTTTGTTTTTAACAAAGGCAGAACTTTTCTACATGCCGGCTTTGCAAACTATATCTTACGTATTTTCAGTCCATGTGCCAAAACTGTACTAGTCTCTTCTCCATCAGAGACTAACAAAAAACATCATGAAGATCCACCTGCTGTTGTAGTGGCCTGAATGATGCAGGAGAAAGGGGGTTTCCGAGGGGGAGTATTACCAATCACAAAACCTGAACACATGTTATTGATTCTAGAGCCAAGATGTTGACACTGTCTGCACCCAGATCAAAATTAGATAAAATAACATTAGATTTCTATAATTACAGAAAGTAGCATATAACTTGAGACAAAGTTTCTAAAATACTGCATTACAGAACACTTAGTAATTAAATCTTCCATTGCTCCCTAGTTTAAACACAATGACTATTCATTACTGTGCTGTCCTCCCCAAAACTCCACTGGAGCCTTCTATGTAGCTCCTAGTCTTTCAGTCTCCCTAGAAAACCTTTTCTATTTTACATGAAAATTTTAGAGGTGTAGAGGCTACAGGAGTCAGAGTACAGACTTTTCAGGTTGAGTAACACCAACTCTGCCATATTGGTAACAGTATATAAAGTTATATACATAAAATATGAACAGAGATAAAGTTATATACATAAACTATGAAACAATTCCTTGCCTTCCTTATTATTTGCCTGTCTGCTCAGCAAACCTCTGCTCTTTAGTCTCTGTTTCTGCCCAAGACCAGTCTCCCCTCAGGCCCTTGATCTCAGCTTCTTATGTTCCAACAGTGTATCTTAGATTTATTCCTTCTTTACTAAGTTCTTTTCCTCAACCTATACACATGCTCAAATAGCCTATCCTTACAGAAACTCTCTTGTGACCCTGAAATTCTCTCCTAATTACTATCCATTCTCTTTTCTTTCTCATCCAATGTCATTCATTAATGCAATAAAAGTTTGTTGAGCAGCTATTATGTGCCAGGTACAATGCTAAACTTCTTTAATTCTATAATCAGAACAACAGTTATTATTCTTCAGTCTCAAAAAGCATGTATGTATTAAATTAGAAATATAAATTGGGAAAATATAGAAATGTATAAAAAATAAATAAAAATTATAAATAATCCTACTCACATGCCCAACACTGGTAATATCAATATATAACCAACCACATATGTACTGCTGCCTATTGGTAATGATGTATTCTAGATACAGGTAGAGTAAAAATACAAAATATGCCTTACAATATAAATTATTTTAAGTTTGTAATTGTAATTATTTTAAGTATTTTAATGAGATGTTTCTCACCCTCTTGAATAGTCTTGGAATGCAAAGTTTGTGCTAATTAATGGTCCTGAATTGCAGACCCAACTTCTCATTGTATCCTTACATGACAGAGGCCCGTCCCTTCTGTAAGGACACTCAGCCTATTCCTGAGGGCTCCATGCTTACATTCTAATTATCTCCCAAAAGCCCCCACCTCCTAATGCTGTCACATTGGGCATCAGGATTTCACATATGAATTTTATGGGAACACAAACATTCAGCCCATTGCAATGCTCTTTTTCCCTTCTGTAAAGTTGTTTCTGGGGTGTGGCTGTCCTTCCAGGACACCTTCATCACAGTAGGGCCGTGCGACTAGTGCTCATTAAGAGTGGTGTGTGTAGCTTATGGGCCAAAATAGTGAAGAAGTAGGTATTCTCCAAGCTCTATGACTTCTTTCATCTGTTCATTGGGTCACAATGGCCAAGGTCACCTTGGAAGCCATGTGTTGAGGATTGGCAGAGCCCCTATCAAAGTAGGGTCATGAATGATCCCACAGAGTAGAACACGGTTCCACACCCCCACCCCCTCACTGCCCGCTAGATTTACAGGGTGAGAAACAAAATTTCATGGGATTAAGCTACTGAAATATGGAGTTTCTCTGTTATATTGATTAGTGTTACTTAAATATAGAAACTAGTATCTTAAAGTGAGTGCTAGTATAGTAAATATCCTAAAACATGTGACATTGCTTCTAGATGCCAGGCAGGGAACAGTAAAAAACCTTGCGCTGAAGCATGGGAAGACAGAGGTCCAGTGTATGGGGTAACGAAACATTTGGTTACACTGTCTCCAAAAATAAGTTTAAAGGTAATCAATTTGCCTGTAGCCGTAAATGCAGAAAGTGAAAATAGAATATTCGTAGGATGTGTTGGTTGAATGCAGGCTATATTAGTTGCTTAGGGCTGCCACAAACTGGGCCCTTGAAACAACAGAAATTCATTCCCTCATGGTTCTGAAGCCTAGAAGTCCAAAATCAAGTGGTTGGCAGGGCCATTCTCCTTGAAACCTCTGGGAAATAATCCCTCTGTGCCTCTTAGCTGCTGGTGGTGGCGGTTGACGCGTCTTCACACTCCTTGGCTTGTAGCCGCATCATTTTAATTTCTGCCTGTATCTTCACCTATCTTCACATGTCTATCGCAGTGTGTGTGTGTGTGTGTGTGTGTGTGTGTGTGTGTGTGTGTCGAAATCTCTCTCTCCTTACAAAGATACCAATCCTTGGAGGTAGGGCCCACCCTGATCCAGTATGACCTTATCTTAACTTGATTATATCTGCAAAGATCCTAATTCCAAGTAAGGTCACACTCACAGATATCAAGGATTAGGTCTTCAGTACAGTTTTTCCAAATTCAATTCAATTGTGGAATTCAAGTTGAATTCCGCAATTCAACCCACAAAATGGACATTGGAAAATTACATGGCCTCAGGCAAAATTTTTCTGTTTGTAGGCAAAAATTGAGAAGGAATAGAAATAATACACATGTTTGGAGTTTGTT
Source organism: Homo sapiens (assembly GCF_000001405.40). Taxonomy (NCBI): domain Eukaryota; kingdom Metazoa; phylum Chordata; class Mammalia; order Primates; family Hominidae; genus Homo; species Homo sapiens. The sequence continues at coordinate 22,268,814 of NC_000013.11, forward strand.
GGAAAAGCAGAATGCTGCTGCATTCGGTCTCGTGGGGAGCCAGACTGAGCAGGGAATCTTAACACATTGAACATGGGGCTTCCAAGTCTACTAGGGTGTGGGGAATAGATCCTGTATGTAGGAATGAGGATGCACATGGATACATTTTGACCAGAGAAGAGGACTGTGGCAGAGAAGGCTAGCTATGCACAGAGATCCTGTTCCCCTTCCGTACTAGAAAATGATTGCTGGGAGTAACTGCCTATTTAAGGACTGCATTTTTTACTTCCCCTTGCATCCGGAGGGGATAGAAGGAATGTATTTTACTTCCACCTGGTTAAGAAGTGCATATGCCTTCTCCTTTCTCTCTTCCTCCATCTTCTGACTAGATATATTCAAGATGACTTTGGGCTCTGCATGTTTAATAGGGCGGGACTTGTGTCAGACAGGATCCCTTAACAGCTGGATGGAGAAATAAAGGTATATTTTGTTAAGCCACTGAGAATTTAGGGCTTATCTGCTATGGTAATATAAAGTTTTACCTTTACCAACATATAAAGTGTTCCTTAATTTATTTGAAATGTCTTCTATGGTTAGGCATTTTAGATGTTTTTAGGTTTCTACTGTTACAACAATATTAACCTATGAAGTTTTGGATTCATCCCTGCTTATTTCTTTTCTTTCTTTCTTTTTTTTTTTTTTGAGATGGAGTCTCACTCTGTCACCCAGACTGGAGTGCAGTGGCGCGATCTCGGCTCACTGCAACCTCCATCTCCTGGGTTCAAGCAATTCTCCTGCCTCAGCCTCCCGAGTAGTTTGGATTACAAGCATGTGCCACCACGTCTGGCTAATTTTTTGTATTTTTAGTAGAGACGGGATTTCGCCACGTTGGTCAGGCGGTCTCGAACTCTTTTTTTTTTTTTGAGATGGAGTCTTGCTCTTTGGCCCAGGCTGGAGTGCAGTGGCGCGATCTCGGCTCACTGCAAGCTCCACCTCTCAGGTTCATGCCATTCTCCTGCCTCAGCCTCCTGAGTAGCTGGGATTACAGGCGCCCGCCACCGCGCCCAGCTAATTTTTTATATTTTTAGTAGAGACGGGGTTTCACCATGTTAGCCAGGATGGTATCGATCGCCTGACCTTGTGATCCGCCCGTCTCGGCCTCCCAAAGTGCTGGCATTACAGGCATGAGCCAAGCCACCGTGCCCGACCTCATCCCTGCTTATTTCTTTGGAATACATTCCTAGTGTGAAATGTGGAGGTTATGAGAGGCTGTCAATATTCATTGCCTTTCAGAAAGAATATTTCAGTTTGTAATTATTTCTACCAGAATTGGATGGTAGTACCGTGTTTTTCCACCATTGCCAACATACTTTACAAAAATTTACCAAAGTGACAGGAGAAATAAAAATCATATCTTGACTAAGCTTGAAGTGTAGCCTGTACGGGTTGCCATCATTTCATCACCTTTTAGTCACTTCTAAACCTATTACAATTTATCTTCCACACCATTAAGCAAATGAAAATGCACTTGTTAATGGTCTCTAATGACTTCTGAATTATCAGATCACATGGATGTATTTAATTCCTTGTCTTATTTTCTCTCTTTGTATCAGTTTAACAATGGAACAGAAGTCTTTTCTTTCTTATTTTCTTATTTCTTCACTTCTGCTTTTGTCTTTTCTTTAATATTATTATGATGACAACTCTATCTTTGTGACCATTCCTTCTAAGTTCCCTTTCTGGATCCTCTTTCTTTGCCTGGTCCTACATGTTGGAGCTCCTTAGTGTTCTGTCCTTGTCCTCATATTTTCTATCTCTGTCCCTGCTCCCAAACCTACCTCTCGTGTGCTAATGGCTTTCTTATCTATGTGGTTAGCTTGGCCTCTCACAGACCCTGTGTCAAGTGCCTACGGGACATCCTCCACCTGACCATCCCATAGAGACTTCAAACTAAACAGAACTGAATTCATTATCGCCTCCTCCCTCAAACCTATCCTTTCATCTTTACTTCCTACATAGGTTGGTAACTCCGCTCTTTAACTCTTTACTCACTCCCCTAGGCTGTGGGAGTCAATCGGTCTTTTTGAGTGTTCATATTCAGGTTCTCTTGAATGTGCACTGGACCAGGTGACTTGCTTCTAACAAATGGAGTAAATAAAAGTGGCGGGATGTCACCTCTGGGATTAGGGTATAGAAGACTGTGACTTCCATCTTGCTGGTATACTCTTCTTCACTCTGCCCCGAGCTTGCTGTAATGGACAGGGCCAGATGGCATGGCGCTAAGCCAGCAAGGGGCTGAAGCCCTCAGTCCAACAGTCTTTGAGGGCCAGGATTCTGCCTGCAACCACCGAGAGAGCTGCGAAGCTGATTCCAGCTCACTTGAGCCCCAAGATGACTATGGTCTTAAATGTCACCTGGATCACAGCCTTGTCAGAAACCCTGAAGCAGAAGACCCAGCTAAGTTGTGCCCAGATTTCTGACCCACAGGAGTATTAAACAATAAATATGTGTTATTTTAGGGCATAAGTTTTGGAGTACTGATTTGTTACACAGCAAATAAACAATACAGGGAATAAGACAATGGCAAAATATTATGTGAAAATTTATGAATTTTTACCTTCGAAATATGTGAATGTTAATGAAGGAAATTCTTAGTGATAATATTTGAATACCTCTTCATATAAAATATATCAAAATAGCATATTTTAACTTTTATCAGCATTTGATGTACCAACAATATTTTTCTTCAATATGTTCATTCTTGGTATGAAGAACTATATGAAAATTATAAATGCATATTTAAATGGCTAAGAAATTACATAAATTTTGATTAATTATAAAGTAATGAGAATATGTGGCCAAATTAAACCTCAGTTATTTGGCAGGAAGTTATAGTTATAACACTGATCAAAGCAGTGTCCCTTGAACTTACCTTGATTAGCATTTCCTGTGTAACAAAAATGCCCCAGATTCCTTGAGAAAACTCACAGTGTTGGTTCATTCAGTGAAAATTTGTGTTATAATTTTGCATACACAACTACATGGTAAGTGGCTGTAGTTCCCAGTACATTGGCTTAATTGGGTGGATGTGACTTAATTTAAGTAGCTGTCTTGTTTAATTCATTAACTTAATACTTTCACCCTCCCCCTCTATATTTCAAATTACCTCCAGGATGAAATAGAATGCTGTAGTTCTAAGGATAGAAAAACATTACTTCTGAGCAATATTTCAGTCATAGGTCAGTAATCTTGATAGCTGGTGTTACATCTGCCTCATCTAGCAGGGTGGATATAGATGTTCTTATAGCTCGGAGAGAATCACCAAGGTACTAAATACATGCATAGGACAAAGACAGGCATCATTAGGAAGGGCAAGTATTGCAACATATTTTATTGTGTGCTATGGCTGCATGATGAAGTTTGCTGCCCCGACAGCCATAAATCACATTCACAGATTAAACTCATTTTCTGTGGCCTAAAGGAGCTTTTCTAGATTCAGTCATTAAATTTTTAGTTTAACCATTTTCATATGTGGAAAAAATGATGTTTTTTTACAGAGACGTAATGGTTATCCCTACTCTGGAGAAATTTACTGCATTATATTGCTGAGGCTTAATAGAGATTTAGGTTTCATGTTGGGAATATACTGAAGATAAAATTTAATGGTGCATTCAACCACTTAGGTGGATTGTCATCATAAGTCATACAAAAAAGCTGTAAGTGATGAGACTTGCTATCTTCCCACTGAAAGAAAAATATGAAAAACCAAATTGAAAATAATGCCTTATACCATAAATTTTTATTTCCATGTACTTTTGCCTGTCACCAAGTATCACAGATCATTTCATTCTTTGATGTGTTGACTGTAAGTCTACATTGAACACTAAAAATAACATCAAATAGTGTCTTATTAACCTGATTTAAAACAATGATTTTTCCCTCTTTGTATTTTACAACACAAAAAATAAGCAGATGGATTTAGATGATTCAGTGGTTTTTCCCCTGGGATTTCACCCTCAAAACGAATCTCCAGATATTCTGTATGTCCCCATAAAAATGTATATTTTTCTCCTTTTTTTTTTTTTTTTTGAGATGGAGTCTCACGCTGCTGCCCAGGCTGGAGTGCAGTGTGCAGTGTCATGATCTCACTCACTGCAACTTCTGCCTCCAGGATTCAAGCTATTCTCTTGCCTCAGCCGCCCAAGTAGCTGGGATTACAGGCACGTGCCACCATGCCTGGCTAATTTTTGTATTGTTCGTAGAGACGTGGTTTCACCATGTTGGCCAGGCTAATCTCGAACTCCTGACCTCGGGTTATCAGCCCACCTTGGCCTCCCAAAGTGCTAGGATTACAGGCGTGAGCCACCACGCCCAGCCTTTTTTCTCCTCAATTTGGGTATCACATGAATTAGCTTTTCTGTAAAGTACCATTTGCTCTGTCCTTTCTGTGTATTTCCTCCATCAAAAATTTCAGAGCCGTGTTTTATTCCTTCAAGGGTCTTCCAGGCAATTGTTTAGAGCAGCGCTACTTTTAAACAGAACCTTGTTTGATGATGAAAATATTCTTTATCTTTGTGTCTACTGCAGTGTACATACAGTCCTAAGTGCCTGTTAGTCACTTGAAATGTGTCTAGTGCAATGGAGGAACTAATTTTTAAATTTCATCACATTTTAATTAGTTAAAATTTAAATTAGTCACATGTGGCTACTATATTGAACAGTTCAGTCTAGATAACAAAGTGATAATGCATGCTTTATTTTAAATGTATTGTTCTTTTCAGTTAGATTTCACGATGTTCTCTTGGTGTTTAATCTTATTTTGCTTTATTTCATTTTGTTGAGTGTTTATTATGTGCCAGGTACAGTGCAATATTCATCAACATGGATGCTTATCTATTTCTATTGTTTTTATTTATTTCTGAACTGCAATTGGCCACTAAGCCTCATGGGAAACTATCTTTGACCCCAGAGTGACCTGAAGATGCAGCGTCTTGGAACTTTCACCTGGAACACCAGGATTCTCTCAGCCACATGCCTTCAGTAGCTAGGCTGTCTTGCTGTGATCTGCCTCTGTCACCATCCAGTGGGGACAGGTCCTAGGTGCAGAGCCAAGAGAACGATACATGTGATTTGATGTAAAATATGTTAATTAAAGGCCTTCTGTCTCCCTTTTTTGTCTTTTTCCAAAATTCTCTCTGAGATTTTCCATTAAAGGAGTAAAAATTTCTTCAGATGGAAAAAGAGCCTTATATTGTAATGTCTATGGGATTTTCATAGACTCTGAAAACCAAACTCCAAATTCCTAAATACCTAGACACTGTTGAAAGCACTTTACTTGAGCGCATTCAGGTATTATAATAACAATTACGTAAATTTTTCAGAACACTTCTGCCTGGTTGGATTAAGATCAAATTTATTAAAATATGTCTGAACCAATTAAGTAAATCGTGATATAATGTAAAGTACAAAACACCCACCAATGATAATAATTTCTATCAACATTTCACATCTGTAGTTAACTTGAAGCAGATGCTCTAAGACACGGCCCATTGTTTTATATTTGCATGTGACAACATGTTTTGATGTTTTCTTTTTAATTGTAACATCATGTCATGCAGCTTTTTAAAAAAGTACATGTGTGGTAAGTGTCAAAGCCTGAGCTAAAATTTCATTTCGAAAACTCTTTGTAGCATTTCCAATGATCCTATCTTTTTTCCATGTACTCCACAGGATTCAACAGAGTTGGATTGCTGAGAATAAAATTACGGATTTCTCCATAATGGACACACGCACTTTTTGTTTGTGCTGTTTCCTTTAGAATGGACGATGAGTCAAAATTGTTCGTTTATGCTTCTTCACAGAAGGATCTTCTGTGTCGTAGGAGGTGGCCTGCAGCAATCTGGACATTCAGTGGTCCTCCTGTGATTAATAGGTGAACGGATGAGCTATTCTGATAAGAACTGGGGAACTTTTGCCATTCAAAAGCAAATAGAAGAACTGGGAGATTCCTCAACTTAGCTTTTCTTTTTTTTGGTTCTAAAGTGACTGCGAATGGAGGTAGAAGAGAAGAAAAGCTTTCAAAAACATCTTCCATTAAGAAAAATATGTATCTTCATGAAGACCTATCTGAGTAAAATTACTAAAACATAATGGCTTTCTTGAAATAGAATGGAATGAAAGGCATATTAGGGAGTATGAAAGTATGAAGATTTTATTAACATACTTCTAGAAGTTTATTAAATATCTGCACAGGAACTGTAATTTGAGATCAGTGGTGGAAAGAGAATAAAGGAATCACGTGGACATCAGCTCTGAGGCCTGTGGCCCCACTTGCTTCTGGGCTTTCTATAGACATTTGCTGGTGACCTGCCCAGGCAGGCTAGAGTACCCTTCCTCATTGCACCCTGTGTTCCCATCCTCTTTTCCTTCCTTCCTTCCTTCCTTCCTTCCTTCCTTCCTTTCTTCCTCCATCCCTTATGAAACCCTCGTTGTGCAGTTACTTATTAGGTGCTGTGTGAGCGTCTGAAGTCTCCCCTCACCCACTTTTCCATTTGGGCCACTTGGCCAGTGATTGCATCAGTACCAGGGTTCTAGGAGCCATGCAGGGATCCCCAGTGGGCAGAGCTGGCCGTAGCATTTGGAAAGGAAGAGAGAGAACTGGAGACAATGCCTAGGAACAAAAGCAGAGTCCAGACCCAGGCATCAAGTGCAAATCCAAAGGCTCTGGATGAGTCAGTTCCCAGCAAAGGGACACAAGTAGGCACAGAAGGAAGGACAGCAGAAAACACTGGTCCAGAGAGGGCCTGCAGAGCCAGAAGCGATGACGCATCCAAGGTTGTGTTTGACTTCTGCACTGCCTCTGCAACCTGTAAGCACATCTGAGCCAGTTCAGAAAGTAGGAAAACCAAAGTATATCAGAAATGGCCTCTTATCATCAAGGAGATTTTGGTCTAGATTGCTTATTGCTCAGGAGAAATCACCACTTTTTAAAAAGATATGCTGAGATAGGGTTTAGTTGGGATAGAAAAGGTTATTAAACTACGGGACACCCTTCCTTTACAGAGTGTAAGCACTACTACCCCTTTTGTTTGTCTGTTTTTCTTATTTTTCTCACAGATGCAGTTCCTGCATTAGTATTGATAAATGTGTGGCTGCTCCACTTGGAGTGTTTTCAAAGCATAAATCACAGCATTGATGGTGCTGTGGTTTGGCTCTTCCAGCCCTCTTAACAACGGTCTGATGGACTTGGCGAGAGTCTAGCCACGTGTTCTGGCCTCTGTCACTCTCATGGCTGAAACGCATGCACACCCACAGATGGGGGCCCCGTGGTAGAGATGTGCCTCTACTTGTCAAATAGACTGACTCCAAATTCGGAAATATGCCTCAGGAATCTAGAAAGATAGAAAAGGAGTCTTCGTCACTGTAGGGTCTCATTCACAATATGGAGGAGAGATGGAGGGGAGTTTTTGGTATAAATTTTGCCTCATAAAAATTCTCCACGTTGTTTTGTACTGTATGAGGGTAGCGAGAAATTAGTTGATGGTTAACAATCAAGCTGGAGAAGAATATCCTCAATTTTTCACATGGAAAATGAAAAACTACAACTCCTTCCAAATATATGTATGTTTCTTTTCTGAAGATAGACGTGTGTGTGTTTGTGTGTATCATATAACATTTATTTTTTGATTTCTTTGTTATCAACAGTAAAAATACAGAAAATGATGCCAAAGAGAATTTCTGATTTTTCTTTCCTTGTTTTCCATTAAAGTGTATTACAAATAATGTCTTCAAACACAATAGCATGCATAGTGGCTTAAATTGGATTCTTCCTGGGCCACTCTGTTTAGGATCCAGGTTTTTAACATTGTTCTTCTAAGTGCATCCATGTTTCCTGAGATCCACAAAGCTTGATCTCATCCGTGGAACCACCTGGCCTAGAACCAGCTGCGGCTCTTACTGTGGTCCCCAGACGGGCAGCCTCTGCATCACTGGGAGCTCCTTTGAAAGGCAGGTTCTTGGGCTTCACCCAAGACCCACTCAATCAGAAACTCCAGGGGCGGGCCTAGCCATCTGTGTTTTAACAGGGTGAGGCCGATGCTGGTGCAGGCTTTACTGCTTCCAATAGTTGTGCAAACTTGAACTAGATGATTAACTTTCTTAAATCTCAGTTTCTTTACTTGTAAAATGAAGCTAGTATTATTTACTCATTGGACTATTAGGAACACCAAGTTTATAATACATTGTCTAACACGCTGTATGTATCACTTAATAAGTGTTTTCTTCCTCTTCCCCATCCAGAGCACTTTCTACCCTCTTCCCCCTCACCTGCCTCTAGACCAATAATATATCAATTCTGTTTTTATAAGGAATTAGTCAACATAAAAATTTCAATGTAGATCTTGCATCAATTTGGTGCAATGCACTTGGAGGCTATTTCTATTAGTACACCTTTAAAACAAAATGCTGAACAACTGCTGTGTTGTTTTCTAGGTTAAAAGCAATCCTCCCAAAGAAGTAGAGGTCTCAACTTTTACATCTTGATTTTACTGCAAAGAATATAGAAGGTTTAAAAGACAGGGTCTTTCTATGTCTCTAGGAACTTTTGTGCTTCCCTCATCTAGAAGAACCAGGAGTAACTCCTTCATTGGAGATCGTCTTTCACTTGGAGTTTAAAGCATTTTGCTTATGTGACACCCTTTTTTGAAATGGCCTCTTTGATGTGGAGAGGCAGAGGGTATCTTAATGAATTCTAGACTGCTTTCTGCACAATCCATCTCTGAAAGCTGAGGAAGATGGATCCTGTTTTGTCATCTAGCTTCTTGCTACTCAGTATATGTTCCATAGGGACCAACAACAGTGGGAGCTGGTGAGAAATGAGGAATCTCAGACCCCTCCCTAGGCCTACAAAACCAGAATCTGCATTTTAATAAGATCTTCAAATAATTCGTACTCATATTACTGATTTGACACTGGATGAGTTCATTGTATCTATTTAGGCAAATAGATATGAAAAATTAAAGGGAACTTTTCTGGCTGTTTGAAAACACCTTCTTTTCAATGAAAATTTTAAACTGCTTCCTGTGGCTCACAATGGACCCAAAATTAGAACTAAATTCTGCCTAAGTGCTTTTCTTTAAACTGTATCACCTAAGGGATATATAAAGAGGCAAGAGTTTAGAACTCACTAAATCTAGAAGACATAACTCTAAATAAGAGCGTGACGCAGGAAGTCAGTTGATTGGTGGTGTCCCTGCATCACTTTCTTGGAGACCGTCTTGCCCATCCTGTAACCACACACTCTTCCTTCTTATGCTTTGCGCTTCTCCAATTCCGTAAGCACTGACCGGAGCATTTCCATTAATGGAGTTGCCTTTCCAAGAGATTTTTATTACAGGGTTTTAAAAATGAGGCCTTCAAATTCTTAAGACCGAAAGGAATGAAAGTATAACTGTGATTATAAGATTATAGAAATCATCATGGGTTGAACTTTGGGAGTAAGAACTCCTGTCTTGAACTGTTTAAAACATGCTAGGAAGATGACTATTGATTTGTTAGTCTGTCTATATCCCAAGAACTGTATTCGGTGCGAGGGATACTAGGGAACGGTGTCCTCTTCACAACACTTGGAGTCTATACTTTTCTTGGGTATACCATCTTGTAAGATTTTGAACCAGCAGAATACTAGGGTGTACCCAAATTTGTAATGTAGCTGGTGCCCCCTGCTGGAACAGGGTTACTTAAATTTCCATCTTTTGGGCCATCTGTGCCAGCAACCCTGTTAAGACACAGCCTTGCCAACGTAGCCTATGGGTATAAGAGTAAGTCATTTAATTAACCTCTGCTTCAGTTCCCTGACATATAAGAGTAGAATAACAATAGCAGCCAATCCCAAGCTTCTTGTTGAAAGGTAGAATTAATTAGGGATGACAGTAAAATACTTCATGAAAACTGGATACTAAATAGTGATAAATGTTTGAACATGCCTCCAGTGTTCCTCTGGCAGGAAATGACAATGTGGTATGTGTTATTACTAGACTCGATGTTGCTAATTTTATCTGGTTATTAATTCTCACTTGTCTTAAAGTTGAAATGCACACATACACCTTCATCCACCCCAATCAATATTACATGAGCTGAAGATTTTTGCTGATAGCATTCTCTAGTGAGCAAGATGTGATGAAGAATGTGCTTCAAACAGAGAGGACAAAATAGGTCAGTAAGTGTCTTTGTGTATTACAGGTATAATACTTTGAAAATCACTGATTTGTACTCCTTTATTGATAGGGGGACTTCTCCTGACACAAGAGTGAGTCCCAGAGAATAAGGGTCCCAGAGATTGAATTCCATATGAAGAAGGGAGGGAGTATGAGATTGAGGAAATGCAAGGAGAAATAAGAGTGCCCCATTTTCCTGGCCGGGAAGGTGATGGAAGAAATAAAAAAGAAAGTGCTAAGGTAGAAAAGTCAGTGTGCATCCTATCTCTCCTTTCATGGATAGAACCCCAGTGGGGTTGGGAGTGGGAGAGTTTTAGCTAGAGGTAGGGCAAAACCCCAAGGACATTCCAGGAGAAGTACTGTAGCTGGAAAGCTGTTTCTCCCAGGAGAAGCTGGGGTCAGTTGGCATCCAGCATGATGTGTGGTTGGCCGAAAGAGGAGGCAAAACAAACAGGACTGAGGCAGGCTCCTGGTCCCACAGCCTGTGTGTGGTGTGCAGGAGATTTTTAAAGTCCCTGCAGAAAATGATGAAGGAGTCAAAACTCCTAGGCTTGAGACCAAGGCTGCAGTTTGCAAATTCTTCAGGGATGAGGCAGGTGGCTGAGACCAAGGATTTTGGAAAGAAGTGCCATCACGATGCCTGGATGGCTGTGGAGTTAGGCACACTGCAGTGCTGTGGGCTCAAGGCAGGGGGGCAGCTCACCTAGAGCACAGGGGAGATTGCAGAATGCTATGCATTTGTAGGGCCCTGCTCTCTGGCACTCATGCCACAGCCAGACTGCAACAGGCTCACCTAAAAGGCCTGGAAGTTACCTTGGAGAAGAGCAAAAGATATAGAACACCCAGAATTTCCTTAAGGAAATATTTGAATTATTGGATCAGACTAAGTTTGACAAACTGAGAAACTGGATCAGCCCCAAGAAACAAGGAAGCTCCACTTGTCTTCATACATCTCACCCTAAAGTATACAGTTGTGAACCTTCTACATGGCTCAAAAATTGTACCAAAATATGCCCAGATTTCCAGGATAATTGGTGGCCCAATTCTTCTAAGTACTGTCAAGTATCAAAACACCTGTGTGATGCTGAAGCCTACATCTTAGAGCTTGTTACGAAGGATCTGGTGTTTGTAGGAATAGAAGATTAATGGAGTTTATAGAGCCTCAATGAGATGAGGAGGCCATTGTGACATCACATTATCAAAATTATTATGGGATATCATGTTAGCAGAAAAGAGATACGGGAGAAAGAAATGGGGGTAGAAAATCTTTAGTTGTTTACTAGAAAAGAAAAAAGCCATATGTGTTCACTGTGATGACACAGAGGTGTTGGGGGGAAAAAATAAAATAAGACAAGAAGCCAAATTCACGAATGTTTAGAAACAAGTGGAAGCTGCGCACATCTCTGATCATTCTGTTGACGCCAGCTTTACAAAATGGAGGCCCACTTTAAAAATAAGTGTACTGAAGGGTTAGGCAAAGGACATGTTTTGTTTTTTTTGTCCTGAAATCTGCAGTCACTGAGATTGGTATTAATGACATCACTATTATGAATGCTGCGATTTCATCTAGTATCTATTCAGTTAACTGCGAACTTGAGGTCTGAACAAGTCCTCTCTTCCTGCTCCTCCCTGCTAAATACAACTTTAAACTCTGGAAATAACCTAAGAGACAACCAAAGGAGGGTACCAAAAAAAGGAAGAGGAAGGTGGGGACTGATGAGGGATCCATACGGGTGAGGGACAACGCAGAGCCAGTGTCCTGTGTCTTATCCAGGCATCTAACCTAACAAGAAAGAGAACCCCAGGCCTGGCAGAAGGCAGCCCAGATAGGCCCATTTCTCCTTGGATCCAATGGGAATCCTACTGAAAACACCAGGTGGGCTGGAGCACCAGCTATCAAGGATTGAACAAGAGTTATGCCAAGGGCCGACACCTAGGGCCAGGGCCAGGGCAGTGATCCTGTTTCTGCAGGTGTGAAGGGACTCTCTTCTTCCATCTGGGGACAACTGGGTTCAGTGGGGAGGCCAAGCGCCCTGCCAGGGAGTCCTTTTCACACTGACCACAAAACCAATATCCATTAAAAATGGGCGAGTCCAATATGATTTATAAATAATAATATGAAAACAAATACAATGTTAACATATAGGATTCCATAACATTAAAAAATACCATGATCAATGTGTTTATTTCAGGAATGCAAGCCTATTTAATATTTATAAATCTATTCTCATCCACATTAATGAATTTAAGCATAAAAATTATATGCTAATCTCCCCAGATATTACAAAGGAATAAGTAATAGCCAATCTTAATAAAAAGAAAATTTGTTATAAAACAAGTGTAGATGAATTCTTCATTGACACGATAAAATATATTTATAATAATGCTAAAGATAGTATTATGACTAGCAAGAAAAAAATGTTAGAAACATTCCCATTAAAATAAGAGATAGGACCAGGGTGTTTGCTGTCTCTGGTCTTTAGCACTTTTCTGGAGCTATAAGCCAATGCAATGTGACAAGAGAATAAAGTTTAAAAACTGAAAATTGAAAAAAGGAAGGGTACAATTTTATTTGTTGGCAAATTGTATAGTAGCATATCTTCAAATAGTCTAGACAATTAACTGAAAAACTCTTCCATAAATTAGAGGCACTCAAAATGAATATGCAGAATATATACAGAATCTATACAGCAAGAGAAGACCCAATTTACAATCCCATACAAATGATAAAGTACCTTGAAATAAATTTAATGAAAAATGTGCTAAAAACAACAAGGTTATATTTATGGGCTTTCTTTTTTTTTTCTTTGAGACAGAGTCTCGCTGTGTTGCCTAGGCTAGAGTGCAGTGGTGCGATCTTGGCTCACTGCAAGCTCCGCCTCCCAGGTTCATGCCATTCTCCTGCCTCAGCCTCCCGAGTAGCTGGGACTACAGGTGCCCACCACCACGCCTGGCTAATTTTTTGTATTTTTAGTAGAGACGGGGTTTCACTGTGTTAGCCAGGATGGTCTTGATCTCCTGACCTCATGATCCATCCACCTCAGCCTCCCAAAGTGCTGGGATTACAGGTGTGAGCCACCGTTCCTGGCTTATTTCTGGACTTTCTTATTCTGTTCCATTGATCTCTTTAACAATTCTTGTACCACTTTTAATCATTATAGCTTTATAATATGTTTTAATATTTAGTAAATCTAGTTCTGTGTAAATGTCTCTGAATAGGAAGCTTGTTTTATTAATGTTATGTACAAGTCTGCATCCATTACAAATATTGGATTTTCAGATACTCATCTAAAATTATTTCTTCTGTGTTGTTCAGTGAAAACAAGCAAGGTGCAGGACACTTTGAGCAGTTGTGCAAAAGCAGGTATAAAATGTATATACATTTTTAGAATGAATAGACTATCTTTGAGATGGTTTGTAAAAAAAAAAAATCATAACATTTATTTCCTCTGGAGAGGAGAACTGGCAACTGGGAGATAAGGACAGGACAGAGAGTGTCATTGTAAAAAGTTTTGTTCTCATTGATTTATGAAACATGTAAATATATTATTGTTTACTCAAAAATAAGTAAATATAAATTTTAAAATATGATCATAGTCTCTACATTTTAATCCTCAGAGATGCCTTTTAAGTTTTTCTGTTAGAAACTTTTAATTCTATTACGCATATATAGGCATTACTTTGCTCTTTAATATTTTTTCAGGGAAAATGACATAAAAATTTAAAAAACCCAGGCAATAACTTTCTACATTATCAGGTTTTATTACGCTAAATTAAATTTACTAAATGCTATTAATTAAATTTTAGTAAATGCTTTTAGAGTATGTGTTCTTTTAACTGATAAGATGGTACTATTCTCATGATGCATTATGTGGAGTCTATAAAGGAAAGTTAATATCACAATGCCTAGAAAAGTTAAAGTTTCTGCCTCATGGGGAAATATGGCTGGTCTTTATTCCAGACTATTTTCAAATAGCCTGCTCAGCCCTCCAAAGCTATGTTGTCTTCTCTGACCTGTTTCTTAATTTATATGTAACTTTTAAATCTGCAAAAGGATATTTCAATTTATTTTTATTTTATTATTATTTTTTGAGACAGAGCCTCACTGTGTTGCCCAGGCTGGTCTGGGATCCTCCCGCCTCAGCCTCCTAAGTAGCCAGGATTAGAGGCTTGCACCACCCTGCCCAGCAATTTTAGTAGTTTGGACTTCCTGTGTCTTCCTTTCTGCTTCCCTATGTCCATTATTCATCTCTAGTCGCTCATCTTCCATGCACATCCAATTCCTCATGCTCCTTGACTGTCTCACACCTCCATGCAAGCATAGACCCAGGTTGGCAAGGTCCTCTTTAAGAAACAGAGTATAAACTTAGAAATATATCATTAATACCAAAGTAAATATTTGTTTAGAGAGACAGAAACAACATAACAAATTATACATTTTAAAAAGCTTTCAAAGGCTATAAACATAAAATCCAGAAAAGTAAGATTTCTTTATGTCCTAACACAACTTCATAACATTTTTTCTCCTGTTTTTTTAGGGGTTCGGGGGGCTACTTGTATTTTGCCTTGACATGTAACAAAAATTTCGTAAAAGTATGTTCTGTAGGGAAAATAGAAAAAAAATAATTCAGCCTTTTTTCCAGCATTGTTGGTTAAAATAATTTGGAAAAGTTACTTTTAGCTTCACAACGCATCTCTGGTTACACGTAGATTATTAGGATTGTTGTCAAATGCGGATAATCCTCTACTGAGTCTCTTTCATAGATGAGCTGTAAGAGTTCAAGTCATTTCAAGCATTCTCGGTCCATGACTAAACTTACATAGTCTTTGAACTGACAACATCCATTCACTCATGGAAGTGGTGTATTTTGAGTTTTCACTATATTTGTGAAAGTCAGGGAGAAACTCACATCTTTTCCCAATGTGTTCATGCAATTTACTCTCTTTAGTCATTGGTACAGTCCAAAAAGTTATTTATTATTTCTTTTTGCAGTTTGTTTCTTCCTCTAAATGAGTTACAACTTTTGTATGATCTGAATTTTTAGTATTGCCACTGCTACAATTTGCTTCTTGATGTCAGAATAATATGTGTTGATTTCATTGCCACTTTTGTTTGTATTTCATTAATTGAAATTTCTCTTCATCCTTTAACTATAAATTTTAAGATGACAAAAAGAGGTAACAGAATGATCTTTAAAAAAGATCACCCACGTTCCCCACCGCTCCCCGGCCCTGGCTCAAGATTCTTTAATGGCTTCCTGTTTTAATCCATATTGAATTGGAACCACATGGCCCTGTACTACCTGGCCTATGTTGACTCTCAGCCCTTACCTCCCACCATAACTTCCTTTTGTTCCTCAGGCTTCACCCCCTCTGAACTTCCTTTCTGTTCGGGGATACACTGAGCTTGCTCTACCTCAAGGCCCTTACACCTGCTGCTCCCTATTCCTGGGATACTTTTTGTTCAGATGTTTGCACTGAGGACTCTGTCTCATCATTTTTTTTTCTTTACTTGTTTAGAGACAGGGTCTCACTCCACGTAATGTTATCAGCCTGTCAACCAGGCTGAAGTGCAGTGATGTGATCATGGTTTCCCACAACATTGAACTCCTAGGCTCAAGCAGTCTTCCTGTCTCAGCCTCCCAAGTAACTGGGACTACAGGTGTATGCCACCATGCCCAGATAATTAAAAAAAATTGTATAGAGATGGAATTTAGCTATATGCCACACAAGTTGGTCTGGCACTCCTGGCCTCAAGTGATCCTTCCACCTCAGCCTCTCAGAGTGTTGGGATTACAGGTGTGAGGTGCTGAGACCAGCTTCTTCTCACCTTTATGTACCTGTTGCATGAAACTTCCCTAATCACTCTTCCACCCCTTCCAATCGTGATTTCACTAATTATTTTATCATAAACTCTTAGCAGCACTGATGAAAGGATTTTTAAACTCCTCTTTGTATTTGATCATTTGATTATGTGTTTGTTGGGCTGTTTATTGTCTGTTTGTCCTGACTGGACAGCCATTTTTTTGATGACAGGGATCCCATTCACTCACTGTTTCTCCTCAGGGCCATGAGCAGTGCCCAGGGCAGGACATGCAGCCCGTGAGAAGTGTTGGCACGGTGTGTATGTTATGAAAGGGTTCTTTGGCCCAAGAAAGCTTAGGCAATGCTTCACACAGCCCCCTTTTGTAGACTTACATTTCATCTGAGTATTTTGAAGCTTCTGAGACTTTTCTGCGATAAATCTATTTCATTTTGTTTACGCCAGAGTTTGACAAATGTATTTAACCACAGAAGCTTCTTGTTTTATTACCCTATTACCAACTACCATTTTGGAAATAGTCACACAAAGCCTTAAAATAATTTCTAACACCAGAGGAACTCTACACAATTCCATAAAACTACTTAGGTAAGGATTTAGGGTAAACAGACATTGAAAAATAATGCCTTCATAGCTCTAGTCTGGTCATCCATTCATTCACTCATTGAATAAGCATGTCTTGGACATCTGCCCTGTACCAGACATGACATCATGTCTCAGAGATATAGTGATTGGTACAATCCCTGTATCTCTGAGCCTCAGCATCTATGATATGGTGTGAGAAACACCACACTCTATGGGAGAGCATGTTGGAGCAGCACTGAGCCCAGTCTCGGGCTCTGGGAAGGCTTCCTGGTGAGGTGTCCTCTAAGCCAAGACCTGAAGGATTCATAGACATTTGCCAAATGAAGAGCCAAGGAAGACCACCACAGACATGGAGAGCAGCCTGCGTCCCAAGCTGGCAGCGTGAAGCAGCATGGGCATTGGAGGGACTGGGGGAGCCCGGTGTGGTGGGGCAGACTGCGAGAAACAGGTGCTGAGCTACGAGGACAGAGCAGTAAGCAGTGGCCAGGTCACACAGAAGCGACCTGAAACTGCTAACTTATTTATCTGTCCTACTAACCTGAATGTAGATTCATTTAAGTGGCTTTGTATTGTTGACTGTATTTCTCTGGCTTACTTTGTCACCTGGTGCCGAGTGAACATTTGGTAAAGTTTTATGAAATAGAGGAAGTAAAACAAGTTGAAGACTGGAGGAGTCTTTCAGTAACATTGCCAGTGGGGGGAAAAGCTGCTCTTGGGGGTACTGTGATCAACTGCTGCTTCATTTACTACTCATTTGCAAGCAACCTTCTAGGAGTAGCAGGAAAACACACCACAGACATGATAGCAATCACAGGCCTTTCTGATGGAGCAACTGGCCCGAGTAGCTGTCTCAGGAAAAGGGAGCAGCCGTTTCTGACACCGTTGGGAATATCTTTCTAGCTTTTGAGTAATTCTAAGTGTCAGGATCATTTAACTTTTCAGAGTGTGCAGTGTAAAACAAGTGGTAAATTGGGGTGGGGGGAGGAGTCCAAAAGAGAAAAATAGTCGATGTTGCAGACTTGTTTCCACTATTCAGTGGCCAATAAATGATGTCTAGACTCTGTCCCTCATTCCCATCTGGAGAGTTCTGCTGTTCTTACATAATAAACGAATCAAAAGAAAAACAGTCATGGGTGGGAGAAACAGCAGGGTCTTCGCATGTTGTTTCCCTTATGATTTCTTTGCCAACAGGAAGGCAACTATTCTAACTGAGCCAATGAACACTTTATGAAAACTGCTTTAATCCCAGACTTTCTTACCCTCCTGACTAGCCAAGTCATTTTTGGGTAGCTCAACACTTCTTATTTTGGCCCCGGCCCAGGGCTTTCTTATACCCTGAGAATTCATATGAAGACGATTATATACACTTTCTGGGACTACTTCTTTTTGTCAGAGTTTGAAACCAAAGAAATATTTAAACACTTTATTGTCTTTTTATGGTGATTCTGTCTGTGTAACTGATCAAACTTTTATAAGGGAAAGAAAAATACAGGTTTTGTTGAGTAAAGGGAGATGGTAAAGAGCTTGTTTCTTGTGAAACTGGTTCTGTGAATAAAGGAAATAAGGATGACAGTTTTGAAAGAATCGTCTGAATTCCTCCCCAGCCTTGGAGAGTTTTTCACCTCTTTTTTTTTTTTTTTTTTTCTAAAATTTAACTTTTCTTCTTGTTTTTAAGAATTGATACCTAAAACTGTACATATTCATGGGGCGCAGGTGATACTTTGATACGTGCATACAATGTGTACTGATTAAATCGGAGTAATTGAGATTTTGGTTAGACTTCTGTTCATATTTCATAGTTTTCTTTGTTGCTCAATTCTTGCCTTAAACAAGCACAAGTGTCTTTGCTTCCTGAATTCTTCACAGGAGAAAGGGATTGTCAAATGGTGAAGGCAAGGGGCCGGGGCAGGAACCTGGTTTTCCAGACTGGTCAGGAATGGAGGCTCCTGGAATTTTCCATAGTGTTTTATGATTCCCCCAGTCCCCTTCTTCTGCATCTTTGGCCTGTTGAAAAAAGGGAAGCAGTTGGAGGTTTTGAGAATTGTTTTTGAGCAGGCATGACAGGCTGTGGTGTGGAACCGTGCACCTATGTTTGACCTCGGACCCTTGAAAATGCAGCTAGAGTGCTGGATCTACAAGCTCAGGCACTGTGTTGAGGACTTAACTCTGTCAAATGACTACCTCTCCTTACACGCCTACAACTCCGGTTATTGGCCTATGTTTTCATCTTGCTGCTGTGTTTCTGGGCATGTGATAGAATTCAATGTGCCATGACAAAGGAAACATAAAGCGCACACTCACTTTTCTCTAAGCCACACAGCTGTTGCGCTCACTCTTCCATTACATAAAATCTTGTTTCTCATTCATGCATCTTAAATTGGTTTGTTTCAGGCTGGTGTTTCTCCAGCAAATCTAGAACAAGAAAGCAGATGCTAGATTCACATCATTTTCTGAACACTAGGTTTTTATGTGACACTATTGGTTACCTAACATCTATAAGTTTAGATGCTTGAGGTCAGCATGTAACACTCTTATAGGAATGTTATATGATCCATTCATGTCTAAAATTTTACTGTTTTAATAACATCAAGGACTACAATAATACTAAATTACACTGTGAGCTCAAGATCAATCAGTATCTGTAGTAGTCTGTTCTCATGTGGCTAATAAAGACATACCTGAGACTGGGTAATTTATGAAGGAAAGAGGTTTAATGGACTCACAGTTCCACATGGCTGGGGAGGCCTCACAATCATGGTGAAAAGTGAAGGAAGAGCAAAGGCATGTCTTACATAGCGGCAGGCAAGAGAGGTTGTGCAGGGGAACTCTCATGTATAAAACCGTCAGATCTCATGAGACTTATTCACTATCATGAGAACAGTATGGGGGAAACTGCCCCCGTGATTCAGTTATCTCCACCTGGCCCTGCCCTTGGTACATGGGGATTATTTCAATTCAAGGTGAGATTTGGGTGGGGACACAGCCAAATGATATCAGTATCTCGTTCATTACTGTATTCCTAATATTTAGAATGAAACCTTGTATTAGATGAGACTCAATGAAAAGTTGTTGCTGCTGTTTAGTCTGGGACTTAGGTTCCCACAGAATTAGATCCTAAGACAAAGATTTAAATGCTTTTTTGGAGGGTTCAGGGTCATTATAAGAGGAGTGAGGAAGCGATATAAAAGAAGAGAAGGAAGCCAATAGAATGTGCACTATTCAGTCTACTTCTGCAGTAGCGTCATGTGGGAGTGTAATCACACAGAGAAACTCTGGGGCATATTGCAGAACACATGTCTCAGAATTTTCCCACCCAAGAAACAATGGCGCTGCTCTATTTAAACACCGACTTCTGAAAATGAATTAAAGGCTGCTCCCAGGGGTGTTCATTCTATCATTTCCAGCCTGCCTTTCTGTGACCAGAGTGGCCTTTCTTGGCTCAGGAACTGAGTGCCCTCTGGCACAGAGATGCAGAGCCAGGCAGAAAGATGCCCAGCAGCCAGCCGCAATGGCAGTCAAAGGCTGTGCCAGGAATGTGGGCAGAGCACTGACTGTGTCTGCTCAAGGTAATTTTGAAGTGAAAGTAGTTGCCAATTATTCTAATTCCTCTGCATATTGCTTTAAGTGTACCAATGACATTTTTATCACAGTCATTTGAGTAATACAAAATGGCTGTTTAGTTGTCCCAGCACCACTAGTTGAAGAGACTATTTTTTCCCCATTGACTGGTCTCGGCACCCTCATCAAAAATCAATTAGTCATAGAGGTATGGGTTGATTTCTGGACTTTGAAATTCATCCCTTTGGTCTGTTTGTCTATCCTTTAGCCAATACTATAGTCTTGTAACACTGTAGCTTTGTAGCAAGTTTTTAAATTGGAAAGCATGAGTCTTCCAATGTTGTTCTTTCTCAAGATTGTTTTGGCTATTTGAGACTCCTTATAATTCCATGTGAATTTGAAAAACTGATTTCCCATTTCTGCAAAAAAAGAAAAAAAACCTGCTGGGATTTTGATAGGGATTGCATTAAATTTTTACTAGAGTTTGTTTTGGGCAGTATAGGGATTGCTGTCCTAATGATATTAACTCTTCTAATCCATAAACATGGGATTTTTTTTTACCATTTATTTAGAGCTCCTTTAATTTTTTTCAGTAATGTTTTATAGTTTTCAATGTACGAATCTTTCACCTACTTGGTTAAATGTATTCCTAGGCATTCTATTTTTTAATGAAAATATAAGTAGAATTATTTTCATAATATCCTTTCTGGGTTGTTAATTACCGGTTTATAAAGACAGTGGTGTTTTATGTGGTGATCTGATACCCTCAAGTTTCCTAAATTGTTTATTAGCTTCAGTTTTTGTGTGGAATTTTTGAGATTTTCTATATATAGGATCATGCCATCCATGAATAAAGATAATTTTACATCTTTCCTTTCAATTTGAATACCTTTTTTCTTGCCAAATGGCTCTGGCTAGAACTTCCAGTAAAACGGAATAGCAATGCTGAAAGCAGGGATCTTTTTCTTATTCCTGATTTTAGAGGGGAAGCTGTCAGTCTTCAACATTGAGTATGATATGAGCTGTGCATTTGTCACAAGTGCTTCTTACCATGTTGAGGAAGTTCCCTTCTATTACTGTGTGTCTTTATCATGAAAGAATGCTTTATTTTGTGAAATACTTTTTGTGTGTGTTTCTCCGAATGAGATAATCATGCAATTTCTCCCCTTCATGCTTTTAATATAATTTATTACATTGATTGATTTTCTTATGTTGAAACACCCCTACATTCCAAATTTTTGTACATCAAAGAACGTTCTCAGGAAAGTTAAAAGGTAATTTTCAGAATGGGAGAAACTTGAAAATCATTAATATGAAAAGTATCATGTCCAGAGTAAATAAAGATGTCTTACAACTCAACAACAACAACAAAAAAAAACCCAAAAAAACTAATTAAGAAATGGGAAAAGGACTGCAACAGATATTTCTCCACAGAAGATACACAAATGGCTTCAAAATAAGCACATGAAAAGATGCTCAGCGTTATCTCTTATTAGAGAGATACACATTAAAAACCACAAGGAGAACGCTTTACACCCATGAATATGGCTACAAGTTTAAAAAGAAGTAAAGAAGAAAATAGAAAACAGCAAATGTTGGTTAATATGTGGAGAAACTGGACTCTTGCGCATTGCTGGTGGAAAGGTAAAATGGGTAAGCCACTGTGAAGAAGAGTTTGGTGGTTCCTTCAAAAGGTAAACAAATTTACCATCTGACCCACTAATTCCACTCCAAGGTATAATCCCCGGAGAATTGAAAACAGACATTCAGACAAATACTCGTGTATGAATATTAATAGCAGCACTATTGAGAATAGCCGAAAGATAGAAACAGCTGAAACATCCATCAACAGATGAATGAATAAGCAAATTGTGGAATATCCATACAATGGAATATTCTTCAGTCATAAAAAAATGAAGTACTGGCCGGGCAGGGTGGCTCACGCCTATAATCCCAGGACTTTGGGAGGTCGAAGCGGGTGGATCACGAGGTCAGGAGATCGAGACCATCCTGGTTAACACGGTGAAACTCCATCTCTACCAAAAATACAAAAACAAAATTAGCCTGGTGTGGTGGTGGGTGCCTGTAGTCCCAGCTACTCCGGAGGCTGAGGTGGGAAAATGGCATGAACCCGGGAGGCGGAGCTTGCAGTGAGTCGAGATCGCGCCACTGCACTCCAGCCTGGGCGACAGAGCGAGACTACGTCTCAAAAAAAAAAAAAAAAAAGAAGAAGTACTGATGCATGCTATAGCATGGATGAAGCTGAAGAAGGTTAATGTAAGTAAAAGAAGCCAGACGAAAAGATTACATATTGTACAATTTTTAATTAAATATCAAAAATAGGTAAATATATAAACACAGAAAACAGATTGGTCATTGCCGGGAGCTTGGAGCTAGGGGAATGGGAAGTAATTGCTTAATGGGTACAGCATTTTATTTTGGAGCAACGAAAACATTTTGAAACTAGATAAAGATATGATTAAACAACATTGTATTGTTAATGTACTAAAAGCCACAGAATCGTCACTGACATCTCATATATTATGCATTTTTATATGGGTTACTGTCATTGGAAACTAACGTCTTAAATGTAGCTGAAGTTCTGGGAAAATTTGAGTTAGCCATTATTTTTTACACATAATTTTTGCATCTATTTTGGTTACTATTATTTTAAGAACAAAATAAATGTGTGTATTGGATGGCTTAACTAGCCAGGAATGCCATATGGAGTCCAGACTAAAGAAAAAGAAAAAATATATTCTGGATTAGTTCTTATGGCAAAGTACTTAGTCACATTTTAGAATAATTTTTTCCCCCCTGTATGACGTTTGGAGAGGTGTTCTGACAATTTTTTTCTCCAATTAATGGTTGAGGCTGAGTATTTTGCAGGGTAAAGTATGGTCTTAGAAACGAGCCTTTGAGTCCGTCTTTGACTGGAAAATCAGAAGGCTGGGCTGCCATAGTCCTTTGGCCTAATTTGGGGCAAATGATGTTTTCTGAAGCTAAAAGATAGAAAGGAGGTTAAAAAAAAATGAATGGTTTTTCTGAGTATGTCATTTAAATGTTATTTAAACAATCATAAGGGTTTTACTAACCAGTACTACACTTCATTCAAGCACATTTACTTGCACCTCACCTGTTTTAACATTAGAGAATTTAGTTGGGAGTAGGGTGTTTAAGCGAATTCAGTTATAAGCAGGCTTGCCTATCCAACTTAGTCTATGTTGTGACTAGCAGACAAAAGAGGGGGACAAATGTCCTCTCCAAGCCCTCCCGGAAAAAGTGATGCTTAACAAAGTCACTCTATTCATGAGGAAGCTGCCAACTTCACTTATTCATCAAAAGGTGACGCATAACTGTACAATGCATGTTTGCTGTGAAAGTAAAGGAATTTGATCTCCTTGGCTGAAACCTGCTAGAGGAACCAAGGAGAAAGATGTAATTACCAAACTAGTTGCAGTATACCACAGCGCTGTGTGCAACACCAAATTCCTGGATCTGTACACATGAGAGACTGCATTCTGTGAAGCCATGATAATTTGAAAGGAATTCCCTGGGCTCATTCTATATAAGGGAGAATTGATGCTTTCTATGAATCATGCTCCAGTTATTGTATTATGTTTATGGCTTTCAACTTGGCAGAAATGCTTTTAATAACTTTTTAATATTTTATCTTGGCATTATCAATTCCTGGCTCCCATTAGTTCGTTGTCTCCTGCTTTGTACAGGTTTGGCTGAGGTCGTGATTTTAGGTTGTTATTAATCCCCTTATTTGCTCTCATGGCTTAAGATTGATGGCCAAATAATATTGAATTATTATGACCCATACTCAATTTATGTTTGAATTGGAGTTTTTATGTTTACATTTTTGTGTTTGTGTATATTACATAAAAACATTAAAGGAGGTGTAGAAAACACATAAATAAATAATGAGTGCAAAATTAGAATCAACCATTACTCAGAGATAACAGCATTAACTTTAAAATTTCCATTCCAGCCTTTTTCTACATATATAATTATGCATTTCATATAATATATGTTACAAAATTACATTCATGCTGTATGTATAGTTGGTATCTCACTTTTAATTTAAAATATATTGTGACTGTTTTTGCATGCCATTAGTTCCTGTTTTATTAACTTTCTTACTTTTAATTTCTGTCTTTCTATATATATAAAATATATTTTGTTTGCTAGTATCTTCTGCAGTTATGTGCAAAGTCCATAATGTGCTATTTATAGTAATAGTTATCTTTCCACATTTCAAAATACTCTTAATTGATGACTGTTGTATCGTCAAAGTCAATAAATCAGAACATTTTTAGATTTTTAGTTCCTTCTGTAAAAGAAAACTAAACGAACACCCTTTCTCTTTGTTTTGATTGGATTGTTTAATCCATTCACATTTATTTTAATGTTAACACAATTGTATTCATGCTTGCCTTTTGCTTTTTGTTTTCTGTAGATACCATGTCTTTTGTTCCTTTGTTCCTCCATTCTTCCTTTATATTTTTTACATTAAGCGAATGTTTGCTTTTTTGCTTTCTTTCTTTCTTTTACTTTTCATGTATTACCCCCTTCTTTTAAACTTACCTTTTAAGTTTGGAGGTAGAAGTGCAGGTTTCCTACATAGGTAAACTTATGTCACAGGGATTTGTGGTACAGATTATTTTGTCACCCAGGTATTAAGCCTAGTACCCATTAGTTATTCTTCCTGATCCTCTCCCTCCTCCCATCCTCCACCCTTCGACTGGCTCCAGCGTGTGTCGCTCCTCTCTACGGATTTTTCTGTGCTCTATTTTCTTCTATGATTTTAAGTAAAACATACTTTAATGGAATTATTTTATTTGTTATCTTCCTTACAAATAATTAATGGTATATGTTTTGTACCAACATTTATTACATTTTATTTAATGCAATGGTATTCTGATTTCAAATGCTCAGCTACAGCATGAATATTAAAGTGTTGATACTATAGTACTCTAAAATCTGATTCTCTGTCAACTTAAGTGCATTTCTTACTCCATTTTTGTTCACAGAATTTTTTGTTAATAAACTTTTCAGTTTTTAGATCAGTTTTAGGTTTACAGAAAAATTGAGTGAAAAGTACCCAGTTCCCATATATTCTCTCCCTCCCCTCAACAGCTTTCCCCACTATCAAATTCTCTTAATATCCACCATTAGAGTGGTACATTTGTCATTACTGATGAACCTACATTGACACCCAAAGTATATAGTGTACATTAGCATTCACTCTTGGTGCTGGAGTCTATGTGTTTTGACAAATGTCTAATGGCATGTTTATACCATTGCAGCATCATACAGAATAGTTTCGCTGCCCTGAACATCCACTGTGCCCTGCCTACCCATCTCTCCCTCTCCTTGACCTCTGGCAGCCACTAATAATTTTATTTTCTCCATAGTTGTACCTTTTCCAGAATATCATAAAGTTGGAATCATAGTGTAGCCTTTTCACATTGGCTTCTTTTACTTAGTAATATGTACTTAAGTTTCTTCTGTTTCTCTTCATGACTTGATAAGCTCATTTGTACTAAGTTTATTCATTCATCGGCTATTTTGATTGCTTCCAAACCAATGTGACAATTATGAATAAAGCTGCCATAGACATCCATATGCAGGGTTTTATGTGGACATACATTTTCAATTATGGGTAGGTACCAAGGAGCAGAAATGCCGAGTTATATGGTAAGAGTATGTTTACTTTTGTAAGAAACTGCCAAATTGTCTTCAAAAGAGGCGGTACCATTTCACATTCCTACCAGTGATGAATAGAGTTTCTGTTGCTCCTCATCCTCACCAGCATGTGGTGTTGTCAGTGTTCTGGATTTTGGCCATTCTAATAGACGTATAGTGGCATCATGAATGGATTACCGTAATCTCTGGAATCGGTTAGTTATTTTAGGACTTTGGCCCCCATTTCTTTTCTTGCTCTCAGTGTGCACTTCATCGCCATGTGATGCCTTCTGCCATGTTTTGCAGCAAGAAGCCCTCACCAGATTCAGCCCCTCGATCTTGGACTTCCAAGGCTCCAGAACCATGAGCCAAATAAGGCTCCTTTCTTCATTAATTACCCAGTTTGTGGTATTCTGTTAAAGCAGCAGAAAACAGACTAGGACACATATTTTACAGGTTAGGCTTAGAGAGTTTGCTTCTGAAGTCAAACTCTTTTCTTTTCCAGGTTAAATGCCCAAACCTCAGGGATCACATCTTTGACTTTGGTCTCCTGTTATTTGTATTTTAAGTGCCTCTGACTTTTTCTATAAACCATTGATCACAGTTATAATTAAATACTTTCACAACCCATATGGGCTGATGCTGGCCTCTCTTAGACTTAAAGGTTATAATATTCAAAGCAGATTTCTGACTATAAAAGAAGTGAGACTTAACAGATTGTTATCCATAGAGATTGAGAAGGCGGATAACCTGCTCGTTGCTCAGCAAACTCACTAAATGGCATCTTTACACACATTCCTTTTATCCCAAATTCCCTCGGCTTTAAGTTCACTCCTTCATTTCTCTCTCTTCAACCCCCTTTTCAGAAAGTCTCTTTCTTCTCTCAGTCACAGTGGTGTGACGTCTTTCCTTTCTAACCCTTCTCTAGCCCTCTTGGCCACACTGCATTTGTTCTGTGCTTCCTGCTACATGTTTCCCTTATGGTTTTCTGGACAAGCATTGATATCACAGCTTGCATGAAAATCCCCATCAGTTTTCCCATTCTAGGCCGGCACTATAAAAGGGTGGGTGTGACAATGAGGAGAAGGATAATAAGAGTTTATAAATTAATGTATTTTTCTTGTCACACATAATGATGGCATTATTTTCTCTATCTCCTACTGGGCAAGGACTGTGTCATAATGTCTGACTTGGTAGCTGACAAAGTAGAAGAGCAGAAAATATTTGTTGAATGGGTATATAAATGTAGTTTGTTGGAAGACACATAGCTAGGATGTGGAAAGTCTTAATTCAAACCCAGATCTATCTGACTCCAGAGTTCTTCATTTCTGAAACAGTGATGGAAATTTGGTTTTTGAAACAGTGATGGAAATTTACTTCCATGGTAAGAAAGGGATGGTTTTTGGAACAAAGTTTACAAGGAAACAGCAGAGATGGGATCCAAATGGTGTGTGTAGGTGGATGGGAGGATAACCATGTAGGCGTGCAGGTACTGAAGGAGGAAACTTAGTGAAGCCTTACCTAGAGGAATCTTGATCTATTAGTGAACCAGAAAAAAATCATCTACCAAGAATAAGAAGAAAAAGTGATGGCGACACAGTAAGTTAAAGGTGTAAGTTGAAAATGATTAGTAGAGATAACTGAGTATTGACCCTTAGAGACTGTTAGGCAGTACTGAAGACTGAATTATCAGTAGCACAAAGCCCCCAAGCTTTGTAGTTGTTAAAACAGCAGGATTTAGTAGTCCTTGTATAGGAAGAGCTAAATCAGACCTAGTTTTTCTATGATTTGGGTTTTGCACATAGATTAAATGAAAGGACAGTGATTCTGTGGAAGTGATGATTATAGCAAAGGGATAGTTGTAATGAGGATCGGTGTGACCTAGATTGCTCAAAGACAGAAGGTGCCTCAAAGGGCTATGAGCTTCTGGTAGTCGCTGCATGATGGAAATCCCTCTTCTCAGATGGCCAGATAGCACTGTGAACTTAAGAAGTAATAGATCATAGTGAGCCATCCTGGAGGTAACACAGCACTCATAGTTGGCTCAGACACACTGAATCAGATGAGGGAAGCAGAGTTTTAGGACAGTAATTCTCCTCATCCATGGCAACAGGAACATTATGTGCCATACTTCCATATCATTTGTAATTTTCGACCACTCTGAATATCCAAATTAACTGTAAGGAAATTTTGTGTAGCCTTTTTCTTAGTGTGCATTAAAAGACAGGTGTTTTTCATCTTTTTTTTGACCTCATAGATTCATATTAAAGTCAACGAGTTTTAAGATTAGGGCACCCACAAATTAGAGCAACTCAGTTGTTTAGTTCAAAAAACATTTATTGAGAAACTATTTTTCCTGCCAGACATAAAAGATACTGAAATGGAAAAGTAACATCCTCTGCTCCTGAGGAATTTCTAGACTAACTTTCACATCATGTCAATGTGCTTTCAAAATTGTAATACATTCAATGGTGATAGTGCTTTGATTCCAAAGCTCTGAAAATTTACCTATGAGTTCTCTCTTTCCCATCTTCTCTTTTTGGAAGAAGGTGGTCCAGCATGTGCTTGAGTACATCTGACAAAGGGAAGCCTGCTGTGTCCTGAGAGAGCTTGACAAGGCATGATCAGCCCATGAGAAGTGCACGAGTTCCCTCTCCCAGGACCATGCTAGCACGGGAGAGACATTTTCATGCATCTGAGCTCATTCTAGTAAAGTCCTAAGCAAAGGCAAAGGAGTAGCAACATCAATATTTCTTTCAGACCCTGAGGTCTTTGATTCTCACATTTATTTTTACTTTTATCATCTTTCTCTTTTTTGAGGCCATGTAATCAATGATAAATTGTCCACCACTTAGTAAAATAAAAGTCCTCTTTAAATATATCCTTTTGACTCCAGATTTTCTGTTACTTTCACTACCGTGGTAGAGAGGAGGATATGTGATTTGTTTTAAAACTGCTTATCCTAAAAAGTTGGTAAGTACCATACACCCCTACATTAGTTACACTTACATGCATGACATTAGTTATATTTACATGCACGACTACCATTTATTGAACAACACACATTTATTGGCAGAGATTGTATACAGAATGCTTTGAAACAAGGAATGAAAAGAAAAATAAGATGGGCAAGAATAAGGGAGAGAAAAATGGATCTGAAAACTAAGTTTCTTTAAGTCAGGCTGAAGGGACTGTTACTGTTTTATGTTAGACATTTTTTAATTTGAAACACATAAATTCAGGAACAGAAAATTATTTTTAGATGCATTTTGAAATGTGCAATTTTTTTTTTTTTTTTTTTTTTTTTTTGAGGCAGAGTCTCGCTCTGTCGCCCAGGCTGGAGTGCAGTGATGCGATTTTGGCTCACTGCAAGCTCCGCCTCCTGGGTTCACGCCATTCTCCTGCCTCAGCCTCCCAAGTAGCTGGGACTACAGGCACCCGCCACCACGCCTGGCTAACTTTTTTTTTTCTTTGTATTTTTAGTAGAGACGGGGTTTCACTGTGTTAGCCAGGATGGTCTCCATCTCCTGACCTCGTGATCTGCCCGCCTTGGCCTCCTAGAGCGTTGGGATTGTAGGCGTGAGCCACCGCGCCTGGCCTGAAATGTGCAATTGTTTTTTAATGGTAAATGAATTTTGGCAAGGAAACATGAAATTCTAATTTGGTTTTTTAAAATTGTTATTTAAAAAACACTCAAGTAGTTTTCTTGCACAAGTTTGAGGCACTATCTCTTTGATGTAGACATTGGCTGCCATTCCTATCATTTTCCCAGTTGGCTCACTCTATGGCAACAGGCATACTACTACTTACTCTTTTCATTTTGATTCTTCTTTTCTCTCTTTTTCATCCTGTCTCTTGGCCAGATCCCACTTGTATTCTGGAGCTACTCCTTGCCTAGAGGAAGCACTTCAATTGTTCCCTAGTCTAATGAATAATTCATTTGTGTCTTTGAATTCTGGGTAAACTTGATATATTTCCTCCCTCGTCATTCGTGGTTTTTATACCTATCTTCTCTGGACAGGTTTACTCCAATCAAGAAGCAGTTAAAAAGAATCCTCTAGCACCCCCTGTCTTCATTATGAGAGCTGGCAGAAGCAAAGAGGAGTTCTCTTGCTGGCATCAGAGGGTAGATGGGAGCTTTAGATGTCATTCCATTTTCCAGAGAACTGCTGAGTTCTGCGGAGACTCTCTTTTTTAACCAATCTTTTCTTTCAATTTTTCCCTCTCTGACTAACCTCTGACTTCCTGTTATCAAATGCCAACTTCATCTCACTCATCTTATTCAAGTTTCACTTCAAGGCCCTAGTGACACGTACCCCTCCCCTTTGCCATAATTTTTATTTGATTCTAAATGTTTTCCTGTTTTCAAAAGCACCATAAATATCAAATATTTTATTCAACAAAATGGCCAACTCTAGATATCATGAAATTACCGGAGCATTTCATTTTGTGTATTACGGAGATATTAATGGAGACACGTTAGACCTCTGGGGAAGATGGCTCACTCACTGAGAGAGATCTAGTTATTGGGCAATCTCATTTGCAATTTATTTTAGCAATTGTTTCTGGTCAGATAAATGCACATGAGTAAGAGAACACTTATTTAGCTCAATTATATTATACACAAACTGGCTACTTTAGTTGGAAATAAAAGCTGGGCATTTTCTGCTTAGCTTTCATCTTGTTCTACTTGAAAAGGAACTTATCTTCAGAGAATACAAGCCACTCTATGTCTATCTCCTAAGTCTTACTTAGGTATAGCCTCCCACCTCCCACCTGTGTGAAAGAACTAGTTCAGTGTAGAATTGCCAGTGAATTAGTGAGTAATTCTGTCTAATCTGGAATTTAGTTAACGTCACACCACTTGGGTCTCATACATAGAAACACGTGGCCTAACTTTGCTTCCATTTGACTCTCCTTATTTTCAAATGAAGTCTGAAGAAGAAGGTTGTTTTTGGAGGACCTCTCTTATTAGGTTCTCCAAAGGCTCCTCAACGTTTGGAAACTCTTGTATCTGAACTCATCATTTTTATTACACAGATGGGGAAAATTTGGGCCATGTTTCGTTTTTACTCAGCCACCTATGACATTGAGATAAACATACATAATTAATGGGATCATCTTTCCTTCCATAGAGATGGCAGTGAAATGTATTTTTGTTGATTCATTCATTCAACAAATATTTTTGGGGCAATTTCTGTAAACCGGGCACAGATCATAGAACCATGCTATGGATAAAAGCTGTGAAAGAGACAGACACTGGCCCCATTCAATGGTAGGAAATAGAGATGTTAAGTTATTTCTGTCATGACAAATGCTACAAAAAAAGGATGTCTAAGTCTACATAAAAGAAAGCAAGGGTCCAGTGAGGAGAATCCAGCACATGCGAATATCTGGGCTGGCCATGCCAAAATGGGAGCTGCTAGCCACACGTGGCTATTTAAGTTTATATCTAAATTAATTCAAATGGAATGAAATTAAACATTCACTTCCTCAGTTTCCCTAGCCACTTTCATGTGCTTAGTAGACACATATGGATAATGGCTATCATATTGAAAAACACAGATATAGAATTTTCCATAATGCTAGAAAGTTCAATTAAATGGCTCTAGATTATATAGGAGTCAAATCCAGTAGCTGAGTTCCATTATCTTATGTCATCTTTTTACCCATCCATCCCAAGTTTTACGAAGTCAATAGCCAAGTGTTTAGTACTTTTGTTTAATCCTGTGTTTCCAGTAAATATCTACACTATTTAAAACAATAAAAGCAACTTGATTCAAAAGGGAGTAAAAACAATTATTATCTCATGCCTAACAATCTATATTTACAGACTTTCTAAGTATTGAAATTTGTTATTTTGGTATTAGAAAAATCTATTATGTAACCGTGGTTTGATTCCAAGCACCTAATAACCTTAACCTATTTCAGGTTAAATGGGATATTTTTTCAATTATTCAACAAATAATTATTGAGTTATTCTATAATCCAGGCACTGTATAGGTGGCGAGGACACAATGATAGGCAAAGTAGTACAAGTTTCTACTTTTGGATAGCTTACATTCTAATAGAGACTATCAATAAACAGAGTTTATATAGCTCTGATGGTGATAAACCCATAAGAAGAAAAATAAAGTAACATAAGAGAATGAAGAATAATAAGGATGGGTGTGTGCCATTTTGTTGTGTTTTTAATTGATGAACTGAACCTTTTTTCATTAAGAAATTTACTGTACTATCTCAGGTATTACACAGAGTGTTGAAATCTTTGTTTTAAGTTAATATATCAATTCCATGTTTTATAAAATTAATGTATATAATTTTCCTTCACTTTTAACCTATGTATTTATATTTAAAGTGTGATTTTTGCAGACAGCATACAGTGAGGTCTTATTTATTTTTTAATCCAGACTCATAATCTTTGCCTTTTGATTGGATCATTTACTTGATTGACATTTAATGTAATTATTTGTATATTTTAAGGATATCATCCTACTATTTGTTTTCTGTTTGTCCCATGTGTGTTTTATATATTTCCTTGTTCTTTTTCTCTTTTGAATTGAGTATTTTTAGTATTCTATTTTTATTATGCTCACTGGCTTCTTAGCTATAGTAGTGTCCTCAATTATTTTGGTCATTTCCCTAGAAATATTCATCTTTGAGCTATAACAGTCTACCTTCAAATACTATTAACCACTTATATGAGAATTTTACAACAATACACTTACTTTTTTTTTTTTGAGATGGAGTCTTGCTCTGTCACCCAGGTTGGAGTGCAGTGGCACGATCTCAGCTCACTGCAACCTCAGCCTCCTGAGTAGCTGGGATTACAGGCACCCACCACCACGCCCAGCTAATTTTTGTAGTTTTAGTAGAGACAGGATTTAATCATGTTGTCCAGGCTGGTCTTGAACTCCTGCCCTCAGGTGATCCACCCGCCTTGGCCTCCCAAAGTGCTGGGATTACAGGCATGAGCTACTGCACCCAGCCCAATACCCTTTTTTCCTTCCTTCCTTTGTGTTCCTATTGTTATCCTACTTTTACTCTTACATATGGTATATATCCCTTGCTACAATATTATTATATTTGCTTTGAGCAGTTAATTATATTTTAAGAAGTATTTTTTAAGTGAGGAAAAAAGCTTTTTTATTAATACACATTTATCATTTCTTGCATTCCTTTATTTAGATCTGCATTTTCTATAATATTTAATATAATGCTGATTTGTTGCACCTAAATTATCTCAGATTTGTTTGTCTAAAATGTCTTTATATCACTTATGGTTTTGAAAATATTTTTACTGGATATAGGCTTCTAGGACAAGTTTTTTTTATTTTAATGTATTGAATATGTACTATTGTCTTCTTGTTTGCATTGTTTCTGATTAGAAGTAAGTAGTTATTCTTGATCCCCTGTATATACTGTGTCTATATTTTAGAAAAAAGCTTTTAAAATTTTCTCTAAGTGATTTTATTATGGTGCTTCTTGATGTAGTTGTTTTTATACGTTTTGGGGGCTTGTTGAGATTTTTGGATCTGTTAGTGTATTAGTCAATTCTCATGTTTCTATAAGGACACAATCAAGACTGGGTAATTTATAAAAGAAAGAGGTTTAATTGACTCACAGTTCTGCAGGGCTGGGAAGGCCTCAGGAAACTTACAATCATGGTGGAAGGGGAGGTAAACACGTCCTTTTTCACATGGCAGCAGCAAGGAGAAATGCAGAGTGAAGGGGGAAAAATCCTTCTAAAACCATCAGATCTTACGACAACTCACTCACTATCACAAGAAGAGCGTGGAGGTAACCGCCCTCATGATTCAATTACCTCCCATTGGCTACCCCCCATGACACGTGGGGATTATGGGGACTACAGTTCAAGGTGAGATTTGGGTGGAGACACAGCCAAATCATATCATTTCACCCTTGGCCCCTCCCAAGTCTCATGTCCTCACATTTCAAAGCCAATCATGCCCTCCCAACACACCCCCAAAGTCTTAATTCATTTCAGCATTAACTCAAAAGTTCAAGTCCAAAGTCTCATCTGAGACAAGGCAAGTCCCTTCCACCTATAAGCCTGTCAAATCAAAAGCAAGTTAGTTACTTCCTAGATACAGTGGGGGTACAGACATTGGGCAAATACACCCAATCCAAATGGGAGACACTGGCCAAAACAAAGGGGCTATAGGTCCCATCCAAGTCCAAATCTGATAGGGCAGTCATTAAACCTTAAAGTTCCAAAATGATCTCCTTTGATTGCATGTCTTACAACCAGATCATGCTGATGCAAGAGATAGGCTCCCACAGCCCTGGGCAACTCTGCCCATGTGGCTTTGCAGGGTACAGCCCCCTTCTGAGCTGCTTTCATAGGTTGGTGTCAAGTGCCCGCAGCTTTTCCAGGTACACAGTGCAAGCTGTTGATGGACCTACCATTCTGGGATCTGGAGGACAGTGGCCCTCTTCTCACAGGTCCACTAGGCAGTGCGCCAGTGGGGACTCTGTGTGGAGGCTCCAACCTGACATTTTCCTTCTGCAGTGCCCTAGCACAGGTTCTCATGAGGGCTCTGCACCTGCAGCAGAGTTCTGCCTGGATATCCGGGGGTTTCCATACATCCTCTGAAATCTAGGTGGAGGTTCCCAAACCTCAGTTCTTTACTTCTGTGCACCATGTGGAAAGTGCCTAGGCTTGGGGCTTGAATCCTCTGAAACCATGGCCTGAGCTGTACCTTGGCCCCTTTTAGTCATGGCTGGAGGAGCTGGGATGCAGGGCACCAGATCCTGAGGCTGCACACAGTAGGGGGTCCCTGGACCCAGCCCAAGAAACCATTTTTCCCTCCTCGGCCTCTGGGCCTGTGATGGGAAGGGCTGCTGTGAAGGTCTCTGACATGCCCTGGAGACATTTTCCCCCTTTGTCTTGGTGATTAGCTTTTGACTCCTTGTTACTTATGCAAATTTCTGCTGCTGGCTTTAATTTCTCCCCAGAAAATGGGTTTTTCTTTTCTACTGCATCATCAAGCTGCAAATTTTTCAAACTTTTATGCTCTACTTCCTTCGAACACTCTGCCACTTAAAATTTCTTCTGCCAGATACCCTAAATTATCTCTCTCAAGTTCAAAGTTCCACATATATCTAGGTCAGGGGCAAAATGCCACCAGTGTCTTTGCATAGTAAGAGTGACCTTTACTCCAGTTCCCAAGTTCCTCATCTCCATCTGAGACCACCTTACCCTAGACTTTATTGTCCATATCACTATCAGCATTTTAGTCAAAGCCTTTCAACAAGTCTCTAGGAAGTTCCAAACTTTCCCACATTTTTCTGTCTTCTTCTGAGTCCTCCAAACTATTCCAACCCTTGCCTGTTACCCAGCTCCAAAGTTGCTTCCACGTTTTTGGGTATCTTTACAGCAGCAGCCCACTCTACTGGTACCAGCTTACGGTATCAGTCCATTCTCATGCTGCTATAGGGACATACCCAAGACTGAGTAATTTATAAAGGAAAGAGGTTTAATTGACTCACAGTTCCATAGGGTTGTGGAGGCCTCAGGAAACTTACAATCTTGGCAGAAGGGGAAGCAAACACATCCTTTTTCACATGGCAGCAGTAGGGAGAAGGGCAGAGCAAACGGTGGTGGGGAAAGCCCTTTATAAAACCATCAGATCTCATGAGAACTCACTCACTCCCACAAGAACAGCATGGAGGTAACTGCCCCCATGATTCAGTTACCTCCCACCAGGTCCCTCCCATGTCATGTGGGTATTATGGGAACTACAGTTCAAGTTGAGATTTGGGTGGGAACACAGCCATACCATATCAGTTTATATATTTTTAATCACATTTGGAAGTGTTTTGGCAATTGTTTCTTCAAACTTTTTCTTCAGCTGAGTGCAGTGGCTCATGCCTGTAATCCCTGCATTTTGGGAAGCCAAGGCAGGTGAATCACTTGAGTCCAGGACTTTGAGACTGGCTGGGCAACATGGTGAATCCTCTTCTCTACAAAATATTTTTGGAAAAATCTAGCTGATTGTGGTGGCTTGCACCTGTAGTCTCTGCTCCTTGGGAGGCTAGGTGGGAGGATTGCTTAACCCCAAGAGACAGAGGCTGCATTGAGCCATAATTGTACCACTACTCTCCAGCCTGGGTGACAGAGTGTGACCCTGTCAAAAAAAAACCTTTTTTTTTTTCCCATCCTAATAGCTTTCTTTTCTCTGTCTAAGACTGAAATTACATTTAAGTTAGATTGCCTGATACAGGTCCTTTGTAGGCAGAGCTACACAGAGCTACAGCAGAGCAGCTGCTGTGTTGTTCCCATTAGAGGTGAGAGATATTAAAAACCAAGATCTGGGAACACTCCTCAGTTTTTGGTTTAAGCTACAATGTGATCTTGACATATAAACAGAGATAAAAAGAAAAAGGTTAGATTTTGAGTGAGGGGAGTATATTAGTCATGTTAAATTTGAGACTCCTATTAAAAAACAGCTGGAGATGAAAACATATATTTGTTCATCCAAGTGTGATTCTTGGGCAAAAGACTGGAGATGGTGGTGTACATTTAAGAGTTAAGATACAGATAGAGTAATAAACTATGACACTGAATGACATCACTTTGGCTTGAATTCTACATAGAAAAGAGAAGAATGCTTAGGATGGAGCTCTACATCACTCCAACATTAAGAGATTACACAAAAGCAACTGTAATTTTTGTGCATTTAAAGGAGACTCTAATTTGGCTTTGTGTTATTTAGTTTTAACCCAAATTTTAAAATAAGAAATGAAAACTGGGATAGAAATCTTGTCATTGTTTATAATCTGATCTAATAGGAAACAAATTTTGTTACAGTAGGATACAACTTAATTTTGTATATTACCCTTGTAGTCTGCAAAGTTACTGAAATTGTGTATTAACTTTTACAGGTTGAGCGTGTGTGTGTGTGTGTATGTATGTGTATTCCTTAGGAGTTTCTACATATAAGAACTTGTAATCAGAAAATAATTTTACTTCTTCCTTTCAAATCTGTATACCATTTATTTCTGTTTCTTTCCTGATTGCTTTGACTAGAATTTCCAGTATAATTCTGAAGAGAGGCTGTGAGTTTGAAATGCTAATCTTGTTCCTGTTATTGGGGTAAAGCAGTCAGTCTTTCCTCACTAAGCATGATGTTAGTCGTGAGATTTTTATTGATGTCCATTATCTGGTTGAGAAGTGTCCTTTCTATCCATAGTTTGTTGGGATGAAAAGTTATTGGATTTTGTCAAATTCTTTTTGTGCATCTATTGAGATGATCATGCAGTTTTCCTACTTCATTTCATTAATTCCATCTACTATATTGATTGATTTTAAATGTTGAGCCATCCTTGCATTCTTGGAATAAATATCACTTTGTTAAGGCATATACTCACTTTGTATGTTGCTGTAGTCACTTTGCTAGTCTTTCCTAAAAGATTTTTTAATGCCTATTTTCATAAGGGATATTGATCTATGGTTTTATGTATGTGTGAGGGTGGGGGAGATGTCTTGGTCTGGTTTGGGTATCAGAGAAACACTGTTCTTCTAGAACAAGTTGGGAAGTGTTTCTTCTTCTGTTTTTTGATAAGAATTTATAAGGAATTGGTGTTAGTTGTTTGTATTGGTTTCCTAGTGCTGCCCTAATAAGGTGAGCCCACAAGAGCTGAGCCCACAAAATTGGTGGCTTTAATAACATAAATTTATACTCTCACAGTTCTGGAGTTTAGATATCTGAAATAAACATGATGGCAGATTCATTCTTCCACCAAAGCCTCTAGAAGAGGTTCTTTCCTTGCCTGTTTAAGCTTCTGATAGTCCCAGGCATTCCTTGACTTGTGGCAGCATAATGCCAATCTCTACCTGTGGCCATCTTCCCTCTACATCTGTTGTCTCTCCTCCTGTTCTTATGAGGACACCAGTCATATTGGATTAAGGGATATCCTACTCCAGTATGATCTCATCTTAACTAATTACAGCCGAACCACCTCTTTTCCCAAATAAGATCACATTCTGAGGTTCTAAAAAGAAAAATTATTGAGGGGAGGAATGAATGCACCTAGTATATTTTTCCTTAAATATTTGGTAAAAATTCACCAGTGAAGAAATCTCATACTGAGCTTTTCTTTGTGGGATGTTTTCAAATTACTAACTGGATATCTTAGTTACTATATGTGTATTCAAATTATCTATTTTATCTTGAATCAATTTCAGTAGTTTGTGTCTAAGAATTTTTTCATATCATCTGTTTTATCTAACTTGTTGGCATACAGTTGTTAATGGTGTTTATTTTTTATTATACTTTAAGTTCTGGGGTACATGTGCAGAACGTGCAGGTTTGTTACATAGGTATACACATGCCACGGTGGTTTGCTGCACACATCAACCCATCATCTACATTAGGTATTTCTCCCAGTGCTATCCCTCTCCCAGCCCCCCAGCCCCTGACAGGCCCCAGTGCGTGATGCCCCCCACCCCCATGTCCATGTGTTCTCATTGTTCACCTCCCACTTATGAGTGAGAACATGCGGTGTTTGGTTTTCTGTTCTTGTGTTAGTTTGCTGAGAATAATGGTTTCCAGCTTCATCCATGTCCCTGCAAAGGACATGAACTCATCCTTCTTTATGGCTGCATAGTATTCCATGGTATATATGTACCACATTTTCTTTACCCAGTCTATCAGTGATGGGCATTTGGGTTGGTACCAAGTCTTTGCTATTGTGAACAGTGCCGCAATAAACATATGTGTGCATGTGTCTTTATAGTAGAATGATTTATAATCCTTTGGGGTATATACCCAATAATGGGATTGCTGGGTCAAATGGTATTTCTAGCTCTAGAACCTTGAGGAATCACCACACCGTAATCTACAATGATTGAACTAATTTACACTCCCACCAAAATTGTAAAAGCATTCCTATTTCTCCACATCCTCTCCAGCATCTGTTGTTTCCTGACTTTTTAATGAACGCCATTCTAATTGGCATGAAGTGGTATCTCATTGTGGTTTTGATTTGCATTTCTCTAATGATTAGTTATAATGAGCTCTTTTTCATATGTTTGTTGGCTGCATAAATGTCTTCTTTTGAGAAGTTCATTATAATTCGCCCACTTTTTGATGGGGTTGACATCCTTTGCCCACTTTTTGGTGGGGTTTGGTTTTTTCTTGTACATTTGTTTAAGTTCTTTGTAGTCTGCTGTTCCTACTAAGATGCACCCATGTTTCTTGAATACACATCAGGGATTGCTGTAAGCCTATTATTTCCAGAGTTTTTAAAAAGTAGATTCTGATAATTTTGGCTAGTGTTCTCTTGATGTCATGAAAGAGAGAATTTTCAAAATTATTTTTCTGCCATTTCTGTCAATATCACTTTATAATTTGATTTTTAAATGGCCTTTCACAGGGCCATTACATTTATCTTAAATGTAATATTTATTAGTTTAACATTTCAATTTAGATTTACATTTTTCTAACATACACCGAGTATATTCTCTTATTTTGAAAGATATATAATTAGTGGTCTTATCCCTTGTGATCAATATAATCACACTTAGTAATGTAATCTTGTGGAATTCATTTATATATCAATTGTGGTAAAAACTGTTTTTGGAGAATAATATAAATGGAGTAAGTGAATAATTCATAAATATGACAATGATCTTCATGGTGAAATAAAAGTAAGAAACACCAGAAGTAGATATTTTTTTTCCAAAATGGCATGGTGATAAAAGATAATGAAAATAAAGTTCAAAAGTGTGAAAATAATAAATGAAAACATAACTTTGTCATTTTATTAGTAGACTAAATTTTAAAGGTAGTGTTGTTCTAATGGGATTAAACAATAAATAAATTACTCAAGCAATTTACAGAAGATATGAATAAATAAGTTCAGTTTGAAAGAGTTATAAAAAGAGAGGAGTCATTGAAGAACGAAAGTTAGAATTACACAAGTTTAGAGTTAGAAGGAATTATAGACAACATCTGATTCAACACATTCTTTTTTTTTTTAATGAAATAATGAGATTTAAAGAGGCTAAAACACTTGGCCAGAGTTAAACATTGAGGAATGGACCTAAAATGTTGACTAAAAGATGACTCTGGTTGTGAGCTGGACAATGTCCTGAAAGGCAGCTAAGATTACTTTAGACTCACGACTAGTGTCTTGTCTAGACTTAACCTTGTCTAGACTGAAGTCTAGACCTCCTCCTTCTCTAAAACGCCATGTATAGTTTCTGCAAGTGCCTATCGACATGACAGTTTTGTACATGGATTTGGATTTGTTTAACATAAAATTCTCAGAAAAACCTAGTTAGAAGTCTAGACATTGTATTATCAGCTTTTAGCATTTTCCACTTCTTTTTTAAACAAAAAATCTTCATCCTGTGAGTCAATACATATTTATGGAATACTATAAATTCCAGGCACTTTGCTAGGCAATGGAGATACAAAGATAAAGAAGTAACAGCCCTGTCCTAAAGCATATTCAACTGTAATATGCTTGGAAGAGCAGCTA
Organism: Homo sapiens; assembly: GCF_000001405.40. Taxonomy (NCBI): domain Eukaryota; kingdom Metazoa; phylum Chordata; class Mammalia; order Primates; family Hominidae; genus Homo; species Homo sapiens. The sequence goes on from NC_000013.11 coordinate 22,309,176, forward strand.
TTGTAAATCAAAGGATCACAGTACCACTTGGTGAGTGCTCTTCCTTTAGTATGAACCAAACACTTCAAGACAAACATCTATACCCCTGACATTTCAAGCTTTGGCTTTTATTTTGATCAGTAGCACAAAATACTTATACTCCAGTCACCTTTCTGCTTCTTATTCTTTGCTAAAAATCCAGCTAAGAAAATGAACATTCAAAGAGAAAATCATGTGACATGTTAACTCGTCATTCTTTTAAATTCCAAAATCTCTATCATTATATCAATTAGAGTATTAGAAAGTCACTTGGAGTTTATTCCCTTAGACTTCCATGGGGAAACCTTTACAGAACTACAATTCAATTCTTGCCTTTTCTTAAAGGTTGATATAAAAAATAATGATGAACAATTTTTTGTTGGTGTTATTGAAAGCACAGGTGATTCTAAGTCTACATAACAAGTTGCTTCTTATTTATTCAAGACATATTTATTGGGCATTTATGTGCCAAGAAAGGAAAAGTTTTTCTTGTCAAGAACTATTAGGCTATCATTTAATAGATGACTCTAATTATATAGGGTATTCCCTCTTTGCTTTTGCTACCAGGAAGCTTAGAATTATTTTTGGGGCTCAGTGGAAGTGGTATTTTTAAACTTAATGTTTCTGGTGAAATTCTCTCAACTCCACTCTTTTCATACCCCACCTCAACCTCCACTCTCTTCCTTGGCTCTATTTTATCCTAATTAATATAATCCTATTTACTTTTACACATTTATATTTAGTGACCTAAACATAGGCAAGGTTATACATAATAAACGGTGGTGCTGCCACGTAGTACATTTATTCTTTATTAACAGGAGTCCAAGATAGTATTAGAAGTCTTAACAATTACGATAAAATACACCAAGGTTTAAATGAAATTAATGTTGTATGTAAACTAGAATCCATGGAATATGCAACCTTTGAAATCCTGAACAATGACGCTATTTTTAAAGGGGTTAGCTGCCTTTCGTTGGTTTTGTTGTATCATGGGACCAGATGAAGAAGCTTTGCTAAAATGCCACCTGTGTTTGGAAATAGCATGACAAAGGCCAATTGCTTGTGCCACCATCTACGGTCCAGTAAAAGAAAGTGAGAGATTAGAAACATCTTTGGTTTTGCCAGTTGGATATGATGATAGAATGGGTTACCTAAGTTTCTGTAGCATGTTAAGTTAAAATAAGACGATGCCAATATTAATGTAAGAGCTTTTAATAAAGGCTATTTATATCCACTTTGCTAGTAAAGAAAGTATGATGACAATTTATTAAAATCTTCATGATTTAGAAACAATAGCAATAGGCATACTGAATTGCAGCACATCAGCAAAGAGGGTGACCATTTTAGGAGAAAGAAGAAATATCCTACCTTATAATCATGTAAACTATGTAGTGTATGTGGATCAGTCACACAGTCATTTCCTTTGGTTATCATAATGTTACGGGGTGGCTAGGGCAAGAATATTATGAAAGATTCTGAGGCTCAGAGAAGTCAATTTCAATTCTAAACTCTCTGATGTAGCAGTTAAAATAAGTTAGTTTTACTTGCATCATCAAGTATGCAATACTAAAATAATAAAATTGCTATGAATGCAAACATACTTCAGGAATAGTGACTATATTTGGAGAGGGTAGGAGGAGAATGAGATGGAGAGTTGTTTTATCTATAATATCTCATTTTTTAAAAAAGTTAAAAAATGTAATAAATATGACAAATGCTGACATTTCTTTAGTCTGGATTATTGTTACATATGTGTCTATTTTCTTGATGTTTGCAATATTTAATTTCAAATCCTTATATTTTTTATTAAGAATCCTCAGCACTTATAATTGTATAATTTATCCACGGTCACGTTGCTGTAAAGGTTTTAATAGTTTGAGTGGTGTCCCCCTCCCCTGAAAAAAAAAAAGTCTACCAAGAGCCTCAGAATATGGCCTTATTTGGAATAGATGCTTTGCAAATTTTATTAAGGTAAATATCCTAAGATGAGATCATTCTGGATTAGGGTGGTCCCTAAAATCAATGGTGAATGTCCTTCTAAGAGACAGAAAAGGAGAAGACACAGAGGAGAAAGCCATGTGACGATGGAGGCAGAGATTGGAGTGATGTGTCTACAAGCCAAGCAAGGCCTGGGGCCACCAGAAGCTGGAAGAGACAAGGCAGGATTCTTCCCTAGCCTGCAGAAGGAGCGTGGCCCTGCTGGCACCTGGATTTAGGACTTGGCCTCCAGAACTGTGAGATAATAAAATTCTGTTGTTTTTAGGCTGCCAAATTAGTTCTAGTTTGTTACAAAAACCCTAGAAAACAAACACTTGGAAATCTAAGACCCCAGCTTTATTTCAAGACTCTAGTCCATCCCATGTTAAATTCTAGGGAGATCCCAGAAAGCCAAAGGAGCAAGGATTCAGGCCTTGCCAGTCTGTCACATCGCAGGTCAGCTGCAGCTACAGGAAACAATGCCTTTCCCAACAGCAATATGGAGAGACAGTCTCCTGGAAGATGGTGAGAAAAAGAAAGTTCTTTTTCATTTAAAAATTTCAAAAAATGTCCAGACTTCTCAGTTATTTTCCTCTGTCATTCGTTGGACTGATACTGAAATTGAACTGAAGTTGCCAGGGGAATCCTACACTCAAGTGAATTCTGTCGTGGGTGGAGAAGATGAAATATGGGACCCAGGAGGTTTGTTATGGACCCATTATCAGACTGAACACTAAAGTTAGTATGAGGCCAGTGCTTCAGCTCCAGCCAGTATGAGAAACATGAGAAACAGCTGGAGATAAGGCAGGAAAATCTGTAGGTCTCTTGGCTTTTTTGAGCCCTCACCTGGTGGAGACAGTACTGGAGTTGGCAGCCTGAGACTCAGCACATCCCCCTCCACACCTCGCAGCCTGCGGAGCACTGCAGGACAGGAACCATGTGTGTCCCCAGCTGCTTCTGGCTGGGGCTGAGCCTCAGCTGGCACTGGGAGAGGCCTGTCTTATGCTGCTCCACTTTCTTGGCAGGAAGACCAGAGAAAAACATCAGCTTTGGAACAAGCCGTGCACTGGCATAGTGCAGCTCACTGCGGTGTGAACAAATCATTTTTCCATCTGTTTGTGAGGCCTGCATGTGTGTTACAGGTTGGTGGGTGTAACCAATCCACCCTTGCTCTTTGGTCTTGGTTCCATGAGTAATTGATGTTTCTGGGGATGCCTCATGCTGCTCATCAAACCTCTGGTGTTTTATCCAAGTGAGTCAATATTTTTACTTCTTTTTTTCTCTCTCTCTCTCTTTCTTTTCTTTTCCTTTTCTCTCTCTCTCTGTTTTTCTCTTTCCTTTCTTTCGTGATTCTTCTTTCTCTTTTTTCTCTCTCGTTTTTTTCTCTCTCCCTTTCTCTTTCTTTCTCTTGCTCCCTCTTTTCTCTCTCTTCCTTTCTCTTCCTCTCCTTCCCTCTCTCTTTCCCTCTCTCCTCCTCTTCCTCTGTTCTCTTCCTTCCCTTTTTCTTTCCTCTCCTGTTTCCTTGCTTTCCTCCCTCTCTTCTTCCCTCCCTCCTTTCCTGTCTTCCTCATTATTTCTGTTTTCTCCATGTTCTGTTTCTCCTCCTTTTTCCATGAGTCAGTTAGTGATGGCTCTGAAGTGCGCTTGGGGAGAGAGATTGGGAGGACATAGTTAAGAGGTTCTTAAACCATCATAGATCAATATTCTTTTTTAAAGAGTTCATTTGCTTTTTTAAATTATACTTTAAGTTCTGGGATATATGTGCAGAATGTTCAGGTTTGTTACATAGGTATACACATGCCATGGTGGTTTGCTGCACCCATCAGCCTGCCATCTATGTTAGGTATTTCTCCTAATGCTATCCCTCCCCTAGGCCCCCACTGGCAGACAGGCCCTGGTATGTGATGGTCCCCTCCCTGTGTCTAGGTGTTCTCATTGTTCAACTCCCACTTATGAGTGAGAACACGCGGTGTTTGGTTTTCTCTTCCTGTGTTAGTTTTTTGAGATTGATGGTTTCCAGCTTCATCCATGTCCCTGCAAAGGACATGAACTCATCCTTTTTATGGCTGCATAGTATTCCATGGTGTATATGTGCCACATTTTCTTTATCCAGCCTATCATTGATGGGCATTTGGGTTGTTTCTAGGTCTTTGCTACTGTGAATAGAGCTGCAATAAACATACGAGTGCATGTGTCTTTATAGTAGAATGATTTATAATCCTTTGGGTATATACCCAATAATGAGATTGCTGGGTCAAATAGTATTTCTGGTTCTAGATCCTTGAGGAATTGCCACACTGTCTTCCACAATGGTTGAACTAATTTACACTCCCACTAACATTGTAAAAGTGTTCCTATTTCTCCACATCCTCTCCAGCATCTGTTGTTTCCTGACTTTTTAATGATCGCCACTCTAATTGGCATGAGATGGTATCTCATTGTGGTTTTGATTTGCATTTCTCTGATGACCAGTGATGATGAGCTTTTTTTCATATGTTTGTTGGCCGCATAAATGTCTTCTTTTGAGAAGTGTCTGTTCATATCCTTCCCCCACTTTTTGATGGGGTTGTTTTTTTCTTGTAAATTTGTTTAAGTTCCTTATAGGTTCTGGACATTAGACATTTGTCAGATGGATGGATTGCAAAAATTTTCTCCCAGAGGAGTGTTTTACTTCTAATTATGTGGTCAATTTTAGAATAAGTGTGATGTGGTGCTGAGAAGAATGTATATTCTGTTGATTTGTGGTGGAGAGTTCTGTAGATGTCTATTAGGTCTGCTTGGTCCAGTGCTGAGTTCAAGTCCTGAATATCCTTGTTAATTTTCAGTCTCGTTGATCTGTCTAATATTGACAGTGGGATGTTAAAGTCTCCCGCTATTATCATGTGGGAGTCTAAATCTCTTTGTAGGTGTCTAAGAACTTGCTTTATGAATCTGGATGCTTCTGTATTGGGGACATATATATTTAGGATTGTTAGCTCTTGTTGCGTTCATCCCTTTACCATTTTGTAATACCCTTCTTTGTCTTTTTTTATCTTTGTTGGTTTAAAGTCTGTTTTATCAGAGACTAGGATGCAACCACTGCTTTTTTTTTTTTTTTTTTTTTTTTGGCTTTCCATTTGTTTGGTAAAAATTCCTCCATCCCTTTATTTTGAGCTTACATGCGTCTTTGCACATGAGATGGGTCTCCTGAATACAGCACACCGATGGGTCTTGACTCTTTATCGAATTTGCCAGTCTATGTCTTTTAATTGGGGCATTTAGCCCATCTGCATTTAACATTAATATGTTATGTGTGAATTTGATCCTGTCATTATGATGCCAGCTGGTATTGTGCCTGTTAGTTGATGCAGTTTCTTCATAGTGTTGATGGTCTTTACAATTTGTTATGTTTTTGCAGTGGCTGGTACTGGATTTTTCTTTCCATATTTAGTGCTTCCTTCAGGAGCTCTTCTAAGGCAGGCCTGGTGGTCACAAAATCTCTCACCGTTTGTTTGTCCATAAAGGATTTTATATCTCCTTTGCTTATGAAGCTTAGTTTGGCTGGATATGTAATTCTGGGTTGAAAATTCTTTTCTTTAAGAATGTTAATATTGTCCCCTGCTCTCTTCTGGCTTGTAGGGTTTATGCAGAGAGATCCACTGTTAGTCTGATGGGCTTCCCTTTGTGGGTAACCCGACCTTTCTCTCTGGCTGCCGTTAACATTTTTTTTTCTTCATTTCAACCTTGGTGAATCTGACAATTGTGTGACTTGAGGTTGCTCTTCTCGAGAAGTATCTTTGTGGTGGTCTCTGTATTTCCTGAATTTGAATATTGGCCTGTCTTGTTAGGTTGGTGAACTTCTCCTGGATAATTTCCTGAAGAGTGTTTTCCAACTTGGTTCCATTGTCCCCATCACTTTCAGGTACACCAATCAAATGTAGGTTTGGTCTTTTCACATAGTCCCATATTTCTTGGAGGTTTTATTCATTCCTTTTCACTATTTTTTCTTTAATCTTGTCTTCATGCTTTATTTCATTAAGTTGATCTTCAATCTCTGAAATCCTCCTTTTCCGCTTGATCAATTCCCCCACTGATACTTGTGTATGCTTCACCAAGTTTTCATACTGTGTTTTTCAGCTCCATCAGGTCATTTATGTTCTCCTCTAAACTGGTTATTTTAGTTAGCAATTTGTGTAACCTTTTTTCAAGGTTCTTAGCTTCCTTGCTTTGGGTTAGAACATGCTACTTTAGCTCAGAAGTGTTTGTTTTTACCCACCTTCTGAAGCCTACTTCTGTCAATTTGTCAAATTCATTCTCCATCCAGTTTTGTTTCCTTGCTGGTGAGGAGTTGTAATCCTTTGGAGGAGAAGAAGCATTCTGGTTTTTGGAATTTTCAACATTTTTGCTCTGATTTTTCCTCATCTTCGTGGATTTATCTACCTTTGGTCTTTCATGTTGGTGACCTTCAGATGGGGTTTTTGTGTGGATGTCCTTTTTGTTAATATTGATGCTATTCCTTTCTGTTTGTTAGTTTTCCTTCTAACAGTCAGGCCCCTCTCCCGCAGATCTGCTGGCGTTTGCTGGAGGTCCACCCCAGACCCTGTTTACCTGGGTATCACCAGCAGAGCCTGCAGAACAGCAAAGATTGCTGCCTGTTCCTTCCTCTGGAAGCTTCGTCCCAGAGGGGCACCCACCAGATGCCAGCCAGAGCTCTCTGGTATGACGTGTCTGTTGGGCCCTGCTGGGAGGTGTCTCACAGTCAAGAGGCACAGGTGTCAGTAACCCACTTGACAAGGCAGTCTGTTTCTTAGCAGAGCTTGAGCACTGTGTTGAGAGATCTGCTGCTCTCTTCAGAGCTGGCAGTCAGGAATGTTTAAGCCTGCTGTAGCTGCACCCACAGCCGCCCTTTCCCCCGGTGCTGTGTCCCAGGGAGATGGGAATTCTATCTATAAACCCCTAACTGGGGCTGCTGCCTTTGTTTCAGAGATGCCCTGCCAAGAGAGCAGGAATCTAGAGAGGCAGTCTGGCTACAGCAGCTTTGTCAGAGTTGAGGTGGCTCCATTCAGTTAGAACTTTCCAGCGGCTTTGTTTACACTGTGAGGGGAAAACCACCTACTCAAACCTCAGTAATGGCGGATGCCCCTCCCCCTACTAAGCTCTAGTGTCCCAGGTCGACTTCAGCCTGCTGTGCTGGCAGCGAGAATTTCAAGCCAGTGGATCTTAGCTTGCTGGACTGTGCGCGGGTGGGATCTGCTGAGCTAGGCCACTTGGCTCCCTCGTTTCAGCCCGCTTTCTAGGGGAGTCAACGGTTCTCTTTCGCTGGCATTCCAGGCGCCACTGGGGTATTAAAAAAAACTCCTGCAGCTAGCTCAGTGTCTGCCCAAATGACCGCCCAGTTTTGTGCTTAAAACCCAGGGCAGCAGTGGTGTAGGCACCTGAGGGAATCTCCTAGTCTGAGGGTTGTGAAGACTGTGGGGAAAGCATAGTGTCTCAGCCAGAATGCACCGTTCCTCACACCACAGTCCCTCACAGCTTCCTTTGGCTAGAGGAGGGAGTTCCCTGACCCCTTGCACTTCCTGGGTGAGGCAACGCCCCACCCTGCTTCAGTTTGCTCTCCGTGGGCTGCACCCACTGTCTAACCAGTCCCAGTGAGATGAGCTATGTGCCTCAATTGGAAATGCAGAAATCACTTGCATTCTGCATTGTTCTCGCTGGGAGCTGCAGACTGGAGCTGTTCCTATTCGGCTGTCTGATTAATATTCTTTTAAAAAATATTAAAAGAGATTCTACCTCTCCTGCAGGCAATGGAAACCGTCATGTGTGGAATAAGGCAGTTCAGTTCAAATATGAGGATGTGTCCTGGGGATCTGTACGGTGGACAGCACCATGACAGGCACTCCAGGGGTGAATATCTGTGTCCTCTTCTGAGCATGCAGAATTATTCCTCCTGACACGTGATCTGCAATAAAGAGAAGGTGGCTTTCAAAATACTTACAGTACTGTTGGGGAGACGGGGAGATTTGTCAGAGGAAAAATGATAAAACAATGCATGTGGAAAGAATTTAGGGGAGAGGAGCAAATAGCTTGAGTAAAGGTCTGTTTGTGTCACAAAGAGCTCCTGAAACTGAATCTTGCATATGAATATAATATGGTTAGTTATAAAAGAGAATGAAGAACACACCAGCCCTGGGGAATACAGCATGCAAGGGATATCATATTTGGAGGAAAATGAGGACTCTGGCTTGGTCATGGCACAGCCTTCTTGGTGGACAATGGCAGGAAATAGTTTGGAAAAGTCAGTTTTAAAGGGTGGTGAAGTTTTGTCACTTTTTTGTCTCTGGCTCTATCCTGGGTGGACTAAGAGTCCTGTTCTTTGAGCAAACATGGCTAGAGCTCTGGGATTGCTTGTGACCACCATAGCTCTCTGCAATGTAGATATGCGCTCTGTCTTGATTGGAATCCTATTCCAATATCTAGTCACAGCTGGATTGCTCAGTAATACTTTTATCTATTTCTCCTGAGTTCTTGTGGGCTTTTCCATGGCAAGAAACATATTTTGCTCTCAAGTTCCTTCTCGCATTTCAGCACACACCTAGGAAGGAACTCCTTCATTAGCCCACTCCCTGAAAACAGCACCTCCTACCTCTCCTTTTGCCATGCTCTGGAGAAATACCAATTGTCTTTGCCATACCTAACTTCCATTTTGAAAACCGATCTTGGTTTTTCTAATTTTTTTCAGAAAAAAGTATCTTTTCCCCATCACCACTATTAAATCTTCCATTCTCCCTTTCAAATGATTTTTACTATAAGCTTGTCAAGGTTTTCCAAATTGTGAAACAAAACTTGCAAATAAATTCCAAAATCAAACAAAAAATGGCTGTTAGGAAAGGTCATTTTTTGTGCAACATTTCCCCCTAGTATTGTCACATTTTACCTTTTCAATGCACAGCCAACATTTTCAAAGCAATTGGCTCTTATTGACTCCAATTAGTTTACTGTTCTGTTTTTTTTTTCTTTGAATTTAGCTTCTGCTCTACGGAACAATTGAAATCATCCCCACAAAAGTCACAAAAGGCCTCCTTCTTGAACTGTTGGGCAGGTCCTTTCAGTTCTTCTGTGCTCTCACCACAGCATCCGCATGATTAAGCATTCGCTTCTTGACGTACTCCTAGCTCTCTCTCACTTTTCCTCTCTCTGACTCTGACATCAATTATTTGTCTTCATCTCTGAGTCCTCTTTCCTCTCCCACTTTCCAATTAAGATGAGTTCACTACAGGTTTGCATTTGGGCCCTTTGTGTCCACACTTGCATCCTCCTCTCTTTAGCAAGGACCTCTCTAAATGACCTCAGCTCTCTATCACCTGTCTTCCCCCTCTTCTCATATAAACATGCATTCCTCTCTCCCTAGAGTCTGCATCCTGCTTAATGCAGTGGGTCCTAAACTGTCACCTTTATTTCCCCAGACCTGCCAGTGTCTTCTTCTAACTGTTCTGTTTCTGGAAGTATGGAGTGGAAACATCTATAAATTCATTTTATTCCAAAATTTTATTAGTCATCAACTCATAGTCTGGGAAAGTATTTAGTATTTCTTTTCCCACTGCCCATACCCTGCATCTTTCCATCTCATTTTTTAAACAGCTTTATTGAGATATACTTCACATACCTAACAATTCACCCATTTAAAGTGTTACAGTGTAATGGTTTTTGGTATATCACATCATTAATTTTCAAAATTGTGGCAAAATACATATAACATAAAATGTGCCATTTTGATCACTTTAAGTGTACAATTCAGTGGCATTAGCTACATTGATTATGTCATGCAACCATCATATCCATGTATTTTCAGGTTTTTTACCATCCCAAACAGACACTCTGTGGCTATTAAGCAGTAACTCCCCCATTCCCCACTCTCACCAGACGCTGGTGACCTATAATCTACTTTCTATGATCTTACGTATTCTAGGTGCCCCATATAAATGGAATCATATAATGTTTGTCCTTGCTGTCTACTTTATTTCATGTAGCATAATGTTTTCAAGGTTCAGTCATATTGTAGAATGTATCAGAATGTTATTCCTTTTTTTGGCTGAGTATTCCATTGTGTGCATATACCACATTTTGTCTATTCCTTTATCTGTTGATGGACAACTTGGATTGTTTCCAACTCTTGGCGATTGTGAATAATGCTCCAATGAACATGGTGTCCAGTATCTGTTCAAGTCCCTAGATTCAGTTCCTTTGGATATATACCTAGGAGTGGAATTGCTGGGTAATATAACATTCTTCACTTAGTATTTTTGACAAGCAAAAAAGCAACATAGCATCTGCAACATTTTACATTCCCACCAGCAATGTACAGGGTTCCAACTTCACATCCTTGCAAACATTTATTATTCTGTTTTCTCAATTATAGCCATCCTAGTGTCAAGTGGTATCTCTTTTATTATCTGATGCCTGGGCTATTATAATCTCCTAACTACTTATTTCTGCTTTAATATTTCTTTCTTAATGTATCTAGCACAATAATGCTATATTTTCTTACCTTGAAAAACTTACTCACCAGTAACTTTCAATGGCTCTTTATTGTTCCTTGAAAAAAAGTCTAAAGTCTACTAGCTTGCAAAACTTTCTATTTTCTTGGCCTCAATCTACCTTAGTAGTTCCCTACCTTATTGTGTATTTGGAAAGAATAAATGAGAGAATATAGTCATAGCACAGTTGCCTAACACATGTCTTCATTAAATATTTACTCTTACAAAGTAGTATCACCATATTTGTTGATGAGGAAAATGAAGTTCTTAAGAGGTAAGTAGTTCAATAAGTCTAATTACTCAATCTGAGTCAGTCAGCTTTTGAGTGAGCCAGACTTGGGTCGGACTGAAGTAACCAGCCTTAATTGTTCTGCTACTCCATGAAGAATTATGGAATAAGGATGATTCATAGCCCAGTGATACTTTGATAGCCAGATTAGGGAACAATTATATCATGGTTCACCTGTCCCTAGTCAAAGATCCAATTTTTGCATGAGTTCCAGATCTAGAACCCTGGTAGCATAATCCCCGCCTTATCCTGATAACCTGCGTGTCATACTGCCTTTCCAGAGAATTGCAAATACTATGCCTCAATCCAATGGCTATTTTAGTCACAGTAATACAAACATTCTTCTGCTTATATTTGACTCACACTCACAGAGGTCTTCTCCTCACCTGGTTGGCTCTTCCTTTACTTCCCCTTACTAGGCAGCTACAACCATGCTTTGTTGTGATGGGTCTAGCCTCAGGGTCTTTATCTGCCCCAATCTTCAACTCTTCCTTTGTGACTATTTTTCCATTTTGCTCTGACGTTACTTTTCTCCTTGAAAGCCTCCAAACTAGCCTTCTTCTATCTTTCTAATTGCTTTATTCTAGCAGCTTTCTTCAGCAAGTAGACTAGCTATGACAGCTTACTTCCCAGTCTGAGGGCACCTGGTCATGAGGATGAGAAGAAAACTTGAAGGAAATATGCAAACAGAATAGGCAATAATCTTTGATTTACATGATTTCTTTCCTTTTCCTTGATTATTTTGAAGTTTTGTTTCATTTAGGTGATAAGCCCAAGGGATTTGAAGCTGCTTTGCGTTTGAAGTTCGAGCAGCTCCAAGTGTGCTGTCAGCATTTAATTATTAACGCATGATAACAATAAAAACAATACCAGCAACAACAAGCAGATACTACCATCTGCTATTGCTTCAGGGCTAAAAGGGGGACATTTTCAAGGCCAGCTGTTGTGGAGGTACTTTGCCTTTTCTTGCACCATTTGCTTTCCATTTGAGGGCACAGAAGCCTGAAAACATTTTTTAGAATTTGTTCCCCTACCAATATGCTATTAATTTCCATATTAACCATCTTATAGCTCTAATATTCTAAGCTCTATGTCATTTTTTAGAATTATACTTGAATATTTTTTAGATTTTCCCATATCCTTTTTATCCAGTGGGGATTAGAACTGCCAAAAGTGTTCCAGATGGCTTCACACCAGGCTGTGTAAAGCAGGGCTTCTGCTTCCTCATTCTCACATGTGAGTGGCCCTTGTCAGAAACGCAAGACTGGCTCTGACTCTCCGGAAGGCAGGCCTTCTCCAGCATGTGAGAATGGAGGAGCAGAGGTCTAGACCAGTGGACTCTAAATCAGTAACATCTGCACGTCTGCTCACTCAAACTCCTTGATGCAGAGCAAAGATGGCTTTTTTTGATGCCTTCATTGAAGATCAGACCAGCTTTGCTTTTCCTCTATGTTATCCAGTGTTTAGTAGATGATCTCCTCAGATTGAAGCTATTCACTGAGGCGTTTTATAACCAAAATTGGAAGCCAATTGGTGACAAATTCTCTACCTTCAACTGCTTTAAGAATGACTAAATCAATAATACTTAAAATATCCTTCCAACATGTCTTTTTCTAGAAAGGTGAGTGTTACAGAAAAATGTAATTTGATATGAATTATGTTCCTCATAATGTCATTAAAACTTTCAAACATAATTGTTTCTTTCCTGTACATGAACATTTTATAGTGCAAGTTATTATGATTCCTTAATATAAGGCTTGAGAGACCTGCCATGTATATTTCATAATTGTTTCATTAAGAAATGTGAAACTCGGCCAGGCACGGTGGCTCACGCCTGTAATCCCAGCACTTTGGGAGGCCAAGGCAGGCGGATCACCTGAGGTCAGGAGTTCAAGACCAGCCTGGTCAACATGGTGAAACCCCATCTCTACTAAAAATACAAACAATTAGCTGGGTGTGGTGGCGAGCACCTGTAATCCCAGCTACTTGGGAGGCTGAGGCAGGAGAATTGCTTGAAACCGGGAGGCGGAGGTTGCAGTGAGCCAAGATCGTGCCATTGCACTCCAACCTAGGCAACAAGAGCGAAACTCTGTCAAAAATAAAATTTTAAAAAAGTGTGAAACTCTTAAAATTCATCACTGAACGTGAGTTTTAGGACAGAGGTGTAAAATCCTTTGGCTTCCCTGGGCCAAACTGGAAGAAAAAAAATTGTCTTGGGCCACACATAAAATACACTAACAGTAATGATAGCCAAAGGGCTAAAAAAAAAATCACAAAGAAACTCACAATGTTTTCAGAAAGTTTATGAATTTATGTTGGGCCGCATTCAAAGCCATCCTAGGGTGCAGATTGGACAAGTTTTTCCTAGAAGTTGTCCATATTTACGGGACTTTATTTTGCCTGTGGTACAATTAAAATCAGTGAAATGGTAAACTGTTGTTATAGGTTTCCTCCAGAACTGCTGATAAATTTGAGTGGTTCTCAAGGCCATTCCAAGATTGCATTATTCCCCTGAAGTTCCTGTCTATCATACCCACACTTTCCTCAACACACTCTCCAATAATCCTTCATTTTCAGACTTCAACAAAAGGTGAAAACCCTCTAAATTCTCATCCTTTCATTTTACATTTTATGCATATCTCCATTTATAGTTAACTATTTACTTTCTAATTTTCAAATTGAAGCTGCGGTGCTATTCCTTTCCGTTGGAAATCCTTCCACTATGAAATTGGTAGTGGAAGAGCTTGGTCATGGAGTCATCTAGTCTTGCATGTGGACTCTGGAGCCACTACTTGTTGCTTTCTCTTCGATTGGCTCCTTGGTCTCTTTGAGCCTTCGTTTGTCCACCTGGGATAGAAATAGAGATTAAACATGATTATTTAATAATAGACACAAAACATAGTGATTCTTCCTTCCCTATCTTCCATGGCCTTCTCTCAAATGTCTCTTGATTTTTTTGGATAAATGTCTTCTCTCTCTCCATCAGCTTCTTCATTGCTTCATTGGTAAATAAACATATTTATATTTCCTATTTCTGAAAAACAATTAAAAATTTAAAGTGGGGTCTTCTTGTTTATGTTTCTCTTTAAGCCATTCCTCCATTGCCCCCTTCCCACTGGCTGCCATATTTCTTGAAATCATATTTTCACGGTGCCACTCTCCACATTTGCTTATCACTGAACCACAACCCTGGTTTCTTTCACTGCTTATCAGAGGTCTCCAATGGTCTTCTATTAGCTCTCCTACTATCAGATGTGATATCATGCTATAAGTATAACCACATTGAGAAGCCATTCCTCTAAAATTCTAACATGGTTTCCGACACTGAAGCCTCAACTTAATTCTCTCCCCATTCCTCTAGCTCCTTTGTGATTTCCATCCTCAGATTTGTTTCTTCTGATTCTCTCTTAAGTTAAAGTGTCCCCAACATTCTCTCCTGGGACAATTGTTATTTTTGCATGCACCATGAACAATTGCATTTACTGTTATGCCTTTGAATTAATATGGACTGCTCATTCTTAATCTTTATGCCTGAATATACAAATACAGTGAATGTCTCTATTTGTTGCAGCAATGTAAGTAGATGCACATTCAGAAAAATAGATGTGTGACTATCTAGTTTCCTCTATATTTTTTAATTCTATTGATTCACTTCAAGTTTTAACTAGATTGGTATAAAGCCAATTGTTCCCTTTTTAAAAAATCAGTTTACAGAGCCAGACTCCGTCTCAAAAAAAAAAAATTCAGTTTGTGAACATGTCAACTTTTAGTATGTTGGCCAGAACAAGTGTCACAAATTTTGAGAGATATGATGACATTCCAGCATAAGACATTACCTGTATTGACCTTCCTAAATATAGAATCTCGGAGGGAATCAGATGTCACCTCTGAAAACCTATTTCTGTGAGAATCTTTCCAAGACATACTGGTAACACAGATTTCAGTATATTTGTTTTAAAATGCATTTTTCAAATACTGACCTACATGAATTTGGTTCACTATATGGTTCATTATAAGAGCCAAAGTGGTTATGAGAAATATTCAACAATAAGTGCTTAAATTTTAGTTAATTGAACAGCCATTTAAATATTATGGAACTTTAACCACTTAAACAAAATATCTAAATGAGGGTTCAGAGCTGTCCAGTTTTAACTCAAGGTTTAATATGAAATATACAGTGCCAAACACACCAGTGATCCCTGTTGAAACATCATAGCAGTTAAAATAAAACCTAGATATGTGAAACAACTTACAAGTTTGTTACATAGCAATATTTTGATGTCATTTAAAAATCTTGGAAATATATTACTTCTAAGGATCAAGGCAATTGTTTTATCTACGATTTTTGATTCAATTCCTAGGAAATTGATACATGCACACATTCTGGGATTCAGATGGAGTTTTCCTTTTAAAGAACTAAGGAAAATACAGTTAAAAATACAAAAAACTTGAATTTAAGATAAAATATTGAGAGCATGTCTTGGAGCATTGTTTAACATGCCTACCCAATAATTAAGTCTCTAGGAGAATGCATCTTTGAATTACTATTAGCTACTGGTTAGACCCTAGACTCTGTGAAGTTACATGTTGTTACCTTGTAAATTTCAAAAATAAAGATGTAAGTAATTTCCATCTAGTCAAAAGAAATATAAAGTTAAATGCTATAATCCTGTTGCCCTATAGTACACTCACCAGTTTTATATCTAATTTGCAATATTATTCCAGATACACAGATTGTTTCTAATTATCCATTGAACCAGATTTAGCATTGTGACGATTCCTTTATTAGAGAGTTAAATATTTTTTTGACAAGTACTTACTTTATATTTACATAAGAATCATGTTTTTAACTTTTAAAAGCTATATTGTGGCAATATCATTTACAACCAATGATAGGTATTCATATGCTATCAGCCTGTGATTTGAAATATTTTTAGATTTGTATATAATGAAATGATACTAAAAGTAGTCTGTCCAACTTCTATGTGGTTTTAGATCTGGCAGAGACATTACTGCAGTATGGAGTATGCCTTTCTCATTTTTACAGATTTAAAAGCAAACAAAACCAAACGCAGTCTCCAGGAGATTTATTTGCATGAGGTCATAAAGTAAATAATAAGCAAATCGAGAATCTTACCTCTATATCTGAGGTTGCACTTTCTCAAATAATTAGCTTTATTTATAATATTAATTTATTTAAATATGTTATTTTATTTTGATTATATTCTCAAGACTATGTATGGCACTAAAAAACATGAAGATGAGTAAGTCTTGACTTTAAGAAATTTTGTCTAGTTTGGGTCTACATAGATTAAAATTTATAGTACATAGTGTGGTTATTATGTTTAAGGAAGTATGACAAGAATATTTTTATCAGTCTAGAGGGTCAAAGAAAACATCTGGAGAAGGTGAGGTTTGAGTTGGACCTTGAAAGAACAGGAGAAGTACAAACCAACATGAAAAATAAATGTGTTTGTGTATATCTATATCTTTATCTATATCTATATATCAACATCTCTGAAGGAATATATAATGCAAAAAATAGAAATGATCATCTGTGTCTATAACCCAAAAGCGTATTGGCAAAAGTCAAGAAGTGTGGATATGAGATATTAAGTAGACAGAGTCATGCAGGGTCCTACCAAAGAGGCAGTCTGTAGTTACTCCATTTTACATTGATTTCTGAAAATCAAATAAAAGTTCACCTAAAGCAATTGATTTTTTAAATGGATAATAAATGTATAGACTTTCAAAACGTCTTTTCCATTTCAAAACATGTATAAATAAGATAGAGCCAAAATATAACATATGAAAGTAAAATGATTATTAAGATAGAGCCACATTCCATGAAAATGATCTTCATGGGCTGTGTGGTATAGGGGGAGGGAACAATTGAAATGCAAAGTGATGAGTGAGAACTCAGCCATGGCCTGCCTCCTTCCAAAGCCTGAAGCAGTCAGGTAGGCTGTGACGGCTGGGCTGCTGGAGTCAGTAGTGCTCAGTGAGAGGCAGAGGAGGGAAGCCAGGCTTACTCCTTTAGGCCAGGGGTTGGGATCAATTTGCCCTCTGGGGCTATCACTTTATATGGAGCTATCGCTGTGGAGACAAATAATGATTTAGCCTTAAGCCAGGAACTGAGACAAACCATCAGCTACTTCCAAGGCTGAACTGGTAATACCTCGTGTCATTATAGATCAAGATAAACATGGTCAGAACTCCTTCTGGAGGGCCAGGTTAAAGCCAAAATAAAACAGCAGAACTGATAAATGGTAGTAGGGGTCTAGGGGAGTGGGGGCAGGAGGATGAAGCAAAGCAACTAAATAAAAATAACTTTCTACCTAAATGAGCCTACAAATTCAAATTCCAGAATACATCAATAGATGTAATGCAAAAAACAGTCATACAACAAACTCAACAACTGCAATGGGAATTTATGTCAGATGAAATTAATTTTATAGAAGAGTCTGATAAAGACTTTACATTCGACACATTTAGGAATGTTAAAAATGAAGACATGAAGACATGCCAGCAAGATGAACAATAGACCAAAAATATATAGGCAAACATGAAAAACTGGTTAAGAGAAAAAGCTGATCATAAACCTTAGAAATGGAAAATTTAAGATTTAAATAAAAATATTTTTATGTACAGGCTGAGCACCCCTAATTTGAAAATCCAAAATTCAAAGTGCTCCAAAATATGAAACTTTTTGGTGCCAACATATTATTTTGAGTGCCACAAGTAGAAAATTCCACACATGACCTGATGTGATGTGTCACAGTCAAAATGCAGGCACACAACACAAGCTTATTCAGCATCCCTATGAGAAAAAAGACCCTCTCAGTGGGTCAGCTGCAGCATTTTAATGCATTCCCAGGTTTCCCGACACAACCACTTCACAAAGGTAATATGATGGCACATTTGTAGGCTGATAACAGCAATGGCAGGTTCCCCAGGATGCCCCACGTGGAGTCAAGACCTGCATGCATGACTTATTTTTTTTATTTTTTTTATTTTTTTGCTTATTCTCTACTCTGGAGTATAAAGATATTATTAAAAATATCAAAAGGCCTGCAGATGCCCGTATTGTCAATGGTGATAATAAAAATAGAAAGTATTTATGTTTATCTATAGCACAGAAACTTAAACTGTAGGAGAAATTAGACAGTGGTATTACATGTGCAATGTCTAACAGAAAAGTATGATGTTGGAATGACCACCATATATGACCTGAAGAAATATAAAAATAAACTGTTGAAACTCTATGATAAAAGTTATGAACAGAAATTTATGAAAAATACTCCCAGAAGCTAAAAATGAAGATATTAATTATGTATTTAAAGAGTGCATCCATCAGAGTGGCAGTGAACACATGCCAATTAATGGTATGCTAATCATGAAACAAGTAAAGATATGTCAGTGTGAGTTGAAAATTGAAGAGAACCATGAATATTTAACAGGCTGGTTGCAGAAATTTAAGAAGAAGTTCAACATTAAATTTTTAAAGATTTGTAGTGATAAAGCATCTGCTGATCATGAAGCAGTGGAGAAATTCATTGTTGATTTTGCCAGGGTCATCACTGATAAAAATCTGAGGCCAGAAGAAGTCTATAATACTGATGGCACATGACCATTTTGACATTGTTGTACTAGAAAGACACTGGCTATAGCTGATGAGACTGCCTGTACAAAAATTAAGAATGCCAGGATATGATAACTGTGTTGGTTTGTGCTAATGCACCAGGCAAATTACAATGACTATTTCTGCTATGATAGGCAAAAGCTTTTGTTCTTGCTACTTTCAAGGAGTGAATTTATGACCAGTTCATTATTATGCTAACAAAAAGGCATGGATCACCAGGGACATGTTTTCTGATTGTTTTTGCAAACATTTTGTACCAGTGGCTCACACTTTCTGCAGAGAAACTGGACTGGATGAAGACTGCAAGATTTTGTTATTTTTTGACAACAATTCTGCTCATCCTGAAGTGTTCATCAAAAATCATCTTTATGCCATGAACTTTCTCTCAAATGTCAGTGTATTAATTCAGTCATTTGACCTATAATTAGTCAATGCAGACTGAATATAAGAACACTTTCTTGAAGAGCATGCTGTCAGCAGTGAACAGAGGCATGGTTGTTCAAAGTTTACGAAAGGAGCTTAGCATGATATGTGCTGTTGCCAATGTCTGGAATATAGTGACTAAAGATACAGCTGTGCACATCTGGCACAACCTCTGGCCTGTGACTATGTTTAGTGGTGATAATGAATAAAGCAGTGATCTTCAAGGAATTCATATGTCAAATGAGAAAAACATGATGCCCAACTTTACATATGCAAAAAATATACTTTCAGAGTTCGTGAGTAAGCTGGAATAAGTGGATATCAAAGCAGTTTTTAACATCAATAATGAGGCTCCAGTTGTTCACTCATGAATTAATGGTGAAATAGCTGAAATGATTCTGAATCCAAGGTGATCATGATAATAGTGATGATGAAGAAGACATGGTTAACGCCGCAGAAAAATCCCTATAAGCCATGTGATGAAAAAGTGTGATGGGCTTATTGGAAGACTAGAGCAGCATTTATTCATAACAGAATAAGAAATCATGTCAGTTTAAAAACCAAAGGGAGTTGAATGCAAAAAACCATTGTTAATAAGACAGATGACTCTGGAGAAAACATTTGTAAAAAGTCATCCAGCATGATTTATAGTCCTTTGGGTGTATACCCAGTAATGGGATGGCTGGGTCAAATGGTATTTCTAGTTCTAGATCCCTGAGGAATCGCCACACTGACTTCCACAATGGTTGAACTAGTTTACAGTCCCACCAACAGTGTAAAGGTGTTCCTATTTCTCCACATCCTCTCCAGCACCTGTTGTTTCCTGACTTTTTAATGATTGCCATTCTAACTGGTGTGAGATGGTATCTCATTGTGGTTTTGATTTTCATTTCTCTGATGGCCAGTGATGATGAGCATGGATGAAATTGGAAATCATTCTCAGTAAACTATCGCAAGAACAAAAAACCAAATGCATATTCTCACTCATAGGTGGGAGTTGAACAATGAGATCACATGGACACAGGAAGGGGAACATCACACTCTGGGGACTGTGGTGGGGTGGGGGGAGGGGGGAGGGATAGCATTGGGTGATATACCTAATGCTAGATGACGAGTTAGTGGGTGCAGCGCACCAGCATGGCACATGTATACATATGTAACTAACCTGCACAATGTGCACATGTACCCTAAAACTTAAAGTATAATAATAAAAGAAAAAAAAAGTCATCCAGCAGAATGTCTCTTCATCCCTAGAAGATCCACTTCCTAGTCTCTAAACTGCTTCTGATGTTTCTTTTCACCTAAAAAAAATAAAATATAGTGTATAGTAATCTTTTTGTCAAAACACAGCATGGCAGGTGGAGACTAAAAGTCTGCTGTTGTGTGTTGTTGCTGCCGTTAAACAGCTGATACAGGCATTCTGATGATGCCACTGTGCTGTTGAGTTATTCTGAACACATTATATTTTCACTCAGTTAATAGTATGTTGTATTTTTTACTGTTGAGTACTTACATGTGAATAAATGTAAGAAAATGACTGCTTATCAGTAGTATATACATTCAGAGTCAGGAATGATGGTGATGCCAAACAACCACAGATTGTCCACATGGTTGGGTATGATAGTGGCATCTTTGCTTTCTGATGGTTCAGTATGTACCAACTTTATTTCATAAACCAAATTATTAAAAATGTCAGACAACATTTCCTTCAGCCTATATGGAAAAGATGTATACAGCACATAAATAATTGTATGTTTAGACTTGAGTCCTATCCTCAAGATATCTCACTATGTATATGCAAATATTCCAAGATCCAAACAAATGTAAAATCTGAGACATTTCTGGTCCCAAGCTTTTTGGATAGGGATACTCAAACTATACTTAGGAAACAGAGTTAATGAACTGAAAGAGATTGTGAAGTATTGCACTCGAAATCGGCACAGTAAAACAACACAAGCATATTTTATTTAAGAAACAATAGTAGACAAAGGGAATGGATTAAAACATTATTTTATAACCAAATAGAAATTCTGTATGTTGACTCATGAACTAATGGTGAAATAGCTGAAATGATTCTGAATCCAAGGTGATCATGATAATAGTGATGATGAAGAAGACATTGTTAACATCGCAGAAAAATCCCTATAAGCAATGTGATGAAAAAGTGTGAATGAAGACTGAAAAATATTTAAAATTCAATGGATTAACAACTCAGTATTTTGCAGAAATGAGGAAAGAAAGAATGCTCAGATCAAAAGCCCATCCCAATTCACAAGTAGAATGGATGAAGATACCACAATACATAGTTACATCACAGTGAACTCCTAGAATATTGACGTTCTTGGAAAAATCTTAATAGTTATCAGAAAATAAACGTTATTTATAAAGAAAAAATAATCAGGTAAATAACAGATGATTCAGTAAAAATCAAATTGAAAAGTACAGAGGCTAAACTGCAAATTAGAATGAATAAAACAACTCATTTGACAGTGAGAAAAACTTTTCTATTTTAAGATATGAAGGATTAGTTCAGGAGGAAGAAGGTCCAAATGAAACCTGTGGTAAACAAGAGATTATAGTTGACTATTTTCTATAAGATATATTATTTACTGTGATTTGTAAAGGGCAAAATTCATAATCTGATAAGAAATTATAATGGAATATAAAAGCAGTAAAGGAGAAAAATAGAAGAAGATGACTATAAACTGACAAAGAAAGTATAAATTATATCAAAAACACCAATATGAGTAAAATGATTTAGATTATGCGATTGGAGAAAATAAAATACAGGTATATGCTGTTTACAAGAGACAGTCTTACAATAAAGAAAAAAAAAACTACCCAGGAAGATTGAAAATAAAGGGAAGGTAAAATATCTAATTATAGAAAAGCTCAAATCACTGAAAAGTTATAAAAATTACTTGTTTAACAAATATTTATATGCTGCTATGTGCCGGGCTGGGAATATAGAAATAATCAAAAGAGAGACAACTCCCTGCCCTTGTGGATCTTATATTCTGGTAGAAAGCATCTAGTACACAAAGTTGGCAGAATTACAAGGAGAAATTGACAGATTACACATTGCATGTCTATCAGAAAACTAATATGTGTAACTAATGCTTAATGGAGAAATCACAATGACTATTTCTATATGTTTAGTTTGAACAAAAAATTTTAAAAATTGTGGGATACAGCTTCGAGTTCTCACAGAAAACAAATGTCAATACAATTGGATGATTTGAGGATGGTAATTTACAAAGGCACTATTTAGAAAGGGGTGGGTTTAGGTGAAATCTTCAGGAATCCTTGGACATACCCCAAGCTAAGATCAGTAAACTTGTCACCGTGCCTAGAACAGAAGGGAGCAGGAGAGAGAGCAATTTCCAGATTCTGTTGAGAAGAAATCATTGAAAAGGCTGCCTTGGGAAGTCCATACGTTCAGCGGGGAGACACACTAGCCTAACGGGATCTTGCAAGAAAGAAACCAGTGGTGTAAATCCCCTGAACTTACTCTCCTTCCTGCCCTGCCTCTGGTCTCTTCCAAAGCCTGACATTGGCCAGCTCAACTGGAATCCTTAAAGCAAAGGGTTGTTTGAAGTCATTTGTTCAGATCAATCTGCAGGCTGTAAGCCAAAGGGAGGAAAGGTATCAAGTGCTCTTTAGAAGAAAAGTTGTAACTTGAAGTTAATTGATTTTACATATCAGGATGAACATAATGAGTTAAATTTTGAACTCAAGAATATAAAGAGAATAGAGTAAATCTGGAGAAGGCAAAACAATAATGATGATCAAGGTGAAGGAGAGATTAAAAGACACAGGTAATAAAAATTTTACAAACCATGGTTAAAAGCAATAAAGAAAAACAGCAAAAATCTGTGCTTTGAAGAAAAAAATATAAGCACTCTTTTAGCAATAATAATTAAAGAATGAAAGTGGAAAATTTTCCCAGAAAACCATTTTTACTAACATTAACTTAAGAAATACAAAGCCTTACAAAATCAATAACAATTAAAACATTGAATCAATTATCAAAGTCTCCACTCCAAAAGACACCATGCCCTAGACACCATCTTTGAGGTGTTTTTATCATACCTTCAAGGATTAGAGAGAACAAAACAAGAAAGTAAGATATGATGGCCGAGACAGCTAGCTGACTACTCTTTCTCCCACACCAAGAATCTGTTATTTCTGATGTCTTCATTTGTAGAAATTTTATCTGGTTACAGAGTTGCTCAACTAAAAATGAAAATTCCCAGATATTATTTCAGCTAGGTGTACTATGTAATAGATTCTGGTGAATGGGATGTGAGTTACTATAATATGTAGAACTTTTAGCATGTGTTTTTAAATGTAAGGGAATGTGCCCTTCTTTTCTTCCATATCTTGTCCTCAATTGCGAGGATGCGGACACAGTTGTCACAAGTGGAGCAGCAATTTTATACTACAAGACGAAATCCTAAATTGCAGAAACCAGAGCAACAAGGTAGAGCCTATAATGCCAACAGTGTGGAACTGCAATATCAATCCTGGTCTTTATATGAGGGAGGAGTGTCTGTGTTTTTGAAGCTTTTATTACCTTGGACTTTGTCATAGTAACTTGATCAACATTTGGTAACGGAAGAGGAATATTGCCTTAACAGCTAACCGATTAACTCGATGGTTGGGTACAGGCAGAGAACACGTTACTGTGGCAAAATATTTGGTGAGAATTGTGCCTTGAAGGGGAGACAAAATGTGTTGAGAATACATTTCAATTTCATGTAACTGGTTGGAAAATCAAAGCATGTTGGTAGATATAAGTGACTACTTAAAATTTTTAGCAAAGTTCCCTGCGAGAAATTAGCTCAGGGTGTTGACTTTTTGTAATAAGGCCTCCTTACAATAGGTAAGATTTTGGCCCTGAGCTCTGGGCTCTTCTCAAGGGCATCATATTGAGGCCTCCTTGCCAAACAATGGGAACCAATGCACTAGCATAGATCATACTAAGAAGGTTGCCCCAACCTCAAGGTGACCTCAAAGTAGCCACCATTGTTTAAAGAGAGAGATACACTTTGGGAGGCTGAGGCAGGCGCATCACCTGAGGTCAAGAGTGCAAGACCAGCCTGGCCAACATGGTGAAATCCCGTCTCTACTAAAATTATAAACAATTAGCGAAGCGTGGTGGCACATGCCTGTAATCCCAGCTACTCAGGAGACTGAGACAGGAGAATCACTTGAACTTGGGAGGTGGAGGTTGCAGTGAGCTGAGATTGCACCACTGCACTTCAGCCTGGGTGACAGAGCCAGACTCAATCTCAAATAAATATATATATATATATAGAGAGAGAGAGAGAGATGGGCATTACACAGAAGCAGTAAAGACCAATATTTTCAGATCATTGAGAGTAACAACCACTTGTAGCTAAACTCCTGCTATGACAAGCAAGAAAATGAGAAAACTGCATGAAGTATAGGAATAAAAAAACTATCTTCAGGCATCAGCCTACAGCCAGTGTAGAACTGTGACCCCTGAGGAGAACATCAAATAAGGGAGGAATTTAAAATTTGCCAAGCTTTCTGCCTGGAAGCAATTTTCAGACTGCAGCCCTGAGAAGGGCATCCCAGAGTGCCCAGTGATGTCTGGAGTACAGGAGACAGAATGAGGAGTTGGGAGAGGCTAAGACAGATAGAACATATGAGGAGACCACCTGAGAGAAGAAGAAAGGCATCTGAGAAATCTGTGTAGGGTCCCTAGTAGTCTTTGACTGAATATGAATCTTTGTATGCATACAGTGCAAACCCATAAGGCTAAAAATTGATAGAACTGCCAACAGAAATAGAAAAATCCACAACTATAATTGAGTATTTTAATAGCCCTCTCTAAAAATGGATATGAGAATTGAAGAGAAATTAGCAGAAACATAAAAACACTATAAACAAATTTGACCTATTAGCATTTATAGACTATGTTATATAATAACAGCAGAATATACAGTATATACAAAGGAACAGGAAATATTTACCAGATGAACTATATTCTGGGTCACAAAATAAGTTTGGACAACTTTTAAATAATTATTTTTAAACAGAATATATTCTCTGACCCTGTAATAGAATTAAATTAGAAATCAACAACAAAGACCTCTAGAAAATTCCTAAATATTTTGAAAGTAAATCATTAACATAAATAAACAATGGATCAGAAAAGAAATCAAAAGGATACTTAAAAATCTGTTTTGAACCAAATGAAAGTGAAAACATAGAGTATAAAATTTTGTGAAATGGTTCAAAAAGGGCATACGGTACTTTTCATAGTACTGAAATACTATGTTGGAAAAGTAGACCTTATGATAGGTCTGCTAAATGACTAAAGTTATCACCTTAAGATACTAGAAAAAGTAGATGATAGGAATCCCAAACAATGAAGAACAAAGGAAATTTAAAAATGAGTGAAATTAACTAAATAGTAAACAAGCAACAATAAATCAATGAAACTTAAAAACTCATTTTTTGTGAAGACCAATACAATGAAAAAACTAACAGTCAGATTTATCACAATAAAAAGAGAAAAAAGAGAGAGAAGGTACAAATTGTCAGTATCAGGAAAAAGAGTGCTTATCTCACTACAGATTCTACAGATACTTACAGGAAAATAAAAGAATATAAGAAACAATATTTTGCCAATTAATTTAAATGTTTAGATTAAATGGATGGACAATTTTCTTTTGCAAGAGACAAACTACCAAAGCTCACTAAAGTGAAAATAGATAAACTGAATTGCCCTGTATTTTAAAAGTCATTTTTAAATAGCTTGAGATATAATTTATATTCGATGTAATTTGCTTAAGTATAAAAATCAAGGTTTTCCAGAATATTCATAGAGTTGCATAATCATAATTAATTTTAAAACATTTTTGTCACTTCAGAAATAAACCCCAACCTCATTAGCAGTCATTTTCCATTTCCCTCCCAACTCCTAGACTGAAGCAACTGCAAATCTACTCTTCTTTTTTCTACAGATTTTCTTATTCTGGACTTTTTTGTATAAGGAATTATAAAATATGGTCTTAGGTGGCTCTTGTTGATGGAAATTTGGTTTGTTTCTACTTTTTGGCTATTATGAATAATACAGCTATAAATATTCATGTACAAGGTTTGATATGGACACTTATTTTTACATATTTTTTATTTTTCTGGAGTGTATTCTTAGGAATAGAATTGCTAGGTCATATGGTAACTCTATGTTTAACAGTTTGAGGACATTTCATGCTGTTTTCCAAAGTAGCTACTATTTTAAATTCCCACTAGCAATTCATGATGGTTCTAGTTTCTTCACATCCTTGTCAAAACTTGTTCTTTTCTGCCTTTTTTTATTTTGGCCATCCTACTGGGTGTGAAGTGGTATCATATTGCAATTTTGATTGCAATTCCCTAATGGATAAAACATCGAACAACTTTACTTATGCTTATTGGCCATTTTTATATCTTATTTGAAAACAATGTTTATTCAGATTCTTTCCTCATTTTAAAATAAATTATCTTTTAATTATTGAGTCCTGAGAGTTCTTTATATATCTTGAATAAAAGTCTATTATCAGATATATGATTTGAAAATATTTTATCCCATTTTATGATTGTCTCTTCACTTTCTTGATGGTGTTCTTTGAATCACAAATTTTTTAAATTTTAATGGAGTCCAATTTATCTATTTTTTATCATGTTGACAATTTTTCTTTTGTATTCCCATCAAAGAAGCCATTACCTATTCCCAGGCCACAAAGATTTACTTCTGTATTTTTTCCTAAGAATTTTATAGTTTTAGCTTTTACATTTAGGTCTATTATGAATTTTGAGTTGTTTTACATATGTTGTGAGGTGGGGGTCCAACTTCGTTTTTATTTTGCGTATGAATACCCAGTTGTCCCAGCATCATTTGTTGAGACCATTCCTGATCATTAAATCATTTTTGGCACACTTGTCCACAATTAATTGACCAGGCTGGGCGTGGTGGCTCACAACTTCACTCCTGTAATCCCAGCACTTTGGGAGGCTGAGGCAGACGGATCACCTGAGGTCAGGAGTTTGAGACCAGCTTGGCCAACATGGCAAAACCCAGTCTCTACTAAAAATACAAAAATTTGCTGGGCGTGGTGGCAGATGCCTGTAATCCCAGCTACTCAGGAGGCTGAGGCAGTAGAATTGCTTGAACCTGGGAGGGGGGTGGAGGTTGCAGTGAGCTGAGATGGCACCACTGCACTCCAGCCTGGGGAATAGAGCTAGATTCTGCCTCCCCTGCAAAAAAAAAATTAATTGACCATAAATATGAGGGCTTTTTAGTGGACGCTTTATCATATTCCATTGATCTTTGTGTTCACCTCTATCCCTATACCACACTGTACACTGTACTATTGTAGCTTTATAAGTTTTAAAATTGGAAAGTATGAGTCATCTAAATTTGCTTTTTTTTTAAGATTATTTTGACAATTCTTGGTCCTTTGCTGAATTTCTATAATTTTATCTTGCCTCAGCATTCATTTTGAATATAAATTAGACTCCCATACCAGAAGCAGACCATAGTCATCTCTGACACAGTTTTCCTTCTCCACCTCCTCTCACTTCCTCAATGTGGCCAATCTAAATATCTGTCTTACAGGGGAGGAAACAGCTAGGTACTACTTACTTACTCACTGCACTGGCCCCCACCCCTGTATGAACTGCATAGATATGCTGCAGTGATCACCTCTCAGTCACAGTATGATTCCACATAACTTGTGCCTGCTTGCTGTAAACCCACCAGTTAGAAATCCTTGTGGGAAATCTGCCTATGTAACACCTTGCACTGCAATTAAGGCATTGGCCCAGAGGTACCTGCCTCTGTCTTTCTTGCTCCTCATCTTCTGGTTGAGTGTGTATCCCAGATAGCTCTCCCCTTCCCATTGGCCCCATGAGGCATGCTGCTCTCTTCTCTCTATGATCGGTAGGTAATAATCTGTTTCTGTTATTTCATGTGTTTTGTTGCTTTGCCTCCTCTTTGTTTCACCTGACAGGCATACTGAAACATAGATTTTTCTCTGGTAAGGGCTCTCCTAAAGAGTAGGAATAAACTGAACACAGGTCGGACAAGAGACACAGTGTGCCTGCCAATGTGAGCAAGTTTCCTGTGAGAGGTACACCTGGTCATGGGTCAGCCACTTAGGCACAGGCCATCTGCCAGGATGAAGAAGCATCACATAAAAGGCACACTGTAAGTATCCATGACCAGATCCCCTGGAGCCCCATCAAAACCAAATTAGAAACCCCTGGAGCCCACTTCAAAACCAAATTAGAAAGAAAAAACAATATGACACTTGCTTTTCCATACAAGTTCTAGATTCAACTTGTCAAATTAAAAAAAAAAAAAACAACAAAAAAAACAAATTTTGTTAGGGAATGCATTGAATTTGAAGATCAATTTAGGGATTTCTGACTCTGTGTCCCCACCCAAATCTCGTGTTGAATTGTGATCCCAGATTTTGGAGGTGGGGCCTGGTGGGAGGTGATTGGATTATGGGGGTGGTTCTAATGGTTTAGCATTATCCCCCTAGTTCTCTCTTGCGGTAGAATTCTGATGATATCTACTTGTTTAAAAGTATGTAGCACCTCTCACCCCCACCCACCACACTCTTTCTCCTGCTCTGGCCATGTAGGATGTGCTGGCTTCCTCTTAGGCTTCTATCATGATTGTAAATTTTCTGAGGCCTCCCTAGCCATGCTTCCTGTATGGCCTGTGGAACTGTGAGCCAATTAAACTTCTTTATAAATTACCCAGTCTCAGGTAGTTATTAATAGCAATCTAAGAATGGACTAATACAGAAATTTGGTACTGGGAGTGGGGCATTGCGATAAAGATACCTGAAAATGTGGAAGTGACTTTGGAACTGGGTAACGGGAAGAGGTTGGAACAGTTTGGGGGGTTCAAAAGAAGACAGAAATGTGAGGGAGGGTTTAGAAGAAGATAGGAAGATGAGGGAAAGTTTGGAACTCCTTAGAGACTTGTTGAATGGGTTTTGACCAAAATCCTGGTAGTGATATGGATAGTGAAGTCCAGGCTGATGAGTTCTCAGATGGAGGCGAAGAATTTATTGGGAACTGGACTAAAGGTCACTCTTACTATGGCTTTGCAAAGAGACTGGAGGCATTCTGTAGCGATCTGAGGAACTTTGAACTTGAGAGAGAGGATTTCAGTTATCTGGCAGAAGAAATGTCTAAGCAGCAAAGCATTCAAGATGTGGCCTGGCTGCTTCTAAAAGCCTACACTCATTTGCATAAATAAAGAAATGAGGCCGGGCGCAGTGGCTCACGCCTGTAATCCCAGCACTTTGGGAGGCCGAGGCGGGCGGATCACGAGGTCAGGAGATCGAGACCATCCCGGCTAAAACGGTGAAACCCCGTCTCTACTGAAAATACAAAAAATTAGCCGGGTGTAGTGGCAGGCGCCTGTAGTCCCAGCTACTTGGGAGGCTGAGGCAGGAGAATGGTGTGAACCCGGGAGGCGGAGCTTGCAGTGAGCAGAGATCCCGCCACTGCACTCCAGCCTGGGCGACAGAGCGAGACTCCGTCTCAAAAAAAAAAAAAAAAAAAAAAAAAAGAAATGACCTGAAACTGAAACTCATATTTAAAAGAGAATCAGAACATGAAAGTTTGGAAAATTTGTAGCCTGGCCATGTAGAAGAAAATAAAAATCCATTTTGTCTGGAGAAATTCAAGCCAGCTGCAGAAATTTTGCATAACTAAAGAGGAGCCAAATGTTAATAGCCAAGACAACGGGAAAATGCCTCCAAGGTGTTTCAGAGACCTTCAGCGCAGCCCCTCCCATCACAGGCCTGTGCTTCTAGAATGGAAGAGTGGTTTTGTGTGCCAGGCCCAGGGCCCAGCTGTTCTGTGCATCCTTGGGACATGGCACCATTTGTTCTAGTCACTCCAACTGAAGCCATGGCCAAAAGGTCCCCAGATATATCTCAGGTCACTGCCCCAGAGGATGGGAGCCTTGGCAGCCTCCACCTGGTATTAAGCCTGCAGGTACACAGAGAGCAAAAGCTGAGGTTTGGGAGCCTCCACCTAGATTTCAGAAGATGCGTGTAAATGCCTAGACATTCAGGCAGAAGTGTGCTGCAGGGGCAGAGCCCTCATGGGGAACCTCTAATAGGGCAGTGTAGAGGGGAAATATATGGTTGTAGCCCCCACACAGAGTCCCCACTGGGGCACTGCCTAGTGAAATTGTGAGAAGAGAGTCACAGTCCTTCAGACCCCAGAATGGTAGATCCACAAACAGCTTGCACTGTGTGCCTGGAAAAGCCATAGACACTCAATGCCAGTCTGTGAAAACAGTCATGGGGCAGAGTTGCCCAAAGACTTGGGATCCCACCCCTTGCATCAGTGAGGCCTGGATATAAGACATGGCACCAAAGGAAATTATTTTAGAGCTTTAAGAGTTATTGACTGCCCTGCTGGGTTTTGGACACGCATGAGGCCTGTAGCCCCTTTGTTTTGGGCATTTTTTTTTCTTTTGGAACTGGAGCATTTACTCAATCCTTGTACCCCCATTGTATCTTGGAAGTAACTAACTTCTTTCTGATTTTACAGGCTCATAGGTGGAAGGGACTTGCCTTGTCTCAGATGAGAATTTGGACTTGGACTTTTGAGTTAATGCAAATGAGTTAAGACTTAGAGGACTGTTGAGAAGGCATGATTGTGTTTTTAAATGGGAGAAGGATGTGAGATTTGAGAGGGGCCAAGGGTAGAATAATATGGTTTGGCTTTGTGTTTCCACTCAAATCTCATGTTGAATTGTGATCCCGAGTGTTTGAGGTGGGGTCTGGTGGGAGGTGATTGGATCATGGGGATGGTTTCTAATGGTTTAGTGCTGTCTCCCTAGTGCTGTCTAAAGATAGAGTTCTCACAAGATCTGGTTGTTTAAAACTGTAGTAACCACCCCCTTCACTCTCTCTTCCTCCTGATCCAGCCATGTAGGATGTGCCAGCTTCCCCTTTGCCTTCTCGCATGATTATAAGTTTCTTCAGGCCTCCCCAGCCATGCTTCCTGTATAGCCCACAGAACTGTGAGCAAATTAAATGTCTTTTCTTTATAAATTACCAAGTCTCAGGTAATGTTCTCACATTATAGCAATGTGAGAACAGACTAACACAGGAGTATTACCATCTTAACAATATTAAGTATTCTGATTAATGACCTTGACATGTATTTTCATTTATTTAGGTTTTCTTTAAGTTCTTTCAAGAGTGTTTTGTAGCTTTCAGTGTGAAAATTTTGTAGTAATTCTGTTAAATTTTCCCTAATTATTTTATTCTTTTTAATGCTATTATAAATATAACTGTATTCTTAATTTCATTTTTGAATTGTTCATTACTGGAGTATAGAACTACAGTTCATATTTATGTATTCATCTTGTAACCTGCAACACTGGTGAAATTGTTTATTAGTAGACTTCTTGTGGATTCCTTTTGATTTTCTATATACATCATCATGATATAGACAAATCATGATAATTTATTTTACTTCTTTCTTTCCCATTTGAATGCCTTTTTAAAAATCTTTCTTGCCTAGTTGTCCTGTCCAGAGCTTCCTCTTCAACTATTAATAAATGTGGTAAGAACAGGAATCCTTATGATGTTCCTGATTTTAGGTGGAAAGCATCAAGTCTTTCACCCTTAAGGTAGCTTAATGAAGTCAGCTGTGAGGGGTGTGTGTGTGTGTGTATGTGTGTGTAAAAGAGTGGAACATCACTTAAAAACTTTTCCGTAAAGAAAACACCAGGTCTACAGAGGAATTCACAGCTGAATTCTACCAGATGTACAAAGAAGAGCTGGTACCATTCCTACTGAAACTGTTCTAAAACATGGAAAAGGAGACACTCTTGCTAACTCATTCCGCAAGGCCAGCATCATCCTGATACCAAAGACTGGCAGAGATACAAGAAAAACAGAAAACTTCAGGCCAATATCCCTGATGATCATCGATGCAAAAATCCTCAACAAAATACTGGCAAACAGAATCCAGCAGCACGTAAAGAAGCTTATCCATCAAGATCAAGTCAGTTTCATTCCCAGGATGCAAGTTTGTTTCAACATATGCAAATGAACAAATGTGATTCATCACATAAACGGAACTAAATACAAAAACCATATGATTATCTCAGTAGATGCAGAAAAGGCTTTTGATAAAATTCAACATTCCTTCATGTTAAAAACTCTTGATAAACTAGTTATTGAAGGAACATACCTCAAAATAGTAAGAGCCATCTATGACAAACCCACAGTCAACATCATATGGAATGGGCAAAAGCTGGAAGCATTCCCCTTGAAAACTGGCACAAGATGAGGATGTCCTCTCTCACCACTCCCATTTAACATAGTATTGGAAGTTCTGCCCATGAGAATCAAGCAAGATAAAGAAATAAAACGCATTCAAATAGGAAGAGAGGAAGTCAAACTATCCCTGTTTGCAGATGACATGATTTTATATCTAGAAAACCCCATAGTCTCAGCCCCAAAGCTTCTTAAGCTAATAAGCAACTTCATCAAAGTATCAGCATACAAAATAAATGTGCAAAAATCAATAGCATTCCTGCACACCAACAACAGTCAAGCTGAGAACCAAATCACAAACTCCCATTTACAATTTCCACAAAAGGAATAAAATACCTTGGAATAAGGCTAACATGGGAGGTGAAATGTCTCTAAAAGGAGAACTACAAAACTCTGCTCAAATAAATCAAGGATGACACAAAGAAATGGAAAAGCATTCCATGCTCATGGATAGAAAGGATAAATTTTGTTAAAATGGTCATACTACCTAAAGCAATTTATAGATTCAGTGCTATTCCCATTAAACTATCATTCACATTCTTCACAGAAGTAGAGAAGAGTATTTAAAAATTCATGTGGAACCAAAAAGGAGCCTGAATAGTCAAGGCAATCCTAAGGGGGAAAAAAAAAACAAAGCTGGAGGAATCATGCTAGCCAACTTTGAACTATACTACAGGGGTACAGTAACCAAGACAGCATGGTACTGATACAAGAACAGACACATAGACCAATGGAACAGAATAGAGAAATCAGAAATAAGACCACACACCTATAACTCTCTGGTCTTTGACAAACCTGACAAAAACAAGCAACAGGGAAAGGATTCACTGTTTATAAATGGTGCTGGGATAAGTGGCTAGCCATATGTGTAAAATTGAAACTTGACCCTTTCCCTACATCATATGCAAAAATTAACTCAAAATGGATTAAAGACTTAAATGTAAAACCCAAAACTGTGAAAACCCTGGAAGACAACCTAGTTAATACCATCCAGGGCACAGGCATGGGCAAATATTTCATTGCAAAAATGCCAAGAGCAATTGCAACAAAAGCAAAAATTGACAAATGGGATGTAGTTAAACTAAAGAGCTTCAGAACAACAAAATAAACTAACAGGGTAAACAGACATCTTATTGAACAGGAAAGAATTTTTGCAAACTATGCACCTGACAAGGTCTTATGTCCAGCATCTATAAAGAACTTAAACAAATTTACAAGAAAAAACAACCCCATTAAAAAGTGGGCAAAGGACATGAACAGACACTTCTCAAAAGAAGACACACACATGGTCAACAAGCATATGAAAAAAAGTTCAACATCACTGATAATTAGGGAAATGCAAATCAAAACCACAATGAGATACCATCTCACACCAGTCAGAATAGCTATTATTAAAAACTCAAAAAATAAGAAATGCTGGCCAGGTTGTGGGGTTTTTAAAATATTTTTAACACAGGGTCTCATTTTATTTCCCAGGCTGGAGTGCAGTGGCTCCATTTTGGCTCATTGAAACCTCTGCCTCCCAGGCTCAAGCTATCCTCCCACCCCAACCTCCCAAATAGGTGGGTCTTCAGGCATGCACCACCATGCCCAGACAATTTTTATATTTTTTTGTAGGAGAAAAAGGAATGCTTATACACTGTTGATGGGAGTGTAAATTAGTTCAACCATTGTGGAAAACAGTGTGGCAATTTCTCAAACACCTAAAAACAGAACTATCATTTGACCTAGCAATCCTATTACTGGGTATATACCCAAAGTTCTGTCAGAAAGACACATACATGTGTATGTTCATTGCAGCACTATTCGCAGTAGCAAAGACATGAACATTCAAGCAGCTTTATTTGTAACAGCTAAAATGTTAAAACAAACCTCATACCCATCAACAAGTACACAAACTCTGCTATAAAAGTACAATTGAATATTACTTAGCCAGACAAAATGAATGAACTATTTGTGCACACAACAATATGAGTCTCAAAAGTTATCTTCAGAAAATACACTGAGAAGAAGATATATTGTATGACTCTATTTTTATAAAAGTCGGCCGGGCGCGGTGGCTCGCACCTGTAATCCCAGCACTTTGGGAGGCTGAGGCGGGCGGATCACGAGGTCAGGAGATCGAGACCATCCCGGCTAAAAAGGTGAAACCCCGTCTCTACTAAAAATACAAAAAATTAGCCGGGCATAGTGGCGGGCGCCTGTAGTCCCAGCTACTTGGGAGGCTGAGGCAGGAGAATGGCGTGAACCCGGGAGGCGGAGCTTGCAGTGAGCCGAGATCCCGCCACTGCACTCCAGCCTGGGCAACAGAGCGAGACTCCGTCTCAAAAAAAAAAAAAAAAAAAAAAAAAAAAAGTCTAGAAAGCAGAAAACAATGCATAGTAAATTACAGATTAGTAGTTGCCCAGGGACGTGGTTGTGGGAGGGGAAGGAAATAGAGATTATAGAGTAGCCATAAAGAATATCGTGGGGATTATATTTGTTAGCTTGATTGTGTTGGTGGATTCAAAGGTTCATGTGTGTGTGTCAAACTTATCAAGTTGTACATGTTACATATGTATAGTTTATTCTGTATCACTTCTTACTAAATATCAAAAACTGTATTTCTATGGTCTGAATGTTGATGTGTCTTCCAAATTCTTATGCTGTGACCCAGTACACAATGTGATAGTATTAAGAAGTGAAGCCTGATTAAGTCAAGAGGTCTTCAACATTGTAAATGGAATCAATGTCCTTATAAAAGAGGCTGAGTGAGACACTTTCCCCCTTCCGTCATGTGAGGACATAGCTTAAAAGGTACCCTCTTGATGCAGGGGGTGAGCCCACACCAGACACTGAATTTGCTTGCACTTCACCTTGATCTTGAAATTTTCAGGTTTCAGAACTGTTTGCAGTAAACTTCTATTTTTTGTAAATTACCCAGTCTAAGGTACATTTTTATAGCAGGCATAGTGTCCACAAGGGCTGGACTGTGTATACATATATAATCTTATATAATATGTATATATTTTAAGAGGCAGTGTCAGACTTGATGATAAATCAAGGTTTAATTATATGCTTTCAATAAGAGAAAACTTTAGGTTTAAAGTAACAGAACTTTGAATGTAAAAGCATGGAAAGTTATAACAGGCTAACCAGAACTATATGGGAGCTGGAGCAGCTATATCATTATCAGACAAAATAGACTTTAATATGAGAAGTGTTGTTACCAGAGGTTTGGTCCAGGTCCCATTGCTTGCGGCACAGAAAGCCAATCACTGAGAGGACAAGTATTACCAGGGAAGAAGGCTTTACTATTTTATGGGTGATGTCAGCCAGAGAGAAGGGAGCAAAACCTCAAATCCGCCTTCCTTCTCCGACCAAAGTTAGGTTTTTGTATAGCAAAGAAGGAAAACAGGAGGGACAAGGAAGAGGAGTTGATCAACAGGCAGCAGTGGTCCAGCATAGCACTGTAACCACATGCAGAAAGGCAGAAGTAGGGAGGGAGGAGAAAGGAATTGATCAACAGGCAATTGATTCTTCTTATTGTCCAGGTGCAGTGATCTGGAAATCCTTACCTCCCTGAAATCATCTGGGAGGTCTGATGTTCAGTTTTCTGAGAAAAGGTGCAAGTTTAAAATTGGGCCAACTTCAGTGTTACTAGAGAAAAAGAGAGACATTGACAATGATGAAAGAGTTAATATATCAGGGATCTAATAACAAGTACCTATGCATATGCACCTAACAACAGAGTTTCAAATTACATGAAGTAGAAATTTTTAGAATTAAAAGAGAAATTGACAACTCAACCTTCAGTATGGAGATTTGAATCCAGCTTTCTCATAGTTGACAGGAGAATTAGGCAGAACAAATTAAGGGTATAGAAGACTTGAACACTTTCAGTTACCTCAATCTAATTGTCATTTATAGAATGCTCCACTAAATAATAGCAGAATACACATACTTTTCAATATGCCTGGAATATTCTCCTGGGTAGAACATATGCTAAACTCCATGACAAATTTTAATAAGTTAAAATACATTAAAATCATGCCAAAAATATGTTCTCTGAATAAAATGAAACAACTGAATTAAATTTGAGACTCCTCAAATATTTGCAAACTAACCAATATGCCTCTAAAAAACTAATTAGAATAATTTACAAGGTAAATAAGAAAATATTTTGAATTTAATGAAAATGAAAACAGCATATCAAAATCTATGAATGGCTTTTAGAGAAGTGTTCAAAAGAAAATTTAGAGCATTAAACACTTAGAAAAAAAGAAAGATTTAATATTAATTATCTAAGCTATAACTTCAATAATAGAAGAGAAGAGCAAATTATATGCATAGTAAATAGCAAGAAGGAAGTAATCAGAAATGAAATAATTAAAGTAAATAAAGATGGAAAAATAATGGTGAAAAACAATAAAATCATAGTTAATCCTTTACAAAATTTAAAAAAAATATAGCTTCATCTAGACTTACCAAAAAAAGTGAAAAAACATATATTACCAAAATCAGAAATAGAAGAGGGTACATCTGTAACAACTTTACAAGAATGAAAATGATTATAAAGAAACACTATGAATGACTGATGCCAATACATTAGACAACATTGGAAAAAATTTATAGGAAGACATAAGTTACCTAAAATATTTCAAGAAGGAAAGGAAAATCTCAGTAAATCTGTATTCAGTAAACTAAATTAATAATTAAAATCAGCCGGTGGAGCCAAGATGGCCAAATAGGAACAGCTCCAGTCTACAGCTCCCAGTGTGAGCAGCGCAGAAGACACCTGATTTCTGCATTTCCAACTGAGGTACCCGGTTCATCTCACTGGGTAGTGTCAGACAGTGGGTGCAGGACAATGGGTGCAGCACACCGAGTGTGAGCCGAAGCAGGGCAAGGCATCACCTCACCCGGGAAGCACAAGGGGTCAGGGAATTACCTTTCCTAGTCATAGAAAGGGGTGACAGACGGCACCTGGAAAATCGGGTCACTCCCACCCTAATACTGCACTTTTCCAACAGTCTTAGCAAACGGCACACCAGGAGATTATATCCCACCCCTGGCTCGGAGGGTCCTACGCCCACAGAGCCTCGCTCATTGCTAGCACAGCAGTCTGAGATCAAACTGCAAGGCGGCAGCAAGGCTGGGGGAGGGGTGCCCGCCATTGCTGAGGCTTGAGTAGGTAAACAAAGCGGCCGGGAAGCTCGAACTGGATGGAGCCCACCGCAGCTCAAGGAGGCCTGCCTGCCTCTGTAGACTCCACCTCTGGGGGCAGGGCATAGCCAAACAAAAGGCAGCGGAAACCTCTGCAGACTTAAATGTCCCTTTCTGACAGCTTTGAGGAGAGTAGTGGTTCTGCCAGCATGCAGCTTGAGATCTGAGAACGGACAGACTGCCTCCTCAAGTGGGTCCCTGACCCCCGAGTAGCCTAACTGGGAGGCACCCCCCAGTAGGGGCAGACTGACCCTTCACACGGCCGGGTACTCCTCTGAGACAAAACTTCCAGAGGAACAATCAGGCAGCAACGTTTGCTGTTTACCAATATCCGCTGTTCTGCAGCCTCCACTGCTGATACCCAGGCAAACAGGGTCTGGGTGGACCTCCAGCAAACTCCAGCAGACCTGCAGCTGAGGGTCCTGACTGTTAGAAGGAAAACTAACAAACAGAAAGGACATCCACACCAAAACCCCTGTACGTCACCATCATCAAAGACCAAAGGTAGATAAAACCACAAAGATGGGGAAAAAACAGAGCAGAAAAACTGGAAACTCTAAAAATCAGAGCACCTCTCCTCCTCCAGAGGAATGCGGTTCCTCACAAGCAATGGAACAAAATTGGACAGAGAATGACTTTGACAAATTGAGAGAAGAAGACTTCAGATGATCAAACTATTCTGAGCTAAAGGAGGAAGTTCGAACCCATGGCAAAGAAGTTAAAAAGCTTGAAAAAAAAATAGACGAATGGCTAACTAGAATAACCAATGCAGAAAAGTCCTTAAAAGATCTGATGGAGCTGAAAACCATGGCACGAGAACTACATGACGAATGCACAAGCCTCAGTAGCCAATTCAATCAACTGGAGGAATGGGTATCACTGATGGAAGATAAAATGAATGAAATGAAGCGAGAAGAGAAGTTTAGAGAAAAAAGAATAAAAAGAACAAAGCCTCCAAGAAATATGGGACTATTTGAAAAGACCAAATCTACGTCTGATTGGTGTACCTGAAAGTGATGGGGAGAATGGAACCAGTTGGAAAACACTCTGCAGGATGTTATCCAGGAGAACATCCCCAATCTACCAAGGCATGCCAGCATTCAAATTCAGGAAATACAGAGAACGCCACAAAGATACTCATCGAGAAGAGCAACTCCAAGACCCATAATTGTCAGATTCATCAAAGTTGAAATGAAGGAAAGAATGTTAAGGGCAGCCAGAGAGAAAGGTCGGGTTACCCACAAGGGGAAGCCCATCAGACTAACAGCTGATCTCTAGGTAGAAACTCTACAAGCCAGAAGAGAGTTGGGGCCAATATTCAACATTCTTAAAGAAAAGAATTTTCAACCCAGAATTTCATATCCAGCCAAACTAAGCTTCATAAGTGAAGGAGAAATAAAATCCTTTACAGACAAGCAAATGCTGAGAGATTCTGTCACCACCAGGCCTGCCCTAAAAGAGCTCCTGAAGGAAGCACTAAACATGGAAAGGAACAACCGGTACCTGCCACTGCAAAAACATGCCAAATTGTAAAGACCATCGAGGCTAGGAAGAAACTGCATCAACTAACGAGCAAAATAACCAGCTAACATCATAATGACAGGATCAAATTCACACATAACAATATTAACCTTAAATGTAAATGGGCTAAATGCTCCAATTAAAAGACACAGACTGGCAAATTGGATAAAGAGTCAAGACCCATCAGTGTGCTGTATTAAGGAAAGCCATCTCACATGCAGAGACACACATAGACTCAAAATAAAGGGATGGAGGAAGATCTACCAAGCAAATGGAAAACAAACAAAGACAGGGGTTGCAATCCTAGTCTCTGATAAAACAGACTTTAAAACAACAAAGATCAAAAGAGACAAGGCGATTACATAATGGTAAAGGGGTCAATTTAACAAGAAGAGCTAACTGTCCTAAATATATGTGCACCCAATACAGGAGCACCCAGATTCATAAAGCAAGTCCTTAGAGACTTACCAAGAGACTTAGACTCCCACACAATAATAATGGGAGACTTTAACACGCCACTGTCAACATTAGACAGATCAACGACACAGAAAGTTAACAAGGATATCCAGGAATTGAACTCAGCTCTGCACCAAGCGGACCTAATAGACATCTATGGAACTCTCCACCCCAAATCAACAGAATATACATTCTTTTCAGTACTACACCACACCTATTCCAAAATTGACCACATAGTTGGAAGTAAAGCACTACTCAGCAAATGTAAAAGAACAGAAATTATAACAAACTGTCTCTCAGACCACAGTGCAATCAAACTAGAACTCAGGATTAAGAAACTCACTCAAAACCACACAACTACATGGAAACTGAACAACCTGCTCCTGAATGACTACTGGGTACATAACGAAATGAAGGCAGAAATAAAGATGTTCTTTGAAACCAACAAGAACAAAGACACAACATACCAGAATCTCTGGGACGCATTCAAAGCAGTATGTAGAGGGAAATTTATAGCACTAAATGCCCACAAGAGAAAGCAGGAAAGATCTAAAATTGACACCCTAACATCACAATTAAAATAACTAGAGAAGCAAGAGCAAACATATTCAAAAGCTAGCAGAAGGCAAGAAATAACTAAGAACAGAGCAGAACTGAAGGAAATAGAGACACAAAAAACCCTTCAAAAAATCAGTGAATCCAGGAGCTGGTTTTTTGAAAAGATCAACAAAATTGATAGACTGCTAGCAAGACTAATAAAGAAGAAAAGAGAGAAGAATCAAATAGACACAATTAAAATTGATAAAGGGGATATCACCACCGATCCCACAGAAATACAAACTACCATCAGAGAATACTATAAACACCTCTATGCAAATAAACTAGAAAATCTAGAAGAAATGGATAAATTCCTCGACACTTGCACCCTCCCCGGACTAAAACAGGAAGAAGTTGAATCTCTGAACAGACCAATAACAGGATTTGAAATTGAGGCAATAATTAATAGCTTACCAACCAAAAAAGTCCAGGACCAGATGGATTCACAGCCTAATTCTACCAGAGGTACAAGGAGGAGCTGGTACCATTCCTTCTGAAACTATTCCAATCAATAGAAAAAGAGGGAATCCTCCCTAACTCATTTTATGAGGCCAGCATCATCCTGATACCAAAGCCTGGCAGAGACACAACAAAAAAAGAGAATTTTAGACCAATAACCCTGATGAACATGGATGCAAAATTCCTCAATAAAATACTGGCAAACTGAATCCAGCAGCACATCAAAAAGCTTATCCACCATAATCAAGTGGGCTTCATCCCTTGGATGCAAGGCTGGTTCAACATATGCAAATCAATAAATGTAATCCATCATATAAACAGAACCAATGACAAAAACCACATGATTATCTCAATAGATGCAGAAAAGGCCTTTGACAAAATTCAACAACACTTCATGCTAAAAACTCAATAAATTAGGTATTGATGGGACGTATCTCAAAATAATAAAAGCTATCTATGACAAACCCACAGCCAATATCATACTGAATGGGTAAAACCTGGAAGCATTCCCTTTGAAAACTGGCACAAGACAGGGATGCCCTCTCTCACCACTCCTATTCAACATAGTGTTGGAAGTTCTGGTCAGGGCAATCAGGCAGGAGAAGGAAATAAAGGGCATTCAATTAGGAAAAGAGGAAGTCAAATTGTCCCTGTTTGCAGATGACATGATTGTATATCTAGAAAACCCCAACATCTC
The DNA here is from genome assembly GCF_000001405.40 of Homo sapiens. NCBI lineage: Eukaryota > Metazoa > Chordata > Mammalia > Primates > Hominidae > Homo > Homo sapiens. The sequence goes on from NC_000013.11 coordinate 22,350,316, forward strand.
AGCCCAAAATCTCCTTAAGCTGATAGGCAACTTCAGCAAAGTCTCAGGATACAAAATCGGTGTGCAAAAATCACAAGCATTCTTATACACCAATAACAGACAGAGAGCGAAATCATGAGTGAACTCCCATTCATAATTGCTTCAAAGAAAATAAAATACCTAGGAATCCAACTTACAAGGGATGTGAAGGACCGCTTCAAGGAGAACTACAAACTACTGCTCAATTAAATAAAAGAGGATACAAACAAATGGAAGAACATTCCATGCTCATGGGTAGGAAGAATCAATATTGTGAAAATGGCCATACTGCCCAAGGTAATTTATAGATTCAATGCCATCCGCATCAAGCTACCAATGACTTTCTTCACAGAATTGGAAAAGACTACTTTAAACTTCATATGGAACCAAAAAAGAGCCCACATTGCCAAGTCAATCCTAAGCCAAAAGAACAAAGCTGGAGGCATCACGCTACCTGACTTCAACTCTACTACAAGGCTATAGTAACCAAAACAGCATGATACTGGTACCAAAACAGAGATATAGACCAATGGAACAGAACAGAGCCCTCAGAAATAATGCCGCATATCTACAACTATCTGATCTTTGACAAACCTGACAAAAATAAGAAATGGGGAAAGGATTCCCTGTTTAATAAATGATGCTGGGAAAACTGGCTAGCCATATGTAGAAAGCTGAAACTGGATCCCTTCCTTACACCTTACATAAAAATTAATTCAAGATGGATTAAGGACTTAAACGTTAGACCTAAAACCTTAAAAACCCTAGAAGAAAACCTAGGCAATACCGTTCAGGACATAGGCATGGGCAAGGACTTCATGTCTAAAACACCAAAAGCAATGGCAACAAAAGCCAAAATTGACAAATGGGATCTAATTAAACTAAAGAGCTTCTGCACAGCAAAAGAAACTACCATCAGAGTGAACAGGCAACCTACAGAATGAGAGAAAATTTTTGCAATCTACTTATCTGACAAAGGGCTAACATCCAGAATCTACAATGAACTCAAACAAATTTACAAGAAAAAAAAACCCCATCAACAAGTGGACAAAGGATATGAACAGACGCTTCTCAAAAGAAGATGTTTATGCAGCCAAATAACACATGAAAAAATGCTCGTCATCACTGGCCATCAGAGAAATGCAAATCAAAACCACAATGAGATACCATCTCACACCACTTAGAATGGCGACCATTAAAAAGTCAGGAAACAACAGGTGCTGGAGAGGATGTGGAGAAATAGGAACTTTTACACTGTTGGTGGGACTGTAAACTAGTTCACCCATTGTGGAAGTCAGTGTGGCGATTCCTCAGGGATCTAGAACTAGAAATACCATTTGACCCAGCCATCCCATTACTGGGTATATACCCAGAGGATTATTAATCATGCTGCTTCTAAAGACACATGCACACGTATGTCTTTTTGGCACTATTCATAATAGCAAAGACTTGGAACCAACCCAAATGTCCAACAATGATAGACTGGATTAAGAAAATGTGGCACATATACACCATGGAATACTATGCAGCCATGAAAAAGGATGAGTTCATGTCCTTTGTAGGGACATGGATGCAGCTGGAAACCATCATTCTCAGCAAACTATCGCAAGGAAAAAAAACCAAACACTGCATGTTCTCACTCATACGTGGGAATTGAACAATGAGAACACATGGACACAGGAAGGGGAACATCACACAATGGGGCCTATTGCGGGGTGGGGGTAGGGGGGAGGGATAGTATTAGGAGATATACCTAATGCTAAATGACGAGTTAATGGGTGCAGCACACCAACATGGCACATGTATACATATGTAACAAACCTGCATGTTGTGCACATGTACCCTAAAAATTAAAGTACAATAAAAAAATAAAAATAAAAAAACATAATTAAAATCTTCCCACAAAGACAAGCCCAGGCCTCAGAGGCTTCAGTTGTGTACTCTCACATTTATGAAGTACTACATAAATTCTTTCAGACAGTAGAGGAGGAAAAAACTTTTTAAACTTAACATTGAACCCTGATAAAACAAGTATAATACTGAAACAAAAACACATCAAAGACGTCATAAGAAAAGAAAATAACAGTTCTATATTCCTCATTAACTAATTGCAAAATCCTTAACAAATTTTTAGTAAATTGCCTATCAACGCCTGTAATCCCAGCACTTTGGGAGGCCGAGGCGGGTGGATCACGAGGTCAGGATATAGAGACCATCCTGGCTAACACGGTGAAACCCCGCCTCTACTAAAAATACAAAAAATTACCTGGCATGATGGCGGGTGCCGGTAGTCCCAGCTATTTGGGAGGCTGAGGCAGTATTATGGCTTGAACCTGGGAGGTGGAGCTTGCAGTGAGCCAAGATCGTGCCACTGCACTCCAGCCTGGGCGACAGAGCGACATTCCATCTCAAAAAAAAAAAAAAAAGTGCCTATCAGTACATCAAACAAGATGATATCTTATGACTAAATGATAGTAATCCCTAGAAAATAAGGTTAGATTAACATCTGAAAATCAATTAATTTAGTGCACCATATAGTAGAGTAAAAGGTAAAAAAAAAACCACACATGATTATCTCAACTAACACATTAAAAAACTGAAGAAATTAAACGTTTATGATAGCAATCCCTAACAAACTTGGAACAGAGGTAACATCCTTAAACTAGCTAAGTGCAGCAATGAAAAAGCTACAGCTAACATCACATTTAATGCTGAAAGACTAAATGCCTAAGAATACAGATTTGAAAGGAAGAAGTTCAACTGTCTTTGCTTGCAGATTGCATGATTCTGTGCACAGAAAACCCTGAGGATTCTACAGAAAAACTACTACAGCTAGTAAATAAGTTTAGCAATTTGCAAGACACAACATCTATGCTATTTCTATATGTTAACATCAAAGAGTCAGAAAATAGTAACAATACAATTCCATTTACAATAGCTTTAATACTTACAAATACATTTTAACTTAAGTAATATAAAAGCTATACATTGACAAGTCTAAAAATATTAGTAAAAGAAATTAAAGAAAAAATATGTAAGTGGAGAGATATAGCAAGTTCATGTGTTAAAAGAGACAATATTACTTAGATAAAACTTCTCCCTAAATTGATACATAGATTCAACACAAAATCTCAAGAAATTTTGTAAAAATTCACAAGTCAATTGTAACATTTATATAGAAATGCAAAAGACCTAGAAGAGTCAAAATATTTTTGAAAATGAATAAAGTTGAGTGACTTAAACTACCTGATTCCTAAAAGTACTATATTGCTACAGTAATGAGACATTGCGGCATGAGTTGTGAATATTTACACATTTATATCATGGAACAATTTAGGGAGTCCAGAAATAAACTCTTAATTTTCTGGTCAATAGGCTGCTAAAAGGCATCAAGACTAGTTTAATGAAGAAAACATGCTATTTTCAACAAATGCTACTGAAAAAAATGGAAATCTGTAGAAATATGAACTTATACCCTTCAAACCATAACATTTATTAAAATGTATCATTATTATATATATAAGTGCTAAAGCTATAAAACTTTGAAAATTAAACATTGGAAATGTATTTGTAACCTTACGTTAGGAAAATACTTTTTCACATAAGACACTAAAAGCATAGCCAATTAAAAATAATAAGTTAGACTTCTGAATATTTAAAACATTTTTTCTCCAAAAGACACGATTAACAAAATGAGAAGTGAGGAGGCTTACAGGAAAATGGTTCCAAAAATTATCTCATAAAAGACTTGTTATACAGACATATAAAAAAGCTCCTGCAACTCATTATCAAGAAGACAAATAAATTAAAAATTAGCTGCACATTTTACCAAAAAAATATAAATAGCTAATATAATTATGTTTGAATAGATAATAAAATATGAAAATATGCTCAACATCTATAAACATTAGTGAAAACCAAAATTCTATATCATTACATACCCACCATCATATCTACAATTTAAAAATCCGACAATAACAAATGTTGACAATGATGTGGAGGAACTGGTACCCTCCTATAATATTGCTGAAGGGAAAGTATAATAATATTATAATTTTGGAAAAAACGTTGACAGTTAAACATTATTTACCATATGATTCAGGAATTTCATGTCAAGGGTATACCCAAGAGAAATGAAAACATGTATCTACCCAATGACATGTAAGCAAAAGTTTATAATAACATTTTTTATAAAAGTCAAAGATCAACAACAATTCAGATGTCCATCAATCTGTTCATGGAAACATACTGATATTTCTGTATAATGGAAAATTACTTGGTGATAAAAAGAAATAAACTGTTCATACATAAAACAATACAGATTATTATCAAAAATTTTGTGCTAAGGGAAAGAAACCAGAGAAAAAGGCAACATTGTATATGGTAATAGTCATAAGAAAGATTAGGAAAGGCAAATTTATATAGACAGAGAACAGATCTAAAGTTTTTTGGGGCTGATATTAAAAACAGAAATTGTTTGCAGTAGACACAAGACAACTTTTTATGATGATGAAAAAGTTCCAAAATTGGATTGTTATAATGGTATGACTGTATAGATTTATTAAAAATTATTAAGTTGTACAGTTAAAAAGGGTGAATGCTTTCTGTTTAAATAAAGTTGTTAATTTTTTTATCCTGCCACTTAAAAAATTTAACAAAGTTGAAAAAATGTTAAAATTCTCAATGCACCTACTAACAATAAAACTAATAAATTGTTACAGATTAATGTTTTTAGGAAATTAAAATGAAGGAACTTAATAATTGCAAATACTATTTAACAAAGAAATGGATTGTCAAAAAAGGCATACATTAACCACAAGATTCAGATTATGTAACTAATTGAAATCCAATAATACCATTAGTTTTCCTTATTGAATCTCATTCTCATGGCCCCATCACATACTCTCTTCATTCGTATGGAAAACTGGAAAAGTAATTTACAACACAGTGAATTTACAAGTCCTAATTTCTTCCACCATTTAAAGGAGTCCTGATTTTTGCAATAGATATTGTCCTCCTTACTTCAGTGCAAGCTTCTGTATATTTGTTAAATAATAATAGAGTGATGGGCCTGGCGTTGTGGCTCACACCTGTAATCCCAGCACTTGAGGAGGCCGAGGCGGGCAGATTACGAGGTCAGATCAAGACCATTCTGGCTAACGCGGTGAAACTCCATCTCTACTAAAAATACAAAAAAATTAGCCGGGCGTGGTGGCGGGCGCCTGTAGTCCCAGCTACTAGGGAGGCTGAGGCAGGAGAATGGCGTGAACCCGGGAGGCAGAGCTTGCAGTGAGCCGAGATCGCGCCACTGCCCTTCAGCCTGGGCGACAGAGCAAGAGTCTGTGTCAATAATAATAATAATAACAATAATAATAATAGAGTGATAAACATTTATTTCCATAAATAATGAAAAAATAATAGCATTTCATTAAAACACTATTGATACAATTTATTTTAAAGCAATCTGAAGTCTTAGTCGAAAAATACTTTACTTATAGCTTCATAATTAGTTAATGGTGGATTCAGGTCTTGGAACTTCCCAGACTGGGACTTTACTCACACAATTTCCATTAATTGTTTATAATTTGGTTTCATATTTCAAAGATGCTCTAGTCCAGTGTTTTGTAAGGTATGACCATGACTTATTTATAGGTTGTAGAATTAGTTTGGGTGGTTGTGAATATCAATTTTTTAAATGAGAGAAAATATAGAGAAAAATACAAATCACAGATGGTAAGTTGTGGTGGAGGGTATTTTTACATAATTCTTTCTTCTTTTCCCACTCTCCTGTTGACTTGTCTTTTGACTTTGAGCTTGGCTATATACTTTGCTGTGACTAACAATATATAGAAAGAAGTACTAGTATGTAGTTTTTAGCAGAAGATTTAAGAGCATCTTTTGTCACCACATATGCTCTTGGATACCCATGTACTTCCACAAGAGAAGACCCTGGTCTGAGAATGAGAAAATCAGTTAAATAAACCTGATTGCAACTCTCAGTCTGGAGCCTGACTCAGTAGATTCTATCCAATCCCAGCAGAGTCACAGTTGATAACACAATCATATTTGAGAAAGAATTCATTGTTACTGTAAGCATTAAGATTTGAGGCTGCTTGTTATGCAGGATTATTACAGCAAAACTGACTAATAACCAAGCTTTACGATTGTACTGTGAAACTTTTTTTTCTCTACATATATGTCAACGTGTTTTAGGAATTAGGCCACGCCTATGGTTATGAAATAAAATATATTTTATTATAAGAGTAGTTGGTCAAAAATTTGAAAAGTGTTTTCTCAGTCTACTGAAAAGGGAAAATTTTTTTATCAAGAGGATGATACAGATTTCTTTTTGTTTCTTAAGTGAAGGAACTTTGCTTTTTCCCTGTCCCCTAGCTTTATCGAGGTATAGTTGACAAAATTGTGTATATTTAAGGTGTGCAACATGAGTTTTTGATATGCATATAATATATATATTATATATATAGGAACGATTAACGCAATCAGGTTAGTTAACACATCAATCATCTCATGTAGTTATTTGTGTGTGTGGTGTGAACATTCCAGATCTACTGTCTTAGCAAATTTCAAGTATACAATACAGTATTGTTAACTACAGTCATGCTGTGTATTAGATCCCCAGAATATATTCATCATTTACCTGCATTTTGCACCCTTTGACCAACATCTCTTTATTTCCCTGCCTATACAGTTTTCATTCTAGGGAATTAGTTATTTTAGCATTACCTTTTTAACTAATGGTCAGGCTTAATAATTTTGTTCTTCTTCTAAAATATCTGGGGCAGAATAACCATCAGGAAGGGGTAAAGGAGGGTGTCTGCTGAAGCTGAAACAACTGGGTATCCTCAACAGTCAAGGGCCTGCAGGAGAAGGCACTCAAGGGGCGTCGTCAGTTCTTTCTCTTCTTCTGCATGAAGGAGGTGGCTGGGGAAGCTACTGTGGTTTGTTTCAGATGCAGGCAACAAGAGCACAGAAAATGGTATCTGTTGATGAAGTGTGGCTATATTGGGCCTATGAGTCAGGAGTGTTCCAGAAACTTTGAACCACAGAACCAGTGTGACAGTGACTCAACTCGATTAACTAGGAAGAGTCTTTAAACTGTAGGATGTGGGTAGGGAGATTTTATCCTTTTTTATTTTTTAAATGCTCTATGGGAAAATACTGTTTTGTAGTACTGCTTTTGGAATAATAATATTTTTAAAAATTATATAAGTTTTCAGTTTATTCTGTTGAAATAGGCTAGTGACATATCCCCCTAACTCCAAGAAATATTTGGGTAGCTGTAGCTCAACCCAAAGCTAAAAGTTGTTGGAAAAATTAAAGTGATGATTTGTTTCCTGATAGAATAAATTTTAAAGAAGAATTTAATTAAGAAATGTTTTCTGGAGTAGTTCAGAGAAAAACAAAAATGTAGAAAATAATTATAAAACATGATATAAAAGCTTGGTAAATTTTTTCCTCACTAGGGCTGTTATCAGAGCTGTAGCTTTAAGGTAAACTTTTGATAAATTTGAATAGTTCATTCAATATTTGAATGATGACTAAATATGTTATTAAATTTCATGAGGCCCTGGTGGTAAAGCATTTCCTGAACATACCTGGGATCATCTAGATTTTACCATTTCAATTCAGATAGAGAAAACAAGAGATATCATTAGTGGCCTATATTCTTTCATATAAAGAATAACAAATTGTAAATAAATGTAAAATAATGATAAACCCTAAGCCTTATTAAGATATCAGAGTCATTTTTGAAACACATTTTCTAAGGCCAAAGACTATATATATTGTGTGGAGAGCAGGGTGTTTACCAATTTATGACTATAAGAATGTCATTTTTACGTCACTTTTTGTCTTTAAAAGTTTTACTTTTTTTCTTAAATAATTTTTATTTATTGGCTGGGGGCGGTGGCTCACGCCTGTAATCCCAGAACTTTGGGAGGCCGAGGCAGGCGAATCACCTGAGGTCGTGAGTTCCAGACCAGCCTGACCAACATGGAGAAACCCCGTCTCTACTAAAAATATAAAATTAGCGGGGCGTGGTGGCACATGCCTGTAATCCCAGCTACTCAGGAGGCTGAGGCAGGAGAATCGCTTGAACCCGGGAGGTAGAGGTTGCGGTGAGCTGAGATCATGCCATTGCACTCCAGCCTGGGCAACAAGAGTGAAACTCCGTCTCAAAAAAAAAATTATTTATTATGGTACATAATGGTTGCATATATTTAAGAGGAACATGTGATGTTTTGATACAAGCATACAATGTGTAATAATCAAGGTAATTGGAGCATCCAGTCAGGGTAATTGGAGCATCCATTATCACCTCAAGCCTTTATTATTTCTTTGTGTTTGGAACATCCCAATTTCACTGTTCTACTTATTTTAAAATATGTAATAAATTATTGTTAACTATAGTCACATTATTGTGCTACCAATTCCTTCTATCTAACTGTACTTTTTACCCATTAACCATCCCCACTTTATCCCACCTCCCCCACTCCCCACCCTGCTGCCATTTCCACACTCTGGCAACCATCATTCCACTCTCTATCTCCAAGAGTTCTTTTTAAATGAAAGCTCCCACATGTGAGTGAGAAAGACAAAGATATTTGCCTTTCTGTCTCTGGCTTATTTCAGTCAACATAATGGCCTCCAGTTCCATCCATGATGTTGCAAATGACAGGATTTTATTCTTTTTATAGCTGAATGATATTCAGCTGTATATGTGTTTGTGTGTCACACTTTTAAATCAATTTATTCATTGATAAACACATAGATTGATCCCACGTCTTTGCTATTAAGAATAGTGCTGCAATAAATGTGGGAATGCAGATATCTCTTCAATAAACTTATTTCCTTTCATTTGAATATATACTCAGCAAGGGGATTGCTGGGTCATATAGTAGTATAGTATATTTTTTGTTTTTTGAGGAACCTTTATACTGTTCTCCGTAGAGGCTTTACTAATTTGTATTCCTACAAACAAAGAACAAGTTTCCTTTCTTCACATCCTAGCTAGTACTCATTATTGTCTGTCTTTTGGATAAAAACTATTTTAACTGAGGTGAGAAGGTATCTCATCATAGTTTTAATTTGCATTTCTCTGAAGATTAGTGATGTTCATCTGTTTTACTTATACCTGTTGGCCATTTGTATGTCTTCTTTTGAAAAAGGTCTATTCAGCTCACTTGTCCCTTTTTAATTGGATTATTTGTGTATTTGCTTTTAAAATTTTGTATTGAGTTGTTTGAGCTCCTTATATATTCTGGTTATTAATATCCTGTGAGATGAGTAGTTTGCAAATATTTTCTTCCATTCTGTGGGTTGCCTCTTCACTCTGTTGATTTTTTTTTCTTTGTTGCACAGAAACTTTTTAGTTTGATATTATCCCATTTGTCCATTTTTGCTTTGGTTGCATGTGTTTTTGAGATCTTACTCAAAAAATCATTGCCAAGACCAATGTAACTAGAGTGTTTAAGTTTTTTTCTAGTAGTTTCATAGATTGAGGTCATAGATTTAAGTCTTTAATCCATTTTGATTTGATTTTTGTATATGATAAGAGAAAGGAAGCTAGTTTCATTCTTCTGGATATGGATATCTAGTTTCCACAGCCAGTACCATTTATTGAAGAGACTGTCCTTTTCTTACTGTATGTTGTTGGCACCTTCATCAAAATATGTTGACTATAAATGTGTGGATTTATTTCTGGGTTCTCTATTCTGTCCAGTTGGTCTATTTGTCTGTTTTTATGCCAGTATCATGCTGTTTTGGTTACGATAGCTCTGTAGTATAATTTCGAGTCAAATAATGTGATTTCTCCAGTTTTCTTCAAAATGTTCAGCATGGCATTGGTTATTCTGGTTTTTCTTTCTGGTTTTATATAAATTTTACAATTATTTTTTCTGTTTTTGTGAGGAATGTCATGGGTATTTTGATAGGGATTGCACTGAATCTGTAGATTGTTTTGGGCAGTATGGTCATTTTAACAATACTGATTCTTTCCATTCATAAACATGGACTATCTTTCCATTCTTCTGTCATTGCTTCAATTGCTTTCTGTAATGTTTTATTTTAGAGATCATTTTAGAAATCTTTCATTTCTTTAGTTAAGTCTATTCCTATATATTTTATTTTATTTGTAGCTATTGTAAATGGAATTAGTTTCTTTTCTTCAAATTGTTTGCTGTTGATGTATAAAATGCTACTGATTTTTGTATATTGATTCTGTATCCTGCAACTTTACTGAATTTGTTTATAAGTTTTAAAAGTCTCTTAGTGGAGTCTTTAGGTTTTTTAAAATATAAGACCATATCATCTCCAAACAAGGATAATTTGGCGTCTTCCTTTCTAATCTGGATGCTCTTTATTTCTTTCTCTTGTCTAGTTGCTCTGGCCAGTTGAAGAAAAGTGGTGAAAGTGAGCATCCTTTTATTCTTCCAGATCATAGAGAAAAGGCTTCAGGTTTTCCCTGTTTGGTATGATACTAGCTGTGGGTTTATTATGCATGGTTTTTATTGTGTTGAGGAGTATTCCTTCTATACAATTTTTTAGAGAGTTTTTATCATGAAGACATGTTAAATTTTATGGAATATTTTTTCAGCATCAGTTGAAGTTATGATATGATTTTTGTCCTTCATTTTGTGATATGATGTATTACATTTATGGATTTGCATATGTTGAACCATCCTTGCATCTTTTTTGTTGTTGTTTTTATTTTATTTTATTTTATTTTTAATTTATTTTTTTATTATACTTTAAGTTTTAGGGTACATGTGCACATTGTGCAGGTTAGTTACATACATATACATGTGCCATGCTGGTGTGCTGCACCCACTAACTTGTCATCTAGCATTAGGTATATCTCCCAGTGCTATCCCTCCCCCCTCCCCCAACCCCACAACAGTCCCCAGAGTGTGATGTTCCCCTTCCTGTGTCCATATGATCTCATTGTTCAATTCCCACCTATGAGTGAGAATATGCAGTGTTTGGTTTTTTCTTCTTGCGATAGTTTACTGAGAATGATGATTTCCAATTTCATCCATGTCCCTACAAAGGACATGAACTCATCATTTTTTATGGCTGCATAGTATTCCATGGTGTATATGTGCCACATTTTCTTAATCCAGTCTATCATTGTTGGACATTTGGGTTGGTTCCAAGTCTTTGCTATTGTGAATAATGCTGCAATAAACATACGTGTGCATGTGTCTTTATAGCAGCGTGATTTATAGTCCTTTGGGTATATACCCAGTAATGGGATGGCTGGGTCAAATGGTATTTCTAGTTCTAGATCCCTGAGGAATCGCCACACTGACTTCCACAATGGTTGAACTAGTTTACAGTCCCACCAACAGTGTAAAAGTGTTCGTATTTCTCCACATCCTCTCCAGCACCTGTTGTTTCCTGACTTTTTAATGATTGCATCTTGACCATGATGAACGATCTTTTTGGTGTATAGTTGAATCTGGTTTGCTATTTTTTTGTTTTTGTTGAGGATTTTTGCATCTGTATTCATCAGATACATTGGCCTGTAGTTTTCTTTCTTCTTCTTCTTCTTTTTTTTTTTTTGGTGTGCCTTTGCCTGGTTTTGATAGCAAGATAACATTAGCCTTGTAGAATAAGTTTGGAAGTATTTCTTTATCCTTGATTTTTTGGAATAATTGAATAGAATTAGTGTTCCTTAAATATAGGTAGATAAATTCCTGGATTGATCCAGGAAGAAATTGAATCCCTGAATGGACCATTAAAGAGCTCTGAAATTCAATCCGTAATAAATAGCCTACCAATCAAAAAAAGCTGAGGAACAGATGGATTCACAGTTGAATTCTACCAGATATACAAAGAAGAGCTGGTAGCATTCCCACTGAAACTACTCCAAAAAATTGAGGAGGAGGGACTCCTTCTTAACTCATTCTGTGAGGCCAGCATCCTCCTGATATCAAAACCTGGCAGAGACACAATAAAAAAAGAAAACTTTAGGTTAATACCCTTGATGAACATTGATTCAAAAATTATCAACAAAATACTGGCAAATTGAAATTAGCAGCACATCAAAATCTTATTCACCATGATCAAGTAGACTTTATTCCTGGGATGCAGTGCTGATTCAACATATGCAAATCAATAAATGTGATTCATCACATTAACCAAACTAAAGACAAAAACCGTATGATTATCTCAATAGATGCAGAAAAGGCTTTGATAAAATTTCATACCCTTTCATGTTAAAAACTCTCAATAAACTAGTTATTGAAAGAATGTACGTTAAAATAATAAGAGCCATCTATGACAAACCCACAGCAAACCATCATACTGACTGGGCAAAAGCTGGAAGCATTCCCCTTGCAAACTATCACAAGACAAGGATGCACTCTCTCACTAGTATTCAACATAGTATTGGAAGTCCTGGCCAGAGCAATCAGGCAAGAGAAAGAAACAAAAGGTGTTTGAATTGGAAGAGAGGAAGTCAAATTATCCCTGTTTGCAGATTACATAATCCTATCTGGAAAACCCTATAGTCTCAGCCCAAAAGCTCCTTAAGCTGATAAACAACTTCAGCAAAGTCTCAGGATAAAAAAAATCAACATAAAAAAATCACTAGCATTACCATACACCAACAACAGTCAAGCTGAGGGCCAAATCAGAAATGCAGTCCCATTCACAATTGCCACAAAAAAGAATAAATTACCTAGGAATGCAGCTAAATAGGGGTTTAAAAGTTCTCTACAAAGAGAACTACAAAATACTGCTCAAAGAAATCAGAGAGGACACAAACAAATGGAAAAGCATTCCATGCTCCTAGATAGGAAAAATCAATATCATTAAAATGGTCATACTGCCCAAAGCAATTAATAGGTTCGATGTTATTCCTGTAAAATTACCAATGACATTCTTCACAAAACTAGAAAAAACTATTTTAAAATTCATATGGAGCCAAAGAAGAGCCTGAATAGCCATGATAATCCTAATCGAAAAGAACAAAGCTGGAGATATCATGCTACCCAACTTCAATCTATACTACAAAACTATAGTAATCAAAACAGCATGGTACTGGTACAAAAACAGACACATAAACCAATGGAACGGAATAAAGAGCCCAGAAATAAGACCACAAATCTACAACTATCTGATCTTCCACAAAGCTGACAAAACCAAGCAATAGAGAAATAAGTTTCTGTAGAATAAATGGTGCTGGCACAACTAGCTAGCCATATGCAGATGATTAAAACTGAACCTTCCTTACACCATATACAAAAAATAACTCAAGATGGATTACAAACTTAAATGTAAAACCCAAAACTATGAAAACTCAAGAGGACAACCTAGCCAATAAAATTCTGAACATAGGACTGAGCAGAGATTTCCTGACAAAAATGCCAAAAGCAATTGCAACAAAAGCAAAACTTGACACATGGGATCTAACTAAACTAAAGCACTTCTGCACAGCAAAAGAAACTATCAACAGAGTAAACAGACATCCTACAGAACAGGAGAGAATTTTTGAAAACTATGCATATGACAAAGTTCTAATATTCAGCATCTGTAAGGAACTTGAACAATTTTAAAAGAAAATACAAATAACCCCATTAAAAAGTTGGGAAAAGACATGAATGGACACTTTTCAAAAGAAGACGTATATGTGGCCAACAGGCAGCTGAACAAAAGCTCAACATTACTTATCATTAGAGAAATGCAAATCAAAATTACAATGAGATACCATCTCACACCAGTCAGAATGGCTATTACTAAAAAGTCAAAAAAATAACAGAAGCTGGTGAGGTTTTGGAGAAATTTACACTCCCACACTTGGGCATGTAAATTAGTTCAACCATTGTGGGAAACACTGTGGCAATTCCTCAAAGACCTAAAGACAGAAATACCATTTGAACCAGTCATCTCATTACTGGGTATGTACCCAAAGGAATATAAATTGTTTTGTCACAAAGACACATGCACATGTATGTTCACTGCAGTACTGTTCACAATAGCAAAGACATGGAATCAAGCTAAATGCCCATCAGTAGTAGACTGGATAAAGAAAATGTGGTACATATACACCATGGAATACTATGCAGCCATAAAAAAGAACAAGATCATGTCCTTTGCAGGAACATGAGTGGAGCTGGAGGCCATTTTCCCTAGTAAACTAATGCAAGAACAGAAAACCAAATACCACATGCTCTCATTTATAAGCAGGAGCTAAAAGATGAGAACACATGGATACACAGAAGGGAACAACAGACACTGGAGCCTACTGGACTGTGGAGGGGTGGGAGGAGGAAGAGGATCAGAAAAAATAACTAACAGGTACTAGGCCTAATACCTGGGTGATGAAATAATCTGTACAAAAATCTCCGTGACACAAATTTACCTGTATCACAAACCTACACATGTACCTCTGAATTTAAAAGTTAAAAAAAAAAATAGTGTTTCTATATGCTAATACTGTACTATTTGAAAAAGAAATAAAGAAAACAATCCAATTTACAATAGCTACAAAAGACACCTAGGAATAAATTCAACAAAGGAGGTAAAAAATCCCTATAATGAAAACTATTAAAATATTGATAAAAGAAATTGTGTAGACCCACACAAATATGGAAAGACATCCTGTGTTCATGAATTAGAAGAATAAATATTGTTAAAATTACCGTACTACCCCCCACAATCTGTAGATTCAATACAATCCTGCCAAAATACCAATGACATTCTTTACAGGTATAGAAAAAAATCCTAAAATTTGTGCGGAACCACAGAAGGCCCCAAATAGCCAAAAACAACCCACCTCCAAAAAAAAAAAACTGGAGGAATCACATTACTTAACTTTAAATTATACTACAAAGCTATAGTAACTAAAACAGTATGATACTTTCATAAAGACTGACAGATAAACCAATGGAACAGAATAGAGAACCCATAAATAAATCTGTGTACAATAAGTCCTCACTTAACATTGATAATTCATTCTTGGAAACTGTGACTGTAAGAAAAATGATGTGTAAGAAAATCATTTTTTTCTCATCAATGTTATAACAAAATGACATTGAATCAAACAACATTATCCAAGGACCTGCAGTATGTTGTTTCACTTAAAGTCACAGTTTTTGAGACCCCATTGACAACATTGTGAGGACTTACTGTATTTACAGCTAACTGATTTTTGATAAAGATGCCCAGAACATAAACTGGGAAGAAGACAAACCTCTTCAATAAGTAGCACTAGGAAAATTGATATTCCTATGCAGAAGAATGAAACTAAATTCATATCTCTAGCCATGTACAAAAATCAACTCAAAATGGGTTAAAGACTTAAATGTAAGTCTAAAACTATTAAACAACTAGAAGAATACATATGAGAAACACTTCAGGACATTATTCTGGGCAAAGATTTTATGAATAAGACCTCAGAAGCTTAGGCAACCAAAGCAAAAATACACAAATGGGATTACACCAAACTAAAAAGCTTCTGTATAGCAATGCAAAAGAAAGAAAAAAAATCAACAGAGTAAAGAGACACCTCACAAAAGGGAGAAAATATTTTCAAACTATTTATCTGACAAGCGATTAATACTGAGAATACACAAGGACCTCAAGCAACTCAACAAAAGTGAAAAAAAAAGAAATAATCTAGTCAAAAGATGTGCAGATGCTCTGAATAGACAGTTTTCAAAAGAAGACACAATGGCCGACAAATATATTAAAAAATGCTGAACATCACTGACCACCAAGAAAATGCAAATCAAAACCACAGTGAGATATCATGTCACCCTAGTAAGAAGGGCTATTATCAAAATGATAAAAAATAACAAATGCTGGCAATGATGCAAAGAAAAAGGAACTCTTATACAGTGTTGGTGGAGACATAAATTAGTACAACCGTTGTGGAAAACAGTATGGTGTTTCCTCAAAAAATCAAAAGTAGAACTATCATATGATTCAGCAATCCCACTACTGGATACAAATCCACAGAAAAGGAAATCAGTATGTCAAAGAAATATTTGTAGTCCTATGTTTATTGCAGCACTATTCACAATAACTAAGATATGTAATCAGCCTATTCTGTCAATGGATGAATAAAGAAAATGTGGTATATATACACAATGGAATACTTTTCAGCTATTAAAAAATGAAATCCTGTCATTTGTGGCAACATGAGTAAGCCTACAGGATGTTATGTTAAGTGAAATAAATCAGACACAGAAAGATAAATACCACATGTTCTCAGTCATATGTGGAACCTAATAAAATTTGATCACAGAAGTAGAAAGTAGAATACTAGATACCAGAGGTGGGAGAGGGTAGGGGGAGGAAAAGATGGAAATAGATTGGTTGTGTAGCACTGTAGGGTAACTACAGTTACAATAATTTATTGTATATGTTCAAATAGCTGGAAGAGAAGATTTCGAATGGTTTTTAACACAAAGAAATGATAAATGTTTGAGGTGATGGATGTGGTAATTACCCTGATTTCATCATTTCATATTGTATTGAAATATTACACCGTATCCCATAAATATTACATTTATGTAATATGTTAGATAAAAAAAAATCAGGTAAGAGAACTTCTCCTTCAATCGCTAGTCTGTGACTTTTCTTTTCCTTCCTAAGGTAATATCGTTAATAATATTGTCACATTGTCGCAATATCTACTTCGTTGTCTTATATAATCGTACATCACATGTAAGATCTATATATATGTAGGGCATATATTATTATGTATTTTATATAATAATTAAGCTTACAACTCCATTTAAGGGTAAGATTACTCTCTCTCATTCTTTAGGGGAAACTGCCTTGAGGCAGGAGTATTGGTTTTGCCCGTCTTTCTTTCTCATTTCCTTCTCTCCTGCCTGGCTGCTGTTTGCAGCTCTTCCAGGGGATGGGGGGCAGAAGTCCATAGGGAGCATCTCTGCCTTGTCTTGGCTTTATCTAGAACTGTTGTGTCTGGTTTTGTGCCCTCAGAGCCAGCAGAGTTTGAAGGAGGTCATGGACTCCCTCATGTGTTCTTTGAGGACCTCTGATCTCTGGTATGCAATCTCCTGATTTCAGTGAGTGGTTCTTCTGGCTGGACTCATTTACGTGAAGATCCTGGGAATCTTGAAGTCCACCTCCAGCTTCTGTTGAGATTACATCTCTTTTCCAGATGTGTTTTGGAAGGGACTTAAGACAGTCCACAAGGAAATGTGTTCTTTGTCCCAGCCTAACCAAGGGCAGCCGAGTCCAGGCTCTGCTCTGTTGCCTACACCTGGGTTCGCCTAGTTCTTTGTATCTGGAGTTTCCATTCAGGGCCAGGTGGGGATCACCCTGTCTCATAGCTGTAAGGATCACAGAAAATCTTCCTGCAAGGTCCAGCTGAAGCTGTTTTCTCTCGATTTAAGTTGCAGGAGGAAAATACCTTTTTTCTAATAAATCCTCTCAAAAAATCTTCCTCTTGGATTTATAAGACTTGTACTTTGGCAAGTTTGTGAACTGGTCTGGAATTTTATATATTTGTACCTTAGTTTCTCAGAAACGTCAAGTAACTATGTCATTGCATATTATATTGTCTGTGTGTGTGTGTGTGTGTGTGTGTAATCAAAATTGCAAGTGTCTAAATAAAACAAATTATCTTTTCATGTAATGCATTATTTAAAGCAGAAAATAACTAATGTAGAATGAATCCTATTGAGAAAATAATATCAACTTCTTATCTAGTTACTGTCTGATAAATACTTAAAAGACCACATTCTTCTTCTAGTTAGTAAATGAAAAATCACTGGTGAGGTCTCACAATAGAAACAGTATGAGATAAACCACTGTTAAAATTCCAGCTTACTTCAAATATTATAGCCAAAGCCAAAAGAAGAATGAGCTCTTGTTAACCTCAGTGCAGTTTTATCTTGAAGGTATTATATTTCATCCTTCTCATTTTTATTCACAAAAATGTCAAGAAAACATCTATAAAGTAGATGAAAATATAAAAATATGCTGCCTCCCCTATCTCCATAGATTTCTTCATGAATCCCATCTTATTCTCAATACAGCTTTTCATGTTAGAGTTAGGTTCATTCAAATGTTTGAGTAGCAGAAGCTGTTCTAACATCAGGTGAAATCCAGATCTCTTTATAAGAAATAATGGAGAAAAAAATGTTTTTAGAAAGACCAAAGAACCAGAAAAAAGGGCGTAGAATCAGCATGTCAAAAAGAGACCGTGAATAGTGATGAGAGATGAAAGACATGTCTAAAAAATATGTAATGAATAACTCCCTTTGACTGATAATGTAGATATTATTAGTGAAGGCAACATTCAAGGAAAGAGAAAAAGACGGTCCTGATTCACATGTTTAAGCTAATTGGAGTAAGTCCGTGAAGTGATTTCCAAAGGTCTGCTGCTGTGTGTACAAACCTGTAGGGTCTTTAAAGGAGCTGGAGCTCAGAGCTTTGTGCATGATGTTTGCGTTTTGTTTTGTTTTGATTTGTTTTGTTTCATTTCTTTTATTCATTTTGAGATGGTGAAGGCAGCATATTAGGCTGGAAAGAGTGACTTTCAAGAACTCTGGAGAGAAATCATACTATTATCATGAAAACTCTACTTGCCCCCTGCAAATCATCTGATAGGTGCCAAACAAAATAAAACAGGAGTATTCAGTAAAATTTACTCCTTATCACCATTTTTCCCTTTGCAAGGGCTACAGGAGAGCTTTCCTCCTGGCCCTCTGAAGGTTTGCTGAAAAATAAATTCACAAAAGGCAGATTAATAGAAGAAAAGGCATACAAATTTATTTAACATGTGTACCCAGGAGCCCTCAGAATGAAGACCCAAAGACACAGGGGAAATGGTCTATTTTTTGCTTTGGTTCAACCAAGTATGGACAGCCATGTAGAAATATGATTGGACAAAAAGTGTGTGATCTAATGCTAATAGTCTGCGTGGGGGAACCCAGCAAGGCGTGTCCATCTAGATTCCTCTTGGCTTCTCTGAGCAGCATTCCTTCCCTCTGGGTATGGGGCAGGAACCTTTCCAGAATGGGAGTCTTATAACCTATCATCAAACAAGGTAGGTCAGAGAATTTCTTTCTGGCCATTTTTACATGGATAGGGCTAAGGGAAGGTTAGATTAATATTGTTAGTTTTATAGCTGTCTTTGGAGAAAAGGAGTTCAGGTTTCTATGACCTGCCTTGGAGAAGAGTGTTTCTCATTTCTATGGCTAGCCTTGGGGAAGAATGGGATGGAGAGAAAGGAGGGCAGGAAGAGGTCAGAGAAAAACCTTTTGCTTCTGAAGGTATTGCAGAGGCCTTCATTTTGGGATATTGTTTTCTGAGCCCCAACACTCTGAATGGTAGACCTAAGAAGGACAAAAACAAGTTCTAGGTCAGAAAATACGTCCTTGCTATTGTATTTGTTGGAATCCAAAATATGCCTCTCCAAAATATACTTTTTTGGTATATTTCAAGTTGTTTATTCAGAGAAGCTGAATAGATTTGAAAAGCTATTGCTTTGTTAAAAGAAAAAATGTATGTTTATCTACATTAGTAAAGCAAACAGGAGATACAAACAGAGGCTTTCTCTGAGGTCACCTTATCCAGATCTAGGAAAGATGAACTCACAGAAAAAGGAGACTTAAGTCTGACATTTTGAAGTTCTGACAGAGAAACTGTTAACCACAAGCTGCCTTCTATTCACTCTGAGGACTGCTACCTGTGAGACTTCATCTGCATAACAAGACAGCCTTTGCTCTCCATGTGTTTCCTCCCCCCACCCTCCCACAACCCATCCCCAGGCTCCCCAGGAGCCCTAAGTCCTTATTCTACTCTGTATGGTATACAACTTAGTCATCTGGCCCTTCTTTGAGTCTCATATTTTGTGTAGTTACTCTACACATGCATATGTAATAAACTTGTATACCTTTTCTCCTGTTACTCTGTCTATTGTTGGTTGATTTTATGGAGTCAATTTATTAAACATTCAAATGGGTGGAAGGAAATTCCCTTTCCCCCTACGTATCCATGAAAGCTTTCCCAGAATGCATAGTTGTGTCCTGCCAGATTGGTGGTCAGAACAGGTTTGTATATCTTATGTGTGTTTTCCACAAGGAAGAGTGCCTTTTAAGTCCAAATAGCATTGCTCTGAAAATTAGGAAAACTGTTTGCTTTTTAAACACTCTACACAAAGCTTCCTGGGGCATTTCATCAGAGCAGCCTAGAACTTCTCATTTTAACCAGCTGAATACTTTCTTGCTTGGCAAAGCTTTTTGACACCTTTTGGGTTTAAATCCAGATTTTTTTTTTACACCTGTACTGTAAATAAGAGCACTTTTTTTGATGATTTAATAGCCAGTGGCTGACAATATATAGCCTAAGATAGCTATTATATTAAATAGACAGGTATATAACGTCTCTTCTCTTCATTCTTTGATACGATCTGTTTGTGATCTTTGCATTTTTTGTTTGTTTGTTTTGACCAGGATTCACTGGATACAAGACAGTTTTAATTCCAGAAAATATTTTTGTACTTCTCTTTAAATATGTGACTTGGAAGCAGGTTTTTGGGTATGAGCATATGTAGCTGTTGAAGATGACTATCAAAATTGATGCCACACAAAGCACCTTGTAAACAAAAGATGCTGGCACTTGGTAGGAAAATTAGGAAGGAAAATTAATAATACAGAAAATAATAGTCACATTTTCACTTATGCTTGCATAAGTTCTACCATTTAGGAGTTCTCAAAAAGAAATTAAAAAGAAGAGAAACAGGGTAAAAAAAACGTAATTTCTCCAGGGAATGTCTTTGGTCTGGCTTTCACATACACACAAACATTCTCATCTCAAAAGCAGTCATCAGAAAAATGATCTCCCTCTTGAATCCAAGTGAGATAAGTGCGGTATTAGTCCATTTTCATGCTGCTGATAAATACATTCCCAAGACTGGGTAATTTATGAGAAAAAAAGGTTTAATGGGCTCACAGCTCCATGTGGCTGGGGAGGCCTCACAATCATGGTAGAAGGTGAAAGCACGTCTTACATGGTGGCAGATAAAAGATAATGAGAACTAAGCTAAAGGGATTTCCTCTTATAAAGCCATCAGATCTGTGGTAGACTTATTCACTACCACAAGAACAGTATGGGGCAAACTGCCCCCATGATTCAATTATGTCCCACCAGGTCTTTTCCACAACATGTGGGAATTATGGGAGCTATAATTCAAAATGAGACTTGGTTGGGGACACAGCCAAACCATATCATTCTGCCACTGGCTGCTCCCAATTCTCACATCCTCACATTTCAAAACCAATCATGCCTTCCCAACAGTACCTCAGATTCTTAACTCATTTCAGCATTAACTCAAAAGTCTACAGTCGAGAGAAGCAAGTCCCTTCCACCTATAAGCCTACAAAATCAAAAGCAAGTTAGTTACTTCCTAGATACAATGGGGGTACAGGCATTGGATGAATACAACCATTCCAAATGGGAGAAATTGGCCAAAATGAAGGGACTACAGGCCCATACAAGTCCAAAATCCAGCTGGGCAGCTGTATCTTAAAGTTTCAAAATGATCTCCTTTGACTCCATGTCTTGCATCTAGGTCATGCTGATGCAAGAGGTGGGTTCCCATGGTTTTGGGCAGCTCCGCCCCTATGGCTTTGCAGGGTACAGCCTCTCTCCCAGCTGCTTTCATGGGGTGGCATTGAGTCTGCAGCTTTCTCAGGCACATGGTGCAAGCTTTCAGTGGATCTACCATTCTGAGGTCTGGAGCATGATAACCCTCTTCTCACAGCTTCACTAGGCAGTGCCCTAATGGGACTCTGTTTGAGGGCTTCTACCCCACATTTCCCATCTTCACTTCCCTAGCAGAGGTTCTCTATGAGGGTCCCACCCCTGCAGCAACCTTCTGCCTGGACATCCAGGTGTTTCCACACATCCTCTGAAATCTAGGTGGAGGTTCCCAAACCTCAATTCTTGACTTCTGTACACCCGCAGGCTCAAGACCACATGGAAGCTGCTAAGGCCTGGGGCTTGCATCCTCTGTAGCCATGGCCCAAGCTGTACCTTGGCCTCTTTTAGCCATGGCTAGAGTGTCTGGGACACAGGGCACCATGTTTCTAGGCAGCACACAGTGCTGGGTCCCTGGGCCTGGACCATGAAACCATTTTTTCCTCCTAGGCCTCCAGGCCTGTTATGGGAGGGGCTACCGCAAAGGTCTCTGACATGCCCTGGAGACATGTTCTCCATAGTCTTGTTGATGAACATTTGGCTCCTCATTACTTATGCCGATTTCAGCAGCCAGCTTGAATTTCTTACCAGAAAATGAGTTTTTCTTTTCTATTGCATTGTCAGGCTGAAAATTTTCTGCATTTTTATGCTGTGTTTCCCTTTTAAAACTGAGTGCTTTTAACAGTGCCCAAGTCACCTCTTGAGTGCTTTGCTGCTTAGAAATTTCTTCCACCAGATACCCTAAATCATCTCCCTCAAGTTTGTAGTCCCACAAATCTTTAGGGTGGGGGCAAAATGCCACCAGTCTCTTTGCTAAGACACAGCAAGTATCACCTTTACTCCAGTTCTCAACAAGTTCCTCATCTCCATCTGAGACCACCTTAGCCTGGATTTCATTGTCTATATCATTATCAGCATTTTGGTCAAAGCCATTCAACAGGTCTCTAGGAAGTTCCAAACTTTCCTACATTTTCCTGACTTCTGAGCCCTCCAAACTGTTCCAACCTCTGCCTGTTACCCAGTTCCAAAGTCACTTCCACATTTTTGGGTGTCTTTACAGCAGCATCCCTCTCTACTGGTACCAATTTACTGTACTAGTCTGTTTTCATGCTGCTGATAAAGACATACCTGAGACTAGGTAATTTATAAAGAAGAAGAGGTTTAATGAACTCACAGTTCCATGTGACTGGGGAAGTCTCACAATCATGGCAGAAGGTGAAATGCACATCTTACATGTTGGCAGACAAGAGTGAATGAGAACCAAGTGAAAGGGGTTTTCCCTTATAAAACCATCAGATCTCATGAGACTTATTCACTACCATAAGAACAGTATGGGGGAAACCACCCCCATGATTCAATTATCTCCCACAGGGTCCCTCCCACAACATGTGGGAATTATGGGATCTACAGTTCAAGATGAGATTTGGGTGGGACACAGCCAAACTGTGTCAAATGTAGTGTCTAAAATAATATGTAACCAGAGTTGCCAGTTTATTATGAAAATGTTTAATCTAAGTATTTTTAAATTATTAAATAATATTTTATATTGCTTTTACTTGTTTATATTAGGCAACAAAAGTAAGTGAGCATATTTAAAAAATAGGAGAAATCTGAATTAACACACAAAGTGGCCAGAAAGGAGTTGCAAATTTAACCCTACAGGGGAGCATTCCAATATCAAGAATATGTTTATACTGAAATGACATGGGGAGACATGCATAGAACTAGTCCTCACACAAATTATTTTTTTCATATCAAACAACTTTTTGGGGGCCAATAGATAATATTTTATGACTCACTTTTACATTCCAAAGTAGTTTCCCTTTGCTTTTAAAGCTCATGGGTATAGCACTAATAAACTAACTCCATTCTTCTCTTAAGCTTAATTAAGTTTTAGAAAGAACACCAAGTAGATAAACACATAAGAAGCTGATAAAAACAGCACCTATTTAGAAAAATAGCACTGAAAATATTTTCATTTGTTATAAAACAGTATTAAATTACTAGTGCTAAAATCAAAACTATGTGCTCACCAGATCCTTTCTTTTCTTCCTGGACACATAGCCAAACTACATTTCTAGTCTCATTGTGGTTAAGTGGGACCATGTAACTGAGTTCTGACCAGTGAAATGTGGGCAATTATAATGTGTGCATTTCCAGGGCTGGCCTCTCCTGGAAACATCTAGAGGAAGAATCCACATCCCTGCAGGACTCCCAGGTTTTAGGAGGTGGCAAAACCATACATAAAAGTATCCTGAATCCCTGCATCATTTCATGGTGGATGTTGTCAAAGGATGCCACTCACACTGGAACACCTGCAGTAGAAGTTGTATGAATAAAAAATTAAACAATTACTATGATAAGCCACTGTGATATTGGGTTTGTTTGTTAGAGGGATTAGCCAATATAAAACTGGCAATTTCTTTTTGCTGTCTTGATATATTTACAAGAATGACTCAGCTTTGAAAAGAAACTAGAGATATGTATCTCAAATGGAATGAATTACATGGGGAGACATGCACATGTACGTGTATTATTATTTAATACAAGGCTCCCAGTCTTATAGTTTTTCTTATTTTGCTATTGCTCATCAACTTTTAAAAGGCTTAGCTTATAAAATGAGACCCAGATTTTTGATAACTATATCTATGCACTCCTAAATCAGAGTGGCATAAGGTGCAAAAAGAAGGGCCCCAGTTGGATTATCTAATCAATTATTTTCAAAGAAGCAGTCTGTGCACTGGCACAAGATTATACCCAATTGCCAAACTTACTGCACAAAGGAATTATTTTTCTTCTCCCTTGAATTCTATGTCTGGTCACAATCTTGGACTATCCAGAAAGTGATATGGTGACCACTCGATTTAATTAAAGAAAACATTCTAATAAAGCTCTCAAACATTCCAGCATCTGCCACCCATACTTCTAACAATAGTGGCAGAACAGAAAGATTAATAAGCTGCCCAAATTGTATCATGTCTCCCATAATACAGTGAGATCTGATGTATGTTTCAATTTTAACTACTTAATTCCTACAGTATTTTGTGGTGGTAAATATGTCTGGGGAAATCCTCCTGAATTGGATACTAGGAGTTAGCTCACAAATCTGGGCCTGTATTTATGTGATGAGTACAGTTCCTCTTAAGAAGCATAGAATAAGGCTATTTAAATGCAAGCTTGGGTTTCTTATAGCAAAACCAGGACTGCTTGGAAAAGTGTTTTGATGACATATGCTCCGTGAATCCATCAGGGCAGCCTCGAGTAGGGTGAAGATTCTGGATGAGATGAATAGCTTTTTGAAGAATAATGCCTGCAGCTGCTGTGGTCTTAGTCTTGGTGGTTGGGCCTCCTCATTGGATGGCTAGGAGCATAAAACCTGTCAGTCTGACTACTGCTAGCCTTATACTCCTTAAATACTGGAGATAGGGGGCTTCTCCAGAGGTCTTTAAGTGAAAGTGGTTATAATCCAATTGGAAGTTAAGAGTTGTGTCTCCTATTTTTTTCTAACTCTTAATTACTAAACTGTTTTCTTAAAAATATGCTTGTGTATATACAAGACACCTCCCATTTCACAATGACAATGCATTACTTTATATCGTTACCTTACTAGATCTTTGTCTTGTTGGCTAGATTATAATTCCTTTAGATTAGGAACTATTGTATATATGACTTATGCTCTAGGGTCTTGCAGAAATTTAGTGATTAGTATAGATTCTAGTTTTGGAATCAACATAGCAAAAATAATAAGGTACAAATTAGGAAAAAATAAAAAAAATTGAAGAAAAATTAAAAATTAAAGTTATGTAATATCACAACATAGCCTTTCAAAATGTAATCTATTATATGTGAATTTAATAAAAAAGAGACTAAATATGTTTGGATAGAGCTTAAAGAGAATATGGGATATTTGATAGATTGACAGCAAATTACGTATTGTTTATGTTTGGTTTTCTTTGATTTCTTCTCTTCTGTCTGATACAGGTTTCTATATTTGAAAGAAAATGTTTGCTTCCTTTTAGCCAGTTGATGGGGTCAGTAGAATCTAAAAATTATATCTGCATCTAAGCATAATAACTAAGAATGAGAGAATGACTTTGAGAAACATTTGTGTACAATTTTGAAGCCTATTTCTAATGTAAGATATATGCTATAAATAGAATTTCTTTTTAAGTGAGGACTATATTTCTAAAAGGAGTACTGACAAATGTGTGTTAATGCTTTAAAATTTTCAGTTTGAATGAAACATATCTTATAATAGTTTTCCAAATGAAATCAGAGAAGACCTTCTATAACCATTCATTTACTCTGCTATAAAGTATTCTATCTTTTTTCACCAGTTTTCCTATCATTACACATTCTTTGCTGTTATATACTATCAAAATATTCTCTTCTAAAATTAGGATTTTCTAAATTAATTACAGTATTAATTGCCATAAGGTGTTTAAAAATTATTAATAAATAGGAGAGAGGTTTTTTCTACCAAAAATGTTGAAAGCACACTCAAAACTTCAACTAGCTCAAGGACTCCCACTTAACCATTTAAAGCACATTTTTCTCTGAGTGAAACCTAACTGGACACCGCGTGTCTTTGCCATTCCTCTCTGTAGGAAGACAGTTTCCAGTTCTGGCAAATCCTCTGCATATAAGAGTAACAGAAGTATGATCCATCAATGTTTAAAGAACAAACATGAATCTGAGCGTCTAAGTAAAGTGGGTGCTTAAATATCTTAACTAAATTAAGGAAGTAATTTTTTACGTATTCTGAAGCATCCCAGTGAATCTTCAGCATGAACTTTACCAGAATTCCTTTAGAGACAGAGAGAGCGTGTGTGTGTGTGTGTGTGTGTGTGTGTGTGTGTGTGTGTGTGTGTATAGGTATATTCTAAGGTAATCTGAAGACTAGCATTTTTTCCAAAAAAAGTATTTAGGATGATGTAAGAAGCAACAAGACAGTTTTCTCTATTTTCAAATGGCTTCTTATTCAAGTGATTTCTTGATATGACTTTCTAACTTATTAATATTCAACTTTTTGTGACTTCTCTTTTAAGGAGGACAGAGTAGATAGTGAAAAGCTATCATTCACACTCCAACAAATGGACAAATGTAAATGATCAAGATCATATTTCAAAACACAATGGAGAGACATGAAAATAAAATAAAAAGGACTAAGTAAGTAGATGCAAATATCAGAGAAGGTCGAGTTCTTCCTATGTGAGCTGCGGTTGGATACCACTTTTCTTCTAGGGACATGTGCTGATTCTATGCATGGGCTGAGGATTAGGCTCACCATAGAAAGTAGAACTCCATTAGGACAAAGAGAAACCAGTGGAGACCTTGACAGCCACATATGCTGACACTGACCAATCAAAACTAGATAAACTCCAAACACGTGGCTAGTTTCTCGTATGGGCATTTGCTGGGTTTTGAGATAGGCTAAGAGTGTAACAGCTGATTCAGAAAGACTCAGGACTGAAATCAACTGAAGCCTGTCAGTGCTTAGGAGACAAAGTCACACTACAGGAAGTGATAAGTAACAAGTATACAGTTAAGTTTCCCCCTTATAATAGCTGCCATATTTCAAATCTGTGTGGAGCAGAATGCCAAAGAATGAAACTCTCAAGTTCCAAAGGGCAGTAATTTCATGGTGGAAGAGAGAAGCAGAACCATCAGACTCTTAAACGAAGATACAGGAGGGCCAGTCCCAAATGGAAAAGAGAAAGTGATGGATCTTGAACTTAAAACATTTGAAAAAAGTGGTAAAGGTTTTAATTAAAGGTGAAACCAAGCCCTGTCCCAACTTAAATTCTGAGGGACCTATGACTTGTGATCATCCCTTCACATTACCTGCCTAACAGAGGGAGGAAAAAAAACAACATCATTTCCCTCTCTAGGAAAAGAACAACATCATTTTCAGCCTCTACAGTTATTTTATACACAATGTTGTCCAAGATATAATAAAAATTGACACATACAAAGGGAAAAGGACATGTGACTGGTAATCAAGAGAAAATACAGACATTAAAAGCAGATATGAAATGAGGCAGATAAATGTGATTGATAATAAAGACTATAAATGAGGGAATAAGCAAATAAGAACTTCATAAATATGTGAAAGAAAACAAAGAAAAATTTAAGGAAATGGAAGACAGAATTTTAATGAGGAATTGAGATCCAAAAAAATGAATTAAATAGAATATGGTAGAATTGAACATCCAATATTTAAAATTAAAAAGTCAATTGCTGAAGATATGTAATCACATGTAGAATGTAGGAAAAAAATCCAGAATAAAGAATAAAAAAAGATGAAAAATACAAAAGCTCCCAGCTACCTATTGTGGGGGCTAAGTTCTGGGCTAGTGTAGCTGAGAGGTGGGGATCCCCTGCTTCCACCCACCTCTCATAACCCACTAATAAAATAGGGATTTTGTCTTGTATGCAGTGTGTTGAGAATAATGGAGCCCTGATCACTCATGACCAGACTCGTGAGGCAGTGGGTTCTATGCCAGGAGAGGGAAATAGAGAGGATCCTAGTCTTCTGTTTTTCCCCTAAAA
This sequence comes from Homo sapiens, assembly GCF_000001405.40. NCBI lineage: Eukaryota > Metazoa > Chordata > Mammalia > Primates > Hominidae > Homo > Homo sapiens. The sequence goes on from NC_000013.11 coordinate 22,378,591, forward strand.
AATGGTCAGCTAATAGAACAGAGATGTTTGCCTGGTGGTAGAAAGAGGCCATAAAACACCTCCTAATTTCTTCTGAAAGGGACTGACTTCAATTGCATCAGAGATTAAAATAGGTACTCAAACCTAAAGGTACTCTCAGGAACAGTTGAGATTTTGGCCAAAAGGTAATTGAGGGGAGGCTCAAGATACTGGTTAAACTGAAGGTCTGTGAGTTTGCAGGAGAGAACTAGGGGCTGAAACAACTGGGAGGAGTTCTCCTGGAACCAAAAGAAAGAACAAGCACTGACATCAGAAACTGTTTCTTCAAGGGAGCCAGAATTTGACTAAATTAGTTTATGGAGCAATTCGTATCCGAGAACATTGTTGAAAAAAACAGAGCAATTGGCTGGCAATGAGTAAAGTGTAATAGCTTGGTGTGGCCAAGAATATAGAGGAAGGGAGCCCTACCAAAACCACTACAAGGGGCCCATGGGCTAAACAAAGCTATGTTCCCTGAGGAACACCAGAGACTGAACACGTAGGTGTCACTGAAAGAATCCAGTTGGTCTCTGCTGTGGTTTGAATGTGTCCTGCAGAGTTCATGTGTTGAAGCTGAATCCCCTATGCAAGTGTTGAGAGGTGGGTTTTGGAATCTGTAAGAGTTGGTAAGTCATGAAGGCTCTGTCTTCGTGAATGGATTAATGCCATTATCACAGGAGTGGTTTCCTGATAACCGGATGAGTTTGGTTTTCTCTCTCAGGCACACTCTCTCACCGTATGATAGCTCCTCCTATGTTATGAGGCAGCAAGAAGGCCCTCACCAGATGCAGCTTCATAATCTTGGACTTCCCAGGCTCGAGGACTACAAGACATACATTTCTTTTCTTTATAAATTACCTTGTCTGTGGTATCCAGTTATACTAGCACAAAATGGACTAAGACAGATGCCTACTTCACAGCTTTGCTGGCCCTGGAGAATAGTGTAATCTTCATCCAGAAGTCATTACAATGGCAATATAGAGAGAGATGAAATCCCCATGCACACCTGCTTTCAAGAGTTTCTAGAAATGCGTCTACCTTGCTTTCAATCAACCTTTTTCTCTCAAGAGGGGTGTTTGCCTAGCCTTCAGTGGTAATAATTACTGATACTAATCAAAAACTGTGACAGTGGTTTCCTTTTTATTATCATTATTATTATTATTATTATTATTATTATACTTTAAGTTTTAGGGTGCATGTGCACAACATGCAGGTTTGTTACATATATATACATGTGCCATGTTGGTGCACTGCACCCATTAATTCGTCATTTAGCATTAGGTATATCTCCTAATGCTATCCCTCCCCCACTGCACCTTACAACAGTCCCCGGTGTGTGATGTTTCCCTTCCTGTGTCCATGTGTTCTCATTGTTCAGTTTCCACCTATGAGTGAGAACATGCGGTATTTGGTTTTTTGTCCTTGCAATAGTTTGCTGAGAATGATGGTTTCTAGCTTCATCCATGTCCCTACACAGGACATGAACTCATCATTTTTTATGGCTGCATAGTATTCCATGGTGTATATGTGCCACATTTTCTTAATCCAGTCTATCATTGTTGGACATTTGGGTTGGTTCCAAGTCTTTGCTATTGTGAATAGTGCCGCAATAAACATACGTGTGCATGTGTCTTTATAGCAGCATGATTTATAATCCTCTGGGTATATACCCAGTAATGGGATGGCTGGGTCAAATGGTATTTCTAGTTCTAGATCCCTGAGGAATCACCACACCGACTCCCACAATGGTTGGACTAGTTTACAGTCCCACCAACAGTGTAAAAGTGTTCCTATTTCTCCACATCCTCTCCAGCACCTTGTTTCCTGACTTTTTAATGATTGCCATTCTAACTGGTGTGAGATGGTATCTCATTGTGGTTTTGATTTGCATTTCTCTGATGGCCAGTGATGGTGAGCATTTTTCATGTGTTTTTTGGCTGCATAAATGTCTTCTTTTGGGCAGTGTCTGTTCATATCCTTCGCCCACTTTTTGATGGGATTGTTTGTTTTTTTCTTGTAAATTTGTTTGAGTTCTTTGTAGATTCTGGATATTAGCCCTTTGTCAGATGAGTAGATTGCAAAAATTTTCTCCCAGTCTGTAGGTTGCCTGTTCACTCTGATGGTAGTTTCTTTTGCTGTGCAGAAGCTCTTTAGTTTAATTAGATCCCATTTGTCAATTTTGGCTTTTGTTGCCATTGCTTTTGGTGTTTTAGACATGAAGTCCTTGCCCATGCCTGTGTCCTGAATGGTATTGCCTAGGTTTTCTTCTAGGGTTTTTATGGTTTTAGGTCTAACATGTTAATCTTTAATCCATCTTGAATTAATTGTTGTATAAGGTGTAAGGAAGGGATCCAGTTTCAGCTTTCTACATATGGCTAGCCAGTTTTCCCAGCACCATTTATTAAATAGGGAATCCTTTCCCCATTGCTTGTTTTCCTCAGGTTTGTCAAAGATCAGATAGTTGTAGATATGTGGCATTATTTCTGAGGGCTCTGTTCTGTTCCATTGGTCTATATCTCTGTTTTGGTACCAGTACCTTGCTGTTTTGGTTACTGTAGCCTTGAAGTATAGTTTGAAGTCAGGTACCGTGATGTCTCCAGCTTTGTTCTTTTGGCTTAGGATTGACTTGGCAATGCAGGCTCTTTTTTGGTTCCATATGAAGTTTAAAGTAGTTTTTTCCAATTCTATGAAGAAAGTCATTGGTAGCTTGATGGGGATGGCATTGAATCTATAAATTAACTTGGGTAGTGTGGCCATTTTCACGATATTGATTCTTCCTACCCATGAGCATGGAATATTCTTCCATTTGTTTGTATCGTCTTTTATTTCATTGAGCAATAGTTTGTAGTTCTCCTTGAAGAGGTCCTTCACATCCCTTGTAAGTTGGATTCCTAGGTATTTTATTCTCTTTGAAGCAATTGTGAATGGGAGTTCACTCATGATTTGGCTCTCTGTTTGTCTGTTATTGGTGTATAAGAATGCTTGTGATTTTTGCACGTTGATTTTGTATCCTGAGACTTTGCTGAAGTTGCCTATCAGCTTAAGGAGATTTTGGGCTGAGATGATGGGGTTTTCTAGATATACAATCATGTCATCTGCAAACAGGGACAATTTGACTTCTTCTTTTCCTAATTGAATGCCCTTTATTTCCTTCTCCTGCCTGATTGCCCTGGCCAGAACTTCCAACACTATGTTGAATAGGAGTGGTGAGAGAGGGCATCCCTGTCTTGTGCCAGTTTTCAAAGGGAATGCTTCCAGTTTTTGTCCATTCAGTATGATATTGGCTGTGGGTTTGTCACAGATAGCTCTTATTATTTTGAGATATGTCCCATCAATACCTAATCTATTGAAAGTTTTTAGCATGAAGGGTTGTTGAATTTTGTCAAATGCCTTTTCTGCATCTATTGAGATAAACATGTGGTTTTTTGTCTTTGGTTCTCTTTATATGCTGGATTACGTTTATTGATTTGCATATGTTGAACCAGCCTTGCATCCCAGGGATGAAGCCCACTTGATCATGGTAGATAAGCTTTTCGATGTGTTGCTGGATTCGGTTTGCCAGTATTTTATTGAGGATTTTTGCATCAATGTTCATCAAGGATATTGGTCTAAAATTCTCTTTTTTTGTTGTGTCTCTGCCAGGCTTTGGTATCAGGATGATGCTGGCCTCCTAAGAGAATTTTTCAATTTTTATGCACATCTTAGCAACCACTATTTATTATAATTTTGGCTTCTTTTCTTTAGATACACAACTGTATGAAGTCTGGCAGAGTTATTCCTGCTGTTGGGTAAGGGTGGTGAAATATTGACTTCACCCTGGAAACGTACCTCATCTTTACATTATTCAACATCTTGATAATGCCATTTGCATAGATAGGTGATACCTATGTCCTGACATAATTAAGCAGAGCAGAGTTTTTTCTCTGGTACAGGTGATAAGTTTGTATTGATCTGACTCATTTTCTCCGTTCCTGATGACCATGTACATCAGCATGAGATTGCTGGCTGCAGCCAGTGCCATCTGTGGCCATGTAGCAGCAAGGATCTTGCATATTCAGATATGGTTTGTGTAAAAGGCTCTGGTCTCATTAATTCCATCCTCCCATCAACTGAGCCAGCCAACAAGAAATAAGCAGTTGGACCCAAACATCTAGAAACTGTCCATTGTGATAATACACTTTCCTCAAGAGGGAACAATGGCTACTCTTTGATACAAACAAAAATAAAATAAAGTTCGAGCTGTCAAATTTTATGTAGGCTTTCACAGAAAGAAAATGTACTCTTCGTCTTAAAATAATTCTATACTAAGAGATGTATTATGGGCCCACAATATAGATGAAATAGGATTACAGTAGTCATTGCTGACTTCAGTAATTTGAGTAGAACCTCTAAATCCTTTATGCTAAATTCTGCTTTGTAATCACATGTAGAAAAACAAGATGATTTTGACAAACCAGTTCTCCATTTGGGAGTCTTATTCATCATATAATATTCTTGTGAGGCTCTTTTTGAACGTGAGAGAGTTTTAACAGACAAGTGACAGACACAACAGCATATGGAGGAGTGGTATTTTCTAGGTGAAACCCTACCCTGCAGGGGTAAAGTCTAATACTGTGAAGGTTTCATGGGATTGTGTCATGATGAACATGTTTTTCATTCTCAAAAATTTAGTTACCACACAGGAATTTACCCATTAATTATAGTGTAAACGCATGCTATTTCCTGATAGTTTTGTAGATAACACAGTTGGCATACTAATACACTCGAGCTCTCTGCCAGATACCTACACAATAACAAATGAATTGTAATGACGAAAAGATTGTATCATTTTGTTTTCTGGAGAGCTGTAAGGAGATCTGAGAATGTCAGGTAATGTGGTAATTATGTTTCAAGTAACTTGATAATTTAAAAAATATTATGAGGTAATCTGCTGAAACTTGCAGTTATTCTGTGGCTACATGTTCCATTCCCATTATGTTACACAAAATTATGGGTTAGAATTCCTATAGCTACCTTTTCTACTCTCTCAACAAAAGATGCCAGCCTTAAAACATTGAAGAGGAGGTTGAGAAGTTCTTCTTTCCATGCTACAGTTGACAAAAGAGGAAACTTTCTAGCACAATGAAACATGTAATTTCTCTCAAACTTCTTCTTAAGCCAACATCTAAGCAGGGCAGGAGACTCTCTGGGAGACTATTTTTCCCATTTTGTAGCTGGCATCATGTTCTGCTGATGGGAGAAGAAAGCAAGAGAAAATGTCATTCAAAGCACTCTTTGTAATGGCCATCTGGGACTTCATCTGAATGTTTGCAGGAAAAAAAATCCTATGGCCATCCAGTTAAATCGGGCCTTCTAGCCACCATGGACACTTGCAGAAATACTAGGTCACGAAGAAATGCAAATTGAGTTTATTGTAAACTGTGATAACACGTGTTAAGGGGATGAATTAGAATTGCATTTGGGAAAGCAAAGTCAAAGGTATAACAATATATACTCAAGAATACTAAGGTGGGTTTCTGGGAAATAATGTGGAAGGAGAGACAGGTAAAGGCACTTGTAAGAATTTGTGTTCTATTTTGATGTGGCAGGTCAGACATGTAGCCCTAAGCACCGTATGTGTGCTTGGTATTATTGTTGGTCTCGTTTCTAAGGAACAGAAGTATTGGGTGTTTGGGGTTATCTGTTCAGATTAGAATTTCAATTAGAATAGAAGGCTCACGCCTGTAATTCCAGCACTTTGGGAGGCCCAGGCAGGCGATCACCTGAGGTCAGGAGTTCGAGACCAGCCTGACCAACATGGAGAAACCCCGTCTCTACTAAAAATACAAAATTAGCGAGGCGTGGTGGTGCATGCCTGTAATCCCAGCTACTCTGGAGGCTGAGGCAGGAGAATTGTTTGAACCCGGGAGGCAGAGGTTGCGATGAGCTGTGATCACGCCATTGCACCCCAGCCTGGGCAACAAGAGTGAAACTCCATGTCAAAAAAAAAAAAAAAAGAATAGTTGTGACATTAAACATAGGAGAGAGAAGGGTAAATTGGCATGGAGGAGCAAAGTGAAGTCACGCATTGAACAGGGACGACAGAGAAAAACATGCACGAAGCAAAAATTTTCTTATAAACAAAAAAGGAATAAATACATCTTTATATCAGACCCTCTAGATTCATGTTTCTGTAGCTCACTGGTGGTGCTTGATTTTCTGTAAAGTAGTCCTTAGACAGTTTGCTCATGGAAGCAAGTAAATGAGTTTTAATTTTTGCTTTATACATTTTACAAATTTAAAAGGTCAGATCAATTATGATTTTCACATAAATCTCATTTCTTTCTTTTTTTTTTTTTTTTTGAGACAGAGTCTTGCTCTGTCGCCCAAGTTGGAGTGCAGTGGAGCGATCTCGGCTCACTGCAAGCTCCGCCTCCCAGGTTCACGCCATTCTCCTGCCTCAGCCTCCCGAGTAGCTGGGACTACAGGCGCCCGCCACCACGCCCTGCTAATTTTTTGTATTTTCAGTAGAGACGGGGTTTCACCGTGTTAGCCAGGATGGTCTCGATTTCCTGACCTCGTGATCCGCCCGCCTCGGCCTCCCAAAGTGCTGGGATTATAGGCGTGAGCCACTGCGCCCGGCCTAAATCTCATTTATTTCTAAAAACATTATGCCACTAAAAGTTTTACATATGCATATACATATACATATGTATGTGTATAAATATATATATTATGTAATTGTATATATTATTTAAAGACACACACATACACACACATATATACACACACATACCCAGCATGTTATTCAGCTAACAGGGAATTAGGTTGATTCCTTGGTTAGGTTGATATCTTGGTGACCCAAGATATAGGTGGTCACCAATATCTTGATGGTGTTTCCTGCTATTTATATGTTATTACATCTGCTGTTTTCCATTGTTGTGGTTATGATATATTTTTGCCCCAACTTTAATAATATGAATTAATGGCTTAAGATTGTTCATTGCAGCATACAGCTTATTTTTAAAACTAATACTTTTTGAATATCTGTTTTGTGCCAACCATATTTTTATGCCCTGGAGATAGGTGATGAAGAGGTGAAAGAAGGTGTCCACACTAGTACATTCTAGTTTTATGGTGGTTGGAGACAGACAATAAGTTATAAAGAAAGGAAAAATATTAGCTGGCAGTATGAGTCAAGAAGAAATAAGAAATGATTATAGGTTTAAGTTCTTAGGATGGTGGATAGCCTTAGAGTGGTGAGCGAAGGCTGCTCTTAGAAGGAGAACTGCGGTCTGGATATGAGGAAGGAGCCTGCAATGGCAATAGCCAGGAAGGCACACTTGGCAGAGGGAATGACTAGAGGAAGAGTTTGGAGGCTGGACCAAAAAAATACACAACCCGGAATTTGGCCGCAAATATCGACACAGCAGAGCGCTTCGGTAGAAATACAGAATGGAAATCTTTATCTAAATCTAGTGAGATGTTTTGCAGTAGTGAAAAAAATGAAAAGTACAAATGCCAGGACAACAAAATTGGAGAAAAATTAGTGTTGAAATATAGTTGATATTCTATTTGAATATTCTATTTGATATTCTGTTTGAATCACTAGATGACATTAATAGAATCCTTGCATTATCGAACTATTTATAAGATTCTTCTGCTGATAGAGTCAACACCTGAATAACTATCAGCTCACTTTCTTCACATTCACAAAAAATTACATTCAAAAGCTATTAAGGAGAGCAACTATTTGGTCTAAATGGCAAGATTTGTTTTATAAAATCATATGCGAACACAGTTGCATGTGGAAAATGGTCATTTGTGACAAAGTGTTTCTAAAAATGACTACGAATTTTGAAGCAGAAGCTGATGTTTTGTGTCTTCTGCTATTTGTGTGGTCATTGAAACTGTACTGCTCCCAGAGTAAACGATAAATGCCAGTGAATATTTTGTGCAAGTTAAACAATGATCACCCTCTTTCTGAGAAATAAAAATGCAGTACCTTGAAAACAATTATTAGGTATTTATTATTCTCTTGCTCTCTCTCTCTCTCTCATTGCTGCTAAATGAGCTTACTGCAAACTATAAAGGCGTTTCTGCATAATACAATAAATAAATGTATGTCTACTGGTTCCCATGCCCTTGCACAATTCCCTCCACTTTGACCCCGGACTTGCCCTGTGACTTGATTTCGCCAACAGAATGTGGTGGATGTGATGCTATGCTGTGTCAATTTCAGGCCTAATTCTTAAACAGGTTTGAAGGCATCCTCTGTGACCTTCTTGGAGTTCTGGACTAGCACATAAATAGTTCAGATGAGCCTGCTAGAGAAAGAAGCCATGTGGAGAGGCCTTGGGGAATGAGACACCACATGAAGAGACAGGCTGCTTGGGGGAATACTGAGGGCCCATGCATGTAGGTGAGAGCTCCATCTTGAATATTACAGTGTCCATTCACTTAAATGTAATCATGTAACAGATGCCAAGGAGACTGGCAGAAGAACCCATCAGCTAGTCCCCAGCCAACACATATAATCATGAGACAGAGTAAAATGATTGTTGTTTTAACCATTAGGTTTTGGGTAGTTTGATCTACAGCATTAGATATTAGAAACAGAAATTGGTACCCCAAAGTGGAGTGCTGCCATACCAGAAATCTAAAGCGTGTGGTGTTGTTTTAGAAACCACGGGGCCAGTGGAAGCTAGAAGTCTCTCAAGGAAACTGTCTCTCAAGGAAACTGTGAACAAAGGCTGAAAGGACAGAGGAGAAATATCGGTGAAAAAAGGCAACCCATTTTTTGCAACAGTGGAAAGTATGAAATAGTGTCATCTGTGCTGATATGATAGGAACCTAATAAAACTGTGGATCTCACTTAAAAACGTCTTACTGGTCTAAAGTTTTAGAGACGTTGCTATAGTTTCTATGTTTTTGAAATCTTAGGAACAGGTATTTGACAGAGCCTCCTTACAGAGCTGCATCTGTTGAAACCGTATCCCCAGAACATGTTAATTGGAGTGTCCTTTATGGTGGCTCCATTTCTAGTCATATCCATGTTCATCTGTGATCCCTGTGAATATATATAAGGAATATCTTTACTTATGTAGTTTATATAAGCTGAGGGGAAGCAGCTATTACCATAGTAGCTATTCCATAGGGATAGAATCAAGTATATACCAAAGAGTAGAATGCTGGAATGAGATAATAAGCAGGATTAAAGTCTTGAATTGAGCTTTCAAATCTCATTTATTCATGGAATGTGAGGGTCATGTTGCCCAGCAGTTCTCTCTCTCTGTCTCTCTCTTTCTCTTTCTCTGCCAGCCTCTCTCTCTCTTCTCTCTTTCTCTGCCTCTCTCTCTCTCTCTCTGTGTGTTGAACGAGGAGGATAGCAAATCATTGGCTTCTATTTTTAGTTACCCATGAACTTAAAAACAATGAAAACAGTGACATTTCTTTCAACTGTAGTAACAGTCTCTAACTGTGCTAATAGGCTGTGAATGCTGCATCAAGGAAGATGTCACGGCACTGTTTTCAGCCCTGGTCAGATCTGGGACACAGTGTTCAATCTGGCCAGCACCATTTCAAAGAGCTGTTTACAAAATGAGTGTGAGGGATCTGAAAATTACAAACACCACATAGGGGAAACATCATAGAGCTGGGGATATTTAGACAGGATAGGAGAAGGCCCTTGGGGAACAAGCTCACTGCCTTTTACGTAGCTGAAGTCCCGTCATGCTGAAGATGTCATAGACTTGTTTTGCACTCCTCTTGGAAGGTAGAACTATGAACAATTGTCAAAAGGCACAAAAGAGCAAACTGGCTTAACACAAAATGGACATTTCCAAGTTTTAGTGCTTCTCCATCAAATAGACCTGAGTGGCTATTTCTCTAGAATAAAATAGAATGTTTTCCTGTCCAGGTAGGAGGTTGGAGCTATGGAGTTTTCTTCTTACCCAGAGTCAGTGGTTTGAAGGCATCTCTTCTTACTAGTGCAATAAGTCATATTTTGTAGTGCATTTGTTGGTAAATAATTAATGATTATAGCTGCAAATTAAAACTAATTACTGCTTGCTTCTTCAAATGGGTTCAACTCAGCTTGGTTGCTGATAATAAAATCTGCTTCCATATGTGATGGGATGGGCATATGAACCTTTGCTGGAGTTTCCTAATACTTTCTTTTAAAAGCGACTACCTGAAAACTTAACAAAATAAACTTGTATGAGGCATTTTATTAAACTTCACCATTCTCAATAAGCATGTTGGCATTTCTTTGAAGTGTTTTTTAAAATATAAAAAGTTGATCCATGAGTTTATGAAAAGTGTCACCACAACTTTATTTGCCCAAGTAAGTAGGAGTCAAGCCAATTGCCAATGGGAGTATTCACACTTTTTGCCATGCAGTTGGGTATCTGAAGAAATGTTTGAATGAAATGATTAAAGAAATGCAATGAATTTGAAAGAATGGAAAGTTTTTTAAAGGAAGTATATAAAAATATTTTAATATGGTGGTGAGGCACTAGGCATCATGTGGTTTCTGTGTCCAGTTCACCTTGTCTGAGTATTCATCAGAAAGAGGGCTCCCTGTGGAGTTATTGGAAGAAACATCCCTGGTGTCACAGAGAGAGCTGGCTTGAACCTGGAGGATATAACAAATGGCTGTTCCTGAAAATACACTCAGCTAAACATGTAGAAATAAAGGCATGCTTAAGATAGTAGAGCTGATACCACTTGATGAAAAGAGTCAATAAAGTATGTGAAGATGATGGTACAGCATAAGGAAAAAACAATATATTGGGCAGTGTGAGTTTTGACCTGGGAATTCACTAAAATGACTGTGGAGGTTGGGGGAAGAGATGGTGAAGGGCTCATAGAGCAGTGACCCATGCAAGCCAGTCCTGGAGCAGTGTTATAGTTAAGGAAACTCACCCCAAGCTCAAATTTTTTCTCGTGTTGTCTTCAAGTCTTTTGTGGGGTCAAATTAAGCAGTCCTTGAAAGCTCAAAACTCATTATTAACTTTTCCTTGATCTTATTATTATTTAGCACCCAACATCATTCTCCTAAGGCAGGGAAGAAAAAAATAAAATTCTCATTGATGCACTCGCTTTCCTTTCATCCCACCCTATTCCTCATCTCACCTCTCCTTCCAAACTCAGCTTCTTCTATGTGCTACTTCACACTCTGCTACAGCACCCACAGCACTTCTACACTGTCTCCTTCCCATACTAGACTTGGGGTTACCCACTTCTTCTGCCTTTTGCTTTGATCTGTTTCTCATAAGATTTGGTTTATGCAAAATCCTGCCATTTTCTTCTGCTAGTCGGGAAGGACAGGTAGAGCCCATCCAGGCAGCTCCACTGATGGTGGTGGTGGGGAATCCATAGATGCTCATGCTGAATAATTCTCGTTTTGCCAGAGAAGAAATGGAACAGCTGAGGTTGGTGCATTTACAGATTGTTTTATGGAAACCTTTGTATATGCTACCTGGTGTGATTGCACACCAGGTTACAGGCCACAGGACATAAGTTTAATGTCTCAGATTTTCCGTTAACTAGTGGTTGTCCAGGTCTCCTAATCACTCAGGTGCAAGTTCTCTCTCTATCTGCAAAGAAAAACAAATTCCTAAAATGATTGTGCAAGTTGAATTAGGTTATCAAAGGTTGAATATTCCTTGTAAACAGTAAAACACAAATGGTGGTTGTCTTCTTAATTGTCTCAAGTCATTGACCATTCCACATTTCCCTTCTAATACCCAATGGCACCTGTTATCTATGACCTCCCACTTGTTTTCTTATTCCTAATTATGAGAACAGAGCTTCAAAGTAATAAAATTTCAAAGCAAAGGGGTATGCAATAAAGAGGATTTGGGATGAAAGCATCAAAAATAGGATAAAATCAAGAAATTTGAGGCTGATATACTGTAATGTAAACTGATCATAAATAGTAGGTGAGCAACATTCATCTATTCATCATTCATGATGTGGTCAAGAAACTAAGTGCTGATTAAACACCAGGTGCTTTTCTGGAGAGAGAATTCCCTTTTCATTCTCTTTATGCTGTCATGAAGATCCCATTTGAGTAATGTATGACCTCTCCTCTTTCTCCTAGTTTCAATAAGTGACTTACCAGATTGCCTGACTCAATTTTGTTCTCTTCTTCTCTGCACCCTGTTTATCCTATGGAGAAAGACTGTGATTATTCAGGGTTGTAACTAGGTGGGCAAATTCAGTTCAGAGGAACAATATGGCCTGCTCACTCAGTTAACAGCTCCAAAGACACACTCTTTAACTTAGACTGTGTCAGCAGTGAAAATGATATTTTTAGTCTCCATTTGACTGACTCAGTTGGTTCCCTACAACATAGGCAGGGAAGCAGTGGTTTTTTTAATTGGATACTCCTTGCCTTACATCAGGTACTATTCAGAATAAACATAACAAAATTCGACCTTAAAATATTTTTAATAGGTAAGATGAAAGAATTAACACAAAAATAATTTAGGATAGATGATTCAGACACCTTGGTTTTGAGTCTCAACCTTACCATTTACTAGCTGTGTGCTTTGGGGAAAGTTGGCTTAATCTCTCTGAGATTTAATTTCCTCATTTGTAGAAAGCAAGTCATAACCCCTGCCTCACAGAGATAATACGAGGATCAACTGTAATACTGATGCAAAAAGTTTTATAAACTCTAGAGCTAAATAAACTCTTGTGTTTTTATTATTACTCTGGGAACTAGGTTCCCAGCTTGTCTTCCTCCTACGCCCACCTGCTCCCCCAGCTCAGCCCCTGTTCTGATTATTTACCTGGCATACCACAACGTTTTTCTTGTCTCCAAACATGGATTGGGCCCATGGCCATGACTTCCAACACCACAAACTAATGTCAGTGCTAGATTTCATCTAGCATAAATTATCTGTTGCTGTCCACAGACCAACTGTTGGGCTCTTCCCAGAGAGTTTCCGTGATTAACCGTCTTTCCTTTAGCTTTTTGCCTGTAGCTAATTGCCCCGTATTTCCTAGCTTTGTGCTTTCTATATCGTCCTAAACATACCCCTGTTTTCTCTTATTGAGAACCTCCTTAGTTACTTGCCGTGCATTGGTAGCTGTGTCTAGGATCTCTGTGTCATAGGACTCTTGCTTGTCTTGTTCTTCCTTGAACTCTTAGATTTCCTGCTGGTCACAAAGCCCAGTGGTGGACACTGGCCATCCACATTATTGAGACCTCTAGTGTCTCTACCATGAAGGATGGCTTTCACAGAGGTTATAGACCTGGGCTCTGGAGTCAGACAGCTCCTCCACTTAGAGCTGTGCACTCTTGGTTATGTAACTAGCTTTCTATACCTTACTTTCCTCATTGGAAAATAGGGTAATGGTAGCTAGAAAATATTAGAGTTATCATTAAATGAAAATAAATGGGCTAATAATTCGTACAACACCTGGCATATATTAAGCACTCAGTGACGTTATTTGTTGTTGTTGTTGTTATCATCAACTAAAATAAAACTTCTCTAACGACTCTGTGTTTCTTCCAAATTAATAGATTAAAAACAATAATGTTCTAAGGGGAACAAAAAATAAGAGGAGCGAGGAGGTTATTAGTCTTTTTTTTAGTCTGCTCTAAATACCTACTCAACAGAAATGAATATGAATATATAAGACTGGGAGAGATAAATGCACAAAAAGAATATATGTACACACACATATATACATATATACATAGCTATATATACCTGCATATAAACCCACACATTTGTGTATGTGTGTATATATTCATCTATAAATTTATATATATATATGGAAGAAAGGAAGAAATAGGAAGAAACCTCAACATTCTACCTTCTGCACATTATGATACATTGTAATATTCAGAAGATAGACCGTTGAGCTCTCTCCTTTGCTTTTTAAATAGGTGATATATGATGCTTAAGTCATATGAGTTGTAGCGTGAGTTAGCTCCAAATAAAAATTTGTGACCTTTAGACCTTATAATCCAAGTCACTTTTGGTAAAAGCAGCTGAAAGTTACATTTATAGAACTTATTTAGAGATTTTCCAGATAATAAGGATTGAAGAGAAACACCAAAGACGGCCCCAGAATAGCAACTAGGGCATTTCCTTTGACAGCTGCAGCAGATCTAGTGGAACTTTAAATTAGTCTCAAAACTGATTTGAGACTCTGAAACTTGACTAGCTTACTAACAATAGTGTATGTGCTGAGCAACTACCAAGGGGAGAAAATACATAATAGATGAAAAAAATCATAAAGCACATTATTCACATAATTTAATGGCACTTATGAACTATTAGGGAGAAAATCCACCAGAAAACAATGTTGTACATGTCAACTCCTTTCTAGTTACAATCACAATTGTGCTTCTATTATTACTGAAAGTAGGTGCAACTGCAGATAAATTTTGAGAATGGAACTACTATTTCTCTTTGTAAACTCATTTGGATAAAGATACTCATGCCCCATCTACATGAGCTCAGTTATTCCATCTTTACTGTATAATTTGGCTCTGACATCTTGTCTCTTATGTGTTGTTAGGCAGGGTGAGGGAGATGGTTATTGATGACAGAGTGATAACAATCTCTGCATCTAATATGGAAAGAGATTCCATCCTTGACCTTGGTAATGTATGCCAGCATTTATCAATCCTCACTGCCAGGTTTCCCAGCCAATTCCTTTGCTCTGCACCCAGGCCAAATGGGGGTTGGTTAGATGCCACCCTGGGAGTGGGGCCTACAATCCTGGAGCAGATCCCCACTGGAAAGCATCTCCACCTTCCCTTATTTTGGCAGTTTCAGTTTGGGGACATTGAGGTTATGTGCAGAGGCATTGTTGTTCAAACAGAATCCAGAAATGAGGCTTCCAGGTTTTAGGAGTACTACAGAGGGAACTGGATTCATTTGATTTTCAAAATATGACAGAAGAAAATATAGGAGAATGTGTTTATGGTTCTGGGGTATGGAAAGCCTTGTGAAGAAAGGCTTCAAATTCAGAAGACTTCGAGAAAAAGAGTTAACTACATCAAATGCAAAAACCTGTGGTTGAGAGGAAATACCATTAATAGCATTAAAACTTAAGAGGCACTGGCCAGGCGCAGTGGCTCACGCCTATAATCCTAGCACTTTGGGAGGCTGAGGCAGGTGGATCACCTAAGGTTGGGAGTTTGAGACCAGCCTGACCAACATGGAGAAACCCCGTCTCTACTAAAAATACAAAATTAGCCAGGCATGGTGGTGCATGCCTGTAATCCCAGCTAGCTACTCAAGAGGCTGAGGCAGGAGAATGGTTTGAACCAGGAGGTGGAGGTTGTGGTGAGCCGAGATCATGCCATTTCACCCCAGCCTGGGCAACAAGAGCGAAACTCCATCTCAAAAAAAAAAAAAAAAAAAAAGAAAAGAAAAAAGAAAAAGAAAAAAAAAAAACTTAAGAGGCACTGTGGAAAAAGTATTTGCAACACAGGATATAAGTATGATTAATATTCCTAATACTCAGATGGCGACCACAAATCAATGAGAAGGATGAATTGCTCAATAGAAAAAAGGGACAAGATAAGAACATGAAACTAATTCATAAAAGAAAAAAATACAAAATGTAATAAGCTATAAAATGCCAATTGCGGACAAAGGCAAATTAAAATAACGGGATACCATTTTTATTCACTACATTTCCAAAACTAACAAACAAATAAACAGAGTGACTGTAACATGCCAGTTTGTCAAGGGTATGGAGAAACAGAGTATAAGATAGTGTTGGTGGCACTATATTTTGGCATGACTTCTTTGAAGGATCATTTGGAGGTTTTTCACAAAATAAAAAATGAACAATCCTATTATTCAGCACTTTTAGTTCTTGACAATTATCATGCAGAAATATCTACTCATGTGTATAATGATACGTACACAAGGGTGTCCAATCAATACTATTCATGAGGTCAAATGGAGACAATCTAAAAATACTTAATAGAGGAAGTTACAAATTAATGTGGTAAATCTATACAGTGTAGTTCTATGCAGCATTAAAAAGAACCATGGATCAAGGCAAAATTTTCAAGACATATTTTTAAGTTCAAAAAGCAAGTTACATGGCAATATGATAACATGTTTATAAAATAAATTGTGAGTGCATGCAAATGTGCATACAAAATAGACAAAGTCAGAAATGATATCTGCCAAACTTCCAATTCTGCTAACTTCAATTGGATGAATTGGATATAAAATACTTATCTTTCTCTCCCTAACTGTGTGTAAAATAAGAAATATTTTGATGTTTTTCCTATATTTCTCATATATATATAATATATTCACTTCAAATGTGTAAAATATGAATATTTATAAACTGTGAAACTATGAGGTTTTAAAAATTGCTTTTTATAATTATAATAGATAAAGAATCTCACTGATATTTCTAATATCAGGGTAGCTTAAAAAGGTCTTTGGCATGATACATAGTGCATTATACATATATTAAACATTAAGTCAACAACCATCAAAATAAATAAGAGTTTCCTATTGCCATAATATTACACATCATTTATATAGGACCTATTCATTATAAAATGACTAAAATGGTGTAGTATGAGACATTTTGAAAAATATCTTCTGAAATCAGAAGAAACACATTGAATTTTTTTAGAAATTACTTAGCGAGTACTTTTCATTTTGATGTTAACAACAGTAGTTATATTTGTAGCACAACCTTCTTAAAAGCTTATATACATGTTGTGGATGCTCTTTTGTTCCCCTTAAGTTCTAAACAAGCATAGAAATGAACTTCACAGGCTACACATGGCAGAACCTGTCCATGTGTCTCTGCCTCATTCCATATCAGTGAAGGATACAGAGGTGGAAGGATTTTCAGTGAAGGCATAACCTAACTCTTCATTTTGCAAATGAGAAAGCTGAGGTCTAGAGACAATAAATAATCACTGAGGATGAAGATGTTTTAACTTCTGTGGCTTTACAATATAGTTTACTATCTGGATGGGCTAGTCTCCTCATCTTTTCTAGAATTTTCCTGGCAGTTACATCACACAGTGAGGGCTGTTACTAAGCCTGTGGGAGGGCTGGAGAGGCTGCCCTTCTATGTCCTCTTAATATCTAAGTTGCTGTAGACCTCACTGTTAAAATACTATACCCTTACTCCTAGGAATGCAGTTCCAGAGGAGTAAAGAACTTTTATGCCCAAATCAAAAGGCTCCATAAAGATGCGTGATGGCAACAGAATGTAAGGTCTCTGTGGAAGCCTGGGGTGCACAGCTTTGAGGGGCTCACTGGGCTGGGCCAGGCCTGGACGTTCAACGGCCATCCGGCTTGCTGAGTACTTGTTTTTCTTCACTAACACACGAACTCCTGAGAAGCAAGAAAAACATAGGCTGAAGCCCAACTAGTCACTGCTACATGCTTTAAGAATATTCCCTCCCCCATGCAAAAGAGAACTGAAATTTGGAAGGTAGTAACTTATATTTATACTCTTTATTCATGAAAGAGGTTATTTGTTCATAAAAATAGTTGTCAGAGATGAATATATTTACATAAGAATATAGTTTAAAATCACAAGGATTTCAACTTTCTGGGTCATTCTGCTGACGGACAATTTGAAAAAAAATACTTCATTGTGCACACAAATGATCTTTGGTTTATTGCCATTTGCAGCTCTTACTTAAGTGGAGGAAGGAAATTTCCTCACCCCATTTCCTAGTGTTCCAAGCTCAATAGGTCTACCCCTTGCTCTACTTTTATCATTATGTCACATATTTCAAAGTTATGTAGTTCATCTTTGAATGCATGTTTTCCATTTTTCTTCTTATATTATGTTCATCCTGTTTCTTACTGTAATGCAAAGAAAAATGTATATTCAGGTTAAATTCATCTAACTTCTGGCAAGTGTAAGAGACTATGTGAGACTCATATTTTGTATCATTAAACCTGCAAAATTATGTGAGATATGCATTACTAGTCTCACGATGGGAAAATTGAGTCTCATAAAGAGGAACTATATCTCCAAGTCCAATAGCAAGTTCATGTTGGAGAAGGACATTTAGGTGGTTCTGAATGGGCTGTGTCTTACTTATCCCTCTGACCTCATCTCATACTACTTCTCTCTTTCCCCACTAAGCTGTAGGCATAATGGCTTTATTTCTCTTTATCAAATACTCCAAGCTCTTTCTCATCCTAAGAACTTTGCATTAACTCTCCCCTCTGCCCGATAATCTTTTCATGATGATCAACATATTGGTGGCCCCTTCCTTTCATTTTGATTTCACTGTAAATATCACCTCCTCCAATAATTCTTTCTAATCTAGTGCAGTCAGCCACACAGTGCCTTTCTCATACCAATGTACTTTAACTCTCAGCATAGCCCTAAGAAATATCTACTACTACATTTCCTGCCTATATTTAAAAATAAATCTCCTTTTATAAAAATACAAGCTCTACAAAGCACAAACATTCTCTTGTTTCTGTTTCCCTCAGCCCCTAGAACATCACCTAGATGGCACCCAGTAGAGGTTGGACAGGTGATTGGTGACTGTCTGTAACTTGCTGAGACCAAGGGGAGGGTTGGTACATGAGAAAAGTTTAAACCCTGGCTCTTGCCCTCAGGATTTGTAACCCAGCACCTGGTGTGTCTTCAAGCAGAAAAAGTCCTATACAATTAGATTGAGACTGTGGTGTAGATTTATCAGATGCTAAAAATAAGTATCCATATGTAAATTTTGAGGGGAGCAAATTTATTCCAGATATTTAAACTAATTTTATATTGATAACCTAAACTTCTTATAATATGTATCTTTAAAAATACCACATACCAAGGACTTACTGCAAAGTAAGTATGGAAGAATAATGTGCCCACATTTTGAAGCCTTTCTTGATATGGAAAAACATGATATAGCAAGATGTCCAGGAGAAGACTTAAAGGAGTTTGTGATAAAGAGTAAGATATAGAGACCAAGAGAACAGAGGCCAGAGATCTCAGGTGCTAGACTGTGGTCTCCTTGAAAGTAGAGATTGTACGGATATTTCTGAGTCGTCTCATTCCTTGTGATTGTACCTCTGGTTCTCACCTTATCATTACCCACAGAAGACAAAATACACATCTATTGAGTGATTGAGAGCCTATGGAATTTCAAATCCAAAGGATATGACATAGTTCTTACCTTCTAAGTAGTTTCCTGTATAAATGATATAAACAGCATCAATTCCAAACATAATGTATATTAGGCATATTAAGGCCTGGAACTCTCCAGGGTCAGTTGGAGCTTATTATGGGACAGATCTGAAGAGCCCCATTAGGGTTTTGCTTTCTGTAGCGTGAGTTGGTGGAATGGTTAAATCGAATTTGTGGGAGGCCGTTGTTTGGACCGAGCTGCTGCACTCAGCCCCAACAGACCAGACCAAACCAGAATAAAGTCATTCATGCCAGGTGTCATATCAAACTGAACTTTGAAACAGGCCTCTTTCCCCCAAAACAGTAGATTCACAGCAACTGATCAGAAGGCCCAGTCTTCCTGAGCTGGCATGATAAGGAGGTCCCTTTGTTGTATCTCTGTAAGGAAAGTCACTTGGAAAAAACCTATCCGCTTTGGTTGCCTATTTCTGCTTTCTTCAGTACTTTACGGCCTACAGAGCCCATCCCCTCTGCTCAGCTCATCAGACTGCCTGTGGATCCACAGCTGGAATGCTGCTCAATTCATGAATTGTGAATAAAAGACAGATTTTAAACTAAACTTGTTGAAATTGTGTTTTTTGAGAGTACTAAAATTGTATTTTCATAATCTTAACATGAATCCAAAGACTGGGGTGAAACTGGTTGTCATCCATCATCATATACTATCCTATACCTTATTTATCTGCATTTCAGGAAGAAATGTAAAATAAGAATAATATTTTTATTTTTCTATTTTTTACTAGTCTTATATAAAAGGATTTTGCTTCTGTTCTATTTGGATATAGTTGTTGGGTCTTCGGAGTTCTATGTTTTCTTACCATTCTTTTAAAATTATAAGTTTTTCTTGATTGTAACTTTTATAATCATGAAAAACAAATGCCTTTCGCATATTTGCCACCCAAAGAGAACAACTGTTTTGGTGTATTTCTTTTTATATTTGTTTTACATATGTAAAATCACTGCAAATATTGAATTTTAGGTACTGAAATCAGATAAACTGGTTCATAAATTTTCAGTTTATAACTAATGCCAAATGTTCCCAATAAGAGGAGATAACAATTTACTTAACTAGTTTGTCAACACTGAATATAGAATAGGTTTATATCTTCCCTTTTTTTCATATAAAGCTGTTTTATATTTTAGATTATTTTTAATCTGAGTATATGTTGTAAATTCAGATTTTTATTGCAGATGATTGCCTTATTGAACAGTGAGAAAGGGTGAGAAAATTTTAAGTTGCTTAAATAACTATTTCCAGACTGTTTTCAGAAGTTTGGGACATATATTGCCTCAGCAACGCATACATAAGATTTCTATTTCACATACACCCATCAGCATTAGATAACATGTTAGAAATAGAACTCTAATTTTGCCAGTGAAAAAATAGATTTCTTCATGAATTTATTTTAACATTTTCTTGTTTACATAATGAGGTAAAATATTTTCAATATACATAGTGGACCTTTCCTTCTTTGTTAATTGTTACTTGTTTTTTATAAATATCACCACTGCCATTTCTATAGTAATAATTCTATTTTTACTGTGAGGATGAAACAACTAAAGGCCCAGCCTCTTTCCAGAACTTTAACTCATTAAAATAGATAAGAGCACCTCACAGCAAAGACAGAAATGAACTATGCAATTTTACATTATCATCTCTGCTGTGCTTAGGCAAAATATTGCAAGAGTATTTTTTTTTAAAGAGGGAGAAAGGGTCCAGAGAGTTGCAATAATTTGTCCACGGTCAGACATCTAGTAAATACTACACTTAGAGTTTTTTTAACTGTAATTTCAAAATTTCCCACCGCATCTGAGGTTCTCACTGATGACATACAAACCTCTAAGAGAGACAATCTGGGGAGGATGGTGAGCTTTCATAATAATCATCGCAGTTTTTCTACCTACCAACATATGCATTTTCATAAAATCAATCATCCAGAGGTATGCGCCAGAGCAAAAAATATAGCCACAGGTGGCATTAGCTTTCACCTGTTAAGGGGCACCTTGGACTAACCAGCAGACATTTTCCAATTACCTGTACCATCTGAACTTAATGGGATTCTTAGAAGAGAAGCTCATGTATAAGGCTCCACTCTTCTTCAATCCCTTTATCTGTGTCCTAAGTGCAGAATGCCATCTCTTGCTGAGCTCTGCTTATGGAGCTGGCATTTGCTACACATGTTTCAAATGCACATGGTATTTGAAAAATGATCCTTCATCTGAACCAGCTTTGGAGAACTCATTCCACAGGCTGCGCACAAAGCTAGGGATATAACGTAGGCCTGGGAGGCACAGGAAAAGAGCAGATGGTTTTTGAGTATCTGATAAAAGCCAGCCAGCCAATGTGTGTTTTCAAATGCTGAGATGACTTTTGTTTTTGGTTTACATCACTTGGGCCTTCCCTCAGCAACCTATCATTAATCAAACAATTTGCCCTGCTTATAACTTCATGGGTATGAGTTGTAAACATTTGTGAAATTGTAATATTTGAAAGTTAACTATTGGCCAATTGAAGGCCTCTGGTGTTCATAGCATTATTATCAGATGAGAAATTTTCCACAGCTACTTATGAATATGATGAGCTGTTTGCATTCACATTTTCTGGATATCCTGATTTTGAAATGGAAATTATTATGAAAGAAATTGATTTCCAAGTTCATTGCTCTCAGAGCAGTGTAGATGATGCCCAAGTTCCATTAGAATGAGGCTATTTAATACATGAAACTCACAGAGAAGGGCATTAAGTTTCAAAAGAGCCACTTTGTCCTCAGTTTTCATTCTTGTTTGGTACTCTCGCTCCTGGCGCTATCTCAGAGTCTATATTGGATGGGAACTCATGTCTTGGATGACGCATTTTTATTGGTTTGTTGTTTTTTGGACATCTTTATTGAGTACAAAAGGGAGCCTGGGAAATGCCAATAAAGGGAAATTTGTTAGTTGTCTTCTTTCTTTTAAAACACATTTTTAATGTCTTTTAATCTCTTCCATCTTTCTTTCCTTTCCTCCTTCACTTCTTCCTTCTAATTCCACATATCACAGACATTCTTACAGGATGCAAAAACCTGATGATAGTATTGGTAATGACCTGGCCAACTGACAGCAGGCAACAATGTTCTTAACAAGCAGGGCCTGAGTGAGCAAAGAACTGTGAGGCTGAGTCCATCAGTACAGGGGCAGATCCAATCTTTATTTAAAAGTGGAGCATTTTCTTCATCATGAACTTTTTTTTGCATTTGATTCTTGTAAATATTGCATTAAATACTATGCATTTTGATTACCAAATTTACTGACACCTCTTAAATTCTGTGCTAGCAGCAAATGCCTCTCTTGTCTTACCCTACCATGTCTCTATTAAGGAGTATGATAAACCCCTGTAGAAACAGGAGTACAGTAGATAAAAGTTAGGACAATCTCTATACAGAAATTTAACTCATCTGCTAGAAGGTACTAGAGAAAAAGAAAAGAAAACGCAATTCTCCCCAAATTACCTTGGATCCTGGGAGAATAGTGGTGCCATCCAAGTCTCTAGCTAACGCTTTAGCCACGGTTACATTTGCATTCATCTGTTACTTTTGAACAGGTTCTATGCCCATACTACTTCTGTACTTTTAAATGATAAAATAATTTTTATTCTGAAGTAGCATATTCAAATTATTTTTCCTTAAGAGATTATTTTGAAATGTGGGGTTGATATTTTTATCAAAAATGACTATTATATATACACTGTCCCCTTAACTACAATTTTCCAGTGGCTCAAATAATTTTCAGAATCACATCTCGACTTTTAAAAATCACATTTGTTTAAAAATACCTGTGATGTATCTAAAGCCTTTTTCTTGTTAGCTGTGTGAAGTTTAAGGTGTGAATTGTATTATTCCTATATATTCTGCTTATTTATCAGAGACTTTTCACTGTATTTGTATAATTCTTCACAGTAGGTTTGATTGGTGGTATGATTCCCAGGCTGAGAGAGTTTAAATCCTTTTATTTCCAAGTACACATCACACCAAATGTAACACCATGTACCTGCTATCCCAATTACACACATCTGAAAGAAGGAGTTTCCCGAGGCATAAATCTCTCTATATTAGTAGTTCTTCTTATTTCAGAGAATAACTTTGAGTAATTACTGCTTACATTTCTCCAGTAAAGACAATACTCAGTTTATCGGAACAGCTTATTTCTCAGTCACGGAACCCCTTCAGTCCATAGTACTCTTTCATTTATTCTGCCCCTTACTGCTGAAGAACTCACAGGATGTGCAGTATAAATAAATATCCTCATGATTTCCAGTGCTAGGACTCAGAAAAACTGGAAGAAACAAAGAAAACTGCTAGATGGCTCTTTGTGGTTCTTTTCATGTAACAGTTGAAGGTATACTTTTTTTTTTTTTTTTTTTTGAGACGGAGTCTCGCTCTGTCGCCCAGGCTGGAGTGCAGTGGCGCAATCTCGGCTCACTGCAACCTCCACCTCCCGGGTTCACGCCATTCTCCTGCCTCAGCCTCCCGAGTAGCTGGGACTACAGGTGCCCGCCACCACGCCCGGCTAATTTTTTGTATTTTTTGTAGAGACAGGGTTTCACCGTGTTAGCCAGGATGGTCTCGATCTCCTGACCTTGTGATCCGCCCGCCTCAGCCTCCCAAAGTGCTGG
This sequence comes from Homo sapiens, assembly GCF_000001405.40. NCBI lineage: Eukaryota > Metazoa > Chordata > Mammalia > Primates > Hominidae > Homo > Homo sapiens. Next base: position 22,402,409 of record NC_000013.11, read on the forward strand.
GATTACAGGCTTGAGCCGCTGCGCCCGGCCCAAGGTATTATTTTTCTTTAGGGTCTATGATTTGTTGTTAGTTTCCCTACTGTTCCAAATGTAAATTAATTTAAGTAAGTCCCATTTGGAAATTCGCAGAGAAGTGAGTCCGAATTGCCTTTCTCCCAGGGAGGAGTAAACATCTGTCCTTGATCAAGCTCATAATTAGCTCAGCTAAGGGAGAAGATGAAATAAGGTGAGGGCGATAAGTTGGAAACAGAACTGGGGTGTGGAGCAAAGGAAGAGAAAAGAGTAAGGACTAAGCAAAAATCCACAATAAGGGCTTGAGGTTTATATATCCCTGGTCCCTTGGTCCCCTTCCCGATGGCCCAGCCAAGAACACTCCTAGAGTCTGACTCCATGCATCATGCCACACTGGCAGCTGCAGTTTGAGCCCAGATCACAAATGCATAATGCATGTCGCCTCTTCATGGAGAAACATCTGCATTTGCCTGGTTCTTCCCTTGGCAGAGGGCACATTCATCATCCCTGGGGAAGTGTGTTTGTGGGAGCAGCTGTGAGAGGACACTGCGCAGAAGGACCGAGGGGCCTGTTGGTACATTTGCCAGCTTGATCTGCTTTGTGGTAATAAACTCCAGGAATGTCTAAACCTGGACTTGTCCAAAAGAAGAAGGTTGTTTTTGTTGGAATGTCTGGGTTTTATTCATGTTCCCCAAGATTCCCATTTCAGAATCTTTAAATTTTATGGGTATTTTTAAAGCTATAAAACAGTGAGTTCTTAAATATGCTTCTAGGACATAGAACCCCCCAAAAGTCTAGATTTGGTTCACCAAGAAAGTCCACGCCAGATACTTTGACCGTCATCTGAACCACTCCCCTCCCCGCCCACCACAATTCAACATTTTCCACTCATAACATCATGACATTATAACTGTGCTCTCTGGCAGTTGTGTCATTGGTGATTAGTAAAACACTGAAACAATGACATCATGTCTATAAAATAATCACAAAAAATGCCGAATATTAGTGACTAAGTCTCAGAATGGAATTTGAGCAACGCCTGTAGTGACTAGGTTCACTTTATATATTCTGATCTTGCAGAATTCGAGTAAGTTTACCTTCTACCTCCTTCTCTTTCCCTAATTTTGCCCTTCCCCCATTTCTCCACTTTCTCAGCTCCTTCCTTTCCCAAGGAGTTTGCAATAAGAAGACCTGTTAAGTTTCAAAATCACCCAATTTACCCTCTGGTCTTTATTGGAAGCTTTTCTTCATTTCCAACTAGAAGCACAGATCTTCTGTAGATACAGGTACTGTTTGAGCTTCCAGACACTTCACAGTTCACAAGCAGTGGTCGAGGTATGGAAATTTTAAAACACACACATTGTCCAGATGAACGCAAATAAAAACCTGTCTTGCCTACTTGGATCATGGAAACTAGGAATACAGATCACAAAAGTTAGTGGTATGTAAGAACTGAAATTCAGTCCAACACCTTCACTGACTGTCTTGAACATTTTTAAAAACACAGTAGGCTTTTAAGCTTAAGCCAGAGTGAATTGTAAAGGAAATACCATCCATGTGGTAAAACATCAAAAATGCCCTGCACCATTTGCTACATCACTGGCTTCTCTCAGCTCATTATTGTTGCTGGGTCTTCAATTAACCTCAAAGTTTGTATCCGTAGAAGAAGTGCATATACATAATTACAAATATTAAGAGCATGTTCTCCTTTTTCTGTGCTCCTGATAGTACTCTCTTACCATTAGTAATCACTTTTTTTTTTCTAATTTTATTTTAGCAGTGGTCTAGCATTTATGCTCTAGACGTATTTTTTGAAGTGTGACATGAAACCCAAGGGTTGCTCAAATATATTTTAAAGTCTATCTTGGAATCAGAGCAGGTAAGGAGATCTCCCACTTCTCTTTATTTCACAATAACTTGCTTGTTTGGATATTAATTTCCAGAAGACAGGAACCTTACTGATGTACCACCCTGTTCTTTGTGCAGAGTAGATGCTCAGTAAACATTTGTTGGAATGAATGGTGAATAAATGCTGTTCTGTATATTTTATTTTTAAAAATAAAGTTTGAAAATCACTATCATATTTTCATCTTTCACTTCTGTGATCCTTTACATGATTGCTAAAAGCATTTTGGCTGGCTGTGAGCTCACCTAACTCCCCATCAAGATTTCTGAATGTGAGGCACCAACACCTCAAGCAGCCTCATTACTACCCCACTGAAAGGGTTGATTCCTTGACTCTTGTGCTCGTTTTGCATCAGCGAGTCCTGCTACAAAGATCCTTGAACACGTGGTGATTTTAACGGGGCTAATAGATTTTAAGATTTCAAATTAAGCACCTAGAAAAGGACCCAAACTGGGCAGCCCTTTTAACAAGTCTTCGCTGTTCAGTGGCCCGTTTAGCATAGAAACTTTCTGTGAACTCTGTAGGTGACCTTTTCCCTTTCTTTGTTTCCACTTAATCAGATTGCATGCGACCTTTGGGAGCCTAAGGCTTCGATGTTGAGAAGAGTACATGAAAGGATTAAAAAAAAATAATACATTTTTTGGTACATTGCCTTTGGAGGCATATTAAAATCCTCTTGAATGCTGTTGTCTTTTTCTCATTGAAAATACCCAGCCTGTTTTCTATATAAACAGCCCTTTTCTTTTATCTTGGTGATATTGTTTTACAATCCAACCTTATGACTTAACTATTTTATTTGTCTCAAAATCATTTTTTTTAGCATGGCCCAATTATTAGAAACAATCTCACTCATGTGAAAAAGAATTGTTAGTGATCTTTCTTTCAACTAAGGAGAAAAACAAATATACAAACAGCACTGTTCCCCTGTAGGATTTGCGTTGGTTGGTCAGACATACTTTCTCTGGATTGTTACCTGAAATTGAAAGGGAACTATGGCGATCTGAGTATTCCTCCCATCTGTCATTTGCATGGGGACTCTTGCCTAGGCCACCAACTCAAAAAAGAAAAAATAAAGATTGCTGCATTTGGAGGCTAGAACAACGCTGCATTATTTTATATCTTAAAATGAAGGTGAATCAGGAAAAGGCATTAGAAGGACTATAAACAAAACATCAGGTGATGTATATTTGCGAAGTGGGTTTTGGCGAAATTACAGAGCAGATGATGTTTGCTTTTGTTGTCATTCGGGTCCTAAATCTCCCAGTTTGCTCCTGCCCTGCTTTTCGTTCACTCTCCCTGCCTTACTATCTCATTCTGTAGAGAGCCCTTCTCAAATCTCTGTCAATAGTAATGTACACTTGGAGTTGGGAAACCTTTTCTGTAAAGGCCAACATGGAATGCACTGCTATTAGGGATTTTTCTGTCTTCATTTTTGTTTGCAGTATTTTATTGTTAGAGACAACACCTTCCAAAATGCAGTGCCTCATTATGAATCCATTTCCTCTGCCCTCAGTTGCAGAGCCACAGACTTGAATGAATATAGGAGGAAAAGTACTGGTGCAAATAGAAGAATTTTGGTACTCTGGAGGCCTCCCCTGCCTCCCCTAGCCCAGATTTGCAACCCACAGCAAAGCGACAATCACAGTGCCTCTCTCACATTTGTGAACTATGGGGCTGACAGCCTACATTCTGGCAGCATGATTCCTCTGGTTTCTGGCAGGAAGGTATGTTAGCACCCTCTATATTTTAGTAGCTGAGAATTTCTCTTAGATTCTGGCACACCATTTGGTTGTTGGCCCTCATTTACAGTGAGAGATGTTGGAAATGAAATGTATATTTGCAGTGTGTCTTTCAAGCTGCTTTGCTGGGAAGTTGAGAGCACAGCTGCTAATCACACCTAACATGTATTCCTAGATCACATTTCCAGCTAATGTCATGCCTCTCTGTACTAGATGGCCCAGTCATGCAAATGGAGTAGAAGCTTTGGTGTTGCACCCACACGAATGTCAGATACTGTGGGTCATTACCTGTAGAGTTTACTGAGTACTTTTTCTAGATCTTGAGTGCCACGATATAGTAATTTTTCTGCAACCTTAAATGGAATAATGACAATATATTTTTTGATAAAAAATTAGCTTTGAGGCTTTAAGGTCTTGCTGCAGAGAGATCATTTATCACACTATTTGAAGAAATTTTAAAAACTAGATGTATTTGGAAAGCAGCTTTATCCATCGAATGCTATATGCTTGAATAAAAGCTACCGTAACCTGAGTTTTATAATTAGACAGCTGGAAACTCTACATAAATATTGGACATCCATGGCAGATTAAAAGGAAATGGGTCACTTGGAAGACTGGTAATGGAATCTTGGACCTAACTGAGCCAGGTTCTTTCACATAAGGGAACCTCAGTTCACCGTTCAGCTTAATTTAAAGATTACTGGCTAATTTGGTTTTAAAGGTACTAAAGGTGAGGAATAGAGGCATAAATTAAAGAGGCTTGTGAAAGATCACAAATTAGAGTCAGAGACTGAACTAGACCCTAAGTGAACTGGATTCCACTCTATCTGTCCTCCTTTTGAGCAAGGTCTCAATTTGAGTCATCCATTGCTAGTATAACCCTCTCAGGAAAGGCCTTTTGTTTCATAGATCTTTGTAAGTGTACTCAGAATCAAACACAGAACATCAGACACAATGATTGCTCAAACCATAATTTGTGAAGGAATTTAATTCTATCATGAGCATTTCCTGACCTCCAGCATCTCATACTCCTTTGTTTACTCATGTACCTGTGTCTAGGTAAGACCTTATGTCTCTGATTCATCCACAACAACTTTCTTCACAATAGAAACTGTCAAGGTCAACTATGTGTCACTTAGGTGTTTTAATCTTTGCACAGAAATGTTATTTTTTCTTGCCATTCTGGAAGAATTTCACAAGCATTTCAGAGACTGACTAAATGATTACAGAATTTGTGCATTTCTGCCAAATTGTGTTGAATAACAACAACAAAAATAAATAGCATTAGTCCTGAAGTCATGCAGGAGCAGGTTTAGACAGAGAACAAAGCATGGTATTTGTGAATTGGCCAACTAACATGCTTCACACAACACTAGCTGTATTGTCAGCAATAAAAATCTGAGAAAAGGTCTTGGCAAGTGTGCTGTACATTTCTTTGTTTTTGAGCTTTGATAATATGTTGGCTGTGATGTGATCTTTAATACACCAAGACATGTAAAATGCAGCTTGTTTTTAAAAGCCATTGCCAATAACTGACAGATATTTATTTCAATGGCAGCAGTGGTCTGAATGTCTCATGTCATTCTGTACTTGCTCACTTTTCCATGAATAAGTTATCATGTAAAGCGGACATGTTTGGACTTATTTGAACTCATTATATAACCCCAGGTTAGTGAGGGCTGTCTTGGAAGGCTCAGGGAGAATTGCTGTATCTCTAGTACATTTAACTCTGTTTCAGTTCTTGATTTTGCTCTTACTATATTGACGACCAAAGCACTTCAGTTTCGTGATAAAATATCCAACAGATCAGCATTCAAAAGTTTGTCCTGAGGCATTTTTGTGTAAGTGCAACCTATTATAATGGTTTCTTTGGTAGTAGAGTATTTTATGTATAATTTTGTTCATAGAATGAGAACCATAAAGATACCCAGTTTTATCATTACATGCAGGAATGAACTTATCAAAGCCAAAGTAACAGATGCTTATGCACCTTCGATAGAACTAATTCCTTAAGGAAAGTCCCCATAAAGAGTCGTAGAAGTTGCATTTTGATGTAACTTCTATGCATTTTAATGAAAAACCTCCTCGGAAAATTATAGGTTATAGTTATAGATAATTACCAATATCATAGATTTTTATTTCGTTAGCTCACATTTATCTTTAATAGTTAATTTACATTATTGCACTGAGGGACTGAGAGTTTCCTGGGGAAGAAAAGAGAGGGTAAAGTCATTTAGGAATATAGTGCATTATCTATGAGGAGCAAAGCAGTGGCAAAAGGTGGAATGAGCAGGTAGTAGTATTACGGTATTGAAAGAATACAAAGAGAGGGTCAATTCTTTGGTTCAGATTCTATTAATATTTCTTCAGAAGACAGGAGGCTCTAAACTAGTGTTTGAAAACTGGCAGCCATGTTTTCTTGAGCTAATAAAGTACTTTAAAAAGCTTTGAGTTTGAATGCTTTTAGGTGAATATGCTGTCTCTGGTACCAGAAACCCTAGTGTTTTATAGTCCAAGGCCCTGAAGGCTTTGGAGTTTAGGAACTCAAATTTACCATGCTTGATCTGTAGAGCACTATCATGCAAAGTGCTGTTGGAGTTTTAGACACTATGTGAATTCTATGTAAAAATATAATCTAAGCTCAGCAGAAAACTTACAAGCCAGAAGCAATTTGGGTCCTATCTTTAGCAGAAACCTTATTAGCCAGAAGGGATTGGGGTCCTATCTTAAACAGAATAACTGTCTGCCAACAATTTTGTATCCAGGAAAACTATGTTTCATAAATGAAAGAGAAATAAAGTAGTTTTCAGAAAACAAATGCCTGTGTTTACTAAAATGTAGGATAATTGTTGCTTTCCTCCTTCAAAGAAAGTCCCAGCATAGGCTGGGAAGAAAACCTAGGAAAAACTCTTCTGGACATTGGCCTAAGCAAAGAATGTATGATGAAGGCCCCAAAACGAAGTGCAACAGAAAGAAAAATGAATAAGTGTGACTTAATTAAACTAAAAAGCTTCAGATCAGCAAAAGAAATAATTATCAGGGTAAACAGACAACCCACAGAATGGAAGAAAATATTTGCAAACTCTGTACCCAACAATGGACTAATACTCAGAATCTATAAGAAACTGAAATAAATCAGCAAGAAAAAAATAATAACCATTGAAAAGTGGGAAAATGACATAAATAAACATTTTTCAAAAGAAGTTATACAAATTGGCCAACAAACATGAAGGAAAAGTCCAACACCACTTCATTAGGGAAATGCAAATTGAAACCACAATGAAAACGGCATGGAGATTTCTTAAAGAATTTACCATTCAATCCAGCAATCTCACTACTGGGTATCTAACCCAAAGAAAAAGATATCACTATCTGAAAAAGACATCTGCATGCATATTGTTTATTACAGTCCAATTGACAATTGCAAAGATATGGACCCAGCGTAAGTGTCTGTTGACCAAAGAGTGGATAAAGAAAATATTATATATACACCATGGAATACTGCTCAGCCATTAAAAAAAATGAGATAACATCCTTTCCTGCAACTTGGATGGTGCTGGAGGCCAATGTTCTAAGTGAAGTAACTCAGGAATGGAAAACCAAATACTGCATATTCTCACTTATAAGAGGGAGCTAAGCTATGGGTATGCAGAGGCATACAGAGTGGTATAATAGACCTTGGAGACTCAGAGTGGGGAGGATGGGAAGTGGATAAAGGATTAAAAAATGACATATTGGGTACAATGTACAGTACCCTGGTGAAGGGTGCACTAAAATCTCAGATTTCACCACTATATAATTTGTCCATATAACCAAAAACCACTTGTGCCCCAAACGCTATTAAAATTTTTTAAACATTTAAAAATAAAGTAAAATAAATGGGAAAAAAATATATCTAAGAAAAGTTATATTGATGTCCAAGAATTAATTCTAAGCACCTGGATGTCAATGAAAAGAATTAACAAATACATGGTTAAGTTTACCTTCAAGGTTGTAACCCTTTGACAAGAGGTCTCCCATACGCAAACTACATTTCCTTTTGTTCTCCTTGGACTCTTCAACAATGCCGTTCTTGTCTATTATCCTCCCTTCATCAATTTATCTTCCTTGTTCCAAAGATTTACTATAATATAAATGTATATGCTTTTTAAATGATAAAACATAAGTAAAATTTTAAATAAATTATATTTATTTTATTTTCTAAAATGTATTAAGTGATGGAATAACTTAATAACTATTGTTATTAATTATTTAGTAATTATTAATATTATTCCATCACTTAATACATTTTAGAAAATAAAAGAAAGTATTGCCCTGCAATTTAAGATTCCACATGCATATGCACATAAACATCCACATTTATATGTAAGCTGCATCAGGGCAGAGACTATGCATCTGAAATAAATCCACTGATTATTTCGATATTTTGTAATGTGTTACATGGATCATGTAATAAGCACTAACTTTAATGCAACAGATGTTCTTAAGAAAGCTGTCTATTGTATTCTCTAGTTTTTTCCTCATGCTTATTCTATAATCTACTTAGGGCTAGCTTATTTCCTCATCATCCTATCTATACAGCTCTACAAACATTAATAACCTGCACACTACTAAATCTAATGGTATATTTTTAAAAATCTTTTTGCTTAATCTCTTAGCAACATAACACTTGACCAACTCTCAAATCTTCAGAAATGTTTGTCTCTTGTCCTCTGTGACATTATAATTTGCTAATCTTCCGCCTCTCTGATCATTTCTAGTTTTTTCTTCACCATCTCATTCTGTTCTTCTGGAAGCTAAATGTTTGGAATTTATCTTGGTCCAGTCCTGGGTATTGTTTATTTCTTTATATGTACATATCTTTTGGACTTAAGCATGCACAATCTTGATTATCAAATTTGAATAGCCAGCCTTGGACATTCATTTGTTTGAGACCAATATCTCCAACTGTGTACTGAAGATTTCTTCTTGGATATCTCAAAGGCATCTCAAATTCAATATGTCAAAGAAAAGTGTGTTCAACCCCACACTTGAAACCAGTGCTGTTCACTGTTATCAGTAGGAAGACACTACCCTACATACACTATACATGGTACATGCCAATTCAAAGGTTTTTGGTATTTGATATGTATCTTTTCTTATAAATTCAGCTGGAAAGTTTTGGAATTGCACCACTATCTATGTTGTTGAGCACTGAAGAAATATAGAAGCCATTTATGCATTTATTTAACAAATATTTATTGAATACCTTCTGTCAACCATGAATTGTTCTGTTTAGAGGGTTACAGTAATGAACAACATACATCAAAGTGTTTCCTTCATAGAGCTTATACTCTATGGACATTTTGCTTCCTACACAATTATATCCAATCCATCATCCTAAATGTTTGTGATTTTACCCGTGGAATTACTCTTTTTTTTCCTTTGAGACAAATTCTCACTCTATTACCCGGACTGGAATGCATTGACAGAATCGTGGCTCACTTGCAGCCTTTATCTCCTGGGCTCAAGCAAATTTGATAAATTTGTAGAGAATTTTTATTTATGGTGTAAGATAGGGATTAAACTTTATTTTTTTGCAAGTGGATATTCAGTTATCTCAGCACCATTTATGGCAAAGACTCTTATTTTTCCCAATAAATTATCCCAGAAACATTGTCAAAAATAAAATGACCATAAATATTTAAGATTGATATGTCTTTTCATCCTTTAATGGCAATCTACTTGTATCTTTGGATCTGAAGTCTCTTGTAGACAGCATACAGTTTGATCACTTTTTAATTCATTCTTCCAATCTCTGCCTTTTTATTGGAGAGTTCAGTACATTCACATTTAATGTAAATGGTGAAAATCAGCAGTTTACTTCTGTCATTTTGCTATTTGTTTTCTATATGTCTCTTGCCTTTTTTATTCCTCAGTTCTTCCATGATTGGTTTCTTTTATGTTAAATAGATATATTCTAGTGTGCCATTTGATTCCCTTCTTGTTTTATTTATTATCTGTTTTTAGTTATTTTCTTAATAATAACATCTTAACATATACTAATCTAGTTCAAATTAACACCAAATTAGGTTCCATATTATCCTGAAACTTTGGTTTTATATAGCTCTGATACCACTCCCTTCTTATCCTGTTATTGTTACAAATGACATCTTTATGAATTGTATGTCCATCAACATAGATTTGTAATTATTGTTTAACACAATTGTGTCTTAAATAATATAGCAAAATGATAAGGGATAAACAAAAGAATGCATTAATATTGACTTCTACATTTACCTATATAGTTACCTTTACTGGTATTTTTAATTTCTTCATGTGGATTAGAGTTACTACTTTCCTTCTGTTTACACCAGAAAAACTCTCATTGGAATTTCTTCTAGGGAAGGTCTGCTAGCCCTTGAAGAAAACTCTACAATAATCTCTCACGCAGTTTTTGTTTACCTGGGAATGCATTAATTTCTCCTTGATTTTTGAAGGATAGTTTTGCTGGATATAGAATTCTGGATCAACATAATTTATCTTTAATTTTTGAAACATAGTTTTGCTGGATATAGAATTCTTGATTGACAATTTTTTTACTGATTCAGCACTTTAAATACCTAATTACACCACCTTCTGACCTTTATGGTTTCTGATGAGAAATTAGCTGTCAGTCTTATTGAGAGTCTTGTATACATACATGATAGGTCACTTCTCTTTTACTACTTTTGAGATTCTCTATTTGTCTTTGGAATTCTACAGTTTGGTTATATGTGTTGATGTTAATATCTTTTATTTATACTACTTTGAGTTCAGTGAGGTTCTTGGATGTGTACATTAATGTGTTTTACCCAATTTTGGAACTTTTCAGCCATGCTTTTATCAAACATTCTTTGTTTTCTTCGCTTTTCTTCTTCTGAGACTCTCATTGTGTATATGTTGGTATGTTTGAAGGTGATTCACAAGCCTCTGAGACTGTTAATTTATCTTCATACATTGTTTTTCTTTTCTTCAGACTGATCATCTCAATTTATCTAACTCAAGTTTGCTGATTCTTTCTTCTGCCTGCTGAACTAGCCATTGCATTCTCTGTAAATTTTTCATTTCAATTAAGGTACTTTTCAACTCTAGTATTTCTATTTGGTTCCTGTTTGTCATTTCTATTCCTTTACTGATATTCTTTGTTTGGTAAGATATGATTCTCAGTGTTCCTTTATCTTTACATGATGTCTTTCAGCTCTTTTAGAATATTTTAAATGGTTAATGTAAAGTTATTGTCTAATTCCTCAAAAACAGTTTCTATTCATTTCTTTTCTTTCTTGCATATAGGCCATGGCTTATTGTTTCTTTGCATACCTTGTAATTTTTTTTGGAGACTGTACATTTCAATTGTATAATATGGCAACTATGAAAATCAGATTCACTCCTATTTTTCCTACAAAGCATTTTAGTTAGTTTATTGTTAAACTGTTTTCCTTTGTCTCAGGTGGAAGTAACTAATACATTTGATTTTAAATATTAAAGCACACCTGTGGTAATCACTTCAGTCACTGGAGAGTTATGAGTGAAACAAGCAACTATAATTCTCTGAAAATAAGATTTGTTCTGTTCTCTGTGATACTAGGTAACTGTATGAATGATGCAGATGTTTTCTTCAAAACTGCTGCTGAGCTGGGGAGTGTAGGATGAAACCAGAGTAATTTAAAACACCACAAAACTCCCTCACAAGGTCCACTGGATTTTCTTAATGAAGCCAAATTATGGATGCTGTAAGCTTTGATTATTTTTTAAAATTTTGAAAAATTTGATCCTGACAGTTTATTCTGGTTTATTTATTAGTTTTGTGGAGGAGCAGAATTGGAATTCACTCCTTCACCATTTTCACTGATGTCACTCAAGAGTTTTTATTTCTGGACTCTTATTTCTATTCCATTAATCTGTATATGACTGTCTTTATGCCAGTCTTCACTACTGTCTTGATTACTGTAGAATTGTAATAGTTTTTGAAACTGGTGTCAGTCCTACAACTTTTTCTTTTTTCAAGATTATTTTGACTATTACCATGAATTTCCATATGAATTTTAGTACTAGCTTTTCAATTTCCGCAACGAAACCAGCTGGGAGTTTGATAGAAATTGTGTTGAATCTTTATCTTTATGTCATTTGGGAACTATTGCTATAATAACAGTATTACATCTTCTGATCCATGAACATGGGATGGCTTTCCGTTTATTTAGGTCTTCTTTAATTACTTACAACTATGTTTTGAAGTTTGCAGAGTATAAGTGTTCCACTGTATTTGCTAAATTTGTTCTTAAGTATTTTTTATATTATTGTAAACAGAACTATGTTAATTTCACTTTTAGATTATTTATTGCAAAGGTAGATAAGTGTAGTTGATTTCTCCATAAAGTAAATTTTAAAAAATAAAAACATGGCGATACCTGTCTCCCTAAAACATTTCAATATCTTCCAATTGTTCTCACAATATTAAAAAAATCTTTAATACAGTGTAAAAGTGCCTCAATGTTCTGGTTTCTATTAACTTCTCTTATCACATCTGTCCCTGATCTTTTCCTCACTATCTGAGCTACACTGTCATGCTCTCCATCCTCAAAATCCAACATAATTGCTTCCATAATAAGGTCTTTGCACATACTATTTCCTCTACCTGAAAATTTTTCTCCCTCTCCTGCCACAAAACAAAACAAAAGAAGACTTCTGATTTTCAGTTTTGCAGGTAAGGAGCTTGGAACTCACCACTGTATCCTAACAATAAATAAAAAGCTAAACACACTGAAAAAAGTCAATAACTTTTTGTGGATCCAAAAAACATGAGGACACACAACAAACCTCTGACCCTAACATTGGTGAGATAGGGAAATGTATGAAATTCTGGCATACCAGAATAGTCAGTCATGAGTGGAAACCAGTGCTGGGGTCAAAAATAACTGAGGCATAATTAATGAATTACTGGAGACTAGATGTGGGCAAATCTGAGAGTTAAAAAGTCCAGCGGGACTCAGTCATAGAGGCCATTCACACTTTTGTGAATTTTACCTCCAGGAGCTCAACCAGGTTCTCATGGTAAGTATCTGAGAAAAAAATCCCCTCATGCTTCCAGCAGGGGAAGAAAAAAAACAACCATCTTGAAATATGCTAGTGCACCCTGTTCTTCATAACAATACCTGGTCTCAGGAGAAACTTGTTAACAAGAGCCTGACTTGCCAGAGTACTGTCTGAGCTTAGATGATGGGAGAAAAATACCCAACCCTAGCCAACTCTAGCCTTCCATGTAGGAGAAGGAAAATACCCAATCTGTCCAACCCCACCCATTCCGTTCTACCTAAAACGGGGAGGAAAAATACAATCTACTTCTAAATAACACATGGTTAAAGAAGAAATATCAAGAAAAATTTAAAAATATTTTGAACTAAATGAAGATAAGAACACATGCCAAAATTTGTGGAATGCTGCAGAGATAGGGCTTGGAAGGAATTTTGTAGCATGTGAATGCGTATATTAGATGACAAGAAATGTCTGAAATCAATAATTTAAGTTTCCACCTTAGGAAACTTAAAAAAGAAGTAAAAACTTACTTCAAAATAAGCAGAAAAATAAATAAGTAGATGAATTAGAGGAGCAATCAATAAAGTAAAGAAGAGAAAAATCAATAGAGAAAACCAACAAAACTAATGGCTGATTCTTTGAAAAGAATAATAAAATTGACATCCTCTAGCCAGGCTAATTTGAAAAAATGAGAGAAAGGATACAAATTACTAAAATCTAAGTGAAAGAGGGAGCATCATCACAGATCCCATGGACATTAAAAGAATAAAAAAGGACAGTATGAACAACTCTATGTCTGTGAGTTAAATAACAGGTAAAATAGACCAATTCCTTGAGGACACAATCTGCCAAATCTTACACAAGAAGAAATAGTCAATCTGAATAAGTCTATATCTATTAAATAAATTGAATCAATAATTAATTACATTTCAAAATAGGAAGCAGCAGGCTTAGATGTGTTCCCTGATGAATTCTACTAAATGTTTAAGAAAGAAATTATGCCATTTTTCTACAATCTCTTCTAGAAATAAAAGCAGAGGGAATACTTCCTACCTCATTCCATGAAGCCAGCCTTAACCTAATACCAAAACCAGCAAAAGACATTACAAGAAGCAAAAACTACAGAACAAGATCTCTCATGAATATTGATACAAAAATCTTCTACAAAATATTAGCAAATTTGATCCAAAAATGTATAAAAAGATTTATCCACCGTGACCAAGTGGGGTTTATTCCAGGTGTGCAAGGCTGGCTCAGCACTCAAAAATTAGTTAATGTAATCAATCACATCAATAGGATAAAAAAGAAAAATCATGATAATATCAATAAATTTAAAGATGACAAAATCAAGTACCTATTCATGACAAAAACTCTCAGAAAACTGGGAATCAATGACAACTTTCTCAACTGGATAACGAATATCTACAAAAGAACTTATAGCTAACACCATTTGTAATGGTGAAAAACTAAAAACTTTCCCACTAAGATCAGGAAAAATGCAAAGATGTCCCCTCTCTTGACTCCTTTTTGACATCATACTGAAAATTCTAGGTAATTCAGTATGAGAAGAAATAGAAATAAAAGGTATACAGATTGGGAAAAATAACTAAAATTGTGTTTGTTCACATATAACGTGATCATGTATGTAGAAAATATAAAAGAATAAACCAAAACCCTTTTGGAACTAATAAACTATTAGAGTAAGGCTTCAGAATACAATGTTAATATACAAAAGTCAATTGTTAACAAAATACATTCAAAAATAAGATCACACATAAAAGTGCAAAAAATAGATATATATGAGGAAAACTACAAAACTCTGATAAAGGAAATCAAAGAAGTTAAAAAATGAAGAGATATTCCATGGTCATGAATAGGAAGACTCAATATTGTCAAGATAACAGTTCTTCCCAACCTCATCAATAGATTCAATGCAATCCCAATAAATATTCTAACAAAATAGTTTGTGGATATTGAAAACCTGATTCTACAGTCTGTAGTAATAGGCAAAGACCCAGAATAGCCAATACAGTGTTAAAATAGAAAAACAAAGTTGGAATACTGACATTACTCAACCTCAAGACTTACTATAAAGCCACAGTAATCAAGACAGTGTGGTAATATCAAAAGGACAGACCAATAGATGAATGGAACAAAATAGAGATCCCATAAGTATACCTACATAAATATATAGTTAACTGATTTTTGATAAAAGAGTAAAGGCAAAAAATACAATGGAACAAAGATAGTCTTTTCAACAAATGGTGCTGAAACAGCTGGACATCCATGCACAAAAATCTAGACATGGATCTTATACTGTTCACAACTATTAACTCAAAATGAATCACAGACCTAAATGTAAAACACAAAACTATAAAACTTCTGGAAGGTGACATAGGAGAAAACCCAGATACCCTTGTATGTTTGATAAGGGAATATTACCCAAAATGTACGAAGAACTCTTAAAACTCATAAATAAGAAAACAACCTAATTAAAACTTGGATCAGAGACCTTAAAAGACCCATTATGAAAGAAGATATACAGATGGCAAATAAGCATATGAAAAGATGTTCCACGTCATATGTCATCAGGGAAAGGCAAATTACAACGACAATAAGATACCTATTAGAATGGTCAAAATTCAGAACATTGACAATGTCAAGTACTGGTGGTGATGTAAAGCAACAGGAACCCTCTTCATTGCTGATAGAAATGCAAAATGATAAAGTAACTTTAGAAGACAGTTTGTCAGTTTTTTACAAAACTAAACATATTCTTTACCAAAGGATTCAGCAGTTGTGCTCCTGATATTTACCCAAAGAGTTGAAAACTTTTGTTCACACAAAAACTTATACAAGGGTATTTATAGCAGCCTTATTCACAATTGCCAAAAACTTGGAAGCCACTAGATGCCCTTTAGTTAGGTGTCTACATCCAAACAATGGCATATCATTCAGCACTGTGAAAAGAAATGAGCTATCAAACCATGAAAAGACATGAAGGAACTTTGAATGCATATTACTAAGTGAAAGAATCCAGTTTGTAGAGGCTATATACTATATGATTCCAACTGTAATGACATTCTGGAAAAGCTGAAACTATGGAGACAGTAAAAAGATTAGTGGCTGTTAGCGTTTGGGGGTTGGAGGAGAAGGATGAAGAGGCAAAACACAGAGAATTTCTAGGGCAGTGAAACTACTCTGTGGGATACTATAATGGTGGGTACATGTCATTACACATTTGTCCAAACTCATATATACAATGTACACCACCAAGAGTGAACCAATGTAAACTGTGGACTTTGGGTGATTATGATGTGTCAGCGATGCTTGTTTCATCAGTTGTAACAAATGTACCACTCTGATGGAGGAGGTTGATAATGGGGAGGGCTGTACATGTGTAGGGGCAGGGAGTATATGGGAAATCTCTGTACCTTCTCTCAATGTTGCTGTTAACCTAAATCTGCTCTAAAAAGTAAAATCATTTTAAAACAAACAAACAAACAAAAAAGTAAAGCTCTTTATCAAGCTAGTGCCTATTATGTCTTCAGATCTTGGCTCAGATGTCCTGTTTGGTAAAGCCCTTGTGAATAGCCAGTTTAGGTCAGCTTTCTTGCCACCTGCCTATTAAGCCCATCTTTCCTTTTCTTTAGAGTCCTTAAGTAGTTTTTAATTGCACACTTCTTAAATTGATTATGTGATTAATGAATATATATATTCATTATTATATATATTATTCATATATATATTATTCATAATAATGAATAATAATATTAATTCATAATATTTATTATTCATAATGAATAATATTAATCATAATATATATTATTCATAATGAATATGTATATTCATTATTATTCAATATTATTAAATAATCATATTCAATAATAATTCAATAATATTCAATAATTCAATAATATTCAATATTCAATAATAATATATGAAAATAATCATATATAATATATACATATATACATATATTCATATGTATATACATATATATTCATATGTATATACATATATATGTATATACATATAATTCTATGTATATACATATATAATCACATATATGATTAAATAATCATATATATATATGAAAATAATCATATATTATTCAATACGCTTTTTAGTGAAGGGCCTGCCTCATATTTGCTGCCTGAGGGTTTTCTTCTGCCCAGTGCAATATATACTCAGTATTCAACAAATTGGGGGGTATTGAAGAAGTGAATGAATGAATGAATGACATGTCAAGAAGTTTTATGCATTACCTCATTCAATCATCTGTCACTCATTTTAGGTAGGTAAGACCCCCTCCAATTTAGAAGTGGAAAAAATGAGGATGGTTAGGTAATTTTTCCAAATGATAACAAGTAATCATTGTTATGTCAGGATTCCAAACCAAATCTCTCTTCCTATACAATCTATACTTTCAACTAAACTGTTAGATTGCCTCATTCAATTCGAGATGACTATGTACGGTATTTAAAGAAGGCTCATAATAGAGTAGCTAACGAATCTAGCAAAGAGGAGAAAGGTTCATCATCCATGAAAGAAATGTTTGATGAGCTATGAAGGGGATACTGTAATCTCACACAGCATAGTAGCAGGATTTAGGATGGAGAGTAAGGCTATGAGACATTTTCCAATGTCTCAGATGAAGGAAAGGAAAGGCCCAGAGTTTGGTAGGTAGCATTTGTGAGGAGGGGAAGGAGAGTGGTAAAGTGGTACAAATGCCCAAAGATTGTGCTTAGTGGGAAAACAGCTGGAAGCATCAGTGAGAGGCAAAAAGAACACCTACTTGACCTTCTTTTCTTGGAATATTGAGTTGTGAGAGAATAAACTGATGTACTAGAGGAGAGGTACAGAGAAATACTTTCCTCAGTGAAAGGCTGAAGTTAAGTCAAGGAGATCAAGGAAATCTCTAAGAAGAGCGTGCATATAGATGGTAGGTCATTGGTTATCCAAAGGCAGTTCCCAAAGCTGTATTCGAAGTGTTTGGGCAGTGAGGACTGGAGGTCTAGGTCACAAGTCAGGAAGTGCAGAACATTACAGAATGGACTCATGAAGAGGGATGCAGACCCTCATGGATTTTGTCCTAATGGTCTACTGGAGACTGCTGGATGCAGAATAGTTGACAGAGGTCTTGGCTCATTTACCTTGAGGTTGAAGAAAGCCTTAGCATCTTCAGTCTGAGATTGCTTGTCCTGGAGTGATGGTGACTCAGTGGGCACAATGCCCACACATTTTGAGGAGGGAAGATAATTGGAGGGACTACAATGCCTCAAACACTTTGAGTGTATTTAAATCTATAATAGGCCTGGCACGGTGGCTTATGCCTGTAATCCCAGCACTCTGGGAGGCTAAGGCAGGAGAATCATCTGAGGTCAGGATTTCAAGATGAGCCTGGTCAACATGGTGCAACCTCGTCTCTACTAAAAATACAAAAATTAGCTTGGCATGGTGGTGCACGCCTGTAATCCCAGCTACTTGGGAGACTGAGGCAGGAGAATCACTTGAACCTGGTAGGTGGAGGTTGCAGTGACCGAGATCATGCCACTGCACTCCAGCCTGGGTGACAGAGTGAGCTCTGTCTCAAAAAAATCTAGAATATTCCTATATAATGCACAGCATTTTTAGAAATTTATTTTCCCTATTACTAGGATACTGGTACTCTTAAAAACATGGGCATGGTGAGATGAATGGAAATTCACTTTTGAGAATACCAGTATGGGGAAATGGGGGACTACCAAAAACAGAATGAAGTATTCAAAATAAATGACTGGTTATAGATAAGTTTGCTAAGCTAGGAGGGAAGGCCTGGGAGAGAGGCATCCGGGAAGACAAGAGTATGGTGCCTGGGAAAGCAAAGAAATGGTGAGCTCAACTGAGAGCAAATCAGAGAGGGGAACATTCAGTAAACTGGGCAATTGGACTCAAGTTTTGGAGAAGGTTGGTAACAGCAGACAAACTCTCTTTCATTTATGTATCAAAATCATCTTTTGGTGAGAGAGATACACTTTTTCCTCATTATATCCGTATTTCAAAATGTCACTTGGAATCCAGCGCAACAATTTCTAAAACCATATTTATCCTTCACATATAATGGAACAATTTGGGTCAGTCTTTGACCTAAAACTTTCCAGTGTACCCTACTTTCAAATTCAAAAGTCTGCCACTTCCCCTCACCCCCATACCAAATTCCAGTGGAAATTTTTCATTTTAGACAATGATCCTGTTGCCTATCAGACAAAATAGTAAAGATAATAAAAGGTGTTGTTTTGCTATTTTTACATCAAGGTTCCCAGTTAACTTTATGACATTCAAATGATAACATTTTTAAAACATGATTTTATTTGGTCAAAGTGTGTGTTGTGTATAGCTGGTTATCTCTGTCTTCTCTCCCTTTAAAGATTAAAGAAAGGTAGTAATAGTCTTAAGACATTGGGGAAAAGATACAGTTTATTTTGTTTCATACCTGGTGGCCCACAAAATACCACACAGGGTCATAGAGTGGAAAAAATCTCCATTTCTCATTCCCACAATAATTCGAAGATAAATTCTCCTATTCCTAGGTAAACATGAATACTGCTTACCCCTGTAGTTTATGATCAGCCGAATGGGTTCTAGAATAGTTTAAAATTGAGATCATGTCTACAAATCCAAAGCATCAAATACTTCCTTCAGGGATTTAGTGGTAAAAGCAAAGAAAAAATGTTACCAGATCCCTTTTCTGATCATGGCAGCCAACTGTAAATTCCCTAGTCTCTTTCTTGTTTGTTCATTTCCCTGAACGTATTGCATTTTAATCCTGTAAAAAGTTGTTTCACTTAAGCCCCAATTCTAGGCATAGTTATTTCTCATTCTCAATTCTCATGATATGATGACTATTACACTATTGAGAAGACCTTCATGGAAAAAATGGTAGCTCTACTATTGAATTGTGTAAAAATGATTATAAATATATTTCAATATGGCTAGATTGGAATTTGAGGTATGAAGTTTTAACTTTATGACTAATTCTAAAAGCTTTTTACATACATGCAGCAAGTGTTTTTGAGCTGTGAAAAAAATGTTTTCCTGAAGAAAAGTGGCAGTTTAGGTATTTTTTGCTGATAAAACAAAAAGATGAGACTGGAAGTTTAACATTTAAACATCATCAAAAACCATGAGTATTTAAGTTTTTTCATTCTAAGAAATTGCAAAGCCAAAGTATTTTTTCCAATTAAAACAGTAACTAATAACAGACTAATTTCTAATTTATGCATTAGACCATGCCAAATGGAAAATTAGGGAGAAAAATAAACAGTGTCCATGCAAACTCTTTGAAAAGGCAAAGTAATGCGTTTCTTGTTTCTTTTCCACCAAGATTTTATTATCAGTTTCCATTATCTCCAGCTGACTTGTTCAGTTTCTGACTCCAAGTCCGATGACTTAAATTGCTTTACCATTACTTCTACTCCAGTGTTCCACGGCTTGTTGACACCACATTAGAATGTGGATACCAGATGTTGGCAATGAGCTGCAAAATTAATCTAATTGGTTCTTAATGATGCCATGGTATATTTGAACACACTTGATAACTGGGTCTCTGATTCCCTTTTTTGTTTAATGAAGAGCTGCTGTACTTTGATTATAGGTGAGACTAACCTGTAACCTGTCTCATGCGCTCTATCTACTCAGCTGCAAGCAATCTAGATATTCAGATTAATTAATGAGCTCTGTAGCCATATCGTCTTCTCCTGCTGCTCTGGCCTTGTTCTCCGTGCTGAGGCCAGAGTGCAGCTCTGGAAGCTTTTGAACATGACGTGCACACTCTGACTCTTGGCCATGGTACTCCCTCTGCTCCCCCACGCCCCACTCAATGTTCAACTACATTTTTTCCTCACACTGCTTTGATTCTTTTCGTCTCCCCTCCCCACTTTTCCTAATTTTTTATCCATCACCTGTGTCCTCTGAGAGCTCCCTTTCAGAGGTGGTATAAATTCCTCTCGCACCACCAACCTTTCACAGATGTTCCCTCCAACTCTTAAAGAAATCCTGGCTCTGTGCTGAATTTTTTCCTTTTCTGTTACTCTCAGAAAGGAAGGTTTTTCTGGTCTACTCAAAGCCTGCAAGAGGGATTGGTCTTCCTTGGACTATTTGATGCCACTTATAAAGAATTTTTCTTGTGTCTTTATGCCGAGCTGCTTTCCTTCTTAGTTCATGCCACCCAATGTTCTCACCTTTAGCTATTCTTATTGTTATAATGAAACAACCCACACTGTGATGATTCTCCTGCAAGTACTGATGACATTAGCACCCAGCTCACAGTCATCCTCTACAGCCCATGTTGTGCCTTCAAACTGAACAATTTCAACACACATGGGGCCAATCTAGCCAACATTTCTGCCTCAAGGTTTTTTGACACTGTCAGTTCTATTGACCTTCAGCATACTTCAACTTCCTACTCTGACTCAATACCACAAAAAATTTAAACTCTCCCATCACTACTGCTCATCCTCCTATCTTTCTCATATTTTAAGGTTCACCATACCTGCTCCCTGTTACTTGGAGTCCTTCAGTTCCTTGATTCCTCAATTACCCCTGCTCTGTTAGTCTATGAGTATACACCGAGCCTCATTCACTTTCTTCCTTCTAGACTGAGTACAGCTGGTGGTTGGATGCTTTCTCATTGAACTCTCTTGCATTCTTGCCATTTCATTGTATCCCATTCAGGAACATTCATCCAGGGAACTGAGGCCTGACGACACGAACAATTCCCAAGCTCCCCTTTCTCTGAAGCGAAGGTAGTTACAGCTGCATCCATTATTATCTCATTTAGCCCTTGTCATCTCAAGACCAAGCTCTCCTCCTCTTGACCCTTTTCTCCCTGGTTTCTTTTAGGATCTTGTTCCATCAATAAGGCATCTTTTCTACTATATGGTTAATGTTTTCTCCTGCCTCTTTTTTTTAATCTATTCTTATTTTCAGTCAATGATGCCATTATTTCCAGAGTCACTCAAGTTAGAAATTGGGAGCAATTTTGCCTGTTTTTATCTTTCATGCCCATATGTACTTAATAATAGTAGTAGTAATTATATTCAGTCACAGAGTGACTACAACATGCCAGCCACTGTTCTAAGTGTTCTATATATGTTAATTCATTTAATTCTCAAAATTATTCTATGAGCCAGATATGACTTTTATTACCATTTCACAGATAAAGACATTGAGGCACAAAGAAGCTGAGAAGCTTTCCCAGGAACACCATGCTGATAAGTGGTGAAGCAGAGATGAAGCACCAAATGCTGGTTGTAACTCCTGACCGTAATACGAATTTTACCACTACAGTCCTGTTGCCCAGCTCCAGGCCCTTACAACTCTTATCTCCATTGCAATAGCCCCCCAAATGGCCTCTCTGGCTCTGGGCTTGTGCTCCTCAGAGTCCCACTCTGTAACATTTCCCCCATAGATTGCCTTAGCAAAAAAATCTTAATTTGACTTCACTGCTTAATAACCATGAGTGAATGAAGTAAAAATCAAGACTGTTTTGTTGGAATTCATTCTGAAACTGTTTGTTTTTTAAAGATTTTACATTAATGACTTACCAATTTTGAATGGGGCTGAAGAAGGGAATGAAGTAGTTACATCTCATACTGAGACTAATGGGTTCAAATCCTGATTCTAGCACTCACTAGCTATTGGATATGGGGCAAGTTACTTAACTCCTCTGTGTATCAGTTCCCCATCTTTAACGCGAAGTCATAATAATATTTACATCATAGGGTGGTTGTGAGAAATAAATTAAATTAATTGATATATGTAAACTGTTTTTAAGTGTGCCTGGTATAGAATAAATTGCTATATCAGTGTTAGCTATTATTACCAACATGTGGAAGCTAGGCAAGCTGGTTGGAGAACAGGATTAGAATTCAAAATAGTCTTGATAAACTGTCATACTTTTCATCAGGAGACAATAATAGTGTGCCTGCCAGAATTCATTATAGTACATATCTGTGATGAGCTGCATAACATTGCTTTGTGATGGAGATCTTGCACTTGGGTTCTGAATCATGCTGAAGCTGTCTTTTGGTATTTGAAGTTGCCCTCCTTGATTTGGAAGCCGAAATAAAGGCCATTGCCAAAGTAATTCCATATAGACATGTATCCTCTTCCAAACACGTGTAAAGTTTCTTTTAGACAAGAGTAAGGACTGTAATCCACATGACATAATTTTCAAGATACTATATTAACACCCCAGAAAGCCAAGAAATCAATCTCCCTGCCACTACAGCCCTCTAGGAAACATCTGTTGGACTATTTGCCATGAGAAAGAATAAAAGAAGGCCTGGTCGCCCCGGCTTAGTGGGGGAATCAATCCAGGAGGGTTGATGGAGGTGGCCTGCTGGCTTGGGAATGGTACCTCACTCCGGGTTTTTGAAAGCATAGAAGTATCGTAAAAGATGGTACAGACAATGGTGGTGGTTCATGTTGGCTTGTTCTCCACATCATTCAACTACTGGGAATAGTTATTGTTCAAAACCTGTCTGTTGCTCAAATGCCTATTCCACCTTCTTTGGGCTCTAAAAGAGCCAGTCCCACTGAACATGTGGTTTGTACAAAATTTGTACAAATGTTTAGAGTCCAGTAATTTATATTCTGGTTAAAACTGGCCATATTTGGCAGTCAGATATATGAAGCAATGCTAGATTTTGAAGTGCATGATAAAGAAAGAAAACTAAAGTTGAATTCCACCTGACCTTAGAAATAAGTAAGTACCTTACAAAAAGAGGAGGAGGGTATGGGAACTAAAAGAGACAGCTTGACAGCAGACAGAAAACGATTTAACACCCAGACAGGGTAGAAAATTGAGATCCACAACTATGGCCAAAAGATACAACCCGAACGAACTGCTCCGAAATGAGAGCTAAAGGACACGAGCATTACACAGACTTTTCCCATCACAAGATGTAAGCTAATCTACTTTGCTAAAAACAAACACATTTCACCCTTGAGAGTGTATTAAGAGCTCTGAAAAGAGTCTGAGATTTTATTTGTAAGACACATTTCATCAGATATTCAGCATTTTCACTGTAGAGTTCCTAGCCTCTGGTGTTCTTTACTTTCTGATTCCTGTGAGTTAATGAGAACCACGTTCACTCAAGGAGCAAGTCACAGCCTAACATTTTCCTAACCCTTCTGTTTCCCAACAAGCAAAAAAGCTTTTATGTCATTTTTTTTTCTAAATAAAGGTTTCAAAGAATTTAACAACAAACTGCCCACACATATTTTTATAAATAAAGCAATGGTCCAAACAAGTTAGAAAGTGCTATATCAATTTCCCTTTCTGGGGTGGTAGCGGTAACTATTGCACCTGTTTTTCTCTAATAGTACCATTGTATTTTCAACTTGACAACATTGAAGAATATCTTAGAATTTGAAGAAAACGTCAACAAACGTTTGTTGAGCACGGGTACAGCCAGTGCTACTAATCATGTAGCATAGCATAGCTATACCATGTTTAGTGTTCCTGCAGATATCGCAGATCATTCTGTGTCTGTTTAAAGGAATTGTGTGTTAAAATATTGCTTTAAATGACCTCACAGTGAATATATTTTCGTCTGTGCTCCACAGTCAGAAAGTACATAGCAATTAAAATAATGGTTAACTGCAAACTCACCATGTTGATGATTTGCCATATACTGACAGAGGTACTAAAAATATTCTGAGGAAGACAATCCGATTATTTGATAGGCCTGTGGTTAAAAAGATGATAAATGCTGGGAGTAGGGAATTAGTGGAAAAACGAGTCATGTTAATCTGAGTGGTGTTTGAAATGAAATAATACATATGCCATTTTAAACTGAAGGTCATTGACTTACCACCTCATGCTTCACTTATAAGGCCTGTTACAGAAACAGTCTTAAAAGATAGCTCAAATTGAATGTGGAATCTGGAAGTTGTCTTTTTCTCTTATTTTTAATTCATTCCACCTTATCAAATATTGTCCTTTCTAGAAATCCTTTCTTTTGGTGCCTGAGCTCATCGCCGCCTTCTGCATGCCTCCTTCAGCTGTCTGGTGTAAGCCCTCATCCTTGCCTGCCCAGACACAGGCAGTGGCTTTTACCCTGCTCAGTCACCCTCCAAAGCCATAACCCAGACCCACCCGAAACATTTCTATGACCACATCATTCTCTTGCTCAAAGTCTTCAGCTGTTTTCTAAAACCTGATGATCTAATCTAAGCTGAACCCAAAGCACAGGCATCTCCCCAAAACTGGAGTTAAGACTGATATATGGGAGAAAGGATAATGGATATTTAAAAAGTTGGGGCTCAAAGGGTTGACACATTGAAGTGTTTAGTACACAACTAAGGCATCTCACTCAATTTGATAGGCAGCAGACATCTATCAGTTGGTGGTTTGTTTTTTTTTTAGATCAATAGTATACTTTAGAAAAATTAATCTTGCTGTGGTGTTTAGCATAAATTGAAAGGAAAATTGACTAAACTACTGCAGTGATTTTAGGGAATAGATAGTGAGGCTCTGAGTAAGGATGATGGCAATGAAAATGGAAAAGAGAGAGGTATGAGTGGAGATGTCATAATTTGTCATTGATGGTAGGGAAAGAATCAGGAAACAATGAGAAATATAGTCAAGCATTTGCAATAATTGCTCGGAGAAATCTTTTATTGCTTAGTTTTACCATCAAAGATTTAAAAATAAGTTTCTGTTCAATCCTTCCTGGAAGAAAGTGATTGTGAGTTTGATTTTCCAAAAGGGTCAAGTAGAGCAAAAATTGGTGTTCAGCGATATGCCAGCCATAGCCAGAGAGCTCATGGATGCTTTGGCCATGAACTCCTGGCTTCAGCTTCTGTCCTGTGGCCTCTGCAACTTTCCTGAACAAGTACCAGTCACAGCACGAGAAAGACTTTACTTACTGTCTACAAAGGTCACACCCATCAAAACATTAAAACAGTAGTTTTAAGCAAGAAAAGGCACCATCAGAGAATTGCCGTGCATTGGCGATAGTGGGTGAGGGGTCTTTCCCGTTACAGTAGGCACCAGCGTTCAGAACAGACTGGCTTCTGCAATCTCAAAACCCCTCATCTCGGGGAGGACGTTGTAGGTCACCTTATCAGCTGTGCAGCACTGGGCTATAATTGCATCATCGCCACAAGATAATCTCCCAGGCTACTATCCTAGTCCACATTCTACCAGAGTGATAAACAGCATAAATAAATACCACAGCCATTTACTTAGTTTGCTGTTTTTAAGGGTTTTCAGCTGGGAGAGGACCACATGGCCTCTGTACAGCTGTTTATGGGTTCTTTCTAACTGGATGTGAAGCACTGAGTTCTAGAATTCTTGGAAGACTGCCTTTTCCTCTAAGCCTGACTAAGGTCAAGTCCACCTACAACTTCATATAAACGTCTTTGGGCCACGTTTACAGGAAAAGACCATCCACTGGTTGGACCGAACGACTGAAACTTTTGAACTGTTTCCACACATAGCAGAATGTGGTTTGCTGGGATTCGCCCACTTAGCAGCCAGTCACTAAGGCATTCGTTGGAAATGAGTAAGTTGGGAGGCAGGAAAGACTGGCAGATTTTTTCTTTCTATCTCCCTCTTCCCTTTTAGACTCAAAGAAACGGTATGCATGTGGACAGAGGTGCCAAGCCCTATGGCACTTGTGGTGAAGGAGGCCATTCTTTGAAACACTTAAAGGCCAAAGTGCTCCTTTTAGAGGAAAATACTTCTAGCACTATACTGTGGCCTTTAACTTAATTAGTCAATTAAAGCAAGAAAGTCTCTCAAAAGAATCATGCAAATAAAAGGATGTTGCTTCCAGGGAAAGAAAAGTCTTTTGCAATGCTGAGACCAGAGGTGTCAGTCTAAATATTTTCCAAAGGGTATTATTGTTATGTGCTTTAAAAAATTCATTCTAGGTTCTCAGTGGGCTCCTATCCTGGGATCTGCAGGTACCTGCATTACAGACTTAGGAGATGAGCCCTCAAAAAACTCTTGCTATTGCAAGTAAAAATGTCAATTTATATTATTCCCATTTCAAAACTTAATTTTTGGTTAGGTTAAATAAGCAACACAGTTAACAGTATCATCTAGAGATTTTTGTTGTCGTTGTTAGGACAACATGAAATTTTAAATATTGAAATATATGGTATTTTACTTTAAGTTCTCGGATACATGTTCAGGATGTGCAGGTTTGTTACATAGGTAAACGTGTGCCAGAGTTTTTTGCTGCACCTGTCAACAAGTCACCTAGGTATTAAGCCCAGCATGCATTGGCTATTTATCCTGATGCTGTTCCTCCCCCCACCCCCAATACCCCCACCAGCCCCCAGTGTGTGTTGTTCCCCTCCCTGTATCCATACGTTCTCATTGTTCAGCTCCCACTTATAAGCGAGAGCATACGGTATTTGGTTTTCTGTTGCCATATTAGTTTGCTGAGGATAATGGCTTCCAGCTCCATCCGTATCCCTGCAAAGGACATAATCTTCTTCCTTTTTATGGCTGCATAGTATTCCATGGTGTATATGTACCACATTTTCTTTATTCAGTCTATCATTGATGGGCATTTGGGTTGATTCCATGTCTTTGCTATTGTGAATAGTGCTGTAACAAACACACATGTCTTTATAATAGAATGATTTCTATTCCCTTGGGTATGTGCCCAGTAATGGGATTGCTGGGTCAAATGGCATTTCTGGCTCTAGGTCTTTGAGGAATCACCACACTGTCTTCCACAATGGTTGAACAAATTTACATTCCCACCAGCAGTGTGAAAGCATTCCTGTTTCTCCACAGCCTTGCCAGCATCTATTGTTTCTTGACTTTTTAATAATAGCTATTCTGACTGGCATGAGGTGGTATCTCATTGTGGTTTTGATTTGCATTTCTCTAATGATTGGTGATGTTGAGCTTTTGTTCATGTTTGTTGGCCGCATAAATGTCTTCTTTTGAGAAGTGTCTCCATGTCCTTTGCCCGCTTTTTAATGAGGTTTTTTTAAAAACTAATATCTTTGCCTTTTTAATGGCACTTATCAAATGTGGGGATTCCATAGTACTTCTAATCAGTTATAAAATTCCTCTACTCTGTTGGATTTAGGCACTAACTTTAAACACATGAAGTCCTAAAACACATCTTTAATTGAGAACGTTTTTCCAATAATTACACATACTTCTATATTCTAGCTTTTATTCTCACATAGAACTCATATTGTAGTGGGGGAAGATAGTAAAATACTCAGATACATAACATGTCAGTGTTTAGTGCTTTCAAAAAATAGAAAGGACAGGAGAATGTGAGAGAAGAGGGAAACTTGTGATGATATCTAACAATGATTGATATATCATATAATAAAAAGGTAAAAAATTAATTAATAAAACATGTCAGGCTATCACCTGAATTATTCAGGCTCTTAAGAACCTGCTACTGGCAAAAACAAAAGACAATTTATCTTCCAGTTTGGTTTTCTTCATTGATTTAATTCATAAAATGATTAATTAAACTTTTCATTTCGTTTGATCTCATGTGACCTCATGACTTTGATTTCTTCAGCCAAACTTAAGAGTGGTGACAAAATCTCATTTGGAAAGCATTTGGAGAAAATTGTTATTCTCATATGGAAGGTGTTTTAATGTCAGTTGAGCAAATACTTCTTCCCTTCTAAGTTTCATTTACTCATTGGGTCTTTCAGATCTATTTGATGCATTTACCATTGCAGTTTCCCATCATAAATTTTTCTTTCAGTACTTATATTTATTCACAATATACGACAACCAAGCCATTTTGTATTTAAATGATGTTGAAGACTGCCAGGCATTTTTTCAGATATTTGGAAATAAAATATAGTTTTTTGTGATACCCTTCTCTCTCACTGAGTATATAGTCACCAGACTTTTTTGGGGGTAATTTCAGTGGAATATTTCTCTCTTTTCTTATTAGCTCAATAGATGATATTACAGAAAAGCTAATTTCCAAGGAGTTGACTAAAATATGTAACTTTTTTTTACAGAAATAGAATAATTTTGGTTAGAAATAGTAAATGTTCTCACATGTTAAATGTTATTAACTACTCTTCAATACTGAATTTCTGAAAAATAATTTCCAGATAAGTCAAAAAGTACAATACACTGCTACCTCTGTGTTCAGTACTTCATAGACATTCTAAGTCTTGCATTTGCTTTTGTGATAATGATTCGTCAATGTCCAAATTTTTTTAATTCAAAAAATTATTTACCTACCACATGACCTCATAAATATTTTGTAGGAAGGATGTTCTAATCTACTTCTGCACTCTGATTTTGCAGAATCTCTTTCTATGCATTTTCTGTGTTTATTTTTAAAAGTACATTTTATGAGTTTTTCCTCATCATAAGATAAATTCATGCTTATTGCAGAAAACTTGAAGAAATTATTCAAAATGTTACTCTGCAAGAAAAAAACTTAGGGGATGTATTCTTTAATCTTTTGCATAAATGTTTGCATTTAGGGTTTGAAATTTTAAAGTCTTGCAAATTTTCCTGTGTCATTAAGTCTATACGAATTTAAATAGCAGTCAGCAACGAACACTCCAAAGGGGATAGTTTACAGGGTGTTTTATATTCATTGTGTTTAGTTAGTAGAACTCTGTTATCATCCAATAATTCATAGCCTGTCTGATTTCTTATTCTCTTTTTTATTCTTCATCAATCTTGCCATAAACTTGACTTGTTTTAGCTGTTATAATAAACATTTATTGGTATTTAATCATTAAATTTCATTGATTTTACCACATCTTTATTATTTTCTTTTTACTTATTTTATTTTTTCCCTTTATTTCTTTTTTTCCAAACCATGAGGATGCTGAAACAAATAAAACAAAAATCTCCTGTGTATTAATTTGCTAAGGCTACCATAAAAAAGTGCCAATGACTGGGTGGCTTAAAAGAGAGAAATGTATTACCTCCCAGTTCTCAAGTCTGAGATCAGGATGTCAGCCTCTTGGTTCTTTCTGAAGATTGAAAGGAAAGGACTGTTCCAGGCCTGTTTCCTTGGCTAGTAGATGGCCATCTTCTCCCTGAGTCTTCACATCATCTTCCCTCCGTGTGTGTCTATATTGAGCAGTTCCATTCTGAGATACTGAGGAATAGGACTTCAACATACGAATTTCTGCAGGGAACACAATTCTCTCTGTAACACCCCATCATAGAAGCATTTACAAGCTAGTGGGGAGAGGCCTTTGATAAATAAGGACACCAGATAACAATAAGTGACATAACAAAACATAAAAGCAGAGGAATAGTGAGGGCCAGGGCAAAGGAAGTGAACTGGTGCATAACGCTTTGGCAGTGGGTTAGATATTTCTCTAATGTACAGAAATGTAAGTAACCAAAGTCAGGGCCACACTGGATGGGCAGTGTTGCCAATAGATTGTATAGTTTGTGCTTTGTGGGATGGCAATAACTGACCTTTTTGCGAAGACTTGTCTTTTTATTTGGTGCAGTGGGGGCAGTTTGGAGGGCCCTTCTTTGTGTAAAATTAAGGCACTAAGTCTACTCATGAAGGGAGAGGCTGAGACAAAATAATGGTAAATTACACAAGCAGGAGGCCATTGGCCTGAGGCTGTCTTTGCACTTTGAGTGCCTACATTACAAACTACAACCTAACTTAGTAGATACACAAACTAACAACCTAACTCAGGAGTATAACAAACAGCCAAGTCTTGGCCAATCATGAGCAGCCAAGCTTCAGCCAATCACAGGCAGCCAACTAATCAGACCATTTCCAAATAAGGCAAATGCATGGCTGTAACCACTCAAGTTATTTTTG
This sequence comes from Homo sapiens, assembly GCF_000001405.40. Classification (NCBI taxonomy): domain Eukaryota; kingdom Metazoa; phylum Chordata; class Mammalia; order Primates; family Hominidae; genus Homo; species Homo sapiens. The sequence continues at coordinate 22,432,927 of NC_000013.11, forward strand.
TACTTTACTTCCTTACTCTGTCTGTAAATACTCTGAATGTAAATAGATCACTGTTGCAGATGGGAGTTCTCTGAACCTCTTCTGGCTCTGAGTGCTACCTGGTTCATGACTTATTCTTTGCTCAAGTAAGCTTTGTTTAATTTAATTTGTCTAAAGTTTTTCAACAATGGCTATACTGCTTTTTTAAAAAAATAATATTATAAAAGGCTATTTTGAAGGTCAGTAAAGCACTGGCTCCAGATAAATTATGATAATGTTATATAATTTATTTTATGTATATATATATAATGGGGCCAGTAGAAGGAAGTTGAGGCTATGAGACTCTGGGGAGAAATGAGAGAGAGGACTCAGGTTAGAAGAAGAATAGTCCCAACACTTCTGACCTAATGAGGGAGTAGCCTATGGGGGAATTACCTGGGAATTGGTCTTTTATTGGATTTTGGAAAAAGTGACACCTGAAAAAGAATTTTTTCTTCTTCTCTGAATTGTGCTTTTCACACAGTATTCCCAGGTTTTCAGAAGATCTTTCGAGAACTGTTGCAGTCTGGCCTCATTTTTTTGTGACAGTGGCTCTGTGCCTTCTTAAACCCACGTTTTAGGGGCCTCATTGACTCAAGAGAGACAAAGCCCTGAGAATGCAGTACGCCCTGGAGGACCTTGACCAACAGCAAAGGTCAGCATGGCTCCTGGGCAAGCTTTGTAGATCTCTTGCAAAGAGGAGGGGAGTTCTGAATACTAAAAGAAAGGAACCCTTATTGACTAATTCACCAGGATGAAAGTGTTGGAGTATTTTTAATGTGGTAATAGATTGATCATGGAACATGTGAAGTCTTGAAGACACACGATCGTGCTCTGGAAAGATATGGAACAAACCATTTCCTTGGCATTAGATTTCCCCATAACAGATTGACCTACCAAAAAATACCTCTATGGAATAGCAAAATGACACCCCCAGTATTTTCACAAACATTGTTTTTTTTCTCTTATTAGTAAGTTTAAGCATATCTGTCCCATACCAGTAAGTGCTTATACAAATTTGTTAATAAATGAATACATATTCGCATTAAATATATGGTTGTAAAAGTCATGAGGAGTCATACTTAAAATGTATATGCAATTTTAAAAATATATTTTTAAGATACTGAGGAGCCGATGGATTTGTTAAAAACTATGAGGTTCGTAATTTAAGTGAATGCAAAGCCCCAAAGAAACAAGCTGAGTGCTTAAACAGCCTTAACCCGAGAGCATTTGCTAATATAGCTGAGCCTACGTTTTTGTTTTGAAGGTCTCTTGGGGCAAAGGGAATGAGTCTAAACCAAGAGCCTACCATCATGTTCAATCTAAATAGGAAAAGTGGCTCCTCTGAAGGAAGGATTTCCCCAAAGCCAGAGCTTCAGGGAAAATGGGAACTCAAAGTAAATGCACCCCAAGTGCCCACGCCTCGGAGGCTGCCCAGAGGCTGCCTTGCTGCCAGAGTTAAAGAACACTCTGCAGGACTTGTAACCCAGGCTGCCCTTTCACATGCCTGGAGAGTCCAAGTATACTCAACCTTAACTTCAATTTTAAGACATTTTAGGCATTTTCTAAATGCCTTTTAAAATCAAAAGTAAAACTCATCTGTAGGAGTGTACCTTTGTTCAAGGTCTTAAATAAATTCCACAGATTTCCTGGAAAAATATGCAGAAGAGTCAACAATAAACACGCAAGAATACAAGGCAATATAAGAGAAATTTTTTTTGAAAAAAATAGAACAAAGACTTTATATGTTAAAATTATTAGGCAGATTGTAAATCAACTATACTTCTATATTTTAAAGAGCGCTAGGCTTTAAGGGTTTAAAGAAACTTCAAGGAAACAGAAAGCTGTATAAAGCAATGTAACAGATTTGAAAAGGAGCCAAATGGAACTTTTAGAAATAAAAAGACTAAAGATGCAAAATGCCGAAGAGAATAAACAGAAAGAGTAGTAAGCACATGGGGGAATCTGAACAATAACTGACTATAAAACTGCAAAAATCATCATATCCCAAATTGTTTTAGAAGAGATAGAAACTATGACAGCCAAAATAACATATAAACCGGGGGGATGCATGGAGGTATATTGTTTTAAGGTTCTTGTTGTTATCTAGTTGGAGATTAAAAGTATTAATTAATTTTAGATTTTGACAAGTCAGTATATTGCTAAGGTTAACAAGTAATAGGAAAGGAAATAACTTCCAAATTAAGAAAGAGAAAGCACAAAAGGATACAAATTAATCAAAAAAGTTAAGAATAGAGAGAAAGCATAAAAAATAGGAAGTTGATACAAAAATACAAGACATAATAATATATTTAAACATTTTATTAAATGCAATATGGCAATTACATTAAATATAAAGGAACAGAGTACTATAATGCAAATATTTCCAGACTAGACTTTTAAAAATTTAGTTATATACTGTTATAGAAGACATATCTAAAATATGTATAAAAGATACACCACATAAATACCAACTACAGTTTTATAGACTATCAATAGTCCTTATATGAGTAGACTATCACATATACATTGATTTGCTGCTGCAATGACAATATACATTGATATAAGCTACATTGATATTAGAAAATTAGACTTCAGAGGGAAAGACATTCCTTGAGATGAAGAACAGAACTGTATGCCCACTTGCTGAAAGATAACATCATTTATACTGCATGTCACATTCCCTCAGAATACACATATAAAATCTCTCTTCTACAATGATGAAATTCACAAAGCTCTGAAAATTGAAAGACTTGCAAATTTGCTGCCAAAACCCGAGCTGAAATTATGTAATGTCATTTATAGTCTTTATTTATTTCATTTCATATGAATAGTGGTGGCTTTGCTGTAGAATATTAATGTGTTTCAACACAGGATGCTGCTCTGACCCTGCTCCACAAGTTACATAATTTGTGGTACATGCTCTGTATTTCAAAATTGTTTTTTCCCTTTTATTCACAATCATGATTATAGTGGCAGATTTTTAACTAATCTATTTGGGTAATTGATAGAGTCTTCAAAGAAAAATTACCATTAACGGGTTTGGCCAAGAGAGAAAGAAGAGAGAGACAGAGGGGGGAAAGGGAAGAGAGAGAGAGAGAGAGAGAGAGAGAGAGAGAGAGGGAGAGAGAAAGAGAACCACTGAAAGAAGAAACAAAGATAAACCCATGATCATAATGATGGCAAAAGATTTTTAACCTGTCCCCCTGAGTAATTGACAGAAACTTTAGAGAAAAACTGTGATTCACAAACTTGGTTGAGTATGTATAAATGGCATGTAAATGATATGGTGCGCAACTACTACAGAAAAAAATATTCTTTTAAATGAACATGGAACATTTTTTCAAAACTGAATATATAAATCGAGCTTCCACAAATTTTATAAGGCTGAAATCGTCATTTAATGGGTACAGCACACCAACATGGCACATGTATACATATGTAGCAAACCTGCATGTTGTGCACATGTACCCTAAAACTTAAAGTATAATTAAAAAAAAAGATTGAAATCATACCGAACATGTTTCAAAATGGAAATATAGGTTACAAAATGGCAAGAGAAAAAACTAATCATTAAAAAAGTAGGGATGGTGGCCCCTTCAGAGGGTAGATGGGATCCATGTTGAGAAAGGAACAGGGGAACTTTTGATGTACTGGTAGGAGAAAAGATAAAGCATGTCCTGCATCTCAGGATTTTCATATTAAAAAAGCCATAAAAGAAGCATTGGTGATATCATCAATGGTTAACAAAGGGTCAGTTGTTTGCTTGAATCAACGCTGTAATATTTTATGGTATACAACAATCACTTAGAAGCAACTTTTGATTATAAGATATCACTGTGTACAGTTGACTCAAAAAGCATTCATTTACACATTGCATTCACAGTCCTGCAGTAGATTCTTTCTTATATATGAAAGCACAAGTCATTTTTTTTTTTTTTTTTTTGAGACGGAGTCTCACTCTGTCGCCCAGGCTGGAGTGCAGTGGCGCGATCTCAGCTCACTGCAACCTCCACCTCCCAGGTTCATGCCATTCTCCTGCCTCAGCCTCCCGAGTAGCTGGGACTACAGGCGCCTGCCACCACGCCCGGCTATTTTTTTTTTTGTATTTTTAGTAGAGACGGGGTTTCACTGTGTTAGGCAGGATGGTCTCGATCTCCTGACCTCATGATCCGCCCGCCTCGGCCTCCGAAGTTCTGGGATTACAGGCATGAACAAGTCATTTCTTTAAGGAGCTTACACCTTATGAAGGAAAACACATCAGAAGATAATCTGAGCATGGAAAGCAAACATAAAAGCTGTTAAATATATAAAGCAGCCCCTACTGTTACTGGGAATAACAAGACAGAACTGATCATATGAACTAAACTAATGGAGACAAAATAGTTTAAGGAGAGCCAGAAGTCACACTGGACACTAAGAACAGGAGAATTTTTGCAGACAGAAAGGAAATGACAAAGGTAACATTGTGGGCAAAAATAACTTCTGAGCAAATGCAGGAAGTAGAAACCTAGAAGTCTTCTATGTGAAGAAATTCATGTTGGAAATAGTGGAGAAAGAAAATAAATAAATTGTTGAGTTGGTTTTTATGTGGGTTATGTATTTTTAAAAGGCTGGAAAACAATCTAGATTGATTTAGATGTTATACTATCTATCAAGAAAAGACTGGGTTTTTTTTTCAGCTATATAATTCTATATATATTGAGAGAAAAGTAAAAACAAACAAACAAACTACAACTAATAATTTTAACTCTTCTGATTTTTTGCTGCATAGGAAGAAGTGATATTAACTGAGACTTTTGCAGAGTTTTAGTTGTTTCTAGAACCAGGTAACAAATTAGAGAGGGTTAAGTATGTCTTCCAAAAGTTACCCATTGCATCATCATATCATTAGGTATGTCATTTTGCTAGTAACATTTTTTATTGTTAGTATTTATTAGGAAGTTCAAACAAAAGGAAAATTAAAATCTCAGGTTTGAAGATTAATTCCTGACCAAAAAACAAAAATAGAGAGAGTAGAGAGGGAAAGGGAGAAAGAGAGTGAGAGAGAAGGCAAGGGGAGAAATAATTAACTTCCTCTAAATTTATTTCTGCAATAATATTACTTGCAATAATAATATTTCTGCAATAATTAACTTCCTCTAAATTTATTTCTGCAATAATATTACTTGCAATAATAATATTTCTGCAATAATTAACTTCCTCTAAATTTATTTCTGCAATAATATTACTTGCAATAATAATATTTCTGCAATAATTAACTTCCTCTAAATTTATTTCTTTAGGTGTTTACCAACACCTAAGGAAATACCTTTTATAGGGGAGTTTCACAAAACCTCAGAGAACCTGAAGTCAGATCCTCCAGTCAAGCCTTTCTACAGTCCCTGTATAGCTGTGTATTCTTTTAATTTATCTGAGGCACATTTTTCCTCAAGACATTCTCACATGTCTGTGTGAGCAGAGAGCCTGTGTTCAAGTCCTACCTACCTGTACTGTTTGTTAGCTGTATGATCTAGAACATGTTTTCTCATTGGCAAAATGGAAAAAAAATAATACCACCTACTTCCTTAGAGTTGTTAAGAGGACTAGACTCTGGCCTGGTGTATAGTAAGTGCTGTCTATGTTTCCAGCCATTACTACTTTTTTTTTTTTTTTTTTTTGAGATGGAGTTTCACTCTTGTTCCCCAGGCTGGAGTGCAATGGCGTGATCTTGGCTCACTGCAACCTCTGCCTCCTGGGTTCAAGTGATTCTCCTGGCTCAGCCTCCCTAGTAGCTGGGATTACAGGCATGTGCCACCACGCCCAGCGAATTATTTGTATTTTTAGTAGAGACTGGGTTTCTCCATGTTGGTCAGGCTGGTCTCGAACTCCCAACCTCAGGTGATCTGACCGCCTTGGTCTCTCAAAGTGCTGGGATTACAGGCGTGAGCCACCACGCTCGGCCTCAGCCATCACTATTAAAGAAGATTATGGGTAACACCTAACATAAAATTGTGAGTAAATAAGATATAACATATACCAACTCTATGAAAGCAAGATTCATTCATTTTATTTATTATTTTTTAATTAAAATACTTGAAGAGTTTTGTTTTGAGCCAAATCTGAGGACCGTGGTCTGTGACACAGGCCTCAGGAGGCTTAGGAGGTTCTGAGAACCAAAGGTAGTTGGTCTGTAGCTTTGTTTTATACATTTTAAGGGAGCAAAAGTTACAGGCGAAGACAGAAATGCTGTGGTTAAGATAAAAGGGGGTTGTGGAAGCCAAAGTTCAGAGAGAATAGATGGTAAATGTCACTTATTGGACCTTAAAAGGTGTCAGACTCTCAGGAAAAGACCTGGTAAGGGAAGGAGATTCCCTACAGAATGCAGATTTTCCCCATAAGAGACAACTTTGCAGGGGCATTTCAAAATATATCAAAGAAATAGATTTTGGGGGTAAAATATTTGGCTGCTCATGTTTTATTTCTAGTTCACCACTTGTAGCCAAGCTGGCCTGGCAGGGGCTGGGACCAACTCAGCTGCACACGTGGTCCCTCAGGTGGAGGAGGTCCTGTCACCCCGCGATGCTGGAGTCATTGCAGGAAACTCCGGATTTTATCGTGGTAAACGGAGCCCCAAGAGATGCTCAGCAGCTGTACACATTGCATTGCTCACATCTCATTAGCCAAAGCAAGTCATGTTGTTATCCCTCATTTTAAACAGTGTTCTAAGTATGGATAGTTGGAGTAGTGCGAGGAAAATGAAGATAATGTGTGATAACTGGGAATGCTATCCATAATTACCACAGAGGCTAAAGCCAGATATACTCAGGCTCTCACAGTTTATTTTGTTAACTTAATCATAATGAAATGTAAGTCATCGCTTCTTTAGACAACTTTTTCTAAACTGCAATCAACTGCTTGGTAAACATATTGGGAAATATGCTGGTACCTTTGTGACTTTGAGATAGCTGATGGTCCCCAGTGCTTCACAGGTACCATATGATCACCTAATACCCTCTCAGTATTATGTTCCAATGAGAGATTCGTTAAGGCTCAGATAAGAACTAGTTAATGGTTCCATGGATTAATTGAGATTTTGGAGTCAGATTTCATGAACTCAAAATTCAGATTTTTTTTTTGAGACCCCAGACTGGAGTGCAGTGGTGTCATCTCGTCTCACTGCAGCCTCGACCTCCTAAGCTCCAGTGATCCTCTCACCTCAGCCTCCCAAGTAGCTGGGACTACAGGCGCATGCCACCACACCCAGCTAAGTTTTTGTATTTTTAGTAGAGATGGGGTTTTCTTGTGTTGCCCAGGCTGGTCTCAAACTCCTGAGCTCAAGCAATCCACCCGCCTTGGCCTCCCAAAGTTCTGGGATTACAAGTGTGAACCACCCTACCGGGCATCAGATGTGCAACGTAATAATTGTGATTCTAGGTATTTACTCCCTACTCCAGGGAGGTATTTCCATATTGGACATAGTACATACCTAAAACACAGGATGTTAGGAGGATAAAGCGAGATGGCTTTTGAAAGTGCTTAGTAAATTGTCCTTATGGAGAAACAATAAATGTTCCTTATTACTACCGCCACTTTGAGGCCTGTGGAAAATAGGACTTTTTTAAATAGAAGATTTATTTTTCATATAAGAAATAGAAATTGGTATGTCAAATACCACTCTGGCTTTAAGGATTCTGCAAGTTTTTAAAGACAGTCATTTCAGCAATGATACAGTGTAGTCATTCAGCCCAAAGAAAGACACAAGGAGAGGAAAGTGAAATTAGATTTGAGGGGGGGGCCGTTATTACATGTGTATGTGTATCACATGTATCTATGGTCATGTGTGTATATATATATATATATGTTTCTGTATTATATGAATATTGGCATGAAGAATATATTCATCCTTTTTTTATATAATCAAAATAACAGGTGCTATACAAATTAGTGGCATATGTTAGTCTATCAAGAAATAGAAGTAGTTTTTCAGGATAAGCATTATAACATACTTTTTAGTTAATAAGTTGGTGACAAAAAATTGTATGTTCTCACTTATGTTGTTTAACAATTACTTAATAAAATTCTTCTTGTGAACAACATGAGACTCGGCAAAGGTAAGGTAATAGGAGAGAGTGAAAAAAAACATAAACAGATAATCTACTCAGGATCAAATATAATTTTGAAGGCCACTTCATGTAGATTAAAATCCATGAAAACTCATTTCATGCTTCTATAAAATTGCTTTCAATTATCTTCAAGGATTAGTAAACACTGAGAAAAGTGAATAGAGCAGCCCAGTGTAACAAAGATTTAACAGGATGACTAAAATTAGCTTTTAAAATGAATACTGCATTTTTGAATTAAGAATTTGGACAAAGTCCTACTGAGGCTTATCTGGGGTTGGCTTTGGGCCTGCAAAAGTACTTATTATGGTCAACCTCTGCTACTGAAACATTTATTAGGGCTGGATGGAGTTGGACTTGGTCAACGAGAGCGATGCTTTTAATTGCATTCATTCTTGATACTTATGTTTTTCACAGTGTTTTAATTCAAAATAGTCCATTTTACTGCAGGACAGATTTTTCTATCCCATTTACCATGTATAATTTTTTAAATAACATTTTTATTGAGGATGTGTAGAGCTAGATTAAGCTTTAGAAAATAAATGATTATCTACCAGTGGTCAGATCAAAACATAAAATAGACATTAGTTGCACACAAGAAGCCCTCCTCATGCTCCATTCCTCTATCTACTCCTGAAAATAACCACTATCATGGTTTATAACACCATGTATTAATTTACCTGTCTTATAACTTGGTAGAATAGAATAGTATATTTAGGATCTTTTGTTTCAACATTATATTTTTATATCCAGACATGTTTTGGCATGTAGCAATACTTTATTCATACTCATTAACTGTATAGTATTTATTTCATCAATAAATCGCAATTTATCTATCTGATAGTCTATTGATGGGCGTTGGGATTTCAAGTCTAGGCTATTATGGATAGTGCCACTATGAATTTTTAAATATCTTTTGATGAACACGTGTATGCCTTTCAGTTATTCGTAGTCTAAAACATATCCTAGAACTTGAATTCCTGAATATATATATATACATACACTCAGACTTAATAGATACCGCCAAACAATTTTGCAAAGAAGCTATTACAATTTACACTCCCACCAACAGAGTGAGTTCCTATTATTTAAATTCTTGCCAGCACTTGTCACTTTGTCTTTTTTTATTTTAACCATGCAAGTCCTTCAGTTTTGTTTTCCTCCCTCAAAACTGCCTTGGTTATCCTTAGCCTTTGCATTTCCGTGTAAATTTTATGATTAAGTTTGCAAATTTTCACAAAATCTGCTGTGATATAGATTGGAATTGCACTGAATCTATGTATTAATATAGAGAGAATACACATATTTACAATAGTGAGCGTTCCTATTCACAAACATGGTGTACCCTTCCAGATACATTGAGGTCATTTAGAAGTGCTCTTAATAATGTTTTCTCATTTCATTATAGAGGTCCTCCACATCTTTTGCTTTATTCTTGCTTGATTTATTCTTAAGTATTTATTTTTATACTGTCGTAAATAATATTTTTAAATTTCACTTTCTATTTGTTCTTGAGATGTAAAAAAATATTTTTATTAAAATATGCTGGCAATTTATCCAGTAATTTTGCCAAATTTACTTATTAATTTAAATATTTGGCTATAGATTTTGGGAGGATTTTCTGTATACATCATCATCTTAACTCTGAATAATGATGTCTTTTTATTCTTCCTTTTATAAGAAATCTTTAAAAATGTATTCTTATTGTACTGTCTCTCCTATAACATGGTGAATAGAAGTGCTAGCAGGAGAATCTGTCTTGTTCCCATTGTTCTGAAGAAAGCTTTCCATATTTCAGTATTTGGTGCAAAAAAAATGTTAGATACTCATCATTAAATCAAGGAAATTTCTTTCTAATCCTAGTTTGTTAAAAAGCTTTCATGATATTTGTCTATTGAATTTCATCAAATGTATTATTCTTCAACTGCTGAGATTATCTTAAAATTTTTCTTTTCGTTTTCCAACAATATGGTGAATTACACTGAGTGACCAGAACATACAAACACTTTCGACCTTCTGGTGTAAACCTCATTGTGGTTGCAATGAATTATACTTTTATACATTGCTAATATTTCACTTATGATATTTTACTTCTGTTTCATGAGAGAAGTTGGTTTATAATTTATTTGTCTTATATATCGTTTTTAGGTTTTACATCACAGCTAAACTAGGCTTCTAAAACACATTTATAAGTATTTCCTTTTTTTCTCTTTTCTGGAAGAGTTTCATAAGATTGGCATTGTTACTTTTTAATACTTGGAGGAATCATTAGTGAAACTTGGTCTCAGGAAGTTGTTTTTTTTTTTTTTCAGCTTTCTTGAGGCATGATTGACAAATACTGTATTTATTTAAGTTGCACAACATGATTTTTTTTGTTTTTTTGTTTTTTTTTTTGAGACGGAGCCTCGCTCTTTCGCCCAGGCTGGAGTACAGTGGCGCGGTCTCGGTTCACTGCAATGCGCTCCGCCTCCCGAGTTCACGCCATTCTCCTGCCTCAGCTTCCCGAGTAGTTGGGACTACAGGCGCCCGCCACCACGCCTGGCTAATTTTGTTTTTGTATTTTTAGTAGAGACAGGGTTTCACTGTGTTAGCCAGGATGGTCTCGATCTCCTGACCTCGTGATCCGCCTGTCTCGGCCTCCTTAAAGTGCTGGGATTACAGGTGTGAGCCACCACGCCCTGCCCTCATGATGTTTTTATTTACAGATACACTGTAAAATGATTACCACTATCAAGCTAATTAACGTATCAATCACCTCATGTAGTTACCTTTTTTTGTTTATTTTTGTGGTGAGAACACTTGAGATCTATTCTCTAAGCAAATTTCAGGTATACAATACATTATCGTTAACTATAGTCACAAGGCTGTACATTAAATTTCAGAACTTATCATCTTATAACTGAATATTTGTACCTGTTGACCAACTTCTCCCCATTTCTCCCACTCCCAGCCCCTACTAACCACCATTCTATTCTCTTTCTATGAATTCAACTTTTTTAGATTCCATATATAGGTGAGATCGTGTATTATTCATCTTTCTGTGTCTGGCTTTTTTCACTTAACGTAATGTCTTAGGAGTTTTCTTTAGGGGAAGGTTTTCAGTAACTAATTTGACTTATTTAGGAGTCTTCAGATTTCTTAATTCTTCCAGTCATTTTGATTCGTTGTGTTTTGTTAAGAAATTTGTCCATTTTCCCTCAAATGCTCTTATCATTACAATATCTTTGGAATCTGTAGTGATGTCTTGTTTTTAATTCCTCATGTTATTTACGCTTTCTCTCTTTTTAAATTAAGTTTCTTTCACTAGGGTTTATCTATTTTTATAATTTATTTTAAAAAACAATTGGTTCTGAGGATTTTCCGCATTATGTTTGTTTTCTACTGATTGATTTCTTCACTTACATCTATGGTTCCTTTCCTTTTGTTTTCTTTGGAATTGATTTAGCATTCTCTTTTGTTTTTTGAGATGGAGTCTGGCACCGTTGCCCGGGCTGGAGTGCAGTGGTGCGATCTCGGCTCACTGCAACCTCCGCCTCCGGGGTTCAAGCGATTCTCCTGCCTCAGCCTCCCGAGTAGCTGGGATTACAGGTGCCTGCCACCATGCCCAGCAAATTTTTATATTTTTAGTAGAGACCAGGTTTCACCATGTTGGCCAGGCTGGTCTCGAACTCCTGACCTCAGGTGATCCACCCACCTCAGCCTCTCAAAGTGCTGGGATTACAGGTGTGAACCACCGCACCTGGCCAGCATTCTCTTTCCTAATCTTCAAATGGGAACTTAGGTTATTGATTTTCTATCTTTATTCTTTTTCTTCTATATTCCTTCTATATAATTCCTTCTAAGTAGTACTTGCTTTATCTGTATACTCCATATTTTGATAGGTATTTCATCAGTTAAAATATTTTTTAATTTTCATTTTTAATTCTACCTTGACAGAGGAGCTATTTGGAAGCTTCCTCCTTACTCTCTGAATAGTTGGATATATTATATTTAGCATTTCATTATTTACTTCTATTTTAATTACAATGTGGGAAGAGCATATACTCTGATTTATTTGAATATTTAAAAATGTATTAATATCAGTTTTGGTAAATTTACACATGCTATTGAAATGAAGTTTTATTCCATTATTGTTAGTTGTAGTATTCTGATAGTATTCTGTACATTACAATTAGAATGAGTCTGTTAATATTGGCCAGTCTTTTGGTTGCCTTCTTTTATTAGTTATTGAGAGAGAGATGTTAAATTCTGTCTCTATCCTTCTATCCTTACCTCATATTTATTTATTGTAAGATTTATTTACACAACTTATAGCCTATTTATATTATTTATATTCTATATATTTAAAATATTAACTGGTGCATAGACGCTCATAATTGTTATACTTTCCTGTTTATCATAATAAACTATCATTCTCTGTCTCTGTTTATGTACTATTACTGCTTTTTGCCTTAACAAAGCCGTGATTATTCTACTTTGCCTGATATTATATTGGGACACGAGCTTTCCTTTAGTTAGTGATTATATAGTATACCCTTTTTCTATTCCTTTACTTGCAACTTTTGCGTGCATCTATTACAATGATTCTCCTATAAGCAAATATAGCTAGATTTTGTTTATTTTATCCACTGTAAGAATCTTGGACTTTTAATTGTAATATTTGGTCTACTCATGATTAATCCAATTGCTGATATATTTGGGTTTATAGGCATCATCTTACTTTTCATTTTTTCTGTTTGACCTATCTGCATGTTGCTATTCCTTTTTCTCTTTTTCAAGTGTGTGAATCAACTACTTATTAATTTTCCTTTTCCCCTTTATTAAGTGGTTACTTACAATTCTCCAAGCTTATTATTCCCTGAGACATGCTGTCCCTGACATTTTACCACGTAATAGGGTTTAAGAACTTTTCCCTTTATCTGACCCTTTTGCGTTATTGTTATCTTGTGTTTTAACTCTATTATTTTTTAAACCCCAGAAGACCTTGTCATTTATTACTGTTGTATAGGTCATAGGTATTTATATTTCCCCACATAGTTACTCTCTCATTATTCCTTATTCTGTCTTGCATTTCCATGTTCCCATCTGAGGCCATTTTTCTGTTCCCTGAAAAACTCATTTTAGTATTTGAGTGCAGGTGTAGTTTCTTCATTATGGCTTGTCTTAAAATGTCTTTATTTTGTGTCTATTTCTGAAGGATTTTTGATGGATATAGAATTCTGGATTAGAAGCTATTTCATTTCAGTACTTAAAGATAACTGTGTTTACACGATGAAATGGAAGTCTTTTTTGGAGTTTTAGTTGCTTCTGTAAAAAAGTTGTGTCTTTTTTTCTGACTGCTTTAAAACTTTTTCCACTTTGTCTTAGGTTTCTAGTGCGTTCACTAAGATCTGCCTTACGGTGTGTTTCTTAGTATTTATTCTATTTAGGTTGCCTACACTTCTTGAATCTGAAAGTTGATGTCATAAATCACTTTGGGAACATTCTCAGTTTATCTGTTTTTATATTTTTTTGTCTCATTTTTCTCCTTTTGCTGTTTCTGAAACTGCAATTATGCATATTAGAACATTTCATTAAATTTCATGCGTCTCTTTTATTTTGTTCATTTTAAATTTTTTTAGTCCTCTCTTTGATTCAATTTTTCTCTGATTCAGCTCCTCTCTGTGATTCAGATCAACTTTCTATTGATCTGTCCTACAGAATTAATCCTCTTTTCTCTTATAAACCAAACTGTCAATTTATTGATTTCAGTTATTTTGTTTCTTTTCATTTCTAGGATTTCTACTCAATTCTTATTACAGATAGTAATATTCTGTTAAAATTGCAACCTTTATTATATTCTTTATCTATTTCTCTTTATCTTTCTCTTTATTTCCTTTATCTTAAAAACCAGAAATATTTTCAAAACTTTGTTTCCAACTCCAATATTTAGATCACCTGTAGTTCTATTTCTTTTGTGTAATTTTCCCCTTAGATTTTGTTCTGTGGTTCCCTTTCTTAAATTTTCTAGAAATTTTTGGTTAAATATCAAACAGTGTCTTTACAAATATTTATAGTCTCCTAATTAGTTTACATCCTGCAGAGAACAGCCCCTGTTTCCTCGGCAGGGTAATTGAAGGAAGGAAAGATCATTTTAATTTAACTCAATTTGAGATTAAACTGACTCTCAACTGGACTGCAGACTCATAAGGTTTCTTCTGCTTTTGATGTGATCATACTCTTGGCAGAACCTGCTGAAGGCTTCCAACTCAGAGTCTGGAGAATTTCCTGGGGCCTCTTCTCCTGGTGAGGTCTCTACTGCAATTCCTAGACCTGCACTGTTGACAGTTCTGTTCTGCCTTTCAGAGGTTCTCTTCTGCTTAAACTTGCTGCTTCAGAATTCCTCAGATGTCTTTAGGGAAAAAAAAATACACAGGGGATATATGGAAAATGTATGTATCTTCTGCTCGATTTTGCTGTGAACCTAAAACTGCTCTTAAAAATAAAGCATATTTTTTTAAAAACCCCAAAACAGTGGCAAGCTCAGTTTTTTACTCTCCTTCCCACTGACATGCTGGCCTTTCAAGTTTCTAAATTTGTCTCTCCAGCTGAGCTCCATCGGACTACCAGCGCCTCTGCAGGTTCCCGTGTACTTAGTGGCAGTCCTCTGACGCGGAAAATCCTGCATTTTCACCTCCTTACCTTCCTCTAGATAAAGCTAATGCCTCCAGAGTAAAAATGTTGCAGAATGTCAGTCATCCAGCACCCCAGCAGTGTCACTTCCCTGGGATCTTAATCCTCCAGTGATGTCTGATTTAGTAGCTCTTCCAAGGCTTTAAATAGATTTATCTGTGTGTATTTTATCCAATGTTTAAAATTTTGTTTTTCTTGTAAGGAGTGTAGGTCTTATCCTAAGCTATTCTGTTATACTTGAAAATGGAATTTCTCCTAAGTCACGTCATTATGATTTATTATCTAATACACAGATCTGTTATAAACCTTACTTTTTTGTTCTTTATGGAGTTAACCTTGTTTGTTTAGAGATACATGGATATGAGATACATGAGATTTCCCCTAAGAATTTTACCCATATAAATAAGCTGCAGATAAACACGCTTCTTCTTGAACAACTAAGAATAAACTGTGAGGTACATGAAAGGTAGTCATAAATTAAAAATATTTAGCATAATTAATGTTTAAATGTTTTTGGTAGACATTTTAACACTAAAGAAATTTAATTGATCTTGTAATGTTTACATAGTACTGTGCATAGGTTCTAGAAGAAAACTATAACAAAATGAATAAACAGTGAATTCTGATTAGTTTTTTTTAAATGTCATTAAAATTTTTTTGTGGGCTGGGCGTGGTGGCTCACGCCTGTAATCCCAGCACTTTGGGAGGCCGAGGTGGGTGGATCACAAGGTAAGGAGTTCGAGACCAGCCTGACCAACATGGTGAAACCCCGTCTCTACTAAAAATACAAAAAATAAATACATAAATAAAAATTAGCCAGGCGTGGTGGCATGCTACTCGGGAGGCCGAGGCAGGAGAATCGCTTGAACCCAGGAGGTGGAGGTGCGTGAGCTGAGATCATGAGATCAGGAGATCAAGACCATCCTGGCTAGCATGGTGAAACCCCATCTCTACTAAAAAATACAAAAAATTAGCCGGGTGTGGTGGCAGGTGCCTGTAGTCCCAGCTACTCGGGAGGCTGAGGCAGGAGAATGGCGTGAACTCAGGAGGTGGAGCTTGAAGTGAGCCGAGATCGCCCCACTGCACTCCAGCCTGGGTGACAGAGCGAGACTCCGTCTCAAAATAATAATAATAATAATAATTTGTGAATATTGATTAGGAAACAAGATTTTGACTGACAAAAAATAAGCCAATAACTATGAAATAAAATACTTTGGTTCCAATTTGATTGATAAAATAAATAACATAGTATTGCATTATTACTCAAAACATAAATATCCATGAGTCCATACTCAATAAATGATAAAATAAATAAATAGGAGAAAGTGGACAAGTATCCTGTGCAGAAGAATCTCAAATACTTTATACAGATACTCTTAAGGAAGCAGACTATATCTCCCTATCCCTGAAATGTGGGCTGTGCAGAGTGAAAACATTTTTTCAATGAGTACAGTATGGAAATAGTGAAAGACTAAACCTTCAGTGGAAAAAACCTGACAAATACTACCTGAGCCGGATGATCAAAGTCAACCTTGACAGTGATAATACATATTGACAGCGATAATACATATTGACAGCGTGTACTCTTGATCTGTTATGATGAGAAGGGCACTTTACTTCTGCAGTCTTCTTCCCAAAATACATGGCCCCAGTCTTAGCATAAGAAAGACATCAGACAAACCCCCAAAAATGAGCATAGTACAAAACACCAGGACTCCTAAAAAATGTCAAGGTCATCAAAAACAAGAGATATCTGAGAAAGCGTCACATTGTACTGGGGCCTACAGAGACATAACAACTAAATGTAATGCAGTATCCTGGATGGGGTCCTGGGGCAGAAAGAGGACTTTCGGTGAAAAACCAAGGCTATATGAATAAAGCATAACTTCGGTTAGTAATAACATATGAATATTGTTTCATTAGCTGTGACAAGCCATGGTAATGAAACAATATTCATATGTTATTACTAACTGAAGTTATGCTTTATTCATATAGCCTTGGTTTTTCATATAGGAGCTCTCCATACTGTCTTTGCAACTTTTTGTCAACTAAGAATATTCTAGAGTTTTTTAAAAGTTTATTTTTTAAAAAGTTTGGTTTCACTGAGTAAGATAATGACGTATTATGCCTGTTTTCCCTATTCCCAATACACGTAATCTGACATAAATTGCTGAACAGCTAGTTGCAAGACTAAAGTGAGTTTCTCATTACAGGTTGATGTAGTCATTTACTAATTGTCATTAAATCTGAATAAATTATATAAATATAAACTATACAAGACCAAAGCCAAACAAAATTGATTATATTTTTACTCTAAATTTAACCTATAATTTCATGAACTATCCTTCATGCCCTGAGTATGTAGGCAATTAGATAAAAGTGATACATGGGTTGAGGAAAAATTTATTGAAATATGTTAAGTCTGCAAACATTTTTAATAAAGTCCTACCTAGATGCTTCTTCTAGCTTGGCAATTATTTATCTCACCACATAACCTCGCTTCATAGTATAATCTTTTATGTAGAATGAATAAGTTTTTTGGTAAAAATTCCCTTTGTCTTTTATAAATGTATATTATATTCCAAGAGCAGAATCTAAGTTTATTGCTTATTTATTTATTTATTGTTTATTAAAACAGCATTGTTTTGAATTAATCACTCAACTATAATGAGAGTTGGGATGACCATTTTGTGACTTAAGAATTTCAGCACCATTGTTCTTAGTCTAATCACTTACTTTAATAATTAGTAGATCATTAGATGACTTCCTTGTCCAATTAGATTTTTGTTCATTTTTATAATTTAAAAATACTATTTCAAGAAAGATTATAAAACTACTTGAATTTACAATACACATTTGACATTTAAAAACACAGAAAATATTTATAATTTTTACTACATGTGCAAACTGCATGGCTGAGTTTGCAGAAATGCAATATTTTCTTTCCTGGCTCTATAGTCACTTGTCTCCAAACTCTCATGACCTTCTTTTTATAGATTATGCCTAAGATACCATCTCTAATTAAATTTCCGTGTAGTGTGAATAATTCAATTTATCAAACTCTCGTCATTGAGACAAGCAATTCACCACATTCAATGTAATTATTAATGTAAATTCCTCCAGATAATATCTTCATTGACAGACAGCATCCCTTCATTTTTGTGGGCCTCGCAGATGATTTACACAAGAGAATTTGATATGTTTTTATTTATTTTTTCCTCCAGAAAAAGAATCCTAAAAAAGATTCTTGTGAAAGCACTAGACACAAAGATGTTGACATGTTGTACCTCTAAGCAACATAATTTATGTTTGGGGGAAACGCCCAGTGTTGGGTTCTGACCATCAATATTTCTGAAAAAAAAATGTAGACTTTACAACAAAACAGTTTACTTTTTTAGTATAGATTATCAAATAAAAAGGATGAGTTGAGCAATTATGCGGCCTCTAGCAACTTATATCAGAAATAGAAATAACCCAGATTCAAAAATAACTTACAGGCCCATCAGTCAATCAAATAAGGGTGCTGCTGAAAAAAGACCTAAATATCTCAGTCACAACAAAGACAACTATTTTCAGAGAGGGCACTGTAGACAAAAACACTGTTTGCAGCTGCAACCCAGCCCTAAGGAGGGCTGCAGACTGGGTTGGGAGAGAGGCCGGTAATGAGCAAAACGAACTCTGTAGCCTAGCTCTCCAGTGAGAAATGCAGGCCAATCAGACCATTTTTAGCCTGCCACAATTGTCCAGGGAGCCTCAGGGCACAAAGGTTGCACAACTGCACCCTTGAATAAACACATATTTGGATTAGTGTCATAAGAGCATGCACGATTGGCTTTTCTCCAAAGCCCCACATTTTGACTGCTGGGACAGGGAATAAAGCAATGTATTATACGGTTAACCAGTGGGCCCAGAGGAAAGAGAAAGAATCCATCCAAGCGTCTCAGAGCACAAGCCATAAAGCTGCCTGCTGGAACTGCAGGCATCCACAAAGAGCCCATCACTCCTTCATCTGCCTAAGAAAACTTTCAATGCCTAGTGCTAAGAAGCAGAAAGAGCCACACTGGCTAGGAGGGGGCTAGTGATAGAATTTGAGGAAGATGAATGAACCGCATGTTAAGCTGCTTCACTGTGGATCCCAGTTTAAAAGCCCTGGTAAATAATTTGCCATCCACTGTTACCTGGAATAGGATGAAAGGCACTGTGTGAGTCGATCCATTACACTACTTAAGATAACTTTGAAAACATGGGAAAACAAGTGATTCCATTGCCTTTGAAAATAAAATAATCTTGCAAAACTACTTTGGTTCTTAAATAAAATATAAATTGGATGTTGGCATTTGCAATATGAACCAAGGAATTATGATGGGAAAAGTTAACGTGACTGCATGCATCATCAGTCATGAGAGAATAGGAACAGCTTTGGAAGACAGCATGGGGAGGATGAGAAGCCAGTGCTTTCCCATCATCAGAGCCCTCAGGCTCTGAAAGAGTGGCCCTGGGAGCAATCTGGAGAAAGGTGGCACTGGCATGGCAATGTCATCTGTTTTTCATATGCCCCTAAGTGAGCTCCAAGGCTGGAAAATCATAATTTGGTATCTTCTCCAGGCCTTCTAAAACCATGGTGCATAAATTTCTGAGGGTATTTATAAGTGACAGACATACTTCCAAGTACCATTAACTAGAGTACTCTATTCATGACATATCCTACTTGGTTTAGTTATGATAACTCAGTCAGCAATTCATTTACTTATGCACTCATTTATTCACCTAATGTCTATTGATTATTTAGAATGCACCAGGCACTTGATCCAGCTGTCCAGAATACAAGATATACTCCTGAAGTCTGACTTTCATTCATTAACAACCACATGGATGAAGAAAGCATAAAAAAAGAAACCATTAAAAGATAGCTGGATTATAACCTAGCTCCCATTTGCACAGAGAGCTGTGGAAGTCAGCAGGTAACAGTTAGCTTTGGGACAAAATTCATAAGATGAATCATTCTTAGGACACGTCACTTATGCAAAGGTTCAATCTTAAATATTTCAAGTCATGAAACTTCTGAGGACCTCTACAGTTGCTTTACAAAGCTATATGTGGGTTCTGTTTAGTAGAAATATTTCTCAGTTACTAGTTTATTGGCTCATGTACTTTGTACCTCATCCCAGGCCATTCTCCTCAGCCTGGAGGAAATTTGGTAGTCATTAAGGACATACAATGTAATAAAGTGTATATTGGTGGCAATATGTTTCCTTTCTCTGTCAGCTGAGAGAGCCCAGAAGCAATAACACCCCAGTAGCAATTAGCACACCTCCTGCCCAGATCATGGCTTCTAATACTATTCTCCAACAAAGGAAGCCCAAGCCCCTTGCAGAAATAAGTGATTCTAGGGCTGAGGCAGAAAAAGGAGGCTGAGCCTGGGGCATCTTGTAGTGTCAGTAAGTAAGACAGCATTTAAAACAAACAAAGCACCCCAAAAACCCACCTGACGACGATGGGGGTTATGTCCAAGGGACACAAGAGCCAATTGAAGGAGCCCAGATTGCCAAATACACAGCAATTTGAGCAACCAAAAACTATCACAGGATTGGATCATAACCCAGTGCTTAGGACCAATATCCATGTGTCCATATTGTTATCAATTAATGGTTGAATAAATAAATAAATGAAGAAGAAGAGATGCAAGCCCTGTGCAGAATCATTCCATTTAATGTATAATTTACATTCTGTTCTCCCTCCAGGAAGTGGAGGATCACATCTCACCCTGCAAGTGCGAGCTATGCAGAGTGCTGTTCTGCTGAGGAATGCGTATGGAAAGGTGAGGAAAGCAACCACACAGCGGATAAAGTTGAGAAACACTACCTCAGCCCTGTGGCCAAGGTCAGCATCAACAGCGACACATTATGTTGGTGGTATATACTCACATGATGTGGTCATGTGATGTGGTGATGAGAAGAGCATTTCCTCCTCAAAGCCCATAACCCCATTCTAATAATGAGAAAACTATCAGCAAACCCCAAATTGAGGCACAGAGTGCAAAGTGCCTGGCCGGTACTCCTCAGAACTGTCAAGGTCACCAAAAACATGGACAGACCCAGCAACTGCCACAGCCCAGAGGAGCCTAAGACGAGATGAATAAATGTCATATAGTCTCCTGAATACCATCCATGAGCAGAAAAAGGACATTGGGTGAAAACCAAGGACATCTGAATAAGGTATGGACTTCAGTTAATAATAATGATCTGTATTGATTAATTGGTTGTGACCAAAATACCATAGTAATATATAAGGTGTTAACAATAGGGAAAACTGGGCACAGGGCATGTAGGAACTCTTGGTATTATTTTTGCAACTTTTTTGTAAATGTATAACTATTCTAAATAAAATATTCATTTAAAAAATATAGAAACTTAGAATTCCCTCTGGTAGCCTCTCTGCTGTCCCCTTTATGACACAGGTGAGAAGGGAGGAAGGAAAGGGAGGTCCTTCGGGTGGCAAGCGTGAAGGGAGTGAGAGCTCCATTCCTCCTTCGTCTTTTTGTGAGAGCAGGGCCTCTTGCCATCCCGGGTGCCTGAGTCTGAAAGGCACTGTGGCTCAGAGAGGGCATTTGGCTTGTACACAGCAAGCAGGGAAGTGGGAATTTCAAAGGGGCCAAAATGGCGAAGGAGGAACCCTGAATCAGCTGCCAGAGCTGGGATGCCTGTTCCTGTAATGATTACACTGAAATTACTTCCATCCAGAATGGAATACATATATACTCTCACCAAAGAAAGGGTTTTTTTTTTTTTTTTAACGCGAGACTTGTTTTTAAAATCATCACTTGCTCTTTATGAGTATGCAGTGACATCATGGTGCTAGTCATAAAAATATAGCGAAAGTAGGAGAGACATATCATCTTTTGTCCACAGTTAGACAAACAACAAACATTTAGAAAATTTCAGGTTGTTGCTGTCAAGTACTAAAGCCACCATCTGCATAAGGCATGGCAACCCAAGGTTAAACCCTAAAATGGAATCTCTCTGAGTCAGGGTCTCTGCCCACTGAACCAGCCTGAAGGTTAAGCAAGGTCAAGAAGCAGCTGCAGAGAATGAATCACCGGCTTCCTCCTCACCAGCAGGGGCTCCAGCCTGCTTGCCGTCTGATTCTATGCCTGTATACCTGCTTTCTGGTCTCAGGCTACCTCTGCTTGCAGTGACACCTTGAACTCTCTTGACATGAGTGTGTCTCTTTGCTGGCCCCTGTCCAAGTTTGTCCTCTGATATGAAGTGTGATTCTGTCCCGGCAAATTAACCTTTTCAGGTTTGATTGCTGGACCCTCTTTTATTAGGAAGTATATGGCCTGAAAATGCATGGATTCAGGCACTTTTCAGGATGTTGGACAGATCTGCAGAGATTAGAGAGCAGGTGTCCATACTCAAGGGGACAGTTATTTGCAGAGCTGGATGTCCTTACTGAACTCTGGAGGGTTGGCAGCAGGTGAGGTTTGGTGGAGAGAGATCAGGATCATCTAGAGTGCCTTTTAGACTCCCTGCACATGCTCTTGGAAATAATGCTATACCCTCTCCCAAACAGGGCGTATTCAAACCCCCCACATAGGGAATACTGTTGATGTGAGTCACTGTTACTCGTGACAGCTTCTTACTCCACAGAAGTGCTGAACACAGGTAATTGGGCCACATTCCTTGGTGCAGAGTGGTGGTTAAATATCACAGTCCCTCCATAGTGGGTGGTAACCAGCCACTCTTCTTATCCTCGATGTGACTGGATGCTCCCCCTTCTCTCCCAGGCCCTGCATCACCCGGCCCTCACCAAAATTCAGTGGCAACAGATGCCTGACACAGGATGCAGGTGCAAGGGTGCTGAGGGTCTGTGCTTCAGTGCCTCAGCCGCTGCTGTCACTGGGATATGCCAGAGCCAGCTGTTCAGCATTTTGGGCATCACTGCTGTCTGTGCTGAAGGTAGAGAGCTGCTACAGATGGACTGAGCCAGAAAACCTTTGAGCGGGGGCTGGAGCTTCTGTACTTTTTGATGACTTGTCCAGTTGGGAACCACTAACCAAGACTTCACTATTCCTGTTTTCTGAATATTTGTTGGTAAAGGGCTAAGTCATCGTGTGTGTGTGTGTGTGTGTGTGTGTGTGTGTGTGTGTGTTTAATTGCAGATTTTTACGGGGTGTGTTAAAGTAGGAGGAGGTAAGGCAGTTGCAAAAAACATAATATGCAGACATCAAGAAAGATGGCAATTTACCCGAAGCACATTTTATGCCATCATTGAGCTTCTCCCTGCCTTTTAAAATTTGTCATTAGTTAAACAGACACAGTAAACATCTTTGATCCATTCTTTCGATTATTTGCCTTCCTAAGTATGTTTGCAAACTTGCCCCCTCTTCTTCATTCCCTTTGTCATTGATTTTTGAAGCAAGAGTGGCTTCAATACATTTCTCTTTGCATCTCTATATCCAATGTCTCCCTCCCCCAGGCCAACCTCCTCCACAGCCATCAAAGTGATGCTTACGAGACCCAAAGCTGATCAAGCCATCGACCACTTAGATTCTGCAGGCACTCTCTGTCACGTAAGTGTAATGCATTAGTCTCTCAGCGTGACCAGAAGGTGTTGATGATGTGATGTGTCTGTTCTTATCTCTTAGCACTGCCTTTGCTCTGCCTCCTTTCAGATGTATCAAATATTTGAAGTTGTCTGAGCAAACCATGGTCAGATTGGGGGGCCTCTGTCTGCACAGGCCACTCCCTCTCCCTGGGAAGCCTCTTTGGCCTTTCTTTCCTTCCTGCTGCCCACCCTTCTCCCCAGTAACTTCCACTGTGCTGATGGGGTTGACCACTTAGCTTCAGCCTGAACCCTTGGTCACTTCTGGTGAAGGCCTGCTCTTGAAAAAAGCACGGCCTTTTTGTCTTTACAGGCCAAACATTGTATGTACAACTCAGCCATGCGGTCACCACCCAGGTGTTTTACACCTTAAGGGCACTCCAGGCCCTCTGTACAGCACACTGCAGGTAAATCAGCTGGTGATCATCGAATACACAAATGAATGGCAAGAACAGAAGGAACTGGCTGGTGGAACAGGCCCAACACCATGTGGAAGTTGCCAAGGCTTGGGGCCTGCACCCTTTGAAGCAATGGCCCAAGCTGTACCTTGGCCCCTTTCGGTCATGGCTGTAGCTGGAGTGTCTGGGACATGGAGCACCAAGTCCTGAGGCTGAACAGAGCAGCGGGACCTTGGGCCCGGCCCACAAAACTATTTTTTCCTCCTAGTCCTCTGGGTCTGTGATGAGAGAGGCTGCTGCCAAGATCTCTGACATGCCATGAAGACATTTTTTTCCCCATCGTCTTGATGATTAGCATTTGGTTCCACGTTACTTATGCAGATTTCTGCAGTGGCTTGAATGTCATCTCAGAAAATGAGTTTTTCTTTTCTATCACATTGTCAGCCTGCAAATTTTCCAAACTTTTATATTCTGCTTCCCTGTTAAACATAAGTTTCTATTTCAGATGACCTCTCCCAGGTTCAAAGTTCCACAGATCTCTAGGTCAGGGCCAAAATGCCACCAGTCTCTTTGCTAAAGCATAGCAAGAGTGACCTTTGCTCCAGTTCCCAAGAAGTTCCTCATCTCCATCTGAGACCATCTCATTCTGGATGTCATTGTTCACATCATTACCAGCATTTTGGTCAAAACCATTCAACAATTTTCCAGGAAGTTCCATACTTTCCCACATCTTCCTGTCTTCTTCTGAGCCCTCCAAACTGTTCCAACCTCTGCCCATTACCCAGTTCCACAGTGACTTCCACATTTTCAGGTTATCTTTATAGCAGTACCCGACTCTCTGTAGCACCAATTTACTGTATTAGTCTGTTTTCACATTGCTATAAAGAACTACCTGAGACTGTGTAATTTATAAAGGAAAGAGGTTTAATTGACTCACGGTTCCACATGGCTGGTGAGGCCTCAAGAAACTTACAATCATGGTAGAAGGGAAAGCAAACACCTTCTTCACAAGGTGGCAGGAGAGAGAAAAGCAGGGGAAACCACCACTTATAAAACCATCAGATCTAGTGAGAACTTACTATCATGAGAACAGCATGGGGGAATCTGCCCCCCATGATTCAGTCAGCTCCCGCCAGCTGCCACCAGGTCCACGACCTATATCTTTATCATCCCTCTGTGATGTATGGTGGGCAAACATTCTTTAGAGATAAAAGTTTCCTGTTAAATATTTGGAAATATACTTAGGAAATAATGCTGGTGCAACTGACAAATATCCCTCTTTAGTGACTCCATAGCCCATGTCCCTCCTGGAACACATAACCTCACTGTCTCATTGTAGACTGGGGAAAAGCCGACCCATCCCCCACACAGCTGCAGCGAGATCTTCCTAAAGTTCACGTAAGATGTTATCACCCCTCTGGCTTAGGAGAAACAAAACAAACTTCCTATGACTCTCGCTACCTTGAACAAATGCTTCACAGTGCCTTTTGCCGTGGAGCTCAAACCTGCTGCTCCAGAGTCATCTCCTTCTTCTCTTTCTTCCTTTCTGTGCACCTTCAGTTTCAGCAACACTGAACAACTAACCATTCCCAGAACATTCTACATTTGGCCATGTCTTTGTGTCATTGCCTAGCAAGCTCCTTTTGGCCTGGGTAGCCTATCTTTACCTTTTCATTTACTCAGGCTGGCACCTTGATCTTGGACATGCCAGCCTACAGAACCATGAGAAATAAATTTCTTTTGTTATAAGCCATCCACTTTATGATATTTCATTACAGTAGCCAGAACGAACTAAGACATGTGTGAATGTCAAAATTTTGCTCTGCCCCTTACTTTGGCATTTCAATAGTTAAATAAAAGGTAGGCATGCCTCATCAGCCTGTGTAACAACTTAAAATGTTCTCAAACAGGCCTTCCAATCCTCCAATCTAGTTCCATTCCTCCCACTTTTAACAATTTCTGGACTCTCCAAAGAGAGCATCAGTGTGAAGCTCAGGAGCCATTCTGCCGACTGTAGCACCATGCAATATATGCCCTGATTATTCTCTCCTGCTTTGGTTCTAACAGAAGCATCACTGCTCCCACTAGTGATGGTGCCCTCACGCCATGTTGGCATCTCCTAAGAGCCACAAAGCCATGTTCTTCAGGATGTGAGAATGGGATGGGAGTTTCTGAGCAGAGGTGGCATGCCCATGGTACCCTCCTGCTTATGTGGTTACCTGTGTCCCAAGGTGGGTCAGCCTGTGTTCAGGATCTCACAAAGTCTCTCATGAAAATAGTTGTGGGCTTCAGACTCATTCTTTGCTCCCAAATCAAAGTTTAACACAAATCATGGGCTCTTGTGTGGCTCTGGCATGGTTCATCCTTTGACCCCAAAGCCAATGTTCTTTCCACCATCACCTACTGCTTTACACATCCACAAAGGAGGTGACACACAAATCTGTCTAAATACAAATACACAAATCTGTGATTCTTGTTTGTTTGGCCTGAGATCGTCATACTCAGTATACTTGTACGGCTCAGTAATACTTGCCCTGGATGGTCCGTTCCCTAAATTGTCTCTACCCAAAAGCGTGATAGGCAGAGCTCTGATGGTTTTAGGAACTGCTCCCAAGTCATCCTTCACATTACCAACCCACCGACTTGCCACTGTCGAGGTTGCCTATTACCTTCCAGTGGCCCATCCAATGGGCACCCTGGTCCTCCTCCCACTGCCTCACTCTCAGCGTCCCACACAGGTGGTTATGCTCTTCCTCAGAATGCTGGCTTTCATGGCACCATAGCTTTCCCCACCTTTGTTAGCCTTACCTCTGAGCTCCACTGAGTGCTTCTCCGGAGTTTTTCCTTTGGGTTTCTGATAAAAATCTGATTCCCCAGGATTGCCTGTGTCCCTGTTACTTTCTTTCTCAGACTTCAGCTGGATGTCTGCACTCCCCCTCTCGGCTCTAATACCCTCTGCCTACTCAGAGCTCCATACTGGTGTGTTAAGTCCACGCCTTTCTTGTATGAGGAATCATATCTCATCTACCTTGACACCCTCAAAACTGAGCTCCCCATCCCACCCTTCCAATCCTGTTGCTCTCTAAGTCTTTCTTATCTCTTTAAGTGATGTCACACTCTTCAATTTCACATTCAGTTTGCAGTAAATTCTGCATGTTGAGTCTTCTGAACATACTTTGAACCCACCTTACATTTTCTGTATTCAGTGCTTCTACCTAAATCTGAGCCATTATTATCAGATCTCTTCTTTTCTCTTGGCCTGACCCCTTACTCTATTCAAGGTCAATACACCACATGGAGTCAAATTTTTCTTGATTAAATATCATCCTACCATTCTCTGACTTAAAAGGCTGCACTAACTTTGCATTTTCCTGGAGTTAAATCTCATCTCAGACTGTGGCTTATGATGTCTTGCTTATTCTCCTAAACTTGCCTCAGCTTACCCTTTCATTCCCATACTCTATCCTCTATCCTCACTACACTGATCTTTGCAGAGTCTTGACCAACGTTTCCTGACTTACAGCTTGCATATGGTGTTCTTCGTACCTGGGATACCTTGTCCCTTGTCCTTCACATGTGCTTCCCCTGATGTTTCACCTAAATAGGATCCATGCACAACCCTTCATTAATTTTTTACCTAAGCATGGCCTTTATGGCATATTTCTAAGTCTGTAATTACCTATTTGTTAATCTGTTTATGATCTGTCTCCCTCTACTAAGCTATGTGCTCTATGTAGAGGGGGGCCCATGTTTATTTTGCTCTATATTGTTTATTCATGATCTGCATAGAGCCTGCTTGTCTGAAATTTTTTAAATTAATTAATTTGAATATTTATAATTGACATATTATAGTCGTACCTATTTATGGGGTACAGTGTGATGTTTCAATGCATGCACATGATATATAATGATCAGATCAGGGTAATCACCATATCCATCACTTTAAACATTTATTGTTCAATAATAGGAAATGATTCAAATCATTAGTCATTATACCAGGATATTATTTATCATTTAAAATGATATAAGAATGAAGATTGACATACAAAGTATTTATGGAATACGGTTACTAAAAAGCAGGTTGTAGAGCAATGTGATTTAATTTGATCTTCTGTGCCAATCTGTCCACACGTCTGTTCATCTGCCTATTTGTTCATCCATCAATTCACCCTTCCTCTCACCCATCCATCCCCCTATGTATTTTAAAGGGTGATCACCCTTTAAATTTACTAAGGGAAGGAAAATAGATCCTGGTGTAGCAACCACAATGTCATATATATATATAGTAAATTTTGTCTAGCAATTTATAGATTGTCCACTCAAGCCTGTGAGTTTTAGAAGAAGCTAACTCTTCCTCTGGTCTCAGGGGTGGAGCGGCTGATTAAGGCCTAAACTGATATCAGAGTAACCCCATCACGTGGCTACAACTGTGGATTCAGAAGCGAATAAGTAAGTCCTCTCAAGGAGTGAGATGAGGAAATATGCTTGCTAAGAACTTGTGATAATGACAATTCTTGCTCTCCTAAGATAACTTTCATAAATGGCTCTCAGTTCCTCTCCTTGAGTATGAGTATGCCTACATCTGTCCCCACCAGTGCTCGGGACCAATCCTGATACGATTAAAAAAAAAGAGACAGGCTTGGATGAAGCTGATACCATAGGAAATAGAATAGAGCGGGGAAACTTGGCATCGCTAAGCCGCTGCATCAGTAAACCTTTAAGCTACCCTGCCTGTGGCCTCAGATCCACACAGACCCCCAGTCCCCTTAGTCATTCAAATCGATTGATTTAAGTGGGCTTTTCTCTTATCCAAATCAAATGTACCATGATTTGGTGTGCATGTGTGTGTAAGTATATGAGCATTGGCAGATAAAGAGAGACATACAGACAGAGAGAAAAAAAGTCTGAAGTGACACCCAACAGAATGTAACAATGTTCTGGGTTACAATGATAGTCAACTTTTCAAATCACATTTGACCTTTCAAATTTTTTTTTTGCAATAGGCCTGAATTACTTGTTTGATCAGAGAAAAACATCAACAAAAGCAACAAACCATTTAGAAAACAAAAATCAGGCAGTTGCATTTGGAGGAAAACAGACTAAGTTCAGAATGTGGTAGAAAGGATGTGTGTGTGTGTGTGTGTGTGCGCGCGCGTGTGCATAATTCTCATTATCTGTGACCATGAGTACCACATGAGCCAAAGTATGATACATTAGCCAAAAAATACATATGAATATAGTACGAACTTTTTTTTAACAAGACAGTGTCAAGGTCAGGGGTGTTAATAATGCCACTGTTCTTTGCTCAAGTCAGACCACACTTGAAGTATCAGTTTCAATTTCGTTACTACAAGAGTTCAGGAACTAGCTGACACGTTCCAGGGATACTGGGAAAGGATTTATGCATTTGGAAAGAGATGGAATTTTAAGACTTTTGAAATTTTTTTCCCATTTAAGATTCTATAGTTCTCTGATTTTCATGTTGCTCTTGGACATTAAAAAAGCAATCATATTATAAACAGAGAAACCACAGATCAGAGAGCTCAAGTGACATGCCAAGGCCCTACAATTGGTTAATGCCAGAGTTTTGTCCAGAAGCCACTTCATAACCCACACGCTTATTAAAGAGGAGTAGACAGATGAGATCTGTCCAGAGAACTGCAACAGGGATGACTTGGGCCGCACAGATCATTTCCAAATGACTCATGTTTAAAGAACCAGAGAACCTTGTGAGGGCGAGAGAGCATAATGTTGTTATCAAATAAAGCTGTCATAGGAAGAAGAATGCCACTTGTTGTGATTAGCTGAAATAAAAAGAAACACAGAGTTGATGAAGAGCTTTCTTTTTTTTCTTTAATAATAGAAGTAAGGATTTTCTGACATGAAGAAATGTCTATAGATGGTCTAAGGTGATCGAGAGTGGGAAGGGAAGGTGGCAAAGACTTGTCATTGCTCCGTTCTTCCATGAATAGACGCCATAGCTTTTAGGTAGGCACCTGGCTGCCCAGGTGGAGAGCACATTGCCCCGCCGCTTGGCAGTAAGGTGTGGCCTGTCACAAAATAACTTATTCTCTTTACAAATTAAAGGTTGGCAGCCACATAATGAGTTTATTTGCTATGCATTGCAGGGCTTATATGGTTCAGAAAACAGATCCACACAGCCTGGGATGTCCTGCCTGGGCCTCACTTTTGAACTGCTTGACACCTAGAGAGACGGCAGCCTTTACCATTCAGTTGTTAGGGGTTCAAGTAATTGCTGAAAGTGTACCACAGAGAGACTTAGAAAAAAAAAACAAGGAAAAGAGGCACACATGGGTTATCTAAAGTTACAAAGACAGGGGAATTAAAATAGAAGTAGAAGTTTGTTAGGAGCTTAGTTAAGTTAAATTATCTTGGGCCATTAAAGTAAGTCAATAGGTAATGGGTATAATGCATTAATGAAGAATGAGGGATAAAAATTCGTGTTTTCAGAGAAATGGAGTCACTGCCAGGGGAAACTGCCAAGCTAGTGAATAGTGGTTGCCTATTTGGAAGTGGAGCTGGGTGGGGTGTGCATGAAGCAGGACATTCTTGTTTTCAATTTTAAGTGCTAAGTACTATTTTATTTTTAAATATGAGCACATATTACTTTAGGAAAAATGCATGCACACACACACATGGCTCTAGCTCTGGTTCTGAGGGATGCTGAATGATTTTTCAAATGTGGGTGGGGTCTGCACACAGTCTGTAGATGGGACATCAATACGGAATGGATGGGCTGCTACCTGGAGGCTAGAGTGTGTTTAAACATACAGAAAATTATGCTGCCTTTGGTCTGTTACATCTCCGACTGTCACGGGAGGCAAACATTCTCCTCTTTAGCCCAGCACACAGAGAGTGCTTGTGACTTGCACCCAAGTGCTTTACTTCAGCATACTATTCTCGGGTTTCCTCATAAAAAGTTATTGGGGCTTTCAGAATATTAGAACATGAGTTTTTCTGTTACATAAAGATTCAGCTTAGCACAATTAAAAAAAAGATACGTATTTTTTATTTGAAAATTGTCTTGCAGTCTGCCATTTTACTCCCACCAAAGCAACGTGTTGAATGTTTAAAAACCTTTGTCAATATACAGAGTACAGCACTCAACCATGAGAGAGTAAACTGCTGGTTGCTCATGTGAAAATCTCCACTATGAGTATCTGGTATTTTTCTCAAGACCTTGTTGAAATTGAAAACTGCAGAAAAATAAATATATTTTTCTTTTTACTGCACAAAACCTCTTGCTCACCCTCCCCATGGTAGTTAAATATGTCAGTACATCATGTCTTCAAAGCCATTTTCCTTCAGCATTATTTCTTTTGTATTGCATGAGTCACAAATCAACCTTTTGCTTTTCAACATCAGAATCATAGCTTTTCTCCTATGATTGCCAAGCTGAAGGTACAGTGGAGCAAAATAACATGTTTTGTACACCCAGCTCTCTGAAGGGTGGAGGGGAATGGTGCTTCAAGCCCCAGAAGAATATGCTTCCTCCCATGGAACGGGACTGCAGAACCCCATCCAGGAGCAGTCAAGACGCATCTGTGGGAGGTTCCAGGGCTCAAGACATTTGGCAGCACTGCTGACGTGGACGTTCAACTCAGAAGACCAGATCTTGGCTTAGCCTCAAGGAGAGTTAGGTCTTTGTTGTGCTTGGATGGAAACTGGCAGGGCTCTTTGATAGGTGTGAGGGTTTTAAGGGAATGAAATAGTAACATTAAATTTGCAACAGTTATTCTGCAAAATCTTCAAATCCATAGAAATAGCTCTATTTCTGCTACAAAATGAGTTTTGGATGAGGAATGAATTACCTCGGCATCACTTTTGCATTTGTGCCCTTGTATTTGGTTTTTCCTTTTTTTTCTCATTTTGGTTTCCGGTTTTTAGGGTTCAATTTTAAATGATTGTAAAAGGTCAAGCCCTGGGTGAATATTTTCAGAGCCCTTTAATTGCTTGGAACTTCTTTCTAACATGGGGAGCCTTTCTCGGTAACATTCATCATCAGAATTCAAATATTCTAAAAAGAATTTTTTTTTTTTTTTTGATACGGAGTCTCACTCTGTCACCTGGCTGGAGTGCAGTGGCGTGATCTCAGCTCACTGCAACTTCCGCCTCCCGGGTTCAAGCAATTCTCCTGCCTCAGCCTCCCGAGTGGCAGGGACTACAGGTGCATACCACCATGCCCGGCTAATTTTTGTATTTTTTAATATTTTGTATTTTGTATTTGTAAAAATATTAGTAGAGACGGGGTTTCACCATGTTGGCCAGGATGGTCTAGATCTCTTGACCTCGTGATCTGCCCACCTCAGCCTCCCAAAGTGCTGGGATTACAGTTGTGAGCCACCATGTCTGGCCTCTAAAAAATATTTTTATTTAAATTATCTAGGCTCTGGGAATCTCTTTTCCACACATCTAAATAAAAGAATCCTAAATATCATTTTATAATTTTTTTCACTAACAAGAATCCTATCTTGTGGTGTTAGGAAGCAAGGCATGGACTGTATTGTGGTATTCTGAGGTTTAATCTGTACAAGTCCAAGTTGTTACTGTTAGTCACTTCCACACATCTTTGAAGGTTACACCTAGACCTGATTCTGTGCTGAGATAATATACCTGCTTTTTTTTTTTATTTCCCAAGGGAATTTGGTATTTCTTTCTGTATTCACATTTCCTGTCACTCTGACTCTTGCATCTGACTCCAGCCAGGAATGAGCCTAACACATTGCCACCACATTTCCAAAAAGAATTCACTGTGTCTGAAAACAGAGATGTAATTGAGTTCTATGGATTGCAGATTACCTAGTTATTGGAATGAATGCTGTCCCAAAACTGTACTGGCTCTTACAACAG
Source organism: Homo sapiens (assembly GCF_000001405.40). NCBI lineage: Eukaryota > Metazoa > Chordata > Mammalia > Primates > Hominidae > Homo > Homo sapiens. Next base: position 22,465,592 of record NC_000013.11, read on the forward strand.
CCTCACAGAACCACAGAGAGCCAGGTATTTCTGCCCCTACTGACTAGGCCTCCCAGCCACTTTATATTAACTAAGCTTTAGAAGAAATGTGCACAAAAGAGGTAGAGGGGGCCGATAGGAATAGCACAGGTTGTACCATTGCATACTTACTGTTTCTTGGGAGCCTACAACAAAGGCTTTGTACATTTGAATAAAAGCTAATGGTGCAACGCTAGTTGCTATGGCTCTAGGGTATTAATGAACATAAATATTAAGGTCTTAATTATGCATGCCACTTAATATATTGCATTTGAGGCACTGATATTCTGAAAATATACAAGGTAATCGGCTATTTCTCCCAAAGCTAAAAAGAGAGACTTGCTAAACATTTAAAAAATTGTCTAGATCTTTCTTTTCCTGTTTCCTTCCATCAATCCTTCCTATATTGTATTTCTCCCAATATTGTATTTCTCCCAATTTGTTACTGCCAATCTTCTGTGGATATAGAGACTAAATATCAAAGCTTGTGAGAATTATTCATAAAGTAAGGACATAAAGGTTCTGATGAAGGAATTTTTAAATAATTTCACAGACTCTGTAATGTTCATTTTAGCTTCTTAGAAATCAGCCCCTCCCCTTTACTTTGTATGTTTCCTTATTCTTGACTAGATTCTAGATCAAAGATGTATAAATTGTATTCCATAATTCTACAGGGGTGCTTAAGGAGTAGCTTAAGAGCTACTGTAGATAGGACTGAAGACCCTATTTTTCCTGCTCCCCGTCTGACTATATTGTGAAACTGCATGTGATTAGATTTGTTTTAAAATGTCCATATTGGTTGAACAGGTTGAAAAACCAGTTCCAGAGAAGGTAATACATAGTTAAATTGCATATAGATAAATAGATCAATCTTGTGATATATGCAGCAGCTGTAATGAATTCTTCCATTGACTGATATATTATCCATTGGTAGAATTATAGACAACACAATACTACCCAAACCACAAAACTCTTTGGACAAAGAAAAGTGAGTGGTGATGAAGATTCACAGGTGTTACAAGTTGGTCTTAAAACATTGAGATTGACTAGTCTTAGGTGGTTTTGCTGAATTACCTCTCCCTTAATATTAAACCCTTATGAATTTCAAGAAAAATTTCATCCATATGTTTCTGATTCAATTAGTATTAACTCATTAAATGTTTTTTAAAAGCTATTTGAAATTTGAGAATCCTTTTTATGAGCTTTAGTAATCCTTTCTTCTTTGAATTAGGAAGGAGAATTTTGCCAAGAGTTAATGGTACTTGAACCTCAATACGCCTAAGGGGATTCTAAACTTAGCAAAAAATCCACCATCCTGTCACAACCAATGGCACTCGTACTTGCAAACTATCTGCCACTTGCTATCTCCTTCCACATGCTTGATGATGTTAGATCATCATATGTAAAAGATATGTCTTTTACATATGACAATGCTAAATAGCTATTGCTACTAAAGAAGGGTAACATCTACAAGTGAAGAACAAATCCTAGTTACCAGCACTCTTTATAGAAAGCTAATTAAATACAAATCTAAAATTCCGGGAAGCCGAAATCACTACTCTTTTCTTTGTCTCTTACAGTTACAGGTCAGAATACATGGATAGTTTAGGTTAACTCTGAGCAGCTAGCATATAAGAGTTGAACAAAAAGAACAAAGGGAGTAAAACATTTTGTAGTTTAAGAAACACTAAGCATTCAAATACAGTATTTGCAGAAGTACTCAGAACGTGAACTAAAAAGAACTATGTTTATGCAGAGGACACAGGCTTGCTGAATAATATGTTCCATTAACATGATATAAGTGCAAATTCAATAGCTATAGATTTTCTTCACATTTAGGTTTTTCCTTTTTTTTTTTTTTTTTTTTTTGATACCAGAATCAGCAATGGTGACTTCGAAGTCATCATGAGATGGATGGCAGGATGCAAAATTGCTCAAACAGCAGTGGAGAAATGCTCTCTGTACCTTCAGAATGGGAAGTTTTTGTCGACTAGCTTTCTGTTTGTTTATTTCAATAAGTTGAATCATGAAAACTATTCCTAAAAAGAAAAGAAAAATCATTAGGACACTTGGAAGCCACTCTCTAAAGCCATGGGTATGGCAATGGAACTTCAAGAACAGGAGCAACCAGAAGGGTCCTTAGAAGCTACAGACACAATGGCCCACTTATATACAAGGTTTTGAAGAGCTCCTGAGAGAAATGCACGGAAAAGCCAACAGTGGTAGGTACGTGATGGCAATAGCTACTGCCTTTAATCCCAAGAAGGAAGATCATAAGAGCACACAGCTTAAGCATACGAGTATCTCTAGTTATCAACATTATATCCCCATGTAAAATATTATGTGATACAGAGTCGAATTGCATATTGAATTCTTTTGAGTAAGGAGGAAGAAATCTCTTTTGGGAGATCCAGTAAGACTTTTCTACCACTGCTCTTTGGGAAGGTTCCTGTGTAGAGGAAGCTATATTGTGTTCACTCAAGGGACTAAAGGTTTCCAAGGAAGCAATACAGAACAACTTCAAAGATCAGGGCTTCCAAAAGTGTAGAACGAAACTTTAAACACACAGTCTCTTAGTTCCATTTGCTTCCAGATAAACAGAAAGTTTGTACTGCATTGGCAATGTTTATCTTATTTTATTTGTCTGGTAATTGTACAAGAAGGTCAAGGATTGCTTTTGAATGAAGGTCATAATTGTTTGCACAGTACAAGCATCTACTTAGAAACACATGTTTTCAAATAAAATTTCCTAGAAAAACTCATTTTAATGAAGAGTAGGGGTGTAAAAGAGTTTCTTGAAAGTTTTACAAAACCTTACACCCCATGAAATAAACTCATAATTATAAAATCTGTTCAATGCCTCTGCAACCACATTCTGGTTGAAGAGTTGATGGCATGAGTTTATACAAGGAAATAATGGTCTGTCTGCTAAGTTACACCTGCATCGACCTGCTCAATTTCTCATCTTCAAACCCTGCAATCAAGAGAAAAATTGTACTAAAGATTATTTAAATCTAAAAAGTACACTCAACAAATGAGGCATTTACAGAGACAAGGATTACTTTTAAGGAGGAAAATAGATACCTGGCCTCTATTTAAAATTCCTTGTCAGCACTATGACTTATATGTGCTGTAAAAGAATTTTTTTTTAAAGGCCTACTAGCAATTTTGCTTCATTTCTTTTCCTTTTTTCAGTCTTACCCTGTGCTAAGATCTGAGTGTTTGTGTGTCCTCAAAATTCCTGTGTTGACATCCTAACCCCCAAGGCAATAGGATTACAGGGTGGGGTCTTTGGGAGGTGATTAGGTCATGAGGGTGGAGCCCCTATAAATGGCTTTAGGAACCTCATCAAGGAGGCTTGGGGAGCTCTCTCTCACCCCTTCTGCTATGTGAAAGCACAGCAAGAAGATGTGGTCTGGGAGCCAGAAACCAGGCCCTCACCAGACACTGAATCTCCCTTGATCTTGCCTTTCCAGCCTTTAGAACTGTGAGAAGTACATTGCGTTATTTATAAGCTCCTCGCTTTATGGTATTTTGTTAACACAGCTGAAATGTACTAGGACAGCCCGTGACATAGACAGCGTGGAAGAACCCCCACTAGGCTACCTGAGGGCGGATGCATGTTCCCTCTCAGCTCAGAAGAATAATGTGGGAAAGACACTCCTCTGGCCAAAGAGGCAGACACAAGAAGCTTCCAAAAACAAACATAAGATATATTTGTCTTTCAAAAAGAGTATCCAATTTTTCATGTCAATATAGATAATCTGCTTAATAAAATATTGAATTTTGTTATTTTTCTTTTCTTCTACTCAAACGTAGGAGTCGTACTGAAGTATTTGAAGTATGTGAGGTATTGGAAAAATAAGCCCGCATGGAGCAGAGACACAGATGGTTTCTGTGTTTAATGATTTTCCTTTTTCTTCTTCTTTTCATTGTGTTTTTAATTTTTGTATTTGTGGTTGCCGCCCTTTGCTGGCTGACACAGCTCTGGGTCGTGTGGGAAGCAAGGTCTTTTGGAGATCATGGTAGTGGTGTGCAAGCTTTAGTTCTTAAATCCACTGATGTCCATGGGGAGACAACTGCCTTCCCCTGCTTCAAAGCCAAAACAGCGACTCAGCTCATCTTGATTCTTTATCTCTGGCAGGGATTTTAATTTCATTGCTTATTCAAAGAACTAAAATTAAGTTAGCTTTATGTTTGCTTATATATACTTTAAATAAATTCCTTGAAGAGGCCTAGGAGGTGAATAAAACTGAAGACAGGATCCAAAAAGTTTGGTACCTTCCTAGTTTTATTTTAAGATGTCATTTGGTTCTTCCTTTTCTCCTTTCTTGTTTGGACATATACTGAACTCACTCCGGTGATAGCTCAGAACAATTCCCAGAACAGTCTAAGTATGGCATTTAACCCTCCAAACGTTCAGCCAATCTTTACTGCTAGTGTTCATTTAGTTTATCAGTAAGAAAACTGGTGTTAAAGTAGAGGAATTAGAGCAGAAGAAAGAAAATAATGTGGTATACGATAATTTGAATAAACTTACAAGCTCTAGTTCATTATTTCCCAGCCAAATGTGTCTGTCACCATGCTAAGCACAAGAGAAACAGAGACATGTAAAGTATGGCTGCTGCTGTGAGGCTGTTGGGCAGAATGCAGAAACAGACCCAGGAACACATCATGGTGTGTTGTAATCAGGTCCTCTCAGGCTCCTGTGGCAGAGCGTGGAGATGAGGGCCGTCTCAGGGAGCAGGGATCTTCAGGGAAGCCTTTCTGGAAGAAGTGCTTTTTACACACAGGTTTTAGTCCTTTTGGGTTGCTATAACAAAATACCATAGAGTGAACAACAGAGATTTATTTCTCACAGTTCTGGGGACCGAGAAGTTCGAGATCCAAGTGCTGTCAGATTCGGTACCTGGCCAGGGCCGCTTTCTGTTTCAAAGATGGTGCCTGCTGTCTGTGTCCTCACTTGGTGGAAGGGGTAAATAAACTCCCTGAGGCCTGTTTTAAAAGGTGCTAATCCCATTCGTGAAGGATCCTCCCTCCTGACCTAAGGACTCCCCAAAGCCCACTCTTCCTAATCCCATCACCCTGGGGGTGAGGATTTCAACATATGAATTTTGGGGGGACACAAACATTCAGACCACAGCAGCCCAGAAATGCTTCTCTCCTTTCTGCTGTCAGCCCTGTGTGCCTATTTAGGCTGCACCACCTGCCCTGAACTATTGCAACAAGCTTCTAAGCCCTTCAGCACCATTCTGTTTCATGTCACTTTTCACTCAAAGACAACCAATTGTGCTCCTTCTACTCCACATGATTGAGAGAGTATGTTTATGGTCCTTTATAAAGGAAAAAGAGGGCAGAAACCCTCAGCAAATGATTAGACATACACTCTGAAAAGCAAGAGGAGGTAATCATTTGGTGCTGAAGACATTTAAAATGCCCCGAGTTATCTCCTGGATCATCTGAGAGGCCAGGCTAGGGCCCCAGTAAGGAGTTTGTGCTCTTTTATTCCAGGGCCCGACGGTCTGTCCAAGGCATTAGAGTTTGGAGAGGGAAGGAATCCACTCACCTTTACAGTACTGACTGCTGTTGCCATAGGACAGTGCAGAAGTGGGGTGATGGAGGGTGCACACTGTGAGGCCAGGGCCAATGACCAGCCCAAACGCTGTGTGAGTGTGTAAGAATGTGAGAGAGAAATTAGGAGTTGTGGTAGCGAGGATGGATGGAGGCCAGGCAGAGCGCTGAGAGCTACCATGTTCTCCATAGCACCCCTTTGGGTTCATCTTTAGAATCAAGAAAACTGGGAGACGCTTCCACCCTAACACTGCCTTTTACTACACTTTTTGTCAGCGCCAGCTCCTCACATTCTCAGCCTCTGCCTCAGAGTATTGCTGGTGGTGGGTTGATGAGGACAAGAACACAGCAACATCACACTGGCATTTCCTGCTTCACTGGGCTCTCCTTGATCTATCTGGAGGTGAAATGCCCAGTTTGGTCCCCCGAGATCTGGGCAATTTATTTTCTTTATTTCAGAGATCTTTACCTTTCAGACTATTCTCAAACATGATGGGCCCTTTTCAACACAAAATCTCATTCCAGTTGTCCTGCGGGATTCTGGAAGGCACAGGGCCCCATGCACAGTGGCTTAATTACATTTTAGAGGTAACGCCCCTGTTCCTTTGCTGATCAGTTTTGACCTGGCGTCTGTCAGAATTCAGATAAAGGGCGGTCGATCCTCAGCTCCTGCTATCTTGAGTAGTTACACAAGGAGCACCTAGGAGGGGAAATGCATTTAACTTTGGATAGTACAGGCATGGTAAATAAAGCTTCCAGTGGCTTTCATTAGCTAAACGTTTATACTTTACAGTTGTGCTGTCCAATACAGTAGCCAGTAAACGCGTGACCATTTAAAATTAAAGTTAATAAAAATTAAATACAATTAAACATTCGGCTCCTCAGTTGCATTACCCACAGTCAAGTGCTCAATAGCCACTCGAGGCCAGTGACTGTCATATTGGGCAGCACAGAACAAGCCGTCAATGTAGGAAGTTCTATCAGCCATCACCTTCTTAGAGAGCTCCTATTGAATGTGGTTGTAGAATCTTGCTTTAATTGTCTTCCAACTAGCACTGAGTCCTATTAAAAAAGAAATTCTTTTGAATTTAGAATCTCTTCCACCTTTTATTTTTATTTTGTGTACAGTTTAGGTTGTGCTTTATTTTTTAATTTGATGGTAAGAGGAGATGGTTTTTTTTTAATTCCGGTTCTGTGCTTGGAATTCCTTTGACTTTTAAAATGATAATAATTATCACAATGAGAGCTAAAGTGGTATAGAATGTCTCTATATTTAAGGAGACCTGCTTTGTGAACAGAGTCAAGTCAGGGCCTGTTATGTTAGGTTGTCACTGTCTGAACTTTCATATTGGAAAAAAATGAGATAAAACAATATTTTACAGCCTGCAGTCAGCAATAAGCTAACAACACTTTACATTCTACGAAAATACTTTCCCCATCTCAGTTTTGATGGAGATTATGTTGGGTTAGCATTAAACACTCAATTGCAAAAATCTTCTGAGGAAATACAAGTGTTCAGCCCAGTGCTGAAAGTCCATCTGGCCTTAGAATCACTGGTCTTAAAGGAAAGGAAGGTAGGAGGAGGCAGGAGACATTCACATTCCATTTCAGAATAGCTCCCACAGAAAGTCTATAGGTAAAAGAATAGGTGTCTATACAGGCAAGAAAAAGCAGGGCACAGTGGCTCACACCTGTAATCCCAGCACTTTGGGAGGCTGAAGAGGGTGAATCTCTTGAGCCCAGGAGTTCAAGACCAGCCTGGGTAAGATAGTAAGATTCTGTCTCTACAAATAAATTAAAAATATGTTAGCCAGGCATGATGACCTGTGCCTATGGACCCAGCTACTCTTGGCACTGATGTAGGAGGATTGCTTGAGTCCAGGAGTTTGAGGCTGCAGTGAGCTGTGATCTTGCAACCGTACTCCAGCCTGGGCAACAGAGCAAGACCCTGTCTCTAAAAATAGATAGATACATAGATAGATAGATAGATAGATAGATAGATAGATAGATAGATAGATAGATAGATGATAGATAGGATAGATAGATAGATAGATAGATAGATAGATAGATAGATAGATAACAAGCAAGAAAAGCTGAGTGTAGAGCCAGCAGCATTTGAATACATTTTTAAATGATTTCGCCTCATTGTTAATGACACTTCATACATAGCAAATGATAAATCTGAAGGACACAGTGGTTAAGACACCTGAGTTTGGATGCATACAAACCTGAGATTGGGTCCTGGATCTATTCCTACAAGTGTGTGGCTATAGGCGACGTCAATTTCCTCTCTATAAACTCAGATTACCACTTGAACATACTTCATATTGTTTGAGGACTCAATGATACAATGCATATTATGCCCTTAGTACAGTGCCTGGGTATGCACAAAGTACCCAATGCCTGCTATGATAATGATGAGGAGGATGGTGATTAAAGTTTAAAAATAAAATAAATTTAATAAAATCACAGGATGCTATGCTGATAAGCTGGGCTCCAAAAGTTTATGTGTTCGTGTGCAATGCACAGGGTAGCAGGGACAGAGCACTGTGGCTGCGCATGATAGGCATTCAATGTGTTTAATAAACACAATGACAGCAAGAAAATATTTTCTAATTTATCTCTGTAGGTTGTTTTTGTGGTTGTTGTCTTTTAAAAATTGATTATATAAATTTATCTCAAATAATAAGGTTTAGAAGGAAATTACTTTAGTCCCCAGCCACCCCCCATCAGTCAACACAGCTCATATTGGTAGACTCTAAGGATTTGCCATCTTGAAAAACCTACCTGAGCCCAGCTGGAGCTTCTGTATCTTTCTGACATAGGATACCTTCCTTGATGAATTAGCCATGCATCTGTATTCACTGTGAAATCTCTCTCTGAAACACTCACACGTCTTCTTATTTGTCTCTACAGTGGCCTTTGTTTCTTCTGTGACTTGTCACTCTAAATTTCAGGTTTGAAAAGGCTGTCGATAAAATATGGCCAGTAAATGAGTAAACCAAACATGTTAGTTTTTAGCAAGAAAACAATAGTAAGTGCAATTATAATTTTAGAAACAAGTACAGTAGAAACCATACAAGTGGATAAGTTCCTCAAGAAAGTTTATTCTCACTGTTCAAATGTTACCAATACAATTTTGATGAAGTGTTCAAAGACCTTTCTTTATTACAAGATAATTATAATGATAATTAAGAATTATCACAGTTGAGATAACAAATAACAAACAAAAATAGGCCGGGGGCAGTGGCTCACGCCTGTAATCCCAGCACTTTGGGAGGCCGAGGCGGGCAGTTCACGAGGTCAGGAGATCGAGATCATCCTGGCTAACATGGTGAAACCCCATCTCTACTAAAAATACAAAAAATTAGCCGGGTGTGGTGGTGGGCACCTGTAGTCCCAGCTACTCGGGAGGCTGAGGCAGGAGAATGGCGTGAACCCAGGAGGTGGAGCTTGCAGTAAGCCGAGATCCTGCCACTGCACTCCAACCTGGGCGGCAGAGCGAGACTCCATCTCAAAAAAAAAAAACAACAACGACAACAAAAACAATAACGACAACTGAAAGCACTTCATTTTTAGTATTATATACTTAAGTATATGTATGAAAAATACAATATAATATTTTTTAGTACTTAAATACTGCAATACTATGTACGAATGTACTGTCAAGTGGCACTAATACATAAGCACATAGGTTAATTATAGGAAATCACATAGATAGACAAAATAAAAATGTTTAATGCTTTTTTATGTGAATAGAAGATACAGAATATAGAATTGATATAAAACAATCATTTCATAGAGAACTGATAAATCAGATTACTATTTCATCATAAGATTTCATTTTAATGTTATGTTTTGTAAGTATATTTCTATGATATTGAATTTAGCCAAGGTCTCCAAATGACTTTAGATTACCTGGAAATTTCTAGTAATTGTAGAATATTAATTATGCCAGAGTTAAACTTCCTGCTAAATGAAACTGTCTTCATGTTAGAAACAGATGGATGCTAAAGGTAAAAGTTGGTTTATTTTTCTTATTTAGTGAACATGTTACAGCAGGTTGAGATTAATGTTTATATTTTTAAAATAATGAGAAAAGTCCTGAAGTAAGTAGTGATGTTTACTTTGGATTTCAGGTGAGTTTCTGTTTTCTCACAGGGGCTACCCATGACCAGGATGCATAGTCTAAACAGCCATGCGTGGTTAACCAATAATGCACTGTTATTTTTCTTTGTATCATCATTTAAGCAATATTAAATTTACATGAAAAGAAAACAGTAAAGCAAATGTTACGACATTTTCTTACTATATTAATACTGGTGAAAATTTGTGCAAGAATTAAAGAAAAATGCTGACACGATGGGGTTTTCTAAATATACAATCATGTCATCTGCAAACAGGGACAATTTGACTTCTTCTTTTCCTAATTGAATACCCTTTATTTCTTTCTCCTGCCTGATTGCCCTGGCCAGAACTTCCAACACCATGTTGAATAGGAGTGGTGAGAGAGGGCATCCCTGTCTTGTGCCAGTTTTCAAAGAGAATGCTTCCAGTTTTTGCCTATTCAGTGTGATATTGGCTGTGGGTTTGTCATAAATAGCTCTTATTATTTTGAGATACGTCCCATCAATACCTAATTTATTGAGAGTTTTTAGCATGAAGGACTGTTGAATTTCGTCAAAGGCCTTTTCTGCATCTATTGAGATAATCATGTGGTTTTTGTCTTTGGTTCTGTTTATATGCTGGATTATGTTTAATGATTTGCATATGTTGAACCAGCCTTGCATCCCAGGGATGAAGGCCACTTGATCATAGTAGATAAGCTTTTTGATGTGCCGCTGGATTCGGTTTGCCAGTATTTTATTGAGAATTTTTGCATCGATGTTCGTCAAGGATATTGGTCTAAAATTCTCTTTTTTTGTTGTATCTCTGCCAGGCTTTGGTATCACCATGATGCTGGCCTCATAAAATGAGTTAGGGAGGATTCCCTCTTTTTCTATTGATTGGAATAGTTTCAGAAGGAATGGTACCAGCTCCTCCTTGTACCTATGGTAGAATTCGGTTGTGAATCCGTCTGCCCTGGACTTTTTTGGTTGGTAGGCTATTAATTATTGCCTCAATTTCAGAGCCTGTTATTGGTCTATTCAGGGATTCAACTTCTTCCTGGTCTAGTCTTGGGAGGGTACAAGTGTCAAGGAATTTATCCATTTCTTCTAGATTTTTTAGTTTATTTGTGTAGAGGTGTTTATAGTATTCTCTGATGGTAGTTTGTATCTCTGTGGGATCGGTGGTGATATCCCCTTTATCATTTTTTATTGCATCTATATGATTCTTCTCTCTTTTCTTCATTAGTCTTGCTAGTGGTCTATCAATTTTGTTGATCTTTTCAAAAAACCAGCACCTGGATTCATTGATTTTTTGAAGGGTTTTTTTGTGTCTCTATCTCCTTCAGTTCTGCTCTGATCTTAGTTATTTCTTGCCTTCTGCTAGCTTTTGAATGTGTTTGCTCTTGCTTTTCTAGCTCTTTTAATTGTGATGTGAATCAATATCGTGAAAATGGCCATACTGCCCAAGGTAATTTACAGATTCAATGCCATCCCCATCAAGCTACCAATGACTTTCTTCACAGAATTGGAAAAAACTACTTTAAAGTTCATATGGAACCAAAAAATAGCCTGCATTGCCAAGTCAATCCTAAGCCAAAAGAACAAAGCTGGAGGCATCATGCTACCTGACTTCAAACTATACTACAAGGCTACAGTACCCAAAACAGCATGGTACTCATTCCAAAACAGAGATATAGACCAATGGAACAGAACAGAGCCCTCAGAAATAATACCACACATCTACAACCATCTGATCTTTGACAAACCTGACAAAAACAATAAATGGGGAAAATATTCCGTATTTAATAAATGGTGCTGGGAAAACTGGCTAGCCATATGTAAAAAGCTGAAACTGGATCCCTTCCTTACACTTTATACAAAAATTAATTCAAGATAGATCAAAGACTTAAATGTTAGACCTAAAATCATAAAAACCCTGGAAGAAAACCTAGGCAATACCATTCAGGACATAGGCATGGGCAAGGACTTCATGTCTAGAACACCAAAAGCAATGGCAACAAAAGCCAAAATTGACAAATGGGATCTAATGAAACTGAAGAGCTTCTGCACAGCAAAAGAAACTACCATCAGAGTGAACAGGCAACCTACAGAATGGGATAAAATTTTTGCAATCTACTCATCTGACAAAGGGCTAATATCCAGAACCTACAAAGAACTCAAACAAATTTACAAGAAAAAAACAAACAACCCCATCAAAAAGTGGGTGAAGGATATGAAAAGACACTTCTCAAAAGAAGAAGACATTTATGCAGCCAACAGACAAATGGAAAAATGCTCATCATCACCGGTCATCAGAGAAATGCAAATCAAAACCACAATGAGATACCATCTCCCACTAGTTAGAATGGCAATCATTATAACCTCAGGAAACAACAGGTGCTGGAGAGGATGTGGAGAAATAGGAACACTTTTACACTGTTGGTGGGACTGTAAACTAGTTCAACCATTGTGGAAGACAGTGTGGCGATTCCTCAGGGATCTAGAACTAGAAATACCATTTGACCCAGCCATCCCATTACTGGGTATATACCCAAAGGATTATAAGTCATACTGCTATAAAGACACATGCACACATATGTTTATTGCGGCACTATTCACAACAGCAAAGACTTGGAACCAACCCAGATGTCCATCAATGATAGACTGGATTAAGAAAATGTGGCACATATATACCATGGAATACTATGCAGCCATAAAAAAGGATGAGTTCATGTCCTTCGTAGGGACATGGATGAAGCTTGAAACCATCATTCTCAGCAAACTATCGCAAGGACAAAAAACCAAACACTGCATGTTCTCACTCATAGCTGGGAATTGAACAATGAGAACACTTGGACACAGGAAGGGGAACGTCACACACCGGGGCCTGTCGGGGGGTGGGGGGAGGGGGAGGGATAGCATTAAGAGATATACCTAATGTAAATGACGAGTTAATGGGTGCAGCACACCAACATGGCACATGTATACATATGTAACAAACCTGCACGTTGTGCACATGTACCCTAGAACTTAAAGTATAATAAAAAAAAGAAAGAAAGAAAAATGCATGTACTGGTACAATGAAATAATTTAGACTTCTCATGAATCATTAATCACTACTTAGTACAATTCTAGTTTTCATATTTTTTGCTTTAAATATGATTAGCTCACTATAAACCTTTTAATCTAGAATCAAAATCTTTCCAGAATGAATACAGAGCTGTGGAAGATTTCTTCCCACAGATCCTGTACAGCCTTCATATGTCACATTTCTTTAGCTTTTGATCTTCTCTCTAAAACCAGAAACCAGACCCATTTCCCATTTAACCAAATAACAAAAACCATAGTGCTGCATGCAATCATAATTTCTACATGTTTCATTTTTACTGGAAGAAGGGCAAAGTGAAAATTAAAGTCTGTAACATCTGTAGTTTTGCCAGTGTGAAAAACTGTGATTGTTTCCAACTGAAAAATACCCAGTGATCTCAAGCATGTACATAAAAGGCAAAAAATGATAAATTGAAGTTCTACCAAACTAAAAACTTTTGTTCGATGAAAGACCTCGTTAAGACAAAATATAAACTACAGATTAGGAGAAAATATTTGTAAACCATAGAGATGACAAAGAACTTACCCCTAAAATATGTAAAGAGTTCTCAAAACTCAACATTAAACAAACAGCCCAAGTAGAAATGGATGAAAGACATGAAGAGAAGTTTTACCAAAGATAATATACAGATGGCAAGTAAGCAAATCAAAAGATATTTGACATCATTAGCCATTAGGGAAATGCAATCCAAAACCACAATCAGACACCACTACACCTATCAGTTACCTATCAAAATGGCTAAAATTAAAAATAGTGATAGCAACAAATGCCGGGAAAGATATGAAGAACTTGATCTCTTATACATCGCTGGTGGGAAAGTGAAATGGTACAGCTTCTCTAGATAATAGTTCAGAATTTTCTTGTTTTAGAGTAGCTGTATTTCTTTTTTTTTTTTTTTTTTTTTTGTTGAGACGGAGTCTCGCTCTGTCGCCCAGGCTGGAGTGCAGTGGCGCGATCTCGGCTCACTGCAAGCTCTGCCTCCCAGGTTCACGCCAGTCTCCTGCCTCAGCCTCCCGTGTAGCTGGAACTACAGGCGCCCGCCACCACGCCCGGCTAATTTTTTTTGTATTTTAGTAGAGACGGGGTTTCTCCATGTTAGCCAGGATGGTCTCCATCTCCTGACCTTGTGATCCACCCGCCTCGGCCTTCCAAAGTGCTGGGATTACAGGCGTGAGCCACTGCACCCGGCCTACAGTAGCTATATTTCTAATAGCCAAAATCTAAAACACAAACCAACAAACAAATGTCTTTAATTAACATGACTAGCTAAACAACTGTGGTCCAAACTACTTAGCAATAAAAATAAATAAACTTGGTACACATAACAATTTGGATGGATTTCAAAGAAGTTTAAACTGAGTAAAAAATGCAAATTGCAAAAGGATACATATTGCATGATTGCATTTATATAAAATTATTTAAATGACAAAACTACAGATACAGAAAACAGATTAGTGGTTCCAGGTAGAGATACGGGCTGAAAATAAAGAGGGTAGCACTGGGGAACTTAGTAGTAATGGAAAAGTTCCTTATCTTGACTGTGGTAGTATTTACACAAATCTACACGTGCCATTAAAGTAAATGGAACCACACACACACACATTTGGGTGCATTTATGAATGGTAATATCTGAATACTATCTGTGGATTGTATCAATGCCAATTTCCTGGTTTTGATATCATACTACTGTTGTCAAGTCCATACAAATTGACAATTATTTCAAAATTAAAAAGCAAACACATTAACAAGAAGATCTACATATTTCCTCTTTTTTTTTCTTCCAAGAAAGAGACCTTATGAACCCATTAGGTAATGATAGATCTTAGTGTGCGGTTACAACGTTAAGATGTTAAGCATAACTATACCACGTCTACAACATTTACAGCTTGATTTCTATTAAAACATTTGTTGTCAATCTTTCTTCCCCTTGAAGACGCTTGAGTACTTCAAGTTCTCGGTACTTAGGTACTACAAACTGCCATTTATAAGAGTGGCTTCCTCTTTCAGTGATTCTAAAAAGTAGGATGTGATCTCGAAAAAAAAATTATTATCCTGCTCCTCATCATGACTTCCCAGTTGAGAAATCCTAATTACAGGTAAAAGATTAATAAAAGTTTTAAAAACCTTATTTGAAAACAATACTTGTGAAGGCATAAAACTATATGAAATTTTGCATTTAGAAACTTAAGGTGTTTTCTTCTATATGGACAATCATAGTAAGACATTAAGTTTGATTACAGAAGGTGGATTTGTTCAGTGAGTCATTCATTCATTTATCAAATATTCATTAAGTATTACATTATTTTAGCTAACATCTTGGATTTTGGAAATACAAATTTTTTTTTTCTTTTGGAGTACTCTCAATTTAGTAAGGAAGACTGAAATGCAAGTCATACATGAAAATCATAACTGAACCTTGTTATGGAATCCAACAGTTGTGTATTTGTGGAGATTAAAGTACAATGCCTTTAATTGATAAAAATGCATGATGAAGTAGAAATGGATATTTAATTAACTTAAATGACATATTACACTTGACAATCATGTAAACCAATCAATATGACAGAGGTATAATTATTCTTTGAAAAGTAAGTTGGAATTTAATCTTTAATTTTGAGGAATTACCTAATACAATACCATGCATAATGTTCAGGGCTAGTGAGCTATTTCTTTTTTTTTTTTTTTTTTTTTTTTTGAGATGGAGTCTCGCTCTGTCGCCCAGGCTGGAGTGCAGTGGCGGGATCTCGGCTCACTGCAAGCTCCGCCTCCCGGGTTCACGCCATTCTCCTGCCTCAGCCTCCCAAGTAGCTGGGACTACAGGCGTCCGCCACTACGCCCGGCTAATTTTTTGTATTTTTAGTAGAGACGGGGTTTCACCGTTTTAGCCGGGATGGTCTCGATCTCCTGACCTCGTGATCCGCCCGCCTCGGCCTCCCAAAGTGCTGGGATTACAGGCGTGAGCCACCGCGCCCGGCCTCTTTTTTTTTTTAATCCAGGACTTCTAATGGAGCACTTCGGGAATTAAAGATAGAGTTTAGTAAGTAAGCCATATATATGCCATCTTAGAGAGGCTCTTGTCCTACTTCAGCTTTTCCACATTAGGTCCTAACAAATTCTGTCTGAAATATCTCCTTTGCTTTACTTTACATATTATGTGTTCACTTAGTTCCAGTTACTACAGTCTCTTCCTGGTGTGATCTTCAATTCCCTTTTACTAAAGAGAATGGCCCAAAGAAACCAACTAGTGACAGTAAAAGGAAAAGGGGGGTTGAGTTAGTGAGGAGGCAGGGCACCTGATCAGGTTTGGATGTCCCCTCCAAATCTCATGTTGAATTGTAATACCCAGTATTGGAGGTGGGGCCCCATGGGAGGTGATTGAATCATGGAGTGAGTTTCTCATGAATGGTTTAGCACCATCTTCTTGGTGCTGTCCTCGCGATAGTGGAGACAGTGGGTGAGTTCTCGTGAGATCTCAGTGTTTAAAAGTACGTGGCACCTCCCCCTATCCTCTCTCTCTCTCTCTCTCACTCTTGCCCCTGCTCTGGCCATGTGGCATGCCTTCTCCCCCTTTGCGTTCTGCCATGATTGTAAACTTCCTGAGGCCTCCCCAGAAGCTCAGCAGATGCCAGCATCATGGTTCCCATAAAGCCTGCAGAACCATGAGCCAATTAAACCTCTTTTCTTTATAAATTAGTCAGTCTCTGGTATTTCTTTATAGCAATGTGAGAACGATCTAATACAGCAACCTTAGGCGCTCATTCATCCTGCCTTTTCTGCTTACACCAGAGTGTGTCGTCTCCTGTCTCTTTAATTGAGCAGAAGTGACATCAAAGAAAAGGGTAATTTTTTCTGATATATGATGTAATAATTACAAATTATTATGATAGTACTTTCCATTTGCTTAGAACTTCAGAACTTATATTCACACATGGTTCCTTTATCTGACCTTAGCTGTCTTTTAAGGCAGATGTAACTGTTCAGTTAAGAGACTGAAGCTCAACAGGCAAAGTTGCGTGCACAAAGCCACACACACACATCAAGTACAGTCTTGGCCAGGGCTGTGGTCATATCCTGTGATCCAAACGAGGTCTCTTGCCACTGTAGCATATTTTTATAAGTCATTTTAAGTTTTGAATTAGTTTTAAAACAATTTTTATTGTTGATTGGTCTTGAACATGCCATAACTAAATGAGATATCTTCCATCTGAGAGCAGAGAACAGAGATTTTCTTTGATCTCCACTCTTCTGAGGAGTCTGTCACTCTGAGAATATGAGAGTCTTTCCTAGCACACACTCTGTAAGTTTGGGTTTTAAATATATCACCACTCCACTCTTTCTCTTCCTGTCATTTCTTTCTTCCAAAACACAGGAACTGAAACCCATGTCTCATCTCTACAACCAGCTGTCAAATCTCTGAATCATGCCCCTCAAAGAGTATTTTTAAGGAACTCTGTTTTTGAGGCAAATGTATCTTAAAGTTTCCTCATCATCTCAGATGGCCTGGAGCCTTCATCCGGCCCCGGTTTCTGTGAACTTGAGGTTGAACTGACCAAGGCTTTGATTTTATGTCCCTTATGCTTGTTTATGTTCATAATCCATGCTGCCCTCTCTCTATGTTTTCTATCCTTTTCCTCTTGAAAACTCATTGAGAGTTTTTGAAACACTTACCTGCAGTCCCAATGTTATGGTATTTGTCTCACATCACACTTGGGAAGGATTTTCTTCCCTTGTATTAAATTTCAAGGCCACTGAGAGTTAGCTTTGTCTTAGCTCTGCTTGGAGACATTTCTTGGATGTTGCTATTCAACCTATAGTGGTGATCATTTTAACATTCTTAAAATCCCAGACATTCAAACCAACACTATTCTTGCTTCAGGACAGAATCCAAAGAAAGAGTTGAATACCTGGAGATGCTATCATATGAATGTGTTTGAGAAGGGGAGAAATGTTACATTTGTCAGCACTGTTAACTACAAAAAGAGTGACCATAAGGACCATTTCCAGCCTGTCAGTCTGCACTATGTGCACTGTATTGAAGGCCGATGTCCAATTATCTTCAGCCAGACTTGGATCAGTATGACTGGGGAGAACCACAAATGCCTGAAATGCACCAGGAGTCTGATTATAGTCAACAGAGAATCAATGCCAAGCCTCCATGGATCCACAAAAACCTGTCCAAGTTGGCAATTCACCTTACATTTTTCTGCACAAGATAAATCTTTGGCTCTCTGGAGTGTTTGATCTGACCTGTAGATGGGAAATGCAATCAGTCACTGTCCTTATCTATGTTAGATTTTGTGTACCATCTATATTGCTAGGTTTCTCCATTATGCCAGACACAGTTGCCCTCTATTGCATGTTTTGATTACAGCAACAGCTTTGGGCTTGTATGAGTCAACTTGAAAACTCCTATTTGCTTACCTAGCTCATTCACCAGCTCAAGCAATTTATATAGACTTATACATCTTACATATGGTATTTTCTGTTTTCCTACCTGATGTGGCCCTTAAGAAATGAGTCATTATCTCATCTCTACTAAATTATTACTTTTAAATAGGAAAAGTGTCAGCCAATCATCCTAGAGAGAACTACCGGAGGCCTCTCAAGAAAGAGTCATGAGCCAGCCTCAGAGAGGGCCACAGAAGCCCAGGAGGGGTGGCTCTTCGAGGGCATTCCTGGGCATAGGTGTTTAGTTGCCTCTTTTTTCCAGTTTCAATGCTGCATTTTCACTTGACGCATTTTCTCAATTTCATTTTAAAAGTTTATGGGTACTATTTTGGAGCCAATTTGTCTTATTAATGGAAAATGCAGACTAGAAGTCAGGAAATCTCCGCCTGTCTATTCATTCATTTTCTTTTCCCCAAATCAACTTTTCTACACTTGCTCACAGTGAGACATAATAGAAATCCATAGAGTAATAAATTGTAAAAGTTCACTTTTTATTAAAATGTGATTATATTTTCATGGATTATATCACTCATTTTCTAAGCAGAGTTGCTGCAATATTGAATCCAGGGACTGCAGAGGACCCTGCCCTATTGTCAACAGCATCCTTCCCCCAACAACACATACACCTGTCAATTCCAGGCCACCAAGACCGCTATTCGAAAACTCAGAAGGCCAGGCATGGTGGCTCATGCCTGTAATCCAAGCACTTTGGGAGGCCGAGGCAGGCGGATCATTTTAGGTCAGAAATTCGAGACCAGCCTGACCAACATGGTGAAACCTTGTCTCTACTAAAAATACAAAAATTAGCCAGGTGTGGTGGTGGGTGCCTGTAATCCCAGCTACTCAGGAAGCTGAGGCAGGAGAATCCCTTGAGTCTGGGAGGTGGAGGTTGCAGTGAACAGAGATGGCGACATTGCCCTCTAGCTTGGGCAAAACAGCAAGACTCCCTCTCAAAAAAAAAAAAAAGAAAAGAAAAGAAAAACTCAGATTTGGGGGTAAATCTAAATAGTATACCTAGGTTCTGAATTAGAAATTCAAAGTTTAAAGGCCAAGTAGCTTAGTTTTGAATAAACTCAATGGGGATTTTGCCTTCAAATAGGTGGATTTAACTCCACTGTCCAGAAGGCATAGGGGTGTAATTTACAAAAGGGAAGCTGAGTTTAAGGAGAAAATGTGGAGCGAGAATGGCAAAGAGGAGGAGGACACAGCTCTATCTGAGGATGGATATCTACCGGGCCCTCAGAAATGGTGCCAGGTGGGAATATTGGACCAGAGTCAAGGTGTCATATTTTATTTCTTAAGAGAAGCCAGGGATTCCAATTTTATCTAATATGTCATCATTTTTATATTTGTATTACTTAGTTTCTTTGTGAAATTCAAAGAGGGTCCCAACTTTCCAATGAGTTACCACTTTCTAGTCTTTGTCATAGAGTCAAAGAAAAGGTATTTTTAGTTTTAATTTATTATTATTATTTTCAAATTCCTTATTTGGAATTTGATGCTCATCTTCTAGGTTTTTTTCCTCTACTCACCTTCCCTGTATGCTGAAATTTGGGAGTGTATAGAGAATGGATTACCTAAATTCTGAAAACGAGAGGAAAACTGCTTGTTAATTCTTTTGGAGATGAAATCCAAATCCACTGGAAGATTCTTGGGACACATTCCTGGAAATCTAGCTTCTTATTTCAAAATTAGACTCCCCATCTTCCTCTTTTGAGGTTAGCTCTCCTATTCAAGTAGAGTAGAGCATTAGGCAGCTAGAGATAAACTAAGTGTAAAGAGACTTTTTCTCAGAAAGATTTATTGCTGTGAGAAGAACATTTACACTCTGGAAGGCCTGCTGATTGAACTTCTGAATTCTTCATTAAGTCTAGGAAGGAGACTTTTTGTCGAAGACTCCATTACACAACATTCTTCACAAGGCTCATCCTGCTCTTCAAAGGCCCTTAATACCAGAATAGACCCATCAGCTTCCTCTTTCCACTAGGGACACCCCCACCCATAAAGCTGGCACTACTATATATTCAAGCATATGTCACTCTAAATTACGTACCCATATAACCCGGAGAACTTGAAGGTAGAGACTCTCCCTGAAAACAGAAATAAAGGAATCTTGTTTAAATAACCTCTATCTCTAGATGATTTAAAATACTTTGACAGATACATATTTTTATTTGAAAAAATGAATCAAAAATAATTCAATCAGAAGAGCAACATCTGTTACTAATCAATAGTCTTGCAAAAGAATTAAAATGGTCTTTTCCTCTCCCCTGAAATCTACTGATAAGTTTTTAGATCCTATGCCATTCATTGAGATCAGACGCATTCACTCTGCCTCAGATCTTGCAATTACATAAATAATAAAGTCCTCAAGGCTGATGGCATGGGAACAGTGGAATGTGTAACAATATAATCAAGAGAAAAATCAATATTTAATATAAAGCATTCTAACACTGTAGAGTAAGATGAATTTTAAAGCTCTTTGTTCTCTGAGGCCAGGTTGTTCCATAGCTAATGTTTTTTACTTGTATTAAATCTTGTGCCATTTTATCTGAGATGATGTCTTATTTTCTTTGTTTATGACTTTGGAAATTATTATAACAAGAAATGTAAAAGAGGCGACGGAGCAAGTACAAATGGATAAAACAGCATTCACTACCCAACACAAGTGTAAACGGGGCCAATAACTTTTTAACTTGACAGTCTCTTAATCTTTTCTAGTGAGCTCAGTGATGATTTTTCTTGTTTCGAAACCTGTCACAGCATTCATTTGTGACCATTTTTATTGCTGGGATTAGTTGAGGTCTATCAATTCTAAAACTCCAGCTCAGCCCAACGAATGTCAACTTTAATCACCAAATGCCAAGCAATGTAAGAATTCCAGTGTGTACCTTTGTGGTTATGATTACATTTTAAAAGAGCACTATAGTTCATGGACTGACCTAAGCCAGCAAAAATTCAAAATATGGGAGGTCTCTGAATAGGGACCATGCCTTTTGTTCTCTCTAAAACCTTTAGCTATATTATTTGCCAGCTCCTAAAGTCAAAATAGAGAGCAGTGGTGTTAAACTTACCAAAGTGGTTGTAATTCATACGTGCACACTGACCACCTGCCCATGTCCTTGGCTTGTCTGGATATGAAAATGTTTTCACTGGAACCTCACCATTGAAATCTGGCTTACTGCTGACATTTAATTTGCATATTTACCAAGGCATGCTATCAGATTTGTATGGCTATTCCTAAAGCTGGATTTACAGATGTCTCCTGGCATATTGAGAAGGTCATCTGATAGAGATGTAGAGAATATACCAAGTGCCTTTTGATATCTGCATTTGGATAATGTTTAGAAGGAGTGATGGTGTTTACCCTGCTCCACCCAGAAGGGCCAATTTGGAATATAAATGATTGCTTTTGGCAAGGGAAGCTTATGAGCTTCTGCCCTGTCCTCCTGCTCAGAGAGAAACAGAGCCGGGAATACAATGCTTTGTGGTGAATCTAGAGTGTTCCCAGAAATAAATTATCTTTTGAATGAGCTGGAAAATTTTATAATTCCCTCTGAAGGTTTAGCAGAAGCACTGCACCTGGACTGGCCATCAGAGGCTCCAAGAAGAATGGCTGTCAGCTTAGGCGTGCAAGAGGGAAGAGTCTTTTAAGACACTGACTTGCTGCAGACTTGTAGCATGAGCCCATGTTGGGAGAGGCAGGTAGAGGCCAGGCATCCAGACACCCAGACATGTGCACACGTGGGACTGCCAACCAAGTAGGGTTGCCAGCCAGCAGAGTCAGAGAGACACTGCCACCAAAGGTATTTGTGCACACCATAAGGGGCTTCACACAACTGAAAGACAGTGGTGGTCTTTCATGTGGAGGTGGGCTTGTTCTAAAGGTGGTGTTCCTCCTCCTCTGGCTCCTGAGTCACACCTAAGCTTTTGAAGCAAATGTCTACCCTGGGCTCAGTCCTCATGAATGTGAATCTGTGATCTGGGATAGGGCCTGGGCATTATTAAGTTACAGTGATGATTCTGACAATGCAAGCTGAGTTTGAGAACTACTACCCTAAGGCATAAAGTTCCCGCAGAACATCATGTATTAGAAGAATCAAACCAAAACAAAACAAAAAACAAGCTTTAGTGAGTGGATTGAAGAGGCTATGGGCCAAATAGGAGGAGGAGGGAGGGTAAACACACATAGATTCCTAGGAAATCAAGCTATGATTAAAAACAAAACAATGGCTTCAAACATTAGGATCCATAAAAATCCCTCAGAAGCTTGTTTAAAATACAGATTCCTTGGCACATGTCCAGAGATTCTGAATCAGTAGATCTGGTCTGGAGTCAGGAATCTGAGTTTCAAAATATGCATTCCAGTAGAATCTGATGCAAGTGTCATAAAGTTGACACTATATTTACCAAAATAAAAAACAAAACAAACCATGATGTAAGCATTTTCTTATTTTTCAAATTGTCAGAGGGTATATCTACACAGAGGACATATGTATTCTCTATATCCCATATAGAGATCTATATCCCATACATAAAATACAATTCTGCAATAAAGATTTCTTCCTCATTTAGGTTAATCATATAGGGCATTCAAGGAATGCCTTACAATTCACTAAAATATTGCCCACATATGGAGTATTATTATGAGATGGACCATAAAAACAGTATTCTACTAGA
Source organism: Homo sapiens (assembly GCF_000001405.40). NCBI lineage: Eukaryota > Metazoa > Chordata > Mammalia > Primates > Hominidae > Homo > Homo sapiens. Next base: position 22,488,527 of record NC_000013.11, read on the forward strand.
TGTTGTGTTTTTATTCTGATTCTGTCATAAATTTTTGAACTAAATCCCAGTGGGTAATTTATATTGCTTAGGTAAGAACTTCAAAATCTATGGTGAGAAATCCATTCAAGAGAGAGCTTCAAGAGTATGTACATCTAAGTTAAAATGGTCATCGTTAGTTCGTCAACTTCTTCATGCAATGAACTCTTTGGTAGGCTTAAAAGTTATTCAGAAAACTTGACCCACCCCATTTGCCTTACCACTAAAAAAATCACAAAGCAGGCCTTCAGAATGATTGTAAAACGTGGCCCTGCCATTACTGTGACACCTGTTCATTCACTTCTAGAATATTTTGTTATTTTTCCAAACTAGTTGGGGGGTTTCGAGAGGCCAAAGAAAAAGTATAAAAACAGGTAAGGCCTAGATTTCTTCCTTGAGGATATTATAATCTAAGTGAAAGATAAGAGTCACATGTGTGAAACAATTGTGAATAATTTACAAGTATAATTAAGTATATTATTTGTAAGTGTAATTAAGTGCTAAAATAAAAGTTATTACTAAATCAATTGAGACAGAAGCTACGTTATATATGGAGCTCACAGTGCAAGAAAGATGAGTAAAAGCTGGGTCATTCAGGCAAAATTCCTGAAGGAGGTGGGGCTAGAGATGCCATTGGATTTATATTCGCTACTTATTTAATGCATGCATTGTACATAAATGCAAATCCCAAATCACTCAATGGACTTGAATCTTTTTTTTTTTTTTTTGAGACGGAGTCTCGCTGTGTTGCCTAGGCTGGAGTGCAGTGGCATGATCTCGGCTCACTGCAACCTCTGCCTCCCAGGTTCAAGCGATTCTCCTGCCTCAGCCTCCCAAGTAGCTGGGATTACAGGCGCCCGCCACCACACCTGGCTAATTTTTGTATTTTTAGTAGAGATGGGGTTTCACCATGTTGGGCAGGCTGGTCTTGACCTCCTGACCTCAAGTGATTCACCCACCGCAGCCTCCCAAAGTGCTGGGATTACAGGCCTGAGCCACCACGCCCAGCCTGACTTGAATCTTTGAATGAGTTCCTAACCATTCCTATCCAGGGCAACAGGAGCCCTGCACGTGTTATTTACTTTATCTATCATCATAGATATCTTTGATATTATCAATGTTGGAATTATTAGGTCACTTGCTTTTTACTAATGACCAGAAATTCCTGACTGGCTAACTCCTGCATGCTTTCTCATTATTTTAGAGCTCACCTCCCATTTCTAGATATTTTACTGTTCATTCCCTGTCTCTTCAATCCTGTGGCCCTTATTCAGCCTCCCAGGTATCAGGGTAGAAGAGTATAAGAAATACAAATTATTTAGCAGAGCGTTCTGGCAAGTATTAAGCAGTGAGTATATCTACTATTCTTAACTCTTAGTAAATGTGGCTAAAAATACATACAGTTAACACAGTTGTATCAATGGTCAGTGTGGTTTGTTGGGGAGCTTAGTGAATAAGAAGAGAGGAGGAGAAATTCATCAAGTCCCACGTCCTTAGGGGTTTTACATATGGCATCTAATGCAGTGCCCAAAACTACTCATAAAAGTAGAAAACCCAAAAGATTTTATGGAAGAGAAAACCAAGGTTCAGAGAGAGGAAGCAAGTGGCCATGGTCATGTCAGAATTTGTACTCAGTGCTATCTGACAAATTCCATCCTCTATCTGGTGCATTAACACACCTAGTGACAACCCAAGGAAGCACTCCCACAAATCAGTGTTCTGCAGTTTCAAAGGCACTTTTTAATTGTATTTATTTATTTTTTAAATTTCAACTTTTATTATAGATACAGGGGGTACATGCACAGATTTGTTACATGGGAATGTTGCATGATACTGAGGTTTAAGGTATGAATCTTGTCATCCTGGTAGTGAGCTAAGTACCCAGTTGGTAGTTTTTTAACCCTCCTCTCCTCCCTCTAGCATTCCACAGTGTCTGTTGTTTCCATATTTATGTTCATATGTGCTCAATATTTAGCTCCCACCTATAAGTGAGAACATGCAGTATTTGGTTTTCTGTTCCTGAGTTAATTTGCTGAGGTTTTTGACCTCCAGCTCCATCCATGTTGCTGCAAAAGATATGGTTTCATTCTTTTTCATGGTTGCATAGTATTTCATGGTGTATGTGTACCACATTTTCTTTATCCAGTCTAACATTGATGGCCACCTGGGTTGATTCCTTGTCTTTACTACTGTGAATAGTGCAGCAGTGAACATACAAGTCCATGTATCTTTGGTCGAATGATTTATTTTCTTTTGAATCTATATGCAGCAATGGAATTGCTGGGTCAAATGGTAGCTCTGTTTTAAGTTCTTTGAGAAATCATCAGACTGCTTTCCATAGTGGCTGATTTTACTGATTTCTAACAGCAACCACAAAAAAAGAGGAACAACCGATTCTCTATTTTATTTTACTTTATTTCCATTTTCCTGATGAAAAAATGAAGACTTAAAGATGTTAGGAAACTTGGGTCAGTAGTGAATTATTCAGAAAAGGGCAAGGATTCAAATAAGAGTCTGCTTATGCCAAAGTTAATGTTCTCTTTTCCACTAGATTGTATTGCTAGCAATTCAGTTGGACTTGAGGATGACTCAAGTCCTCAACAGAAGAAAGTTATTTCCACTCATTGAGCTGCTTGAAATTTTATCACTGGAGACTTGTTGTTTGGGTTTCCTCCTATCTTTAAGAGTGCTATCATCTAGTTCATATGTTCCCCAAAGATGTACCTGCACTATTGCTCATCACAATTTTGTTTAAATCACAAGTTATATGTTACTGCTTAACAATTAATTCCAAACATAGTGTTTCAAAATTATAATGATTGATTTATTTAAGATTCCTCCATTTGAACCAGACTTAACTGGGCTGGGCAGTTCTCCTGATGGTCTCTCCTGAGATTCCTCAGGTGGCTGTAGTCATTGGACAACTTGACTAGGGCTAGATGATTCAAGATAGCCTCACTCATACATCTGGCACTTTGCTAAGACCATGACACTCCAGTTCCTCTCCAAATGGTCTCTCCATCAGATTTTGTATATGGTAGCAGCATGTTTCCCAGAAAACAAGACTCAATGCTTGAGTGCTTATCCAGTGTTAGCTTGGATTACATTTGCTGATATACCATTAGCCAAAACAATTCATTGTGGACAGGATAATGCCTCCTCCCCAAAGATGTTCACATACAATTCCCCAAAACTCGTGACTATTTTAACTTACATGGTGAAAGGGACTTTGCAGATATGATTAAGTTAAATATCGTGGAATGGGAAGGTTATCCTGGACAATTTGGGTGGACCTCATAAGGGTCCTTACAAGAGGCAAGCGGCAGCAGTGTCAAAGTGAGAGAAGGAGACCTGATAACAAGAGCAGAGGCTGGAGTAATGCAGTTACAAGCCAAGATTCATAAGTGGCCTCTAGAAGTTGGAAAACACAGGAATGAGTTCCCCCCCTAAAACCTTCAGAAGGAAGCCTTCTCTGCTGACATATTGATTTCAGTCCTGTTAGAACAGTTTTCTATTTCTGACATTAAGAACTATAAAATAATATATTGGTGTTGTTTTGAGCTACTCAGTTTGTGGAAATTTGTTATAGCAACAACTGGAAACTAATACACACATCACATATCCAAGTCCAGAAGCAACATGGAAGAAGATCATCCAAGAATCTAAAAGTTAGAAGATGTGATTCACTGAGGCTCATTAATGTAGCAATCTATCACACAGAAGATCTAAATTTTCAATAATAGGGGATTTTTAAAAATAGAGTGTTTCCTAATGATAGACTACTACACTACTACACATTTTTTAAAAGGTAGTTAAGTCTGGCTCAAATGGAGGAATCTTAAATTTATGTCCATATGTGCATTGTAATAACAATGATAATAGTAATAATAATGATATGTTGTAATAATAATAGTAAGTAAAAAGATAAGTTGTAGAAGAACGACATCCTAAATTGTTCACGATGTTAAATTTCAAAAGCAAGCTACAGAACAGCAGCTACAATATGAATTCACATTGTTAGAGGAACATAAATAAACATCTTATTTTCAGAAAGAAAAACAGATAATAGAAAGATGGGTAGATATAAATAGTATGTGGGTAAATATATGTATAAGCTCTAAGAACTAGAAGCATACCTGACAAAATGTATACTGAAGTTTATGGGTATAAATGTATATTGAAGTTTATGGTTTTTGTTTTATTTGTTTCCACATACTCTCAAATATTCCACGATGAGGATTTGTATTTTTGTTACAGAAGCAACATAATACTATTATTTAAGTATAATACATATTTTTGAAGAAAACAAAAACTAATAATGCTTTTGGGAGGGCTTTATTAATAGGGTGTACTTTTGTTGGTGTACATTGTGTTATTGCTTTGAAAAAATAAGGGCTGTATAAATGTCTTCTTTTGAGAAGTGAGTGTTCATATCCTTTGCCCACTTTTTGATGGGGTTGTTTTTTTCTTGTAAATTTGTTTACATTCCTTGTAGATTCTGGATATTAGACCTTTGTCAGATAGGTAGACTGCAAAAATTTTCTCCCATTAGTAGGTTGCCTGTTCACTCTGATGATAGGTTCTTTTGCTGTGCAGAAGCTCTTTCGTTTAATTAGATCCCATTTGTCAATTTTGGCTTTTGTTGCAATTGCTTGTGGTGTTTTCATCATGAAGTCTTCGCCCATGCCTGTGTCTTGAATGGTATTGCCTAGGTTTTCTTCTAGGGTTTTTATGGTATTGGGTTTTACATTTAAGTCTTTAATCCATTTTGAGTTAATTTTTGTATAAGGTATAAAGGATATAAGAGGTCCAGTTTCTATTTTCTGTGTATGGCTAGCTAGGTTTCCCAGCACCATTTATTAAATAGGGAATCCTTTCCCCATTGCTTGTTTTTTTCAGGTTTTTTGAAGATCAGATGGTTGCAGATGTGTGGTGTTATTTCTGAGGTCTCTGTTCTGTTCCATTGGTCTATATGTCTGTTTTGGTACCAGTACCATGCTGTTTTGGTTACTATAGCCTTGTAGTATAGTTTGAGGTCAGGTAGCATGATGCCCTCAGCTTTATTCTTTTTGCTTAGGATTATCTTGTCTATACAGGCTCTTTTTTGGTTCCATATGAAATTTAAAGTAATTTTTTCTAATTCTGTGAAGAAAGTCAATAGTAGTTTGATGGGGATAGCATTGAATCTATAAATTACTTTGAGCAGGATGGCCATTTTCCAATATTGATTCTTCCTATCCATGAACATGGAATGTTTTTCCATTTGTTTGTGTCCTCTCTTATTTCTTTGAGCAGTGGTTTGTAGTTCTCCTTGAAGAGGTCCTTCATGTCCCTTGTAAGCTGTATTCCTAGGTATTTTATTCTCTTTGTAGCAATTGTGAATGGAAGTTCATTCATGATTTGGCTCTTTGCTTGTCTACTGTTAATGTATAAGAATGCTTGTGATTTTTTCACATTGATTTCGTATCCTGAGACTTTTCTGAAGTTGCTTATCAGCTTAAGGAGTTTTTGGGCTGAGACGATGGAGTTTTCTAAATATCGAATCATGCCATCTGCAAACAGACAATTTGACTTCCTCTCTTCCTATTTGAATACTCTTTATTTCTTTCTCTTGCCTGATTGCCCTGGCCAGAACTTCCAATACTGTGTTGAATAGGAGTGGTGATAGAGGGCATCATTGTTTTGTACTGGTTTTCAAAGGGAATGCTTCCAGTTTTTGCCCATTCAGTGTGATTTTTGTCTCTTGGTTTGTCATAAATAGCTCTTATTATTTTGAGATATGTTCCATCAATACCTAGCTTATTGAGAGTTTTCAACATGAAGGGATGTTGAATTTTATAGAAGACCTTTTCTGCATAGGACAAATACCTAATGCATGCAGGGCTTAAAACCTAGATGATGGGTTGATAGGTGCAGCAAACCACCATTGCATATGTATACCTATGTAATAAACCTGCACATTCTGCACATGTATACCGGAACTTAAAGTAAAAAAGTAAAATAAAATAAAATAAAATAATAAAGTTTTTTATTTTATTTATTTTAACTTACATGGTGAAAGGGACTTTGCAGATATGATTAAGTTAAATATCTTGGAATGGGAAGGTTATCCTGGATGATTTGGGTGGACCTTATAAGGGTCCTTACAAGAGGCAAGAGAAGAAGAGTTTCTGCCCTTGCAGAAAGTGTAATCTACTGCCCTTGAAGATGATCTATTTTACTCAAGGAAGCAAAATACGCACTTATGAGAAAATTAGATCATATAAGATTGCCGTAATGCTTAAGTGACAATCAACTAGGTAGGGAAAATACATAGAGGAGAAAGGGCAACTTATCAAAGCCTGGTCTTGGGGGCAGGTAGCTTTGAACTAACATTGACAATAAGTGAGGATACATGTGCTCGTGGAACAAAGGACAAAGTTTGCGGGGATAAGCAGAACCAGCAGAGGAAACAGTCCTAATAGAGACATAAACAAACTCAGAACACAGAGAAGGCACACATTTACCTGAGTAAAACAAGAGGTTTGTGTATTGGAGTAAAAGATAACTTAGGGTGAAATCATTGAAAGAAGCAACAGAGGAAGAGAGCTTCAAAAACTAAGCTGAAAAAGTCAGAATGAAATTTTAAAAATATATATTTTTCGTGTCTTTGCTTTATTTTGTTTTGTGTTTAACCATCTTGACAGCAGAAGAGGTAAACGCTAAGTTGTTGTTTTCTTGTTTTGTGTGTGTTTTTTAATTATTCCTTTGGAAAAAATATTTTTTAAAATTATTTTAATGGGTCCAGATCTCCTACTAATCTGATATAAGTCTGGTCAGGCCACACTGTGTGCAATTTCGGGGCCCTGCCAACATTAGAAAGATACCTACTTAAAATAAACCAAATTTGATTTAATAGAAAACAAAAAGAAAAATATTTTAGCCCTTCGTAACTCATTGCCCCAAAGATAACATCATGACATTGCTTACTTGCCTACTCTCACTTTCAGCTTTTTATAAAGCTTACTCGTGCAATAAAGAGATGCAAACGACCAAACCTACTTTCTCTGCTTGTCTTATAATGGGAGCACAATAGGTACAGAACAAATGCTGGTGCAAAAGTTAAGAATGCATTGAACCCAGGGCTCCAAAGGGGAGGGGAAGCACATCTAGGAATTTCCCATTTGTAAACCAGACTTTGAATCTAAGACACTTGGGAGTTAAGGTGGAAAAAAAAGAGGAATGTGACACTATTCCCTCCAAAAGATTGTTTTTAAGTGTTAAATCTCCCACCAAGAAGGACTGATACAATTAGGGTGGAAATAAAAGAGGCATCTGTTCTAGTTCATCAGACAGACCACCTACCACACTTTACTTTAAGCCTCCCAGCCTCTGACATGTCCAACTTTTTCTGTTTCAAAGGAAACATTACTAGGTTCAGCAGCCACAGATGGAGCTCTGACAATTGTGATGCGCCTGCTGTCACTGTGCGAGTCAGGGTCATCTATCAATGGTGTTTTAGTCCTGATATTGCCTCAGACTAAGAGACTCTACAGGGTAGAGGCTCTAGTGTGTAGGGCAGGAGGCAGAGGACCCTTGTTCTTGTCGCCTTCTGTCCTTAGCATTTACAACAGGTACCATCGGGCAGACAGAACAAGGGCACTCCTCACCTCATCTTCATCCTCTGAGAAGCAAGAGGTGGACTTTGCATGCTCTGATGTGATTGACAGATATTTTTAAAAACTAAACTCATACTTAATTTTTATTTCAATTTGATGTTTTTGCATGTTTGGTTTTTTTCAAAGTCAGATCAATTAAAGCAAATGTGCTTCTGTGGCAAAGCATGTGAAGTGAGAAAAATGGAAACAGTGATTCCATCGTATTTCACTAGTCAGATCCATATTTCTCTCAGGGGAATTTGGAATTTGGAGAGGGAATTATTGCCTATAAAGAGATGGTCGTGCTTGGAGCTCTTAGCTTGACACCTCCCAGTGCTCCATTTCCTCAGAATACATTTTTTCCAGCTGCTTTTCTGTTTAAACTGTGATTTAGCTATTGTGCTTATGCTTGATTATTATAGTGAAAAGAGATTTATTATTATAACTTATATTTGAATTTTTGAGAAAATTCTGTGGTAGCAGTTTGAATTCTTTAGAAACTAAGATAAGAGGAGGCCCTACTGAACAAAGGCAGCACAAGGAAACAGTTTATTGAGACTATTCAGAGAAAATCAGATTTTAAATGTCCAGTATCTTACGCTTTGACATGCATTCAAAACTTAAAATTATTTTAACCCTGGAAAAACTGATTTCTACCACAGAGTAGCTTCTGTTATTTTAGATGATCTAATCTTTGGGGAGGGTCTTCACTTACTCTAGTGGCCCCACAGGATCTTCTCAAGCCATTTTCTGGAGCACAAAAATAGGGCCCCACTCCGAGGAGCGCTGCGTGAGCCTGGGGCACTGTGGCCCTGACGCCTGTCCTGCACGGTTCCCACCCAGCGCGGCCTGGCAGGGAGAGGGCTATAACGGTGCATCCCTCCAGATGGGCATTTTAAAAATACACACAGGAAAACCACATCATCCATTGTCCCGTTTTAGCTTTCGCTCAAGGGAAAGTAGTATTTTCAAATCATTTCAACGAAAAGCATCAATTTTAAGGTCAGATAAAATATCTTCCTTTAGATTTAAGAATGTTCCATCCTATCTGACAGCCTGCTGCCAGGCCATGCTTCCACTTGTACAAGGCCACGGGTGATTTTAACCACTCTGCTTGCAGGCGGGGCCTGTGTGAGTGTCCGTGCTCAGCTCTTCGGGGCTCTGCTAAGAAAACTGTTCTGGTGGAGACTTCTCATGGCCATGTGACGTGACGTGCTGAGAAGATCAACAAGGGACATTCAGTTACTGAAATCTTAGGGAAAATTCTATATAGTGCTATGAATATTTATGCCAGAGGAAATGAGAACCTGCACAGATTTTATGTGGCAAATGCTCACAAAAATAGTGTCTAGTCCTCTAGCTGTGTTATATGGTTCTGAACCAGCGTTTTCACAAAACAGTGGAACTCACAGTTTCCACACATTGAAAGGGAAAGGTTCCATCAGAGATGAATCAATGCCTCATTGTCCTGTAATTGTCTTATAATGAAACACTGTAAGAATGTAGACATCCTTAGTATGTCCTCACTAGCTGCTAATTTCAGACAATTTGATTTCCAAAACATCTGTAGAAGACAAAATGTGAGATTTTTCCTCATCATTAATATAATACATTTCTTTGTAGCTAAGTTGAAAGAAAAAGCATAAAAAGAATTTTAAAATGACTCACAATCCCATATCCAACAGCTAACACTATTGTTAACACTATTGACACATGGGTGTATTCCTTTCCAGCTTTAAAAATAATCTGTGCACATTTGTACATTTTTGATTACACAGAAATATCATTTTTTTAAAAGCTGTTTCCAAGACAAACTAATATCACAATAATAGTCAAGTACTGAATGTTAAGAAAAAATCAATAAAATTCTGTCGAACTCTAAGTCACATTTTCGATATCTTCTTCTTGCCTTAGTGGGCTGCTCGGAAGTGGGAGCTGGGGAAAGAGCCTCCTTTGCATTGGCTATGGCAGCATAAATGCGCTTCGCCCGCACAGATCGGGTTCCCGTCACCTGCCTCAGCTTAATTATTAATAGACTCCTGTCTCACCCTCAAAGGTATCCCAATTGAGACAATAAATTATATGGTCACCCTCTGTAAAAGGCAGGCTGCTTTTAATGCCTCCACACACTTTTCATGGGAAATTAAGTGTTCACCTGGGTATTGAATCTGCTTATCCAGGGAAAAATCTTTTTCTCCTGTAGAGGGTTTTGTTGGTGGTCTCTTACCCAGACTGTCACTTATAATTGTCTCTCCCTAGAGCAAAAGAACCATTTAGTCAACTTTGCTTTATTCAGGGGCGGGGGGGTCGGGTATGAGGGTTAGGGGAAGAAAGCCCCACCGTAATCCAGAAGAGTTCTTTTGAGGAGACGGGGTGGGAAGGGGGAGGTGGAATGAATAATGTTGAAGTGTGTACACTGAGAAATGGATGGATTGGGTTGCTTGCACCGGAGAGGTCATTTTTCAATGCTGCCGAGTGCGTTCAGTCCATCAGCTCATCTCTTAACTTTGTCTCCACTTTAAATTTTTTATGGATCAACCCAAGGGTAATGAACCAGAAAATCCTACGGCTATTGTGTTTTTGTTATGAATTCCTGTTCCTAGGAGTTTGCAACTCAGGTGCAAAAAATAGTTGTTCTGACTTGAAACGACTTGAAAATTGAGGTAGGAGGTTCAAACATGGGGGCAAATATTTTCTTACAGGCTGCCTGATTAATAGCTAGGATAGGAAAGTGTCAGGAAATGTGATATTTAGATGTTTCGAATTCTAATAAAAATGAAATTTGGAGAGAAGTAAGGGAGATGTGCTGACTATCAGCCATCAGCTTCACTGTTGGTTTCTGTTTCGATATGGACTTTAATTTGATTCATAAATTTATTTTTATACTTCTCTGGTTGTTTCTTTGTTCCACAAGTGTCTTTTTCCTCTGGAAAGAGTTTCATGAAGGTGGATAACTTTTCTCTGTGTCAGTTTGCTTTTTTTTTTTTTTTTTTTCGAGATGGAGTGCAATGGCGTGATCTCAGCTCACTGCAACCTCCACCTGCCGTGTTCTAGTAATTCTCTTGCCTCAGCCTCCCAAGTAGCTGGGACTACAGGCATACACTACCATGCCTGGCTAATTTTGTATTTTTAGTAGATACGGGGTTTCGCCATGTTGGCCAGGCTGCTCTCAATCTCCTGACCTCAAGTGATCCACCTGCCTCAGCCTCCCAAATTGCCGAGATTACAGGCATGAGCCACCATGCCGGGCCGGTGCTAATACCTTCATAAGTACCCGAAGCATAATGGGTTCTTGCATGTCTATTGAATTCTCAAGCCTTAGCTGAGACTCTTTATGGAACTGGTACATAAGCATAGTCCCCATTGTCTGGTATTAATAGCCTTAACTTCACCATTTCTGTCCATTCTTTCTCTTTCTCTCTGCTTTTTTTCAGATCTCAAGTGTCCATATTGAATTAATCATAATCAATGGCTAATGACACACACAATCACACTATAATCCTGGGTCCATGTATAGCCCTGTTTTACTCATTTACTTTCATTTATTCATTCATTTAATAATATATCAAATTCTTGTGAACCACTTCCTCATCAAAGACCTGCCCATTCACGTAAATGCTCTTCCCCAACCCATCACAAATTGGCCTAAATAATATGTTGTCTACATTTACATGTTTCAGGGAATTACTCTGAACGTCTCTTCTGATATTTTCTTTTTGACCAAATGTGACTTTACAGAGATGCTTCTGTGCTGTTGCATGAGCTGCCATTCTTTAATTTTCACTGCTCATGACATTCCATTGTATGTGTCTTAATTTCTGTGAACAGGCATTTGGGTTATTTCCAGGTTTTGGTAGTTAAGGTAATTAAGGAAATGGTTTCTATGAGCATTCTTGGAATGTCTCTTGATAGACACATATCTGGGTGTTCTGCTAGGCATGGAATTCCTGGCTCATAGAGTGTGCTAATGTTCAGTTTCACAAAATAGTGCCAAAATGTTTTCCATGTGGTTGTACAATTTGTACTCTCTCTAGTGATGTATGAAAATGTCCACAGATCCACATCCTTTCCAACATTTGGTATTGTCAGACTTCTTAGTCTTCAACAGCTAAAGGGGTTTAAGATGGCACTTTATTTGATCTTGATTTGCACTTCCTTAATTAATGCCTTTGAATGTCTTCTCATGTTTGTTACCATTAGTGTTTCCTCTTATGCAAAATACCTGTTCTTGATTTTTGTTCAATTTTCTCTTGTGTAGTTTGTCTTTTCTCTTATTCCTTCGAAAATGTGTTTCTGTTGTGTGTGTGTCATTGTTTTTTGCATATTCTTGATACTAACCCTTTGTCACTTTTATGTGTTCCAAATATCTTCCCCCAGTTTGTAGCTTGTCTTTCGCCTTATGTAAGATGTCTTTTGATGAACAGATTTTTTAAAAAATCAGTATAATCAAATGAATAATTCTTTTTTGTTATGTTTGGCACTTTTGGTGTTATGTTTAAGAAATATTTCCCTACCCTGAGGTCATAAAGCTGTTCCCTTACATTTTATTCTAAAAGTTTTAAAGTTTTACTTTTGACATTTAAGTTCTTAATCCATCTGGATTTCATTTTTGTGTATGGTTAAAAGTAGGAAATCCATTTTCATTTTTTTCCAAATGAATAACTGATTTTTCCAGCTCCATTTGTCGAACTATATTTTTCCCTTTATCAGTGTCATAGTAGCTCCACAGAAAATTCAGGAAGAACTCCCAAGAGTTTCTTCTCTCTAATGTTAAAAGATAATAGTAAATAAAAATCATCACTTTGAATCAGTACGTATGAGGTAGCACATCAGAAAATTTTATCCGTTTAATCACAACAAATATATTGATTAGGTATGCTATTTATCTACATTTTATAGAGAAGCCAAAGGCGGCTACAAAATGTTAAATGGACATTTATAATAAAGGTAAGTATTTCCCGAGGTCCTGCAGCTGACTGGGGCAGAGTAAGGATTCTAGCACAGGCCCAACAGTTCATGCTTTCACCATGTTGATAGAAAGGGAATTAAATAGAGCCAGCAGTTTTCTTGCTGTTTGTCCACCTTTGAAAGTAAAAAGGAGGGATTGTCCCACTAGTAAATAAGTAGATTGAATTGCCCTTTGGCAACTGACTTTCCCTTCTTTTTCACAAAGCCCATAAATTGACACTATCCATTTCTCTCTTCGCTACCACATGGTGTACATTCTTCCAGTGTACCATGTTCAATGGAAGAATTCTTTTTTCCTAGAATAAGAAGGAAGTATTCCAACTAGGATATGCAAGCACTGAGCCAAGGCTGTGGAGCCTTGTCTAGAATGGGTGCTGCCCTCTCTCTTCCCAGGGAGCACTGCTTGGTCATGACGCTGGATGATCAGCATTTGTGTAAATGAGCGATTTTCTCATCACTTGTTTAATACTGCAACAATCTCCTCCTCAAACATGCTCTGTGACATATAAGTAATTTTGTAAGGAGATAGCCTTTATTTTAGAAAATTGTTTCAAATTTTTTGCAACTTTAAAGAAGATACTCAAAATCAGTGTTGATGTGGAGCAATGGGAAACACAGACTTATAATCAATTTGCTGCAGGTTAGAATCCCACCCTTCTCCTTACTAGCTACATACCTTTGGACAAGAAATCTAAATTAGGGGTGGCCACACTTTTTCAGTAAAGGTCTAATAATAAATACTTTATGCTTTGTAGACTACACAGTGTCTGTCACAGGTACTCAACCCTGCTGTGGTAGCATGAAGACAGACACATTAGAAAGATACATTTAACAACGAATTTGCTATGTTCCAACAGAAATTTATTTATAGATACTGAAATTTGAATTTTATTTAGTGTATCATAAAGTATTATTAAAATTTTTCCTAGTCATCTAAATGTAAACACTTTCATTTCTTGGACTACAAAATACAGGCATCAGGCCAGATTTGGCTCTAAGACAGTAGGTTGCTGAATCCTGATCTAAACTGTCTTCAGTGGTCTCATCTGTAAAATTCATATTACAAGAGTTGTCTCTTGGCATTAGGTTGTGGATGGTGTGAAATCAGTGAGCTCCTTCATTTCACCAAGTACTAGCCCCAAAGTAGAAACTCAATAATTTTTTTAAATTTAAAAGTTATAAATTATTATTGCAATTATTAATTGCAATAAAAGGCTTTATTAATTGTAATAAATAGCTTTTATTATTAACTGCAAAAATTGATATTTGATAAATATTCATTGTCTCTGAGTGTCTGGTACTGCTCTAAGTGCTGGGGATGCAGTAATCACCATGACACACAAAGTTCTTGTCTTTCTAATGCTGACCTTCTAGTGGAAGGAGAAAGATGTTAATACAATAAAAAGGTAGGATTTATGGCACGTCAGGTTGTCATAAATACGAGGAAAAATAATCAGGGAAGGAGTATAAAGAGAATATTTAGTCTGTGGTTTTAGACTTTGGAGTCATCAACACATACATGGAATGTCAAGCTATCAGATTTTGAGATCATCAAGAGAGTGAGTGTAGATCATGAAGTGAGAGAGGTCTTCATTTTGAACTATTATTTAGCTGTCAGGGAGATCAGGAGGAAACACCCAAAGAGACTGAGAAGGAGGACGATCAGGAGAGCATACTCTTCTGATTGCCAGGTGTTAACAAAGGCTGGGGACAAGAGGAGGGAGATATCACCAAATCAAAACTCTTCCTTGGTCCAGCAAGACGCAGCCTGAGCTGGGATTTAAGGATTCAGTAACACGGAAGTCACTGGTCCCCTTCACAACTTAGGTGGTGGTGGGTGAGGGAGTATCATAGAGCCTGACTTGTTCCCGAGAAAACAAGAAGAAACAAGCAATTGGAAGGCAGTAGAGACATCACATTTAAGGATTTTCCCCGTTAAGCAAAGATGAAAATGCACCAATAACTGGCAATGGAAGGGTAGGTTCAGATGAGGCAGTGTTGAGAGCTTTGCTTATTTTAAATTACTTTTTTTAAAATAAAAGAAATAACAACTTGTTGGTATGCCAATGGGAAAGATTCAACAGAGAAAAAAAATAAATGATGCAACAGAGGGACCAGCAAATCACTGGAGACCAAGACCACAATGGTTCAAAACCACTATGGAGATGAAGGAGTTGGGCCTCGCTGGAAGCACCAGGAATCATCCATAGAAACAGCAGAGCAGCCGAGGAAACAGACAGAGCCAGGTGGGTGTGTATACTGGTAGGAGACCTCTCCTGGCTCTTTCTATTTTCTTAGTGAAATAGGGCTGCAGCTGAGAGTGATAATGAGTGTCTGAAGTTGGAGGGCAAGAGAAGATCTAAATAATCATATATGATTAGTGTTTAATGATTGTTGGGCATTATTTACAGCAAAGTTTCTTAGGTGGGGTACATGGATTTAATAGTGTGTAGATGGCCTTTAGACTATCCATAGATTCCCTGCAAAATGTATAGGTGGATATTCTCCAAATATGCATTTCTCTGGAAAGGAGTTCATAGCTCTGCTCAAATTATCTAATGGGTTTATGACCCAGACAAAATTTTGTAAAAGAAAAAAATATATATACATATATATATTTACAATCAACCTACTGATGAAAGATTGCAGCCAGAACCAAGAATCAGAAATACTTCTATACTTCTGCTCGATGCCTGGCTGTTGTGATGGGAAAGCTGACAATCACCTTGCCTTGGATGCTGGTTTCCTTATGTGGAGCAAGAAAAGTAATTATGGCTGAAGCCCAAGTGCTATGGTCCAGCTATGGAATCATATTCAAAGGGAGTCGTCAGAAGGAGACAGTGCCCTAGGTTGCTATCAAGAGGAGACAACTCCAACATGGGCCATAGAAATTTAGGTCCAAGTGAAAAGTCTGAAGGATCAGCTGAAAGCCACAAGCTTAGCTCTGCTGCTCCCTGCCAAACCCCATCCCTCCATTATCCCTGGCCCTCTAACCTCCGCTTGCCTTTGAGAATGATTTGCAATGGTGAAACCATATTCAAACCACAGATATTCAGGACAATTTAATTTCCTCAAAGTTATAGAATCTATTTATTATTTTTTAATTTTTATTTGTTTATTTTTTTGAGACGGACTCTCCCTCTGTAGCCCAGGCTAGAGTGCAGTGGCGCAATCTCGACTCACTGCAACCTCTGCCTCCTGGGTCCCACTTTAAGCAATTCTCCTGCCTCAGCCTCCCAAGTAGCTGGGATTACAGGCATGTGCCACCATGCCCAGCTAATTTTTGTATTTTTAGTAGAGACGGAGTTTCACCATGTTGGCCAGGCTGGTCTCAAATACACGACCTTGTGATCCGCCTGCCTCAGCCTCCCAAAGTGCTAGGATTACAGGTGTGAGCCACCATGCCTGGCCTCAATTTATTTTAAATATGCAGCTGTGGAAGAGGAAAAAATAATAATAGGTTCAAAACTGAAACACATTTTCTATTTCAGATTATGTAGTATTGAATGACCCATTAGAGTAATCAAATTAAGAAATTCTTTGGTATTTTTTTAATTTTTTGTGTTATTTAATTTAATAAATTTTACACTCCCAAAAGACAAGGTACAAACAGAGAAGTTATTTTATGTAGAATACTGATCATAGAGTTTGGACTAAAAATCTAAATTGTGATGAAGTTAAATTGTGTCACATATAAACTAATCATTTGAGAAACTTAATCTTAGATTTTTCATGAAATTCAAAAAAAAAGGCAACTTAATGTTTCAATTAATAGCTCTTTTTGGTTAAAGGTAAACAAAAAAATCCTCTAAGCTGATCTTTCTTTGACACTGATACATATCTTCCTAACTTTTACTTCAAAGCCAAAGGGGGAAAAAAAGCCGTTTTGCCTGATTTTTGCCTTTGGTATTATTAAAACAAGAGGAAGAAAGCCTGTCCCAGGCTGAGATGTTATTTACCAAGTTAAAGGATAAAGCCAACTGTCATGTCCAAGTTATAAAGTCCTTATGAAAACACCAACTTATAATGGAAATTTTGACCCACTTAAGCTCTGGTAAGGCAATGTGATTCAAGAATAATAATAATGATAATAAATCTGGTTTTCCTATATTCAAACTCATACCACATTCTTGGTGTGAGGAAAATCAATTTATATTTCCAGGGAGGAATTCCAAAGTAGAATTGGGTATTTATCATGACTGAAATGAACTGAAAACCTCTTCTCATTTTATTTTAGAGATTTTCTACATGTTTACATTTGTTATTTTTAAAGTTAATAATTTAATGAAAAATATTTTCTGTTAAAATTGACCTTTCCACTTATTCCTAAAGAAAGTTACCACCATTTTAATTAAATTAGGTATGACTGAAATTCATTTTATTAAATATTCCACTTAGAAAAAAAAAACTCTTTCATAGCAAAGTATGCACTTGCTTTAGTCTTGGCATTTTTCTCTTTAGCTGCCGTCATCCGATTGAAGCATTTGCTTTGAAATGCCTGCCAAATATTTTTGCCCAATACCACAATAACAATGTAGCAATGTATGAGTGATTTATCCTAGTCAGTTTACAACTGCCCGGCCAGGGTGGACTACTCTGGAGTTCAAATAGAAGGTTTGCTTTTCTCTCTTAAATGGCAAGTAGACTCTAACAGCGTGTTTGTGTGCCAGGTCTGACAAGATGTGCCCTATGCAGGTGTAAACACTGTCAAGTAATTAATTGGTGGTTTTAACTGAAAAAAAATAAAAGATGAGAGCACAAATATTTATGCACATGTCCATCCATGACTGCATAGATATGCACAACTGCGTATACACATATGTATATTAATTACTTTTTCACTGATTCCAATTAAGAGTTTTATTATGGACAATTAAAAAATTAAGTAAGTGAAAACATCATTTCTTTGCTTAAGTATTTAAAAAACCTATTTTTATTCATACAATTAGTGCAAGCATGCCTTCTTTGCATTACCTATTCAACTTTACTCAAAACAACCAGAATGAATGTATTTTCAAATTTGTCTCTAGTTTTACTTCTGTGTGTGGCTTTTGAAAAGATCCACAACAAGGAAAAAATGCTTGTACGCTGCAGTTCCAAAGGCTGAATGCTTATTTAGAAAGGTCGCTGTATCCAAAGGACAGATTGCCAGTTCTTTTGAATTTTCCTTACTTGCCCCTTCTATGGAAACAGAAAGAAACACGAATCATCAGCTGGGAGGCAATAGGTAGAGACCACCCAGGGCAGAGCTCATTTAGCGTCTAGTGACCTTCTGTTAGACACACAGCAAAGCACGGAGGAAAAAATCCAGACGCAATCCCCACAGAGTCCTGAAGTATTCTCTACTTCATCTTGCTCTTTCAAGGCTTCAAAGACGCAGAAGCGGCTGATTATTTTAAAAACAAAGCAAGACCAAACTGAGCCTGACCCTGCAGAGAGCTTCAGCCAGTGTTCTCTGACCTCCTTCCTCCCACATCACTTGCCCTATTCTGGAGAACTATGTTCTGTTTTCTTTTCTTAAAGAGCTGTCAAGGAAGTGGTCTCGTGAAATATTCAGTCACTAATGGTGGACTCTTGACAAATAAAAACATAGCTCTATACCCAAGTACTAGGCCTGGTGAAGCAAATTCTTCTGCTGTGTGCAATGAATTTTACATGATGCAGCTCTGGGATAATGACTTGGACATCAGCAAAGACCCTTCCTGGATTAAACTGAGATCCAGCAAGACAAATGGACAAGGTGCTATGCCTGGAACTACTAGGGCAACATAAGTTTGGTTAAGAAGTTTGGTAGTGACATTAACTGCAATAGGAAATTAGGTGATTTCAAACACACTTCACATTTTTCAGAATGTTTTGTGGGAATTTTTTAAAATTTAATTTTGTCTGTATGCATGTTTGTGCTGGTATCAGTAGTTCATTTTTTTTTTTTTTCAATTTACTACATAGCTTAATCAGTGGACCTCCTTGGAAAGGAACTGGTTTAGAGTTTGGGTAAAGAACATGATTATTCTAGGTGCAGGGTGGGGCGAGTTGGCAGGATGGTGGCAAATAGACAACCAAATGGATAAAAAGCAAAACTGTGGGTGAGACTTGGTGATAGTACAGATAAACAGGTTTAAGGTAGACAGTCATTTCTTGGGTCAACAATATTTATTGAGTACTTTGCATTGGTTAGATACTGAAGTAAACTCTGAGAATTCAAAAGATAAATAAAGCAGAGCCCCTATCTTCAGTGAGCTTAGAGTGTAATGGAGAAGACAAGCCTACAAACCAGATTTTTATCTTTAATGCAACTAACACATTCCATTTATTACCAGGCTGGCAATTAGTAGATAATCAAGAAATGTTTTTGAATAAATGAATCAGTTTTCTAGCACAGGGCGTTCTTTAGTAGGTAACTAATAAATGTATGTTCCCTAAATAGTTCAATATTTGTTTTGCAATATTTTTCATGTGTGTGTTTTTAAAATGTTTTTGTTACTTTTTTTCTCCCCCAAAAGTCAGTAAGTTCACTGAGGCCAGACACCATGTTTAATATTTCTTGTCTGGGGCTTAGTACAGTGACTGAGGTCTGGCAGTGAGGATTACATCCTGGGAAGGAGAAGATTTCTTTAGGTTTCATTTTCTGTCTTTAAAAGTCATGTGCATTTTACTTATATGACTATTTGAATATTAAAGTAACTTATTGACATTAAAATGTTTAATGATTCACACATGGTTGTCTTAAAGTCCTTTGATTTCAGAAATCAGGCTGAATTGAAGTATACTAACAGCATATATCAGACTCAGCTCTGGGTAATTTCTCATCTTTAATCTGCTGTCACAGTATTTTAAGAATCCAAATATATGTCTTCAGACTTCAACAGAGTATGCTGCCTCATGGGCTCCTCAAAATTCTAAGGTATCACCACATATCCCCAGGCATACACCTAGAGTGAGACATGGTGCCTTAGACCTGTGGCATTATATAGTAATCAATCAAGAGTGATGCATCTGTGCTAGTCATTCACCTGTCTGCTCTCAGATTCGACCCCATTTTCCTCTTTGCTCTGCTCTGTATTCAGGGTGTTTCACTCTACAAACACTTTGTCAACTGATATTCATCTGGGTTTCTGAAATGGAAACCCTGGTATGAAACCGTAGGTTTCAAAGGAGAGAGAGATTCCAGGGGATTGGCCTTGTCTCTGTTGTCCATTCTCCAGCAGTGGTTGTGATTCCTTCGGAGTCCCACCTCCTGCCAGGAAGCCCCGGCTCCTGGACTCTGGTAACAGCACCTTCTTCCCATTTTTCCTCCAGTCCTTGAATGAGTGGTAGCTTCCTGTAGCCCTTCTTAGCCCTCGTGGCTTTTCCAATAGTTTTATCACGAGTTCCTCATATTAAATTCCCTCTGTTGAAATACCAGGCATTCACACAGCAAGTTATTTATCCAGAGTTTATTCCTTTTACATGAAAAACATAAATGAAGTAAAACATTTGCATTATTTTAGATTTATTTGGCAGCAAAGGAAAGGAAAGATAACCTTTCAGGTTAGCACATAAACGATTACGTACTAGAATAGAATAATGCTAACCTGAAAGGTTATCTTTCTTTTCCTTTGCTGCCAAATAAATCTAAAATGATGATGATTCTTATATGTAATCGTTTATTACATATTAGCAATAATTATTATTGCAATTACAAATATGTAATAAACGATTACATACTGGAATAGTGCTAACCCAAAAGACTATCTTTCCTTTCCTGCCTTTCTTTTATTCTCTGCCAAATAAATCTAAAATGATGCAAACGTTTTACTTAATTTATGTATAATATTTGCATCATTTTAGATTTATTAGTAATTATTAGTAATAATAGTAATAATAATTAGTAATATAATTATTAGCAAACTTATTGCATATAATTATTAGAAATAATTATTGCATATAATTGTTATATTGCATAAAATAATCATTGCATATAATTATCAGCAATAATTTATTGTGCATAAAAATTATAAATAATTAACTCATTTTTAGAAAAAAGATTCAATGTTAAACAATTACAGCAAAAAATAACCAGTAAGGATGATAGAGAATCAGAAAAATATTACATGCCAACTTCATGTTATTGCTATGTACAGAACATAATTCCCAGTAACTGCCAAACACACACTCTTTTCCAGTGCCAACAAGCTATTTACCAAGGTGGACCATATGCAGGGATATAATAAGGTCTCAATAACTTTTAAGAGACTGAAACTTTACAGAGAACATTCTGGAGGCTAGAAGTCTAAAATCAAGGTGCCAGCTGAGTTGGTGTCTGGTAAGAATTAGATGGGAACTCAATAGATCTAAGATACTACAAAATCTCCAAATATTTGGAAATTAAATAACATATTTCTAAGTAACTCGTTGAAAAATGAGCCCATAGATAAATTTTATATATTTCAAACTGATTAATAATGAAATCACAATATATCACAATTGGTGGGATGCAGCCAAAGCAATAGGAAAATTTATGTATTTAAGTGCCTATATATGAAAAGATTAAACGTTTTAAAATCAATGAAATTCAAGTTTGTAGCTTAAGAAGCTAAATAAAATAAATAAATAAATATAAGGAGCATAATAAGAAATGATAACAATCAGAGTAGATATTGATGAAGTAAAAGATACAAAGAAGAAAAAATCCAGAAGTTGCATCTTGTTAAAGATCAACTAAATGTATAAATCCCTAACAAGGTTAATTTTCTTAAAAAGGGAGAAAATGCACAACTTCTACATATCAGAAAAGAAAATGGAGAGTCTACAATTGAAATAATACAAATAGAATAGTATTATAATTTTATGTCAATAAAGTTAGTAACTTGGGCTGAAAAAACCACAATTTTTAAGGAAGACAAAACTTATCACAACTGATTCGAAAAGAAACAGAAGATCTGAACAGCCTTCTATTAAAAAATTAAATTCCTACTTAAAAATGTCCTGCAAAGAATACTTCAAATCCATATGATTTCACTGGTGAATTTTGAAAAATTAAGGAACAAATAATACCGATCTTACGCAAACTCACTACCATGATACAAAAACCAGAATACGACATTAAAAATATTAAGAACAGCTTGCCTTATGACCGTAGAATCAAAAATCTGTAACAGAATATTAGCATATCTTATCCAGGATTACATAAAATGTTTATCATCAGATCCAGACCAAGTAGAGTTGTTCTAGAAATTCAAGGTTGGTTCAATATTGAATATCAATCATAGAATCAAATCAATAGATGCAGAAGCATCGTTAGAGGAACTTAAACTCTCATTTATCTTAAAAACTTTTCAGCAAACAAGGAATCACAGGAAACATCTTAAAACTGCTAGAAAGCATCTATGAAAACCTTGCAAACATCATACATAATGATGAAAAACGAAATTGAGGAGACCAAGTTGAGGAGAAAAGCTAAGATTTCACTTCCAATCCTTACTAGGGCAACAAAATAAGAAAAGAAATGAAATGTGTAGGGGTAAGGAAGAAGACAAATGGACCAGTCTGCAAAAGACATAGTTATCAAAATAGAAAAGCCTAAGTAAGAAATATGTAAAAAAAAAAAAAAAAAAAAGGTACCAGAATTAATAAGTGAATTAGGTATGGACATAAGAAACAAGACCAATTAAAAATTTAGTTAATTTTGTGTATAATATCAACAAAAATTTAAGAAATACAGTTTTTAAATGTCATTTTAAAAACATGAAGTACTTCATAATGCTGAAGACCTAAAGTAGCCAAGATTATTTTGAAAAGTAAGACAAAGTTTGATGATCTAAACTACCTGATTTGAAAACTTAATATAAAACTACTGAAATGAAGACTATGGAACTGGCATAAAGTTAACCACAAGATCAATGGAACAAAATGGAGCCATGCTGTTGGATATAGTGACACAGTAGCCACTAAGTCCCATGTGGCTATTCA
The DNA here is from genome assembly GCF_000001405.40 of Homo sapiens. NCBI lineage: Eukaryota > Metazoa > Chordata > Mammalia > Primates > Hominidae > Homo > Homo sapiens. Next base: position 22,511,101 of record NC_000013.11, read on the forward strand.
TCCCTTGCCATGCAGCTGATTTTAATTGAGATTTGCTGTAGCAGCTGGTAAAAATACACGTCAGATTTTGAAGATTGTATAAAAAATGTAAACTGTCTCATTGACAAAACTATCAGTTGTGTTTATATTGACTGCATGATGAAATGATAATATTTTGAATATATTAGGCAAATAAAACATTTCATTAAAAGTAATGTTACCTGTATCTTTTTATGTTTTTAATGTGGCTACTAGAAAATGTAAAATTACATGTGCGACTAACATTCTGCCTCATCTGTTAATTCTACTGTACAGTGGTGAAACAGGGAGTTGAAACTATGATTAATTGATTTTTTAAAATGTCACCAACATAATACTTCTGGGAAAAGATTGAATTTTCAATAAATGGTGTGGAGCAACTGGGTATCTGTGGTTCCACACAATTTTAAAAAGACTCTTGACCTCCACTTCAAGCCATATTTTAAACTTAATTTGAAATGAATAAGAGAGCTAAAATTTACACTTGAAACTATAATACTTCTAGAAAAAAAAATAGGAAAAAGCTTTGTAACCTTAGTGTAGTAAAAACTACCAGAAAATCACTAATCACAAAAGAAAAAAAATGCTAACTTAGACTTCATCAAAGTTAAAATCTGTTTTTCGGGCCGGGCGCGGTGGCTCATGCCTGTAATCCCAGCACTTTGGGAGGCCGAGGCAGGCGGATTCACGAGGTCAGGAGATCGAGACCATCCTTGCTAACACGTGAAACCCCGTCTCTACTAAAAATACAAAAAATTAGCCGGGCATGGTAGTGGGCGCCTGTAGTCCCAGCTACTCGGGAGGCTGAGGCAGGAGAATGGGATGAACCTGGGAGGTGGAGCTTGCAGTGAGCCGAGATCGCTCCACTGAACTCCGGCCTGGGTGACAGTGAGACTCCATCTCAAAAAAAAAAAAAAAATCTGTTTTTCAAAAGATACTGCTAAGCAAAGGAAAACACAAGTCACAGACTGGAAGATAATACTATTGGTACACATATCTGACAAAGGACTTGAATTCAGCACATATAAGGGACTCTTAAATTCAATAGAAAGAAGAAAAACAGCCAAATGCAAATGGAAAAAGACTTGAATAGACCCTCACCAGAGAAAATGTAGGAATGGCTAGGAAGGACCTGATGCTCAACATTACCAGCCTTCAGGGAAATGTAAATTAAACCACAATGAGATAATTGCATACTAGAATGGCTGAAATTAAAGTGACCAACAACATCACATATTGGTGACGACGTGAAGCTACTAGAATTCTCTTACATTTCACATTGGTGAAAATGAAGGGTGTAAAATGGTACAACCCGTTTGTAAACCAGTTGGGTAGTTTCTTACAACTCTGCAATTTCACTCCTTATATTTTACCCAAGGGAAAAGTAGTCCACAAAAGAACTGTGCAGGAATGTTTACAGCAGCGTCGTTTATAATAGGCAAACATGGGGAGCAATGCATACATTTATTAAAAGATGAATGGATCAACATCAATTTGCCCATGCTACATTCACAAAGGAAAATCATTTGGGACAAAACAGTAACGTAAGCAATGTATTACCGATATGCATAACAATATAGAGGAATCTCAAGAACATTATGCTGAGTAAAGAGCAGAGGCAAGATACAAGAGAACATTCTGTGTAATTCTGCTTATGTGAAATTTTCTAGACCGCAAAACTAACTTACAGTTAGAGAAATCAGATAGTGTTTGCCTATGCAAGAGGCGTTGATTACAAAAGGTCACAGGGGCTTTGGGGTGATGTGACTTTTTTATATCTTGTTTGATATCTTGTTTGAGGTTGTAGTTATAAGGTGGCATCGATTTCCAAAACTTATTTCACTATACACTCAAAATAGGTGCATTTTATTGAATATAAATGACTTTTCAATAAAGTTAATTGTGTGTGTGTGTATATATATAAAACAGATTAAAAGCAGATACTTTTTATTCATTGTGCACCTTTGTCAATGAGGAAAAGTAGAATTAAAATCCTCAGGAAGGCATTCTCAGACATACCCTGGCTCTCTCATTAATGATTATGAGTTACAATGATTAGAAGTATAACTAAAATGTTGTTAGATTCACTTTTTCTAGGATTTGATGTATTTTCTTTTATGATTTGAAGAAAAATATGTTTGTCTTTTAAAATCATCTATCTTGTGAATCCTAAACTTTTTGCAAATAGTTTATTTCCTGTAAGTTTAAAGAGCCAAAGAAAACACCTAGAGTCAGGTGAAGGGGGCACAGCTTTGTAGCTGTTTTTATTTGGGTGTAGGTTATTAAAGATACGTGGCAGAAAGAAGATTTCTTCTTCCTCAGCAAGGCAATGCTTCTTCTTCCAAAAGCATGGGTCCCTTTTCAAAAATAACACTTTTCTCCAGGGAAAAATTTGCACATTTAAAACAGCTCAGTAGCTCAGTAGCATCTTTGTGTTTCCTTGGTGTTGACTCATCTCCTGGTTTGTTTTGTGTTGTTTGTCTTGGTTTCTGATCTAAGACGATCTGACGTGTGCTTTGGTTTACCCAGTTGGAGTGCTGCATACGAAAAAGCATGAGGCATGGGGAACGTAATTTGGATTTCTTTTGAGATGTGCTTTATTTTATGAAGCGAAATTGGAGAGGACACACTGGAAACCCCAACCTGTACAGAGAGTGTATGACAAGAACCGAGACATAGCGGCAGAGCTTGTGGGGTGCCCATCTCTAACTCTCTCTGACATGGGCGCCTTTTGGAGGTGGTGCTCTGCAGCCAAAGCACTATCTTGATCCTACCTATGTTATCTTGTGTCTGTGGCATGAAACATGTCATAATTTTGCAGACTTTTCTCCTAGTCTGTTTCCTTTCATCACCTCCTGACACCTGTGAAATCAGTCTGCCCAGCTCTTAGAACAATATATTTTTTTATTTTTTTACTACTAGCTGGAATTTTCTACTTGGCTCTGGAGACCTGGTATTATTGTGTTTTCTTTGTCATCCATGAAACTCTTTAAATCTTGCTTCTCTTAACATGGATGCAAGTGGGAAGAGACGGCAAACATGAGAAGAGAGACAATTTGTCAGCAAATGTTCTCTGACAGCAGTCACACGCACATTTTGAAAAGCCTGGAATCCTTAGGGCTTTGTGTGAGGATCCTTGTATCTCCATTCCACACCAAGGGTGATGGTATTGGGCTTTAGTCTTAATTTTAGTCTCTCTGTTGGGTAAGCAAGCATAAATCTTCCTTAGCCCTAAATCATAATTTTGAATATAATATCAGTGAATGTCTGGCAGGTGGTGGCGGCCTGCCCAGTCACTAGCTTGAACTTGACACACAGCAAGTTGAGACAAAACAGTAATAGAAGTAATGTATTACCGATATGCATAACAATATAGAGGAACCTCAAGAACATTATGCTGAGTGAAAAAGAAGAGGCAAGATACAATAGAACATTCTGCATATTTCTGCTTATGTGAAATTTTCTAGACTGCAAAACTAACTTACAGTTAGAGAAATCAGTGTTTGCCTATGCGAGAGGCGTTGATTACAAAGGGTCACAGGGGCTTTGGGGTGATGTGACTTTTTTATATCTTGTTTGATATCTTGTTTGAGGTTGTAGTTATAAGGTTGCATCAATTTCCAAAACTTATTTCACTATACACTCAAAATAGGTGCATTTTATTGAATATAAATGACTTTTCAATAAAGTTAATTTTGTGTGTGTGTGTGTGTGTGTGGCAGGGAGGAGGCTTCTTGTGGGAATTCTTGCACAAGGAGTCTTGCAATTCTGTATCACTTGCTGTTAGCCAAGTGCCCAGCTCTAGGCATCACACATGTTCCCATACATTGAGTCACATAGCCCAGTTACTGCATGGTTTTCTTCTATGGGGAGTGAGTGACAGGGTGGTGCAGCAACCCCACTAAGGGTGCATGGCCAACAACAGGTGAAGCAGGGAATTAGACCCAGCTCCAGCATCTGCGTCTGTGACAACTGCACCACACCTGTCACCTCACATCCATGGCAGGTGAACTTCATATCAATTATTTAGTTTGAATTGAAAAACCATGTCATTATTTTAGGTCAAACTTAAAGCAGCTGTAGCCATCTACAACAAAACTTCATAGCAAGTAGACAAAACTCTAAAGAGCTGGCATATGTTTCACACAGAGTGTACAGAAGTGTTAAGTGAGATAATTCATGAAAAGCACTTAGAATAGCTTGGTATATGGCAAGCATTCAATAAATATGAGCTAATATTAATGCTAATAACAGGAAACACAAGTCAAAACTGGTCATAGGGTTACTTCCTAGGGTGGTGGGGGGCCAGTGTCTGATCGCAGATGAGCAAACAATTTAGATATCAGTGATTTCAGATTTAAATCTAGAAGTGATCAATATCAGAATATATAATCAGGAGGTCAGGAAATAAGAGCAGGGTAATCTTTCCCGGTAGCTGAAATCGTTAAGACATAAAGTGTGGGCACTGACATTTTACACTCTTGTTTTCAGTCCTGTAGCCTAGAGAAGCAGAGTTAGTCTACAGAAGGAGAAAGAATGAAACAGATGTGTTGAGAGAAGCAGCCAGGAGGGCAATCCCCAGTTCTGATTGAGATCCAGGGTCCAGTTCATCTCTGAGACTTGGCTATGCCTTTTTCCTTCTGGTTTTTGGAAGCCTAGCATCTTTTCAATGTACAACAGAGGCCTCTCTGACTGCCCAAGGCAATTTTAACATCTATTTAGCCTGCTTTATCTTTCTTCTAGAATGTACCTATCTTTTACTGATATTAGACTATACTGTTCACTGTCTGAATGACCCATAAAAGGACAGAGACTTGGCCCCCTTCTCTATCCCCAGAATCTAGCACAGTGCCAGATTCAAACACAGTGCTTCCTGATAAAATCAATGGTATGAATGAAATAATTTTTCTTTATATCTAAGCTAATTTTAGCTAAATTTCTAATTCTTGTAAATTAGTATCGTAGCTGACTGCAAAAATAGCAGTTACGCTGAAATGCTTAGACAGCAAAAAGAACCTAGGCCAGGATGGTGGGTAAGAGGCAGTAGAAGTGAGAGAGAATATGCTAGAATAAGGAGTCACACGCATTTTTTTTTTAATATGCACCAGATCCTAGATCTGGCCAGCAACATCCTACAGTGAAATCTGCACCAAGAAGTGATCCTCCATGTCAAAAATCTAGGATAGAGGAACAAGGCATGATTCTCATTCCAGCAGATGTATCCATTTACCTGTCTGTTGAAGTGGGAAACAGAGGTGAGCTCATGGGGAAGGGGAGTCATGGCATTGTCTATTCATGACCATCCTGCCTTTACTGGAGAGGGTCTTGGAACAAAAACATCTCCTCAGTGAATTCTGATTCCAGGATCTGGAAGAGCTAGAGAAACAGTTATGTTATTGACTATACTATCTATGCATTGGATGCTCATTGATGCTAATGTAATAACTCTAAGTAACTGAGAAAAAAATGAAATCATGTTCAGTATCCTCTGTTTAATCAGTGAGGGAAGTAAATACTGTATTTAGAGAATTTAATCCTGTCAAGCTGTTAAAATTGTATAAATGAGTTAGTTCATCAGTGCAGAAACCACTGGGTGTCCTCCAATGTCTTTCTATTCTTCTACGATAGAACCTTCAATTTCTAGCTGGCCACACAATTATCCAAGAAAGACTACATTTACCTCCATCCCTTGTACCTGAGTGTGGCCATTGTACTAAGTTCTAGGCAATAACTTGTAAACATTCAATTCATGGCAACTCCTGGAAAGGGAGGGAGATGTCATGCCCTTTCCCCGACCTCCTTTTCCCACTTGCTGGAATGAGGACATAATGTCTGGAACTCATCTTGGTCCATAAATTGTCTCAGGAATAGAAACCTCAGAAGCCAGGGTCCCTGACACTTCGGGTCCACAATAACATAGCTGGACTACCTTCTCCTGGAATTTTACATGATAGAGAAGTAAATTCCTAATTTCCTTAAACCATTGTTGAGTTTTCTGACATTTGTGACCAAACCAAGTAGACAAATGTACCCCCTAATAAGGACAAATAAACAAATTACTGATACAATGGTTGTGTCTATATGATTACGAAAACATGCTTTAACAATAAATCAAGTTACAGAAACAGGTATGAGCAATAGTTGTCATATGACCAAATTGTATTTTTTCTCTCAATTATTTCACCAAGATCTTTGTACAAAAGTGATGGATCAAAGAAAAGTTCTAAACCCAAAATGGCTGCATCTTGGCTTTTGGATTAGCTTACTAACTTCCTTCTATGAAAAAAGTCTTTCGTGTGTATATCTTGCCTGATTGGTAGCTGGTGTTCATCAGGATCCTTTGAAAGACAGATATTTGCAATGATAAAATTGAAAAGATTATTTTAGTACAGACCAAAGAGATATTCAAAAACTCAACAAATTCAGTATCACATTGCCAGGTTTGGAAGGACAAGTTGGCTAGTTGGACTGGATAACCTGTGTTTTCCCCAGCTTGCAAGCCAACAATCCAGCGAGTCATCTGAGAAACGGGCCAAGGATATAAAAACCCTCATTTGAATATTCTCTAACTGATCCATCTAGCACTGCTCAGGGGAAATACCAGCCATTGTTAAGTAAACAAATTCTTGCTGCTAATTGTGCCACGTAAAGCTCTCCACAAGAGAGGCTGCCAGGATAATGCATGCAGTCATGTACACAGTTAAGAGGGCCTGCTCTTATAATGTTGACTGGGACCATATCAGTGAAACCAATGTTTATTCTTCCTCTCTTAAAATACATGGCATGTTTATTTTATTAGATATTGTATGTGGTTATCATTGTACCTCATAACCAAAAATAGTTTCAGAAAGATGGCTGCTTTCTCTTTGAGGTTTTAAAATAGCGTATTTTAAATAAAATCATTACCAACATAACCATCAAGTTTGGCAAAAATAATGTCAGCCATATTTGTGTGTGTGTGATCTGCTAACAAATAGAAAACATATTTAACTTGCACAGATGAGCTTTGTTTTCTTGTAGCATAGGGTAAAGAACATAGCCTTGAAAAGCATATTAACTAAGATCAAAGCTCTACCTTCACATATTTTTCTGGCTATATTGTATTAGTAGGAGTGAAGCTGAAACATAATTTTGGGTTTCCTACAAATTAAATAATAGCTAATATTTACTGAGTATTTACTACATGCCAGATATTGTTCTGTTTCTTAAATTTGTTACATCACTTAATCCTTTAAAAAATCTCTTATGAGGAAGAGGCTATTATTATCTCTAATTTACAGAAGAAAAATTAAGACATAGAGACTTGAAGTAATTTACCATATCAGAGTTAATGTGTTTTAGGCTGACCTAGAAGTGAAGAGAAGATGTTAGAATGTACAGTGATAATGAAAACACATAAGCCAGAGACAGGTTACTCAATTAGCTAGGCTATTGATCAATATATCAGACAGTGAGGAGATCCAAGTTGGAAGAAAACATTATCATAAAAACATAAATAGAATTTAAAATGTATGAAAGAAAGTAGAAATTGGCCTGAAGGTTACATGTTCTCACCTACTTGGACAGAATCCAAGACAAGGTAAACCAAACATTGTGCCTAACGATGATCTCCAAGTCCTTTACAGGTCTCATCAACTTTAATGAAAATAAAGAACATCAATAACCAAGATAAGCAGGAAGCCATTCGATAACACAAGAGAATGCAAGAAGTCTCTCTTCTAATTCAGAGAAATGAAACAAAAAGTAAACGGATTTTCGATGCTGAGAAAGATGGAGTAGACAGCAAGCACTCCTCTCTCCTACTAGAGTGACTAGAGAAAAATTGACTAATTACAAAAATCTTACTGTTAAAAGCACTAGAGACTTGCAGAAGCAAAAAGGTCTGGATGAACTAAAAAGTTCCGGAGAGGGAAAAGCCATTTCAAGGTGAGCTGACAACTAAGAGTCATTCTATTTCCTAGAGGCAATTGTGATGCTGGAAAGAGGTTGATGATTGGGCTTGGCAGAGGAAGAGGAACTCTACTGTAGAAAAAAAGACGCAGACCACTGGACAGCCAGAAGACTTGTAATATAGAGGAATTCCCACGTGCATGTCCTATTTTTCATATTTTTCACATATGATGTTTGCTCAGTGAGACAAAATTCTGGAGGTGCTACTTGGAAATGCAGAGTAAAATCTCTCAGTCTCACACTGCCTTGGCGACAGTGACCCACTACTGCAAACAGCCTGCAATGAACACAAATTATATCCCCCTACAAAATATTTGCAAGAATTTTCTGCTGTTTGTTGTACAGTACTGAAATGTTACGCTTGACTCTTCAAAGAGCAGGCAAAATCTTTTGGAGTATTTAAGGAATGAGGAAAGAAAAATATAACATCCTCTCCATCAAAGGCTAAGATAACCACTCCAAATGAAAAAGGACAAACATGAAGGGGGCTGAGTCTAAATGAAACTGCAACCTAGTCCTAATCCAGCTAAATTTCTAAGCACATTGAGGTGATTATCCCCTTACACTATCTGCTTAACAGATCAGAGAACATATCCATTTGGGATGAAAATAGATCGACTTGATGCCCTACAGTTATTTTACACAATATCAGGCACACAATAGAATTCATGAGATATGCAAAGACACAGGAAAATGAGGCCAAAAATAAAGAGAAAACAAAATAGAAGAAACACAGACTATCAAATATTGGAATTATCAGGCTAAGTCTATAAAATAATTATTATTTTTCTTTTTCTTTTTTTTTTTAGACGGAGTCTTGCTCTGTCACGCAGGGTGGAGTGCAGTGGAGCGATTTCAGCTCACTGCAAGCTCTGCCTCCCGGGTTCACTCCATTCTCCTGCCTCAGCCTCCTGAGTAGCTGGGACTACAGGCACCCACCACCACACCTGGCTAATTTTTGTATTTTTAGTAGAGACGGGGTTTCACCGTGTTTGCCGGGATGGTCTCGATCTCCTGACCTCGTGATCTGCCTGCCTCAGCCTCCCAAAGTGCTGGGATTACCGGCATGAGCCACCCCACCCGGCCAAGAAAGCAAAATAGAAGAAACACAGACTATTCAAATATTGGAATTATCAGGCAAAGTCTATAAAATAATTATTATACATATAGTAAGTAAATCTCTTACTTCCTTAAAGAAACTATGGAAGTCAGAAGACAATGAATTGACATTTTAAAGTACAAAAAGGAAAAAAATCTATCAATTTACAGTTGTACATCAAAGCAAAAATACTCTTCAAGGTGGAAGAAAGAATAAAAATGATATAAGAAAAATAAAAGTTGATAGCAGCTGTGTATTAACAAGAGATGCTAAAGCAAGTCCTTGAGGTTAGAGGAAAATGATACCGGATGGAAATATAAGACAGCTAGAAGAAAATGTACCAGAAAAGGTAAATATGCAGGTGAATATGAAAATGAATTAGTGTTTGAAGCAACAATAATGATACTATCTTGTAGGATTTATAAAATATACAAGTAAAAATGTATGACAGCAATATAACAGAAGGCAGGAGGGATATAGTTAGAATTAAAATGTTAGATTATTTTTTAAAATATAGATTTAGGGGGTAGAAGGGCAGTTTTGTTACATGAATATATTCTTAGTGGTGAAGTCTGGGTATTTAGTGTAGCCATCACTCAAATTGTGTACACTGTACACATCAAGTAATTTTTCATCCCACAACCTTTTCCACCCTCACACCCTCTCACCCTTTTGAGTCTTCAGTGTCTATTATTTCCTTCTCTATGACAATGTGCACACATTTAGCTCCCACTTGTGAGAATATGTGATATTTGATATATACCACCACACCATAAGTGATGAACACTTAACGTTGTTTCCATGATTTTGCTGTTGTGAATAGTGAAGCAATAAACATACAAGTGCAGGTATCTTTGTGATGTAATGATGATTTCTATCTCTTTGGGTAGATAGTAATAGGATTGCTAGATCGAATGATAGTTCTATTTTTAGTCCTTTGAGAACCCTCCATACTGTTTTCCATAGAGGTTGTATTCATTTACATTCCCACCAATACTGTGTAAGTGTTCCCTTTTCTCTACATCCTCACCAACAACTGCTATATCTTCAAAAAGTTGTAAACATTCTTATTTACTGCAGACTCTAAAATGCAAAGACATACATCCTGAAAAAGATACCAAGTGTTTGCTGACGATATAGAGCCACTGGAATGTGCATACGTTGTTACTGGGCCTATAAATTAATATGTTCACTGTTGCTAACTGACAGTATCTACTAAAGCTAAATGTCTATGTATTATATACTCCAGCTATTTGACTTCTAAGTCCACACCCAGGAGTAATACCTGTATAAGTTCACCAAAAAACATGGACAAAATTTCTCATAGTAGCTTTGTGTTTAGTAGCCTAATTTTTTTTTAATTATACTTTAAGTTTTAGGGTACATGTGCACAATGTGCAGGTTAGTTACATATGTATACATGTGCCATGCTGGTGCGCTGCACCCATTAACTCGTCAGTTAGCATTAGGTATATCTCCTAAAGCTATCCCTCCCCCCTCCCCCCACACCACAACAGTCCCCAGAGTGTGATGTTCCCCTTCCTGTGTCCATGTGTTCTCATTGTTCAATTCCCACCTATGAGTGAGAATATGCGGTGTTTGGTGTTTTGTTCTTGTGATAGTTTACTGAGAATGATGATTTCCAATTTCATCCATGTCCCTACAAAGGACGTGAACTCATCATTTTTTATGGCTGCATAGTATTCCATGGTGTATATGTGCCACATTTTCTTAATCCAGTCTATCATTGTTGGACATTTGGGTTGGTTCCAAGTCTTTGCTATTGTGAATACTGCCGCAATAAACATACGTGTGCATGTGTCTTTATTGCAGCATGATTTATAGTCCTTTGGGTATATACCCAGTAATGGGATGGCTGGGTCAAATGGTATTTCTAGTTCTAGATCCCTGAGGAATCACCACACTGACTTCCACAAGGGTTGAACTAGTTTACAGTCCCACCAACAGTGTAAAAGTGTTCCTGTTTCTCCACATCCTCTCCAGCACCTGTTGTTTCCTGACTTTTTAATGATTGCCATTCTAACTGGTGTGAGATGGTATCTCATTGTGGTTTTGATTTGCATTTCTCTGATGGCCAGTGATGGTGAGCATTTTTTCATGTGTTTTTTTGGCTGCATAAATGTCTTCTTTTGAGAAGTGTCTGTTCATGTCCTTCGCCCACTTTTTGATGGGGTTGTTTGTTTTTTTCTTGTAAATTTGTTTGAGTTCATTGTAGATTCTGGATATTAGCCCTTTGTCAGATGAGTAGGTTGCCAAAATTTTCTCCCATTTTGTAGGTTGCCTGTTCACTCTGATGGTAGTTTCTTTTGCTGTGCAGAAGCTCTTTAGTTTAATTAGATCCCATTTGTCAATTTTGGCTTTTGTTGCCATTGGTTTTGGCGTTTTGGAGTAGCCTAATTTTTAACAGCCAAAAGCTGGAAACAACACAAAGTTCCTTCAGCATAAGAGAAGAAAAATAAACTTTACTGTATTTATATTATAGAATATACACAGCAATATAGCAAACGTTTTATACAAACAACCTAGACAGATGTTAAAAAAAAAGGATGAGTGAGGCTGGGCATGGTGGCTCATGCATGTAATCCCAGCACTTTGGGAGGCTGAGGTGGGCGGATCACGAAGTCAGGAGATTAAAACCATCCTGGCTAACACAGTGAAACCCCATCTCTACTAAAAAATACAAAAAATTAGCTGGGCATGGTGGTGGGCACCTGTAGTCCCAGCGACTTGGGAGGCTGAGGCAGGAGAATGGCGTGAACCCAAGAAGCGGACCTTGCCGTGAACTGAGATCATGCCACTGCACTCCAGCCTAGGCAACAGAGTGAGAATCCATCTCAAAAAAAAAAAAAAAAAAAAAAAGATGATTGAAAGAATTCAGAAACAAAAAGTATCTACCATATATAAGTTTATTTATATGAAGTTCAAGTACAGGTGAAATAAATACATAGTGATAGACATTAAACTATTGGTCGCCAATGGAAATTGTTACTGAATGAGATGGAGAACTAGGAAATTTGCAGGAGTACTAGAAATATTCTATAACCTCATTTGAATGATGGTTAAATTTGCTATGTACATGTAAAAAGTCATGATGCTTTATACTTTATTTTATTGTATGTATGTATAGTACATTGTATTTTTTTTGAAAAATAAAAATGTATATTTAAAGCGTTTGGACTCCAGCACAACCAATCACTGTCAGTCTCTAGCTGGGCAGTGGAATTCTATATTTAAGAGATCACAAAGTGAAACTGATATGCAGACTGTGGAAGGAAGGATACAAGTATGAATAAAGAGTGCTTGGAGTAAGGTTGTAAGATACAAAAATCAATGACATTTCTGTAAACTAACAACAAACTATCTAAAAGGAGAATTAACAAAACAATCCCATTACGTTAGCAACAAAAAGAGAAAAAATACTTAGGAATTAACCAAAGAGGTGAAATACTGAAATTTCAGTGTACATAGGAAATTGTAAAACACTGATGAAGGAAATTTAAAAAGCTATAAATAAGTGGAAAGATGTCCCATGTTCATAGACTTAAAGAATTATTATTGTTAAAATGTCTTTATTGCCACACTACACAAAGCAATCTACAGATTCACTGCAATTCCTATCAAAATTCCCATGACATATTTTTAAGAAATAGAAAACACAGTTTCAAAAGTCATGCAAAACCACAAAAGACCATAAATAGCCAAAGCAATATTTTTTTTCAGACAGGGTCTTACTCTGTTGATAAGACTGGAGTGCAGTGGTATGATAACAGCTTGCTGCAACCTCAAACTCCTGGGCTCAAACAATCCTCTCATTTCAGCCTTTCAAGTAGCCTGGACTACAGGTACATGCAACCCCACAGAGCTAATTTTTAAATTTTTTGGAGGGACAGGGTTTCACTTTGTTATCCAGGCTGGTCTTGAACCCCTCGCCTTAAGCGATCCTCTGAACTCGGTGCTGAGATTACAGGCATGCGTACCACACCCAGCCCCAAATCAATCTTGAACAACAAGAACAAAGCTGAAAGCATCATACTTCTTGACTTTGAATTGTATTACAAAGCTATGGTAATCAAAATAATATGATTTGGGCATGAAAACAGATATAGACCAGTGGACCAGAAGAGAGAACCCAGAATTAAACTCACACATTTGCAGTCAATTACACTTTAACAAGGGTGCCAAGAACACTCAAAGGGGAAAGGACAGTCTCTTAAACAAATGGTATTGGCAAAACTGGGTATCCAGTATCTCTCACCACACACAAAAATCAACTCATAATGGATTAAATATTTAAACATAAGTAAAGCCTGAAACTGTACAACTCCTGGAAAAAAAATAAGGAAAAACCTTCTTGACATTAATCTTGGCAACAATTTTTTGGTTATGACACCAAAATCATAGACAGCAAAAGCAAAAATAGATAAGTAGGACTACATAAAACTACAAAGCTTCTGCACAGCATAGGAAACAATCAACAAAATGAAATGGCAACCTATGTTGCCTCTATGGGAAACATATTTGCAAACCATTTATCTGACAAAGGGTTAATACCCAAAATCTGTGAAGAACTCATACAAATCAATACCAAAGATACTTATGACTAGATTTAAAAATGGGGAAAGAACCTAAACAGACACTTCTCACAATAGAAAAATGATCAAGTGGCCAGCAGGTCAATATCTCTAATCATCGGGAAAATGTAAATCAAAGGCACAATGAGCTATCAACTCACACCTGTCAGAATAGCTATTACCAAAAGACAAGAGTTGGAGAGGATGTGAAGAAAAGGAAACACTTGTATACTGCTCCTGAGAATGTAATCTAGTAAAATCATTATAAAAATAGTGTGAAAGTTTCTCAAAAAACTAAAAATAAAATTTACCATATGATTCAGCCAATCAACTTCTGGGTATAAATCCAAAAAAATAAAATAAAATCAGGATCATGAAGAAATCTCTGCACTCCCATGTTTATGGTAGCATTATTCACCATAGCCAAGATATGGAAACAATCTAAATGCCCTTTGATGAATGAATGGATAAAGAAAATGTGGTACATACATATACACAATGGAATATTACTCAGCCTTAAAAAAAATCCTTCCATTTGTGACAGCATGGATGGAGCTGGAGGACATTATGCTAAGCAAAATAAGCAAGGCACAAAAAGACAAATATGGCAGATGCCATATCACAAAAGCAGAGAGTGGGATGGTGGTTGCCACGAGCTGGGGGAAGAAAAATATGAGTGATGTTGGTCAAATGGTACAGAGTTTCCGTCACACAAGATGAATAATTTATGGAGATCTAATGTCAAATAATGTGAATATATTCAACAATACTGTGTTGTATACTTTTAGTTTGCTAAGAAGACAAATCTTATATAAAACTTGGCCACTACACACACACACACACACACACACACACACACACACAATGGCAACCATGTAGAGCTAACTGATATGTACATTTTTTTGTTGTTTAAGAGGAGTCTCTCTCTGTTGCCCTGGCTGGAGTGCAGTGGCGCAATCTCACATCACTGCAACCTCCACCTCCTGAGTTCAAGCAATTCTCTTGCCTCAGCCTCCCAAGTAGCTGGGACTACAGGTGCTTGCCACCACATCCAGCCAATTTTTGTATTTTTAGTAGAGACAGGGTTTCATCATGTTGGTCAGGCTGGTCTCGAACTCCTGACCTCAGGTGATCCGCCTGCATTGGCCTCCCAAAGTGCTGGGATTACAGGCTTGAATCACTGCACCTGGCCAGATTATTTTGATTATAGTGATTATTTCACAATGCATATGTTTATCAAAATATCATATTATACATCTTACATATATACAATTTTATGTCAATGATATCTCAATAAAGTTGTCTTATAAAAAGGGTTTGGGTATTGAATTCGAACCCAAGCCTGCAAACAGTGGGATAAAGAATCAGAATTTAAGGGAGAGAGTAGGTTACATTGCCTTCCCTGATAAGGATTTCTTCAATCTTTCATGTTTAGGCCAAAATTAGAATTACGTAGAATAATTAGAAATATTTCATGCAAAAAGCAGCTTTGCAACCGGTGTCCACAGACGTAAGTTTGACTCAATGCTTATGTGACTTTGAAGAAGCACTGTATTTTCCTGTAAAAAAATAAGATTGCTTGAAGGCAGGCCAACATTCAAATTCAGGAAATACAGAGAACACCACAAAGATACTCCTCGAGAAGAGCAACCCCAAGACACATAATTGTCAGATTCACCGAGGTTGAAATGAAGGAAACAATGTTAAGAGCAGCCAGAGAGAAAGGTCGGGTTACCCACAAAGGGAAGCCCATCAGACTAACAGTGGATCTCTCTGCAGAAACCCTACAGCCAGAAGAGAGTGGGGGCCAATATTCAACATTCTTAAAGAAAAGAATTTTCAACCCAAAATTTCATATTCAGCCAAACTAAGCTTCATCAGTGAAGGAGAAATAAAATACTTTACAGACAAGCAAATGCTGAGAGATTTTGTCACCAACAGGCCTGCCTTACAAGAGCTCCTGAAGGAAGGACTAAACATGCAAAGGAACAACCGGTACCAGCCACTGCAGAAACATGTCAAATTGTAAAGACCATCAATGCTATGAAGAAACTGCAGCCATTAATGGGGAAAATAATCAGCTAACATCATAATGACAGGATCAAATTCACACATAGCAATATTAACCTTAAATATAAATGGGCTAAATGCCCCAATTAAAAGACACAGACTGGCAAATTGGATAAAGAGTCAAAACCCATCAGTGTGCTGTATTCAGGAGACCCACCTCACGTGCAGAGACACACATAGGCTCAAAATAAAGGGATGGAGGAATATCTACCAAGCAAATGGAAAGCAAAGAAAAGCAGGGGTTGCAACCCTAGTGTCTGATAAAACAGACTTTAAACCAACAAAGATCAATAAGACAAAGAAGGCCATTACATAATGGTAAAGGGATAAATTCAACAAGAAGTGCTAACTATCCTAAATATATATGCACCCAATACAGGAGCACCCAGATTCATAAAGCAAGTCCTTAGAGATACATAAAGAGACTTAGACTCCCACACAATAATAATGGGAGACTTTAACACCCCACTGTCAATATTAGACAGATCAATGAACAGAAGGTTAACAAGGATATCCAGGACTTGAACTCAGCTCTGCACCAAGCAGACCTAATAGACATCTACAGAACTCTCCACCCCAAATCAACAGAATATACATTCTTCTCAGCAGCACATCACACTTATTCTAAAATTGACCACACAATTGGAAGTAAGGCACTCCTCAGCAAATGTAAAAGAGCAGAAATCACAACAAACTGTCTCTCAGACCACAGCGCCATCAAATTAGAACTCAGGATTAAGTAACTCATTCAAAACCACACAACTACATGGAAACTGAACAACCTACTCCTGAATGACTACTGGGTAAATAACGAAATGAAGGCAGAAATAAAGATGTTCTTTGAAACCAATGAGAACAAAGAGACAATGTACCAGAATCTCAGGGACACATTTAAAGCAGTGTGCAGAGGGAAATTTATAGCACTAGATACCCACAAGAGAAAGCAGGAAAGATCTAAAATCGACACCCTAACATCACAATTAAAAGAACTAGAGAAGCAAGAGCAAACAAATTCAGAAGCTAGCAGAAGGCAAGAAATAACTAAATCAGAGCAGAACTGAAGGAGACAGAGACACAAAAAAAACCTTCAAAAAGTCAATGAATCCAGGAGCTGGTTTTTTTTAAAAGATCAACAAAATTGATAGACCGCTAGCAAGACTAATAAAGAAGAAAAGAGAGAAGAATCAAGTAGATGCAATAAAAAATGATAAAGGGGATATCACCACCGATCCCACAGAAATAAAAACTACCATCAGAGAATACTATAAACACCTCCTCGCAAATAAACTAGAAAATCTAGAAGAAATGGATGAATTCCTCAACACATACACCCTCCCAAGACTAAACCAGGAAGAAGGTGAATCTCTGAATAGACCAATAACAGGCTCTGAAATTGAGGCAATAATTAATAGCTTACCAACCAAAAAAAGTCCAGGACCAGACAGTTTCACAGCCTAATTCTACCAGAGGTACAAAGAGGAGCTGGTACTACTGGTTCTGAAACTATTCCAATGAATAGAAAAAGAGGGAATCCTCCCTAACTCATTTTAGGAGGCCAGCATCATCCTGATACCAAAGCCTGGCAGAGACACAACAAAAAAAGAGAATTTTAGACCAATATCCCTTATGAACATTGATGCGAAAATCCTCAATAAAATACTGGCAAACCGAATCTAGCAGCACATCAAAAAGCTTATGCACCATGATCAAGTGGCCTTTATCCCTGAGATGCAAGGCTGGTTCAGCATACGCAAATCAATAAACGTAATCCAGCATATAAACAGAACCAACGACAAAAACCATATGATTATCTCCATAGATGCAGAAAAGGCCTTTGACAAAATTCAACAACTCTTCATGCTAAAAACTCTCAATAAACTAGGTATTGATGGGACGTATCTCAAAATAATAAGAGCTATTTATGACAAACCCACAGCCAATATCATACTGAATGGGCAAAAACTGGAAGCATTCCCTTTGAAAACTGGCACGAGACAAGCATGCCCTCTCTCACCACTCCTATTCAACATAGTGTTGGAAGTTCTGGCCAGGGCAATCACGCAGGAGAAAGAAATAAAGGGTATTCAATTCAGAAAAGAGGAAGTCAAATTGTCCCTGTTTACAGATGACATGATTCTATATTTAGAAAACCCCATCGTCTCAGCCCAAAATCTCCTTAAGCTGATGAGCAACTTCAGCAAAGTCTCCAGATACAAAATCAATGTGCAAAAATCACGAACATTCCTATACACCAATAACAGACAAACAGAGAGCCAAATCATGAGTGACCTCCCATTCACAATTGCTACAAAGAGAGTAAAATACCTAGGAATCCAACTTACAAGAGATGTGAAGGACCTCTTCAAGGAGAACTACAAACCACTGCTCAATGAAATAAAACAGGGCACAAACAAATGGAAGAACATTCCATGCTCATGGATAGGAAGAATCACTATCGTGAAAATGGCCGTACTGCCCAAGGTAATTTATAGATTGAATGCCATCCCCATCAAGCTACCAATGACTTTCTTCACAGAATTGGAAAAAAACTACTCTAAAGTTCATATGGAACCAAAAAAGAGCCCACATTGCCAAGACAATCCTAAGCAAAAGGAACAAAGCTGGAGGCATCATGCTACCTGACTTCAAACTATACTACAAGGCTACAGTAACCAAAACAGCATGGTACTGGTACCAAAACAGATATATAGACCAATGGAACAGAACAGAGGCCTCAGAAATAACACCACACATCTACAACTATCTGATCTTTGACAAACCTGACAAAAACAAGAAATGGGGAAAGGATTCCCTATCTAATAAATGGTGCTGGAAAAACTGGCTACCCATATGTAGAAAGCTGAAACTGGATCCCTTCCTTACACCTTATACAAAAATTAATTCAAGATGGATTATTAAATGTTAGACCTAAAACCATAAAAACCCTAGAAGAAAACCTAGGCAATACCATTCAGGACATAGGCATGGGCAAGGACTTCATGACTAAAACAGCAAAAGCAACTGCAACAAAAGCCAAAATAGAGAAATGGGATCTAATTAAACTAAAGAGCTTCTGCACAGCAAAAGAAACTATCATCAGAGTGAACAGGCAGCCTACAGAATGGGAGAAAATTTTTGCAATCTGCCCATCTAACAAAGGGCTAATATCCAGAATCTACAAAGAATGTAAACAAATTTACAAGAAGAAAACAACCTCATCAAAAAGTGGGCAAAGGATATGAACAGACACTTCTCAAAAGAAGACATTTATGCAGCCAACAGACAAGTGGAAAAATGCTCATCATCACTGGTCATCAGAGAAATGCAAATCAAAACCTCAATGAGATACCATCTCACACCAGTTAGAATGACCATCATTAAAAAGTCAGGAAACAACAGATGCTGGAGAGGATGTGGAGAAATAGGAATGCTTTTACACTGTTGACGGGAATGTAAATTAGTTCAACCATTGTGGAAGTCAGTGTGGTGATTCCTCAAGGATCTAGAATTAGAAATACCATTTGACCCAGTGATTCCATTCCTGGGTATATACCCAAAGGATTACGAATCATGCCACTATGAAGACACATGCACACGTGTGTTTATTGCAGCATATTCACAATAGCAAAGACTTGGAACCAACCCAAATGTCCATCAATGATAGACTGGATTAAGAAAATGTGGCACATATACACCATGGACTACTGTGCAGCCATAAAAGAGGATGAGTTCATGTCCTTTGTAGGGACATGGATGAAGCTGGAAACCATCATTCTCAGCAAACTATCAAAAGGACAGAAAACCAAACACCACATGTTTTCACTCATAGGTGGGAATCGAACAATGAGAACACTTGGGAACAGGACAGGGAACATCACACACCGGGGCCTTTTGGGGACTGGGGGAGGGACAGCATTAGGAGAAATACCTAATGTAAATGATGAGTTGATGGGTGCAGCAAACCAGCATGGCACATATATACATATGTAACAAACCAAACATGCACGTTGTGCACATATACTCTAGAACTTAAAGTATATTAAAAAAATAAAGAAATAAGATCACTTGATACACATCACAGAACTAGTGTGAGGTCCAACGTATGTGGACTAGAAAGCATTTTATAAACTCTGGAGCCCTAGTAAAATGTGGGAATTATTACTATTATTAGCATCATTCTTAAAAAAAAAAATTAGTTTTCTTAAAAAATACCTTTTGTTGTGTATACTTAAGGTATGCAATATCATGTTAAGTGATAAATTTTGATAATTAAAATATCTCACCCAAAATAGCTATTAGACTCTACTCAGAGCTAATAATTGGGTCACCTGAACATAAAGATGGGAACAACAGACACTGTGGACTAGCAGAGCAGGGAAAGATGGAGAAGGAGAATGGCTAAAAAAAAACAGCTATCAGGCACTATGTTCACTCCTTGGCTGACAGGATCCATATCCCAAACCTTAGCATCATGCAGTACACTGACATAACAAACCTGCACACGTACCCACTGAATCTGAAATAAAATTTGAAACTATTTTTTAAGAAAGGTAAAATTGACCGGATACACTAAACAGTAGACTAGACATTGCAGAATAAAAGAATAACTAATTTCAAGACAGTGTAATCAAAATCTTTTGAACCGAAGAACAGAGAGAGGAAAAAAAAAAGCTTAAAAAATGATTAGGCTGGGCGTAGTGCCTCATGCCTGTAATCCCGACACTTTGGGAGGCTGAGGCAGGCAGATCACTTGAGGTCAGGAGTTCAAGACCAGCCTGGACAACATGGTGAAACCCAGTCTGTACTAAAAATACAAAAATTAGCTGGGCATGGTGGTGTGCACCTATAATCCCAGCTACTTGGGAGGCTGAGGAAGGAGAATTGCTTGAACCTGGGAGGTGAAGTTTGCAGTGAGTGGAGATTGTGCCACTGCACTCCAGCCTGGGCGACAGAGCAAGACTCCATCTCAAAAAAATTTTTTTTTAATGTAAAATTTTTTTAAAAATTAAAAAAAAATTTTTAAATTTTTTTAATTTAAATTTTTTAAAAAAAATTTTTTTAATTTAAAAATTTTTTTTTTAATGAGGAGACTCAGCAACATGTGGGACAATATCAGTTGGTCAAACATGTGCAATAGAGCTCCAAGAAGGAAGGTGCATACCCAAATATTTGAAGAAGTAAGGGTAAAGTATGTACCAAAGTGCATGAAAATACATTCCACGGGGCCTGGAAGCTCAATAAATGCCAAGAAAAATACGTACAAGGAAAGCCATACCAAGACATCATAACAAAAATAGTAAAAACTAATAATAAAGAGAATATCATAAAGGCAGTCCACTTCATACAAAAAAAGGAATAGCTTTATAGAGACAAACAAAGATAAGAGGGACTGCTGACATCAGAAACCATGCAAGGCAGAAGAATCAAATGACTCCTTTAGTCTAAAAATAAAAATAGCAACGAAAGAATGGTCAACCCATAAATTTAAACATAACAAAATTATTTTAAAATAAACAAGAGTTTCAGATAAAATCTGAGTGAATTTGTCACTAGTAGATATATACCACAAGAGATGTTAAAAGAATCTCTTCAAGCTGAAGGAAAATGATTCTAAGAAGACTTCCAATCTATACAAGGGAATGAATAGAAACAGAATGATATATACATGGGAAGGTATGGAAGATTTTTGTTTTTCTGTTTTCTAAATCTATTGAAAAGACAACCAACTATTAAAAGGAGAGATAACAATGCTGTTTGTGATTCATATTACCTGTGGAAGTAATGTATGACAATGGTGCAAAGGAGGGGCGTCACCTCCAGGTTTTCTCTGATGCAGTAGATGTGGGGTGGAGATTGAGAATTTATAATTTAATATGTTCTCAAGAGATGCTAATGCTGCTTACCTGGGAACTATTCTTTCTTTATTTATTTATTTTTTCTTTTTTTTTCTTTTATTTATTTATTATTATACTTTAAGTTTTAGGGTACATGTGCACAATGTGCAGGTTAGTTACATATGTATACATGTGCCATGCTGGTGCGCTGCACCCACTAACTCGTCATCTAGCATTAGGTATATCTCCCAATGCTATCCCTCCCCCCTCCCCCCACCCCACAACAGGCCCCAGAGTGTGATGTTCCCCTTCCTGTGTCTATGTGTTCTCATTGTTCAATTCCCACCTATGAGTAAGAATATGCGGTGTTTGGTGTTTTGTTCTTGTGATAGTTTACTGAGAATGATGATTTCCAGTTTCATCCATGTCTCTACAAAGGACATGAACTCATCATTTTTTATGGCTGCATAGTTTTCCATGGTGTATAGGTGCCACGTTTTCTTAATCCAGTCTATCATTGTTGGACATTTGGGTTGGTTCCAAGTCTTTGCTATTGTGAATAGTGCCACAATAAACATACGTGTGCATGTGTCTTTATAGCAGCATGATTTATAGTCCTTTGGGTATATACCCAGTAATGGGATGGCTGGGTCAAATGGTATTTCTAGTTCTAGATCCCTGAGGAATCACCACACTGACTTCCACAAGGGTTGAACTAGTTTACAGTCCCAACAACAGTGTAAAAGTGTTCCTGTTTCTCCACATCCTCTCCAGCACCTGTTGTTTCCTGATTTTTTAATGATTGCCATTCTGATGTGAGATGGTATCTCATTGCGGTTTTGATTTGCATTTCTCTGATGGCCAGTGATGGTGAGCATTTTTTCATGTGTTTTTTGGCTGCATAAATGTCTTCTTTTGAGAAGTGTGTCTGTTCATGTCCTTCGCCCACTTTTTGATGGGGTTGTTTGTTTTTTTCTTGTAAATTTGTTTGAGTTCATTGTAGATTCTGGATATTAGCCCTTTGTCAGATGAGTAGGTTGTGAAAATTTTCTCCCATTTTGTAGGTTGCCTGTTCACTCTGATGGTAGTTTCTTTTTTTTTTTTTTTTTTTTTTTTTTTTTTTTTTGAGACGGAGTCTCGCTCTGTCGCCCAGGCTGGAGTGCAGTGGCGGGATCTCGGCTCACTGCAAGCTCCGCCTCCCGGGTTCACGCCATTCTCCTGCCTCAGCCTCCCGAGTAGCTGGGACTACAGGCGCCCGCCACTACTCCCGGCTAATTTTTTGTATTTTTAGTAGAGACGGGGTTTCACCGTTTTAGCCGGGATGGTCTCTATCTCCTGACCTCGTGATCCGCCCGCCTCGGCCTCCCAAAGTGCTGGGATTACAGGCGTGAGCCACCGCGCCCGGCCGGTAGTTTCTTTTGCTGTGCAGAAGCTCTTTAGTTTAATTAGATCCCATTTGTCAATTTTGGCTTTTGTTGCCATTGCTTTTGGTGTTGGGAACTATTCTTTGAGGATCACTGAACTGTAGATTCAATGCTATCCCAGGACAAAGCACAGCAAACTTTTTAGAAAAGAAATTGACTAATTATAAATAATTTTTGAAAATTTAAAAAATGTAGGATATCCAGAAAAATCTTGAAAGAATTAATAAAATTGGAGGACTGACCCTACCTAATTTCAAGATGCATTAGATAATGACAATATGCACGATATAATGGTATTTGTGTAAGGACAAGTGTATGAACCAACAGAACTGAAAATAGAGTCCAAAAACAGACCAACGCATGTAGCGCCAATTAATTTTCCACAGACTTTGTTAAAGCACTTCAGTATGGGAAAAGTCGGCCTTTTCAACAAATGCTGCTGAAACAACTGGATATGCACATAGAAAAAAAATGAACCTTAGTCCTTAAGTCATACTGTAGATTAAGGTAAGATAGAAAAGATCACAGGCTGACATATAAAATACAATATTATAAAAGGAGAAAATAAAAATAATATTGGGATAGGCAAAGACTTCTTAGATATGGCACGCAAAAAATGCAAACCATAAAAGAAAAAATTGATAGAGTAGACTTCATCGAAATGAAAAATATTTCTTCCTCAAAAAAACAGGTAAGAAAATAAAAAGGCAAACCAATAGCAGGGATTCTCAATTCAGATATTTGATTAGTCTCAACTCAAATATTTCACAAAGTACTTTTATCTAGAATAAATAAATAACACATTAATAATAAGGAAGGCAGCTCAATTTTTTTTTTTTTTTTTTTTTGAGACAGAGTCTCGCTCTGTTGCCCAGACTGGAGTGCAGTGGCGCAATCTCGGCTCACTGCAAGCTCCGCCTCCTGGGTTCACACCATTCTCCCACCTCAGCCTCCCAAGTAGCTGGGACTACAGGCTCCCGCCACCATGCCCGACTAATTTTTTGTATTTTTAGTAGAGTCGGGGTTTCACCGTGTTAGCCAGGATGGTCTCGATCTCCTGACCTCGTGATCCGCCCGCCTTGGCCTCCCAAAGTGGCAGCTCAATTTTTTAAGAGACAGAAGCATTGGACAAACCCCCTGAAAAAGATGTGTGAATGTCCAA
Source organism: Homo sapiens (assembly GCF_000001405.40). Taxonomy (NCBI): domain Eukaryota; kingdom Metazoa; phylum Chordata; class Mammalia; order Primates; family Hominidae; genus Homo; species Homo sapiens. Next base: position 22,535,250 of record NC_000013.11, read on the forward strand.
TGTACATTAGAAAAAAACGCTCAAAATTATTGGTCAGTGGGGACTTGCAAAAACCACAGTGATCTATTACTACATCTCAAGTAGAACAGCAAAAATTTAAGACTGATACTGATTTACATGGCTATCCTTACACAATACCAACTTTGGGTAAGGATGTGAAAAATCTAGATCTCTTCTTACATGCTTCAGTGGGAATGGAAATACTACAACTAGTTTGAACTGCTCTTTGACAGTTTTTGTAAATTAAATAAATATACACTTTTCATACCACCCCACCGTTCCACACCTATGTATTTACCTAAGATAAATAATATCAGATAATTCTATATGAGTGTTGATAGAGGCTCTATAAATAACAGCTCCCCAACTACAAGCAAGCCAAATGTCCATCAACTGGAGAAGAGAACAATGTGCTATATTCACGCAATGGAATATTACTCAGCATTTCAAAGGAATAAACCACTGATACACTCAGCATCATGGGTGTCAACGATATTATGCTGAGGAAACAAAGCCAAGCAGAAAAGAGTGTCACACAGCCTATAAGATTCCATTTATAGGAAACTCTAGGAAAAACATATTTAATTTATAGTGATGGAAAGCAGACTGGGGGAAAAATTAACTGTTGAGGATATGAGGGAGGAATCTATTAGCAGTGATGGACATGTTCTAATGTCTTGACTGAGGAGGTAGTTAGATGTACGTATGCATTTTTCAAAACTCACCTAACTATACACTTAGAGTGGCTGTATAATATTGTTGGTACAGTATACCTAAATATAAGTTATTTTAAAATACAATATACATAGGAGTATTCGGTAACACCCCTATTATGAAAGACATAAATACTACATCATTCTTTCTGGGATAACTAAACTTTATTTTAGTTTAAGTGTTTTTGGATGATTAATTATGTTACGTCTTGAGGAATCTGTTCTGGAGTGCAGTGGTGTGATCATGGCTCACTGCAAACTGCATTTCCTGGGCTCAAGTGGTCCTCCCACCTCGGCCTCCAAAATAGCCCACACCCCAAAGCTTGACTAATTTTTTAATTTTTTAGTAGAGACAAGGACTCCCTGTGTTGCCCTGGCTAGTCTCAAGCTCCTGGGCTCAAGTGATCCTCCTGCCTTAGCCTCCCAAATTGCTGCAATTACAGGTGTGTGCCACCATGCCCAGACTGTTCAGTTTTTAATGACATATATTTTAATATCTGTAGTCCATAATATATCATTAGCTGTGGATACTTAAGGGAATATGTTCTTATTAGCAATTTATATGTAAAAAAGTGTATATTTGTGTTCTGTCATTCAAATCTATCACAGTTGTAAGCCTATTAATATTATGTCTTATTATGTAAGTATAAAATACTACTCTATCTATATTTTGATGATTTTTGAACTCCAGCAAACCATCCAATAATAATGGCTTCCAGTGACAAACTTTTTATTATTTGCCTAATCTCTTTGCTGCAAAAATGTAATTATCATCAATAATTCTAATCCAAAGGTTAAAAAAAAAGGCTGAAGAAGGATCAAATTGTTATCTGTCACTAGGATGCTCTTGGGTTTACTTTTTGCTTTGGTTAAGTGAAAATAGTTGATAGATTTTAATTTCATTATAGTCCATTAATTCTACTGTAAATAATTAATCTTTTATGATGGAACGTAGTCATGTTTAATAATTCTGTCCTTGTCTTTCATTGGAGCTCTGGTTCTTAAGACCTTTTGATCCTGAGATTAGGCTTTAGCAAATTTCCTTCAGATGTGCAGACAGACATCTTTCATCAGATGCAGGATTAAGCAGGGTTAGCGGTCTTTCAGAGGCACGGCCATCTGGGTTTGTGTTTTCTGCAGTGCTCCTTTCTTTATGGATTTTAAGGAGATGTGATATGTGAAATATGGTTAGTTCTTTGATTTATGATTTCTTTAAAACCTAACAAATGAGAACAAAGAAAATGGGAGTGAGGAAGGAAACCGAAAACATTTTTTAAGACCTAGAATGTAAAACCAGAATCCTGAATTTGGAAGGAAATAGAAATATTCAGCGAGGTGTGAAGAGGAGGATAGAGGGAGGATTTTCTGTGAAACAGTATCTTACATGAAGAAGTCACTACACACCTTGCTTTAGTGGGCGTTTTGTGCCCAACACTTATAATTCACTAGAAGGAATTTTGGAAGGAGTACGTTTGCCAAATACATTCCACACGATTTGCCATGAAATCCCAGGGAAGAACTGTGTGGGCTCGCATTGAAGTCGAATCATTTCTTCAAATCACCAATAATTTAAATCTTGTGAATGGAGAAGAATGTTTCACAGTTGTTGTCGTTTAAAAAAAAAAAAAAGCCTATTTTTAAGTTACTCTAAGATGAAAAAGGAAGTTGTCAAAACTCCTAATGTCTTGGTGTTTATCTGGTTCTACCAAGTATTAGCATTGATACTATTTAGACAGCGTGTCACTAGCACACATCCCAGGTGGCTCAGCAAAAGAGAATGGGCACTCCCAAGGGGAACTCGACACAAGCTAGAAGGGCCTGTGCCCTTGTGACACTTCTTGGTTTCATGAGCAACTCAAACTACAGCAAGGATCAAGGTGGCAAACAATCAGTCTCTGAGAAGATGCCATTTCCTTCTTGGGCTGAAGAGATACATAAGAGCTAATAATAAAGTGACTTAAGCCTGTCTCGATATAGGCGTTCTCAACAAAGATGTAGGTGGATCACACCAAAGATTCTCACCATTACAAACTCTTCCTAGAATTTAGACTAGAGCAATACAGCAACACGTGCATCTACATTGCGTGATGTGGAGAGGAGGGTGGGGAAGTATCATGGTGGATGAAGAGAACAGATCAGGAATGATGTGATAAAGCACCTTACAAATGGGGCCCTCTCTCCTACGTCATCAGTTTCTGCTATTAACTCATTCCCTTCAGCATACAACTTTGTAAAATTACATTAAACTTACTTTGTCTTCCAGCTATAACTCCTTTCCAGTCCTTCTCTTTGCAGTAAAATAACTCTAAAAGAACTCTATCATCTATGTATCTATGTATGCACGTATGTATGTATGTATCTATCTATCTATCTGTCTGTCTACCTACCTACCTATCCATCCATTCTGGTGTACATACATACATATGCATAGGTGCATACATAAATACATAAACAAATAGAAAAAAATAAAAATTTAAGACCAAACTTACTGGTCTTAGCTTTTTCACCTTCTATTTCTCATCTTCTCTCTTTTCTTTGCTGTTATGTCATACAAATTTCATTGTAACCAGCTTCCAAACTAAATATTTATCCTACAAAAGTTTACAAATGATAGTGTTTATAAACAACTCCAGCTACGAAGAGAAATGAGGCCCAGCCGATGCAAAGCTGCCACGTTGTGAGCCGAGGAGCATGCAGATGTATGCACTGCACAGCTGTGAGTGTGGTAAGGAGGTGGCCGGCCCTGAGGATAAACTCCAAAACCATAAAAAAGTACAACTTTGTTTGTATCCTGATGCAAACAAACCAATTCTAAAATGATACCTGCATATGGAGATCATATTAAGCAATATTTTATTAGGCATTTTGACAACTATGGTAAACAAAATCAAATATCCTTATCAGAACATTTACAGGTGGATACCATGATGCTTTATAATAGGGATGTAGATGAAATAAGATTAGAAAAATAATGATAAATCTTGCTAATGGAGATATGAGAATTTATTGCACTAAACTCTGTTGAATGATTGAAAATTTCCATAACACAAAGTGAACAAAAATAATGCAAAAAATAAGGTATTTGTTCATTATTCTCCATATATTAAACATAAATGAAACTTAATATACACACTTAATAATAAGTGAATTCCTGAATTCCTATTTGGCATTCAGTAGTTATTCCTAAAAGGAACACAAAACCTCTATTTATACCGGGAAGTCATGTTTGCTGTACATTATTCCACACAGTAGGTACACATATTGATAGAGACTAGGAAAATTAAATGCCTAAAGTGACAATTTTTCTTGAAGTAAATCTTGGTATTTGATTTAGTTACAAAATAATTTTAACATATTAAGTAAAATATGTTCTAAATGAATTTATACATAGCATAATTTATATATATATATGTGTGTGGTGCTACAATTAGGTCTCTGCATAAAAATACAAGATAGTAAATGAAATAAAACTCTCAGCAACACAGACTACATAATGTTAATTATTAAAAAATATTTAAAAATAACTAGTCACTAACCTCTCTAAGACTACATTATATCATAGATATTCATAAGTCAGCTATTCATTGATACAGTGATAAAGTAAGTTTACTCCCAGGTTACCTTATCACACTCATGTTAACTGGGTAAGACCTGTGTAGCTTCCCACTAAAAGAGTGGGGGAGTCATTTAAATTCCTAGCACAAATCATAAGTGAGCATTTGGTTTCTGAAATATGCATATCAAATTATTTTTATTCAAAGGATTAATATTAAAAAGTAAGTCTCGTTTTGCATTTATAATTTCTCATCCTCTGAGGAATTTGTACCTTCTTAGACATGAGAGCAATGTCCAATACAACTATAACACAAGCTGCAGATGTAAGTTTTAATTTTCTAGTATCCACAGAAAAAGGAAGTAAAAACAAACAAGTGCAGTTAATTTTAATAATATGTTTTATTTGATTCAGTATATTCAAAATACAATTTCAGCACAAAACCAATATAAAAAATATTTTAATGAGTTGTTTTTTCTATACTAAATTTTTTTAATCTGGTGTGTATTTCACTTGCATAGAACATTTCAATTTGAAAGCTACGTTTTTATTGGAAGTACTTGATCAGTATTTAGATTCCATAAAATTTACAGTTGAGAAATATACATTTGTATACCCAAGTTGTTCCAGATGTACTTAAAGTTTTTCAACAGCTTAATCAAGTATCAGTTTTTAAATATAAATGATAATTAAAATTAATAAATTTAGATTTCAGTTCTTCAGTCTTACCTGCTGCAATTCAGGAGCTCAGAAGGCACATGTTGCTAGGTCTACTATGTGGGACAACACAGGTCCGTGGTCTTTCTACTAATGTAGCTGAGGCAATGAAAGTGAAGTCTGGCTAACACCAGTTTTTATGGTATATTTTCAAAATAAAAAGGAAAATAAAAAGTATTTCAGACTTTACAGCCTCCCAGAAAAGAGCTAGGCACAATTAATTATTTTCACTTTTTATAACATTAATCACAGATAACAGAAATGAAAGCTTCAAAGTTTGTCTAGTACCTGTACTTTCACTTTTTAATTTTATTATCATTTTGAGTATACAATATTTGTGTTTGAATGAACAAACAGTAGTTATTTCTTTTAAAGATATAAAAATGTCCTACTAATAATTATTGGATCTTTCCAATTGTATATCCCAGCTCTGAGTTATGGGCTTCTTTCAGACTATAAAAACTGATATAGGGCAACTTTAAGCCACAGATGTCCCACTAAATACAATTCCAGTGACATGTAGCTACACTTTGCCAACTGAAATTCATTTTTTTCCACAAACATAACATGGAATCCCTTCTTTGTACCACATCCTATATCATTTTTTATATTCCTCATATCTTTTTTTACTTACTCTAATTCCAACTTCATGCAGCTCCACACTTCAAATATTGCTGAACTACAGGACACTGGCATGTTCCTTAACCCCAATAACTTCTTGCAGTAACAAAAATCGAACACATTTTTAGTACATGGAATATGCCCTGCACTGATCTAAGAATGTTACATGTTCCAGTCTATTTCATCCATCTCCATGAAGTAGACATTATCATCTTTCCATTTATAAATGTGGAAACTGTCATACAGAGAGGCTAAGTAAGTCACCCATTGCTTCACAGGGGAAGTGACGATGCTGGCATCTGAATCCAGGAGCCTGGTCTTCAACAGCAAATGCTCTCCCACTGCTCTGTTCTGCCTTGCTGAAAGTCTTTGGCCCAATCTCTCGACAGTCACACCCTGCAGTCAGCTTCTTTCTTTGGAGTAAATTTGTTTGCAGTGGCTGGTCTCATTATTTCAGGAAACATAAGTAGATCCTGTCCGTCTGGACCATGTCTTAGGGAAATACAGAGTGCTTCAGGCCAAGCTTCCTCTTAGCCCAGATTCATCATAGAGGCAATAGTTGCCACACAGTCAAAGGCTGGCCATCAACCTCCGGAGCAGCAGCCTTTGTTATCACGGGAAGCAGCCACAGCAGTGCTCTTCTTTCTTTAACTCCGGATTTAGGAGTTTGACTCCAATATTAAGATCCGGGTGAAATGCTCCTGCCTTCTGACCACAGTGTCCCCAAATCAGTAAGTACCTTAAATTTAAGTCATACTGAAAGTAACCTCTTGTTCAATGGCTGTTCACCTCTGTCATCAATACACCTCTGTTTGCCCTTTCTGTAACAAATTCTCCATGTTGACTGGTTTTTAGAAATTGGCTCTTACCACATCTGTAGATGGAGACACACCTTTTCCATTATTTGTAAATCCTGTGCCAATGGTTCATTTGTTTCTGTATTGTGAAAAATGATAAGCATTTTTCCCAAAAAAATTCTGAATAGCAGTAAATAATTATAACTTTTTAAACTCATAGTCCTGCCAATCACCATTGGGTGGGTAAATATCTTTAAAAACCTACTGCTGCTGCTAAGCACACTAATGCAGAAACAGAAAACCAAATACTGCATGTTCTCACTTAAAAATGGTACACATAGACATAAAGAAAGGAACAATAGACACGGGGGCCTGTTATAGTGGGAAGAGAGGGAGTTTCTGAAAAACTACCTATTAGGTACTATGCTCACTACCTGGGAGATGGGTTCAATCAGACCCTAAACCTCAGCATCATGCAATATACCCTTGTAACAAACCTGCACATTTACCCCTGCTTCTAAAATAAAAGTTGAAAAAGAAAATTTAAAACCTACTGCTAATAGAGGTTTTTGAGAGAGGACTTTTTCTGCCCTCATATTTTAAATGTGCTTTTTTATTGCTGTTTTTTTGTGTTACATTTCTTAAAAATATCAACATAAGTCAATATTTCCCAAAACTGCTATTCGGGTTAAGTAACATTTTTGTTTTCATAGCTTTTCACATGAAATAAATAATGTGTATTTCCTATATGTCTTGTTTTGCCCATAATCCCTTTTACATGGCTCGGCTCTGCAGGAGTGGTAGTGAATAGGCCTGTGGGTGTGTCTGATGGGCATAACTGATGGAGAAGAAAGGCCAGAGGAAGAAGCTTGGAGTAGAAAACACCTCTCTTATCATGTTACAGCAGACATGGTCTGAATCTATGCTTCCTCGAACATTCCCCAGTAAAGTTTTCCATTCACTGAAACTTCCAAAGGCCCCCAAGATCTTATTGTGGCAAATCCAATGATTAATATGAGTCCTTGTTCCTTACATTCTTAGCAACACTTGTCAAAACTGATCACATCTTCCTTTAAAAATGTGATGACTAAGTTTGTAGAACACTATTTTTCATTTTTCCTGACTTCTCTGCTGACTCCTCGATTCTCTTTGCTGTGTGTCACCTTGACTTCTAGATGGGGAGTGCTCCAGAGCTCTGGCTTATCATTTTATCTCCCCATATTTATTCTGCAGGTGATCCCATACAATCATATGCTTTAAATATCATGTATTCACTGCTGACTCTTAGCTTTCTCTCTCTAGGCATAATCTTGAACTCGAGCTCCACTCTCCAATCTCTAGCTTTCTACTTAAAATCCACTTAGATGTTTCAAATTTAATACATCCAATACTAATTTTTGATTCTCCTCCCCAAACTTGCTTCTCTCATTTTTCCTTGTCTAAATAAATAACGCTTATCCAGTTGTTCAGGCCAAACACCTCAGAATCACTTTTTACTTTATTCTCCTACCACTCTTTCATCTCCAGCAAACATCTAATTGATTAGAGAATCCTGACTGTTCCAAATTCACAATATATGGTACATCTGACCATGGCACCCTGATTTTCCCTACTTCCTTTGCAAAAGCATGGGTCAAACACCATCATCTCTCTCCTGAATCAATGACATGCTAACTGAATTCTTACACTTCTCTCTTGCTACTCTACACACTTCCACAAAGCTGCCAGAGAAATCTTTTAAATTCATGGTATATTTCCTATGTAGTTCTGGTACAAGATTGCCTCCAGAATGTTTGGTCTTGTCAGTGGTCATGATTTTCCCCTCATCAAGGAGTCTATAAATTAGGGAGCCTGAGGTTTCAGAGACACATGTCTATTCACTGCTCAGAGGTGCAATGAGGCCTTCTCTGAACTATTCTTAAAGATCTGGGTCATTCCACTCCAGGTCCTGTGAGGTGTTAAAGTTGTACAACTGAACATTGACCCTCTCTGCTGAAAAAAACCTATGGAGAATATTGCTGACCATATCTTACAACAAGGCAGTTTTAATTTGCATTTTCCTAATGGTGTTGAGCTTCTTTCATGTAATTATTAGCCATTTACATATCTTCTTTAGAGAAAAAGATATTCAGATCCTTTGCCCATTTTTTCACAGGGTCCTTTTTTTCTGAATCGTAGGAGTTCTTTATTGAGATACAAGTCTCTTATCAGATACATGATTTGTAAATATTTTCTTTCATTTTGTGGCTTCACTTTTCACTATCCTGGTGGTGTTTTTTTGTAGCACACGTTTTTAATCTTGAATGAAGTCCAATTTACCTATTTTTTATTTTGTCACTTGTGTTTTTGGTGTTATATTTAAGAAAACTTTGCTTAACTCAAAGTTACAATGATTAATCCTCTATTTTGGTAGGAGTTTTATAGTTTTAACTCTTACATTTAGGTCTATAATCCATTCTGAGTTAATTTTTGTATATGGTGTGAAGTAGGGACCTAACTTTATTATTTTGCATGTAGATATGCAGTTCTTCCAGCAGTTTCTTCAGGAAAAGTGTCTTTTCCTCCAAGAGTCTTTCTTTGAGGAAAAGAAAGACTACTCTTTTCCTCATTAGTTATCTTACAAGCTTGGTCAGAAATCAACTAATCTTAAAATGAGGTTAGTGAGGATATACTGTTGACTCTCACTTTTATTCCATTGATCCATATTTCTAGCCTTATACTAGTATCATACTTTTGATTACTGTTGCTTTGTAATAATTTTTGAAATGAAAAAGTATGAGTCCTCCATATTTATTTTTGTTTTTAAAGACTGTTTTGGCTATTTGGGGTTTCTTCCTTTTTTTATTTCTTTTTATTTTATTTCTTTATTTTATTTTATTTTATTTTATTTTATTTTTGAGACGGAGTCTCGCTCTGTCGCCCAGGCTGGAGCACAGTGGCGCGATCTTGGCTCACTGCAAGCTCTGCCTGCCAGGTTCACAGCATTCTCCTGCCTCAGCCTCTGGAGTAGCTGGGACTACAGGCGCCCGCCACCACACCCGGCTAATTTTTTGTACTTTTTAGGAGACAAGGTTTCACCGTGTTAGCCAGGATGGTCTAGATCTCCTGACCTCGTGATCCGCCCACGTTGGCCTTCCAAAGTGTTGGGATTACAGGCATGAGCCACCGCACCCAGCCAGGTTTCTTCCTTTTCATTATGACTTCTAGGTTCACCTTGTAGGATTCTGCAAAAATGCCAGCTAGAATTTCCGTAAGAATTGCATTCAATATATAGATCGATTTGGGCAGTATGGTCATCATAACAATAATAAGTCTTCTGATTGATGAACATGAAATATCTTTCCATTTATTTAGGTCTTCTTTAGTTTTCAACAGTATTTTGTAGTTTTCAGAGCACAAAGTTTTCACTTCTATTAAGAAATTTATTTCTAAGTATTCTATTATTTTTGATGCTGTTTTAAATGGAATTGTTTTCTTAATTTATAGGTTGTTCTTTTCTACTTTAGAGAATTATAGTTGATTTTTGTAGGTTGATCTTGTACTCAGCAGTCTTGCTGAATTTGTTATTTTTATGGTTGTGTAGATTCCTTAGTATTTTCTATATACAAGGTTATGACATCTGTGAGTAGAGATGGTTTTGTATCCTCCTTTGCAATCTGAAGGCATTTCATTTTATTTTCTTGCCTAATCTCTCTGGATAGAACCTTTAGTACAGTGTTGAACAGAAATGATGAGAACGGGGGAAAGCATTGAGTCTTTCCCCTTTAAATATCATGTTAGCTGTGGAGTTTTCATAAATACACTTTATCAGTTTAAGTTCACTTCAATTCCTATTTTGTTGAGTGTTTTTCTCTTTTTAATCATAAAAGGGTTTTAGATTTGTTGAATGCTTTTTCTGTGCCCAGTGAAATAGTCACGTGTTTTTTGTTGTTATTCTACTAATATGGTGGATTACATTATTTTCAGATGTAACCCCCCCACCTTGCATTCCTGAGATTCATGCCAATTCATCATAAAAAGTATAAAACATTTTACATGTTGACAGATGACATGTTGATACAAATATTTGCTTGTATTTTGCTGAAGATTTTTTGCATCTACATTCATAAGAGATACTAGTCTATAGTTTTCTTTTTTAGGATAGTATTGTCTACTTTAGATATCAGCCTAATATTGGCCTCATAAAATGAGTTGGTAAGTGTTCTCACTCCTACACTTTTTGATAGAATTTCGGGAGAATTGATATTAATTTTTTCTTTAAATGTTTGGCAGAATTTACTAGTGAAACCATTTGATACTGGGCTTTTCTTTGTGGAAGTTTTTTGATTACTAATTGAATCTCTTTGCTCATTATACTTGTTTACTTGTTATGCTTCACTTGTTATTCAAAATTTGTATTTCTTAATGTTTTTTGTAAAAGCTGTCTATTCTATCAAATTTGTTGAAATACAGTTGTTCATGTAATTGTATTCTCATATGTAGATATATATAATATATAAAATTTTTGCAAGAGCTACACTAACGTCTTTTATTTCATTCCTGATTTTAGTAGTTTGGGTTTTCTCCCTTTTTCTGGGCCAGTCTAGCTACAGGTTTGTCAATTTTGCTGATATTTTTGAAGAATCAACTTCTGGTTTTATTTATTTTCTTTATTAATTTTCCATTTTCTATTTCATTTACTTCTGCTCTAAATTTTGTTCCTTCCTCTTGTTTGCTTTGTGTTTATTTTGCTCTTTTTCCAGTGTATAAAGGCGGACATTTAGTTTAGTGATCTGAGCTCTTTTTAGACTTACTTAGCCAATTAAAGCTATTAATTTCCTTCTCAGCTGCTTCAGCTGCATCCTATAACATTTGCTATACTGTGTTTTTATTTTCATTTTGCTCAAAGTATTTTCTAATTTCCCTATGATTTTTTGACCCATTTGTTATTTGGAAGTATGTTGTTTAATTTCCAACTATTTGTGAATTTCCCAAATTTCTTTCTGTTATACATTTGTAATTTTATTCCATTTTGGTCAGAGAACATGCTTTCGTATGATTTCAATCATTGTGAATTTAGTGAGCTTGTTTTATGGCACAGTATATAGTCTGTCCCAGAGAATGTACCATGTGCACTTAAGGAGAATGCATGTTCTGCATTGGTGTGTTATGTAATTGTCTGTTAGGTTTGTTTATGTATAGCCTTGTGCAAGTCTTCTATTTCCTTGATTTATCGCCTACTTTTTACATCTATTACTAAAAGTGGCGTACTCACGTCTTCAATAGGTATGTCACATTATCGATTTCTCCCTTTAGTTTAATCAATTTTCCCTTTAGATATTTTGGGGCTCTGGTGTTAGGTACATATAAGATTACAATTGTTATATCTTCCTTGTGTATTGAAACTTTTATCACCACAAAATGTACCCCTTTATCTCTACTAACACTTTCATTTTAAATATATTTTGTCTAATATTAGTAGAGCTGTTCCAGTATTCTTATGGTTGTTGTTAAAATGATATATCTTTTCTTATGTATTTACTTTCAACCTATTTGTATCTTTGAATCTAAAATGTGTCTCCTGTAGACAGCATATAGTTAAATATATTTTTGTTCAGTCTGACAATCGTTGCCTTTTGATTCAATTTTTAAATTCATGGATATTTAGTGTTATTGATATATTGGATGCATGTCTGACATTTAACTTCTTTTACTGCATGTGTTATATCTCTTATTCCTCAGTTCTTCATTTCCTGCTTCCTTTTACATTAATTAGTATTTTCTATTGTAACATGTAAGTTCCTTTAATGATTTTTAATATAGTTTTTTAAAGTTATGACTGGCTGCTCTATGGCTTATAATATGCTTCCTAATTAGAATTACCTGCAGATATATACTAATTTAATTTCATCAACACTGTGTGGTAGCCCACATTCCACTGCTTCCTCCAGGTACACAGAATATCAGTATATGTTAAAAGTCCAAAAATACATTGACATACTTCCTAATGTAAGTTTATTCCTTTTAAATAAATAGAAACAAGTATATATTTACAGAGTTTGTTGTATTAGCCATTTGTATTTACAATTTCTGATTCTTTTCACTTGTTCCTCTGGATTTGATAAACAATTTTGTGCTATTTTCTTCTTCTAATAGAACTTTGCTCCCACACATCTCCTTTGTCCTCTTAAAGATATTACATATCTATATTTTAGAGGTCCAATTATATAAATATTACTTTACATAACTACTTTTAAATAACTTAGAAGAAAGAAGAGGTATGCAAAGATAAATTAAGTAATTTAGGGATAATTACTATTAGCAGTGCTCTTTTTCATGTAGACTTGAATTATTGTATGGGGTCATTCGCTTTTAGCCTAAGGAACTTCTGTGTGTCCTGTAAGGTGATATGCATCTAATGAATTATTTCAATTTTTGTTTATCTGAGGAGAGCACTGTCAAATTGTCAAGTACTAGTGAGAGCAGGCTTAAATACTCCCTCATCCACTGAGGTTAACAAAGGAAATGTAACCATTTAGCTTTGAGTTACCCTCACATACTAAACACAGAAAAACAACCAAGAATCAAGATAGAACAGAGGGGCACAGGTATTGTACAAACCAAAATTTTACAAATGACAAATTTTGGAGAAATAGCTAAATGCCATATGTATGTGTTGATGGTAGTGGAGGTCAGTAGGGAGAGGTGTTATCTGAGGTAGTCTCTATCCAGTAGGATGTACCTGGAGGAAGCAGTGGAACGTGGGCTACCAGACTGTATTAATAAAGGTGAGCAGGAGCTGACCACCCTAATAGTAGCAGCAAGATCAGCAAACCGATATCATTATTAAATGACTTCAAACCCTTTTCTCCTGGTCAATAAGGGATTACATTTGTTTGTCTGTTTTATCTGTAAAAAGTGTTAGGCATTTGAATGGCATCATCACGATGCTAACAAGTCTGTATACCCACAAGGTACTACCCTGGGCTTCTTATTTTCATCTACCAAGTATTTTTATGAGTGTCTAAATGGTTTTCTGAGCCAATAAATCTAACCCATCAGACGTGTGTATGTTGGACAGTAGGGAGGGAAAGGGGCATAAGAGAGAGAGGTTCATGAACACCTTCCAAGTTACGGGCATAACCAGTTGAGGAAATGAATATGACACTTAATGGAATTGGAACACTGAACAAGGAAAGACAAATCGTATCGGAAGAAAAAAAGATCTAGAAGCCATTTAGGCTCTTTTGAGACTTGAATGGGATAATGCATGCAAGGAGACCTAATAAAAGTAGTGCACAATACAAATATTGATGATGATGATGATTACCACCTAGCAGTCAGGGGATTGCAATGTGTACAGCATTTCAGAACCACTTCTATTACCTTCAACTATGTATTAAACACTGCCAAAATGTTTCTTGTTTTCTAGCATATGTTTTGGCCTTAAATATAAATGTTAATGTTAATTCTCTTTTACTCCCTGGCATCTCAATCTTCAGCTCTTTCTAATTTCACTCGGATAAACATAGCCAAGTATTTTCTTCCAAAATACATCTACACTACATCCAAGGGTTTTCCTACAGACAGATTCCCAGAACACCAAGCAAAAACTAAAAGTAGTAGTATAAACAAAAGCAACTTTATTTACAAAAACTCAACTTAAGATCTAACAGAGGAAGAGTGAGTCAACACTGCTCACCATCAACAGATGTTGTTAGAGGTCATTGTGGTTGTTTTTAAAATCTCTCAGTTGTTTTCAAACCTTAGTGTGCGTAAGAATCACCTGGTAGGCTTACTAAACTGAAAATTCCTGGGACCCACCTCCAGAGAATCTGATTTTATGATTGGAATGAGTTACAGGAAATTGCATTTTTAGCATAATCCTAATATAATAGAGAAGTACTTTCGTCCATGGGTCACACATAAAATGTCCATCACATTGGTCATTAGCATTGGGCATGTTTGTTGTCTCTCTGCCTACTTTTGAAGATTGCAACTGTTAGTAAGAGTAAGCATACCATGATGCCTAATGTCACAGCTGGGTAAGAAAACCCCACCTTCCCTGAATATCTGTAGATTTCAGCCTCTTCCTCCTGTTATTGCTTCCAAGGAATGCTCAGGAGTTGCCTTCTTGCTCGTATACCTGCCTTACACAGAAAATAACTCAGAAATGTTTCTAATTAGGCAAATCTAGTGATGAGTTATTTTAAAAAAAATTTGAGAAACTGTTCACCAGGGAAATGTGCAGATTTAAGTCTGACTTAATGGGGTTTGTTCAGAGGAGTGGGTATCAGTGCCAACTTTTACATAATTGCTTAAGATTTCCTTCTATGTCATTTAGCACTCTGTCTTCTTAAGAAGGTTCTTATGGTAAAAAAGAAAGTGTTGTCCCAACCTTCATTTCCCCTTCTCTTATGTCTTATTGGTGGAGAGATACAAAGTTTATAGCTATCAGAGAGTTACAAAATTGGGATTGTGTGAAGAGGAACACATTAGCTTTGGGGAATCACAAGTTTTGGACATTTCTTCACAGGATATATATGCGAGCTGTGATGCTGGAGCTCTCCCATCCAGCAAAAATGAAGATTTAACGTTTGAAAAATTGAAAGTAATGGAAAAATTATAATATTATAACCAAATGGACTTTACAAAGAGCCTTTCATAATTCAACCTATTAGTTGATGAGAAGCGTTTCTAAATGTTATTAATTAGGCCCAGATTAATTTTCTTTCATCCTATTTTGTTTCTCAGTTTCTTCTATATCAATAATTATACCTATAATTATAGTTGTGGCCATTTCCGAGGCTGGTATAAGTATTTAGATAAGAGAATCTCGTAGGAATATCTTGTAGGGATATGGATGGAATGTTCTTAGGTGGTATTATATATTAACATTATATATAGATATAATATATATTATATTATATAACATTAAATATTATATATTATATATTATATAAACATGGCTACTTGAGATAATGAAAGTGCTATAATATATATTATATATACTATATAAATATATAGATATAATTATATATGTGTGGGTGTTTACATTATATAATATATAGATATTAATACGTAATATCATACATATCTCTATATGCTCTTGGACAAATATTCAAAAATAACTATTTTGTTAGGTCACGGGTAGTAAATCTAAATTAATTACTTTAGTCCTAGAAATACAATGGTTGCTTATTAATGGTAGTCGTTTTTATTACAGTAATAACAAAAAATAAGCCTTTTCAAGATCTAAAACTAGAATATATTGTTTCTACCTTTTGTGGGATCTGAGCTTAAGAAGCATGAAGCAGTATAATATGTGTATTGTAAATAACCTTAAAGTAGAAACATCAACAACCTCACCATTTTCTTGAGTGTGATGCTGTCCTTTGGTGTACAGTGTGTACAGTGTAGTGTTTGTTAATATTGCAATGCTCCTTGCAAGTTGATGTGTGCCTTAGCTTCCTCGTGGCTATGGTGAACAGTTAATCCGAGTAGATATCTGGAAGAATGTACGCATGGTTGTCCCTCTTAGTAATATGATAGTTAGCATCTTTATCTTTACCTCAGCAGAAAAAGCAGGAATTCCTAGAGCCATGAGGGAACATTTGCAATCACTTCAAGAACACCGAGAAAGTAGCAAATAACTCTTTAGAGAAGGTTTTTAAGTTCCAAATGCCTGTTTTGTTTATTATTTTAGTACCCTTTTATTGTAGATAATAAATATTTGATAAATTCCCTGATTATATGATGATTTTGATTGCCTTTCTCTACCAAAATATTTCTAGTTGTTTACCATTCATCAGGTCCTTTGAGGACTTCTGCTTGTAAGTACTCAGAATATGTCGGGGGAAAAAAAAAAACACACACACACACACACAAAACTAAAGCAGGCAAATATTCTACTCTTCCTGTGTTGGGGTGATCAGACCCAACACCAGGCTGTGGGGGCTACGAAGTCCAGCAGAGTCAAAGGAATGAAAAAAGACAAGAGAGAAAGTGGGACCAGGGAGCCAACGGTAGTATGGAGGCTGCAAAGGCCCCAAGCTCTGGGGTCCCATGCTATTAATTGGTGATCACACAAAGAAACAGGTTGTGACGATGTGGGGGTTGAAAGGAAGCAGCGTATCAAGAGAATGAGCTACAGCTGTGACGGTTTAGCATTTTCTTTGAAACATATGGCTACTTGAGATAATGAAAATGCTAGAAGCAAGGAGCCAGCAAGTCTATACACATTCCAGAGACCAGGAAGGGTTTTAGACCCTGGACCCCTTACATGTTCCAAACCCTGCCTCAGCTTCTCTCCCAACACTCAGCTTTCCTCCCAACAACCTAGAGTTAACTGTCTAGCTGGGAAGAGGTGAAAGGGGACTAAATGCATATAAAAACAATAAATATGGTAAAGAATATGGTAGAATAAGTTATTCCAGAAAGTGATCAATATCATGGATGAAGAAAAAAGAAGAAAGTAGAGTTGGGGGAAGGGAGTCAAAGTATCAGGCTAGAGACGGGTGAAGAAGGATGTATTTCAATAAAGTGATTAGCATAGGTTTCTTTGAAAATATGACATCTAAACCAGGAGTTGAAAGATGAAGCAATTAACCATCATGTACCTGGGGAAAGATGTTACAGGAAGAGTAGGCAGCCAGGGCACAGGCCCGACAGTGGAGGGGCACCTGGTGCTCCAGGAATGGTCGGGAGGCCAGTGTGGCTGGAGCAGAGTGGGACAGGGCAGAGTAGGACTATGGTGGGGGGTGTGTAGGGCCTTGTAGATCTGTGAGAGCAGGGTGGGGAGCGCTTTTTCTTCACAGTGAATGTTATGTTTACTCTGAGGCTCGGGGGAGCCCGTTGAAATATCTGGTATGAACTGGTTAACGTTTTGAGGTATCTTTCTGGCTGCTCTGTTGAGAATGGATTGTAAGAGGGCCAAGGTGGACACAGTGTGTCTGGTTACGAAGCCACTGCAGTATTCCAGGTAAGACACAGTGGGTACTCACATCTCACGGTGGCAGTGGGACTGGTACGAAGTGGCCAGCATCTTTGCCTATGGCTCTGATGGAGAAGCTTTTATCAGAGTAACTAGCATACTTGTGTGTCTGGAATTGGTGGGTTCTTGGTCTCGCTGATTTCAACAATGAAGCCACAGACCCTCGCAGTGAGTGTTACAGTTCCTAAAGATGGTGTGTCTGGAGTTTGTTCCTTCTGATGTTCCAACGTGTCCCGAGTTTCTTCCTTCTGGTGGGTTCACAGTCTTGCTGACTTCGGGAGTGAAGCTGCAGACCTTCATGGTGAGTGTTACTGCTCATAAAGGCAGCGTGGACCCAAAGAGTGAGCTACAGCAAGATTTATTGCAAAGAGAGAAAGAACAAACCTTCCACAATGTGGAAGGAGACCCCAGGGAATCCCTGGACCTGGCGGGTGGCCTGCTTTTATTCCCTTATTTGGCCCCACCCACATCCTGCTAATTGGTCCATTTTACAGAGAGCGGATTGGTCCATTTTACAGAGTGCTGATTGGTCCATTTTACAGAGTGCTGATTGGTCTGTTTTGACAGAGTGCTGATTGGTACATTTACAATCTTTTAGCTAGACACAGAGCACTGATTGGTGCATTTACAATCCTTTAGCTAGACAGAAAAGTTCTCCAAGTCCCCTACCTGATAGCTAGACTGATTGGTGCATTTACAATCCTTTAGCTAGACACAGAGCACTGACTGGTGCGTTTACAAACCTTTAGCTAGACACACCAGAGTGCTGATTGGTGCATTTATAATCCTTTAGCTAGACAGAAAAGTTCTCCAAGTCTCCACCCGACCCAGAAGCCCACACAGCTTCACCTCTCAACTGGAACGCTGTAAAAAGTTGCGAAATTAAAACAGCAACAACAGCCTTCTGAAGATGATAGAGAACAGACAAGATATCTGTAACTTGAGTGGCCAAGATGCCCTGAGAGGGGGAAATGGCACTGAGGTGACCCCAATGTCACCCATCACGTCTCTTATCCAGACACTTACCAAGTTCTAAGGGGCACGAGCCTCGGAAGATCAAATGAAAGCAGTGGAGAGACCTCCAGCAAGCTTATAGGTTAGGGGAGACAAAGTTGAAATGTAGAGCTACCAAGGTGGCCTGGATTTAGAAGGAGCCAAGCCTGTCGGAAAGGTAACCATGGAAGGTGAGCCTGAAATTCCCTATTTGTAGGTTGGATGAGAGTGAGGGAATATGGTGCAGGTGAGAGGCCAGGAAGTCAAGCAAAGCAGTCACTAAGCATCCACTGGGAATGCAAACACTGGAAATTAAGGCAAGACCCAGAGAAAGGCACTGCAAACACTAACAAGCTTTCAGGTAAGGCTTCCAATGTATTATTTCCTAGGAGAGAAAGCAAACTAGAAAAAGTCTATCCTTCACTAAGACAGAAAGCTCATTTGAAACATCTTCATTCCAGAAAGGATCAAGTTGATCTGTACCTAGTGTAACAATCATCCAGATAAAGGGAAATAGTTCCTAGATGAAGATAATATCTTTCAGAGATATTGTCGTAACAAGCAACTGTGTTTTCAGAGATACTGCTGTAACAAGCAACAGTTGTCATTCAGTAATTTATTATCAGGCTTTGAAAAATATAGGACCAGGTGACCAAACACCAAGAGAAAAAATAGAAAGTAGTAGCAACTCCACAGATGATAAAGAGCCATCAGAGTCATATGTTTAAATAAGTAAATGGTAAGTTGGACATTTTCACTAGAAAATAAGAGTCTGTGAAACAGAATTAAATAGAAAGTAGTAGCAACTCCACAGATGATAAAGAGCCATCAGAGTCATATGTTTAAATAAGTAAATGGTAAGATGGACATTTTCACCAGAAAATGAGAGTCTATGAAACAGAATTAAATGGAAATCCTAAAGCTGTAAAGTAACCGAAATCAGCAACTCAATAAACAGTTTCAACAGCAGGTCAAACGCAGGAGAGTGGGTTAGTGAGCTGGAGGACAGATCTGTAGAAAATATCCTTATTTGAAACACAGAAAGAAATATTTACAAAAAGAGAGAGAAAGAAAAACAGTATGGAAAACAAAGGAGATTTTGAAAGATATAAAATGTGTATAATTGGTGTTCTAAACAGAAAAGAGAGGCATGGGGTGGAAGCAGTATTTGAGGACATAATGGCTGAGAATTCTCAAAACAGACAAAGGACCCAAGTCAAAGATTAAAGAAAAACTACGGACCACAAGCAAATTAAATTAAGAACAACAAAATGAACAACTGCACATTTAGCAGCATAGTAAAACTGCTAAAAGCCAAAGCCAAAGAAAGTTTTCAAAGCAGCCAAGGGAAAATAGGCACATTATCTTAAAAAGAGCAACAATGATACCCAGAGCTGAATTCTTAACAGAAATTATCTAAGCACAAAGAAAATGCAATAACAACTTTAACAGGCTAAAAGAAAATAATTGCCAATCCTGAATCCTTGACTTAGCAAAAGCAATCCTTTGAAAATAAAGATCTTTATAAACAGAAACAGAGGATTTATTGGCAGCAAATATGCAATGAAAGAAATAATCAGGGAGTTCTTCACGCAATAGGAAAATGATGAAAACCTGGAAGTACAGGAAGGAACAAAGAATTTAAAAGTGATGATATGGGTAAATCTAAATAACTATTTTTCCTGTATAACAATGTTAATAATGTCATATGCTTCAAAATATATGTAGAATGAAAGTTCCTGACCCTAGTAATAGCAAAAATAAGGTGAGGCTAGTAAAATTCAATCTTTGTATTGATGAAGAAATGATGGAAAGTATCTGTTTTTAGAGTGGCCCTAATCAATCAAGGATTTATATTGAAACCCCTAAAGCAATAATAATGATAATGATGAAAGGCTATATTACTAATAAACTAATAAAAAAGAAACAAAAATAGAACCATAAATGTTTCATTAAACTTGAATAATTCCAGAAAGGTACAAAATGAACTTGGGAAGACCTATTGTAAATAGTGCATAGATTTAATGTCAAATAACGCCAGTAAATGTTTCCATTAAAAAAACACGGATTCAGGATTTTTTAAAATCTCAAACATACAGTGTTTTAAAGAGATATGCCTTGAATGTAAGGACATAAAGGTTAAAAGTAAAAAGACGTAAATGATTTAACATGTAAAAACTAATGAAAACAAACTGGGATAGCCCTACTGACATCAGACAGAGCAGACTTTAAGGCAATGCTCATTATTGGAGACAAAGATATTTCCTAATGATAAAATGGCTAGTCCACTAGAAAGACAGAATTCTGAATTTGTTGGCAGCTAATAGAATAACATTAAAATATATAAAACTAAAAGCTGAAAGAACTGAAAGGAGAAACAGACAAGTCCGCACTCATAGTGAAAGACTAATATCCCACTCTCAATAACCAATAGAACACTAAAAAGAAAAAAAAATGATGCATGGACTATTTAAACATCATGCCTAACAAATTTGGCCTAATTGGCATATGCAGATCACTGCACTTAGCTTTTCAAGTGCACATAGCCTGGACCATAAGGCAAATATCACCAAATTTCACATCATTCAAACATACGGTGTAGTCTCTGCTACAGTGGAATTAAACTAGATATAAATAACAAAAAAATTATTAAGAGAGACTCATGAATTAACCATAAACAAATATAGTCCAATGCTATATAAAAATGTCAGAATCAAAAAACTTCAGGAAAGAAGTAGAAAAAAAAACGACCTCAGAAGCAAGGACAGAACTGGAGGTGGCAGGAAGGCCAGTGCCTGTCTAGCATGCATGAGGGGTTCTGATTTCCCTTCTTCTCAGCGAGCATTATGTACCCAGGACTGAATGTGCCAGAGAGAGGCCCCTTTTTCTAATTTGTACAAAGGCACATAGAGGTGACTTCTGAAACCTCAAAGGAAAGCAGGATAACACAAGTTATTTTAAAAGTGTTTTTAAGCATAAAAGCTAACTGGGTCGAACACGAAAGGATTCAGAAAATATTGTTCTTCTGAGCCCTTGTTAGTGAACTGAGGGTGTTTTCTGCAACTAGTAGAGTTTTCAACCAAACAAACAAAAAATGGGGAAACTACCCTGCAACAATATGACTGATGATAAGCAAGAAATTTTTGTATGTATCTATATACAACTAAAAGAAATGGGGTGATGAAGGAAAAGATGCCAATGTTATACTGAAAATACAGAAAAATTACAACAAACAAAAATAAGGAAGTACAAAGATATTGAGAAGTAGAGATGGTCTCACCTCTAAAGCTGAGTGATAAAGATCATAGATAATATAATGCTGAAGTCACGTAATAGAAGTAAAAGGGTAGACACTGAAAGAGATTAAAGAGATTATGTGTGTGTGTGTGTGTGTGTGTGTGTGTGTGTATATGCACATTTTTTTTTTTTTTTTGACACAGAGTCTCACTCTGTTGCCGAGGCTGGAGTGCAGTGGTGCGATCTCGGCTCACTGCAACCTCCACCTCCCGGGTTCAAGTGATTCTCTTTCCTCAGCATCATGAGTAGCTGGGATTACAGGCGCGCACTACCATGCCCAGCTAATTTTTGTATTTTTAGTAGAGACGGGGTTTTGCAATGTTGGCCAGGCTGGTCTCGAACTCCTGACCTCAGGTGATCCGCGCGCCTCAGCCTCCCAAAGTGCTGGGACTACAGGTGTGAGCCATTGTGGGCAGCGAGATATTTTTGTGTAAAATTAGGTGATAGAGGACAGGAGGAGGAGAAGGAATATGGAATGTGGTACTTTTAGAAATGCTTATAGTTCAGAAAATAAGAAAGCATAATTAAAAATATTTTATATAGTATAAATATAATAACAGTTGCCACTAGGACAAAAATATAGACTTTCCAAAATATCAAGACCCTATAAAGAAAAAAATCAAAGAGAAGAAAGAGATCACATTATAAAATGGTATAAAATAAATTCAATGTTTGACAGCAGAGTAGAACAATACTTAAAAAAAAAATTGGGCCGGGCGTGGTGGCTCACTCCTGTAATCCCGGCACTTTGGGAGGCCCAGGTGGGTGGATCACGAGGTCAGAAGATGGAGACCATCCTGGCTAACACGGTGAAACCCCGTCTCTACTAAAAAATACAAAAAATTAGCCGGGTATGGTGGCAGGCGCCTGTAGTCCCAGCTACTCGGGAGGCTGAGGCAGGAGAATGGCATGAACTCAGGAAGTGGAGCTTGCAGTGAGAGATCATGCTACTGCACTCCAACCCAGGCGATAGAGAGAAGACTCTGTCTCAAAAAAAAAAAAAAGAAAGAAAAAAAGAAAAATTGGACTTAGATGATGAAAACCCTGAGTACCCTGTCTTGACCACCACATATTATATACACGTAAAAAGTTTCTCAAGTACCCCATCAATTTTGACAAATTTTTAAGATTATAAATAGAAATCTAAAACGAAAACACAACAGTAATGGCCATAATATACATAAGCTAAAGAAGACACATCCACATGTTAAAGAAAATTGATTTTTAATGAGTAATTTTATAAATCAAAGTCATTAGAAAGATTGAAAATGAAAAGATGGGCAAAGTTACACAAGACAAATGCAATAGAAACAAAGCAGGCTGGGTGCAGTGGCTCATGCCTGTAATGCCAGCACTTTGGGAGGCTCAGGCGGGTGGATCACCTGAGGCCAGGAGTTCGAGACCAACCTGAGGCCAGGAGTTCGAGACCAGCCTGTCCAACATGGTGAAACCCTGTCTCTACTAAACATATAAAAATTAGTTGGGCATGGTGGCGCATGCCTGTAATCCCAGCTACTCGGTAGACTGAGGCAGGAGAATCGCTTGAACCTGGGAGACGGAGGTTGCAGTGAGCTGAGATCATGCCACTGCACTCCAGCCTAGGCGACAGAGCGAGACCCTGTCTCAAAACAAAACAAAACAAAACAAAAACACAACAACAACAACAAAAAGAACGAAGCAGAGGTGTGTCGTCTTATTAAGTGACCCAGTGAAATTCAGGTTACGAACACAGTAGAAAGAAAAAAAGAAAAGAGAGGAATTTTTAATGCTGAAGGGTGAAATTCAAATGAGGATATGAGAATAGGCCATACATCACAAAATATAAAAACGATGTTTAAAAACAAAACTATAGTTGATACCAGGAGAATCAGATGGAACACATTAGCGTGCAAGATTTCAATACGGTTTCTCAGCCTGCAGCAAATCATGGGGAAATATGAAAGTGAGATTTTTTTTCTGGTTATTTTAGGGTACAAAACCTAGATAATAAATTCAGTCAGATACTGTTGTGCTATAGGCAAATAAATGCTAAGGGAACAGTTTAGAGTTTTAAAATAGACACAAATACAGAAGGGAATTTAATGTACAATGAAGGAAGGATCTCAAATCAGCACAAACAATAACAGATGTTCAAATAAATAGAATAGGAACGACTGTGAAGTTACCCAAAAAAGGTAAAGTTGCATTCACAGACAATAGCAAACACCAAGATGATCAAGGATTTAAATATAAAACAAAAAATTCAAACTAGCAAGGTACAAAAATAAAAAACAGTGAGTTCCTTTATAGTCTTTAAGTGGGAAAGGCTTTTCTGACTTTGGTTCGACACGCAGAAGTCATAAGCTAAAAGAATGATAAAAATGAATCCATTTAAAAATTCACAAGTGAAGTGAAAAGGGAGATGAAAAACTAGGAAAGCTATTGGCCATTTACATCACAAAGAGTCAACATCCTTAATATGCAAAGAGCTCAAAGAACTTTAGAAGAAACACACTGACCACAGTAGAACCACTGCAATGAGTATAACTAGAAAATTAAAGAAAAAATATAAACAGTTTATAAACATATAAAAATAATTCTCAGTTTTACTCATTAAAAGATAAATGCAAAATACAACTAAATAGAATTAAACTAAAACACCATTTTTTATCTCGCAGATTGACAACAAAATCCAAAGATTGGTAACACAGTGTTAGTAAATTGTGATCAAAATAAGCACTGTCACCCTTTGCTGATTGGATAGTAATTGTTATAACCATTATGGAGGACGATTTGCAACATCTACTAAAATTATATATACACTTCTCCCTTCGACATAGTAATGCCATTTCTGGGAATTTATGACAGATTCTTCATTGTGACATTGATTAGAAGAGCAAAATATGGGCCGGGCGCGGTGGCTCACGCCTGTAATCCCAGCACTTTGGGAGGCCGAGGCGGGCGGATCACGAGGTCAGGAGATCGAGACCATCCTGGCTAACACGGTGAAACCCCGTCTCTACTAAAAATACAAAAAATTAGCCGGGCGTGGTGGCGGGCGCTTGTAGTCCCAGCTACACGGGAGGCTGAGGCAGGAGAATGGCGTGAACCCGGGAGGCGGAGCTTGCAGTGAGCCGAGATCGCGCCACTGCATTCCAGCCTGGGAGACAGAGCGAGACTCCGTCTCAAAAAAAAAAAAAAAAAAGAAGAGCAAAATATGGGACCTAACCTGTGAATACATCAAGAGGGTTTAATGAAATACATTATGGTAAAAAAGAGAAATATCTTTTATGATACAGAACAATCCCCAAAAGTGTGGTTAACTAAAAACAGGTGCAGAATACTAAATAAAGCATTCTATCATTTCTGTAAAAGAAAGGGACGGAGGATAATAAAAGAGTGCATATTTTCTCTATTTGCATAAGAACCTGGGGAAGGATTAGGGTTGCCAGACAAAATATAGGACGCATAGTTAAATTTGGATATCAAACAATAATTTTTAAATATATGCATGTCTCTTGTAATATTTGGGAAATACTTCTACTTAAAAAGCATTAATTATTTATCTGAAAATTAAACTTAATCAGGAATCCTATGTTTTTATTTGTTAAACCTGGCAATGCCAGGTAATACACCCAAGTAATTTGTAACAAGGTTTAGCTGTGTGGGTTCAGAAACTAGCGTCCTCAAGGGCAACCTGAGATAGGGCTGGATGATGAGTTTTTCTCTTATGTATTTTATGCTTTCTGAATTTTAGAAGATGTAATTGCATTACCTATTAAAATAATGTAAATACATAAAAATAAATATGAATAAAGTTAAATATTCCTATAAGTGGACTACTAGAAACCATGTGTCATTAATGGAGATTTCTCTTTTATATTCTGTTATAGTGAAACCAGACTCCATCTATCACGTTATAATTTGAAAATATAAATGTCTGCAATTCAGTGAAAGCTGAAACGTTCTGTGATTTTTATGTTCTTGAAGTATCCTAATTCCACCTATCCTTCTTGTTGCCACTATTTCAACAGTGAAAAAAAAAATCAAACGTCTGAGGTTTGGGATTGAGAATAAAAGTGTCATAAAGTATTATTCTTGAGAAAGCAGGCTCAGCCAGGTTTTTGAAATCTTCCCAAATCTTCTCAGCCTTTTGACAGCTTCTCAGATAACTCAAATGGCCACTCAGACATGTTGCTGTAGCAAGTACTAGCTGGGGAAAAAAAAATAATCAAAGGAAGAGTGTACCTTGGGACTTGTTAGTGTGGTGGGCCTCACACCTGGGAGACACACACACACACACCTACACACACACATAAATACATGTGCAGATGAGTCAATGTATAGAAGTAACTTAAGGTTTTCTTGATGGTTAAAAACATGGGTTCTTATAATATTATATATAATAACTCAAATGATGAGAACAATTTTTAAAAATTAAGCAACTCTGCTTAGCTATGGTCTCTAATAACAAATAATAAAATAATATCATAAAATTACACAATGAGGTATTGATTTTTTGACATAAATATCCTTATTGAGTTACTTATTTTAAAGTTAATTTTCCCCCTTTTTTATGTAGGAAATATGACAAAATATAGAAAGTGAAATCCCGGGCTCCTAAATTTTAATACATCTTAAAAAATTTTTTTCTCTTACTTTTTGAATATAAGTAAATGACCTGTTTAGGGGTTCAAGTAATATAAGTGGGAAGGTATATTTTAAAAGGTAAATAATTTCTGAAGATATCATTGCTTGGCAAAATTGTAGGGCAGCCAAGGTACAGTTTTTCACTGTCATTTTGAAAGTAGAATTTATAAAAATGTCCTCAGCCATGGTCATAATCAGCTGAGAGATTCCCACCCTCCAACTCATGCCAGCTGGCTCATGTAGCCACAGGTTTTTTTTGGCAAATGGTCAAATACAACACACATTTTAAGCAGCTGGATTAACCTAACAGCCCTTTCATCTGTTTTACAGAGATAGAAGCCTGCTATTTAACTACAATCTAATTGGAAAATACATACACCTGTATTCCTAATCAATAGGATTAATATATAAAAATGTAACTTTGAAATTCCAAATAAACATTGTTATTAAAAGCAAAAGTTCCTAAAGTTTATAATTTTCTCCTTTTTTTATTTTTTGGCTATCATTTTATTTGAAAAGCACAAAAAAGTCAACTGTTATCCTCCTGTATTAATGGACTGTCCTTTAATGTAAAAATCAAAATAACAACACAACACAGAATATAAACTTTTATAAGATACTGGGATTCTTAGCTTAACATGCAGGTTTTTTTCTTCCTGTCTGAGATTATAATCAAAACAGTATTGCCCTTTCTTAACATTTTAGTCTCCATCAGGATGATATTTGCAGTGTTCTAAATGAGAACCATATGCTCTTCCCTAACCTATTTAACTGTGGTAGCCAGATGTTTGAATAAATTGTGAAGGACAGCTCTACCAGTTTACTCTAATAGCATAAAGCTGACCACTACCAGCTCTCACACTCTGTCCTCGCCTTAAGTAACAGGAAAAAAAAAGGTCTACATTTTGTAACATATGTGACTGTGCCTCATTATTTTGATCAATGTTAGATGGTGACACACTTTCAGTGAAACAAACAAAAATATCTTTTAAAAAATTTATAGGGTTCAAATGTATTATAAAAGCTAGTATCCTGGTTGCAATTATACTAAAGTCATGGTGAAATTCATAATAGTTTTATTATCAGCTACAGCCATAATTTTTCAGTGGACGTTCTTTTGATTCTGCACATTTATTATAATAATGGATTCCTTAATGTTAAAGACTTTTGCTGTCAGGGCCATGCCAAGCAGATAAAGCAGACTAGATATTATCTTTTGAAGCAAACGTTTAAGGTATGCAATTCACTATGTAACATGTCTGGACTGACACTCTTTTCTACATATTAATAACTGGTTTACTTGAAACTGTAACTAATTGTAACTAGTTACTTATTACTGTTTTGAGGGAAAATTCACATGTTTAATATATACTTTCACAATAAACACAGAAGCAAATACCCTTATATATGTACTTATAAATATTTCTGGACAAGTAAGCTAAATCTCTTACAATGATTTCAGATTAAAACATAACAGCAACACAAATATGTGTCTACTCAAAGAATGAAGAGAAATAGAAATTGTAATTAGGTGGAATAATACAAAATCTTTTAAATTTGGAAAATATTTTTGAATGGAATTCGTTAGAGCAAGGACAATATCATACAGTCTGTATGCAATATGTAATATATAAAAGTTAGTTATATGTGATGTGGTATAACATTATATGAAGGTGGAATGTGGCAAGCTAAAATTACATTTGAAGAATTAAACCACTGAAAATGATATGAAGATCTAAAAAGTTAATAAGATAAGATGGATGCCAAAAATATTCAAGGAAAAAAAGCTAAGGGAAAATAAGAAAAAAGGAATAAAGTATTATAGAACTAGTAGAAAACAAATAGCAAGATGATAAATTTAAACCCAACCATATTGAAAAACACATTAAATGTAAATGGCCAAACACTATAATTAAAAAGCAGAGATTGTCAGAATGAATAAAAAAAAGGCTCTAACCATATGCTGTCTATAAAAATTAAAAAAAATTTAAATATACAACCCTAGATTGATTATGAGTCAGATAATGTCAAAAGATATACAAACACCAAATAAAAGCTAAGGTGGCTACATAAATGTCATAAAAGTTAGTTTTGGAAAAGCAGATATTATCAGGATTAAAACTGATATTTTGTAAGTATAAAAGTGTCTATTTGTGAAGAAAATAAATGTGAAAGAAGATAAAAACAGATTCAAACCACTTGAAACAAAAATAATAGAACATAGAGTATGTGTAGACAAAATATATGTAAATTTTCACACATTTCTGGTTTTTTTTTACATTATTATTATACTTTAAGTTCTGGGATACATGTGCAGAATGTGCAGGTTTGTTACATAGGTATACACGTGCCATGGTGGTTTGCTGCACCCATCAACCCATCATCTACATTAGTTATTTCTCCTAATGCTATCCCTACCCCAGCGCCCCAGCCCCCAACAGGCCCCAGTGTGTGATGTTCCCCTCCCTGTATCCATGTGTTCTCATTGTTCAACAGCCACTTATGAGTGAGAACATGTGGTGTTTGGCTTTCTGTTCTTGTGTTGCTTTGCTGAGAATGATGGTTTCCAGCTTCATCCGTGTCCCTGCAAAGGACAAGAACTCATCCTTTTTTATGGCTGAATAGTATTCCATGGTGTATATGTGCCACATTGTCTTTATCCAGTCTATCATTGATGGGCATTTGGGTTGGTTCCAAGTCTTTGCTATTGTGAATAGTGCTGCAGTAAACATACATGTGCATGTGTCTTTATAGTAGCATGATTTATAATCCTTTCGGTATATACATAGTAATGAGATTGCTGGGTCAAATGGTATTTCTAGTTCTAGATCCCTGAGGAATTGCCACACTGTCTTCCACAATGGTTGAACTAATTTACACTCCTACCAACAGTGTAAAAGCATTCCTATTTCTCCACATCCTCTCCAGCATCTGTTATTTCCTGATTGTTTAACGATGGCCATTCTAACTGGTGTGAGATAGTATCTCATTGTGGTTTTGATTTGCATTTCTCTAATGACCAGTGATGATGAGCTTTTTCTCATATGTTTGTTGGCCACATAAATGTCTTCTTTTGAGAAGTGTCTGTTCATATGCTTTGCCCACTTTTTGATGGGGTTGTTTTTTACTTGTAAATTTGTTTAAGTTTGGTATATACCTACTGGAATTGTTGGGTCACCTGGTAAATAAAATTTCTATAAGAAACAACATTACTACCAGCAAAGTATGAGCGCCAGTTACTCAACATCCTCCTTAATAACACTTGATATCATCAGTCATATTTTAGACATTTTTGTGAGTATGTACCCGTTATGGTACTGATTTGCATTTTCCTAATGACTGATGATATTAGTGAGCATCTTTTCATGTGCTTATTTTCCATCTGAGTGTTTTCTTTGGTGAAGTATCTATTCAAATACCAAATTCTGATAATATATTATCATTATACAGAAATACAATTCATTTTTGCATAGTGGCATTGCAATTGTAACTTGCTAAACCAATGTGCTTGTTCTAGAAGCAATTTTGTAGATTTCCTAGGATTTTCCACATAGATGATCATGTCATTGGTGAATAAAAAAGTTTTACTTATTCCTTTTTAATAAATATTTATTTAAAATTTGCTTTCTTAATTTACTAAGTCATACTTCCTTTTGAATTAAAGTGATGACTGTGAATATTCTGGCTTTGTTCTGGATCTTGGGGGTGGTGGAGAGGAAGCATTCTGACTTTCATCATTATATAGGGGTTAACTCTTTAGTTTTCATAGGTGCTGTTTATCAGATGAAAGGTTCCTTCTATTCCTAGTTTGCTGGTGGTTATTATCATAGATGTGTGTTAATTTTTATGTATTTTATGCATTTATTGAGATTATTATTCCTTTTAATTTTGGTTCACTAATATGGCAAATTAATTTGATAGATGTTTGCATGTTAAACCAATCTTTATACACTGTGGGTGGAAATGTAAATTAGTACAGCCATTATGGAAAAAAGTATGGAAGTTTCTCAAAAAACTAAAAATAGAAGTACCATATGATCCAGCAACCCAACTACTGGGTATTTATCCAAAGGAAAGGAAATAATTATATCAAAACAAGACCTGCACTCCATGTCTACTGCAGCATTATTCACAATAGCTAATATATGGAATCTACCTAAATATCTATCACAGATAAATGAATAAAGAAAATGTGATTATATATACACAATGGAACACTATTCAGCCATAAAAAGAATGAAATCCTAACTTCCCTAGCAATATCGATGAGCCTGGAGGACATTATGTTAAGCAAAATAAGTCAGGCACAGAAAAATGAATACCACATGTTCTTACTCATATGTGTGGGCTACAAAATAATTTTGAGCTCATGGAAGTAGAGAGTAGAATTGTGGGTATTGAAGGCTAAGAATGGTAAAAGGGATGGGAAGATTGGGTGATGTTTGTTAACGGCTGTAAAATCACAGGTAGACGGGGAATGAGTTCTGGTGTTCTGTAGCACTGGAGGCTGAATATGAACAACTATAATTTATTGTATATTTTCAAAATGTTAGAAGAGAGGATTTTCAATATTTGCAATGCAAAGAAATAGTAAATGTTTAGGGTGATGATATGTTAATTACTCTGATTTGATCATTACATGTTGTGTGCATGTATCAAAATATCACTCGGTAGCTGATAAATATGTACAATTATCATGTGTCAACTAAAAGTAAAAGGAAAATATTTCTTGTTAATATGGTAAATTAACTTGACAGATTTTGAAATGTTACACCACTCTTTTATTTCTGGGATGAATCCCACTTGATTATGCTGTATTCATTTTAATCATTGCCAGGTTTGATCAGCTACAACTTTGCTGAGAATATATGTGTCTACAGTTATGGGAAATATTGATTTGTAGTTTTTACTAATATTTTAACCTAGTTTTGATATCAGGATAATGCTAGTCTTCTAAAATTACTTGTGATCAATTCCCTCTACTTCATTTTTCTGGAAAAGGTGTTTGTAAAATTGGTATAATTTCCTCTTAAATATTTTATAGAATTGCTTAAGAATCCATCTGGGCCTAGAATATTCTTTGTGAAATTTTTTAAATACTTTACACAACACATTCAATAAAGAAGGCTTGATTCATGTTATCTCTTTCTTCTTTATTGAACTTCAGCACTTGGCATTTTTCAAAGAAATTGTTTAATCTAAGGTATTGCATTTTTTGCCAGGAAGTCATTTATCATATTTTCATATTGTAGGATATGTCTGTAGGAGATGTCATGATGCTGTTATTTTATTCTTGATGTTTATATTTTTTTCTGATTAGTCTGAAAATATGATTATCAATTTTTTAAATGTTTTCAAAGAACCAACATTTGATGTTATTTATGTTTCCAGTATTTTAATTTTTTTCCTTTTTTTTTTTTTTTTTTTTTTTTGAGACAGAGTTTCACTCTTGTTGCCCAGGCTGGAGTGCAATGGCCTGGTCTCGGCTCACAGCAACCTCCGTCTCCCGGATTCAAGCCATTCTCCCGCCTCAGCCATCGGAGTAGCTGGGACTACAGGCATGCGACACCACGAATGGCCAGTTTTGCATTTTTAGTAGAGACGGGGTTTCTCCATGTTGGTCAGGCTGGTCTCGAGCTCCGAACCTCAGGTGAGCCTCGGCCTCCCAAAGTGCTGGGATTACAGGCGTGAGCCACTGAGCCCGGCCTTTCCTTTTTTATTATTTACTTTGTTCTGACAACTTCAGATTTAATTTACTCTTCTTGATCTAACTTTTTAAGGCTGAATGTTAATTCATGTTTTGAGACTTTAATCTGTTATTGTAATTTCATACTAGAATTTCCCCCAGAGTACAGTCAGTTGTATAGCACATATTTGTACATGTTGCATTTTAATTTTCATTAAACTAAAATATTTTTAATTCATTTGCAATTTCCTTTTGACTCATGATTTATTTAGAAATGTGTTGCTTAATTTCCAAACATTTGAAAAATTTCCAGATATTTTTCTGTTATTTGTCTCTACCTTAATTCTGTTGTAATCTGATAACATATTTTATATGATATAAATTCTCTTATATGCATTGAAACTAATTTTGTGGCCCCAGACATGGTCTATTTTGTGAATGTTCCCTGTATATTTTTAAATAACATATTTTGCTGTTGCTGAGAGCAGCATTCTATAGATATTAATCAGTTTACATTGGTTGATATATTATTCAAGTCTTCTTTATCCTTACTAATTTTCTGTAGAATTATTTTAATTAGGCATAAGGCAAAATAATTCTGGATTTGTCTATTTCTCTTTTCAGTGCTTTCAGTTTTGCTTCATATATTTTGAAGCCCTATAATTTAATCCATGTGTATTTAGGACTATTATGTCTTCTTGATGAGTTCACTCCTTTGTCATTAAGAAATAAGTGTCTTTATTCATCATAATGTATCTAGTTCTAAAATGTTCTCTCTCTGATCAACATACCTACTTCAGCTTCCTTTTGGTTAATGTCTGCATGACGTAGGTTTTCTCAACTTTATAAACTTTTAACCTATGTGTGCTTTTATTTTTAATGTGTTTCTTATAGATGGTCCTGGTTGATCTTGCCATTTATATCCAGTATGATAATTTGCTTTTTACTTGTGTTTAGACCATTTAGATTAAATGGAATTATTGATCTGATTATGCTTCAATCTACCATCTTGCTTTTTGTTCTTTTTTTCTCACTTTATTTTAGACTGAACACTTTAAAACTTATTATTGCCTTATCACTCCTAATAGTATATAAGTTGTCCCTCTTTGTTTTATTTTGTAGTGGTTATTCTTGAACTTGCAATTCCTATTTTTTTAAACTTGTAACTGCCTATGTTCAAATAATACTATAACACTTCACATATATTGTAGGAGTCCTACAATGGCGTTCTTTTATTTCTATATTCTCTTCTTTTTTAAACTATTTAGTCCCACATTTTACTTTTATGTATGCTATAAGTTACACAATATATTGTTACTATATTTGCTTTATACCATAAATTGTCCTTACAATAAATTTTAAAGTGTGGTAAATGTATTTTATATTTACACTCCAAATTTTGAAAAATTTCCCTAAGTTATCATATGTTTTGTTCACAATCCCATCTTTCAGGGACTCTGCTTAGGCTGCCTGATATTGTACCACAGTTTCCTGATGCTCTGTTCATTCCTTTGCAGTCTTGATTCTTTTCATCTCCCTATTAGTGTTTTTTATTTCTGTATTATCAAGGTTACTGGTCTTTACTTTTGCTATCAAACATCGAACTGATAATAACCCAATTATGTATATTTATGTATATTTTTTATTTCTAATGCTGTATTTTTATCTCTAGATACTATATGTCTTTTTTTTTTTTTTTTTTTTTTTGGATGGAGTCTCACTCTGTAGCCCAGGCTGGAGTGCAGTGGCGCGATCTCAGCTCACTGCAAGCCCCGCCTCCCAGGTTCACACCATTCTCCTGCCTCAGCCTCCCGAGTAGCTGTGACTATAGGCGCCTGCCACCACGCCCGGCTAATTTTGCTTTTGTATTTTTAGTAGAGACGGGGTTTCACCGTGTTAGCCAGGATGGTCTCGATCTGCTGACCTCGTGATCCGTCCGCCTCCACCTTCCAAAGTGCTGGGATTACAGGCGTGAGCCACCGCACCCGGCCCAACTGATTCATTTTTAAAGTAATAAAACTACAATTCTAAAACCATTAAAATTTGATAATTTAGTTTCTGTGTAATTCAGAACAATCTCCATTCACTCACAAATTCATAAAGTATGATTTGTATTTTTGAAAAGTAACATGCTTTGCTAATGATAACAACATATCGCTTCCCATTAATTACACTGGTCTCACACCATACTCATTTGGAATCAGGAACTAAGTTAAAATTAAAATATACATCATTAAATTCCTATAGACCTACTTTTTTTTTTTTTTGAAACAGAGTCTCACTCTGTACCCCAGGCTGGAGTGCAGTGGCGTGATCCACTGCAACCTGCACCTCCCAGGCTCAAGGAATTCTCCTGCCTCAGCCACTGAAGTAGCTGGGATTACAGGTGCACACCACCACGTCTGGCTACTTTTTATATTATTAGTAGAGATGGGGTTTCATTGTGTTGGCCAGGCTGGTCTCAAACTCCTGACCTCAGGTGATCTGCCCACCTCAGCCTCCCGAAGTGCTGGGATTACAGGCGTGAGCCACCGCACCTGGCCAGACCTACTTTTTACAACTGTATGTGCAGTGTACATATAAATTTAATCGATAACTATGATTGCAAAACAAAAACTTAGGGATGAAAAGGATGAAAAAGAAAAGAACACTAGAAAAGTTAATAGGGTCAGTAAGTAATAGAATCACATAAGATGAAATAGAGTACATTCGCTTTAGGATCAAAATGTTTTTCCACATCCTGTATATTTTCATTTCTAAT
This sequence comes from Homo sapiens, assembly GCF_000001405.40. Classification (NCBI taxonomy): domain Eukaryota; kingdom Metazoa; phylum Chordata; class Mammalia; order Primates; family Hominidae; genus Homo; species Homo sapiens. The sequence goes on from NC_000013.11 coordinate 22,569,989, forward strand.
TTGGAGGTGAACAGACCACCCTCTAGTGGATAGAGAAGCATGTCAATTAACCAAATTTAGTATGCTTTGCCTTCAGAAGAAAGCAACAAAGCATTCTGCAGGGGTTTTTTTTATAATCTTCCTTTAAGAGATTTTAATTCAAATTTAAGAGATTAGCTTAGAATTTTCAAAATTTTACATATTTCCATGTCTTAGTGTTTTATTCTTATGTAATATTTGTAACATAGATAGAACAGGAATTCATAATTCTACTTAAAAATATCGAAGCTGAGGTTTGAATGTAGCATGATCTACCTGGATAACCTGTATTAATAGCCAAGTGATGGTATTAGAATGCAAAGTCTGATGTTGGCAGTGAGGTTCTTTGTATCAAGATAACAATGGTAGAACTTTCTACAAGACAAAGCGACTGAGACTGCTCTTAGATTGTTAATGACTATCATGTTGCAGAGTGTCCATTTTCCTCATTTGGGAAAAACTTTTCCAGATATTTTAGCCTGTAATCCTGATAGTAGTTACTAAGATCATTGCAGAGAAATAAAAACAAAATCTTCATAATTTATTAAATGAGTTTTCATTTCAAAATGACAAAACCAAATAGCATAGATATACTTCCTGAAGATAAAATTGCCAAGAAGTTCTGGAAGGAAAGTTTTCGGTGTATGAAAAAAAAAAATTCTATCCTCTTAATTGTATCATTTTCCAGTAAGTACTAGAAAATGTCCCACTTTGAGGGTATTAGGGAAATTCCTAAATGCCTCTTTGGTTTTGTGGTGTGAATTTATTTAGAATCTCCACTAACTTTCTATTTTGCTAAGAAACTATTTGGTCCCATGTATTCATTGTGAATTTTTGTTTTAGTGACTAAGATGAAGATGAAGACTAACCCAATCACCTAACTTCTAATTTTATCTCATCACCTCAAAAACATATTTTTACACTTATTACCTAAAGGGTAATTAGAGGGAATGGTAGTGTGGTTTAGCGGTTAGAGACTTGGGCTGAGAATTAAAGAACCTAGTCTCTTTCCTCCCACTCCCTGCACTGACTCTATGGCATTGGGTTAACCCTTGACCTCCTATAAATGCAGAGTTTTCAAAAGGAAAAACCAGCATTTCACCAGAGGTGATGAAGCTAGCGTTTTTCGGAATAGAGCTGTTATGTAATTGTCTTGGACAGGTACAATTTATTTTGAGGTTTTATAATTAATGCCTTTATATTAAAGGCATATTCTCTGGCTGGCCTTGGTTTACTGTTGCATGCCCATGAAGGCAGATGGGAATCTGGAAGACCTTCTTGGTTTTAGAAAACAACCCAGGTACTAAAAGGGTTGACGGTATCAAATTTATTTTGCTGTTGACCTAATCCACAATGCTCTCTAGATAATAGTATGCTATTGTAGCTGCTGTTCATTCATAAGTACTAGCAGATTTGGAGAAAAAGCAGAATGTGTCTCCACCCCGACCCCTACACACCTTCAAATCCAGTGAAAAGAAAGAAAGTAAACAAAAAAGGAGAAGATAATTCATGCACACTAAAATTGGGATAAGAGCTAAGTTCATACCTCAAACTCCAGAAAATATTAACTGTCAATAGTACAATTTGAACTAGGTTGAGGAAGCACATTAGGAACCTATCAAAAACATTTGAACAGTAAACAAAGACAAACATTTTTGACAAATGCTACCTGTATTCCCCCAAAGTGTATTTTAATCCACACAATTGTTGCTCATAGAAATTACAGAAAAAATGAATTCCCTGGCATAAATATAAGACAACAGGATGACATAAATGAGAATTGACATATAAAAAGAACAAATTACAGGAGAAAAATAAATTTTAAAACATAAAATGAAACATGAGCAGAATTGACCCTGGAAAAAATAAAATTAATAACATTAAGATCTAAAACAATTAGAGCAAGCATAAAGAATTCTTACAAGTCAACAACAGACAGATAAAATTTCCAGTTTAAAATTGAACAAAGGATTTGAATAGACTTTCTCCAAAGAAGGTATGCAAATTGCCATAGGCACATAAAAAGATGTTTAACATCATTAGTCCTCAGGGAAATGCAATCAAAACCACAGGAAAAAAACCACTTCACACCCACTAGGACAGCTAAAATTTTTAAAAGACACACAAGTATCAATGACTATGTGAAAAAATGGGAACCTCATACATTGTTTCTGAGAATGTAAAATGACAGTCACTTTGGAAAAGAGTCTCATCCAATTAAGATTAGACCCAGCAATTCTACTCCTCAGTACATACCCAAGAGAAATGAAAACATAGGTCCACACAAAACTTACACACCAATGTTCTTAGCAGCATTATTCATAATAGCCAAGAAGTGGAAACAGTCCGAATGCCCATCAAATGATGAACAGATAAACAAAATGTGATGTATTTCATACAATGGAATATTATTCATCCTTAAAAATAATGAAATGGGGGTAGGGAGAGATCAACAGTTGGAGCACAGAGGATTTTTAGGGAAGTGAAACTATCCTGTATGATAGTATAATGATGCATACATGTTATTATACAATTGTCTGAAACTATAAAATGTACAGTACTAACAGTGAATGCTAATGTAACAATGGACTTTGGGTGATCATGATGGTTCAGTGTAGGTCCATCATTTGTAACAAATGCACCACTCTAGTATGGAATATTGATAGTAGGGGAGGCTGTGCATGGGTAGAGGCTAGGGGTATATGGGAAATCTCTGTGCCTTTTTTTCAGTTTTGCTATGAACCTAAAAAATTGTCTGTGAAAAAATTAAAAAGAAATTAAATTCTGACATCTGCTGCAACACTGATGAACCTTAAAGATGCTATGCAAAGTGAAATAAACCAGACACAAAAGGACAAATATTGTATAATTCCAAATAAAGACATATTCTGAGGTTCTGGATGGACATCACTTTTGGAGAGACAAAACCCAGTTTGTTCTCCATCTCCTACTTCTGTGACCTCACTTTCTATTACTCTTTTATGGTCACTCGGTTTCAGCCCGGCTGGTTTTTGCCCTTCCTTTAACATACTAAGCAAGCTCTTGCTTCAAGGATTTCATGCCTATTTATATTTTCTTCAATTCTTGAGTTACATATCACCTTTTCAGTGAAGACTTGTCTGATTAATAAAAGTTGCACTCCTGCTCAACTCTCCTGGTTCTCTTTCCATGTTTTATTATCAGGATTTTTATTTTTGTACATTTCTTGGTTAATAGAGTAAGTGAGAAGAAATCAATCATTCATATAGATGCCCAAAAGACAATTGATAAAATTCAACACCCAACTTCTCATTCAAAACTTAACTAACATACATTTCATTCCACAACAAATAGATATACTTATTTAGTATATTATAAAAACATGCAAAAATGCATAACTGATCTAGCAGAAATAAAGTGTAATCTCCAGGTACCAGAAAAAGGAGGGAATCTGTAGCCCAAAAGCGAGCCAGAAAGTTAATGATTCAGTCGTTCAAAGGGGTATTTCGGACACGGACATAAGCCCTTTTTCTGTGCTTTTATAATTATACTATATTCTTGAGAAATTTTAAGCCTAGAGGAAGAGAAAGATGTGTAATTAGCAATACTACAAAACATTAGCCTCTAAACCAAGTGCAAGCTGCAATGGCAAATTGCCTGCTCTCCGAAGGCAGGCAATGTATTATGTAGCAGTGGCGTTTAAGCAACAGGCAATGGAGGGAACAGAAGCAAGCTGAAGAGGGTGGCCGATATAAGATATTTAAAGTAAAAATTGGAAACAAAAATGGGAAACAAATCAATGTTATCTGTAGTTGAATGAATGTCTGGCTGGCTTTGACTTCTAAAGACCTGATTATAATAACATAGGGAAACTCATCGTTTCTTGATGGTTTGTCAGTGTCAGTCCTGTTCAACATTTGTACCAACCTCAGACAGCAAATGAGGACTCCTTCCACTATGCTGCATCTCCCCAGGCTCCTCATGTCAATTATCTAATTAAAATCCATGTTCTCTAAGTTCCCTCACAAACCCAAATTCCTGGGCAAACCACATGACAATGGAATACAAACAATATCTATCTTGCCTGTTTAAAACATGGTATGAACCCTTCAGTATTTAGAAAAATAGGTACCCTGATTTATTTACTTAATATCACATAACATTTATTTGAAATCTATGTATGCCACGTCTATGCCAAATGAGGGATAAAATGGCAGAACAAAAAGAAGCAGTGAAGACAGCCACTGACCAAAGTGACCAGAGTTTATGACAAGAATGATGAAGGCAATTAGTGGAGATCATTATCACAGAAAAAGAACAGTACTGGTGGCCTGTACTGCTCTTAGATAAGGGTTATCAGGAGAGGCCCCAAGTTGACAAAAAAAAAAATCTAAGTTCAAGGTTGGTTTATGTCCTGTTTTCACGTTAGGTCAGTATGGCATTTTAGTATATTTGAATTCAATTGGCTGTTCAGTGTTTAATGTTGTTATTAAATGGTCCTAATTACCATTTGTAAACTTAGCACAATTCTATCTATAATTTAAATGATGTTTTTGAACATGATTATTTGTCATCTGAAAAATTACACCTGCAAAAATTGCTCATAATTTTTTTAAAAAATAAAACAGACTACCAGAAGATTTCTACCCAATATTATAATGCATTCTAAAACTATCTTATATAAAGCAGAGTGATGCTGGTAGAAATAAAACAATGAAGCAAAAGTTCTTGAAAGTTATCCAAATTACCAAGAGGAGCCAAGATGGCCGAATAGGAACAGCTCCGGTCTACAGCTCCCAGCGTGAGCCACGCAGAAGACGGGTGATTTCTGCATTTCCATCTGAGGTACCGGGTTCATCTCACTAGGGAGTGCCAGACAGTGGGCGCAGGTCAGTGGGTGGGCGCACCGTGCGCGAGCTGAAGCAGGGCGAGGCATTGCCTCACTCGGGAAGCGCAAGGGCTCAGGGAGTTCCCTTTCCTAGTCAAAGAAAGGGGTGACAGAAGGCACCTGGAAAATCGGGTCACTCCCACCAGAATACTGCGCTTTTCCGACGGGCTTAAAAAACGGCGCACCTGGAGATTATATCCGGCACCTGGCTCAGAGGGTCCTACGCCCACAGAGTCTCGCTGATTGCTAGCACAGCAGTCTAAGATCAAACTGCAAGGCGGCAGCGAGGCTGGGGGAGGGGCACCCGCCATTGCCCAGGCTTGCTTAGGTAAACAAAGCAGCCAGGAAGCTCGAACTGGGTGGAGCCCACCACAGCTCAAGGAGGCCTGCCTGCCTCTGTAGGCTCCACCTCTGGGGGCAGGGCACAGACAAACAAAAAGACAGCAGTAACCTCTGCAGACTTAAATGTCCCTGTCTGACAGCTTTGAAGAGAGCAGTGGTTCTCCCAGCATGCAGCTGGAGATCTGAGAACGGGCAGACTGCCTCCTCAAGTGGGTCCCTGACCCCTGACCTCCGAGCAGCCTAACTGGGAGGCACCCCCCAGCAGGGGCAGACTGACACCTCACACGGCCGGGTACTCCAACAGACCTGCAGCTGAGGGTCCTGTCTGTTAGAAGGAAAACTAACAAACAGAAAGGACATCCACACCAAAAACCCATCTGTACGTCGCCATCATCAAAGACCAAAAGTAGATAAAACCACAAAGATGGGGAAAAAACAGAGCAGAAAAACTGGAAACTCTAAAAAGCAGAGCAGCTCTCCTCCTCCCAAGGGACACAGTTCCTCACCAGCAACGGAACAGAGCTGGACGGAGAATGACTTTGACGAGCTGAGAGAAGAAGGCTTCAGATGATCAAATTACTCCGAGCTACGAGAGGACATTCAAACCAAAGGCAAAGAAGTTGAAAACTTTGAAAAAAATTTAGAAGAATGTATAACTAGAATAACCAATACAGAGAAGTGCTTAAAGGAGTTGATGGAGCTGAAAACCAAGGCTCAAGAACTACGTGAAGAATGCAGAAGCCTCAGGAGCCGATGCGATCAACTGGAAGAAAGGGTATCAGCAATGGAAGATGAAATGAATGAAATGAAGCAAGAAGGGAAGTTTAGAGAAAAAAGAATAAAAAGAAACGAGCAAAGCCTCCAAGAAATATGGGACTATGTGAAAAGACCAAATCCACGTCTGATTGGTGTACCTGTAAGTGACGGGGAGAATGGAACCAAATTGGAAAACACTCTGCAGGATATTATCCAGGAGAACTTCCCCAATTTAGCAAGGCAGGCCAACATTCAGATTCAGGAAATACAGAGAACACCACAAAGATACTCCTCGAGAAGAGCAACTCCAAGACACATAATTGTCAGATTCACCAAAGTTGAAATGAAGGAAAAAATGTTAAGGGCAGTCAGAGAGAAAGGTCGAGTTACCCTCAAAGGGAAGCCCATCAGAGTAACAGCGGATCTCTTGGCAGAAACTCTACAAGCCAGAAGAGAGTGGGGGCCAATATTCAACATTCTTAAAGAAAAGAATTTTCAACCCAGAATTTCATATCCAGCCAAACGAAGCTTCATAAGTGAAGGAGAAATAAAATACTTTACAGACAAGCAAATGCTGAGAGATTTCGTCACCACCAGGCCTGCCCTAAAAGAGCTCCTGAAGGAAGCGCTAAACATGGAAAGGGACAACTGGTACCAGCCACTGCAAAATCATGCCAAAATGTAAAGACCATCGAGACTAGAAAGAAACTGCATCAACTAACGAGCAGAATAACCAGCTAACATCATCATGACAGGATCAAATTCACACATAACAATATTAACTTTAAATGTAAATGGACTAAATGTTCCAATTAAAAGACACAGACTGGCAAATTGGATAAAGAGTCAAGACCCATCAGTGTGCTGTATTCAGGAAACCCATCTCATGTGCAGAGACACACATAGGCTCAAAATAAAAGGATGGAGGAAGATCTACCAAGCAAATGGAAAACAAAAAAAGGCAGGAGTTGCAATCCTAGTCTCTGATAAAACGGACTTTAAACCAACAAAGATCAAAAGAGACAAAGAAGGCCATTACATAATGGTAAAGGGATCAATTCAACAAGAAGAGCTAACTATCCTAAATATATATGCACCCAATACAGGAGCACCCAGATTCATAAAGCAAGTCCTGAGTGACCTACAAAGAGACTTAGACTCCCACACATTAATAATGGGAGACTTTAACACCCCACTGTCAACATTAGACAGATCAACGAGACAGAAAGTCAACAAGGATACCCAGGAATTGAACTCAGCTCTGCACCCCACTGTCAACATTAGACAGATCAACGAGACAGAAAGTCAACAAGGATACCCAGGAATTGAACTCAGCTCTGCACCAAGCGGACCTAATAGACATCTACAGAACTCTCCACCCCAAATCAACAGAATATACATTTTTTTCAGCACCACACCACACCTATTCCAAAATTGACCACATATTGGAAGTAAAGCTCTCCTCAGCAAATGTAAAAGAACAGAAATTATAACAAACTATCTCTCAGACCACAGTGCAATCAAACTAGAACTCAGGATTAAGAATCTCACTCAAAACCACTCAACTACATGGAAACTGAACAACCTGCTCCTGAATGACTACTGGGCACATAACGAAATGAAGGCACAAATAAAGATGTTCTTTGAAACCAACGAGAACAAAGACACAACATACCAGAATCTCTGGGACACATTTAAAGCAGTGTGTAGAGGGAAATTTATAGCACTAAATGCCCACAAGAGAAAGCAGGAAAGATCCAAAATTGACACCCTAACATCACAATTAAAAGAACTAGAAAAGCAAGAGCAAACACATTCAAAAGCTAGCAGAAGGCAAGAAATAACTAAAATCAGAGCAGAACTGAAGGAAATAGAGACACAAAAAACCCTTCAAAAAATTAATGAATCCAGGAGCTGGTTTTTTGAAAGGATCAACAAAATTGATAAACCACTAGCAAGACTAATAAAGAAAAAAAGAGAGAAGAATCAAATAGACGCAATAAAAAATGATAAAGGGGATATCACCACCGATCCCACAGAAATACAAACTACCATCAGAGAATACTACAAACACCTCTATGCAAATAAACTAGAAAATCTAGAAGAAATGGATGAATTCCTCGACACATACACTCTCCCAAGACTAAAACAGGAAGAAGTTGAATTTCTGAATAGACCAATAACAGGATCTGAAATTGTGGCAATAATCAATAGCTTACCAACCAAAAAGAGTCCAGGACCAGATGGATTCACAGCTGAATTCTACCAGAGGTACAAGGAGGAACTGGTACCATTCCTTCTGAAACTATTCCAATCAATAGAAAAAGAGGGAATCCTCCCTAACTCATTTTATGAGGCCAGCATCATCCTGATACCAAAGCCAGGCAGATACACAATGAAAAAAGAGAATTTTAGACCAATATCCTTGATGAACATTGATGCAAAAATCCTCAATAAAATACCAGCAAACCAAATCCAGCAGCACATCAAAAAGCTTATCCACCATGATCATGTGGGCTTCATCCCTGGGATGCAAGGCTGGTTCAATATATGCAAATCAATAAATGTAATCCAGCATATAAACAGAACCAAAGACAAAAACCACATGATTATCTCAATAGATGCAGAAAAGGCCTTTGACAAAATTCAACAACCCTTCATGCTAAAAACTCTCAATAAATTACGTATTGATGGGACGTATTTCAAAATAATAAGAGCTATCTATGACAAACCCACAGCCAATATCATACTGGATGGGCAAAAACTGGAAGCATTCCCTTTGAAAACTGGCACAAGACAGGGATGCCCTCTCTCACCACTCCTATTCAACATAGTGTTGGAAGTTCTGGCCAGGGCAATTAGGCAGGAGAAGGAAATAAAGGGTATTCAAATAGAAAGAGGAAGTCAAATTGTCCCTGTTTGCAGATGACATGATTGTATATCTAGAAAACCCCATCGTCTCAGCCCAAAATCTCCTTAAGCTGATAAGCAACTTCAGCAAATTCTCAGGATACAAAATCAATGTACAAAAATCACAAGCATTCTTATACACCAACAACAGACAGAGAGCCAAATCATGAGTGAACTCCCATTCACAATTGCTTCAAAGAGAATAAAATACATAGGAATCCAACTTACAAGGGATGTGAAGGACCTCTTCAAAGAGAACTACAAACCACTGCTCAAGGAAATAAAAGAGGATAAAAACAAATGGAAGAACATTCCATGCTCATGGGTAGGAAGAATCAATATCATGAAAATGGCCATACTGCCCAAGGTAATTTACAGATTCAATGCCATCCCCATCAAGCTACCAATGACTTTCTTCACAGAATTGGAAAAAACTACTTTAAAGTTCATATGGAACCAAAAAAGAGCCCGCATTGCCAAGGCAATCCTAAGCCAAAAGAACAAAGCTGGAGGCATCACACTACCTGACTTCAAACTATACTACAAAGCTACAGTAACCAAAACAGCATGGTGCTGGTACCAAAACAGAGATATAGATCAACGGAACAGAACAGAGCCCTCAGAAATAATGCCACATATCTACAACTATCTGATCTTTGACAAACCTGAGAAAAACAAGCAATGGGGAAAGGATTCCCTATTTAATAAATGGTGCTGGGAAAACTGGCTAGCCATATGTAGAAAGCTGAAACTGGATCCCTTCCTTACACCTTATACAAAAATCAATTCAAGGTGGATTAAAGACTTAAACGTTAGACCTAAAACCATAAAAACCCTAGAAGAAAACCTAGGCTTTACCATTCAGGACATAGGCATGGGCAAGGACTTCATGTCTAAAACACCAAAAGCAATGGCAGCAAAAGCCAAAATTGACAAATGGGATCTAATGAAACTAAAGAGCTTCTGCACAGCAAAAGAAACTACCATCAGAGTGAACAGGCAACATACAAAATTGGAGAAAATTTTCACAACCTACTCATCTGACAAAGGGCTAATATCCAGAATCTACAATGAACTCAAACAAATTTACAAGAAAAAAAAACAACCCCATCAAAAAGTGGGCGAAGGACATGAACAGACACTTCTCAAAAGAAGACATTTATGCAGCCAAAAAACACATGAAAAAATGCTCACCATCACTGGCCATCAGAGAAATGCAAATCAAAACCGCAATGAGATACCATTTCACACCAGTTAGAATGGCAATCATTAAAAAGTCAGGAAATAACAGGTGCTGGAGAGGATGTGGAGAAATAGGAACACTTTTACACTGTTGGTGGGACTGTAAACTAGTTCAACCATTGAGGAAGTCAGTGTGGCGATTCCTCAGGGATCTAGAACTAGAAATACCATTTGACCCAGCCATCCCATTACTGGGTATATACCCAAAGGACTATAAATCATGCTGCTATAAAGACACATGCACACGTATGTTTATTGCGGCATTATTCACAATAGCAAAGACTTGGAACCAACCCAAATGTCCAACAATGATAGACTGGATTAAGAAAATGTGGCACATATACACCATGGAATACTATGCAGCCATAAAAAATGATGAGTTCACGTCCTTTGTAGGGACATGGATGAAATTGGAAATCATCATTCTCAGTAAACTATCGCAAGAACAAAAAACCAAACACCGCATATTCTCACTCATATGTGGTAACTGAACAGTGAGAACACATGGACACAGGAAGGGGAACATCACACTCTGGGGCCTGTTGTGGGGATGGGGGGGATAGCATTGGGAGATATACCTAATGCTAGATGACGAGTTAGTGGGTGCAGCGCACCAGCATGGCACATGTATACATATGTAACTAACCTGCACATTGTGCACATGTACCCTAAAACTTAAAGTATAATAATAAAAAATAAAAATAAAAAATAAAAATAAAAAAAGAAAGTTATCAAAATTACCAAGGCATTTTACAAATTTATTTTTATTTTTCATCTTATTATAATTATTTTTATTTTACTTTAAGTTCTGGGATACATGTGCAGAATGTGCTCGTTTGTTACATAGGTATATGTGTGCCATGGTGGTTTGCTGCACCTTTACACCTGTCACCTAGGATTTAAGCCTCACATACATTAGGTGTTTGTCCTGATGCTCTCCCTCTCCCTACTCCGCCAACAGGCCTGGGTGTGTGTTCTTCCCCTTGCTGTGTCCCTGTGTTCTCATTTTTCAACTCCCACTTATGAGTGAGAAAATTCAGTGTTTGGTTTTCTGTTCCTGTGTTAGTTTGTTGAGGATGATGGCTTCCAACTTCATCCATGTCCCTGCAAAGGACATGATCTCTTTCCTTTTTATGGCTGCATAGTATTCCGTGGTGTATATGTGCCACATTTTCTTTATGCAGTCTATCATTGATGGCCATTTGGGTTAGTTCGATGGCTTTGCTCTTGTGAATAGTGCTGCAATAAACATACGTGTGCATGTATCTTCATAATACAATGATCTATATTCCTTTGGGTATATACCTAGTAATGCAACTGCTGGGTCAAATGTTATTTCTGGTTCTGGATACTTGAGGAATCACCACACTGTCTTCCACAATGTTTGAACTAATTTACATTCCCACCAACAGTGTAAAAGCATTCCTATTTCTCCACAGGCTCACCAGCATCTGTTGTTTCTTGACTTTTTAATAATTGCCATTCTGACTGGCATGAGATGGTATCTCACTGTGGTTTTGATTTGCATTTCTCTAATGATCAGTGATGTTGAGCTTTTGTTGGCCACATAAATGTCTTCTTTTGAGAAGTACCTGTTCATGTCCTTTACCCACTTTTTGATATGGTTTTTTAAATTGTAAATTTGTTTAAGTTCCTTGTAAATTCTGATTAGACCTTTGACAGATGGATAGATTAAAAAATTTTCTCCCATTCTGTGGGGTTCCTGTTTACTCTGATGATAGTTTATTTTGCTGTGCAGAAGCTGTTTAGTTGAATTAGATCCAGTCTGTTAATTTTAGCTTTTGTTGCAATTGCTTTTGGAAATTTCATCATAAAATCTTTACCCTCACCTGTGTCCTGAATGGTATTGCCTAGGTTTTCTTCTAGGGTTTTTATGGTTTTTGGGTTTTACAGTTAGGTCTTTAATCCATCTTGAGTTAATTTTTATATAAGGTGTAAGGAAGGGGTTCAGTTTCTGTTTTCTTCATATGGCTAGCCAGTTTTCCCAGCACCATTTATTAAATAGGGAATCCTGTCCCCATTGCTTGTTTTTGTCAGGTTTGTCAAAGATCAGATGGTTGTAGATGTGTGGTGTTAATTCTGAGGTCTCTATTCTGTTCCATTGGTCTATATGTCTGTTTTGGTACCAGTACCATGCTGTTTTCATTTATAGTTTGAAGTCAGGTAGCATGATGCCTCCAGCTTTGCTCTTTTTGCTTAGGATTGTCTTGGCTTTACGGGCTCTTTTTCGGTTTCATATGAACTTTAAAGTACTTTTTTTTCTAATTCTGTGAAGAATGTCAATGGTAGTTTGATGGGAATAGTGTTGAATCTGTAAACTACTTTAGGCAGTATGGCCATTTTCATGATATTGATTCTTCCTATCCACAAGGATAGAAAATTGTTCCATTTGTTTGTGTCCTCTCTTATTTCCTTGAGCAATGGTTTGTAGTTCTCCTTGAAGAGGTCCTTCACGTCCCTCGTAAGCTGTATTCCTAGGTGTTTTATTCTCTTTATAGCAGTTATGAAAGGGAGTTCATTCATGATTTGGTTCTCTGCTTGTCTGTTGTTGGTGTATAGGAATGCTTGTGATTTTTGCACTTTGATTTTGTACCCTGAGACTGCCGAAGTTGCTTATCAGCTTAAGGTGCTTTTGGGCTGAGATGATGGAGTTTTCTAAATATAAGATCATGTCATCTGTAAAGAGAGACAACTTGACTTCCTCTCTTCCTATTTGAATACCCTTTATTTCTTTCTCTTGCCTGATTGCCCTGGCCAGAACTTCCAATACTATGTTGAATAGGAGTGGTAAGAGAGGGCATCCTTGTCTTGTGCTGGTTTTCAAAGGGAATGCTTCCAGCTTTTGCCCATTCAGTATGATCTTTACTGTGGGTTTGTCATAAATAGCTCTTACTATTTTGAGATATGTTCCATCAATAACTAGTTTATTGAGAGTTTTTAACATGAAGGGATGTTGAATTTTATCGAAGGCCTTTTCTGCATCTATGGAGATAATCATGTGATTTTTGTCATTGGTTCTGTTTATGTGATGAATTATGTTTATTGATTTGTGTATGTTGAACCAGCCTTCAATCCCAGGGATGAAGCCGACTTGATCATGATGGATAAGCTTTTTGATGTACTGCTGGATTCAGCTTGCCAGTATTTTATTGAGGATTTTCACATCGATGTTCATCAGGGATATTGACCTCAAGTTATCTTTTATTGTTGTGTCTTTGCCAGGCTTTGGTATCAGGATGATGCTGGCCTCATAAAATGAGTTAGAGAGGATTCCCTCCTTTTCAGTTGTTTGGAATAGTTTCAGAAGGAATGGTACCAGGTCCTCTTTGTACTGCTGATAGAATTCAGCTGTGAATCTGTCTGATCCTTGGCTTTTTTTCGGTTGGTGGCTATTTATTACTGCCTCAATTTCAGAACTGGTTATTGGTCTAGTCAGGGATTTGACTTCTTCCTAGTTTAGTCTTGAGAGGGTGTATGTATCCAGGAATTTATTCATTTCTTCTAAATTTTCTAGTTTATTTGTGTAGAGGTGTTTATGGTATTCTCTGATGGTAGTTTGTATTTCTGTGGGATCAGTGGTGATATCCCGTTTATCATTTTTTATTGTGTCTATTTGATTCTTCTCTCTTTTCTTCTTTATTAGTCTAGCTAGTGGTCTATTTAATTAAGTTTTTCAAAAAACCATCTCCTGGATTCATTGATTCTTTGAAGGGATTTTCATGTCTCTGTCTCCTTCAGTTCTGCTCTGATCTTAGTTATTTCTTGTCTTCTGCTAGCTTTTGAATTTGTTTGCTCTTGCTTCTCTAGTTCTTTTAATTGTGAGGTTAGGGTGTCGATTTGAAATATTTCTAGCTTTCTGATATGGACGTTTAGTGCTATAAATGTCCCTCTTAACACTGCTTTAGCTGTATCCCAGAGATTCTAGTATATTGCCTCCTTGTTCCCATTGTTTTCAAATAATTTCTTGATTTCTGCCTTAATTTCATTATTTACCCAGGAGTCATTCAGGAGCAGGTTGTTCAATTTCCATGTAGCTGTGTGGTTTTCAGTGAGTTTCTTATCCTGAGTTCTAATTTGAATGTACTGTGGTCTGAGAGAGTGCTTGTTATGATTTCAGTTATTTTGCATTTCCTGAGGAGTGTTTTACTTCCAATTATGTGGTCACTTTTAGAATAAGTGCCATGTGGCTCTAAGAAGAATGTATATTCTGTTGATTTGGGGTAGAGAGTTCTGTAGATGTCTACTAGGTCCACTTGATCCAGAGCAGAGTTCAAGTCTTGAATATCCTTGTTAAATTTCTGTCTCATTGATCTGTCTAATATAGGCAGTGGGGTTTTAAAATCTCCCACTATTATTGTGCAGGAGTCTAACTCTCTGTGTGGGTCTCTTAAGAACTTGTTTATAAATCTGAGTGTTCCTGTAGTGGGTGCATATATATTTAGGATAGTTAGCCCTTCTTGTTGTATTGATCCCTTTACCATTATGTCATGCACTTCTTTGTCTTTTTTGATCTTGTTGGCTTAAAATCTGTTTTGTCAGAGACTAGGATTGCCACCCCTGCTTTTTTCTGCTTTCCATTTGCTTGATAAATATTCCTCCATCCCTTTACTTTGAGCCTATGTGTGTCTTTGCCTGTCAGATGGGTCTCTTGAATACAGCATACAGTTGGGACTTGGCTCTTTATCCAATTTGCCAGTCTGTGTCTTTTAATTGGGACATTTAGCCCATTTACATTTAAGTTTAATATTGTTATGTGTGAATTTGATGCTGTCATCATGATGCTAGCTGGTTATTTTGCACACTAGTTGATGCAGTTTCTTTTTAGTGTCATTGGTCTTTATATTTTGCTGTGTTTTTGCAGTGGCTGGTACCAGTTTTTCCCTTCCATATTTAGAGTTTCCTTCAGGAGCTCTTGCAAGGCAGGCCTGGTGGCAACAAATTCCCTCAGCATTTGCTTGGCTGAAAAGGATTTTATTTCTCCTTTGGTTCTGAAGTTTAGTTTGGGCAGATATATGAAATTCTTTTCTTTAAGAATGTTGAATACTGGCCCCCATTCTCTTTTGGCTTGTAAGATTTCTGCTGAGGTATCTGCTGTTAGCGTGATGGGCTTCCTATTGTAGGTGACCTGGCCTTTCTTTCTGGCTGCCCTTAACATTTTTTCCTTCATTTCAACCTTGCAGTATCTGATGATTTTGTGTCTTGAGGTTGATCTTCTCGTGGAGTATCTTAGTGGGATTCTCTGCATTTTCTGAATTTGAATTTTGGCCTTTCTTACTAGTTTGGGGAAGTTCTCCTGGATAACATCCTGAAGTGTGTTTTCCAACTTGGTTCCATGCTCTCCCTCTCTTTCAGGTACTCTAATCAGTCATAAGTTCAGTCTTTTACATAGTCCAATATTTCTCAAAGGTTTTGTTTGTTCATTTTCATTCTTTCTTCTCTAATCTTGTCTGCCTGCATTATTTCAGCAAGATAGTCTTCAATCTCTGATAACCTTTCTTCCTCTTGATCAATTCAGCTATTGATACTTCTGTATGCTTCACAAACTTCTAGTGCTGTTTTTCAGCTCCATCAGGTCATTTATGTTCCTCTCTAAACTGGTTATTCTAGTTAGCAGTGCCGGTAACCTTCTTTTACCAAGGTTCTTAGCTTCTTTGCATTGGGTTAGAACATGCCCCTTTTCTTCAGCAAAGTTTGTTATTACTCACCTTCTGAAGACTACTTCTGTCAATTCATCCATCTCATCCTCCCTCCAGTTCTGCACCCGTACTGGAAAGATGTTGTGATCATTTGGAGAAGAGATTTTCAGCATTTTTTCATTGATTCTCATCTTCATAGTTTGTCTAGTTTTGATCTTTGAGACTGCTGACCCTTGGATGAGGTTTTTGTGGGGCATTTTTTGTTGATGTTATTGTTGTCCCTTTCTGTTTGCTTGTTTTTCTTTCAGTAGTCAGGTCCCTCTTCTGTAGGGCTGCTGCTGTTTTCTGGGGGTTCGCTTCAGGTGCTATTCATCTGGTTCAATCCCATGCCTGGAGATGCCACTCAAGGAGACTGGAGTTGAGTGCCTGCTCCTTCCTCTTGGATATCTGACCTTGAGGGTCACTGACCTGATGTCAGTAGGAACACTCCTATATAGGGTGTCTGGCAACCCCTCTTGGGAAGGTCTCACCCAATTGGGTGGCACAGGAAGCAGGACCCATTTAACTAAGCACTTTGGCTGTCCCTTGGTGGAGGGGGTGTGCTGCACTGGGGGAAAACCCACTCATCTGGACTGCCAGGATTCCACAGAGCTAGCAGGAGGAAAGACTAAGTCTGCTGGTCTGTGGAGAATATGGCCACTCCTCCCCCTAGGGGCTCAGGCCCAGGGAGATCAGAGTTCTGTCCCTGAACCCCTCGCTGGAGTTTTTGAAGTTCCTTCAGGGAGGCCCCACCCAATGAGGAGGAATGGGTCAGTGTCCAGCCTGAAGAAGCAATCTGGCTACGGACTGCCACAGCCGGTGTGCTGGGCTGTGGGGAATACCTCTTGGGGCCAAGTTGTCCAGTCTCCCTGGCTCCAGCAGGGGAAAAGCGTGGCCTGGAGGTATAGTGATGGCTGGTCTTACACATTTAAAAGGTGGAAATGGTTATTTCTATGTGCTATGCTGATAATAGTTTTCTACATTTTTCTCTATTTCCTGATACATGTTGAGTATCTCTAATTCAAAAATTTACAATTCAAAATGCTCCAAAATCTGAAACTTTTTAAGCCCCCACAAGTGCTAAATTTCACACATTAGTGCTTAACAAAAACCATTTCATGCAGAAAATTATTTAAAATACTGTATAAAGTTCCCTTCAGGCTACGTGTATAAGGCGCATATAAACATAAATGAATTTTGTGTTTACACTTGGGTCATCTCCCCAACATATCTATCTATCTATCTATCTGTCTATCTATATATATATATAGATATATATACACACACACACACACACACACACACACACACATATTTTCTAAAATTAAAAAAAAAGTCATAAACATTTTCTAGTCTCAAGCATTTTGGATAAGGGATACTCAACCCATAGTTTGTAGATTGCATCAAGGGGCTTCCTTGAATATGGCTTTCAGTTGGGTTCCACAAATAAGAAGTATGAACAGGAAATGAAGGGTCAGACGGAGACGGTGAGTTTGAGGTATTTATTCCGCCTGCTCTCTTCTTACTGGGTTGCTAAAACTTGATCCTGTCCATCTGCTGAAAGTCACAGCTCCTATCAGGTGGCACTCTCTTAGCTACACTTTCACTGTTCTGGCATCACCATCTCCCTGTGCCCCGTCAGGATATGCATGGGGACCCACCATTGCTAGCCTCAGGGTACTACACTAACCTTTAGTTTCCCTTACTTCTTTGCAAATGGTACTTTATTAAACTTCTGTCAATTTTCTCATGTGACTGCACCATCTGTGTCTTGTAAGGGTTTCTAACTGATATAGTACTTTTCAGCAGAAAGGTCCTCAAAATATAACCCTTAAAATGGGATTCTAAATTGAGTTTCTTACAGGATCAACAAAGATAGGGATAATCTCATTGCTGGGTGGGATGAGACGCTGCTAATTCATGGCATGCAGTGACATTGATTATTCATAGAAGCATTTCCATAGGAAGAAGTGCTGGTGGACATCAAGGCATCAGGAGTTCGAGTTGTTTTGGCAATAATGGTAATTATGGTAGAAAGGGCAGAGAGCTAATGCTGCTGGCTGTAGAGACTGTATCCAAGGAAGAAGACACATTGATTGCCTTCAATGACTGGCTTGTAACGTGGTGGTGGTGGGAGGTAGAAGTGTACTCTATTATGCCTATGAAGGACTCCCTCACACTGGAGTTGCAGGGTTGCAGAGATGTGTTGCTTAACCCTGTCAGGTTGCTTAGGTGATGGTTTGGGAACAGATGGAGCAAAAGAGGGATCTTGAGATGTTGGAGGAAGACCACTGAGCACACGCAAAGAAGCTGAGCTCTTCAAAACCCCTAATCCCTCAGATCACCTTGCCGGTTAGGGCAGTTCCTCCACTTAATCAGAGGAAAGAAGTTTCTCCCAGACACAAACCTCCCTCAGTAGCTGTTTCTGGGGTGACTGCCTGACAAGTGATGGCAGTTGTCTCCAGGAGTCATCCACAATTCCTCCCTGAATGCAGGTTCATAGAATCATGTCCCAGAAGATCCCAGACTTGAGAGTATGAAGCCAAGTCCTGCTAAGAATTTCGGGACTTCCCAAGTTGTACCAGTAGGAATCGGCAGAGCAAGGTGGGAATCGGTTCTTGGGTATTACACCAAGAAGGATAAACTCTTGTGCTAAATTACCTAAGATTTGGGATATAATGCATTGATCTAAGCCCTTGGGGGAAATTGAGTTGGCTCATGATTGCCTGGACTTAATGGTGGCTTATGATCAATGATGTGCAATGCTGGAACTCCCCTGACACACTGTGGAGAAAGATGTCTGAGGGCTCAGGAAGTGGAAGGTGTTGGATTGGATGGATTATGTGCATGCTTCTCAACTCCCCTATCGGTTTCTAAAATGGCTCGGAAAGCACTCCCTTCTCACCATTAAGAAAAGTATTAGGAGGAGGGGGAGAAAAGGCTCTGTGGTGGTGCCCTCTCCACGCCGGAGGGGATGCTGGAGGATTAAGCCAGACACACACTATGATCTCTATGAGAATAACACATTCTGGTGTAGAAGTCAGAGCCCAAGTGGTGCAATTACCACAATAAGCCCCAGGGATGGGCTCATAATCTGACATTTTGATATACAGCGTTCTGTAGTGGTAAAATAGCGGGGCAACCTACCAAGTTGTTGCTTAACACACATGTTTTTGAGATGTGATGGGCAGAAACATTATTTGAGGCACTATATAGAAAATTCACATCATCTTACCTGGTCCTGAGTGGACACAGTTGAAACACAAAGCACCTGGAATGAGAAGGAAGGCAGATCCAGGTCCCTGGGAGGAAGAGCCCTCAGTGCAGGTATAGGTAGATATGTTCTGGAGCTTCCTGGCACCTTTCCTGGAGGAATCTGCTGCCATTTGCCAGGATGCACTGAGGAAAGGGAATAACAGGTCTTTCTGGGGGTTATTCTTATGGGACTTTAAGGGACAGAAACTCCTGGAGACCCACAAAACCACTGTGGCTCCCCAGTCAGCATGGAATCTTGGCCTGAGTCAACTTATCTCTGAATGCAGTGTGCCTGTAGCCCCATCTCTGTCATAATGTTATCTGAAAGGCCCTGATTGTCCTGATGTGCCACTGAACATCGCAGTGGTCCATTCTCTGCGTGACAATTTGCTAAGTGGACACAGGCCTAAGAAGTCCATCAAACATGATGCTAGGAGCTAAGACCCTTGCACTATCTATTCTCTGCAAGGGTGTTTTCCACACCACCATGCCCTTCAAATAGCTATATGGCAAACTCCTGACTGTCATGAGCCGTGCAAGTTTAGAGATAACCAGGTCCATGCATGTTTGTGTCTTTTTGCAATGCCAGGCTTTTATTGATGCTATTTCAATCACAAAAGCCATGAGCTACAATGGAGTTCCCAAGGAGGCAATTCTCTTTAATCCTTCCCATTTACTTAGTAGACACAGCCTTGGGCTCACAGGCTCAAGCCACTCCACAAGTCAGTCAATAATGCAAACCATACATAATAATATACTTAATATACAAATGTTATAGGTTAAACATTCAACGACAAAGTAACATTTAACATCAAGAGGAAAAAGAGATAGGAGAAAGGGTTAATGAATCAGTCCAGAGGGAGTGAAGAAGACAAAAGGAGTTCTGGTCTAGGCCGGGCGGATGGTCTCAGGTCTTGCAAGGAAGAATTGTTAATGGGGCAGAGCCTTCTGTGGCAGACGCCAAGTTCTTATCATGAGTGACTGCAAGATGGTATCAGTTAAGGGGGCCATTTCGAGCTGCTGGAGGCCTGCTCTTTTACAGTCACAGAGTCCTCTGGTGAGTACTGATAGTGGAAAAGTCTGCTTGTTGGTGTCCTTATCTGGTTGGATGCAGTCTTTTTTTAAATTTGTTTATTAAGCAAAACATCATATTCTTGTTGGCAAAGCACTGTGAGATATAAAATGGACTCTTTTCTAAGATGAAGTTATTTCAAGGGTACCATATATACTCACCTTAAGTCTTTACTTGAATATTTCTTTTCCAAAAACATTTCCCTAACTAGCCTATTTAAAACTCTATTTCATATTACATGCATATAAGTGGAGGCTCATGTAGGGATGGGGAAGAGGGAAAATATTAAAATGAGATTAGAGAGAGACTTTGTGTAAACTGATACCAATAGTACACTATAAATTGTGAAATATTATTTACCTAATTCTTTTCATCTGAAGTCCAAGTAAGAAAAAATATTTCTAAAATAATCATGTGTTCTTGGACACAGAGTGGGGAACATCACACACCGGGGCCTATTGTGGGGTGGGGGGAGGGGGAGGGATAGCATTAGGAAATATACCTAATGTAAATGACAAGTTAACGGGTGCAGCACACCAACATGGCATGTGTATACATATGTAACAAGCCTGCACGTTGTGCACATGTACCCTAGAACTTAAAGTATAATTAAAAATTAAAAATAAAATAAAATAATCATGTGTTCTCATTTTTCAACTCTCATTTGTGAGTGAGAACATGTGGTGTTTGGTGTTCTGTTCCTATGTTAGTTTCCTGAGAATGATGGCTTCCAGCTTCATCCATGTCCCTGCACAGACACATGGAGGGAAACATCACACTCTGGGGCCTGTCGGGGGTCGGGGGCAAGGGAAGGGAGGGCATTAGGACAAACACCTAATGCATGCTGGACTTAAAACCTAGATGACAGGTTGATAGGTGCAGCAAACCACCATGGCACATGTATACCTATGTAACAAACCTGCACGTTCTGCACATGTATCCCGGTACTTAAAGTAAAATAAAAATAAATAAAAATAATCAAACATTGTATTATATAATTTTGTATGGTCTATTTTAGACATGCATAGACACCTATGTATTAAAAGTATACATATATGTGCTTACAATCTTTAAGAACATTAATGTCTTTGGGAAAAGTGAGAAAGGAAGAAATGGCAGGTGGCCGTTTCAGTAAATTAGGTATATTTACAGCAAGTGTATGAAAATCTTAATATCTCTTCTGTCTTCATGGTGAATACATAGATACTTCATATAGTTTTCCATATTTTTATCTAAGTTTCATTAGGTACTTTTTTTTTTAAGTAAGGCAAAAAGTAGTAGCAGATGAGACAGGAGAAACAGCAAGATGCAGCCCTCGGACAGCTCTGTCCTCTACTCCAGCAGGTGTAGACTTTGTCGTAGCGGAAAAGGCAGGGTGCTGAAATGTCTCCCAGTAATGAGCAACAAACAGTGTCTCCGTATACAGGCATGAATGTGGCTATCATGGAAGAGTGGAAGAGGGAGTCCTGTGGGAAGGCAGTGAGAATGAATGCCTGGGAGGTGCAGTCATCGGGAAGCAGAGAAACAGCAAGTCAGAAACAGCATCCTCACTTTGTGTGTGTGGCATGCCATGGCATAATTCAGTACAGGAAGGAGTGCTGGAGTGGTGGCATCTGCATGCAGCCTGTGTCCCTGCTCTAGCAAAATGTGGAGTCCTTTCACCAAATTGCATGTCCACTATCACAGAGCAAAATGGGGTAGAGGACAATCATGAGAGTCCAGGAGATATCACTTCTCATTGTATCTAAATAATAAAAAAGTAATCCTGATTTGCAAGATTTGGGGAGAAATTTTTTTTAATTGCTGGTCAAAACCTACAAAATGTATAGTTAACATTTTCCTCAGAGTGGGGCAACACATGCATTGCACTTTCTTCAAACTGCACACACCAAATTGAACAAGCTTTGTAAATAAATCTCTATATAGTTAATGCAAACTTTTTTTTATCAAGTCACCATCCTGGGTCTTGACTTATACATTCCTTAAAGTAGAATAAAAGTATAGCAAAAATATGCATACTTAGGAATGCAAAAATTGTAATAAGTAATGGAAAAGTAAAATCAAAGTAGTGTCCCCACAGTTTCAAAAGATAGGTTTGGTAACCTTAAGTGAATAAATGTCAAGGAAAATACTGATTCATGCCATAATAATCACATGGAAGAGTCAGGCCAATTTTCCAAAGTGGGCTATGAAGTTCCAGTTTTTATAACACATTAGGAACCTTAATTTTATCTATCTTTCTTGAATTTTATATACATACTTCACAAAAATAGAAAATTTAATACGTAGAAAGCATACATGTGTATGTATTTTGATGATACATGCAAGAGCTTGGTTTATAATCTATGCATATATAAACACCAAAAATGTTGGTACAGTGTTTTAATTAACCCATGGGTCACCAAGGACAAACAAAAGTCTAGAGGGAAGTGACAGAGATAAATTGGATCCTTTACACCTCACTATATTCTGCTGGTGAAAATCAAATGCTCAAGGCTGACATCCTCTACAGGAACCTGTTTCTGTACTTCCTCCTCTGGAAGCACTATGGGTCAGCATATTTCATCATGCACCTCCCCCCACAAAAAAAGCAATAAACATCTTTGAAACATTAACTCATTCCTATGATTCATAACTTTTTGAGTAGGAGGAAAGAAAAAACATCACATTAAAAAAGTCTTATTTTTTGTCCTGAAGATCCCAAAGCTCAGATTATGTTTTCAGCATTTGGGAACAAATTAGAAACTCTGTAGGTTCTAAAGCATTGGCTAATCTCTACTTGTACCTGAAGGCAGAGTAAGAAGTATGAGAAGAACACAAATAATTGATACTCACAAGTTGGTCCTCAGAGCCCCTCTATAGAGGCCCCTCCCTCATGAGCCACTGCCAGGCAAAGCCACAAGGTCATTTTACAGGTATAAAATGATTCTTAGAGGTGATGGCCTTGTGTCTGTGTTCATATCACCAGCAGGGCCTGGCTGTGGTTTGAAAGCACCCAGTCTGCAGAGCTTTGGGAACCCACTCCCGATGCCCAGAACCTGGTGTCCCCATAGGGGGCACCTCTGGATCCAACCTCATGGGAAGCCATGGCTTAAAAGCAGGGAATTACTCTTTGTGCTGGAGTGTCAGAGGAGGAACACAGTAGCAAAAGGAGAATGGCACAGACTCAGACACTAGGCCAGCCACTGTCATCACCCCAGGACAGAGTTAGGGGAATGGCAGCTCTCCTGATGCTCTGTTCCTACCCTTCTCCCATCTTCGGTACACACAGGAGCAGCCCGTACCTTCTTCCTTTGAGCTGTGTGCTCTGAAGATCTGCACTACGCTCAAGCTGTGCTGCATAGATGAGCCCGCTGAAACATGCCTTGTAGCCTCAACTCGTCTTCTCGTCTCCTGGATGAAGATAACTGGACTTCTGCACATGGGTGTTGAGATGCTGGCTTCAGGTAAGGCGTGTCCTGTGCTCATCACTCCTTACGGGTCGATAACTGGCTCGATAGAAAGGCTTCTTGGTGGTTGTCACTCTTCCGTGACATAAAACAGCATGTGCCAACTTGTTCCCTGCATCAACCTTGCAGAGCTGGCTTCCTAACAGCCCCCCTGGAACTCCTGTGACCCCCACAAGCAGTCTTTAAATCCTTTTTCATTGGAGAGGAGTCAAATTGAAAGTCTAAGGGAAGAGGCAAAAATGGGTTGTCTGAGTGGCTCTTTCATTTATTCTGGGTGTATTTGCATAGCAATATGTTTGTCCCAGAAATCAAACCGTCTTCTTTTCAAGGGAACAAAACCAAACAAAGCAAAATAACACAAAACTTTAAAATCACCTAGAAGCCCAGTTGAGCATGAAATGGACGTTGGGAAGGACATCAATAATTGTAAGAAGTGTTGCAAATGATCCAGAACTGGCATGTGGATTAAGCTAAAACTATTATTTTTCATTGTGAAACAGTCAACATCATTCTGTTCAAGCCTTTGTTTAAGCAATCCTTAACCAGTGTAAACTGCAGCTTGAGCTTGCTGGGAGTTGACACGGCAGGTTGCGAAGGGTGGAAGGTTTCCCGACGTCCCGGCGCTATGCTCTTGAGCTTTGAGCAGGAATGTGTGCAGCCTGCAATCCCACAGGAAGCAGGGGATCTGCAAAAACAGGAATTGAAAGGCAATTACCTGGCATCAGACTGGCACAATCTGTTCAAGGGACTTGTCCGCCGGCATGGGGTCAGTGGGAGAGGGAGCCGAGCTGGTAACAGATCCTTCCTTCAGCCTCAGCAGTTCCCAGAGACACCGACATGTTCTTGCCAGGACTTGGGGCCAGCAGAGCAGAGGGCTGCATTTTTCCATTTTTTTTTTCATCTATGCAGAAGATTTCTATATCCAGATATGGAGGACCTACATTTTTATAAAGCAGTATGCTTTGGGGATATTTAAAATCAGCAATTTCCCTCCCTGCCTCTCCCCTGGTACACTACATTAGATGAACAATTAGTATATTAGCCACAGCCCAAGCATAAGGAAAGGGCAAACATGCAAAAACAAGACTTACATGAAAGAGAAAATAAGAGTCTACATAGATATCAGTATGAATAGATTTCTACTTTGGAACTCCAGCTATTTCTGTTTCTGTTTTGAAATCCAACTAATATTTTTTAAAGTGAGCATACGTCATTCTTCGTATAGTATTACCATGTTATCCTGGATAAAAGACTTAAACGTACAAAAAAATACAACTCTAAGAAAGATGGCAGGGATGTATTGATGAATTAGACAATCGCAGAGCCTTCAAGCCATGATGCCTTAAATATTCCTTCAATGACTGAGGTTTGAATCTTCTAGTGCCTGTTGCAGAAAGAAAGCTTTTAGACATCTCTTAGCAAAGGGGAGCTAGTGCGCAAGTTTGCAGTAAGTATTCATCAACAGGTATGTACTTTTATTCAGTATATATGGTTTTATATAGTAGGGCAAATAGAAGACAAGCAATGACTTAAGGACTGATTTGAATAGATAGCTTTCATGGAATACAAGTTGTACGTATTTTCTACAAAATATAACCACATTAACAAGGAATAGCAGAAACGAGGCAGTTAATTATTACACCTGTACTGCACTATTTTCCTCCATAATGACAGTAAACAAACTTATGAATTTGAGAGCCTACTATGTGCCAGGCACAACCCACCCAACCATTATGTATAGAGATAAGATTCCCATTTTCTAGATAAGCGGGTTGAAGCTTTATATTAATTTTACCTAAACAAGTCCGCCTGGAAAAATATCAGGTATGTTGTTGAATAAAAACTGTTTTTGCTGAATAGTAGATATAGATGGTTTGTAAGCACATGCATTAACAATGTGAACTTTTACTTGTTTGGATTTTTGCACTCTGGAGAGCAAAGAGATAGAAGAGACTTTTAAAAATCCTTTGAATTATATTTGCGTCTTATTTATTATAATACCATAAGAAATAAAGGAAGATTAAAAACAAATATAACAAGCTGAAGGAACAACATATCACCAACAGGTTATTATTAAAAAAGATGGTCTGAGCACGGTGGCTCACACCTGTAACCCCACCGCTTTGGAAGAGGCAGGCAGATCACTTGAGGTCAAGAGTTCAAGACCAGCCTGGCCAACATGGTGAAATCCCATCTCTACTAAAAATATAAAAATTAGCCAGGTGTGGTGGGATGCACCTGTAGTCCCAGCTACTCGGGAGGCTGAGGCAGGAGAATTGCTTGAGTCTGGGAAGCAGAGGTTCCAGTGAGCCAAGATTATGCCACTGCTCTCCAGCCTGGGCGACAGAGCAAGACTCTGTCTCAAAAAGTAAAATACAATAAAATAAATTAAATAAGGATGACTACTGATCAGTAGAGAAAAATTAGACTTTTTCTACCTCTGAGGTCAAACCAGATAGCACCATAGGCAAATGCTTCATAATTTCCCCTGTTGTTGTTGATGTTTCTTTGTTGTTTTCCTGCTTTCAAACCTTTATCACATTTCTGCCTGCAATCCCTAATAGTTTGGGAACAAAAAGAAAATTTACACTTTTGACATTTAAGTGAAAATGTTAGGTTGTAGACATTGATGAACTTCACTTCAAAAGGAGTGGCCAGTCCAATTCTGGTCATGAGCAAACAGAAATAACACCATGTCTGCATATCTCTCGGCCAGACAGGTTTTATGGCTTTAAAGGCTGTGATCCTTCTGAAGTATTCCCAGGAGGACAGCTTTTATCAGAGCATTGCATTAGTCATGGTTACTTTCAGAGGGAGCAAACTGCTTTCCAACACACAGAGTTTGGACAGAAAATAATCTCCTGCTTTACCCCTTGATATTTTGTGAGATTGTTACTGGCACAAATATATTCCAAGTTACCAAAGCAAAGGGCGGAAATAGATGAGATGTTTACAAGGATTCCAAAATTTGGGGTGGAAATTCTTAGTGAAAATGCCTTTGAAGATAAGAGAAGATAGACGCCAAAATCCTTGACAACTCAGGGTCAAACTACTTTCAGAGATGCCATTGAAAGGTCGCATGACCACAGCCACGGCCATGGTGAGTGCAAAGCTGTCTAAACAGCACATTTGAACCTTCTGAGAGGATGAATTCACCTTTCCCTGCTCTCTCCACATTGATTTCAGGTTGCTGTGTTTGCTAACTTCTTTTGGTTTTATCATCAGTGTATGGATTCAGTCCCCCAAGGAGAGTTTAAAAAGAGTAAGAAGGAAACTTGCTAGTACGGCATTCTCTCCCCTTTTGGATTCAGGACATCAGTGAGCTACAGGGAGTAGATCCCAGTTGACTTTTGGCTCAGGAATTTATTAACTGGATGGCCGTAGCCTCCCTAACGCTCACTTTTCTCACAGTGAAATCAAGGGGCTTGAACTGGATCAGAACAGACAAATTACTTTCTTCAGTTTAGGAAACCCTTTATGAAAGAACATCGCAAATGGGATTTAATTAAATGAAAGATCTTCTGTACAGAGAAAGAAACAATCAACAGAGTTAACAGACAATGTGTAGAATGGAAAAAAAAAATTTGCAAACTGTGCACCTGACAGAGGACTAATATCTAGAATTTACAAGGAACTCAAACAACAACAACAAATAACAATAAATAATCCCATGAAAAGTGGGCAGAGGACATGAATAAACATTTTTCAAAATAAGACAAAATGGCCAAAAAGCATATGACAAAATGCTCATCATCACTAACCATGACAGAAATGCACATTAAAACCACTATGAGGCATCGTCTTACTCCAGTCAGAATGGCTGTTATTGAAAAGACAAAAAACAACAGATTGTTAGTGAGCACACGGGTAAAAGGGAACTCTTATACACTGTGAGAAGAAATGCAAATCAGTTCAATTTTCTATGAAAACAGCATGGAGATTTCTCAAAGAGCTAAAGATAGAACAATCATTCGATCCAGTAATCCCACTACTGGGTATCAACCCAAAGGAAAAGAAATCACATCAAAAACATACCTGCACTTGCATGTTTATCACAGCACAATTCACAATAACAAAGATGTGGAATAAACCTAAGTGTCCATCAATGAATGATTAGATAAGCAAAATTATATAGATAGATAGATACAGATATAGATATATTTACATACACACACACAAAATAGGATACTATTCAGCCATGAAAAAGAATAAAATTATGTCTTCTGCAGCAACATGGATGGAATCAGAGGCCATTATCTTAAGTGAAACAACTCAGAAACAGAAAGACAAATATTGAATATTCTCACTTATAAGTGGGAGCTAAATGATGTGTACACATGGATGTAAGAGTGTGGAATGATAACCAGTAGACACTCAGAAGGGTGGGGAGATGGCAGAGAGTAAGGGATGAGAATTACTTAAGAAGTACAAAGTATGTTAGTCCAGTCATGTGCCCACTAAAAGCTGTGGCTTCTTCACTGCACAGTATATCCATGTAACAAAATTGCACTTCGACTCCATAAATTTATACAAATACAAAATTTTTAAAAAGAAAATCCCATCATTTAGAATAAACAAATATAAGGCATACACTTCATACACTTATTAAAGCATTTTTCTCTGAATCAGCCTGCAAGGACTTGGAGGAAAAGCAAGGCTCATAGGTGCAAGAATGAAAAAGTCTGAGCTCTCCCAATGCTCCCAGCAAATGCTTCTCTATTCCACTGCCTTCCACTCAAGTGTGGTTCAGATTTAAAATCATTCCTTAGAGTTTTTCTTGCTTAACACTCTGGAAAAGTTTCCTCTCTGACAATGTGCTTTACATATTAAGATATATTTTGTCACTATTTCACCTCTTATATTTCCAGCCTGATATGAGTATCAAGTAGGATGTCTGAAGATGTTAATTACAGTAATAATAGACATGGAAAATATATGGTTTGTGAATTTTGATTTTAGACATAATAGAGAAATAAAGTCAGATATTCCAATAAACCATCAAGGCAGCCATTGTTTATTCTAAACCCAAACTGAAGAGGGAATTGCTGGTGAGACTTTCAGTAGCCCATGGATGCCAACTCATTCACTGTCATAATTGGTGGAAATTTAAGCTGTTTGAGACTTACAATAAGCTCTCATGCTTATGTGGCCCTTTAAAGACCATACTATAAGGCTTCACATTTCTTTCATTTGCCAGAGGAGGTTCACACCCATTTTATGAATGAAAAATAAGTGGAGGTAGGAAAGATTAAATGATTGGCCTACATTTGCTCATTAAGTTTGTTCATGGTACACAGGATGAAAATTTGAAGTCACCTGAAAGCAGGGTTTTATTGTGCTTATTTCTACACCAGTGTTTTTCTCAATAATCTGGCTAGGGCCTATAATAAGAACATTTTACAAGTGACCTAATAAAGATTCACACCCACAGAACTCAAAAAAGAATTTCATGAAACAAATTTTAGTCTTTATTTTTTCTTTTTCTTCTTCTTCTTCTTTTTTTTTTTTTTTTTTTTTGGTTGTTGTTGTTGTTTGTTTGTTCCCTCTCATTCTCTTTTTCCTTTTTGGCATGATTTCAGTTACTTTTTATTTAAAACCAAAATATTTATTTGGACTCATTAATTGATTTCCCAACCCTCTAGGATGTCAGGTACTCAGATGGAAAAATACCCCTTTAAATTGTAGGCTCTCACAGGCCCTTTTGGCAGCAGTCTTGTTCTATGAAGTTTTTAGAAAAATAAAGCAGTAAGAATGATGCTTTCAATATAAGTTTGGCAGCAGAACTTTCTAGGGAAAAACTCTTTTCTCTGACAACAAATTCTTACTACTATTTTGGATGGGAGTCCCACTGCTTCCTCACCCCAGCCACCTTCCTCTTTTGAAACAATGATGATACTATCTCACAATTATTTTTGTTTTTTAACACTTCTACTTAGACATAATTAAACAGTTGCCAATTTTGTATAAGGTCTCTAAATTTTATTTGTTGTTGTTAGAAGTTTTGGTTACTATTGAAATGTTGATGTCTGTGGATATTTTTAGGTACTTGAAGTCTTGCTGCCTGAAAGCAACTAAACATGACCGTAGTATCTCCCTACTGCTGCTCTCGCAGGACCCTCACACACCTCTAATTCATGAACGTGTCTTGAAAAGCCTGACTTTGCCAAAAGAATGTACTGTTCTTTTTTTTCCTTCAACTTTTATTTTAAGTTCAAGGGCTCATGTGCAGGATATGTAGGTTTGTTACATGAGCAAACATGTGCCATGGTGGTTTGCTCTACAGATCATACCATCACCTAGGTGTTAAGCCCAGCATCCATTAGCTATTCTTCCTGACGCTCTCCCTCCTCCCACCCCCACCGTCTGACAGGACCCAGTGTGTGTTGTTCCGCACATGTGTGCATGTGTTCTCATCAAGAATGTACTGTTCTTTCAATCAATTAGAAATAACTATTTTTTAATTCAGAAAAGTGAATTTTCCTGAGAAATATTCAATAGGGTGAGGCTTACACAGTTTTGTTATTGTTGTTACAGACCCCTGTTTAAATCTGTTGAAAGTTCTAAATCAGGGCTATCCAAAAAGTTAGACACTAGTCACATGTGGCTCATCAGCATTTGAGATGTGGTTAGTGTGACACCGGGAGTGAATTTTTCAATTTGATTTGATTACAGTTTATTTATATTTAAATTTGAAAACTGATACTCGACGAGTTACTGGAAAATCTTTAAGTATATTTAGAACAACATGAGTATGTGACTACTTTTTATAAAACAAAAATACATATCAAATATTTACAATGAAAATATGGCATTTGAATTGAGATGCACTGTAAGTATAGAATACACTCTGATTTCAAAGACTTAGAAAAACAACGCAAAATCGGTGACTAATAATTATGTGTTGATTTCACAATGAAATGATATTTTGAATATGTTAAGTTTTAAGGCAATGGTCCCCAACCTTTTTGGCACCAGGGACCGATTCCATGGAAGACAATTTTTCCACAGACTGGGCGGAAGGGGTATGGTTTTGGGATGAAACTGCTCCACCTCAGATCATCAGGTATTAGGTAGATTCTCATAAGGAGTGCGCAACCTAGATCCCTTGCTTGCGCAGTTCGCAATTGGGTTCGTGCTCCTATGAGAATCTAACATGGCCGCTGATCTGACAGAAGGCGGAGCTCAGGCGATCATGCTCACTCACCCACCACCCACCTCCTGCTGTGCGGCCTGGATTCTAACAGGCCACAGGCTGGTACCGGCCCACAGCCTGGGGTCTGAGGACCCCCTGAAATAAGGTACAGAATTAAAATAAACTTTACAGTTTCTTTTTACTTTTACTGTAGCTGCTAGTCAACTGAAATTACATACGCTGCCCATATGATATATTCATTGGACAGTGCCGATCTCAACCTTTCCCTCTTCCCAGTCTCCACACATCCCCAAACATCAAAACGATGCCTACAAATTCAGGATGAATAGACTCTCTGAAGCATAATCATAAGTTCCTGTCCAGTCATCTCAAGTAAAAAGCTGTCAATGTATTATTATCATCTCTGTTGTACAGAAGTGGAAACTGGATCTCTGGAAAATTTAGCGACTTGCTGTAGGTCAGCTAGTAAGTGCCAAAGCTGGAGTAAACCCAGGTTTAATTACTTCCATTAATTTCCTCTTTATTGGCACTTACATATATAAATTCCCATTTTACCTACATGTATTCATTATCAACTTTTCAAATTAGTTTTTATGAAAAGCGTATATACATACCAGACCCAATAACACTTAAAAATGTTGTGAAGACTTTGAAAACAATTATTCATATGTGGACCCTACCATTACTAAGGCCACAATTAATACATTTAGAATATATAAAAGTGAATTAAGAGTATTTTATTTACCAAAGGATATTATATTCCCTATTTATATAGTTTAATGTATTCCACATATAAAAAGACTGTTACTAACAATGGTTACCATATAGTGGATGTTGATTCTGTGTTAGGAATGTTTGCTAATGCTTTAAATATATTGTTTCATTTAATCCTCAAAACAACCACTCAATAATAATTTCATATAATCAATAATAATTTCACCAGGTCATTTGAATTGTATATACAGTCCATAAGATTAAAAACTTTATGACACTAAGTGAACTTACCCAGGTCACATTGAGGGAGGAAGAGCCGCCAAGCTTTAACCCAGGTCTCTCCAACTCCAAGTCTGATCCTCTTAATCCTGCCTGCATGTACTATGTGTTAATAAAAAATCTCTTGACATGCAGGTTCCATCTCTGTACCTGTGTCAGTCATCTAGTTTTAAAACCAGTAGGAAAAAGTATATGTGCGAAATAAACTAAATGGGATGGTTTTAACTTACCTTGTGTGATTGATAGAAAGCTTCTATAGAAGAAATAAGCAAACTTAATCAAAAGGAAATTGGCATGTCTATTGTTAGAAATAAAAATGGCTGGTTGTGATCATTTAGAATATTTACCTATTTAATGAATTTGTGTTTTAATTTTAAGATGGTAAACGAAAATGATCTCTACGTAGATTCTGACTCCCGATCTACATGATGGAATAGAATTATCAAATGAGAGAAAGATAAGATAAAGACATACAGAAGAAGATGATAGATTAGAAGGGGAAAATAAAGCATTTAAAAAATTATGGCAACATTTAAAAAGTCAAAGTATCAAATATGTGACCCTAAATTAGTTCAGTTTCCCCTTCTGTAAAATTGGCATTTAATATATCAGTCTCAATGCACACTATACTCAATGTCAGCTTTTAGTTTAAACTTTAGTACTCACAGGGCTGTGCTCATGTGAGCATTAGTGTTAGAGGGTATCACACAGTGGAGACATAGGTGATTAGCTACATGTTCTCTCTAACTCCACCCAAAATTGTGTTCAAAAAGTGCAACACGGTCTGGTCAATCAGAAAAGAGACAGAAAGCTACAGGGGATACACAAAGAAGATTGACTGTAGAGGTGGAGAGGTGGCTGGAGCTGAAAGCATCCTTTGTTCCTGGCAGATGACTGGTTCAAATGGCAATCCAAATATGTCCAGGAAGTAGCCACACTATGTGAGCCACACTATGTAACATCTGTAAATAGACTTCCTGGGTACAAAACCCAGCTAGCTATTCACTTATTAGTCGTGTGTCCTTGAGTAAGTTATGTAACCTCCCTAGGCCTTGGTTTCCTCACTTGTAAATTGGACTAATAATAAGCAAGGGGCATTGGGCTGAGAACTAAGGTTGTGGGTACCATCCAGATGTGCCATAGAGATAAAAATGGTGTAAGAAGAGGACACACGTGTGAATCCATCAGATGGAGAGGACTGAGGAGCATCAAGGCACTGAAGGGCCCTTGGGGCTGCAATATAGAGTGTGGCATAGAAATAATATAGCTGAAGCTGGAGAGGGAGGCTGTGATCAGGATTTTATCCCACGCCCAAGAAAAAGCCAGGAAATGCACTCTGGGTTAAGACCCACATGTCTCTCACCAGAACAATGCAGTAACCTCCAGCCCAGTTTCAAAGACTTTAAGCTTGCCCTCTACTAATTTTATAGGCTGCTGTGAGGTTAATCTTCCCAAAGTCATGGTCTGATTAAAACATTGCCCTTCTTGTTCAGAATTCAATCCAGTGCCTTGGGTAGACATTGAAGGTCAAGTCAACTCCACCTGACATTTCCAGAATTATTTCTCAGTATTTTTGCTTCTAATCAACCTCACCATGTTCTAGAACTCACTATTATGTAGGCAGAAATACCAAAAGCTGGTTCTTGGAAAAGATCATTAAAATCATTAAGGCTCTAGCCAGGCTAACTTAGAAAAAATGGGAGAAAACACAAAATACTACTATCAGATATGAAAGATGAGCACTATTACAAATTCCATGGACATTAAAATATAATCAAGGAATACTGGAAATAATTTTATGCCCACAAATTTGATAACCTAAATCAAATGAATCAATTCCTTATGAGACACAATCTGCCAAAACTCACAGAAGAATAAATATACAATCTACTAAAGAGACCCATCTATATTAAAGAAGTTGAATCAGTAATAACTTTCCAAAACAGGAAGCAGAAGGTCCAGATAGATTCACTGGTGAATTCTCCTAAACAGCTAAAATCTCTTCCAGAATACAGAAGAAAAGAGCATACTTTCTAACTCACTGTATAAAGCCATCACCGCCCTAATTCCAAAACCAGATCAGGACTTTACAAGAAAATAAAACTACAGACCAGTATCTCTCATGAACATAGTGCAAAAATCCTCAACAAAATATTAACAAATCAAATTTAACAAAATATAAAAATAATTACACACCATGACCAAGTGTGATTTATGCCCAGATATGAAAAATGTATTCAGTATTTGAAGATTGATTAATGTGATTCATTTTATCAACAAGCTAAAGAAGAAAAATCATATGATCATATCAATCCATATAGTATTTGACAAACCAGCAGTCATACATGATAAAATCTCTCAGCAGACTAAGAATAAAGGGGAACTTCTTCGACTGGATAAAGGACATTGATATGATTTAAATGTCTGCCCCCTCCACAACTCATGCTGAAATTTAATTGCCAACGTAATGGTATTGGAAGATGGTGCCTTTAAGAGGTGATTAGACCATGAGGGATCTGCCCTCCTGGCTGAGTTTAAAGCCTTTTAAAAAGGCTTTCAGGAATGGATTTCTTGCCTTCCCCTTCTGTTCTTCTGCCATGTGTGTGGCAGCATCCCTACCCTCTGGAGGATACGGCACTTAAGACCCTATCTTGGACATGGACACTGGGCTCTCACCAGACACCAAACCTGCCAGCACCTTGATCTTGGACTCTCCGGCCTCTAGGACTGTGAGAAATAAATTTCCGTCCTTTATAGATTACCCAGTCTGTGGCATTCTGTTGTAGCAACACAAAATGGACTAAGACAAATATTTACAATAAACCTAGAGCTAGCATTATATTTAATGATGATAAACTAGAAGTAGCTTTCCTTCTAAGGTAGGAAATATATAAGACTGTTCTTTCTCATCATTTCTTTTTGAAATTATACTGGAAGTCCTAGATAATGCAATAAGGCAAGAAAATGAAATGATAGATAGATAGATATAGATAGATTAGATAGACTGATAGATAGAGATAGATATAGAGAAGGAAGAACTAAAACTGCATTTATTCACAAATAACATGATTATTTATGTAGAAATCCTGAAAGTCTTGACAAAAATCTCCTGGAACCAATAAGCAATTATTGCAAGGTTGTAGGATACAAGGTTAATATTCAAAAAGCCATCATTTTCCTATATGCCATGAATGAGCAGGTGGAATTTGAAATTACAAACACAATACCATTTACATTAGCATCCCCAAAATAAAATACTTAGGTATAAATCTAACAAAATGGATACAAGATCTGCATGAGAAAAATTGCAAAAATTATCAGAGAAATCAAGGAATAACCAAATAAATGGAGGGATAGTTCATATTCATGGATGGTAAGAATCAATGTTGTAAAGATGTCAGTTCTTCCCAACTTGATTTTAGATTTATTACAATTCCAATCAAAATCTCAGCAAGTGATTTTGTGGATACTGACAAACTTATTCTAAAATTTACATGTGTATTAGTCAGGATTCTTCAGAAGGACAGAACTAATAGGATAGAGGTATATATAAAGGGGAGTTTATTAAGGAGTGTAACTCAGATGATCACAAGGTCCCACAATAGGCCATTTGCAAGCCAAAGAGCAAGCAAGGCAGTCCGAGTCCTAAAGCTGAAGAACCTGGAGTCCGACGTTCAAGGGCAGGAAGCATCCAGCAAGGGAGAAAGATGTAGGCTGAGAGGCTAAGCCAGTCTAGTCTTTTCAGGTTTTGTTTTTTTTTTTTTTTTTTTTTTCTGTCTGCTTTTATTCTGGTCACGCTGGCAGCTGATTAGATGGTGCCCACCCAGACTGAGGGTGGGTCTGCCTTTCCCAATCCACTGAGTCAAATGTTAATCTCCTGTAGCAACACCCTCACAAACACACCTGGGAACAATACTTTGTATCCTTCAATAAAATCAAGTTGACACTCAGTATTAACCATCACAACAGGTGTATTAAAATTTTTTGAAACTTTATATTTTCCCTAAAATAGGCTGTGAACACCCTGCCCAGGTGACCAGGTGCACTAGTTAATAAGAGTGGTTCTTGCCAAAAGTTCCCCTTCTTGCCCTTCCCTGTCTGTGACCTAAGATCACTCAAATCCATCAATGAAATCCCCTCATGTCTTTGTGTGCTCCCTCTAGCTCCTAAGAAAGGCACTGGCTCACAGATCCTCTCTCCTTTTTGGTTCCGAACCTGCCTAGCTGAGCTTGCTCCCCTGGCACTCCTTGCATATGGCCCCCTGCATGGCCTGCCATGCCACAGATCCTCTCCAGGATTTGTGAGTATGATGAGTACTTTAATTTCACATGCATCTTAAGTGTAATTTCCATGGCTGTGTTGGTATGATCCTTAAAGACCCCAGAAAGGGGACTTGCTCCCTCATTTATGACATAATATGGAGAGGCAAAAGACCCAGAATAGCCAACACTATATTAGGGAGAAGAACAAAATTGAGAGAATGACACTACCTGACTTTAAAATTATTATAAAGGTATGGTAATCAGGATGGTGTGGTATTGGCAGAAGAATGGAAAAATGATCAATGAAACAAAATAGATACTCCAGAAATAGATTAATTTAAACATAGCGAACTGATCTTCAACAAAGGAGCAAAGACAGTATAATGGAGAAAAGATAGTCTTTTCAGCAAATGGTGTTGAACCAACCTGCACACGTACCCCCTGAATTTGAAAGTTGTAATTATTTAAAACAACAAAAACAAAAACAGGACATTCACATAAAAAAGAGTCTAAGCATTGTCCTTACACTCTTCAAAAAAAAAAATAATTTAAAATGTATCATAGACCTAAATGTAAAACGTAAAATTATAAAACTCTTAGAAGATAATGTAGAAGAAAATCTAGGCGACCTTGGGTTTAGCAATGACTTTTTTAGGTAAAACACCAAAAGCATGATCCACAAAAGAAATAATTGATAAGCTTGACTTCATTAAAATTAAGAACTTGTATTCTGCAAAAGACAATGTCAAGAGAATGAGAAGACAAGCTATGGGCTGACATAAATACTTATAAAAAACATGTAATAGAGGACTATTATCTACAATATACAAAGAAATCTTAAAACTTAAGAAAATGAACAACCCATTAAAAACGGGGCAAAAGATATGAACATATAACTGGCCAAAGATATACAGAGGGCAAATGCACATATGAAAACATGCTGAACATTGTATGTCTTTAAGAAATGGCAAATTAAAATAACAATGAGATGCCACTACGCACCAATCAGAATGGCCAAAATCCAGAACATTGACAACACCAAAATGCTGGTGAAGATGTGGAGCAAAATGGTACAGCCGCTTTGTGTGGAAGACACTTTGTCAGTTTCATATAAAAGTAAACATATTCTTAACACTACTATCCAGCATTTGTGCTTTTTGATCTTTACTCAAATGAGCTAAACATTTATGTCCACAGAAAAACCTGCACATGAATGTTTACAGCAACTTTATTCATCTTTGTCAAAGTTTGGAAGCAACCAAGATGTCTTCCAGTGGGTGAATGGATGAATAAAGTGTGGTAAATCCAGACAATGGAATACTACTCAGCGCCAATAAGAAATGAATTAGCGAGGCACTGTGGCTCACGCCTGTAATCCCAGCACTTTGGGAGGCTGAGGCGGGTGGATCACCTGAGGTCAGGAGCCAACATGATGAAACCCCGTCTCTACTAAAAATTCAAAAAATTAGCCAAGCGTGGTGGCTAGGGCCTGTAATCCCAGCTACTCGGGAAGCTGAGGCGGGAGAATTGCTAGAACCCGGGAGGCGGAGGTTGCAGTGAGCCAAGATTGCGCCGTTGCCCTCCAGCCTGGGCAAACAGAGTGAAACTCCATCTCAAAAAAAAAAAGAAATGAATTATCAGTTCATGGAAAGACGTGGAGGAACTTTAAATGCACATTACTAAGTGAAAGAAGCCAATGTGAAAAGGCTACATATTGTATGATTCTACTATATGACATTGTGGGAAAGACCAAATTATGGAGACAGTAAAAAAATCAGTGGTTTCCAAGAATGAAGGGAGAGAGAGGGATAAAAGGGGAAGCACAGAGGATATTTAGGGCAGTGACGCTATTCTGCATGATGCTGTAATAGTGAAAATATGTCATGATGCGTTTGTCAAAACCCATAGGATATACACCACTAAGAGAGACCACTAATGTAAATATGGAATTGGTGTGATGTGTTATGTTTTATCAGTTGTAACAAATGCACCACTCCAGTGCAGGATGCTGATAGTGGGGGAGGCTGTATGTGTGTGCGGACTGAGGTATAGAGAGCTCTCTCTACCTTCTGCTCAATTTTGCTGTGAACCTAAAAATGCTGTAAAAACATAAAATCTATTGAAAAGGACCAAAGAAAAGAAGCAAATCATATGTAGAAAGGAAGAAATTAACATCATAGTTATAATAGGAAACTTTAATACACCATTTCCAGATAAAGCATATAAAATAGTTGTGATTAATAATAAAATTTACCAGTTTAACATAAACATATAATTTTATGAATATTTGTGGCTCTTAGCATATTAATAATATGTATTCTTTCCAGTCATACAGAAAACATTCTCAAA
Source organism: Homo sapiens (assembly GCF_000001405.40). Taxonomy (NCBI): domain Eukaryota; kingdom Metazoa; phylum Chordata; class Mammalia; order Primates; family Hominidae; genus Homo; species Homo sapiens. The sequence continues at coordinate 22,608,353 of NC_000013.11, forward strand.
ACAAAGCAAACACAACAAAATAAATTTTATGTATTAGATCACAAAAGAAATCTCAATAAATCCTCAAATGCAGAAATAATACTCTTCAAGGACCATAATTGTATAATTTCAAAAGTAACAGAAAAAGATGGAACAAAAGTGCCTAAATTTTGTTTAAAGAAAATTTAATAATATGCGATGTTCTAAGGAAATTTTTTAAATGAAAATTATAAAGAATGCAGAAATTCATGAACAAGAAACTATTTAATATTGAAACCTATGGGATACCAGCAAAGTGGATAATATGGTCTGAAAATTTTAATTATTAAAAAATTTTGTGATGAAAAAATAAAAACAGAGTGAACAATAACTTAGTCAAAGAAACCTGAAAAATAGCAATGCATCCAAGAAAATAGAAGGATTTAATAATGAAACAAATTTTAAAAGACAAAAAGTAAACTTGATTTTTTTAAATGAGTTATTTGATAACTTCAGAAACATCAGAATTTAAAACTCTAAATAAAAAAAGGCACTACAGATTTTGAGACTTTAAAGTCCTTTTGGGAACTGTGATGTGATGTGGAAATACTGATGTTTCCAGTAAAGGAATATTGGTGAGCTGCATATATAAATTTGACAGATAGCTATTTACATAGCCTTCTAAGTAAAGGCAGTGAATTCTCCATTTCCTACTGGAGGATTTATTTAAATAAAATATGTTTATTAAACACTCCTGCAAAGATGGTTTTATTTGTACCTGGTCATTTTGTTCAAGGAAGGGTTATATTGCATTCTCATGTCAAATATAAAAAGCAAGTCTTGCCCAATAAAAACACTACATTGTGTGAAAAAAAAGGCACTACAAACAAATTTAAACAGAAAAAGTTTGATTCTGTTAACATAAAAAGGAAAAAACAGGAAATACAGTATTAATAACATTGCATTACAGCATTTATAACTCAGTAAGGAAAAGACAAACAACGTAATAGAAAGAGGCACAGTCTGTGAATACACAACTGGCAAAGGATAAATAGAAATAGTTGATAAGCATTTTAAAAGATGCCAGTCCTCACTAGTAACCAGAATAATTTAAAATTAGATCCACAATGCCAAACTTTTTTACTCATCTGATTGACAAATTTGCATTCAGTAACATCAATATTGAAGGGTGACTAGAAACTAGCACACTAGTGGACTACTCAGGGTATTTAATTTTATTAAGTTATTGATCCAAGATTACTTGAAAGTATTTAATTTTTTTGAAAATCATGTTATCTAAACCAACAATTTTCTTTCACTTTTAAAATAGCTATCCTACGAAATCACTGACAATCATAGATAAATTTATTTCATCTTTGGTTTTAGTGGGAAAAAATGGAAAATAATTTACAGAAAATAATCTAAGTGTCCAATAGAGGTAATTATTATATAGGATATAATACAATGGAATATATGTGATAGAAAAGAATGTTCTCTGTTTATTTCTTGACCTCAAAAAAACTCAACCCAATTTTTTGAGTCAAAAAATGAATATTGTAGACTCACTCTGACATACAATATGATATGCCTGTAAAAATACATTAAATATTATATATTATAGTATTTTTATTTCCTTAGCAAATTATTTATTATTAAATTTTTGTATCAATACATGTTCAGGCTTTTTTGTTCTACAATTTTCTGTTAATTTTGAAAATTACATCTACTATCTACTAAAAATTATGTATAGTATATGTACTACATATTGTGTGTGTGTGTGTGTGTGTGTGTGTATATAGTGAAACCTATGTAGAAAATTACATAGTCAACTGATAATGGTTACACGGAAAGGACTGGTGTTCAAGAGAGCATGTATTTTATTTGTAATGTCTGAATTTTTTACATTGAGCATCTACCCACGACTTTCTCATATACTTAAAAATAAAATGTAATAAAATTAATAATGACACAAAAAATAACTTAAAATTTTAGTTTTGCATTTATAATAAAAACTAAAATATATTGAGTGTGTTTTACATGTTAAGCATTATTTTAAGTGTTTTTGCAGATGTTAATTTATTTGACAATCCTCAAAACAATACTGTGGATCAAGCATTATCACCATCCCCATTTCAGAAATCAAGAAAGTGAGGCACAGAGAGAATTTGAGTATACTAGTGAGAATCAAAAGAGATAGCAGTTTATGCTGCTAACCCATTTAAGAATGAAAGGAGTTTAAAAGTAGACAGGTAAGTATAAAGAAATATTCGGCTGGGCGCGGTGGCTCACGCCTATAATCCCAGCACTTTGGGAGGCCGAGGCGGACGGATCACGAGGTCAGGAGATCGAGACCATCCTGGCTAACACAGTGAAACCGCATCTCTACTAAAAACACACACACAAAAAATTCCCGGGCGTGGCAGCGTGCGCCTGTAGTCCCAGCTGCTGGGGAGGCTGAGGCAGGAGAATGGCGTGAACCCGGGAGGCAGAGCTTGCAGTGAGCCGAGATGCCGCCACACTGCACTCCAGCCTGGGCTACAGAGCAAGACTCAGTCTCAAAAAAAAAAAAAAAAAAAAAAAAAGGCGGGCGGATCACGAGGTCAGGAAATCGAGATCATCCTGGCTAACACGGTGAAACCCCATCTCTACTAAAAAATACAAAAAATAGCCGGCCATGGTGTCAGGCGCCTGTAGTCCCAGCTACTCGGGAGGCTGAGGCAGGACAATGGCGTGAACCCGGGAGGCAGAGCTTGCAGTGAGCCAGATCTTGCCACTGCACTCCAGCCTGGGAGACAGGGCGAGATTCCGTCTCAAAAAAAATAAATTCATTGAGTCATCCTTAAGAAACTTCAATAAACATCATAGAAAAATATACAGTCCAAATGGAAAACCCTAAATCGTTTTTTGCCCTGATGATTTAATATAATTTAAACTTCGGCCCAGCTCTTGTGGTAAAGGAAAAAAATCTCATATAGCACCTACGATAAAAAGCTCTGTCCACATCTCATTATATGTTCTGTCTTTGTATTTAACTTATTTAGAACACATCAAGAAACGCTGTGATAATTTCCATTCTTACATTAGCAGTATTCTTCAAATTTTATTCACTGGCATCTGTCAGCTAAACTAGAGAATCAACTTACCTGCAAAACTCTGATAAGTAAATGTGGGCCATTATTCTAGCGTTCAGTAGGAGAGTCCATCCTGACCCTGAGGCTTAAACCACTTGACCCACAAACACAAAGATATCAAATGTTCTGATGGATAGAAACAATTGCAGGGCATATGCTTCAATTCCACAGGCAACTCTTGTAAATCTCTCTGCTTCTGCTTTTGCTTTGAATTCTTTTCCATTGTCTCTGGGCTTTTCGCCATTAACATCCCTCAAATTCTCCTTTCCAGGTCTGGCTCTCCAGGACCCACTCTTAGTAAACCTTTTAGGGTAGGCTCCACCTCCACCAGTACTCTCCCTTCATTACCTCTCTGGTCTCTTGAGAGAAATCTTGCGATGTAGATTCTGTGAAACATTAGTGGAGTAAAGGAGTAAACAGAAATTTTATAAATTTTCTTTTGTGTCCAGCGAGTCTTACCGGCAGTAGTAGCTTTGTAACTACCCACTTGTAAAAGTTATTATTTGCATCATACCTCAGCCTACATGCTAAGTAACAGGTATTGACCTTTTTTACTGTGTGCAAGATACACCATCAGTATCTGTGAGAGATACAAAAATTTTTTTTGTAAAGATCCTTTCCGTAAAGGAAATTCAGATTTTTGAAACAGATAATTGACAAACAGATGAGCTACACATGGACAAAAATTACTATTATACAAGGCATAGACCGTTAAGTGCATGAATAACATGAAGTATAATCTTCTTGGAATCTGCAAACATTTCGGTTTTGGTTTACTATGTTTTCCATAATAATATGTACTCTATAATTAGATTTTATTACATGTGGTTTCTGAGAATTTTATAAATTTATAGGACAATAAATAAAAAATAATTGAGCAGGGACAAATAAGTCTGCAGCAGAATTTCCCCTGAAATGCACATTTACACCATTTTTCATTCCAAACCACATCGTGCATATGATTCTTTTTTTTAATTTAATTTTATTATTATTATACTTTAAGTTTTAGGGTACATGTGCACAATGTGCAGGTTAGTTACATATGTATACATGTGCCATGCTGGTGTGTTGCACCCATTAACTCATCATTTAGCATTAAGTATATCTCCTAAAGCTATCCCTCCCCACTCCCCCCACCCCACAACAGTCCCCAGAGTGTGATGTTCCCCTTCCTGTGTCCATGTGTTCTCATTGTTCAATTCCCACCTATGAGTGAGAGTATCCGGTGTTTGGTGCATATGATTCTTTTAAAAGTTTGTGAAGGAACCAAAACAACAGGTTAGTCTGGATATGATATTGCTCTTGGAGGGGTTTACATGATTTTTCTTTTACTCTTTGATCTTAAATCAAGTTCACCAATTATAAATCCTAGAACAAAACTAACAGAGCAAGAAATGTTTCATAGTTGGAATATATATTGATAGTTTATAATGTTCTAAAAATCTTTTTTTCTGATAGAAAATTTTGTTAAAGAAAAAAATAAAAATCCAAGTACTATTGGTGAATTGTAGCAACATATTAATATGTTTAAAAAATAAATTCAGGGAAAATAATAAAAACAGACAAAAATTATTAACAAGTTAGTATTTAAATTGTTGGTCTCAGTCATTGAAAAATGAAATATGTTTTCAAAGTAGAGTTGTTACACCTCTGTCAAAGATCTATTGACCATAATTACTTGAGTTTATTTCTGGGCTTTCTATCCTGTTCCATTGGTTCATGTGTGTTTTTATGCCGGTACCACACAGTTTTGATTACAATAGCTTTATAATATGTTTTACAATTGGGACGTGTGATGCCTTCAGCTTTGTTCTTTTTCTCAAGATTCCTCTAGCTAGTTGGGATCTTTTCTGGTTCCATACCAATTTTAAGATTGTTTTTTCTGTTTCTGTGAAAAATGACATTGGAATTTTGATATGGATTTCATTGAATCTGTAGATTGCTTTGGGTAGTATGGATATTTTAACAATATCAATTATGCTAATCCATGAACACAGGATATCTTTCCATTTATTTGTGTCCTACTCAATTACTTTCATCAGTATTTTATGGTTTTCAGTGTACAGATTTTTCACTTCCTTGGTTAAATTTACTCTTAAGTATTTTATTTTTTGATACTATTTTAAATGGTATTTTCTCTTATTTTTCAGATAGTTTGTTGTTAGTGTATAGATATGCTAACTTTTTTGCATTTATTTTGTAACCTAAAACTTTGATGAATTTGTTTATTAATTCTAACAGCTTTTTGGTGGTGTTTTTAGGGATTTCCATATAGAAGATCATGTCATCACCAAACAGACAATTTCACTTCTTCCATTGATATATGGATGCCTTTTATTATTTTTTTTCTTGCCTAATTGCTCTTGATGGAACTTCCAGTTCTATGTTGAATAGAAGTGGTGGGAGTGGGCATTTCTGTCTTGTTCCTGATTTTTGTAGGAAAAGCTTTCAACTTTTCACCACTATGGTGATAGCTGTGGGCTTGTCATATATGGCCTTATGTGTTGAAGTATATTCCTTCTATGCCTATTTTGTGAAAATTTTCATCATGAATGAATGTTGAATTTTGTTAAATTCTCTTTTTGTAGTTACTGAGATTATCATGTGGTTTTTGTCTTTCATTTTGTTAATATGATGTATCACATTTATTGACTTAATGTATGTGGAGCCATTCTTGCATCCCTGGGATAAATTCCTCTTGATCCTGGTGAATGGCTATTATCAGGAAGATGAATGATAAAAAGCGTTAGCAAGGATGTGGAGAAAAGGGAACACTTATACACTGTTCATGGTCATGTAAATTAGTATAGCCATTTTAGAAAATGTAAGTTCTTCAAAAAACTAAAATAATTATCATATGATCCAGTAATCCCACTTCTAGGTATATATCCAAAAGAATCGAAATAGGCATGTCAAAGAGATGTTTGCACTCTCATGTTCATTTCAGTATCTTTCACAATAGCCATGATAAGGAAGCAACCTATGTGTTCATCAACAGATGAAAAGATAATGTGGTATACATACACAATGGAATATTATTTAGTGTTTAAAAAGAGGCAAATTCCCTCATTTATGGCAACATGCATAGAACTGGAAAACATTATCTTAAATGAAATGCACAGAAAGACAAATACTGTAAGATCTCAGTTATATGTGGAATTTTAAAAAAGCAATTTCATAGAAACAGAGAGTAGAAAGGTGATTACCAGAGGCTAGAAGAAGGGGAAAAGATTGCAAAAGGGAAAATGTCAGTCATAGGGTACAAAGTTTCCATTAAATTGACTGAATAACTTTTAGTGATCTATTTCACTGCAGGGTGACCACAGTTAATAATAATGTATTATATATTTCAAAATTTTATTTATTTATTTATTTTGAGACAGAGTCTCGCTCTGTTGCCCAGGATGGAGTGCAGTGGTGCGATCTTGGCTCACTGCAAGCTCTGCCTCCAGGTTCACACCATTCTCCTGCCTCAGCCTCCCGAGTAGCTGGGACTACAGGCGCCCGCCACCACACCCGGCTAATTTTTTGTATTTTTAGTAAAGTGCTTGGATTACAGGCGTGAGCCACCACGCCCGGCCTATATTTCAAAATTTTTAAAGTAATAGATTGTTAATGTTCTCACCACAGAACCATAATAATTTGGTGATGTGATGGATATGTTAATTAGCTTAATTGAATTTTTCTGCAATATATAAATAGATCAAAACATCAGATTTACCCCACAAACACACAATTATTATTTGTCAATTAAAACAATAAAAATAAAAATCAACTTAGAGCTGCTAAAGATGAAATTGTGATGGGGAAATTTTGTTTTTGATGTTACAGTTCTCTAATTTTGACTGGGCTTTTCTTTATCCCTTGTTCTCTCAGTCTTTCAGTTAGTCAGTGCCGTTCCTCTATAGAAAACTTATGTTAGGAAAACGATTTATTTCATTACTTCAGTTAACATATATTTCAGCAAAGCATTATGCAAGGCATTGTGGGGGATGCACATTTGAACAATGCATAGTCTCTGTTCTTGTACAACCTCCAATATTACCTAGAAAAGTAGGTGGCAATTCCATGTGACAAATGGAATATAACCCATGCAAACTCTGTTACTGAAAGAATTGTTTCTGGGAGAATGAAAGAGAATACATCATAGAGAAAGGTAAACTTTTGCAGAATCTCAAAGAAGAATCAACTGCACTGTGTTAAGCAAATATACCATAAATGAATGAATAAATATATTCTTCATGCAAGAATTTAATATTAAGCATTATTATTCCAAGTGGAAAGAATAGCAGGGTAAAGCAATAAATTTCAGTAAAGGTTTTGAGGAATATAAAACATGGGAAACTAGGATACAAATGGAGAGCACTTGAGTTTTTGAGTAAAGGTTTTAGATTTGAGGGATACATTGTCTTAGGGAACCACTGAAGATTTCGTAGGAGAAAATTAACACTATGAATACTGTTTTTGGAAGATTAATCTCATAGCCCAATAAAATGGATTGAAGCAAGAGAAAATTTTGAAGAGCGGCCATTTGAAAGGCTACAGCTAGTGCAGGAGCTGAAAAACATCAAATCAGAGCAGATGTGGCAAGGCTAAAGTAAATAGTCTGTGAAAGAGAAACAGAAAGAAGATTTGACAGAATTTAGCACTGCTAAAGTTCTTTTCCAATTGTTACTTAATAATGTCCCTATTCATGTCTGTGTCATCTTTCATCTTCCTCATATGTAATTTTGTTAACAACGGTCTTCAGCATTTCATTGCAAGTCCACTCTTTATACTCCCAATTGAGCATCCTACTTTGATGAAACTTGATTTTTATCACCCCATCTAAGTCTCCAAGTCTTTACCTAATCCACTCACTTTCCCAGCATTCTTCTGCTCCACTGAAATGTGTAGATCCGTCGTCTCAAAAAAACTCCCGATCCTCCCAATTCTACAGCCTACTTCTTCCCATCCTCATACATGTTTGTAGTTGTATTTGCAGACATTTATTGGTGCTGATTAAATTCCGTGTTCTATTACTTCAAAAGTCATATGAGAATAGGGCTATTTTTATAGCTAATACTTGAACAAGCCACAAGTGCATACCTACTATGTGGGATAAACACATCTGTAACTGGTAAGTGGAAAATTATAATGGAAAGACATCAGATAGAAGTATAAAATACTATAATTTTTTTTTGAGATGGATTCTGTCTCTGCAGCCCAGGCTGGAGTGCAGTCTTGGCTCACTCCAACCTCTGCCTCCCAGGATCAAGCAATTCTCCTGTTGCAACCTCCCGAGTAGCTGACACTACAGGCACACATCACCATGCCCGGCTAATTTTTTGTATTTTTAGTAGAGATGGGGTGTCATCATGTTGGTCAGGCTGGTCTTGAACTCCTGACCTCAGGTGACCCACCCGCCTCGACCTCCCAAAATGCTGGGATTACAGGCGTGAGCCACTGCACCTGACCTAAAATACCACCATATTTTATATGTCTTTTAATCTGAGAGATATTATTCTGGTTGCCAATTCAATAAGTGCTGGACTTTGTTTAATAATATATTCCTAAAAACACATCTCAAATGAGATGTGAAAAATTTGAACTAAAGACTTCAAAGTCAAAAAGGGGGCTCTATTCCGAGAGAAGTAAAATATATAGAAAAATCCCTACTTTAGCATCTTAAATTTTAGATATGATATTCAGCAATAAATTTGTAGATTTTCTTGTATAGTCTTTAACTGTGTTTAACACTAAGCCATTGGCCTTGATTCCAATGGGTATCCAACTATGAATAGATGTTTTTTGATTTTGACACATCTAAAGATGTCCTTATATTGCTCATGTGACCTATGTTTCCACTAATACTAGCACTCTTAATGTTTTTGTATACAATGATATTAAAGAATAATGCATTAAAAATTTTTTCATTGGGCAATTAAAATTTTATATACAAATATGGCAATTGTGCCTCAACAAAGCTATTGACTACTAGATGGTAACATCAAGCTATTTTGAACAAGACTGGTCTTCAAAATCTACAAAAGGTCTAATTTTGTTTAAGGATAGGATTTTTAAGGAATATCAATGAATAATAACCAATGTCTAGGTTGTGAACAAATTGAACATACAAAAAATAAGCTTTCTCCCTAAAAAACATGGCCCACATTGTCTTGGAAAAATATTTTATCTGTGACTCAAAGAATGATAGACACAGCTACAAAGGATTTTAGAAATCATCTGTCACACAAAACCCTGCTTTGAGAATGAAGACACATGAAGCCAGTAGAGGTGCAGTAATTGATACAACATAATGCACTTTACCCTATGTGTGATGGATGTATGCTAATGCAGATGGGAAGAACAATGTTAGCTACTACTTTATACCACCCAACATGATGCCTTTGAACATATAACTTTGATTTTTAAACATTGTGATAAAGTACAGCTAACGTAAAATTTCCTATCTTAGCCATTTTTTCTAAATTTGATTTTACGCACTCATGTTTTGGAACTTTGCCATAGTGCCTAGAAACTGAACCTGGGAGATGGGTACCATCTCTAATTCCACACATTCCTGCTAAACAGTGTGCAATACATATTCATCAAATAAGCAAAGAAGTGTGCTGGGGGTTTGGCTGCAGGGTAGGAAAGGTAGCATCTGGAAAGGCAGAGTTCAGAGCATTCTGAACTCTGGTGAACTCAAATTCTGTCTGAGATACACTCTTACCACAGTAAATATAATTTGGCTTTGCAGTGAAACACGTGTCATTAACCCAGGGCATGTGTGTTACTGGACATCCTCAGAATCCTCTTTTCGCCCCTTGCCCTACTGATTTAAATGGCTAAGGAACTGTGAGAACTACCATTTCCCAGTTTCTACATTTGGGGCTGAACAGATCATGTTTTGCTGATGTTCACTACATATCACAAAGACTTCTAAATAATAAATTACAAAGCGTCTGGTGTTTTCAGAAAATGAAACATTACATTTCCTTTAGTCCACTGTTCAAACATGTGTTTGAAAGTTTTAAGGTGTTCAAGTTTGCAAATGTATCAAATGTATTATCTGTAGGTTATTATAAATTGTAGCATTTTTTTTTTCTGAAGCCTTTAACTAATTTGCTAGCGTCTTGCTCCATTGGTTTCTGGCCTCCAGTCAGCAGTATGACGATAGGCCTACAGCATTATTTGAATATGCAAGGCAAGTCCTGCATGTTATTTAGGTTTCACTGTGGCCAACTGATCCCAAGTTGCATAGTTTTAGTTAGGAGTATTTTTAAAATAAATAAGTGCCTGTGTTTACTAAAATGTAGGATAATTGTTGCGTTCCTCCTTCAAAGAAAGTCCCAGCATAGGCCGGGCGTGATGCTCACGCCTGTAATCACAGCACTTTGGGAGGCCGAGGCGGGCAGATCACGAGGTCAGGAGATCGAGACCTTCCTGGCTAACACGGCGAAACCCCGTCTCTACTAGAAAATACAAAAAATTAGCCGGGCGTGGTGGCGGACACCTGTAGTCCCAGCTACTCGGGAGACTGAGGCTGAGGCAGGAGAATGGCACGAGCTTCTGTCTCCGGGAGGCAGAGCTTGCAGTGAGCCAGGATCGCGCCACTGCACTCCAGCCTCAGCGACAGAGTAAGACTGTCTCAAAAAAAAAAAAAAAAAAGTCCCAGCATAAAGTAATTTTTTTAATTCAATATCTTCCTTCTATCTTGGAAGAATGACATTCCGAATAGTTTTAATGATGTCAAAGTACAAAAGTTCAAGAGTTACTTTGAAAGTTTAATTTATAGCTATCTAAAGACTAATGCCAGGTTTGAACACGAATACAACTCAAGGAATACCATACCACCTGTGACAACTTGGAGATTAGGTCCACTATAATTTAGTTTTACCAGTTTATCTGCTATTTGGCAAGAACTGAATAAGTTCCCTCCAGGTTTAAACCATATCTTGTGCTTTCAATTCACGGAAACTATAGTTTTGAATTGAGAAATACCATACGAAAATTAATCTGCTTAAGAAGAGGAGATATACCAGCTTGATCCAAGCACCTTGCAATTTATATTTGTGTTAAATATTTAAGTGTTTTACAGTTGTTACATTGCATCTTATTGGGCTGCATTTTAGAACCATCTTTTTTCTGCTTTTGTAATCAAATATTTTTAAAAATACCTGAAACCTCCAAGAAACATTCGAATAAATGTTTCCATTTTGAAAAAATATTTTCTCTGTTAAATTGATTTGCTTTTTGACCAAAGATCAATTGACCATATTTATATGGGTCTACTTCTGGGCACTTTATTCCATTGCACTGGTCTATTCGTCTGTTATTTCACCCGTAATACACTGCCTTTATTACTACAGCTTTATAGTAGTTCGTTGATTTGCACAAAGTAACTTGCTAGTATTTTGACTGGGACTGTGTTGAATTTATACATAAAATTAAGAACTAACATCTTGACAAAGCTGAGACTTCGTATCTATGAACCACGGAATTGCTCTCCATTTATTTAGGTCTTTTTTTTTTTTTTTTTTTTGAGACGGAGTCTCACTCTTTCACCCAGGCTGGAGTGCAGTGGTGCAATCCCAGCTCACTGCAAGGTCCGCCTCCCAGGTTCACGCCATTCTCCTGCCTCAGCCTCCCGAGTAGCTGGGACTACAGGCGCCCACCACCACGCCCGGCTAATTTTTGTATTTTTTTAGTAGAGATGGGGTTTCACCTTGTTAGCCAGGATGGTCTCGATCTCCTGACCTGGTGATCCGCCCGCCTCGGCCTCCCAAAGTGCTGGGATTACAGGCGTGAGCCACCGCGACTGGCCTATTTAGGTCTTTTTTATCAGAATTTTTTCTTTCATCAGAATTTTGTGGCTTTCCTCATAAAGATCTTGTACATATTTTGTTAAACTTAGATCAAAGGGTTTTCTGGTGCTAATATAAATGGTGGGTTTTCTGGTGCTAATATAAATGGTGTTATGTTTCTAATTTCAAGTTTCAATTGTCCATTGCTGGTGTATAAGAAAGCAACTGACATTTGCCTATCAACCCACATCCTGCAACCTTGCTGTAATTGCCTATTAGTTCCAGGAGGGTTTTTTGGTTGTTAATTCTTTGGGATTTCCTTTATAGATGTTCTACAATAGAGCTTTCTACTCTAATCTTTATGATTTTTTATAGCTGTTTCAAGCATAAATTATTTCTTCTTTCTGTAATTCTCTAAGGTGGAAGCTTAGGTTATTGATTTTAGATCTTTCTTTCCTTTTTTATTATCATTCCTTTTAAAAATTTTATTGAGGTATATTTGACTAGTAAAAATTGTATACGCTTAAGGTATACAATTATTTGATATATACACTGTAAAATAATCACCACAATAAAGCTAATTAACATCACCATCACCTCAGCTTTTTTTCCTAATATAAGCATTTAATAATGTAATTTTCCCTCTAAATAATGCTATCAATGCATTCCACATATTTTGATGTTGTGTTTTAAATTTCATCTGGTTCAATTTTTTTAAAAAATCTATCCAGGGACTTCTTTTACCCATGTTTTGTTTAGAAGTTCTTCGTGTATTGTTCAAATATTTGGAAATTTTCCAAATATCATTCTGTTATCGATTTGTAGTTTGATTTCACTGTGGTCAGAGAACATATTCTGCATAATTCCTGTTTTTTTTTTAACTAGTTAAGGTGTGTTTATGAGCTAGAATGGGGTCTATCTTGTTGCATGTTCCATGTGAATTTGAGAAGAATATATATTGTGCTGTTGTTGGATGAAGAATTCTGTAAACATCAATTAGAATATGTTAATTATAAAGCTATTGAGATCAACTGCATCCTACTGATTCTCTGCCTGCTTGATATATATGTATTAATAAAAGAAGGGTATTGTATTCTTCAGCTTTAATAATACATTTGTCTATTTCTCCTTGCAGTTCTATCAGTTTTTGCTTCACGTATTTTGAGTCTGTGTTATTAGGCACATACAGATTAAGGATTTGTCTTCTTAGAGAATTGACACCTTCATCAACATGTAATGACTCTTTTTTCTCTTACAGTTTTTCTTGCTCAGAAATCTGCTTTGTCTGAAATTAATACAGCTATACCAACTTTCTTTTGATTAGTGTTAGTATGATACATCTTTCCCCCACCTCTTTAGATTAAACCTGTGTCTTTATATTTAAAGAGGGTTTCTTGTAGAAAATTTATAGTAGGGTCTTTTTTATTGCAATCCACTCTAGCAACCTATCTTTAATTGAAGTATTAAGACCACTGACAAAGTGATGATTGATAGTTGGGTTAATATCTACCATATTTGTAACTGTATTTTATTCATTGCTTTCCCTGTTTTTTAATTCACCTTTTTTTTTTCTTTTTTTTGAGATGGAATTTCGCTCTTGTCACCCAGGTTGGAGTGCAGTGGCACGATCTCAGCTCACTGCAACCTCTGCATCCGGGGTTCAAATGATTCTCCTGCCTCAGCCTCCTGAGTAGCTGGGATTACAAGCGCCCGCCACTACACCTGGCTAATTTTTTGTATTTTTTATAGAGACAGGGTTTCGCCATGCTGGGCAGGCTGGTCTTGAACTCTGGACCTCAGTTGATCTGCCCACCTTGGCCTCCCAAAGTGCTGGGATTACAGGCCTGAGGCACCGCACCCAGCCTTTATTCACCTTCTTTTGTCTGGCTTGTCGATTTTAATTCAGTATATGTATATTTTCTCTCTTCTCTTAGCATTTCAGTTAAGTGTTGCTTTTAAAAAACCTTAGTGTTTGCCCTAAAGTTTGCCATATACATTTTATAACTAACCTAAGTTTACTTTCAAATAAGTTTATACTGCTTCATGAATTTTGCAGGTGCTGTAAAGTATTTCAAAGTTCTCCATCTAATTACTTATAAAGTTACTGTCATTAATTTCAGTCTACCACATGCTACAGTCACATAATACATTCTTATTATTTTGAGAAAATATCTATCTTATCAATTAAGAATAAGATAAACAAAGATTTTACTTTATTTTCACTTATTCCTTCTCCAAAGCTTTTCTTAATTATGTAGAAAGTTTTTACATTTTCTTCATTTTTGAAGGTTAATTTCTCTGAATATAAAATTATTGTTTTTGTTTCAACACTTTAAATACTTCACCCACTTTCTTCTCATTTGCAAAGTTTCTGATAAAATGTAACATATAATATTGTATTTTTTCTCTATAAATGTAATGTTTTCCCTCTGGCTTCTTTCAAAGTTTTCTTTTCCTTTGGTTTCCATTTGTTTGGATATGGTAAGCCTGGATATATATATATAATATATATATACACACACACATATACACATATATAATGTACATATATACATGCTGATGTGTATATATATACACATTAATTTTAGAAAATTCTCAGCCAACAATTATTGCTTCAAATATTACTTCTGCTCATTTTTTCTTCTTTTAGTATTGCAATTACATGTATGTCTTATCTTTTAAAAATGTTTCACAGATCTTGGATATTAGGTTCTGTGTTTTCATCCTTTTTTCTATTTACATTTTAGTTTGGAAAGTTTCTAATGGTATTGCTTCACATTCACTGATTCTTTCGGCCAAGTTCAGCTTACTGAGTCCATCAAAGGCATTCTTTATTTCTATGACTTTGGTTTTAAATTCTAGCATTTTATTTTCATTCTTTCTTAGAGTTGTCATTTCTGGGCTTACATTACCAATCTGTTATTGCATGTAATCTACTCTCTCCATTAGAACTATTAGCATGTTAATTACAGTTATTTTTAAATCCTTGTCTGAAAATTCCAAAATCTCTTCCAAGTCCAGTTCTGATTCTTGCTTTGGCATCTGCAGACTTGTAATTTTTTAAGCATGCTTTGTAATTTTTTGTAGAAAACTCTATATAGTGTATTGAGCAAAAAAAAAAAAAAAACTGAGATAAATAGGCCTTTAGTGAGACATTTTATGTTTATGTGGCTATAGGTTAGGTTATATTTATTGTTTCCTGTGGCTGTAGGTATCTGAAGCTAATATTCCTCTGGTGTCCATGGGTTATCTCCCCTGCTGTATTTACATTTCCCTAGAGACTCCTTCTTAAGTAGAGTCTGACAGCTTTATCCACTTTTATTATAAAAAGCCCTGTTAATGTGGTGGTAAGGAGTGGCAAAGGAGAAGCATTCTATATTCTTATAATGTTATCTCAGTCTCTTTAGGTCCCTCTGCTGTGATTTTCACAAATACTTCTCACTATTTTTTTCTCCCCTTCCTAGATGAGACAGAAAGGTTGGAGTGGGCTGGAGTTGGATGATTACTCTTCTACCTGCGTGAGATTAGGCTCTGGTGAACTCATTTTCACTTGAGAGTGGGCCTTTGTCATGGAGAACACACTGGGCAGATTTCAAAATAATTATTTTTATCTTCTCATGCTAAAGACACAAGGTGATTTTTCTTGAATACTATTATGAGAACCTGCTGGCATTGTTTTCATATAAAAATCCATGAAATATGAATGTAAGTGGATTGTAGCCTCCAGCAGTTATTCATTATCAATCCTGTCTAAACTTAGCATCACCACTTAAGTGTGCCTACCAGATTACACCTCCAGTGACTTCTGTTCCATGTAAAATGATCTCAGCTATATTTCTCCAAATTTGTCTGTCTCTCTAGATTTTAGGGTGGCAGTTTGCCCCGCAATCTCAATCATCTGTTGGGTGCAAAAAACAAAAAGTCATTGATTTTCATTTGTTTAGTTTTTTCCTTGTCATAAGGATGAGAGTGACAATTTCCAAGCTCTCTAAGTGTTGGAGCTGGAACAGGAAGTCCTCTCCATTTTTTTAAGTGTAGCATATTTCAAAAGCACTGACATTGTAGTTAACATCTGGTTACTAGATTACAATTTTGTGGTTAGGAAAATATTTTTTTTAAGTACAAGGCTGAGAGATCAACTCATAAAACTTTACAAATGAACAAGTGTTCTATGGATAAAAATCCCTTTAGCAATTGTATGGGAGGATAATCATAAATCCCCTTTCTTACAGGCAATTTTACCATTTCAGCAGATCAACATGCAGTTAAAAAGAAATATGCCATCAGAACAAACTATTTTTCTATTATTTGAGTTAACTGAGATGTTGCTGCATTTTATTATAAAGACATTTATCTTTTTAGGAAGGGGGCTGGAATGAATGTTAGACAAGTAAAGCATTTCCAGGAGCTCAAACTTTAAGAGGGACCAAAAACTTAGTAATCAAGATAAATTATATTTTAAAATAGTACTTTTTTAAAAATAAATATTAATGAAAAAATTTTACAATGAAGAAAATATCAAAATTTACTTAAAGATAGAATTAGAAACAGTCCCATGCACAGTCAGTCATACTGGAGACTAAGGCAAAAGGGAAAATCTTGATTGCTGACTTGTTTTATATTTCTTTAAATTGCACACCCTACACAAGTGGCTCCTTCTACTCCAGCCCTAGTAGGGGAATGTTCAGTCATCAGACACTGGAAAAATACATGTAAGTTTACATCTTACAGAAGGAAACATTGAAGTATGTCAAATACAGGATGATTTTCTTCCATACATAGTTAAACATTATCATGTGAAATTCAATATAACTAAGTGAAAAAAAAACTGTTGCTGATTCCTTTTTTAAGTAAAAAGCTATTATTTCATTTAGTAGCTCTTTGTGATTTGACAATAATATTAATATATTAAAGGTTAACATATTTTCTCTTCACACACAAATGCATATACACATACACATTTATGTACACACATACAAATATTACAAGAGATTGAAAATAGGCATCTCCATAAAAAAGTATCTCTTGGGCTGACTTCCCACTGAAGCTTCTGGTCTCGCCATGATTTTGGATTCCTTCTTTCCCCTATGATCCCTCCATCGCTATTCCCTTCTCAGGCTTTTCCAAACCTTAAAATAACTGCTATTTTTTACTGTAAATCTTTAAGGTCGACAATGTAATATTTATATATATATATATATATATACATACATATATATATATATATATATATATATATGTAAATGACCACTATAGTCAAGCAAATTAACACATCCTTCTTCTCACATAGTTTTTGTTTGTTTTGTGGTAACAGCACCTGAAATCTACTCACTTTAGATATTTATTTGGCCACTTCCTCTCTTCCTAACTAAAGAGACTTGAATTTGTGTTCAAATGCAGTTTCATTTATATAAGGCATGCTATTAAGTACCATACATATAAATATGCATACCCTTTTGTTGGATACACAGGGTAAAATAATTCAAATATATAATATGTAATTTAAAAATACCAGAGAGTATGTGTTATTACTAAAACATTCCCATTAGACATGATCAAAATACATTTGCACATGAGGGTTGCTACTTAATGAGCTGTGGTGGTGAGAAGTGAACAGCTGTTCTAGCGACAAGACGGTTGGTGGGCTTGACGCAACTGAGCACATCTGAGCACAGGGAACTCACCAAACTGCCTGGCGATGCACAGGTGTTGAGAAACAAGACAACGACAAAGAACAGTCTCTTCTAGGTGTGCCCAGATGATGATAATCAGGACAATTTGGGACTTCATATTTTTCAGAACTTTAATCTTCATAAAATTTTCAACAGGAACAAAGAGAAAGGGCTGGAATTATCTGAATTGTATAGGTAGATAAAGTACCTAGAGTACTTCCAAACTTACACATTGAGTCATAGATAACATAATCAACTTAAATATATACATTTATATATATTTATATTTTTATATATTTATTTATATTTACATATATTTATATATATTTATATATTTAATTTAAACTGTGGTTTTAGAAATCAGGTGGAAAGGGTCACATTTGTAACTAGAAAAATTCAGGTCAGGTTTCTGTCAGTACTGAAACCTATTGCTTTAATTCCACATATCAAACATTATTTTGTCTCTATCTTATTTTGTTAATGTCCTGTAAACAAAATGCTGGTTTTCTACTTCTCAGAAATGTTTACTGTGAGTCCAATTTTGCCATTATGAAGAAAAATGTAAGGGAAAACTAGTCCTGCACATGTTATATTATTTAGACACATAAACAATAGAATATGTACTAAAAACTCATAACAATCACATCTAAAGGGCAGGGAACAAAGAGATTTATTTCAAATATTGAATTTCCTGCTTAATTGTTTTTATGGTCAAAAGTCCTTGTTGAGCAGACTACTTTTATGACTCTCCACAATCTCCACAAGTGACCTAAAGACAAAGTGTAGGAGACTAGGAGAGAAGTACAAAGAGGTAGGGCCTGAGACCCAGAATAAAATGAATACATGCAAGGAGAAATCAAGTCTAGAGCAGAGGCTTTTTCACTTCATAAATTACTATCTTGATGGACATTCAATACTAGCAAATTCAATGCACAAGTAATGCAAAGAATTTTTGTGGGTGGAAAAGACTGAAAGAAGAGATCAAGCAACAGTGTCGGTAGCTCTGGATAGTTTGATAATGGTCCCAGATTTCAAGCAGATACTTAAATACATTCTTCACATAACTTAGAGTACCCGGGTGTTACATCTCACAGAAATGGTATACTCATTGTGCTGTTTTTATTTCTAAGTAGAATCTTGAAAGGTCTTTCTAAGTAAAATGTTGGCAAAGAAACAATCCCATCACTAAACGTCCCTGTCATTTCTCTTTTTATGGGATTGGTCGCAGATGTTGCAGGGTCTTTGCTTCTCCACCTACGTCTGTTCACACTCAGCTCAGTCACCAATTGGGATAAATACTGAACATGCTGCTCTGCTGTTGTGATTCAGTTTTAAAACTTACTTTTTAATATTTTGGTGTTTTTTTTTGTCTCAACTTACTGGTGCTTTTTGCAGAGAAAACTTTCAAGTGGTTTTAGGTGATAAAATAAGGCAATGATGAATTACTTGGGAACTTTATTAAACATGAGATTGAACTTTGATCAACACATTTTCGTAGAAAAACAAGAAATATCAATTAGAGACAAATCTGAGACAAAGTTCAATTCAAAATAGATTGAGACTGGAAGAGCATTAATGTTACTTAAATCATATCTTTAATAGAAATATACAAATGAAGGTTCTAACAACTGGATGTTTTCATAAGTGAAGGAACATCTAAAACTAACTTTTAGAAAATTAATAGTAGGTGCCCTGGAGGCTATTGTATTACTTACACAACATTTTTTTAAAAGTATCATTTTATATTCTGTATAAGATGACTAAAATGGGTTTTGTTTTTGTCATTGTTGTTATACAATTAAAAGTTGTTCAAGAAAGGAGGCGTAACCATAATGTAATAGGCTGCTTAACTGTAAGGAATATTTGCATAGTCATAGAAGTGTAAACCCTAAGTATTGATTTAATTTCAAAGGGTGATATAAGTATATTGGAAGAATGAGGGGTGCTCTGTGTGAGTTTATAGCTAGCAAAGATTTTATAAAATAGATTATTTCTCAACCTCAATACAAGGAAAGTAATAGATACCATCTAAAGGTTAAAAATCAGGAAACAGCTGTCCAAACATTTCATTTGGAAGTTGGAGGTAAATGACATTAGAAACAACTAAACTATAGGCAAGTAGAAACAAAACTGGGAGAATGGGCAAAGGACCATTCTTTCTTTCTTTTTTTTTTTTTTTTTTTGAGACAGAGTTTTGCTCTGTCATCCAGGCTGGAGTGATCTCAGCTCACTACAACCTCCACCTCCCAGGTTCAAGCAATTCTCCTGCCTCAGCCTCCCAAGTAGCTGGGATTACAGGTGTGCACCACGATGCCCAGCTAATTTTCTTTGTATTTTTAGTAGAGACGGGGTTACACCATGTTGGCCAGGCTGATCTTGAACTCTTGACCTCAAGTGATCCACCCACCTCGGCCTCCCAAAGTGCTGGGATTACAGGCGTGA
Source organism: Homo sapiens (assembly GCF_000001405.40). Lineage (NCBI taxonomy): Eukaryota > Metazoa > Chordata > Mammalia > Primates > Hominidae > Homo > Homo sapiens. Next base: position 22,628,345 of record NC_000013.11, read on the forward strand.
GCCACCACACCCGGCCAGGACCATTGTTTATTCTTGGACAGTTGTGTTACTAATTATCACCCTGCTGGTACTTTTTGAATCTATATGTATTATTACCTTGATAAAATTAAACACTTAAGAGTTTTATAAGAAATTAAATCCTATTTTTAAAAAGAAAACATTTTTGTGTAGGAGGGGAAGACTACTTCAACATTTCTCTTTAATATAGAAAAGTGGAAATGTTAATTAACAAAAACTATTATTTCTGGCCAAAGTATTATAACACCTTTGAGAGCGAGCAACATTAAAGAATACACTCTGCAATCCTGCTTCCCCAATAAACAAAATTATCTTCATAGTCTTATTCAAACTTGTATACAGCCATAGCATAGTGAATAAGACCAAAGGCTTTCATTCAGACTATCTTGGTTTGAATCCTGGTTGTGTAACTTTCAACAAGTCAGCTAACCTATTTAGTAAAAACGTGCATCACTGCATTGTTTGAGAGTTAAATAAGATAATAAATGCAAAGCACTTACCATGGTGCCTAGCATAGATTCACATTCAATTAATGTTGGTTTTTCTTTCATCCACAAATGAAATCACAGCATAGATAAATATTTGTATGTCTCCACATAAACTCAATTCCTCAGCCACCTCCCCTTTTCCCACAATGCAGCCCCGTTACTCCTCTCCTGTGCTAATTCCTGACCATTCTTCAGAAAAGCCTTCACTAATTGGCACTATGTAAGCCCTATTGCCCCTTTTTTAATTTTATCCTCCATGGTATCCTGCTTATTTCCTTAATAGCACTTCCTAGAACATAAAATAAATATTTTTGAGCGTAATTATTTATTTAATATCCATTTGTGTCTGACAGTAGACTTTAAACTCTTTGGAGCAAAGTCTACTTCTATCTCCATCTTTATTAGATACTTAGTTCCAAGCACACTGTTTGACTCATAATAGGTGTTCATTAAATGATCGGCTCATAGGTTGATTGAATAATAATTCTTGTGACTGCATAACTTTCCATTAGGTTGCTGAGCTATATCTTCCTTAACTGTTGTATTACTGAGGTAGGGGGCTGGCAGGACTTGTTTTCCAGTCATGGCCCTGCTGATCAAAGCAGGCTCTGATCAAAACAGGATACAGCAAACAAGCGGGCCAAAACCAGCATATGGCTATGAAAGTGACCTTTAGGTGCCCTCACTGCTCATTAGCATAAAGACACACCCACCAGCACCATGACAGTTTACAGATGCCATGGCAACAGGCCATGGCAATGGCTAGAAAGTTACCTTATATGGTTCCTGGAACTCCCAACCCTCTTTCCAGAAAGTTCTGAATACCGTGCCTCTTAATTAACATATAATTAAAAGTGGGTATAAGTACAGCTGCCAACAGCCTATATGCTGCTATATCTGGGCACACTGCCAGTACTGCAAGGAGCAGTACTGGTTCAATAAAAGTTGCTTTCTCTTACCACCAGCTTGCCTTTGAATTCTTTCCTGGGTGAAGCCAAGAACCCTCCCAAGCTAAGCCCCAACTTTGGGGCTCACCTACCCGCCTGCATCATTACTGTTGGGATACTTCTAATTTTCAGTTTCTTCCACTTGTCCATAGTGCTATAATGAATATGTTAAGAATAGGGATTTTTCTTCTTTTTGATTATAAACATTTAATAAACACATCCAAAATGTGAATACTTCTGTCTAAATTATCTGATCATGTTTTATAGCTCCATATTCTCATAAGCACCTACTCAAACGATCAACATATCCTTGAATGTATAAGCAAATTCATGAAGGAAGTAAACAGTTAAGACCAACAATTGATCAGTTAGGACTTTTCCAGAAGTTTACTTTATGTCTGTTCATAATACTTCTACTTCATGTTGTTTTTCTTAATCCTGCTCCCTAGTGGTCAAATATTTAGCATGATTAATGCCTCATCTTTTGAGAGAAAAACTACATTTGGAGTGCTCTTACTTTTTTTAAAAAAAAGGCGTATTGATGATTCTTTCTAAATGCTCACCTGCCTCCTTCTTTGGTGTGATTTGATAATTTCTTACTAAAAGGTGACTTGCTAGAAATATTTTTACAATCTTCTTTTGTGAGTAACTTTTTTTGAAAAAGCCTTCCTTCATTATTAAACAAGTTATTTGACTTTGGCTTATTTTCAGTTTTATTTTCCTCAGATAGTAAGTAGCATTATCTTTCTTTTTACAGAGGTAGAAACTGAACTTTTGAACATACAAGTAATTAGTCCAAGCTCACAAAGTAAAGAATGATGGGTCCTTTTGTCTCTGAAGTCTACATCCCCAACTCATATACCACACAGCCTCCATCCTCTACTTCTACAGTGGTATCTACTATTTCCACACTTCATTATAACTCTGTGAAGTCACATATCATTCCTCATTCTCAGTTTCATACTTAACACCTATCACAGGGCACAACAGGTCACTCAGTGATAATGAGGTTTACTAAAGTAAAATTTATGCCATTGATCATTGTGAGTGGGGTCAACCAAAATGAAAAAGAAATAACTCGGGCAATTCAGATGTAATATGTACAAATGTTAATTACTGTGAATTCTTAATTAAGTTATTCCTCTCCCATGCCATGATGTATATGCCACCTTCTCCTAAATCTACACAGTTGAATAGTAGCCATCTGAAGACTTAAGGACTATGAATTGTGAAACACTCACATAGTAATGTTCTTTTTTTTAAAATTATACTTTAAGTTCTGAGATACATGTGCAGAACGTGCAGGTCTGTTACATAGGTATACATGTGCCACAGTGGTTTGCTGCACCCATCAACCTGTCATCTACATTAGGTATTTCTCCTAATGCTATCCCTCCCATAGCCCCCAACCCCCTGACAGGCCCCTGTGTGTGATGGTCCCCTCCCTGTGTCCATGTATTCTCATTGCTCAACTCCCACTTATGAGTGAGAACATGCAGTGTTTGGTTTTCTGTTCCTGTGTTAGTTTCCTGAGAATGATGGTTTCCAGCTTCATCCATGTCCCTGCAAAGAGCATGAACTCATCCTTTTTAATGGCTGCATAGTATTCCATGGTGTATATATGCCACATTTTCTTTATCCAGTCTATCATTAATGGGCATTTGGGTTGGTTCCAAGTCTTTGCTATTGTGAATAGTGCTGTAATAAACATACGTGTGCATGTGTCTTTATAGTAGAATGATTTATAATCCTTTGGGTATATACCCAGTAATGGGATTGCTGGGTCAAATGGTATTTCTGGTTCTAGATCCTTGAGGAATAGCCACACTGTCTTCCACAATGATTGAACTAATTTACACTCCCACCAACAGTGTAAAAGCATTCCCATTTCTCCACATCCTCTCCAGCACCTGTTGTTTCCTGACTTTTTAATGATTGCCATTCTAACTAGCATGAGATGGTATCTCTTGTGGTTTTGATTTGCATTTCTCTAATGATCAGTGATGATGAGCTTTTTTTCATAAGTTTGTTGGCCACATAAATGTCTTCTTCCAGGAAGTGTCTGTTCATATCCTTCACCCACTTTTTGATGGGGTTGTTTGTTTTTTTCTTGTAAATTTGTTTGCATTCTTTGTAGATTCTAGATATTAGCCCTTTGTCAGATGGATAGATTGCAAAAATTTTCTCCCATTCTGTAGGTTGCCTGGTCTTTCTGATGACAGTTTCTTTTGCTATGCAGAAGCTCTTTAGTTTAGTTAGATCCCATTTGTCAATTTTGGCTTTTGTTGCCATTGCTTTTGGTATATTAGACATGAAGTCTTTGCCCATGCCTATGTCCTAAATGGTATTGCCTAGTTTTTCTTCTAGGATTTTTATGGTTTTAGTTCTTACGTTTAAGTCTTCAATCCATCTTGAGTTAATTTTTGTATATGGTGTAAGGAAAGGGTCCAGTTTCAGTTTTCTGCATATGGCTAGCCAGTTTTCCCAACATCATTTATTAAATAGGGAATCCTTTCCCCATTGCTTGTTTTTGTCAGGTTTGTCAAAGATCAGATGGTTGTGGATGTGTGGTCTTATTTCTGAGGCCTCTGTTCTGTTCCATTGGTCTATATGTCTGTTTTGTTATGCGTACCATACTGTTTTGGTTACTGTAACCTTGTAGTACAGTTTGAAGTCAGGTAGCATGATGCCTGCAGCCATGCTTTTTTTGCTTAAGCTTGTCTTGGCTATATGGGCTCTTTTCTGGTTTCATATGAAATTTACAGTAGTTTTTTCTAATTCTAAAACTAATTCTGTGAAGAAAGTCAATGGTAGTTTGAGGGGGATAGCATTGAATCTATAAATTACTTTAGGAAATATGGCCCTTTTCACAATATTGATTCTTCCTATCTATGAGCATGGAATGTTTTTCCATTTGGTTGTATCCTCTCTTACTTCCTTGAGCAGTGGTTTGTACTTCTCTTGAAGAGGTCCTTCACATTCCTTGTAAATTGTATTCCTATGTATTTTATTATCTTTGTAGCAATTGTGAATGAGAGTTCACTCATGATTTGGTTGTCTATTATTGGTGTATAGGAATGCTTGTGATTTTTGCACATTGATTTTGAATCCTGAGACTTTGCTGAAGGTGCTTATCAGCTTAAGGAGAAAATTTTGGGCTGAGACGATGGGGTTTTCTAAATATACAATCATGTCATCTGCAAACAGACACAATTTGACTTCCTTTCTTCCTATTTAAATACCCTTTATTTCTTTCTCTTGCCTGATTGCCCTGGCCAGAACTTCCAACACTATGTTGAATAGGAGTGGTGAGAGATGGCATCCTTGTCTTGTGCCAGTTTTCAAAGGGAATGCTTCCAGCTTTTCCCCATTCAGTATGATATTGGCTGTGGGTCTGTCATAAATAGGTCTTATTATTTTGAGATACGTTCCATCAATACCTAGTTTATTGAGAGTTTTTAGTATGAAGGAATGTTGAATTTTATCGAAGGCCTTTCTGCATCTATTGAGATAATCATGTGGTTTTTGTCATTGGTTCTGTTTATGTGATGGATTTTGTTTATTGACATTTGTATACTGAACCAGCCTTGCATCCCAGGGATGAAGCTGACTTGATCATGGTGGATAAGCTTTTTGAAGTGCTGCTGGATTTGGTTTGCTAGTATTTTATTGAGGATTTTCTCATCAATGTTCGTCAGGAATATTGGCCTGAAATCTTTTTTTGTTGTGTCTCTGCCAGGTTTTCATATCAGGGTGATGCTATGCTGGCTTCATAAAATGAGTTAGGGAGGAGCCCCTGTTTTTCTGTTGTTTGGAATAGTTTCAGAAAGAATGGTACCAGCTCTTCTTTTTACCTCTGGTAGAATTAGGCTGTGAATCCGTCTGGTCCTGGGGTTTTTTTGGTTGGTAGGATATTAATTACTGCCTCAATTTCAGAACTTGTTATTGGTCTATTTTGGGATTCGACTTCTTCCTGGTTTAGTCTTGGGAGGGTGTATGTGTCCAGGAGTTTATCCACTTCTTCTAGATTTTCTGGTTTATTTGCGTAGAGGTGTTTATAGTAGTCTCTGATGGTAGTTTGTATTTCTGTGGGATCAGTGGTGATATCCCCTTTATCATTTTTTATTGTGTCTATTTGATTCTTCTCTCTTTTCTTCTTTATTAGTCTGGCTAGTGGTCTATTTTGTTAATCTTTTCAAAAAACCAGCTCCTGGATTCACTGATTTTTTGAAGGGTTTTTGGTGTATCTATCTCCTTCAATTCTGCCCTGATCTTAGTTATTTCTTGTCTTCTGCTAGGTTTTGAATTTATTTGCTCTTGCTTCTCTAGTTCTTTTAATTGTGATGTTAGGGTGTCTATTTTAGATCTTTCCTGCTTTCTTTTGTGGGCATTTAGTGCTATTAATTTCCCTCTAAGCACTGCTTTAGCTGTGTCCCAGAGATTCTGGTACATTGTATCTGAATTGTTTTCAAAGAACTTATGTATTTCTGCCTCAATTTCATTATTTACCCAGTAGTCATTCAGGAGCAGGTTGTTCAGTTTCCATGTAGTTGTGCGATTTTGAGTGAGTTTCTTAATCCTGAGTTCTAATTTGATTCCACTGTGGTCTGAGGACCGTTTGTTGTGATTTCCTTGCTTTTGCATTTGCTGAGGAGTGTTTTACTTCCAATTATGTGGTCAATTTTAGAGTAAGTGCGGTGTGGTGCTGAGGAGAATGTATATTCTGTTGATTTGTGGTGGAGAGCTCTGTAGATGTCGATTAGGTCTGTTTGGCCCAGAGCTGAGTTCAAGTCCTGAATATCCTTGTTAATTTTCTGTCTCATTGATCTGTCTAATATTGACAGTGGGGTGTTAAAGTCTTCCATTATTATTGTGTGGGAGTCTAAGTCTCTTTGTTGGTGTGTGAGAGCTTGCCTTAGACAAGAGCTAAGGTGTCTAAGAGCTTGCCTTAGACAGGTGCTCCTGTATTGGGTGCATATATTTTTAGGATAACTAGCTCTTCTTGTTGCATTGATCCCTTTACCATTATGTAATGTCCTTCTTTGTCTTATTGATCTTTGTTGGTTTAAAGTCTTCTTTATCAGAGACTAGCATTGCAATCCCTTTTTTTTTGTTTGTTTGCTTTCCATTTGCTTATTCCTCCATCCCTTTATTTTGAGCCTATGTGTGTCTTTAAATGTAAGATGGTTCTACTGAATACAGCACACCAATTGGTCTTGACTCTTTATCCAATTTGCCAGTCTGTGTCTTTTAATTGGGGCATTTAGCCCATTTACATTTAAGGTTAATATTGTTATTTGTGAATTTGATCCTGTCATTATGATGCTAGCTGGTTATTTTGCCCATTAGTTGATGCAGTTTCTCCGTAGTGTCAATAGTCTTTACAATTTGGTATGTTTTTGCAGTGGCTGGTACTGGCTTTTTCTTCCCATATTTAGTGCTTCTTTCAGGAGCTGTTGTAAGGCAGGCCTGGTGGTGACAAAATCTCTCAGCATTTGCTTGTCTGTAAAGGATTTTATTTCTCCTTCGCTTATGAAGTTTAGTTTGGCTGCATATGCAATTCTGGGTTGAAAATTCTTTAAGAATGTTGAATATTGGCCCCCACTCTTCTGGCTTGTAGGGTTTCTGCAGGGAGATCTGCTGTTAGTCTGAGGGGCTTCCCTTTGTGGGTAACCCGACCTTTCTCTCTGGCTGCCCTTAACACTTTTTCCTTCATTTCAACCTTGCTGAATCTGATGATTACGTGTCTTGGGGTTGCTCTTCTCAAGGAGTATCTTTGTGGTGTTCTATGTATTTCTTGAATTTGAATATTGGCTTGTCTTGCTAGGTTGGTGAAGTTCTCCTGCATAATATCCTGAAGAGTATTTTTCCACTTGGTTTTATTCTCCTGGTCACTTTCATGTACACCAATCAAACGTAGGTTTGGTCTTTTCACATAGTTCCATATTTCTTGGAGACCTTGTTCATTTATTTATTTTTTTGTTCTTTTTTCTCTGATCTTGTCTTTTTGCTTTATTTCATTAAGTTGATCTTCAATCTCTGATATCCTTTCTTCTGCTTGATCAGTTCGGCCATTGATACTTGTGTATGCTTCACGAAGTTCTCGTGCTGTGTTTTTCAGCTCCATCAGGCCCTTTATGTTCTTCTCTAAACTTATTCTAGTTAGCATTCCTCTAACCTTTTTTCAAGGTTCTTAGCTTCCTTGCATTGGGTTAGAACATGCTCCTTTTTAGCTCGTAGCAGTTTGTTATTACCCACCTTCTGAAGCCTACTTCTGTCAATTCATGAAACTCATTCTGTGTCCAGTTTTGTTCCCTTGCTGGCGAGGAGTTGTGAACCTTTGGAGGAGAAGAGGTGTTCTGGGTTTTGGAATTTTCAGCCTTTTTGCACTGGTTTTTCCTCATCTTTGTGGATTTATCTACCTTTGCTCTTTAATGCTGGTCACTTCCAGATGGGGTTTTTGTGTGCCCGTCCTTTTTGTTCATGTTGATTTCTGTGTGTTAGTTTTCTTTCTAACAGTCAGGCCCCTTTGCTGCAGGTCTCCTCGAGTTTGCTGGAGGTCCGCTCCAGACCCTGTTTGCCTGGGTATCACCAGTGGAGACTCAGTTGGAAATGCAGAAATCACCCACCTTCTGGGTTGATCTCGCTTTGGAGCTGCACACCGGAGCTGTTCTTATTCGGTCATCTTTCCTAGTCTCCCACATAGTAATTTTCTAGTGGACTAGAAGAAAAATGCTTTATTAAAAACTCTTCAGATTTAGCTAAAACTGGCTCAAAACTCTATCTCATTGTTTCCATGTTCGTCAAGATTTCTGTGAATCCCTGTTGCTTGAGTTCCCCTAGTCTACAACTCACATCCCTGTAAGGCTGATATCAAGTAGACTTTACAATGAAAGAAGCAAGGGATTACATTGCTGTAATATCTGACAGCTTAAATTCGATTGTCCCTTGACCATTTCTCACCAACACAAGCTGCCGGCTGCCATGGGAGCTCAGCCACTCTCTTCTCTCCCGCTTCCCCTCCTCTCTTTCTAGGCTCATTCCCACTTCAAAAAGCCTCTTGTGACACCCACCCCTAGTTACTGTCCTCGGGCCTCGACATCTCACTCTGTTCCCTTGTCACACCGGGGCTACAAATTGTCAAGGTATTTTTAGACTAAAGAAGGTACTTCTCAAATTTCAGTCCCTGAAATACTCTTTTATTTCTTCTGCCACACAGTTGTCCAGCCCTTGTCCCCCAGCTGGTTTCGGGTGTAGATGGCCTCCTCTTTCTTTGCAATAACAGGTCTGCAGACTTCTGCTCTGCACAGCAGTGGGAACATATGCGACATTTCTGTCAGGAAATCCAGAGATATTAATTAACATTTCATCAAATTACACCTAAATTGCCAGTTATTTCTTTTTCTTTTTGGTAGATACATAGAGATGGAGTATTAGTTTTTTAGTATTGGATGAAAACATCATTGCTTATTAAGGAATTCTGCATCTAGATGTTGGCTGTCAATTAGCTTTCACATAAAGGTAATTATATATATAAAAAATATTTATACCCATAAGTCTGTATATGTATTTATATAGTAATATAAGTATATTTTTTATATATATACTTATATATATATATATTTTATTATATATATATAAATGTTATATATAAATATTAAATGTCTATCAAAACTAATTAATGTACATAAAATATATAAGTATGCATATATAAATTTATATATACATGCACACACATATATTCACTATGTATTAACTTTTATATTCACAAATATATGTGCACAATGTATATGTGCATGGCTCTTCTACATAGTAAGATATATATGTCATCTATCTCTTCCATTTTCTCTCTCCCATAAGGTGCTTTAAAGGGAGGAACTTCACCTTGTTTATCCATATATACATTTGTTCACAATTCCATATATGCTATCAGGAAGCAGGAATGTACCTAATAATTATTCAACAACTGTCAGTTTCCTACTGTTTTTATTTTGGCTGGTGGTTTCAGAATCATGTAAGGAAATGGTGGAAAGATGTGGAGTTTATCAAAATCACATTTAACTCAGAAATGAAACTTAGATGTGAAGTTATACACATGAAAATCCTGTTTTTGGTTTGACACATTATGAGCAGTTGTCTTTCCTTCCTCAAATAGTGGGAAAGCAGACTTGTCTTCTAATGTCATTTCAGTCTCCCTTTTCCCAGAAATTGATTATGCATACGCACACATGTATTCAAGGTGGTTCTTCATTGTGGCAGACTATATACTTAAAGAACCTGACATAATTTTTCCATTTTTCATCCTTTTGAAAGCTTTAATATTATTGCTGTAAATGTGGTTGTACAAAGCTATAAATTTCTCACTTAATCCTTTTTAAATCCTTCTGACATGTGACCAAGAGTTGGAAATATATAAATGTTAAATTTTATGTTTTTTTCCGTGTTACCATAGCCTGTTATTCTATTATAAACTGTCAGCTGTTACCCAATCAAAGTAAAATGGGTAAGAAAAGCTTATGGTAGTCCAAGGAACATTCCTTCTTGCATGAATTTACCAATCTTCATCAGATGTAGGCTAACTGATGAAACTTGGAGTTTTCAAAAATGGTAGCACAGAATGGGAAAAGAAAATGTCTCACTTCCTCCTACTTTGCTTCTCCCTAACTTCAGTATAAAGATATCTCTCTGATTTCTGATTTGCGATCTGTGTTTGGGTACATTTTGTCACTAGAAATATTTCTCTTGTGACTTAAGCATATTTCCTTTGGATTATTTTATAATTTCAAACTCAAACTCAAACTCAGTCTTTACAGCTTTTCATCCCAGATGAACATAGGACGTGTTTTGGTCAAAATTTCAGATTTTTTTTTTTCATAAAAGAGAGGGCTGACACGTCAGTTTCTGCAAAACGATTTTACTATAACTGCCTCTCACCGTAGTGAATTTTGGCTGTCCAAAAAAACCACAATAAGGAGTGTTCAATATTTTGCTTTGATTCAGGTGAGGTGAGGGGAATCAAGCGTTGAAGCTTAAAACAGTTCTAGGTCAATCCGGCTCCTTCCTTCAGGAGTGTAAGATCTTGGGCAATTACTTTTCCTTTTACTTAGCTATTTTCTCGTCAGCAAAATGGCAATAATCATATTTACTACAGAGGGTTGTTTCTAATGTTTTGAGGCTGAAAAGAAATTTGGTATTTATGTCAAGCAGCACACAGAGGATTATCAATCACTGTTACCTACTATCATCAAGGTGTTTCCAAACTAAGTGTGAGTTACCATTTTAATATCTGTCAGGGCTCCTTGAAGAAGTGGTTGATTTCAAAATGTGGGCATGGAGAATGCAAGATAGTCCTGGAGCATCTTGCGGTGCCAGAAAGTGAGACAGTGCTCAAGAGAGAATGGGGCCATCTTAAGAAGGCACAGAAGCCAACCTGAAAGACGTTCCAAAGGCCAAAACTGGAATAATTTAAGCAACAAAATAAATACAATACTGAATTACAGCCCATAGAATAAAATGAATATCCATACGTTTGAAATACTGATATAAGCAAGAGATTGAATAAACTAATAAATAGAGAAAAAGAGAGCTCTTCTTTATAGAATTCCAGTTAATAAAAGAAGAGGGAATGCAGAAAACACACAATCAACATTAGAACAACACAGTAATAATTGTTGCAGGAAAGATTCATCAAGAAGAACACAAGTTGCAATTTAAGCAGAAACAGAATAGCTGTATAGTCACAAAATACCTCCCCCAAGATACTTATTAATTAATTACAAGTGGAAAAGAGAACTCGTATAATGGAAAAAACCCACAGACTTCGCTTCAACTAAGTGATCAAGTTAGCGTCTCTGCTAATAAAACTTTCAGGCATCATCTGGCCCTGATATGATGCACCAAGAAACACACACCACTTCTGTGATCTTGTTCCCCTAAAATGCGTAACTTTAATGTAGTAATGAAAAAATACAGACGAAAACAAATTTGAGGACATCCTATAAAGTAACTGACCAGTACACCTTGAGTATCAAGGTTATGGAAGATAAGGGATAACCTTATCCTCCTAAGGAGATGAAGGAGATATGACAACTAAATTTGATATGAGTTCCTGCATTGGACTCTGAAACAGAAAAAAGGACATCAGTGGAAAAACAAGTAAAATCTAATAAAATCCGGTAACATCTTAGTTTTGATAATTGTACTGTGCTTATATAAGATGTTAATGTTAGGGGAAGCTGAGTGAGCGTATATGCAGCATTTCCATAAATCTAAATTTATTTCAAAACATAAAGTTAAAAATATATGTTAGGACCAAGTTATAATTCTCTTTCATAAAATATCTAGCAATATCAATGACAAGGACTTATCTCTAATTCTGCAAAGTTTTCAGAAATTCTATGACTATCCTTGGTTGTATGTCTTTTTCAAAGCAAAACACTGTTGCTCTTCATCAATTCTATTTTTAAATTTTTTTGGTTGGGTAGCTTGCTTCTCTTTTCATATGTGTTTGCTTCTCTCCAAATGACTCAGGGTCACAAGGTTATTTGGAGAGAACCAAACACATATGAAATCTTGGATTAGAATCTGAACTTAGAGGTGATATCCAGGAATTTTCTCAAAACTTCTATGCAAAGGCTACTAAGTGAGCAAAGAAGTACAGCCTGGAATGAACCACTGAGCTTCATTTATCATTCCACTCTTCAGACTCTCACCTTAGGTCTTCAGCTATTTGAGGACCAAAAAAGTACTTGATTTCTCTTCAGAATAGGCATTGTATAGAAAGTACAGTAAATGAGAGCAAACGTCAACTTCCCACATAACTTCCAAATATCCCAGAGGCTAACACAATTCTTGCAGTGATCAGAAATGTAACAGAACTGTTAACCATGCAGGAAATAAGGCACGGTCATTGGTAGATTACAGGTCCACTTCTTGCAACATGATGGAAAATAATAATAACAATATTTTTTATCAAAATTGAGTATGTACCAAACTTGTTTCTTTTACATGATTCCACCGTCTTTCCTCAATAGTCACAGAACTTCTGGATTGCAATTCTATACAAACTTTTTAAAAAGAAACTTTGACATTTTACTAGGCACATCAAATGTGGTTAGTTTATGATTCATTTATGGTCCGTGATGGTGTAATTACAATAACCATGTTTCTTAAATGATACTACCTTGTTTTTTTTACCACATAAAAATGTGTGTTATTTCTAGCAAAAGTTAAAAAATGTGGACATGGTTGTTGAAATGCTCATTTCAATGTTAATGTTAATGATACTTACAATTGTGGATCATGGCCACAGGTCTCTCCTTCTAGCTTCTCAAGAGTGGTGCCATCTAATTGGAGAGAAGGTTGGTAACACCTGGTATATAACCCCGTTTTCTGCTGTAGACCCATCCACAGGAAAATGAATGCTGGAATATGTGTTTTACATAGGATGTCGGACAAAGGAATTTCAGATAAATAAGATTAAGAGCCAAATAATATATTTTTTAAAAATGGGAATTATTTGAGTATCTAGGAAATGATGAACTAAATTTCATCCCAGTCATGTGTTTCTGGATAATTAAAGGCACCTGCTTGGGAAGCTCTACTCCTCAGCCCTTCCTGAGCATGGAAAGACATGACGTGCTCAAGTGACCGCTCTCTCTTTGGTTCCAGTGATCTGGCATGTGTTCTTTCTTAATGCTTAAATGCAGTGATCCTTAATCTTTTTGAAGTGATAAGCCCCTTTAAGAATATGAAATGTATAGATTGTGGAGGGGAAAGGTGTCTGCAAAATCACACACAATTTTGCTATTTCAGGCAGCTCTGAGCTCTCATGAAATCCCCCCACTGGCTTTAGTTTAACAACTTCTGACAAAGCATTTTTTACTTTTACTATAACTGTAGCACAACAGCTCTGGCCTAGACAAGTTGGAAGCAGGAATATTGGTAGGCATCATAACCCTGGCTTTCAAGGAAATCACAGTATAGTTGGGGAGCTTACACATTCATTCATAAAAACACAAATGGCCTTTCATAGAGTTTTTTCCACGTGCTTAGCATGAGTTACTTGCTTTAATTCCCAAACTAATTCTACACAAGACCTGCTCTATAATTTGTAGGCCAAAATGTGGGATCCCTTGCTAAAAAAAAAAAAAAAAAAAAAAAAAAGGCAAGAAAAACTGCCTTATTTAATGGTACTGAAGCACAAAACCTTAGCCCTTCCATGTCCCCTCAACCATTCCTGGTGTTTTCTGCTTGCTATTTTGATATTGCACACTCTTATGCACAGGGCACTCACTGGGTAAGTGCAGATCCTCACAGGTGTCCAGGGGCAGGCCCCCAGCTGGTGCCCCACCCCTCGCTGGCACCAGATAAATGCACGTGCATGCCCCCTGCCCAGGGACATGCAGCCCCAAGCATGGTGGACAGCCAGCCCCTAAGAGTGTGGCAACATCCACGCCAGTGTGCGCTGGGGCGGGCACCTGGAACAGCCCCACTGAGTCTCCTGCTGAATGGACAATGGCACTGCCAGCTGCCGTGGGTGTAGCTGCAGCAGCGGTCCCTGGGGCCCTGTGCAGACCAGGAAAGGGGAGGCCCAGCGTGCCCTGGGTTGACCATGGAGGGTGTGGGGGAGGTGGGCAGGCAGATAGCTGGAAACCAGTCCTGGGGAGATGAAGGAAGCCAAGGAAAAAACCTGTGTGAGCTGAGGCCCCAGGTTGTGCCCACTCCCCACACTCAGTCGTCCCACTGGACTCCACAGAATGCAAATACGAAAGTTAAATTTATTAAAATTTCAAGACGGGAACCACAGAGGCTTTAATTTCAAGCAAGGAGTCCTTCCAAGTTCACGGCCCTGTGCCCCTGGGCCCCTGAATGCATTCTTTGGGATGGTCATTTCTTCCACGTTACCCATAAAGAAGCTGAGGGTGTTGGAGCAACTCTCCAAAGTGCACAGCACTCGGAGTTGTGGTGCTGGGCTTCAAACCCATGTCTGACTGTTTCAAAGCCAACTCTTAACTACAAGGTGCAGAGACACGGTGACGACAGACGTGGACCAGCAGGAACACATCCAACAGTGAAGCACAACACTTGAACCTAAGCAAGGGAAGGGTGCTGGGACTGGGAGGATCTCACTGGGGACAAGTCATAGCAAGGACCAAAGGAAATAAAGAAGGGGGAAGACCCTTGGGTAAAGTGTTTAGGGTTCCTAAAAGCAAGGGGCAGGGATGACTATGGTGAGATACATGGAACCATAGTGAATAGCAAATGGGAAGCAGGCTGGAGAGGAGAGTAAGCAGTTGTCTAAGGGGCCTTCCATGCACGGGCATGAAAAACAGGAGGAGGAACTCAGAATTCATAGAAGAAACCACAGGGAGCCACTGGGGAATAAGGAGCCAAATGTCAGTCATAGCCCAAGTCACTGGATCCAGGTGGCTTGAGAGGCCCTGGAACGTTCTAAACTACTAGTCATGAAGCAAAGAAAATGGACAGTGGTGAAGGAACTGGCAAGTCCTGGATTATATTTGGAGTCAAAGACAGCAACTCTTATTCGGAGAAGAATGTCTAGGTAGTAAAAGGATTTTAATAACATGCTTTTTTCAAAGCATGAAAATCTAAATTAAGCCATGGCTGAATTGTATTCATTCCAATTTAACCTCTACACTAACTCTACCAATATTGACCTGACGGAAGCACTTTCTTGCCTGGCAGGTCTCACTGCTGTTTCTCCACATTGGTAAATTAATCTGGAGATTATCTACAGCTGTACACAGTTTTCCAAGACTCTCTTAGAGATAATGAGTGAGGAACACAGCAGAGACGCAAACCCTGATACACTGTAGGAAACTTGCTGCATTTTCAATGACTTTTTTCATGTAAGAAAGACAGGAATCAGACAGTTACTGGCACCACAAATAAGTCACCCAGTCGGAACACCTTGGAGTCTCACAGCCTCCATCTCTACCCTATGCCCATCCAAGGACGTCAAACAGGAGAAGTTCCCTTGTCCCCCAGAGTCTGGGAGGTCTCGACCGGCCTCATTAGGGTGGAGGGTTTTTGTTTTGTTTTTTTGGTTTTGGTTTCTGGTTTTTTGTGGTTTTTTTTTTTTTTTTTTTTGAGACGCAGTCTTGCTCTGTCGCCCAGGCTGGAGTGCAGTCGCGCGATCTGGGCTCACTGCAAGCTTAGGGTGGAGTTTTTGAAGCTGTGAAAGGAAGCAGAGCCTTGTACCTGCAGGAAACAGAGAGGTGGCAGGGTTTTGGAAGAGAGACAGACCCGACAGTTTCGCATTCGTTCACACTCACCTTCCAGGATCTCAGGCGAAGTCCCCAGTTGAAACAGGAAAAATTCCTTTATCCCCATGGCGGGTCTTGCTATGGGGCAGCGGAGTGGCTCGCTTTTTCAGTGCCCCGAGGCTCAGACCTCTAGGGCAGCATACAGGCGGGCAGGCTGTGGGGCTCCAACCCCAGGGCAGTGTCTAGGGGTGAATGTTAACAGCTCCGGAAGCCCCAGGGGGAATGTGTTACAGGGTACTCTTTTAGTTTAGCTAGGTATACACAGCTCGTGTTAGCTCAATTAGACCCCTGCCTTATCACAAGGACAGAGGGCTTTGTGCATCCCAGGGTTCTTGCCTTGGTGTACCAGAAGCAGATCACATCATGGGCTTGGAGAATGAGCACAAGGTTGTATTGAGTGGAGATATCACATGGCGGAAGCCAAAAGGGGATGGAGTGGGAAGGTTTCTCCTGGATCCCGGCAGCTGAGCAGCCTGGGCTGTCCTCTCACTGCCGCAGCCAAACTCCACGTTGTTGTTCTGCAAATCGGTGGCCTGCCGGCATGCAGGTGCCTGTTACTGTATTCCTCTCGACATCCAGCCACCCGTGTGTTCCTCTGCCTATCTGCTCCTCTCGACGTCCAGCAGCTTGTGTGTCTGCCTGCTAGGGTCTCAGGCAGTTTTATAGGCCCAGGATGGGGGCGTGGCAGGCCAGGGCGGTCTTGGGAAATGAAACAAAAATGCCTGTCCTCACCTAGGTCCATGAGGGTGGAGCCCTAGCCAGGGACCATGGCCTTCCTCTACCCAGCACGTCCCCTGTTCCCTGTCATTTAAAGGCACCCCGCCCTTCCCTTCCCAGCACTTCCCTTCCATATCGGAAGCATGGTGCAATGGTCTCATATAGAAGAGAAAAGAGCTTAACTGTGGCTGAAACCAGTATCTTTGCTGCATAGCATTTGTTTTAAGGTTTTTCTTTCTCAGCCAAGTTTGTGCATTTCAGGGCCGTGCATAATGTTGCCAACAAAGCTTTCTGGATGATTGCTAGTGAATTCAGAGTTTCACATTGCCAAGTCCAATTTATCCATCTCAAACGCTCCACCAAAGTTACCTTATCCTCAAGAAAGCTATGTCTATGCTTGGAAGACTAGCTGACTACAAAATAGAACTCTGCATTCTGCAAAGCATGCTCAATGCCTATTGCACTTGGATAATGCCTTTCTTCATAGTTATCCAGCATGCTCGGGCTCTCTGCCACTCCTGGGAGTGTAGCTCGTCACAGTGATGTTCACAGCCAGATCTCCACAAGAGAGGGTTAGAGCTCAACACATTAGCCTCAGATATTCCTCATAACACAGACACAGGTAAGCATTATATAAAGTTTAACTTATCATCCACGCACACGGATGCATATACATATACAGAGATGATAGCCAACAAAAAAATAAAGGCAAAGAAATACATATGTTGGTTTTATAATCTTTTTATGTAGATTTCAAAAAAAAAAAGAAATGGAGTTTAGTATTAGTAGATAGTTTGCTAGGGCTGCCATAACAAAGTACCACAGACTAGGCAGATTACACAGTAGTAATTTATTTTCTCACAGTTCTGGAGGCTAGAAGTCCGAGGTCAAGGTGTCAGCGGGGTTTGTTTCTTCTAAAGTCTCTCTCCTTAGCTTATATACAAAATGCTCAAGATGGTCATCTTCTCCCTGTGTCTTCACATGGTCTTCCCCTTCTATGTGCCTGAGTCCTCATTTCCTCTTTGTATAAGGTTATCAGTTAGATTAGATTAGGGCTCACTGGAATGACTTCATTTTACCTTAGTTAGCTCTTTGAAGACCCTGTCTCCAAATTCAGTCCCATTGTGACGTACTGAGGGTTAGGACTTTGGCATACGAATTTGTGGGGCTGGGGGGAACAATTCAGCCATAACAGGTCGTATCCCGTATAATAACTTTATTTTGTGAGATACAGTCTGGATGTAACTGTAGGAGTCAATTCAGGGTATGATGGTCACACCTCAATAGTGAGTTTCAAAAATATGATTGATTTGACACTGCATGATATCTCTCTTAAGGAAAGACTTTTTATCCGTTTTTGCTTCCCATCACTCAACTCTTAATTCAACACTCACTGTACACAAGATGCGGCTAACTTGCTATGAATAGTAAAAGATTCCTAGATGTCTAAGACGCAGCCCTCATTGTCAACATCGTTTCAAATATTGATAACTCATGAGATTGTGTAGTTGGCATATGATAAATGCCAGAATATAAGCAGCCCTAGGGCAGTGACCGGGCACAGCGTTGGTGTGCATTACATGCTTTGAGTAAATGTTATGTCCATAGAATTATTTTTACAGTATGTCTTTGATATCTGAAGAGGGTAAAAGTGAAGGTGGTACCATATTCCCAAAAATGTCTTTGTGACATTTTCCCAGTGACAACTGAGAGTTTAGGACTAGAGATGGAACTATGTCTGACATGAATCAAAAGTAAAAAATTAAAGTCAGCAGTTAAAGACCACCACCTGTGAATCAGTCTTTCCAGTCTGTTCCCTTGAGGAAAATTTTTGAGGATTCCTCGAAAAAAATAAATATGGAGAATTGATTGGGAAGCTGAGGCAAAGTGTTACAAGATTGTATCACATTTATTAAATGTCATATGCAGCTTGATTACATGTTAATCCTTTATTTGATTAGTATGTTTAAGTGGTCATAGTTAACAGAACTTCTTCCCCTTAAGACAAGAGTTCTCCAACTTTCAAGGTATGCCTTTCTTTTTTTTCTCTGTGGAAGACAGTCTGAGTCAAAAACACAATTTAGTCCATTTCCCCCTTCAAATATTATGGAAAAATTTTTTTTTCTAGATTGGTAGCCAACGTATCACACTTTCATCCTTCTGGAACTTTCTTGTGCCAAGAAGAACCCTTTAAGCACAGTTGTTAACAGTGACCCAGGCAGCCTCTTCTGAACAGCCCACGGCTGTCACACACCCATTGCTACAATTTCTACAGACTTGAAGCTAACACTTCAAGCTAACACACAGTGTTTTTTAAGATCTTGTGTTAGTAATAAAAAAGTCATAAATAATTCCTGTGTGAAGCTCTCTAGTTTTCATCAGTATTTTTGACTTAATACAAAGGCATTTTAGAAGTGAGTCCTATTACTGTCTGTGAAACAATGCAAGGCTGTGGTAGGTCTATTTGAGACAAGATTTTACAGCTATGTCATAAAACATATCTGAGTAAAAACACATGGTCTCTTGATCATTAAGATTTTTCCAATTGAATGAGCCAAGCTTCACAATACAGCAGAATTTAGTTTCTGCTTTGATACCTGTAATGAATAACCAAGTAATCCCAGAAGACCATGAATTTTAACAAAAGATTAGCAGTTCCCTAAAACCTAGTATGTGTTCACTGAAGTACACAAATAAACCTCTTTTTCTGATTTAGTCCAAAATAAAATATGCCCAGGAATGAGTGCTTGGATCCATTCAGTTGCTCACAATAGCATCTACCTCTGGATATCAGTGCTGATTTCCTATCCAAATCTCCTCTTGATAGTAGGAAAATATTTTCTCCAAAATAATAGTGATGCAATACCTTGAAAATGAATCAGAAGAGTAAATTTAAAAACTTCAGGTTCAAAAAGCATTAGCCAAAATTATTTCCTAAAATTCATTTTTACCCCATCCTCACAGAGAAAACATTTTTTCTTAGAACATTGAAAGAATTTGGCAAATTTTCAGTATAGAAAGCAATAGGATTAACTCTAGTCCTCCTGCTGTCCATTAGCTCTCTAGGCTAACTCATTCTCTGTAACTGCAAGCTTGTACTCTTTGACCTGCGTACATCTTCCGTTTCCTCCCCCTTCCCACACCCGGTAACCACCTTTCTACGCTGTTTCTGTGTATTTGACTTTTTTTTAAGATTCTTCATAAAAGTAAGATCATACAGTATTTTTCTTCCTATGTCAAAACATCATGTGGCACACCTTCACTTTATAAAAATAAGAAAAGAATCTGGCAATACATGTAACATACACTTAAACGTTTCAGATTTCAGATTCATGGCCTGAGCTCAATTTTGGTTAAAGAGAGCACAATGCGCTTAATAATGACTCATCCCTCCTCAGTTGGCATTCCCACTGATTTATTTTAAAAAATAGTCACTGTGACCAACAGGCCCGGAAGATATATGTGACTATTTCCCCTCGATATGCAGGTGGTTGAACTGTCTGAACTTCACACTCTTTTCACAGCCCAACTATTCTCCCAGGCACAACCGTGGACCCTGGGCCCATAACAGCATGCTGCCACAGGGGGAAGTGTGATCCCTGTAACTGTATCTCCGGCCAGGGTCCTAGTAACACTCCCTCCACACCCACCCTTGCCCGTATTCCGGCTTTGGCTGCATAGTTTCAAGATTCAAGGAAGCCCTGGGAATAAACCATAGGATGGAATCATTCAGCAAGTCCCTTAAGCTAAGTGTTTTTAATGCTACTTGGCTTAGTCCAGGTTCTTAAGTTACATGCACTCCCAGTGTGCTGTTCTGGCCGTGGGTGGCCTGGGTAAGTCACCAGCAGCCCCAGCTCCACTGCACAAGCTGGCCTCTGACAAAGAGCCACTCCCTGCTCTGCTCTCTGTGGTGGAGAGAGGTGGAGAGCTCCCTCCTGGTCACAAGGAACAAACAGGCCAAACTGTGATCTCAGCGCATTAAACACGTTCCTAGGTTGGAACTCAATTTCTGTGGCATACTCACATTTCACCTAAGAGACCAACCAAATAGTTTCATAACTTTTGTACACACACACACACACACACACAGCAAGAAAGAATAATTAACAAGTCACCTTTTACATTTTAAGCAAATAAGCTCGTGGATAAGAAACACGTTATGCCTTTATTACTAATCATTAGTAAATAAAACTGATTTTGGATTTTGGCAGTATATTTTAAATTTTGTATATCTATATGGCCCAAATTCATAACAAGAATGAACACATAAATCATTAATTACCAAAAAACATCTAGCTTTTGTGTTTGAAAAGACAGGTATTGATATATATTGAGCAACTGTAATGTATCAAACACTGTTGTAAGTGCTTTGCTTTATCCACACAGTAGCGAGATGGGATAAATGAAGACCTCGAGGGACAGAGAAATTATGTGACTGTTCCGGGGTCTCACAGCCAGCAAGCTGACGACCTTGGATTTGACCATCAGTCTGATTCCACAAACCAAACCGAAACATTATGTCCAAAACCCATCACAAAAGAGTATTTGGAAAACAGTAACTGCTCAAGGCCTGTTTGCTACTATGATAGTAACATTACTAAAATTGCAAGAAAAAGAATTATTGCTGCTACTTTGGTAAGCATTTGTGCAAAGAAACAGGATACTCAACCTGACTGAACTAGATAATCATTTATTATATTCGCTATGTCTTCTGGCATAATTTATTCTCCCCACCCAAAATGTATTAACTTTCCAATTTTGACATTGTTCACATTGAAATTGTGAACCTCTGGGCTATTAAAATATTTTAAGTTATGAGGATGTGGGGAAAAATTCAAAGTGAATTATTTACTAAAGCTATTTGGACAGTAAGATATTCTTATAAATAGAGTCCGATTTTTAGTCACTTTAAAAAAGTTTTGAGTTGTTCAATATTATTATCAATATTAAACTTTTACTGATTACATGTAAGTCAAAGAAATACACATCACTAAGTGGAATTTTCATCAATCAGACAAATATTTCGTATATCATAGGAAGAAAGTCTCTAAAATATGTGGTAAAGAGAAAATGTTTTTACTTATTGCAAAAAATCACAAGCTTTGGGCCTGAAAGAGCTGGGTTTGGAATTCTCATTATAGATGTGTCCCTGGGAAGGTTTACACAACCTCCTTCAGTTTCCATTTTCTTGCTTTTGAAAGGCTGACTGTGTAGATTGTATGAGATAATGCATTTAAAGCTCCAAGCATGTCTGGCATATAGTATGCAACCAGTAAGTGCTAGTTTTAAATAGTCCTTTACTTTTGGGGGTAAGGAACTTTTCCATGGGAAAAAGACACAGCAATGACATATCTCAGTAGACATTGTTCATGGCAATTGTTTGGTCAGAAGCATAATTTCTCAGTTGTCTTTCATTTTGCTATGGGCAGGAGCAACTGTGTAAGAAGAGTGTGAACTCTGAATATGGACTGGTGTGGCTGTAGGGAGGGTGGATGAAGGTCAGAGAGGGTAAGAATGGTGTGAAATATGCTACCTGGCTGGCTGAGACCCAAGGTGCTGCAGAGCAGCCCAGGACGTGCAGGTCAAGGGGCTGTCTGGGAGGTGTGAAGCCTGGATTCCATGCTCAGGCATCTCAGTGGGTTCCCTCCCTCCTCCATCCACCGTCATGACACACACACCGCTCGGTGTGCACGCATCTCAGCACAGTCCTGGAAGACTTCTGTCCCAGGTCTAAAGAGAGAATGCAGATTGGCCATTAGTCCTCATGAGGGCACCACACTTTCTCCTGGGCAGTCAGATTTTGGCTAAGGCTGAGAAACAGGGGATGGAGTGAAGAAGATGAACAGAGCCTTGTGGACACTAAAAATTAGGTACGTGACAGAAAACAGAGCAATGTAAAGAATGAGAGTCGGAAGCGTGTTCTAGAGAAGACACAGAAGGCAGAGTCTCAGAGGATGCTCTGTGAACTGGGCCCTTCCACCTAGGCTTCTGCAACTTCCTTTCACTTCAACTGTCCATCTACTTCTGCAAATCTGAGTGACTTATAGTCTCCTACTTATAATTCCCACTAAGAGATCTGGTTTTTCGTTTGTTTGTTTGTTTGTTTTTTGTTTGAGACAGAGTCTCACTCTGTCACCCAGGCTGGAGTGCAGTGGCGCAATCTCGGCTCACTGCAACCTCCACCTCCCAGGTTCAAGTGATTCTCCCGCCTCAGCCTCCCAAGTAGCTGAGACTACAGGAACCCACCACCCCAGCAAGCTAATTTTTGTATTTTTAATAGAGACAGAGTTTCTCCATATTGGCCAGGCTGGTCTCCAAATCCTGACGTCAGATGATCCACCCGCCTCGGCCTCCCAAAGTGCTGGGATTACAGGTGTGAGCCACTGCGCCCAGCCTGTATTTTATTATACAACCCATCCATATAAAGAACTTGCCTAGCAATGAACAACTACCTCTTAAATTGTTAATAGTTTTGCTTTTATTTCTTCAGACTATTTAACCGATATTTATTGTGTTTCCTATAGCAGAGAAAACAAAGATTTTGCTGGAAATACAAAGATGTGTGAGACATTTCCCTGATAATCTAGACCTGTCAGTCCAGTGTAGAAATTGGAATCAAATACAGAAATAAGGAGCACATAAGTGGAAATCTGCACAGATTGTTACGGAAGCGGGTGAGGGTGGGGTCCCGAAACAAGTCCATCAGTCCAGGGTGGTCAGGAGGCATTTTTAATTTATTTTAAGTAAAGGAAAAAAAAAAAAGGAAGGGCAGGGACATCAGAGACAACTTAGGCCAATCCCTTTTTCTTCACTTAGTGTTAGGTGTTTTAACATAGTTGATGGACTTACCAGAAGAAGGGAAGTACAAAGAAGACAAACAGAGGAGAGAGAAATTTCCAACGCAGCGTGTCCAAAGTGACACATGGCCATGTGCTGCACAGATGCAGAAATCCCAGACCTGGTGGTGGTCACAGAGCATTAGGCACAAAAAACAGGTCCTACAAAAAAACCAAACACCCTCTGCACATCATTCCTTTGCCCAATTTAAAATGGCATTTATTTGACGGCTGTCTTAGTCTGACTACCAGACGCTGTGTGTCCTGGTGGCTGTGGCTGAGTCAACGAAGGACTCCTCAGCTCCCAGCTTCTGCCTATGTTTTAGCCACACAGCACTTAACCATGCAGGGAGCCCATAACGTCCTGCAAGAAAGTTGCTCTCACGCCCAAAACAACAGCAGTAAGGCTTGCTCTGTTTCTCTTATTTGTCTAATTTTGCACGTTAAAATATTTAGACCTGGAGCTCACTTTATTTTCTCTAATAGTTTCAATCACCGTATATTCCAGCACTGGCTATAGAAAATAATAAACACAGGATCACAAGTGTATGACAAGAAGGAGGTTGCTATAGACCAATTCTACTTTTCCCATGAACTTCTTTCAGTCTCTCTCGAACCCCAAAACCTTTCCCAGACACTTAACTACATATATATGTGTATGCATATGTATACATACGTATACACATACATATACAAATACATATATATGCATATATACACATACATATACATACACACACCTATATAACCATAACACTTGGGGTGTTTATATTATACCTAAATGCAATAACTGCAACATTATTTAGAAACGCTCATTTGTGCCTCAATCATATTGCTCCAAAATTGCTCAGAATACAGAATTAATGACTTTTACAAATGAAGAAATTAAGCATTAGAGTTATTGACATGTGTTCATCCGACCACTCTAAAGTAGTGGTGGGGATAGAATTAATGATTTTTTACTCTGCATTTTGTCTGTTTGTTTCTCTATGCTCTGCGAAGGAAGGAGCCCGCCTTCTCCTATACATAGGTGTATTTCGTATTTCCTCTTGACTCCTAGGTTGAGCTGGTTCTGTTCAATACCCCTTCAAAATAATGATCACAAAGATTAAGAGTAAGCCTTTTGGAAGACACAGTGCTATTTCCATAGAAAAATCTATCTTGTGATGTGGGACATTTTTGTTTCCATTACAAAAATGACAGCTTGTGGCTATGAAAACAGCTGATGAGACGTTTTAATAGTGTTGTGTGAGCTCCTGATAATGGTGCCATTAATCTTAGTCATTCAGACTTGAGCAGACTCTAGCGGGTCATCTGTTGCATTGTGAGTGTTTGATTTCATTATTTTTGAGCCATCCCTGATTAGATGAGAGGTGGTGCAATCGTAGACGTCGCCCAAGGCGGCCTTCTCCGTAAATAATCACTCACTCCTTCTGTCCCACAGCTCCTGGGCTCTCTATCAGCTCTCTGGGTCTCCCTGCCTTAGAGGCAGGCTGAACTTTGCTGCCTGTAGGTTACCATGCAACAGGAGCTGGGACCGGTGCAGAGTAACCAAGTGTAGCTGGTCACGGGAGACTAAAGAGCAAAGGTATTTGTACTCTATGTTCTCTGTCCATCCTTGGAATTTTTCATCAATTTTTTCAGTCACCCTGAATCCATTCTGGAATTCAAAACACGTAATAATGATGCCATGTAAAGGAATTATTGCAGATGTCTACATGATCCCTTTGAAACAATCCTTTACATTTTAGAAAAATATCTTCCTTTGAAGAAGAGATGCCCATAAGGGCCTATTGGCTCCTACTGACCTACATATTTTTGATTTCCTAATACCTAATACTTCAGGCCCACTTTTGGCAATCCACCAGGAATTTGAAGTAGAGAGACTTTGAGTTAGATACTTTCATACAATAAATTTTATCTGACAAGTCAAGCACTTGCTTTTATTACCATGTCTCATTTTCCCAGGCATATACACTTTACAGATTCAAAGGGCCTCTCCACTACCCCAGCCCTGGGTAGTACATGTGCTCTTTGTAAAACTTTCTTTAAGTGAGATAAAATGAGACCATTTTTTCTAATTACATTGTGTGTGGAAAATTTACTTTTAAAAATAAATGCCTACAAATTTCTGAGGCAAATGCCACTAATAAGAATATTCATAAAGCCATCTTTATACCATTCAAATTTTATCTGTAATTGTTTGACTGTTTTTATACAATGCTATCAAATCAGTTTTCTTCCTCTCATATAAATATAGTTGCTGAGGGAGGGAACAGAGCTCAGGGTGTTTTAATTAGTTCAGCGATTTAAAGGTCGTTCCCTTTATGTGTTTGTAAGTATTAAAAAGCTTTTCTGGATTATACTCTCATGGTACGATACTCTTACTGCAGAGAAAAAGCCTATTACACTAACCTTTATCCCAGTGGAGAACACATTTTACACTGCTGGCTACAATTAATTGCCTTTCACTGTGCAATACTGAAAGAGAGATTGAAAATGTATATTATCTGATGTCAGGCAATTGGGGATGTGCCTTGTAGGGTATCACGTTAAAACAGCAAAATTAAAACCACTGACTGCCCCTCTTAAACTGAAGCTATAAACTCTTCACCCAGAAATTCCCTTGGCTCTTCAGCAAGATTTCCAAGCCCCATTTCTCTCTGAGTTCTTTTTGCTGCAGAGTATGTATGAAGGAGAGCTCGTGTCTGTGCCCCCATCTCCTGTTTATGCATTTGTTCATTTCATAAGGAAATCATGAGTTTCTGGCCTCCCCCAGCCACTGCGTTTGGAGTTCTGTTGTGAACAAAGCCAAGTACGCCTAAATCCTGGCCTGACCACTTTCGAATTCTGAGACACTGGGCAGCTAACTGACTTCACTTCTCTGTGCCCGATTTTCCCTGTCAGTCAAACCGGGACCCTAACAGTGCTTACCTCATATAGTTACAGAGAGAAGATGGAGAAAGTAGCTTCACTTTCCAGGAACACAGAAATGCAATGGGCACGCTTTTACATTTCTGTGTGTGTGCTTTAAGATCTTCCTAAGGGCTTTTACATACATGATCTCACTTTATCCTCCTGCTAGCTTTGCAAGGTAGTATTATCTTTATTCTATTCAAGAACTGAGGAAACTGAGGCCAGAAAAGGGTCACAGATGAGCCTGACATCCCCCCAAGTGTCCCTCAGTACATAATAGCACTCCTAGACACGGCTTCACAAAGCCCATCTTGCAGAGAATTACCTAATGACAAAAAATATATTAAAGTTAGCAGCCATCAGCTTATAGTCTTGGAGTCATATTCTGGTTTGCAGTAGATGACTGTTTGTGGGTTCTCTGAACTGCCTGGCCAACTACTTTGATACAAATGCACTGAGGCCAGAAATCCCAATACTAACAACTCTTCCTTAAAGGAAAACATTGACCTTTTCCTATGATATTTGTCAAAAATGTGCATAGACCTACAAGTGGGAGCACCTTTAGTCTATAATGCTTCAAAGTGCATGATTCATCAGCCTAGTTCTTGAAAGGAAAAAGCTGGCTAGAAAGATCTGGAGTCTAGGAGAAAGAGAGATGTCATGAAGAGAAGCAGAAAGCAGTGGTGTCAGCCCTGTAGCATCTTAGTCGTCTTGACTTTTTAGCCTCAGGGGAAGCCCTACAGACTACTGATGGTAGCATGTGTCACCTGGAGCCAGAGGGAAGTCAGCAAAACACGTCAGGTTCAGCATTCCAGACATAGTCCTCAAGGCTTGTTATCTGACCCAATTGTATCTGTTGAATCTAATCTACACTTTTATTAATAAAAGCAAAGCCACTGCCCCTTCTGGATGTGCACATAAACCTACTCTTGCATCTTGATTGATGCTGATCCTTTTAGGATAGCACCAAAGGAGACTTGAACTTCTCTACTTTTTTTTTTAATTTAATGAGGTGCTAAACATGCAGTTTAATTATAAGCACTTAAATTACAGTGACGTCAGTGTCTTTGCTGCTGAGGGACAGCCAAGGAGGAGACTGTCGGACCTGGAGTGGTTCTCATTCCATAGGAACACATGGACTCAGCACAGGAGCATGTGGAAGTGGCAGGGGGACCTTTAGGTAATGTCTAGGAATAGCTGGCTTCCATTCGAGATTTTGTGGAAAGAGCAAAGCAAGGCAATAGAAATTACTGGAAAGGTGAGGAGTAGTAGTTTAATAGACACAACAAAGGTTAATTGCTGTGTGTATGAATTCTTTTCTGCTATTTTAAACAAGCTTCATGGAAAAGTTCAACTGACAGACCAGTTATTAATAGATTCAATAGGTTCCAAACTACGTGGAAATTTTTTCTATTTAAAATGAACAAAGTATGCATTATTTTAGTTTTTCTCTTACATAGAGTTTTCAAAAAAATGCTTTCCACATTTCAAAACCAAACATGTTTGCTGTGGATAAAGAAGCCAAAACAAAGCATTGATCAATTATTAATTTATAGACATGTATTGTTTATATCCACGGCACACAATTTTAAATAAAAAAAATAGGGAGCATTTTTGTTAGTTTGTAATAGTTTTATTCACTATTTTAATGGACTATCAGTATGCTAATTTGTGAGTATGCCATTATTAATTTTTAATTTTAATTTTTTTTTTAGAGAAGGGACTTTGCTCTGACACCCAGGCTGGAGTGCAGTGTTATGACCTTGGCTTACTGCAGCCTCAACCTCTGGGCCTCAAGCGATTCTCCCATCTCAGCCTCGGCCAAGTAGCTGGGACCACGGGCATGCGCCACCATGCCTGGCTAATTTCATTTTTATTTTTTGTGGAGACGAGGTTTCACCATGCTGCCCAGGCTGGTCTCAAACGATCCTCCTGCCTTGGCATCCCAAAATGCTAGGATTACAGGCATGAGCCACAGCACCTGGCTCCATGATTTATTTTTTTATTTTTATTGATTGATTGATTTTTTGAGACGGAGGCTCTCTCTGTCGCCCAGGCTGGAGTGCAGTGGCACCATCTCGGCTCACTGCAAGCTCCACCTCCCAGGTTCACGCCATTCTCCTGCCTCAGCCTCCCGAGTACCTGGGACTACAGGCGCCTGCCGCCACGCCTAAATTTTGTACTTTTAGTAGAGACGGAGTTTCACCGTGTTAGCCAGGATGGTCTTGATCTCCGGACCTCGTGATCGGCCCGCCTCGGCCTCCCAAAGTGCTGGGATTACAGGCGTGAACCACCGCGCCCGGCCGATTTATTTTTTTTAAATACCAAATATAGAGATTTCTGTACTGACAAATTATTTATGTAGAACAAACAAAGTCATTAACGGTATATTTAAAGCTTGATGCGATTTAAAAATAAATTCCTAGAAAAAAAACTACATCCAAAAGTATGCAAATGTCTAATGCTCTGAAAGTATTAGCTGAGCATTGCAAACGCACCCGCCACAAAGTTTGTAGTGAGTAGTTATCAGTAAGAACTGTTATAAATGAGTGCCATTTTCTTCTGCACCTTGCCAGCCCCTTAAAGTATCACATTTTGGCACTGGAAATTACGTAAGAAAAACATATTTTTTAAAAATTGAAATTATTTAGTCTTGGCCGGGCGCGGTGGCTCACGCCTATAATCCCAGCACTTTGGGAGGCCGAGGCGGGCGGATCACGAGGTCAGGAGATCGAGACCATCCTGGCTAACACGGTGAAACCCCGTCTCTACTAAAAATACAAAAAATTAGCCGGGCGTGGTGGTGGGCACCTGTCATCCCAGCTACTTGGGAGGCTGAGGCAGGAGAATGGCTTGAACCTGGGAGGCGGAGCTTGCAGTGAGCTGAGATCGTGTCACTGCACTCCAGCCTGGGGGACAGAGCGAGACTCCTTCTCAAAAAACAAAACAAAACAAAAAAAAAACAAAAAAAGAAATTATTTAGTCTTATTCTTCAAATTGCTTATTTATTTTCTTTTCTCACTTTTCTACTGGGTATTGAACATTTTCCAACTTACTAATACGGGTTTTTATATGCTTAGTGATTAACCCTTAGTCATGTATATTTTTCTTTTTGAGTTTTGCTATGGTAAACTTACAGACACAGAAGGTTAAAATATACATTAAATACATAACATACACAATATTTTCCTGGGGGTTTTACCTTTATAGCATGCTCATTAAAGATTTTCCCAGTTGCAAAAATATGGAAATAATTTTTTAACATTTTCTCACATAAAATTTATATGAAATTTTATTTAGTGAGGTAGAAGCTTTAATTTGTAAACGTTTTAAATAGTTCATCAATTGCCTCAATATCATTTAATAAGCATGCTACATTTTCCTCCTGATTTGTTAATTTATGTCCTATATTAAATCCCTACATACAGTTTTTCAGCATTTATTATTCCAGGTGAACTTTGAAATCAGCCAGTATTTCCAAATGATTTGGAATTTTGACTGGAATTTTGTTAAATTATTTCTGGAAGGATTTATAATATGTATCTTTATTCACATTTTCTTTTGTGTCCCTTAGAGGGATGGTATATACATTTTTTAATCTAGTCATAAGCTTTCTGTTAAATGGATTCCTCATTGCCAGAGAAACTTGATCTAGTTCCTTAATTTTCTAAGTGTTTGTTACTAATAATTAGATACTATAGTATTTAATTTGTAAACAAAACCATTCTGATTTGTTTTGACAGATTTTAATTGCTTCTTGAGTCCAAATAGATGAAAATAATTATCAGTTTACCCCTACCTTTTCTTTCTGTTTTTATTATCTATGATAGTAAAGAAATTTTTCTTTTAATTCCAAACTCTCATGTCTTATCATTTAATATAAGTCTGATATTTTAGGTGTTCTATATAAGGTTAAGCAAATATATCCTCCTCTTCCTTGCTTATTAAGTGTCTTTATCAGATTGTACACTCACTTTTCAGTGTCCTTATTAAACATCGTAGGGATACTGGTAGATTCTGAAAGTCTTACTCTGATATTTATTGTCTATTTTAAACTTGTAATAATAAAGTTCCTCAAGTTTTAGCTGAACACACAACTACCTCAAAAGAGGCTACTTCCCA
This sequence comes from Homo sapiens, assembly GCF_000001405.40. Classification (NCBI taxonomy): domain Eukaryota; kingdom Metazoa; phylum Chordata; class Mammalia; order Primates; family Hominidae; genus Homo; species Homo sapiens. The sequence goes on from NC_000013.11 coordinate 22,658,677, forward strand.
ACTTTTGTTGAAATTAGGCCATGCAGTTAATTTCTGGCCAATGGAATGTGTGCACAAGTGATATCAGCAACACGTGGCTTACTTCCTTAAAGGTAACTCCTTTTTCTAGGCTCTCTACCGACTTCCTCTAGACTTTTTCCTTCTGGCATGTTGGGAAATAGCAACAATTGGAATAGCCACCTTGGACCGAGAGATGGAAGCTAGTTGTTGAATTCAGTAGAGTCCACCTACCTGATTGAAAGCCCGGACTCACTCAAGAAGCAGAGTAGTTTATCAGTCAGGACCACTGTCTTCCTGAGACAAGAGACTCAGGTAAGGGAGATATATATGTACATATATATATATATGCACAAATACTTATATATGTATGTATAATTTAAATAAATTTAATGTAAAATATAAATATGTTATATATACAGGTATACACAAATTATACATTTATACATAAATATTTAAGCAATTGTGGTCTAGTGTTTCTTTCTTAAAACAGCTAAGTCTATACCCTAATATACATATCAATTAATATAGGCTAGTCTAATAATCTTTCCATACCATGCAAAATTTATTGACTACTATTTAACTTACGGTTTTTACATGTGGTTTTATTAATGAACTGGCCTGTACTTGAGAGAGGCAAGATGGCGTGAGAACAGGGACTCTGAAGCCAGACTTCTTCAGTCTGAATCAGGTTTCTCTTTCTTTATGGCTCCAACCTTGAAGATATTTACCATCTCTGTGATTTATTTCCTTCACATTTAAAATTGGGAAAGTCATCACATGTATTCCAATGATTGATGTGATAATGAAATAAGTAAATATAAGTAAAGGACTTTAGATAGTACCTGGACAGAGTAATGCTCAATGAATTCCACCTATTATTACTGTTATTGTAAGTGTGAATGTGTGCATTTGTTGTTGTTGTTGTTGTTGTTAACAGGTTTTAGTGTCCTGGTTATCCTACTGCCTTTATTGAATCAATGTTTGTTTTTTCCCATTTTTAATTTCTTTGTCGTGAAACAGTTTAACTAGCATCGCCATCATCGTTTTGAAGTTTGTGGGTTTTCCTTTACACAGTTTTAATTTATCCTGATGAAGTTGGGCTGCCTCTTTTCTTTTCCATGATTATTTTATCTTCTGTTGATCTTATTCTAGGATTGGCTATTCCTGGAAATTATCTCTTCTAAATCACCACCATAGGGCTGAGGCTTCCTGAAAGTTAGCATTTGCCTAAAACCAAAGCTTAAACGCCCCCATATAGATTGTGGCACAGGTCTCTCTAAGTCCAAGGAATTGCTCTGTGCCACATCAAAGTGAAATTATTGGGACAGTTCAGATTAATTATTGAAATTATCCAAACTTCTCAACTCCCGTTTCCTTTCTTCAGCACAGGCACATGACTTGTGAACAAAGGTGCCTGTTCGGCCTGTTCATGCACACAGCATGATAGTAATAAGACAGTACAGGCTACAGAAGATGGGGAACCTGAGACAAGTCATGTTGCTGCAGTTTTCAAGACATGTGCTCTTCTATGTCTTCCTGTCACCCCTCTCAACACTATTGAGAATGTCTATATGTAATGAACATTATGGGAAATATAATTAACTACAGATCAGTCACCCTTCTGCCAAAAAGCAACAGCTGAAGTGATGAGGCTACATGGAAAAGGAGTTATGGTTGCTCTAGTGGTTTGAATTGCTCCCCAACATTGGCCCCAACAAAGAAAAAATGATATCAAGTTCTAAACCCCAGTGCCTATGAATGTGACTTCATTTGGAAATAAAGTCATTGAAAATCTAATGAAGTTGAGATCATGCTGGATCAGGGTAGGCCTAGATCCAATGAGTGGTGTGTTCAGTGGATAAAGGAGAGGGAAATCTGTACACAGAAACACACACACAGAGAAGACCACTGGAGACGGAGGCAGAGGTCTGAGGGATGCAGCTATAAGCCAGGAAAGGCCAAAGATTGCTGGCAACCACAAGAAGCTAGAAGAGGCAAGGAGGGGTTGTGCTTTTCAGGCAGAGCTTGGTCCTGCTTCCTGATTTCTGACATCTAGGCTCCAGAAGTGTAACAGAATAAATTTCTGTTTTAAGCCAGTCAGTTTGTGGCACTTTGTAATGGAGCCCCCAGAAAATTATTACCGATTTTGATATCAGGATGTAGAGTGCTAAGTAACACATACCTGAAAATATGGGAGTGACTTTGGAATTGGGTTATGGATGGAGGTTGTAAGCATTCTGAGGCATATAAAAGAAAAAGCCTAGATTGCCTAGATGAAGTCGTTGGTAGAAATATGGACAGTAAAGACACTTTGGAAGAGGAGTCCAAAAGAGACTGCAAGTGTAGAGAAGGCTTCTGTAGTCTTAGTGGTACCTGTGTCTTTACAAACATAATGTTGGTAGAAATAGCAGCATTAATAATGCTCCTGGTAAGGTCCCAGAAAGAAACAATGAACATATTATTGGATAGCAGTGGAAATGCAATCCTCATTATAAAGTTGTAGAAAATGTGGCTGAATAGCTGCATTACTATTGTGAAGAAGGAAGAACTTGTAAGTGACAAACTTGGCTACTTAGTGGAGGAGGTTTCCAAGCAAAGTATATAAGGTGTGGTCTGTTTCTCCTTGCTGCTTATAATAAATTGTGAGAAGAAAGAGATAAATTAAAGAAGGAACCATTAACAAAAAGGGAAGCAGCACTTAATGATTTGGAAAATTCTCATCCTATCCATATTACAAAAGATGCTGAAGCATGCTCTGGAGACAACATCAAGGATACAGCAGGACAACCTTCTAGGGGGGAGGTGAGGCGTGTCTGCTCAAGGATCCAATCAACCATCATGGCAGCAGTCAGGAATAGTGATTCATTATCTGGGAAGAACCAGTGGACAATTCCCTTGTCTGCTGGTGTGGTTTCCCTTGACATACGTGAAACACACAAGGGTTTTAATAATGTTATACAAAAAATAAAATAAAATAAAAACCTGCCACTTTGACTGAAGGGAATAGAAATGGGATAAAAGAAAGGACAATTGTCATATTCAGGGATTTCATAGGCAGAAAAATGGCCTATAGAATTACTCGTCTATGAACGCATGTTGTCTTTCAAGAAAAAGGGAAGAGTGACTCTAAAAACAACGAGGCAGAGGCCAGAGGCCAGAGGCAGTGAAGTTGTCCCAGAGGACAGAAATGTGTGCCCCAGGATAGGCCTGAGAAAATCTATCCTATGCCTGTCCCACCACTGCATTTTAGAGGCAGAGAACTTTTTCTCTGGTGTCATAAGTCCACAGCTAGGGAGAAATTTCACTCAAAAATGAATCATACCCAAAGTCTTCCTGAAAGTTAACATTTGCCTAAAACCAAAGCTTAAAAGTCCCCATATAGTTTGTGGCACAGGTCTCTCTAAGTCCAAGGAATTGCTCTCTGCCACATTAAAGTGAAATTATTGGGACAGCTCAGATTAATTCTTGAGATTATCTTACAAGTGAAAGACCCAAAGTCTTACCCATATTTGATTTAAATAATTTAAATGATAAGATTTGGGACTTTTTGAGCTAATGATATTTAGATGATATTTTGGACTTAGAGTTGATGCTAGCACAGGTTAAGGTTTTGGGGGATGTTGAAATGGGGTGAATATAATTTGTATATTGAAAGAATGTGAATTCGGGGAGGGGACAGAGGACGGACTGTAGTGGGTTGAACTGCATTCCTCAGAAAAACGTTCGGGTCATAGTCCCCAGTCCTCGTGAGTGTGACCCTATTTGGAAATAGTACATCATTTAGTGCTTTTCTCCTGTGGTTGCAACAAGTATGTTCGTTCTCAACGTTTCCATTCAGCATTGTTCTGGAAGCCCCAGTCAGAGGCATAAGGCGTGAAGCAAGAAAGCATTCAAATTGGAAAAGAAGAAGTAAAACTATACTTCTTTAAAGGTGTGATTGGTAGACATAGAAAAACTTTATGAGATATTCCAAAAAGGGGGAAAAAACTAATTAATAAATTTATCAGGGTCACAGAACTAAACGGTCGATATACACAGATTCATTATATTTCCACATAGTAGTAAAAACTGAAAATGTGTATTTAAAAGTATAAATTGAAATTTTAAAATAAAATTTAAAAGCATTTTAAAAATCAAAACATGTAGGGATAAATTTTACAAAATATGGGCAAAAATTTAAAAAGACACTTCAAAAGCGAAGACACTTACAAATGCCCAGTAGACAAAAGTACCCAACATCTTTAGTCATCAGGGAAATATGAAATCAAACCACAGAGATGCAGTTTCACTCCAACTAGAATGGCCAAGGGGTGGCAGATGTGAAGCAACTTGAGCACTCCTGCGTTGATGGTGGGAGGAATTATCAACGTTGAAGACGTGTTTGGCAGTTTCTTGTACAGTTAAACATACTTTCACCTTTGACCCAGAAATTCCTTTTTTCTTTGGCATTTACCTAAAAGCAATGAAAACATATATTCATAAAAATACTTATTCAACACGTACATAGCAACCTTATTCATAATACCCAAAATTCATGAATGGTGAATGGAGAATAAACAAATTGTGGTACATTCTTACAGTGAAATAATAGCAAAATAAAGGAAAATCTACTACTGATACATGCAACAACATGGATTAATCTGAAAAACATCATACTGAGTGAAAGAGGGCAAACACAGTAGAATCTATGACTGCATGATTCAGTTTATATCAACTTCAAGAGCAGGCAGAAGCTCATCACTAATCTTAGAAATCACAACAGCGGTTGCCGCTGGGGTGCACTTGAAAGGAGCCTGAGGTCAGCTCTTAAGCATTGAAAATGTTGAGCATCTTGTTTTGGGTGGTGGTCACATGGGCAATCAATTGTTAAATCTCACTGAGCATTTAAAATCTAGGCATCTTATTTTGTGGAAATTACACACCCATGAAGTAAAAACAAAAAGAACAGTACTATCGGGGAAAAAAAAAAATGAGTATTTGCAGAAAATTTCCAAAGCTTTGAGTTGAATAAAATCCGAAAGAAGCATGTATTTATGTGAATTTTAAATCTCTTGTCTAAGCTGTCCTAATTCCCAGTTACGATATGAGTAAGAAAAACTGGAAATATTTTACTTAAATCATGATAACTTAAAAAACTTTTTTCAAAATCTCCTTCTTTATGGAAGAATTCACTTTTAATTTCCCTAATATTTCTCTTTCTAGATATGTTAGCATTAAAGCTCCTTTCTGTCTTCTGTGCCTGCATTGTCTCCAAAAGGCAAGCTGAACAAATTCCTATATTTCTAAGAGTTTCCTCCAGTGACAAGCAACTGGACTTTCTACTCCAGGCAAAAATAAATAAATCACAGAGATTTCCCAGAAGGCAAAATGTTCCAATTCTGTGGCACCGCTGTTCACTACCTACACATATACGAACCCAAAGATGGAATGTTCTTATTTCAAATCTACTCTGTATATCATATCAGACCATGGGGTTTTTTTCCCTTTCTTTTCTTTTTTTTTTTTTTTTTTTTTGAGACGGAGTCTCGCTCTGTCGCCCAGGCTGGAGTGCAGTGACGCAATCTCCGCTCACTGCAACCTCTGCCTCCCAGGTTCACGCCATTCTCCTGCCTCAGCTTCCCGAGTAGCTGGGACTACAGGTACCCGCCATAACGCCCGGCTAATATTTTGTATTTTTTAGTAGAGACGGGGTTTCACCGTGTTAGCCAGGATGGTCTCGATCTCCTGACCTCGTGATCCGCCCGCCTTGGCCTCCCAAAGTGCTGAGATTACAGGCTGAGCCACCGCGCCCGGCTTCAAATGCACTTTTTTTTTTTTTTTTTTTTTGAGGCAGAGTCTTGCTCTGTCGCCCAGGCTGGAGTGACCCAGTGGCGTGGCTCACTGCAAGCTCCGCCTCCTGGGTTCACGCCATTCTCCTGCCTCAGCCTCCCCAGCAGCTGGGACTACAGGCGCCTGCCACCACGCCCAGCTAATTTTTTGTATTTTTAGTAGAGACGGGGTTTCACCGTGTTAGCCAGGATGGTCTCGATCTCCTGACCTCCTGATCCGCCCCCTCGGCCTCCCAAAGTGCTGCGTGAGCCACCACACGCGGCCAGTTTTTCCCTTTTGTTTTCTTTTTTTTTTAACACACTTTACTTTTACTTCCAGGTGAGTATTAATTTAAAACTCACTTTAGATAGTTTAGATAATATGGACAAAAACTGAAAATATATTTCTCAAGAGAAGATATACAAATGGTCAGTAATTAAATGTAAAAGTGTCTCATAAATTTATTTTCTGTATGCAAATTTGCTTATTTTTTAGCTATTTTAAAATATTTTTAACTTTGTTTAGTACCTACATTAGACCCGTATAGTTAAAGAAACTTAAATACAAGTGATAACCTAGTTAATGTGTCTCATTTTTTAATAAACACTGAAATAATATCTATTTAATCCCAACTGAAACTGAGTCTGGGGCATCAGCTTTGTCTTCGGGATTGTTGTTTGACATTAATTTAGCTATTTCCTTCACACAGATTAATATTTCCAATTACAGAGTGTTGACTCTTGTGTTATTTCCACATTACAGTGTTTTGGTATTCCACATTAGAAAGTTTTCTTGTTTGTGGTTAAAACAATTGATAACCTGGGAGCAGTTTCTCCTTTATACATGTCTCTGAAGCCAAAAAAGACTAAATGGCAACTGGTATACATTATTCATCACAAAGAATAAAACAATATAGATACACTTTATTTCATTATTAGACTTCACAGATGGACATAAGGTTATACTTGGAATATTGATGATGGTCCAGCCTTCAGCAGCTTTTCCCTCCTTTGTATCACATACTCTGAGTTGACAATGTCTACATGGGCTTAGAAGCCTGTTCTCTTCGAAAAGGCTTTGAAGGAATGCAGTTACTTCATTGCTGTATAGTAGCCTGTACCTCAGGATATCCTAGAGATGAAACAAATAAATATTGGGATTTGCTATGTCATGTTTGATCCCTCAGTGAGAGCATAATGACAGTGCAGAGCCTGCTCCAGACATCCTCAATGCTGTAGCTTTCCCTCCCCAAAAGTAAACAAATGTTTGGCAGAGAATCAGTTGGTCCATATGCTTGTAGGTGGCAGAATATTTACACAGAAACGTGTTCCAACCTTTATTTTCACCTCTCTCTTTTAAAGTGTTTGTTTCAGCTTTCATGAGAAAGGATTTCCAAAATAAAAATACTTTCCTACAAAGGCTTTAGCTGTCACCTTAAATTATTACCTTAAGAGCCCTTAAAATGTCATGTTAATAACAGCAGAAATATAGGAGGAAAAGACCTGCACTGGAGAGTAAAATATATTTTGGAAAATTTGTATTTTCTAGAACCTTGTCTACTACTTGAGGTTTTGTAGAGAGGTGGTGAGGGTGGTATGTGGGGTTGGGGGGAGGAATGGAGTATATTGCTGGGGCTCAATCAATGAGAGAACAAGACTAATAGAACTTTAAGAAACAATGTGCCTGATTTTACAGATGACTTCTGTACAAGCATCCTCTTGATTTTTAGAAATGCAGTTGAAACTTGAACAACACAAGTTTGAACTGAACTGGTGACTTATATGTGAATTTTCTTCAGTTTCTGCCATCTCTGAGACAGCAAGACCAACCTCCTCTTCCTCCTCCTCCTCAGCCTACTCCAGGTTAAGATGACAAGGATGAAGACCTTTACGATGATCCATTTCCACTTAATGAAGAGTACATATAGTTCCTCTTCCTTACGATTTTCTTAATAACATTTTCTTTTCTCCAGCTTATTGTCATTGTAAGAATACAGTGTATAATACATATAACATACAAAATATGCGTTAATCAACTGTGTATATTATCAGTAAGGCCAGCAGTAGGCTATTAGTAGTTATTTTTGGGAGCCACAAGTTATATGTGGATTTTTGACTGCTTAGGGCCAGAGCCCCTAAGCCTCGTACTGTTCATGAGTCAACGGTGTGCCTTTTACTCATGCATATCTTTTACTGTAAATAAAAGATGAAGGGCACAGTGGAGTGCACCTGTAGTCCCAGCGACTTGAGAGACTGAGGTGGGAACCCAGGAATTCAAAGCTACAATGAGCTATGATTGTACCGCTGCACTCCAGCCTGGGCCACAGAGCAAGACCTCATCTCTGTTAAAAAAAAAAATGATTAATTAAAAAAAATTAAAGATAATGAATGCATCAGGAAAATAGGGTGATTTATTCTAAAGCACATTATATGCCCAAAAATGGCCAAGATTCTGAGGCTATTTAACTGATTTCCATTGAGTGAGTGCCTCTGAATAACTGAAGTCTAACTGAAGTCCAGAATTCAGCCTACCTAAAAACACTTTGAATGTTGATATTTCAAAGGCTTGTATTCCCAAGAGTTTCTTTGAATTTGTAAGAAGTAAATTACTAAATCAGATTTATATGTATGAGGTGATTTTATTCCCACCTGAGGATGCTGAAAAACAGATATAAATATTTGTCTATAGAGAATGGTATGCATATTTATTGAGATCTTTAGTTTACTTTTAACATACGTGTTCAAAGAAATCACAGGCATGCTGCTGTCAGTTTTCCAGCAGTTCTAAACATCAATAAAAGTAACCAAACAGGGTGCATATTTTTATTGGAAGCCTGGTTTAGCAACTTTAGAAATATTTTTAGTAGGAAAATATCATAAAAGTATCACAGCCATTCTGTTACAAATTCGGCTAATATATTATCTAAGGGAAATAACCCAAATTTCTCTCCTACTCACAGAAATTCCATACAAATTTGTGTGTGCGTGTGTGTGTGCACACATATGTATGTGCACACATTTGAGGCTTATAAGCTCAATCGTATTTCACAGGAATGAACACTAGTTCTTTTAGATTTTAAAGCAGATTAATGATATTAATATTGAAGTTTACCAGAAGATTCCTGAAATTTTCTAGAACTGATTACAGAATGTTTGAGATGGTACACTTGACTCATTAACTTATTTAAATACTGAGTGATCCCAATTCCTTTTTAAGACCAAGACAATGCTGGTTTTCTAATTTCTCAGTCAGGAAAGGAAATAGAACAAGACCAGCTTTGTGATTTACCTCCAGCGAACTGCATGGTGAAAAGAAGTTTTAGAAATCCCACTGTAGAAGACTGTATGGAGACACAGAGAAAAGGAAGGAGCATGTAAAACAAGCTGAGCCTTCCTACCCCTGCTTCCATCTCACGGACTCATAGTGGAGACACGATCCGCAGATAGCTGCCCCCAGAGGCCCCTTTTGTTTCAAGACTTTCTCGAGCTGAGATTACTGACCCCGCCTCATGGAGATAAGAGAGACCTAAGATACGTCTCTTGTCTCCACTCATTTTATTACAATTTATTTTGTTATCACTTGATATATAACATGAGTCCTATTCTTCCCCCTTAAATAGGGGAGATCTCTAGGTAACAATGTGAGAAAGTAAAACAGGCAGTTTTCATAATTCTGCTTGGTAAACCTTTTCCTGAACAGAGTTTCAATGCAGAGGAAAGAAGTAGATGGCATTTGAATATAGAATTCTTATTTTTAGGGACAATACACAGGTTATGTTAGACTCCTATCAAATCAAGTAATTACCTTCTCTCTGGCTATTAGGTCCTTTTCCCATTTTTTCTTTCTTTCTTTTTGTTCAGTTAATCTTTCAGAGAGACTTCAAGGCCCTAACTGTCTTCCTAGAAAACCCCAAAACTAACGAGGAGTAAGCTTTTCAATCAACACTTTCATATAAAAGCCCAGGTCAAGGATCACATTACCTAGAGCTTTGCTGACAGACTGGCAAACTTTACTCTAGGAAGTGTAGCAAGATTCATTTCCCCTGGTTCTGGGTCAATAGGTATAAAACAATATGATTCGCTTCTCTCTTCGTTCCTATAGTATTTCTCCTAAGACCTGATCCTCATGCTTCCAAACAGGAAACAGGAGGACTGTTGGGATTAGCCTGTCACCTGGTCACTTAACCCCACTCTCAGCAGCCTCTAGTTGTGACAGACGGACCAACAAGGAACTCCCCACAAGCTCCCTTTCCAGGGCTTCTACCCCAAACTGTTGTCATGAAAGAAAAACAAGTCCAACTGCACTTGTTTATCACAACGCTCCTACCTCATTTGGAAAGAAAAATAAACAAGAATTAGTGAATTTTTATAGACTGATTCTGCAGGAGAAAAATTAAATAGATGAATTATTATCACTTTGTTTTGGAGTCTTCCATGATCCTTCAGATAACAAATTCCATGAAAGAAAGGAAAACTTTCTCATCAAGTCATAATTTTATATTTTTTTAAATAAAATTTTCCAAAAAAAGTAACATGGTATAAAAGTGTAAAAGCTTAAAGAAATATATCTGGGCTTTGAGACTCCACTGAATATATCAACATATACTTTCTATTTTGCAAAATAGATATTAGAATTTAGATATCTAGGGGTGCCAAGACTACAGATGTTTCCTTCGAGACCTTTTAAAAACAGAAGTCTAATTTTATTAAAATCTAATGAAAATCATAATGGCAATTTAAAAGTTCCAGATGTTAGAGTCATCAACATTGTTCATCTTTTCTTTTCTTTTTTTTTATGGAGACGGAGTCTCGCTCTGTCGCCCAGGCTGGAGTGCAGTGGCGCGATCTCGGCTCACTGCAAGCTCCGCCTCCCGGGTTCACGCCATTCTCCTGCCTCAGCCTCCCGAGTAGCTGGGACTACAGGCGCCCACCACCACGCCCGGCTAATTTTTTGTATTTTTAGTAGAGGCAGAGTTTCACCGTGTTAGCCAGGATGGTCTCAATCTCCTGACCTTGTGATCCGCCCGCCTCGGCCTCCCAAAGTTCTGGGATTACAGGGGTGAGCGGCCGCGCCCGGCCTGTTCATCTTTTCTTTCACCTTTATCACTGTGAGTGACCTTGTGATGCACAGTGTGGTCAAGGGGTGAGTTTAAACAAGTATTCATCCCATTAGTGTACAATATAATACTCAGAGTCATAAATCAAGTGCTACACACGGTCACATCATCAAAATTCATCCTTTTTTTGGCACATTTAATTTTTAAATCACTTACACAAAAATTTAAAAAATTCAAAATTGTTATTATTTTTGTTTCTCCGATGTGTGACTGACAAGCTTTTTCCCTCAGTCACTCTCTCTACCCGCCACCTCTCTCTTTCTCTCTACACACACACACACACACACACACACACACACACATATGTACACACACGTATATATGTACTATATATATATAGTGTCAAATGAACAAATGAAAGAAAATGGCTCCTCTAACTCCATCCAGCTCAGTGCTTCTAAATAAGGATGTTGCTTTTTGACTTTCGCCCTACCCTCCTCTGGGACGCTGGGTGCCAGTTGGATAGCATATCCATAGCTCTCACTTGAGAAAGCAGGAAAACTTAAAAATATTTGCCATTTTTCAACATTCTCCCCTTTCCTCTCCCTCTGCACATCCGGGGTAGATACACCAAGTACTCATGGTACTGCTATTAGTACTTTCTAAATGCTGCCTACACAGAAAGTTGTCTCCATTTTGCCTGCTTGTGTGCTCCCAGAGCTTAGCTTAGACCCAAGCTTCCCTATCAGAGCACTAGCAAAGATCTACAGTGAGGTGGCTTCAGGCTGCTAGCCTACCCTATTTCCTGCAACATCTTCCTCAGCCCGGACTTGGTACTCTGTCATATTGTCTGCGGGACACATGCCCCAACAAAATCACAATTTTTTTTTTCATTTAGATACTGTTATTCTAAAAAGTGGCATTATGCTATGGAAACCAAAAGTAACAACAATGTATTGAAATCAGATGACATTACAGATGTAATGAGGGACATTTGTCCCATGTGAACCTTCATGGCCATGTAATTACAGAAGACCAGCATGACTGGCGTGTCCGTGTGGCCACAGACAGCTGCAGGAGGAGTGCCATATGGGCTCCAATGCTTGCCCCACATGCGTATCTTTTACAAAACAAGCATTTGTTATTTGATTTTTCTCAGATGTGCCTTTCCCTGACTATCTAATATGCCAAAGAACCAATGCAGAAGTTACTTCTTTTGACTACAAATATGGCTGTAGATTTACTGAGAGTTTGTCTAAAAAGTGTAGAATTACACCAAAACAACGTTGATCTAACCCAAGGTTCTCTTGGAGACAAAGTAGGAGAAGCTGCATATCTGCTTCCTTCCCACAGGAGCCACAGATCTGCAGAGCAGCTTCAAGAATTCTTTGTTTTGTTTTGTTTTGTTTTGAGATGGAGTCTCGCTCTTTTTTTTAGTAGAGACGGGGTTTCACCGTGTTAGCCAGGATGGTCTCGATCTGCTGACCTCGTGATCCACCCGCCTCGGCCTCCCAAAGTGCTGGGATTACAGGCATGAGCCACCGCACCGGCCTACGAATCCTTCTTAGAATGTTCATCCCATCTTCTCCGACCTCTTGCCTTGATCATCTTGTGGATTTCCAATACTCTGTAGCCAATTCTCTGACCTACTTTCCTAACTTCTTCACACTTTGCCTTAGCACTAGTTCAGAACTAGTCCAGGGACACTGTGGATTCTTCTTACGCAGGCAGAGATCAGTGGAAAAAAATGAGAGTATGAAATGAAACATCGTTGGCCAAGCGCGGTGGCTCACGCCTGTATTCCCAGCACTTCGGGAGGCCGAGGCGGGCGGATCACAAGGTCAGAAGATCGAGAGCATTCTGGCTAACACGGTGAAACCCCGTCTCTACTAAAAATACAAAAAATTAGCTGGGCGTGGGGTGGGAGGCGGAGCTTGCGGTGAGCCAAGATCGTGCCACTGCCCTCCAGCCTGGGCGACAGAGTGAGACTCCGTCGCAAAAAAAAAAAAAAAAAAAAAAGAAATGAGACATCCTTGAGGGGCATTTCTCTCTGTAGAAGGGAGTTTAAGTTTCCATGTGACCACCTGGAACAGGTGGTTTCTGTCCTCCAAGAGACCACGTCCCATCTGAACTCAGAATCCCGGGAATGTCAGACAAAATTTCTTCCTTCTGACGAAACTTGAGTAAGAGAGGGAGTGTTCTCTGTATCCAGAGCCCACCAAGGACACACCCCTGGTTAACAAGTTGGTTTTATACCAGTTGCTATGAGGGGGAACACACAACATGGGCAGGTGTCAGAATGGCTTGACTGTGGGACTCGGACTGTTTGATGATTTGGGGAGATGGTGAAGAGTTGGGGATTTCCTCTAGATCTGATGTTGTCAGGAAATGGAGATCCATGATTAGATATCTTAGTAAATTTTAACTGAGAGAGAAAACCATCCAAAGGTTGAATCTTTAATTGGTAAAAAGCAGTAGTCACTCCTAGTGGCCAGGCTAGGGGGATGTTGGGTCACTCTTGTGGCTTGGACAATGCTAGTGTCTACCTGGATTCAGACATGATTACAAAGTGGTCTTGCTTTTGACTTATCTGCCGTGATCATAGTAGCCTGGCCTGAAGTTGAAGTGGTTTATGTTCAACTGAGGGACACCATTGCCCAGCTGTGCGTGCCAGGCCAGCTCCTGGATGCCAGCTGCTGCTTTTCTCTTCCTCAGTCCCCTTGATTTGGCCAAAAGCAAACAAGTTAGGCCACAGGGTCTTAATCAGTCCCCTCGGATTTTCACCATGCCTGATATTTTTCTGTGCAGGAAGTTGTTTAGAGAACACAGTCTGTGGTTGGACTTGGATTAATTTCTCCTGCTTCAGGAGATTTGTGGGATCATTGGACATGACAGTAGCTGCCTAGTAGCACTTTAGAGTCTGTACAGGACACTTCAACTGATTGCAACAAAAGCAGTTATCAGGGAAAACAAAAAACAAACAACTCTTAGTCCTTGAAACAAGTTTTGAAGCCAGGGGTGGAGATTATAAAACCCAGTGAATCCAGCTGAATCTGTTTTAGAGAACCAGGTGACTTTCTTTTTTCTTAGTTTCATCATGAGCTTATTTGTCCTGCAGTATGTAGATGTAATGAAAAGTGTTCCCTATAACATGGATTTCCTCTTGGCTAGTTAAGGGGAAAACAAGCTCTATGTGATTATCTGTAAGAAGAGTGGTTTGTTGGATTTTTAGGCTTTTGTTAGAGTCAAGGAGAGATTTTGGACTAACTTTCCATTTCAGTATTTCTAACGCGACAATTGCTGTTGACCACAGCATGCATATAGATTTATCACAATTGTCACTTCAGGAAATTTTATAAATAGACTTGTATAGACCTCACTTTAAAAGTTTCTGGGTAATTTTTCAACGGAAATATTATCAACGGGAGGTGTGATAACTTTAAATATTTGCAGACCTCTAACAATTATCCTGAGCCCACGGAATGCTTCTGTGTGATGGGCAGGTGTCAGTCTGTTGTCAATATAGGAAAGAATGATCTGGCGATACACGGACTGCATTAGGAATGAAAGTATTGTTTACTGCAATAGGAAGGAGCCTGTTTTGTGTCCCTTTATGAAAACAAAATTTTTTTTTTTGAGACAAAGTCTCACTCTGTCACGCAGGCTGGAGTGCAGTGGCACCATCTTGGCTTACTGCAACCTCCCACTCCCGGGTTCCAGCAATTCTCCTGCCTCAGCCTCCTGAGCAGCGGGGACTACCGGCACCCATCACCATGCCCGGCTAATTTTTGTATTTTTTTAGCAGAAACGGGGTTCCACCATCTTGGTCAGGCTGGTGTCAAACTCCTGACCTCGTGATCCACCCACCTTGGCCTCCCAAAGTGCTGGGATTACAGGCGTTAAGACACCATGCCTGGCTGAAGACAAATTTTTTGAGTCAATTTTAAATAAAGTGTCTGGAAGAAAACAAATTCAGCAAAGTGGTCAGGGTAGCCCCAATGTTAGTGTTCTCAGGATTGACCAGTCCTTGTTGATAGGACTGTAATGACCTCAGCAGAATCATTTTGATAACACGAATTAAGGTTCATATCTTAGAAGACTGAAGGTTGGTAGTAGTAATGTGAAGGAAATTTAGGTATTAGATGGCAATATAAAAAGGGAATCTATTCTGTGAAGAATTTGAAAGAACACCTTTGGGGGTGTGGTCTCAGACCCAGCAAACAGTATTTAAGAACCCATTTTTCCCTATAGGCTTAGAAAAATGTTCAGAGCTTTGGATTTCCTCACGTCAAAGAAGAAAACCATAGAAATAAAATATAAATATACATTTATATATTATTATATAAATGTATATTATATAAATATATATTAATATATTATATAAATGTATATTATATAAATATATATTATATTATTATATAAATATATATTACATAAATATATATCTATATATTATATAATATATATTTATATATTATATTATATATTTATATATTTATATATTATATAATATATATTTATATATTTATATATTTATATATTAAATAAGATATATTTATATATTATATAATATATATATTTATATATATTATATAATATATATTTATATATTTATATATTATATAATATATATTTATATATTATATATTATATAACTATATTTATATATTATATAATATATAAATATAGTTATATAATATATAAATATATAATTAATTTATAAATATATTAATATTTATATAATCATATTTATATAATGTATATTTACATTGTATATATTTATATTTTATTATATTATAAATATTTATATATTTATTTATATTTTTAAAAATTTATATGTATATATGTGTGATAAAAAAGAATGATTATTATTAGTGCTCTAAAGGTGGCCAGATTAGTGGTAGAGTGAAGAGATAGAAAAGTGTGTGAATCAGAAATTAATCTTATTTTACATCTCGGGTGGAAAATATCTGCTTCTGTAGTCAGTGGCTTCTGAAAGCCTCCAAGGAATCCTTGGTCAGGAAGCAGTGAAGTATGTCTTTTATGTGAATCTGAAGATCAAAACCTTGAATTTTCCTGATACGTCAGTCATTCACAGTACCTGGTGAGATCTTTTTCATTGAGGCTCAAGGACAGCTTTTCTCTGACACCTTCACAGTCTTGCCAGGGTCGCACCGTTGGCGGGCAGTGTGTGCCTTGGAAACATTGTCTGCAATGCATCTTGCAGTGAGCCCACCAATGTCAGGCCATCAGTCTCTGCTCTTGTGAAAAATATTGTGAAACATCTTTGCTAAAATTCGATTTTCAGAATAGCCAACTTCTTAGATAATCTTAATGCATATCAAGGCTTTTTAATTGTCCATTTATTTTAGAGAGGTTTTTGGAGATGTCAGGCCATTTCTTGGTTTCTGAAGCAGGTTGAAGATATTGACACATCTAAAATCATGTACCTACTGGCCAGGTGCGGTGGCTCACACCTGTAATCCCAGCACTTTGGGAGGCTGAGGTGGGCAGATCACAAGGTCAGGAGATCGAGACCATCCTGGCTAACACAGTGAAACCCATCTCTACTAAAAATACAAAACAAAATTAGCTGGGCGTGGTGGTGGGCGCCTATAGTCCCAGCTACTCGGGAGGCTGAGGCAGGAGAATGGCGTGAACCTAGGAGGCAGAGCTTGCAGTGAGCGGAGATCAGGCCACTGCACTCCAGCCTGGGCAACAGGGAGAGACTCCATCTCAAAAAAATAAATAAATAAATAAAATAAAATAAAATCATGTATCTACTATCAATAAAAGTGTGTGTGTGTGTGTGTGTGTGTGTTTCAGGAGGTCTGGAAAGTGGTAAGGACATTTTTGTGTGTTGATAGATTATTTAACGATTCTCCTTCAGTCAGTTGTTTTCTGTATTCAGTTACTTAATTCTCATCCATATATTCTGGTCTTACCTACGAAATCTGAGAAAAGGACAGGTTCTGGAAAGATTTCTTAAGATATAGACATATTCAGTAAAGAAACAGACTTGGGATGACCAGGCTGAATTGTTAATAAGACATGGAATGGCTAGCTTAAGAGCAAATATACAGAAGTTAATACAGAGGGGGGATAATAGGATTGGCTTTATTACTAGGGTAATATACCAGGGATATGAGTTGATGTCTCAGTTTATGTAGTTTACTTGTTTTTTATTGTTTTCTTTAAATCTCTTGGTGGATTTCCTAGTTTCCCTAAGTATAACACTTCAGCATATCTTAAGAGACCTGTAGACGTCCTTCTTTGAATGATATAACCACAAGAAGCAGCTATGGATCTCAAGAAGCGATCTGCGATGGTCCAGAACTGCAAGAGTGGGCCCATTCCTGGGGATCGCGACGGAAAGGAAGGTTTCTATGAAGAGCCGGGCTTGCTTTGCAGAGCTGACGTTTTGTTATTGAAGAAACCTTTTCAAACTGGAATTTGGAGAGGCATTTTCACTTCTTATAGATCTTGAAGGCATTTTCGTTTCTTGTAGAATGCTCAGACACTAGATTTCTCATAAGCATCATTTAAAACATGTTACATTTCAGAAAAAGTTGACCAGAAGCGTTCAGTTTTTGCCTGCCTGTTTTTAATACCTCATGATGTGCTATTGGGATTTATGGTTTCACTTGTCATATTGGCACCTGCGATGGAGAAGATCATTAAAAACTTTTTTCAAGTTTTCATTTATTGTACCCATAGAAAAATTATATTTCTATTAATTGTAGTTGGAAAATTTTGAAAAGTGTGTTGTAAGCCATTCCAGATAATATCTTTCTTGTTGTATAGCTATTACTCAGACCTATCTAAAGAAACGGTTGAGTGTGAATTACCTCAAAAACAAAGTAGTCACTTTAAAATTTGAAATGCATTATGCACCTGAGGTGCTGACAGCAAAGCCCGTGCCAGGCATTTGATCCACTGATACCCATTTTCCAAGTACTCCAGATCCTTAGATCTGCGTCTCTTCCATTTTTGCTGTGGCCAACTTTCAAATAAGGGATCGGGAAACAGTTTAGTGATCATAAATCACATTGATGGTTGGAAAAATAAAAAGTGTTCCTTTGCTTCTTCAGATGTGTTTCCATACATTTTTACACATCTTTTGGCTAAATCAAAAATCCAGATGCAAAATGATTGGTGCTTACAAATGCAGTGTCTATTTGTGACAACCCATGGAAGAACAGAGGGCCGGGAAACCAAACAAGGCTCTTCTCTGGCATAACAAAGGGTAGGTCAACACTGCCGAAAGCAACGGGCGACAGATTGCTTAAAAGTGGATGTGGGCCAGGCGCAGTGGCTCATGCCTGTAATCCCAGCACTTTTGGGAGGCCAAGGCAGCCAGATCACGAGATCAGGAGTTTGAGACCAGTCTGGCAAACATAGTGAAACCCCGTCTCTACTAAAAATACAAAAAATTAGCCGGGTCTGGCAGTGTGCACCTGTAATCCCAGCTACTCGGGAGGCTGAGGCGGGAGAATCACGTGAACCCAGGAGGCGGAGGTTGCAGTGAGCCAAGATCACAACACTGCACTCCAGCCCAGGTGACAGTGCGAGACTCCATCCAAAAAAAAAAAAAAAAGCGGATGTGGTTGCCATTGCTGTGTCTGCATTCCACCAAATGATTTATTCAGCCAAAATACCGCATTCGCTGCAGTGGATAATATTAAGGAAATATTTTGACCTACTATTAAACGGTACATAGTAACAGCTTCACTTTGACTTTTAAAAAGTCCAGTCTTTCTGATAGGACAATTGACTATTCTTTCCTTATTTCACCTTTTCTTTATTTCCCAATGTATTTTTAAATAATAAAAGCATGTTACTTTTCTAATCATAAAAATATATTTAAAAGTCCCTATCCTGTCTTGGAGACGCTATTTAAATCCTACTGTTGTCCCTGGTTCATCCCCTCATGACAACACCTTCTCCAGCTCCCCTCTAGCACATATTTCTGGTGGTGGGGACTCCTCATTTGATGTTCATGTGTTAAGTATCAATTTGAACATAAGTCATTTTTTTCCCGATGTAATTGCAGGAGCTTTGGCTGTCAGGATAATTTATGCAGGCTTTGGTATGTCTTGGAGTAGTAATACAACATTAGCACAAAGTAGATATTTGGTGCACACTAAGCTTTCTCTTCTGACGTTTCTTCTCCCTGCTTTCCGTAGCCCTCTTTCTATGCCTTTTTAAGGGGAGGGGGGGACAAAAGAAAATGTACCAAATTTCAAACCCTTAAACTCTGGCTTAGAACATTTCTGTCAGGCTTACTATCTTTATATTCCTACCACCCACTCTGAACTTCGTCTTGCATTGAGTAAACACCTTCCCTCCTTCTTGTAGAATAAAGTCTCTATTTATTACCGCCAATCTCCAGATCTCTGTCCCCACCTCAATCTTAATCTGGAGAGAAAGATAGTACTTTTATTAACTTTATGTTGGATAATAATATAATGGTGGTTATTTTAACAGCTGAAATGTTCTAGTTTCTTAGGGTCTTACCTTTATTTTACTAAGCATATTTCCTTTATTTATACTTATAATTAATTGTGCTCATTTTGTTATTTTATTTTACTTTTATTTTTGCTTGTTGTGATGGTTAATACTGAGTGTCAACTTGATTGGATTGAAGGATACAAAGAATTGATCTTGGGTGTGTCTGTAAGGGTGTTGCCAAAGGAAATTAACATTTGAGTCAGTGGGCTGGGGAAGGCAGACCCACCCTTAATCTGGGTGGCCACAATCTAATCAGCTCCCAGCAAAGCTAGAATATAAGCAGACAGAAAAATGTGAAAACAGAGACTGGCCTAGCTTCCCAGCCTACATCTTTCTCCCGTACTGGATGCTTCCTGCCCTCGAACATCAGACTCCAAGTTCTTCAGTTTTGCAACTCAGACTGGCTCTCCTTGTTCCTCAGCCTGCAGATGGCCTGTTGTGGGACCTTGTGATCATGTGAGTTAATACATAATAAACTCCCCTTTATATGTATGTATGTATGTGTGTGTGTGTGTGTGTGTGTGTGTGTATGTGTATACATATATATATACATATATATACATATATATATATATTCCACTAGTTCCACTTAACATTTCAACCCCAACTCCTACCTCTGCTTACATCCCTTCTCCTTATCTTGATGTGTTTGTTTATTGTTCTATAACATGTCACAATTTTACATACCCACTGTGTTTACTGTTAATGTTCTGCCTTCTCATGATAACATGTGAGCCTTAGGAGATCTGGATCCCTTGTCTGTTTATACACAGATGTTACCTTAAACACGTATAACAGCAAGTGGCATATAGTAAAGTACAATAACTTTTTATAAAGTCTGAATAAACTCCACCAAAATTCCAATGCCACTGGACACCTCCTATTTCAGATGGTGAATCTCATGCTTCACTCCCAACTTGCCCAACCTTAAATCTGCATTTTCCATCCTGCCTCAAACTCTGGGCTTCGGGCACTGAAGAAACACCCACTCCAGAATCAGTATCAAGGACACGTGTTCAGTAAGTATCTCTTAGAAATAAAATAACATTCTAGGCTTTAGAATTCAAATAGTTTAAAATACATCTCTTAAATGCCACAATATTGTAATCTAAGTGAGAAGACTATGCACGGTAGCAGAATATACATGGCCAAGGAAGGAGAGGTGGGTATGGGATGGGGGGAAGATAAAATACTGCTCCCCGTTTAAAACACACATTACACCACCACCACCATTACTGTCAAGCACATCATCATTGCCTACCCCCACCAATACCATCACCGCTATCATCACCAGTATTACCACCACCACCGCCGCCACAAACACTACCCTCACCACCACCACCACCTTCACCACCACCATTACCATCTGCACCACCAACTTCTTCACCACCAACATCATCACCATTACCACCATCACCACCACTTTTACTACCATCACTGAAATCATCACCATCACCACCATCACTGTCACTACCACCATGATCATCACCATCATTATCATTACCACCACCATCACCTCCACCACTTTCACTGCCACCACTACCTTCACCATCACCACCATTACCATCAACACCAAAACTGAAACCACCACCACTACAACCATTACCACCACCACCACTGAAGCAATCACCACCACCCCCCTCACCACCACTCCCACCACCCCATCACCTTCACCACCACCACCGTCACCATTACTACCATCACCATCACCACCATCCTCACCAGCACCATCAGCACCACAACATTAATCACCATTACCACCACTATCACCACCACCATCAGCACCATCAACGCCACCACCATCCCTATCACCATCACCATCAAATGCATACATGCACAGTCTTTCCAACCCTCAGTTTCTATGAATGAAAAAACTGAATCTGTCAGCAGGTGATAGAATAAATAATAATCCACAAACCTATTAGCTCACATAATACAATTTACATTGTGTTTGTATTGGGTTACAGTAGACATTTAAAATATTTCAGTAAGACAATAACTGAAAAGCTAATAGTAAGCAATAATTTGTATTGAGACCTCCACTGGAGTCAGGTTGTGCTCGCAATCTGAATGCCTTTGCTCATGACGTTACCAGAGGGAAGAGAGAAAGGATGTTACAATATGGTCTCTGACAATAAGCTACTGCAGGGGCTATCAAATACAATGATTTTTAAAAATCCTAATATTGGATGTATACCATGCAGTTTGTGCAGATAGCAGATAACACAATGGTTCACAAGAAATAAAAGAATCTAAAATATAAAGCCAAGCAGGTCTCATAAGAACTTAAAATAGGCTATGAAAAAAATTGAATTTAGATGAGGTGAGAGGAAAGAGTATTGTGGGGGAAATATATTTTTCAAAGTCACTGGACCCTAATATTTGTGGAATACAAGGTAAGGGTTCAGATGGAGACCCACATGCTAGGTGTCTAAATATTTTAAAATTATCAAACAACCTAACAAACTGTTTATCATTCCACTCTAATAAATAGCTTTAAAACAACAACTTGAATCTGGGTTTAAATTCAGCAGTATCAGGCTCTCAAAAAGTCTAAGCTGGAACATGGAGCAGCTCCTGTCCTTCTCTAACCTCCCTCTGCATCATCTCACCCTGCAAGGGATCTCTTTCCTGCACTTTTGGATACACTGGTCTAAACATCTAAATTCCAGCCATATTCGACCTCTGCAAATCCACCTTCCAGTTATCCCTGAGGCCTAATGGTTCGCATACCAGCTGCACGGTCTGCCCTCAGGAGGAGTGAACAATGAACACAGGAAGAGGCCACATAGATGCTGGAAGGTCCAGGATCCCAGATAACCTTGGTCTAAAAGGAGCACGCAGGCACCAATTAGCATGTCCTTAGCCCCATGACTTTCTTGGCCTGGAGAGAGGTGCTTGGCCAGAGGAGACCAGAACAGGGACCTCTCTAAAACTCAGAGCCCAGGGCAAGTCTTTCTTGCCTGGGTTTAAGTGTACTGAGAGGTGAAGCCAGCCGGACTTCCTGGGTCTAGTGGGGACTTGGAGAACTTTCCTACAAAAGGTTTGTAAAATGCACCAATCAGTGCTCTGTAGCTAGCTAGAGGTTTGTAAAATGCACCAATCAGCACTCTGTAAAAATGCACCAATCAGCCCCCTGTAGCTAGAGGTTTGTAAAATGCACCAATCAGTGCTCTGTAAAATGGACCAATCAACACTCTGTAAAATGGACCAATTAGCACTTTGTAAAATGGACCAATCAGCAGGACATGGGCTGGGACAAATAAGGGAATAAAAGCTGGCCACCTCCAACCAGCAACAGCAAACCCCGGTCAGATTCCCTTGAAGTCTGTGGAAGCTTTGTTCTTTCACTCTTCACAATAACGGTTGCTATTGCTGCTGCTGCTCACTCTTTGGGTCCATGCCATCTTTAAGAGCTGTAACACTGGGCTGGGCACAGTGGCGCACACGTGTAATCTCAGCACTTCGGTAGGCCCAGACAGGCGGATCCCCAGGCCAGGAGATGGAGACTATCCTGGCCAACAGGGTGAAACCCCATCTCTACTAAAAATACAAAAAAATTAGCTAGGCATGGTGGTAGGTACCTGTACTCCCAGCTACTCAGGAGGCTGAGGCAGGAAAATGGCGTGAAACCCGGAGATGGAGCTTGCGGTGAGCCGGGATCATGTCACTGCACTCCAGCCTGGGTGACAGAGCAAGACTCCGTCTCAAAAAACAAACAAAAAGCTGTAATACTTATGGGGAAGGACTGCGGCTCCATTCTTGAAGTCAGTGAGACCACGAACCCACCAGAAGGAACAACTCTGGACACAGTGCTACTTCAAGTTAAATATCAGAGCAATTTCATAAGAAAGTATAGGGTAAAACAGTACTGAACATGTCCGTTCTCACAGCATTTTGAGTTCAGAATAAAGCAGTGATGCCTCTCATTAAAAATTATTTTGATATATATTTTTATTTTGTGAGAAATTGTATCTTTTTCTTAAAAACTAAAAAATCCTAAAACTGACATTAAAAATATTTTATGTAAATATTAAAAAACAGTGGATTGTCACCTACGAGGGGTAAGATAATTTTGCTTATGCATACTGTTCAGAGACAGAGTCTCCAAATGTGTTAATTCAAAACTTAATTTAAAAAAATCTAAAGTTGAATATTTTAGGCTATATTTAACTGCCTGTATATAATTTTATTAAAGTAATATTATCTCTCTATATCACCAACAGATGAGGAATAAAGTGAACAACATAAACTGTTTAATAGACGATTGTAATTACATAAAAGCAATAGAATGAAGATGAAACAACCCTTCCCATTCTTACTCTATGGCTATGGAATTTGGAGTCTATGATGTCAAAAAAAAATTTTTATCATTTAAAGATATTTATATATTTACACATATCAAATTTCAGGGAGGACAGCATATAGGCATGTGGGTTCGGAATTGTGTTGGTTAAAGTGACATCAGTAAAGCAAGGGAAATGAAAGAGTATCAGTCAAGGAGAATCTCTGAAAGATATCTTTCCAAGGTGTGTCCTAGTTGATCAATCATGGGCTTGCAGATTGCTTTTAATAAGATAGTGTAACAATTGGTTCAAGTTTGTTTGGATAAATGTGGATGTTTTGTCTGTTTTTCTCATTTTGTTTTTGATATTTCCTTGTTTGGAGGCATGGCTTGACCTGGTTCTCAGAACTGAGGTGCAAGTTTGCAGTATTTCATTAAAGAAGGAAAAATGTCTACTCACAGACTTGGTATGCTTTTCCTGTTAATTTCCTCATAGGATACTGGCTTGTTATGCTTGTTACATGCTGACAGATGGTTAGATGTAGAATTTATCTTCAAACACAGCCACATTTTTTCGTGAAGATTTTTGAAGCCTAGTTTAACCTGTTTAGCAAATGACTATGATTATGTTCCCATTAATTTCATCATGAAAGAAAAAACAAAATGGGTTATTCCAAAGAATTTGGTTTTTAGATTATATGAACTTTGGGCTGCATTTCCTTCTTAAAGGCAGACCTTTCAGACTGGATTTCTGTGGACAAGGACTGTTGGTGTTTCCTGTAGTTCGGCTGATTATAGAGTTACTAAGTCAGTTCAAGTGTTTCCATAGAGCCTCACTGATGATTCGTTGAGATTGGCCTTGACTTTGCTGGTTGAGTTGTTCATTGACTTTTTTTCTCTTTTGGTTATCATATACTTTGTTATTTTTTTCCCCAGTGGAATCTAAAAATCCAACTAGACTTTATCAAAGGTTAACTTCATCCCAACAGAAAAATATAGTGTCTGCTGGAAAGAATACTACCTGCACTAGCTATTTATTTTTTTTAACCTCAGATATAGTGACATTCCACTTTGCTCCAATAATAAGAAGCTTGTAGAATTAGAGAATTTGGGTTTTTTTTAAATTTCCAAAAATTTGGTCAGACGCGGTGGCTCACGCCTGTAATCCCAGCACTTTGGGAGGCCAAGGCGGGCGGATCATGAGGTCAGGAGATCAAGACCATCCTGGCTAACACGGTGAAACCCCGTCTCTACTAAAAATACACAAACAAAATTAGCCAGGGGTGGTGGCAGGTGCCTGTAGTCTCAGCTACTTGGGAGGCTGAGGCAGGAGAATGGCGTGAACCCAGGAGGCGGAGCTTGCAGTGAGCTGGGATCGCGCCACTGCACTCCAGCC
The DNA here is from genome assembly GCF_000001405.40 of Homo sapiens. Classification (NCBI taxonomy): domain Eukaryota; kingdom Metazoa; phylum Chordata; class Mammalia; order Primates; family Hominidae; genus Homo; species Homo sapiens. The sequence goes on from NC_000013.11 coordinate 22,683,733, forward strand.
TGGGCGACAGAGGGAGACTGTCTCAAAAAAAAAAAAAAAATCCACAAATTTAGTTTTATTATAAAAAGAAATCAGTAAACTACAATAATCAAGGATCTATTTTTCAGAGGATTTAGAAAATCATTTTGATGACAATGAGAAGAAATTTTAAGTGAAAAAGAAAGCATGCGATTTCCTAGGTCAGTGACGAGGGGGATATAAACACATGAAATAAAGCAACAGGAATAAAAAGAAAAAAATAATTTTTTTATTATTATACTTTCAGTTCTGAGGTACATGTGCAGAACGTGCAGGTTTGTTACATAGGTATACACATGCCATGTGGTTGGCTGCACCCATCAACCCGTCATCTACATTAGGTATTTCTCCTAATGCTATCCCTCTGCCAGCACCCCCAGCCCCTGACAGGCCCAGGTGTGTGATGCCCCGCCCCCACCTCTGTGTCCATGTGTTCCTTTTTTTTTTTTTTTAAGACGGAGTCTCGCTCTGTCACCCAGGCTGGAGTGCAGTGGCGCGATCTCGGCTCACTGCAAGCTCTGCCTCCCGGGTTCATGCCATTCTCCTGCCTCAGCGTCCCGGGTAGCTGGAACTACAGACCCCCTCCACCATGCCCGGCTAATTTTTTTGTATTTTTTTTTAGTAGAGATGGGGTTTCACCGTGTTAGCCAGGATGGTCTCCACCTCCTGACCTCATGATCTGCCTGCCTTGGCCTCCCAAACCCGTGTCCATGTGTTCTCATTGTTTAACTCCCACTTATAAGAGAGAACATGTGGTGTTTGGTTTTCTGTTCCTGTGTTAGTTTGCTGAGAATGATGATTTCCAGCTTCATCCATGTCCCTGCAAAGGACATGAACTCATCTTTTTCTATGGCTGCATAGTATTCCACGGTGTATACGTGCCACATTTTGTTTATCCAGTCTATCATTGATGGGCATTTGGGTTGGTTCCAAGTCTTTGCTATTGTGAACAGTGCCACAATAAACATACGTGTGCATGTGTCTTTATAGTAGAATGATTTATAATCTTTTGGGTATATACCCAGTAATGAGATTGCTGGGTCAAATGGTATTTCTAGTTTTAGATCCTTGAGGAATCACCACACTGTCTTACACAAGTTGAACTGATTTACACTCCCATCAACAGTGTAAAAACGTTCCTATTTCTCCACATCCTCTCCAGTATCTGTTGTTTCCTGACTTTTTAAAGATCGCTATTTAACTGGTGTGAGATGGTATCTTGTTGTGGTTTTGATTTGCATTTCTGTAATGACCAGTGATGATGAGCTTTTTTTCATGTTTGTTTGCCACATAAATGTCTTCTTTTGAGAAGTGTTTGTTCATATCCTTTCCCCACTTTTTGATGGGGTTGTTTTTTTCTTGTAAATTTGTTTAAGTTCTTTGTAGATTCTGGATATTAGCCCTTTGTCAGATGGATAGATTGTAAAAATTTTCTCCCATTCTGAAGTTTGCCTGTTCACTCGGATGAGAGTTTCTTTTGCCGTGCAGAAGCTCTTTCGTTTAATTAGATCCCATTTGTTTATTTTGGCTTTTGTTGCCATTGCTTTCTTCACAGAATTGGAAAAAAACTACTTTAAATTTCATATGGAACCAAAAAAGAGCCCACATAAGACAATCCTAAGCAAAAAGAACAAAGCTGGAGGCATAACATAATTAACTACATAGAGAATCCAAAGCAATCTCAAAAAAAATAGAAAAAATAAAATTACTACAATAAAGGTAAATTTACGAGGCTCACAGGATGCGATCAATATGCAAAGACCAATTATATTTTTATATATGAGCAACAAAAATTTTAAAATGAAATTTAAAAAGAATACCATTCATATACATAGTAACATAAAGCATTAAAAATTAAATTCTTAAGAATAACATATTTAAATGTGCAAGACTGTACCTATAGGAGACATACTGAGGGAAATCAGAGAAGATATAACTGAACGCTGACTATACTGTGTTCATGTTTTATAATATATAAACTTGTTAAGATGTCACTTCTTTCTAAATTAATCTACAGACTTAATGTAGTCCCAATCAAAATCTTAGCAGTCATTTTTTTTGTAGAAGTTAACAGGTTGACTCTAAAATATACAAGGAACTATAAAGAAATAAAAATAGCCAAAGCAATTTAATAATTGGCTTTTACTATTTGATTTCAAGACTTGCTCTAAAGCTACAGTAATTAACAGTGATATTGGCATAAGGCTAGGCAAAATGATGAATGGAAAAGAATGGAGAGTCTAGAAATACTTCCTCTCCACCCCTACACACACATATTTATGGTCCATTTGTTTTCAACAAAGGAAACAAAGCAATTTAATGGGGAAAAGGATAGTCTTTTCAACAAATGGTTCTAGAATAGTAGCAGATCCCTATAAAGAAAATCTACCTTAACCTGTACTTTATATCATATCTAAAAATTAACTCAATCTATGTCATGTACTTATATATAAAATTTAAAGTTATCAGGCAGCTAGGAAAGAAGTCAAAAGATAATATATTGTTATAAAGAGATTTATTAGAAAAGAAATAAAATTAACTAGCCATAAAGAAAATATTGATAAATTAGACTTACTCAGAATTAAAAGTGCCCATCAAAAGGTAGAGATAGACAGTAGGCAATGCAAAATACTTGAAATTTCTATATTTGAAACAGGACTTGTATCCAGAATATATTTTAAAACCCATCAAACTCAATAATAGTGATAATAATAATTATTTAAAAATTAATTTTAAAATGGACAAAAGATTTTACCAGATACCAAAAAAAGAGGACTACACAGTAAACAACTGAAAAGGCAATTAACATTAGTCATCTAGGAAATGCAAATCAGAGCCACAATCATTTCCATTTCACAAGTATTGAAGACTCACAATACCAAATGCTGAAATAACTGAATTCTAATATATGGTGATGATTGTGTAAAATGGTAAAACCTTCTTAAGAAACTGACAGTTTCTTACAAAGTTAGATGTACATCTACCCTACGACTTAACAGTTCTATTCCTAGTTATTCCCCCAAGAGAAATAAATGCAAATCTTCCAAGAAAGACATGTATAATAACATTTATAGTAACTTTATTCATAATAGATAAAACCTGGAAATAGCCTCCAATTTCAGAAACAAAATGAGTAATCAAATTGTTGTATTTTTTCATGCACCTTTTTGTTTATTGTTTTCAAATTGATTTTATTTTTAGAATAGTTTTAGATTTATAGAAAAACTGAAAAGATAGTAAAGACAATTCCCATATACCCAATATCCAGCTTTCCCTGTTATCATCTTACATTGGTATGGCAGGTGTTACAATCAAGGAACCAAACTTGAGGCAGAAGAATAGGGTCTAGAAACAGGAAACCTAAGGCCAACCCATGGCTGCCTTCTTGGAAATGAACTGAGAGGAAAACCCCACCTCACCATGACCACGTAATGTTAGGAGCCAAATGCCCCTCTCTCTCCAAACCTCCCCTCCCCTACCTAGTGAATGAGAATGTTTGTAACTGGTCCATTCTGGAACCTTCATTTGCATATACATCACAGGCAGGATGCCTCTGATTGGTCCTGGGCAGAATCCTGCCACTGACTGGTCCTGGGCAAAATCCTTCATTTGTATAGGGTGTAACTTATCAGAGGCCTCTAAAGGGTACTGAGGGGTTTTACCATGTTTTTAAATTTTGATTAAAAACCCAAGGAACATTACAGCCAGGGCTCTTGAGCCACTTGCTTGGGCCTGCTCCCACTCTGTGGAGTGTACTTTTCCTTCAATAAATCTATGCCTTAATCTTCTGTTGTTTTGTTTCTGTGTTTTTTTCAATTTCTTTGTTAAATATGCCAAGAACCTGGACAACTTGCACTCAAGACTTCCATCCAGTAACAAACTAATACACTGTTATTAACCAAAGCTCATGGTTTACTCAGATCTTATTTTTACTTCATCTCCTTTTTCCCATCCAGGATACTGCATTACATTTAGACATCATGTCTCCTTAGGCTTCTCTTGCCTCTAACAGTTTCTCATTCTTTCCTTGTTGTTGATGACCTTGACAGTTTTGAGGAGTATCAGCCATGTAATTTGTAGAATGTCCCTTAATTGAGGTTCATCTGATTATTTTCTCATGCATAGACTGGTGTTATGGTTTTGGGGAAGAAAGAGCTGTGTTGATCACATTATACCGAGAATATATATTCTATGAACTTGATCTATCACTGTTGATATTGACCTTGGTCACTTGGCTGAGGTGGCATTTCTCAGGTTTCTTTACTGCAGTTACTTTTTTTTTTTTTTCCCTTTCCACATTGTGCTTTTTGGGAGGAAGGCGCTCAGTACAGCTCGCACTTAGGTGCAGGGAGTCATACATCCCCCCCTTGAAGGTGAAGTAAATTCTAGTATTTTTATATTAATGAATACTCAGCAATAAAAAGGTAAAAAGGACAGAAAGAAAAGGGAAGGAGCACAACTGAGACAAGGAACAACATAGTTGAACTTCACAAACATTAGGATGTGTGAAAGAATCCAGGTACAAACGTGTACATACTGTAAGATTTATTCATGTCAAAAACAGACAAAAATAATCTATGGCAATTAGAAGCAGAACAATGCTTGCATCAAGGGGCAGGTGATTGAACTAAAAAGGGGTACCAGGGAAATTTCTGTGGTTGATAAAATGTTCTATGTCTTGATTAGGATGTATTCACAACATTCAGTTAGCTGTAAACTTAAGGTCTTCGTTTTCACTTATGTAAATCATTTCTTAATTGAATTTTTTTTCAAAAAAGGTCTTCTGCATGTAATGTCAAAGAAGTCATTAACAATTCTGGTTAAAAGCAATTTCAGTACAAGCGTTGTTGCAGATGGTTTTTTGGGAGCTTTTAGTTAAATTTCCCTAAAAGACCTTCACAACGAAATGGAGTGAGTGAAAGAACAGCACTTACTGAAGATCACTAATTATACTTGAAAATTAGTGACATTATACTTGAAAATTAGAAGACAGAAATAGAGGAGTAAAGATCTACAAAGAACAAAAATCAAACTGCAGGAATATACAGTAACAGTGCTGACCTCATAAAGGAACTAAAAATAGTTTATTGAGCACCTAACTGTTACAGCAATCCAAATGGGAGAAACAAAATGCAAAGAGATGACTAATGTCTGCCAACACGCTTACCTCTAGACACCAGTCTAGCAATGTAAAAATCTTACATCCTTTTATAGTGATCTTTGGAGATTTGCTAAATCCTTGAAGCACTCTAGTAAGAAATGACCCCTTAAGTGTTATGGCTTTTCAAGGACACTCATAGGTAGTATGGAACTATAATTTTTAAAGCATGTGTAAAAAGACATATAAAACAATATATTGTATAGCACAAAAAATCGGGGCACAATTCTCACGGTCATTAGTTATCAAATGAGTTGGTGGCTGCATCTCATTTTGCCTTCTGTAATTTGAGAAAATCTCTAGAAAACTAACAAGAAAACAGAGAAAATAGTTAAAATAGTTAACAAACTAAACTTCTCTGAGAATATATAAGGAAAATTATCCAGCTTGCTGAAGACAGGTAAATCACAAAACTTCTTCCTGTTGAAATACAAAAAAGATAATCTATTCTTCATGGAAATTGGAGTTCTCAGAAAAACTAACCACTCTGGGATTTAGCACTGACCATGAAGCAAAAAAGAAAAAACACTGGTGCCTTTACTTTGTATATTTGTCCTTGGATGGGAGAGGGTCAGGATGGTTATACAAATTTTTTTTCATTACTTCATTTACATTAAGTCTAGAACTATAAAAAAGAGCTTGGAACAGGGAGTTTGAGGTTCAGAGACTTTAAAAACCGCATTTAAAAATGGTGGGACTAAGCATTTAATTATTAAAGCAAAAACCAGCCTTTGAAGTTTTGAATTAAATGAAAAGAAGTATTAAAATATTAATGCAGAAAATCATATTCTAGTGAAAAACAAGAAAAATACAGACTTTAATCACACCAACTTTAATTAAATCTTCCTTCTAGCACATCTAGACTTTAAGCAATCACTTATTCTACCAACATTAATTGAGGACAGATATTGTTCTCAGCACTTGGTTTTCTGTGATGAACAAATGAAATTCCAGCTGTCAAATAACTCACTGTTTGCATTTTTTTGGATTTTTTTTTTTTTTTGGTTTTGCCTTGTTTTTTGGAATAGTATTATTTCAAGACTGGGAGAGAGATAAGATCTTCTCTCAGAATTCCTTCTAATCTCATAATTTTATTAAACATCTTGTTGCCAACTCAAGAGATCAGCATCATAACTCATACACATTGGTAAGAGCTTAAATAAATATATAGTTATTGTTGGGCTTTGAGAAAGGATATTAAATTACATACCGAGGGAGCTAAGGCCAACATAAAGAAACACTTACATCTCTGTTTTCACATTGCATGGGGTTTTTATTCCAAAGAACTCCTGAGCTTAAGCTATTTATTTAAGCATTTCTCCAATATCACAATATCAACTGGTTATTGCATTCTGTGTACCTTGATTTTTTCACTATTTAATGAGTATTTTAAGTTGTTTCATGTTAAACTCAAAGTGTTTAGATAACTGAACAGTTACTCAGACAAATGAGGGTTAGTTTTCTTTATATCTCTGTATCTATAAGTAAAAATAGAGATAGATGTTTCCTACTAAGAAATGGTAGGGGGGCCTCATCAATCCATAAAATCAGCGAATAATTTTCATTGTAGAAGTACATATTGCCTCTAGCTATGAGTCCTCACTTTAATGTGTGAAGTAGAATTTCTATATGAGGAATAAAGAATTGCTGGATCAGATCTTTCCATGAGACTCAAGGATTGAATTTTGTCATAATTCTTTCTGAATCTGCCATTCTTATTTTAGCTAAAATTGTTTTGCCTTGAGTGGAGCTGAGCTGGGGAGGCTTAACACATTGTCTGGCACCGTTATTTGGGATTCACTAAAATTCTTTATTTTGATTTTAAATTGTTTCCAAAAATAACTTCAGAGACCATTAGGTAAAATCATCAAAAATATTCAATAAGGAAATAATTGCCAGAGTTAAAAGTCGAAGTTCATGTACCCTGGGTCTGGGATGGAAAGTTTTACACACACGCAAACACACACACACACGCGCGCGCGCACACACACACACACACGTGCATATTTGAAAATACTTCCATGATTGGTCATTGCTATCACATAACAGAAAACAGCTGCATTGAGTAAAGTAACAACTGGACAGCCATTGTAACCTTAGCTTTCCATTTGATACTCAGGAGAGAAACCTTCCTCTACATATGATAAAAAATATGACCACTACCATGATTAGTAAAGCAGTGAAGCAGCAAAACAACTCACTTCTCATCTCTCAGTCTCCACCCTCTGCCCCTTTTGGTCAGTTTTCTCAAGGCCAATATTGCCTATCTCCACAGGGCAATTGGACTATTACATAACAGGCGCTAATACTTGTTTAAGAAAAAACATATATGATCTTTTAAAATGCTCATCCCCAGGAAGCTTAACGACTTTAAAATTAAAACAAGGCAGCCATGGAAAAGCTATTATTGGTAGAACTACACAAGTTGACTTTTTTCTTAACTGTATTTATATTCTGGGGTCGATTTGGTAGCCTTAGTCCAAGTGCTCCAATGATAGTTTCAGGGATATTTTCATCTCTCCTCCTCTCTTGCACTGGCTTTTATTTTCAGTACTTCAGTCGGCTTTAGATGACACTTTTATCTGTTAGGGTTTCAAAATACAACAGCTGGCTGGGCGCGGTGGCTCATGCCTGTAACCCCAGCACTTTGGGAGGCCGAGGCGGCCGGATCACGAGGTCAGGAGATCGAGACCATCCTGGCTAACACGGTGAAACCCCGTCTCTACTGAAAATACAAAAGATTAGCCGGGCGTTGTGGCGGGCGCCTGCAGTCCCAGCTACTCTGGAGGCTGAGGCAGGAGCATAGCTTGAACCCAGGAGGCGGAGCTTGCAGTGGGCCAAGATCGCGCCACCACACTCCAGCCTGGGGGACAGAGAGAGACTCCGTCTCAAAAAAAAAAAAAAACCAAAAAAAACACTATTGTAATTTCTAATACCGAAGACTAATTTTATTTTTAAAGTTTGTATAAATAGAAATTGTATAGCATATATTTTCTTTCACGCCTGGCTTCTTTCAGTCATTATTATGCTTTTGGCATTTATCCGTGTTACTGCTTTTAGTTGTAGTGTATTTATTATCCTTACTATATAGTATTCTATTATATGAGTATAACAATATTCTTTTCTTAATTCTATTGTTGATAAACCTTTTTAGGGTTATTTTCCATTTGGGGATATTGCAAATAGTGCTATGATGAACTTCCCTCTATTTTTACTTCTCACGTTTTGCACACAGGTGAACATTTCACTGGATAAACATTTCATAGTAGTAGAATTCTAGGTCATAGAGTATGTAAATGTTTAGCTTTAATAGATATCAGCAGCCATTTGTTTACATTGGTCATTGTAATTTACCCTCTTACCAACAGTGAATGAGAATATCGATTGCTCCATTTACTTGCCTACTTTTGGTATTTTGGGTCTCGTTTTGTTTTGTCCTGGTTGTTTGGCTTTGAATTCTAGTAGGCATGAAGTGTTATCTCATTGTGATTTTATTTGCATTAGGCTAATGATTAATGAAGAGATCATGTTTTCATGTGTTCATTGGATGATAAAATTTCCTTTTTATGCTAAATATCTGTTAAATGTCTTGGTATTCATATTACGAATTCTTATTGTCAGTTGTTTTCTTATTGCTCTTTAGGAGTTATTTATATATTCTTGGACATAAGCCTTTCATTGCATTATGTGTATTGCTAAATCTCATGCTCTGTGATTTGTAATTTTACTCAATTAATAATGTCTTGTGATAAATAATTTTTATATTTATTAAACTGTTTATCAATCTTCATTGTCAGTGTTTTTATTTGACCTTTAAGAAAATTTTGCTTACACAATGGTTACAAAATATTTTCCTACATGCAAAGTTTTTTATTTTTTTACTTTCCTCATGTGTATTTAAAATCTATCTGAAATTGACTTTTAAGTATAGTCCAGTATATACTGTACTGATTGTGTATACATGGTAGGAGTCAAGACCATTCTGTTCTCTAAAGCTGTTCTACCCATTCATTCATGTATTTTATTATGAATAATGAATAATAAAATTTCCTAATTGAGAATAAATAATTACATTTATTCAGACTGCATTCTTCCCCTATGTCACAGCATATCATAAAACAACCTTGTGTATATCATCTATATCTAAATTATGTATTATTCCATTAGTCTGTAATCCATTTTTAAGTGTCATGTGGTTTAATATTAAGTCTTAGTATTTGATGTTGTAAGATTTCAATTTTGTTTTCTTCTTCAAGATTAGTCTTGGTTACTTGGGACCCTTCATCAGTACTCTATAAACATTTGAAAGTTCTTAGCCAGGCCTGGTGGCTTGTGCCTATAATCTCACCTACATGAGAGGATTGATTGAGCCTAGGGGGTTCAAGTCTGCAATAAGCTACAATTGCGCTACTGCACTCCAGCCTCAGTGATAGAGCAAGAACGTCATCTGTAACAAAAAAAAAAAATTTCTTGTTATTATCTACAAAAGAAATAACAGAAAACTTGCTAGAATTTAGATTAGAATTTGATTGGTTTTATAGATAAATTTTAGAACTGATAGCTTTACATGTTGAAACTTTTAATCCATAAACATAGCAGAACACAGCATTTCTTCCTCATTAAGTTTATTTCTAGAAATTTGATTTTCTTGTTATTATAAACTGTTCTTATAAAATTTCATTTAATAAAAGATTATATTTATTTGACAGATATGGAATATTCATATTTTCTATTTCTTCTGAGTTTATTTAGTATTATAAAAGTTGCAATCTTTCTCACTGTATTACCAATATTGCCTGATATTAGCTGACTATACTAATTCTTTTAAAAAATAGTGTTTGTTACATTTTTATCCATTCCTCTATTTTCCTTTCAAATCATTATATATAGGGTCTGTATCCTAAAATTTAAGGGTTTATGGCTATGTAAGCCACATATAGGGGTTGTTATTGTTTGTTGTTACTGTTTTCATCCAGACTGTTAATCTTTTTTTAATTGGATAATTTAGGCCATTTATATTTAATGTAATACTGATATATTTAGGTTACAGCTCACATTTTACTATTTGATATGTATTTCTCATCTTTTTTCTGTTTAATCTTCTGATCTTATTTTAGAGTATTTTTTATTTTTAATTAATAAATTTATTTTAAAAGTAACCCATAAAAATTGCATATATTTATCATGTACAACATCATGTTTTGAAATATGTACACATTATGGAATGGCTAAATTGAGCAAATTAACATATGCATTACCATACATACTTATTTTGTGTGTGTATGTGGTGAGAACACATAAAATCTCTCTTAGTAATTTTCAAGAACACAATACATTGTTGTTAACTATCATCAACATGCTGTACAATCAATCTCTCAAACTTATTGCACTAACTGAACTAAAATTTTGGATCTTTTGACCATCTGCCCAAACACTTCTGCCCCCAGCCCTCGATGTCCACCATTTTACTCTCTGCTTCTATTAGTTCAACTTTTAAAAATTCCACATAAAAGTGACATCATGTGGTATTTGTCTTTCTTTCTGGCTTATTTCAGTTAACATAATGTCCTCCAGGTTCATTCATGTTGTTGCAATTACAAGATTTCCTTTGTTTTAAAGGCTAAGCAGTACTCCATAGTGGATATATTATTATTTCTTGTTTAATTGCTCAATATTCATATTGACATTAAATATTTTTCAACATTGACTTGCATTATTTTTACTATTTTCAGTGATTTCCCCAAAGATTAAAACATAATTTTTATTTATTATAGGTCAATGCATCAGTTATTTTACTAATCTATATTTAGTTATATTATTTATAATATACTAATGTATATCAATCATTTTGCTTTCCACGCAACTCTTTAGAACTCAAAAAACCTTGTAACTGCATTTAACACCTCATTTTTGGTGTTAATGTTAGTTGTTCATATATTTAAATCATCATATCAGATTATATTTTTATTGTTTTATAGTAAATATTAGTTTATATTTTCTCATGTTTACATCCTCTTACTCTTCATTCCCTCTTACATTTTCATGTTTCCATCATGTTTTGTCATTTTTGTGAATGACTCTTATTTTTATTTTGTCTAAAACAAATCTTAATGAGAATAATTATTTTGATTTTTGTTAACCATATCCCTTTTTTTTTAGTTTTTTTCTTTTTATTTTCCACTCATTTTTTACTCTGGAAGTTTCAGTGATTTATTTTTCAGTTCACCAATTCCCTCTTCTACTACATCCTAGCTACTGTGAGCTCATCTTTTAACTTCTTAATTACCATTATTACATTTTTCAATTCTAAGATTTTTATTATGATTTCCTGAATTCTACATTATGGAGCATACTAATCTTGGTTATTTTTGTATCTGTTTTTCATACTTCTATTAACTGGATCATTGGTAAGAAGTGTGCTAATTTTTTTCTTGAGTATTAAATATTATATATGAAAAATCAGGGAGACTCTGGATTGTTCTCCTCCTCCAGAAAGGTTGCAACATGTCCTCTGATGGTGAGATTCAGTCAAGGCATATCATCTTAATCTAATTTAGGACAAGGCTAACTTAAGCTAGGTTAGAATGTGTTTAAGGCTCTGTCTCCTTGTAGCTTACACTCATTCCTAGGACACTGCCCTCCAGTTGGTCAACCTGAAATCCTGAGGTTTCTTCCGTCACCGTTCTTGAGTATGATTACTGTCTCTAAATATTTCCGGAAAATTCCATTATGTTTTTCAGTGGCTTTCTGATGTGCTTCTTATCCTTCTTTAGAATTCAGCAAACGCCTCTAAGGGAGAAAAAAAAATGTCCTAATTCTTTATCTCTCTTTTCTCAACAATAACTTGATTTCACATCTCAGCTGTTTTGAAGTCACAAACTTTAGCTTATTCCTCTTTAGTCCTGTGAGATTAACAAATAGTGTGCTGATTTCTCTGCTTTTTTTTTGGGTGGGGGTACCAAATTTCTTTATTTGAAGGAATGGTACAAATCAAAGAATTTAAGTGGATGTTTTGGTACAACTTATAGAAAAGGTAAAGGAAACCCCAACATGCATGCACTGCCTTGGTGACCAGGGAAGTCACCCCACGGCTATGGGGAAATTAGCCTGAGGCTTAGCTTTCATTATCACTGTCTCCCAGGATGTGCTTGTCAAAAAGATATTCTGCCAAGCCAGATTCGGGTGCTCCCATCTTGCGCAAGTTGGTCACTTGATCACCCAATTCTTTGATGGCTTTCACCTGCTCATTCAGGTAATGTGTCTCAATGAAGTCACACAAATGGGGGTCATTTTTGTCAGTGGCCAGTTTGTGCAGTTCCAGTAGTGACTGATTCACATTTTTTTCCAAATGTAATGCACACTCCGTCGCATTCAGCCTGCTCTCCCAGTCATCACAGTCTGGTTTCTTGATATCCTGAAGGAAGATTCAGCCACCTAGTTGGTTCTGCAGCTCCATCAGTTTCTCAGCATGTTCCCTCTCCTCATGAGATTGGTGAAGAAAGTATTTGGCAAAGTTCTTCAAAGCCACATCATCGCGGTCAAAGTAGTAAGACATGGACAGGTAAACGTAGGAGGCGTAGAGCTCCAGGTTGATCTGGCGGTTTATGGCGGCCTCTGAGTCCTGGTGGGAGTTCTGGCGCACCTGCGAGGCGGACGCGGTCGTCATGGCGGCGACTAAGCAGAGGCGGCGGTGGCGGCGGCGGTGGCTGCGCGGCGCTGGAGCGGCGGCGGGGGCCCTGGGGCAGTCCGAGGGTGCGGTGAAGAGGTGACGGAGGGCTGGCTATGGACGGCCGGCCCGGGTGCGGGACGAGCGCCGGGTTCCGTCCAAGCACTGTTGAAGCAGGAAACCCCGACGACTCTCCGCGAAGAACGTCTCTCTCTGCTTCTTATTTGTATTTCTCCACTTAAAACCTTGGCTTCTAATTTGTGGACCAATTAAAAAATGCCCAAAGGAGGGTGACTCTTAGAATGACCTTGTAAGTTTCTGAGTTTTTTTTTTTTTTCTGCAAACCCCTCATCTTTCAATTTCTAGTTGCTTTGGCAGCTCTCCGCTGTATTCAAACAAATGGTTTAGTCAAATTTTTCTCTTTGTTTTCAAGTTGGCTTATTGGTTTTCTGTAAGCTACTCCATAATGAATGGAAGCAGAAGTTTCAAAGAATAGCTGATAAATAAAAATGTTGTATAATTGCTGCAATTATTACTGTTGTTGATGCATTATTATTTTTTTAATTCCATAGAACCAAAGCTTCTACACTGTTTTCACTAGGCAAGAGTAAGTGGCAATTGACAACCAAAAATTGAAAACCCTTATCTGTTACAGGTGTTCAGGTATTTGAGGTAGGCATTAGCTTTTAGTAGGGCATGGAGCATATCTCAAATGCAATAGCTTCCTATGAATACCTCATCACCAGTCACCAGTATTGCTATAAAATCTAAAAAATTCAGCTTTTTTTTTTTAATGTAGCTAATATTTGGCCATCTATAAAAGTCAGATGTGTAATCTTTGCACATCCCCAAAACATTTTACGCTGTATTTATCAATATGAAATATATAATTTTTAATTGAAAATACAAATCTCCTACTCCTCAATTAATCTATATTTAAAACTTTATTTTTTCACAGATTTATAGAGAAAACTTTTTGCCCTTTAGTCCATGTGCCAAAAATACTTTTGGGTATAAAAATAGTTCTATTTCATCAGTGATTAACATATACAATATATTACAGAAAAAATCTTTTCCATATTATATTTTACCTGACATGTGTATTTATATAATATCCAAAACTTTTCATTGTGACAATTTTTTTGTCATCTTGAGAATGTGTGTAAATATCACTGAGTGAAATCAATTGCTTTAAACTATAATGTGATGCAACTATGTGAAGTGGCTGCTTTAGTAAAATGTAGTTTTAATATGAATTAATAGAAGTAGAGTGCCAGAACAAGACATGTGCAGATCCTGCTATGTTCTGTTGTGATCAGGACTTACTTCAATTTTGGTACTCTGCTTTAAACATCATACATTAAAGGAAACATCAATTATAACATTGCACACAGTGTCACTAGATAGTGAAAGGCTCTTAAACACTGTTTGGGAAGAATAATTCACAGGACTGAAATGAAGACAAGATTTGTCAAGTAACACATTCTCTAATATTTAGAAGTCTATAACACACAGGCTTAAGAGACATCCTGGGTCATTATGGGGGAAAGAATCCCAACTGGTCAACATATGAGTGAAAAACATTTTAATAACTGGAATTGTACTGTCACAGATAAATTAATATAGGAAGTAAAAAATGTATAAACAATTAAAAATATTTGATGATTTCACAGAGATGGTATCAAGGGGATAAAAACATCCTACCAGGAATAATCTAGGTGATTCCTAAGATTTCTTCCAATTCTAAAACTGAGATTAAACAACGTTGTATAAAGTCAGATCTCTGCTTTTCTTTCTCATTTAGCATCTTAAAATTCATTTATGTGGAACATCAATCGTTGAACTGATTTGTCTCTTACGATTTGGGGGAAGGATTGAAATTTGAAAGTGATAATATGTATAATTTTATTATATCATAGTATTTAGCTCAAAAATTTCTGCTGTACGATCATTTCTATAACTAGCAATAATAAAGGAGATAGGACCCATGGTTCAAGATCTTAAATCAAGCTAAATTTCCTGTCACAAGGCTGGCTTTTCCTTCTGTGCCTAATAATATGTTCATCATTTCCTTCTGAGACCTCACCAGGGGCATGTTTAACATTCATATTTCTGCCAAGCTGTCATGTTTTATCTCAGATGCTGTAAGCTTTCTCTACCGTGTTCCTCACAGCCATCTGAATTCTCACCAGAATTTCTTTTCACTCCACATTGCCACAAATCATTTCTTTGAGGCAATCTGGGTTTTCTCTATCATGGTCCCCAAAATTCTTCCAGCCTCTGCCCATTAATCAGTCTCAAAACCACTTCCATATTTTTAAGCATTTGTTACAGCAGCACCTCATTTCCTGGTACCCAAACCTGTCGTTTCTTGGGGCTGCCATAGCTAAGTACCACAAACAGCGTGGCTTAAAGCAACAGGAACTTACTCTTTCACAGTTCTGGAGGCCAAAAGTCTGAAGCCAGGGTGTTGGCAGGGTCATTTTCCATCTGGAGACTCTGACAGAGAATCTGTTCCATGCCTTTTGGGTTATAATGCTTCTGTTCCAAGGCGTTCCTTGGTTTGCAAATCTATCTCTCCAATTTCTGCCTTCACGGCCTTCTTCCCTGTGTGTCTTTGTCTCTGTGAATGTCTCCTCTTAAAAGAACACAAATCATTGAATTTGAGGCCCATCTAATCCAGTATGACCTCATCTGAATTAATTATATCTGCAAAGACCTTATTTCCAAGTAAGGTCACATTCTGAGGTTCCAGGTAGATGTGAATTTGGGAAGGACACTGTTCAATCCACCATATAGGTTCTGTGTTCCTTAAGGTTTGTACCATGTGTGGTTCTAGAAGTCAACACAGTGCCTGGCACCTAGAATGAATGAACGATTCAGTGAATTTCCTCCATCACTAACTCTGTCAAATAAGAACAGTTAAGTGTCAAAGTTGAGGTGGATACATTAAATAATGCTCACTTTATTTGAGCAAGATTTAAGAGTCAGCCTTGACTTTCAATTCTCTTGTGGGCCACATAAGCATTGCATGTCACACTGGGGTCTAATCTCACTTGTCTGATTGTTCCCAAATAAGCTTGCTTGAGAAAAACATCCCCTCCATCTACTGAGATAGAAGTTTGCCATTTGCAGTTGAATCTATGCTATTCTGGAAAGATCTGTATCACATTCTTTACTCTGGTCCCTCCTACAAGAGAGGATCCTACTAGATCATCAACATTTCTGTATATTAGGAATGTGACTGTGTGACCTCAGTAAGCCACTTAATCTTTTTTCGCTCTGTTGTTTTGTAAAATGGGATTATTAATGTTACCTACTTTGTAGGGTTGCTATAAGCATGAAATAAGTTAATTTCTTAAAGTACTCAAAACTGTGTCTGGCACAGAGTAAATCCATGTTTGTTTAATAAATAGTATTTAATGTCAATCAATCAAAATCAATGAAGTTTCTCTGTAAACAAAGTATTAAGCAGCTACCAAGTTCTCAGAAGGGGTTGCCTGTTTCTTATAATTTTCTTAGAGACATAGCAACTTAGAACTGGTTTCATCAAGGTAGTTACTAAATTCAGCGACATGAAGGAAAGTTTTCTGAGAAGCATTTTCCTGGCTAAGCTTAAAGGTCTGTCTCTCAAACACTTCTGTTTTGGAGATATGACATTTTATAGCATGAATGGAAAAAATTGTCTGGAAGTTATAGTGTTTTTTTAACATAACACTCACTATTGTACCTCACATTTTACGGTTTACAGAATGTTTGTTTTAAGTAGTCAGTAGGGTTGCAGAAAGTATAACTAACTTGCATCCTGATTTGTGAATCGCGTGTAATCTGAGCGCATCTGAAAGCCTGTTGGTGTCCTTTTCTTGGCTCATGGCTCACATACTCCCTTGAAGAGCTGTCAAAGTTGGCATGGCTTAAATGTCATTTTTTAAATTACTAAGGATTTAAAGTCAGGCTAAGGTTTTGTGTGTGTGTGTGTGTGTGTGTGCGTGCATGTGTGTATGTGTTGAAGATGAAAGAGTTTAGCAAATATCAGTTTATTGACTATGAAAATGTATCCAGACTTCACTTAAACCACTTTTCTCACCCACCCATAGAACTGTTTCAATCAAGTTCAATCAAGGTGACACTAATGAGCTAACAGTCTTCCAGGTAGCAGTGACATTGACATCAGAAACATTCTATAGATCTTAGCCTTACCTTCTTATATGCATCCCCTCCCCCATCTTTTGTCTCTTTCCAGAGCCTGAAATCTGTTATTATTCCTCTTGGGAGGTCCGTTTACATTGAACACACATCTGGCTTAATTAGGTTGACAGCTGCTACAGGTACCGTTGGACAAGGTCCAGCCATCTCAGTGCATTCCCATTTACTTGACAGCTTAACCTTTCACAATCTCATCTTCAGAGTGCAAATGAACTTGAGAGATGTGCTTTTATTATTTGTTAATACATGCTCATTCTCTACCTTGCCACCAAAATCGTAATCAACAGAGACCACACTAAAAAGTAAAGGGTATTTCCCTAATGCCAACTGGTGAACTGCAAAGACCAAACTACCCAAACCTATGAAAACTTGGCAAAAAAGCATAATAAGAAGTGGTCCAGGGCAGTTGGAGAAAAGGCTGAGAAAACAATCCCACTTTCAAGCTTATGGCTTGAGTTTGCTTACATAAAATCTTTAGGCAGTAAAAAGTGATTACAGTTATTTCTGCCTTCAGCCACAGCCAACAAAGAAGGTGGTCTTCAGATTCCCCACATACACTGATGTTTTTCATCTACGCTGTTGTACTTCTAGCAATGGAGTGACCAAACATTTTGCACGTGCATACAGGAATAATCTGTTTGCTGCAAAGCCACTTGGTCTGTGTTTTTTTTTTTTTTTTTTTTTTTTTTTTTTTTTTTTTTTTTTTTTTTTTTTTGAGACGGAGTCTTGTTCTGTCGCCCAGGCCGGACTGCGGACTGCAGTGGCGCAATCTCGGCTCACTGCAAGCTCCGCTTCCCGGGTTCACGCCATTCTCCTGCCTCAGCCTCCCGAGTAGCTGGGACTACAAGTGCCCGCCACCGCGCCCGCCTAATTTTTTGTATTTTTAGTAGAGGCAGGGTTTCACCTTGTTAGCCAGGATGGTCTCGATCTCCTGACCTCATGATCCACCCGCCTCGGCCTCCCAAAGTGCTGGGATTACAGGCGTGAGCCACCGCGCCCGGCCTTGGTCTGTGTTTTAAACCACCTGCCTTAAATGCCTTTGCAGTTGTTTTAATTAATTCATGCATAATTTTTTTCCACTAGAGCTTCATGTAGAAACAGCATTGAGAATAACAACTACTTTTGGCTGCCTCAACCCAAGCCCAAGCCCAAATTAATAAAAGCAGAGTCAATTCCAAAAGTCCCTTCCAAAGAAAGGTGGTTAGCTTTTTCGTACCATATTTACTTACAGCAGGAAAGTCCTTTATTTAACAAATTACTATTTGACTTCCTGGAAGTTTAAACGTTTGATTCTCTGGGGCGATTGTATTTTCCCAAGAAGCAACACCTTTGGGAGGCCAGAGGACAAAAGGAAACTGAGGGTCATTCCGTTTTCCTGGACCATGATTTTCCTTTGGCTATTATTTTGAATCATTATAGCTAAATTGTTTTTCTTCTCCAAGAACTAAAAGTAGATCTACTATTCAATCTAGCAATCTTACTAGTGAGTATCTACCCAAAGAAGAAGAAATCATTATATCAAAAGAACACCTGCATGCGTATGTTCATTACAGCACAGTACACAATTGCAAAGCCATGGAACCAACATAAGTGTACATCAATTGATTTTTGAATAAAGAAAATATAATATATATACACTATGGAATACTACACAGCCATAAAAAAGAATAAAATAATGTCTTTTGCAGCAACTTAGATGGAGCTGTAGGCCATTATTCTAAGTGAAGTAACTGAGTAAGAGAAAAACCAAATATGTTCTCATAAGTGAGAGCTAAGCTATGGGTAGGCAAAGGCAAACAGAGTGGTATAATACATACAGAGTGGTATAATACCTACAGAGTGGTATAATACATACAGAGTGGTATAATGGACATTGCAGACTGCAGACTCAGAAGGGAGGCAGTGGAGGGGCATGAGGGAACATTTACACTGGCATCCTTCTCCTTCAGTGCTAACTTTTCAGTCACAATAGAACACCTTGAGCTCAGGGAAACTGAGGGCACTCTTCCTCAAAGCAGCCAGAGTTGCAAGGTCTGAATGGTCATCAGATTCATCTTTCTGGGTAAATAGATGGCACCTCGTAACTATGAAATGATGATGTTTATTAAGAAGAGGTGGAGGTGCAGTGTGAAGCTCTCCTGAGTGCACCATGGTTTTTGGCAGCACTTCAGAGGTGAGGATGGCTGCCCTAGGTCAACCTGTCTGGTGTCAGAATAGGTTTTGCCTTTAGGGCAGACTAGGATACCTTCAAGGCAACCAGGAGTGAAGTTGTCTCCCTCTTGCTGTCAAGTGACTGACAGGAATGATTTGGGGCCCTATACTGAACTCCCAGACAGCCATCCCCCCACACCAAGCCCTGGTGCTGGGAATAGCATCTCCTGGCCTCCTGGAGCTAACTCATCCAGAGAAAATAAGGGCTAGGGCTCCCGGGATACCAACAAAATCCCAAAGATAAAATATTCAGGCAGTTAATTCTGGTATATAGTATGTATAAATAATCATACTTCTTAGAGATGCTGATCTACAATAAGGAAAAAAACTTACTTTTGTACAAAACCATTTTACCTACCACTATGATGTTTCTCACAATGTACTGGTAGATGTCAAACAATAAAGAAGCAAGATTAGAAAAAGTTTTATCATCTTTGCTGCCCCACCAGTGCATTAAACAAACAAGAACATTTAGCATATTTATTTAAGAAGTGTATTAGCAATTAGCTATTGTGTGTGCTTTGATCCATTTCCTAAAATCAAACAAAAAATAAGATAGGCAGTTGAGCAAGCAAGAAATCAATTTGTGCTGCTTCAAATTTCATGGAGATGGTCATCAAATTTGTGCCCTTGATCAAACACTGCAAAATAAGTACTTTTTCTTTTTTCTTTTACAAATCTGTATACCACTCAGGTCAAATGCCTGTTTAATTTATAGAAACATAAATAAATAACCATACAATAAAATTTTATGATCTAATCACACCATGATCTGGATGTTAGTCATAGGCCACTGTGCTTTCTGCCCACTGTAAATCACTCAGCACAACGGCTGACTTATTTACCACAAACCGTTTTAACAAATGTAGTCCTGCCTTTCCCTCCATATTAATTAATACACATAACAAAGGATAACGCTATCCCTACGACAACAAAACCCTTTTGTTCCCTGAAGCCTCCAGGCGTCCACTGAGGCCCCTTTGTAGGTGATTTCTCCTCGCGATTAAAGGAGATATTTTGTGTGTTCCAGTGAGAACTGGGAGAGTAATCCTGCACCTGTTGGAGGCTTAGGAAACTGGTGAGTAAACCTCTCAAACCTCCATGGCTGACTCAGTTTTCTCAGCCTGGAGGACTGGCAGAGAGCTTCCCAAAACTGGAAAGATGTTTCTTGAAGCTTTCCTCGTGTCACCTAGAGCCATTCCCGTTGCATTTCTGAGAGCTTCGTCTTAATTTTCGGTTACTCATTTTTTTAAAAAGGCTTTGACAGTCAGATCCAACAAGTAAGTAGAAAGCATCCAATTTCAGTGTGAAAAATACAGCAAAAAAATGAGGCTATTTGATTTATTTTAGATCAAACATCCAGTTATTTGGAAATATCTATTTTTGACTAAATTTTTGTTCTCATCCAGATGTTTGACATTTTTGTAGACATGGATTAAGTGCCTGCATTGTATTAAAAAGACCCATTTCAAAAGGAAAAATGATATAATATTCTTGTAAATTCGAGTAAACCAAAAGATTGGCTTCTTTCTTAGCACAATCAAAACAAACTTTCCTCACCTCCCTTATAACCTCACATCCTAAAGGGAAGGGGGCGATATCTATAAACTATCTGGGGTTTTTTTTCCATAATAATATTCTTACACAAATCTGCAGCTTTTGGACAGTCAAAAGAGAGACCCACCTGGCACACAGGAAGCCACACACGGGCAGCAGGACCACTCCAGGCCGTCGAGGCCCATGGTCGGGACGCTGCTCACCATATGTGGAGATGTTGCTTTCCTCCAGAAGCTCTGTCACATTAACGTCAAACTGGTCTTAGATGTCATTGAGGGCTTTGGCATCATTCTCCTCAGACACAAAAGTGATGGCCAGGTCTTTAGTGCCAAAGCAACCTGCACAGGCCACTGGGTGGAGGTAGGTGTCCGAGTCTTCAGGCATGCCATAGTTAAGACGATGTTGAATCACTCAATTCCTACAATGGTTAGGAAATGACTGAAAGTGAACACGGGGACTCTGAGCAAACCTGCTGAGATACAGGCTTGGGGCTGCCTCAGTAAATTCCTCCAGTGAAGTGGATGGGATTATGGTGTGGATGATGACAAAAGAGTAGAAGAGAAGTTGTCGACAGATTTGCACAGAGGCCATTGAAGATTTTATAAATAAAGAAAAATGTCTGCAGCCAGTGGTTTATGCCAAATATCTTCCCAAGCCTCCATATCCCTGTGGATGTTGCAACTGACTGCAAACAGATTGATGTCCACCAGGATCCACTGCTGGAAATCCTTGGACTGCTAATAGCGTGACAGGCATTCTTCCTGGGCCATGGCCAGGAAGTTCTGCTCCATGAGGAGCTGGGCCGGGGACATGCAGGGCTGTACCGGCTTGATGAAGATTGCCACCTGTTTAAATTCCAGCATGTCCAGGAGATCGAAAAGCTTGCAGTTCTTCTCAGTGTCCTTGAGCTTGAGGTAGTCCTGCTGCGGTGTGTGCAGCGTGCGCTTGGTCTCGTCATCCACAAACACATCCATGGGACCCTGCATGGACTCCCTGCACACAGGCCAGATCTCCTTGCTCAGGGTGGCACTGAACATGATTCACTGCTTCTGCTGGAATATCAGGTGGGAGGCCTCCCACATGTCCCGCCACATGTCCAGCCACTGCAGCATCTCATCCAGCACAAAGTGCTTCACATTCTTCAGGTTGAGGCTCCTGTTCTGCACAAGTGCCACGATCCAACCCGGGGTCCCCACCATGACACAAGGACAGTTCATCAACAATTCTTCATTCTTTTTGATAAAGAGGCCTCCGAAAAACACGGACACCTTGACACTGGGCATCTACTTGGAGAAGTGCTCATTCTCACTCCTTGCTGATCTGGAAGGCCAGCTCCCCTGTGTGGCACAGATCAGGACCGTCACCTGTCAGTTGACAGGCCGGATCTGCTGCACAGTGGCCGGCACAAAGACCGCTGTCTTGCCCTTCCCAGATTTGGCTTGGCACTGGATGTCCATACCCAGGGTGGCCTGAAGAATGCACTCATGCTGGACCTCAGGAGCTCCAGTTGCAGCAGAAAGTCCCAGAAACCAGAGCTGTGGACGGAAACGTAGGATCCCTTGACATCTTTCTTACGGGGAACCAGAGTGCTCCCTGGAGACGCCTAGGGCTCTTCTTCATAATCCAAAAGCTTATTTTCCACATCCTGTTCTGCCATGTTGCTGAGAGCAGAGAGAGGCAGGGCCCTGGTTCCTCATTCTCCTCCACATGCCACGAGGGCATGCAGTTGCTAATTGTTTATATCTATTATAAGAATTAGCAGCTAATGGCCAGGCACTGTGACTCACGCCTGTAATCCCAGCACTTTGGGAGGCTGAGGCGGGTGGATCACGAGGTCAGGAGATGGAGACCATCCTGGCTAACGTGGTGAAACCCCGTCTCTACTAAAAATACAAAAAATTAGCCAGGCCTGGTGGCAGGTGCCCGTAGTCCCAGCTACTCAGGAGGCTGAGGCAGGAGAATGGCGTGAACCCAGGAGGCGGAGCTTGCAGTGAGCCGACATCGCACCACTGCACTCCAGCCTGGGCTACAGAGCAAGACTCTGCCTCAAAAAAAAAAAGAAAGAAAGAAAGAAAAAAAAAAGAATTACCAGCTCATTAAAAAAAAAAAAAACAGACTGAGAAGTTAGGCAGGGATGGAGCTGGCGAGACTTCTCATAAAGCAGCCCCTGTCAACAGGAACCATCCTGCAAGCCCTCCTACTTTGGCTGTGAATTGAGGGGATGCAATTCCCAAGGTCATTGCCATACCAATGAGTAGAGGGTGCAGATGGAATCTGGCTACTAGCTCTGCAGGGTTTAGAGGACAAAGATAGAACCCTGTGGCAACAACATCACACAGGCAGACCTTTAAAAGACTATTAAGGTACTTCACTCTGGGGACTGGGTGTCTGAATTGGGGTGGTGCTGACGGACACAGTGAGAAGTAATCTGTTTAAAACATAAGCAGGGCAAAGAGTTAGGAGTGTTTTCTAGGCATTTTGGCCTGAGCAGCATTGTAAATGGTGTGAACTTGGGAATACAAGAAGAGGAAAAAGAATGTGAGTAAAAAACAAACAAAACCAAAGGTCAGCTTGGCACAGGCTTAATTTGGGTTACCTGCAGACACCTACAGAGGACGTGGGCAGGTGAAACTCTGAGGCTCCACACCAAGGGCGATGGCAGAGCTGAGATGTGAGTGTGGTGCATGAATGCAATTTAAAATGATAGGTCTTCATTCAGCCTTAGGTTATAAGGATAGAAAAGGGAAGAGAACCAAAGATTGGGTGCCACAGTGCTCTGACATTTCAAAGTCAGGAAGAAGAGTAGGAATCCCACATGGGGATTGAGTCAGACATGATCTTCTCTGAGTGGTTTTCCTTACCTCATCATTTCCCAAATTCTGAGTTAGATTGTGATTCTACAGAAGTCTGTGCTTGTCCACCATAGCATTTATCAAGTTACATCACCAATATTTTACACTGGATAGTACATTCATTCTGTAAAGGAAGGGACTGTGTCTTGCTACATCTTGAAATTGACTCAGGCAAATGGTAGACTGTAAAACCACCAAGTATGGAATAAAGGAAGAAAATTTAGACCCCAAAGCCTACACAGATAGCCTAAAATATTATCCCATTTCACAAGTAACTTGCGTTACTAGCAGCTTCAATCCTACAATCGATGGGCTTTGAGTAGATGCTATTCTATCAACACAGGTGGCCCTTGGTGTATCTGGAATGTGTCATTTTACCCAAGTATGCCAAGGGAAGAAGAAATCTTAGTATCTCTCTCTCTTCCCTCCTTCCAGTTTTGGAGAGCTGTAGCTAGAAGTAAATCCTCTAAAGATGAAGACTACTAATTACAACATTTCACATTTTGCGTCATTCTTTATTCACAAAACATCACTGTAGCCACCACCTTAGCCTCTCCACTTCCAGCAAAGAGATCTGGCCTGTATGCAGGAAGTCTATGCAGGATCCCATGGAGGTGTTTGTGGATGCCGAGACCAAGCGCACGCTGCACGCACCTGCAGCAGTACTACCTCAAGCTCAAGGACACTGAGAAGAACTGCAAGCTTATTTCCTGGCCCACTGCACCCCAGCCCTGCCTTATGCTAAGTCTCCATGTCAGAGGATGACATATACACCTGCACGTGCACATGCATATTCACCATCTGGCCCTTGTTCCATTCAGGTGATTTATTTCTTGCATCTTGCATCTCCTTATTGAATTCATAAGAAGATGCATGATAATTCATTTTCTTTGTCAATTCCCTGCTTCTCATTTTGCTAATTCAATGCCACACTAACACTTCTATTAATTTGGCACTTGGAACCGATAGATTTACTGTGTGGCATTCCATCTCTAACTAAACAAAAATAAAACCGCAGACTTGGAGCTTTTTCCAGTGTCAAAGTTTTGCTGCTGCTGCTGCTGCTGCTGTTTTGGCCACTGCTGCATTGTATGAAGCTTATCCACATCCTTTAATCATATACTCATATTCTCTCGAACTGAGGTATATGGGGATAATACCTGAAGTTTTTCCACTTCATGGAGGCATTGTAAATATTCCTGAAGTGAAGAATTCTGTGGTTAAAGAAGTCATCTTCCTTATAAATCACAGGGTTCACTTGAGTCATAAGGCGACCTGTTCTTCTATAGCAAATGCTTGCTTGCTGCAAAGGCCTGGACTAGGAGTCTCAATAGTGATCACCCGCACCTTGTTCATGATATCCACATATGTAGATGACATCTCTGGAGACAATTAACTCTGTAAAATTTTAGGACAATCAGTTGCCTATGAATCTGAATAACATCTGCAGTTATAGCAGGGAGGATAAAATTAGCAGAGTGATCAATTCTTATCCTTCAGGATGTAAACTAACAGCTGGATTGAAAAAGAAAGTTCCACAATCAAATTTCATCAGTGATCTGTTGCAAAATGAGTGGTTGGCCACACTAAAACTCCTAGCCCAGGCCTTTGTTGTAAACAAACATTGGCTACACATGAGCAGATCCTCCTTTTCACCCAGGCACACTCTGTGATTTCTAAGGACATTTGCAAGGTTTGCAGTCCAGAAGCCCATTTAAACATCAGGTATCTATCAGGGTTCGGAGAGAAGTGCATCACCAATTCAAATGCCAACCAGCCTAAAGGATGCTGGGAACATGCCCCAGGGTAACCACTGCTAGGGTGACTGATCTATCTGAAGTTCAATTAAGGAAAAATGCTCGTCCTCACTTCCAAGTTTTGAAAACAGTTGGGCATTTTTGAACATTTTGAACTGTCTTTCTCCCCTGTAACCACTTCTTTTCTGCCCTGAAATCTGTAGTGGGAAAGAAACGTATTTAGTAATTTAAGCTCTCATCTTAAGAAAAGTTCAAAGTAGGTGTGGAGTAAATGTTGTGAGAGGGAAACCTGAACCTAGAGTTAGTGTAATAAGCCCAAGTCCCAGACATATCAAGAAAGTTAGCAATGCCAGAAATAAACACAGCCGAGCATAAATCAACAGAGACTGTGGATGGAAATTTCACTGCGGGTATCACTGGGAACAGGAATAAAACAAGCAGATGGTAATATTGGAGAGAAAAGGGGAAACATAAGAAGAAAACATAAAAAGTGGAAATATTTGACTTTTTCATAAAGTAAAAGAAATTTTAATTTTTTTTTCTACTTAGCAAGTTCTGAGTAAGAATTAAGCATCATGATGAAAATAAATAACATTCAAGAAAAGGATTATTAAAAGGCATAGAAGAACTTTCAGATTTAAAATGGAGTCCCCAGGCAATTCTGGAAACGAGGTCCGTTTGTATTTGCCTAGATTAAGCCAGTATTACCCAATATTAGTAGCAAAACTGCTTACCTCAAAATCCAACTTAGCTTTGAGGAAATACAAATCAGTCTACAGACATGTTAAGTTTCAACAAATCCAGTAAATCAGAAATATAGTGTGAAACAAAATTGAAAATTAAGATTTTTCAAAAATCATGCTCTTAGGCCGGCGCAGTGGCTCACGCCTGTAATCCTAGCACTTTGGCAGGCCGAGGCGGGTGGATCACGAGGTCAGGAGACCGAGACCATCCTGGCTAACACGGTGAAACCTCGTCTCCACTACAAAAAAAAAATTAGCGGGCGTGGAGGCGGGCGCCTGTAGTCCCAGCTACTCGGGAGGCCGAGGCAGGAGAACGGCGTGAACCCAGAAGGCGAGGCTTGCAGTGAGCCGAGATCACGCCACTGCACTCCAGCCTGGGCGACAGAGCGAGACTCCGTCTCAAAAAAAAAAAAAAATTTATTGATAATTGAAAATACGTGTTACCTAATTGGCATGTTTTGCAAAAGCAACAAACTGGGCATTGCTTTTGTTTATTTATGAATTATTTCAATAGCATGTATTGTGTGTGCACCACACTCTTGGCAGACTGCTGGGTGCCAAAAACACAAAGACGCACAGCACATGGTCCCGCCCTCAAGGGATCTGGACTAGTGGGTTGTTAACTTACTCTGGTCACATAAATATCTTCAGATTTACACCAAGATATTTCACATGGAAATCCACAAGTGATTCCATTTCAAATGCGAAACAATCTCATCCATTTATACTTAAACATGTTTTCCTCGGAGACCTCCCTCCCTGACCTTCTGAATCGGCTTAATTCCATTCATGAGTTCCCGTGGAAGTGCACAAGGCACTTCCTTGTGCTTCCTCTACCAAAATACTCAAGGTAGTCTATGGCAGTTTTGCCTACTCTTTACTCGCCACTGTCCTCATTACTGTGACCCAAGGAATTAGTAAGTAACTTATGAATGAATGATTACATGATAGAAGAGCTGAATAAATAAATGAACTGATCATTAAACTGAACTGTCCCT
Source organism: Homo sapiens (assembly GCF_000001405.40). Lineage (NCBI taxonomy): Eukaryota > Metazoa > Chordata > Mammalia > Primates > Hominidae > Homo > Homo sapiens. The sequence goes on from NC_000013.11 coordinate 22,710,899, forward strand.
GAACAACTGGACAAAATAAGTGAGTCTATTTGCCTGGCCCTAGTTTTTTATATTTTCTCTGAAATTATGAATGTTAGTTTGGACTATAAATTCCTTTTTAATTGGAATGGCAGGTCCAAATTTCTCTGCTTCTCTCTTGCACTTTACCGGATAATCCACGGGTCATAGGTTTTTAAGCTGATTTAATTCCTACAGCCTCTTAGAAAATGAAGTGCACAGCTTTTACAATGACAATTACTGTTTTAAAAATTGCTTACAACACACAATTAGACAGGAGAATATGGTATAAGCGTGATGCAGATATTTTAAATGTGTAATAGTGCCATCAGAAGTACTGATAAAAGATAACTTTGTTCTGGTATATGTGAACAAGTTTATACATCTTGAATACTTCTTGCAGGTTTATTATGAAAATATTTTCTATCTTGAACAATGGATTCATTGTCAGAAATCTGATATGTTCAGCAACAGAAAGAACCTTGCTTTTCTGATGGAGGTGGATTTTCTGTACAGGATTAGTTCAAACTAGTTCCTATAAAAACACACAAGAAAGGATACGACACATTCTTCCATAATATTGCAGGAAAGTGAGTTCAGAATTTAAAGATTACCTCATAGTTTTATTAATATACTGTAATTAACTGAGCTTCTCCGTTTAAATTACTAATTGGGGGATTCCTATCACAAACTTGAGCTGCTTTTCCTCTCAAGAATATTCACTTCTAAACTTGTTGTAACATTCTGGTCTCATTAAGTTACCAATTCATCTGCTATATACAGCTGTCTTCACACTCTCTTCCTTCATAAGAATCGCAGCCAACAGAAGCATTTTCTATGTTTCACAATTACTGACTACTACAAGGGAGACCAAGGAAGCTGACAATAGCTCAACTCCATGACTGCCTGGACTTACTAACTGTAAGGTGTGTTTGACAAAATGTAGACATATATAGGATTAATGGAATGAGTTGTATTTCAGAAGTAGGAAACCTTGTCAATACCAGTTATAGTTTCTCTTTTAAAGCTATGTAAAAGAATATTTTTTATTCCTTTTAAAGTTACTTTTAATGCATCCAATCTTCTGGTTTTTCACCTTAGTTAAACTCTCATTAAATTGAGTGGTTTTATCTTTAATTTAGGGGTTTATTTCTATTTTTCAAATACTCATTCTGCTTTCAAACAAGAGAAACATAAGCACAGGTATTTTAAATATCTAATAGTGCTATCACAACTACCGATGAAAGAGCTGTGTTGAAAAATAAAAACAAAACACAAAATCTTGTTTTTACTCAAGAGTTTCACAATAAATTCATTGGTCTGTGACAATAAAATGTATTTATCTGTTAGCAATTGACTCAAGAATTGAAGCAGAATATTAAGCTGAGTAGCAAGGTCAATGTTAGTTCATTTATGAAGGTGTCACACTGGTAAATAAGGAAAGATAAAGGGTACTCTCATACTCGAGAAATGTATAGCTATATTCTCCCTCAAGAGATTTTGAAATAATGTTAAATTTGGGGAAGTCTTGGTTTTAGACAGCCACGATTTTATTCCGTAAAGTTTCTAAACACTCTTTACCTCTATAGAATCATCAACATAAGAGAAATAACAGAAAGTGGACCAAGGACAATATTGTTCTTAACTGCATGTTTATGAAAGCCCAAGCCTCAAGTGACATACTCCTGCATTTGCTTTATAATACAATAATAATCAAGCTCAATTTGGATGCGCAAGTTACAATGTGTAGTTCACCATTGGACACCAGGCACCTGGGAAATGGGGTTCAAAAGAGGCACATCTTAGTGGCCCCTTGGTGCACAAATAGTGGCCCCTTAGTGGTCTACTAGCTTCTCATTGGCACCTTTAGCTTCTGCACTATCTAGAAATGCTTGAGGATCCTAAATACAAAATTAAAAGATTATGGTGTTTCCTCAACTCTTAATTCTAATTTAGAATTAGATTCTAAGTTCTAATTAGTTTAGCAGTTGTGTTCCCTCACACTGGAGTTCTATCTATCCTTCCAGACCTTTTCTCCAAAGCAGTGTCTCTGTAGGTGTTCTAGATTACAAAGTTTGTGATAAATCAGTGGATGGGTAAAAGCAATCCCTTTGTCCTGTGTACTAAGCTAAGCTGGATAGCACCACACTTCTGACTACGGGGAGACATCTGAATATCTCTGGGAAACTCAGAATCCAAAACAAGGGGCTTAAAACAGCAGCAACAAGAAGAACAAAATAAACGTTCTTGCTTTGACCAGGAAAGGGAGAGCATTCCACACGCCATCAAATTCAGCCCCATTCAGATTTAATCTCAGGAGAGAGTCTACTCCTCTCTTTACACCAACTCTCTCACCAAGTCCTGGCCAGAGCTCCAGAATTCCTGTCTCCAGTTTTTTGTTTTTTGTTTTTTTTTTTTTGTTTTTTTTTTTAGCCGGAGTCTCGCTCTGTCGCCTGGGCTGGAGTGCAGTGGCGCGATCTCGGCTCACTGCAAGCTCCGCCTCCCGGGTTCACGCCATTCTCCTGCCTCGGCCTCCCGAGTAGCTGGGACTACAGGCGCCCACCACCACGCCCGGCTAATTTTTTTATATTTTTAGTAGAGACGAGGTTTCACTGTGTTAGCCAGGATGGTCTCGATCTTCTGACCTCGTGATCTGCCCGCCTTGGCCTCCCCAAGTGCTGGGATTACAGGCGTGAGCCACTGCGCCCGGCCTCCTGTCTCCAGTTTTTACATGAGTTCATGGTGCAGATTTTTGTTGTTGTCGTCGTTGTTCTGTAGAAGTCCCCATATATAATACGTACAAGGTCTGGGGCATAAACATCTGTTTGGAAGAAATAAAAAAATTTTTTTTGAAATAACGTAACTTGATTTTTATCTCCTGGCATGCCCCAATTTCAGTAAATGGCAGGAAGTTCATGTTAATCACATCCCTGTGACCCCCGTCTTCCGAGGGCATCCTTAACACCAGGGCATCTTCAACACCAGGGCATCTTCAACACCAGGGCTTTGGTGGGCACAGGTGGCTGGCCCTATTCCTGGAGATCCTGCTACCTTATCCTCAGCAGGGCTGGCTGGGTCCCCTCAGCAAGGCCACCTCCCAGCAAGCTCCCTTCAGGTCTGTTGCTTCTTTCCTCAGGCACTTCTGACTCCATTCTGGGGTGAAGTGACACGGAAGCATCGAGTGGTTTTTGCACAGCCTCTGCGGTTTCCAGGAACACTCCAGGGCAGCTTCAGGGCCTCACTGTCTCCGGCATCGCAGCAGCAATTAACTGGGTTCTCCAGTGCTGGGTGCTGGGATGCTGGCTGCTTTCACAGGCTTCACCCAGTAAATAAAACCCTCACCTGCTGAATTTTCGGATATTGTGGAAACTGAGAGTTTTTGTCTATCCCCACACACTAGTTAGCAATAAAACAGAGTCTACCCTATGCCTTTTGAGAAATGCATTAACATGTAATGGATATTAGATATGGGATGTTCTAAAAATCCCAAAGAAAAAGTTTAACCCCTCTGGGGCAGACAAAACCGACTTATAATTGAATTGTTCCAATCTTTGATAATTCCATAAGCCTCATGCACCAAGTTCTTTAAAACCTAACAGGCCAGGCACAGTGGCTCACACCTGTAATCCCAACATATTTGGAGTCCAAGACAGGTGGATTGCTTAAGCCCAGGAGTTCGAGACCAGAATGGGCAATACAACAAGACCTCTGTCTCTACAAAAATACAAAAATTAGCCAGAAGTTGTGGCGTGTACTTGTAGTCCCAACCACTTGGGAGGCTGAAGTGGGAAGATGGCTTGAGCCTAAGAGGTTGAGGCTGAAGTGAGCTACGAAGGCTCCACTGCAGTGGAGCCTGGGCAACAGAGCAAGACACTTCCTCTAAGAAAAAAAAAAAACAAGAGAATTAATAGAGAGAGATCCCAGATACCCTTTACCCAGTTTCCTTCAACAGTAACATCTGGCAAAATTATAGTAGAATAACACAACTAGGAAATTGGTGTTGATACAGTCCAGATATAGGACATGTCCAGGACCACTATCCTTCCCTTTTTAATGCCTGGGGATCACTAATATATTACAGTTTTGTGATTTCAAGAATTTTATATAAATGGAATCTCAGATATATATTTATATATTTATATTTTACAGATGTTAATATATATTTTTATTTAATATATATTTGTATTTTATATATAAATATAAATATATATATAAAATACATAACCTTTTTTGATTGTCCTTTTTCACCGAGCATAATTCTCTGCCAGTTCATCCAGATAAATGGATGAATCCTTTTTACCACTGGGTAGTCTTCCGTGATATGGATGCACCAGTGGGTTTAGCCATTCACCCATTGAAGGACATCTGGTTTTTTTCCAGATTTGAGCTTTTATGAATAAAACTGCTGTAGACTGGGCATGGTGGTTCACACCTGTAATCCCAGCACTTTGGGAGGCCAAGGCAGGAGGATCACTTGAGCCCAAGAGTTCAAGACTAGCCTGGGCAACACAGGAAGACCCCATCTCTCCAAAAAGTAGATTTAAAAAATTAATCCAGGTATAGTGGTGCACACCTGTAGTCTCAGATACTCAGGAGGCTGAGGTGGGAGGATCTTTTGAGGCCAGGAGTTTGAGGCTATAGTGAGCTAGGATCACACCGCTGCACTCCAGCCTGGACAACAAACCAAGATCCTATCTCAAATAAATAAATAAATAAATCTGCTATAAATATTTATGTATAGGATTTTGTGTGAATACGTATCTTCATTTCTCTAGAATAAATGCTCAGAAGTGCAGTTGCTGTGTTGAGTTGTAGTTGTATGTTTAGCTTTTTAAGCAACTGCCAAACTATTTTCCAGAGTGGCCGTACCATTTTACATCCCCACCAGCAACGTCTGAGTGACCCAGTTTCCCTGTATTCTTGCCAGCATTTGGTGATGTCATTATTTTATTTTAGCCATTTTAATAGGTGTGCAGTGACACCTCATTATGTCTTTAATTTGCATTTCCCTAATGACTAATGATGTTGAACATCTTTTCATTTTTTAATATGCCATCTGTAAATGTATTTTAACTCCTTCCTTCCTTCCTCTCTCTTCCTTCCCTTCCTTTCTTTCTTCCTTCCTTCCTCTCTTTCTTTTCTTTCTTCCTTTCCTTTCCTTTCCTCTTTCCTTCTTTGTTTTTTTGGACAGGATCTTGCTCTGTCGCTCAGGCTGGAGTACAGTGATATAATCATGGCTCACTGTGGCCTCAAACTCCAGGTCTCAAGAGATTCTCTGGCCTCAGCCTCCCGAAGCTCTAGAATTACAGGGTGAGCCACCATGCCCGGCCTTCGCTATTTTCTAATGGAATTGTTTCTGTTTTTGCTGTTCAGTTTTGAGATTTTTCTATATGTTATAGACACCTGTCCTTTGTCAGATTTTGTTAGTTTGGAAATTTTTTTTCCCAATCTGTAACTTGTCTTTTCACCCTCTTAAAGGATCCTTTGCAAAGCAAAACTTTTTAATTTTAACAAAGACTAATTTGTCAGTTTTTCCTCCAAGAATTCTTTGCCTAGTTTAGGTCTCAAAGATTTTCTCCTATTTTTTTCTGAAAGTTTCAAATGAAATGATTAGTTAGAGCTAATTTTTTGTATGAGGTGTGAAGTTTGGGTCTGTGAATGTTTGATTGTCCCAGCACCATTTGATGAAAGGCTATCTTTCCTCCAATGAATTGCTTTTGCACCTTTGTCGAAGACCAGTCAGGCATATCCATGTAGGTCTTTCTGAGTTCTCTCCTCTGTTCCATTAGTCTATGTATCTAACTCTGCCAATACCACACAGTCTTGATTACTGTCGTTGAATAATAAATTTTGAAACCAGGCAGCCTTATGCCTTTTATTTCATTTTTCTTTTTCAAAATTGCTTTAGCCCTTCTAGCTCCTTTGCCTTTCCACTACACACCTATGAAAACGTCTAAAATAAAAAATTGTGACATTGCCAAATACTGGTGAGGTTGCAGAGAAAATGGGTCATGCAGACATTGCTAGTGGGAAAGTAGAATGGGACAGGCACTCTGGCAAACAATTCGGCAGCTTCTTAAATTAACTCAACATGTAGCTACTATACCAAAACTCCAGAGAGGGATTGTGTAGAATAATATCGAAACCACTGTGGCTATCAGACTCTCATTTCAGAAAAAGGATATTTATATTGGCTTATCTCAAGAAGAGTTCTTATTTACATTCCTGAGCCTATTTTACATTTGAGTTCTGCATTCAGCCAGACTATCAGAGAAGCTGCTCTCGCCCCTCCTGCTGTTGATCCTCAGTCCGCTGTGTACTGTAACAATGCCAGCGAGCACAGGGCTTCCTCTGTTCAGTGAGGCTCTGCTGGATGCGCTAACAGTTCTTTCTGCAGGGGCTGCATGTCCTGCCACCCTGCACCCTTCAGGACAACACGTCCTTAATGTTTGTTTCCAAGCTGTTATTCTTCCATTCTCTTGAGCAAATCATTTCTTTTTCGATGCTTCTACTACTCAACTGTGTTATCATCTCCCTCCCCTTGCTTCTGGGAGTGACCAGTCTCCTGGCTACGTCTTTCATTCATCAAAGACATGGCCACACGGGTCATGTCCTCCCCTTCTTCCCCTCCAGACTTTGTAAGTGGCTTGAGCCTCTTGGCCTTGTGTTCACCCTACTCAGGCAAACCATGGCCTGGCCTGGCTCTGGCATTACCCTGATTGCCCAACTCCACCAAAGTCCCTGTGGCCACAGTTTCTTTTCACTACCACTTTCTCTTTGTTCCTCCCTTCTGCATTTTCACACCGATTCTCTGACTATGTGAAATCTTTCATCTCTCAATGACTCCATAAGCCTCTGCCTTGCTCCCATGTGTTTCTTACTGTATTCACTTCTTTCCCTTTTCAGCGCAAACTCCAAGTCTTACTACTTCAACCATACGCACGCCAATACCCAAATCCTGTAGCCATTGTCCATCTCTTTCCCTCCATGTGCTGAATCCATATTTTGGGATCAGTTCGGCTGTACCTCTTCCCTGCACACACTTGGTATGGGAGCGTGATTGGAGAAAAATCACACAAACACACAGGAAGATATTTTTTCAGATCCACAGTCCTGTTCCTCCTCTGGGCCCTTGATTCCATTCGGAATTCCTAGTCATCATTTCCTCCCATGCTCAAGGGGAACTCTCCACACCTATAAGCCTCCGATCATTCCTCTTCCCTTATCACTCCCACAAATGGCCTTACCTCTTCACAGAGAAAACGGAAGCGAGATGGAAACCATTGCAGCTTTCTGTTTGTAAATTAACAAACAGACTTGGCCCACACCAGTGCTTTCTTGCTTTACTCCTCTGAATATGCAGGAGATGAGCCTTCTTCTAAGCACAACCCCTCTATCTGCTCTGCATTAGACTCTCCTACCTCCTTCAGGACTCTCCCTCTACCAAGTACTTCCTCCACCACCTCCGGATTTTCACCTCTCCCTCCACTCACAATGTCCTGTGCACATGTTAGTATGTTGTATGTCTCTGTCATCTTGAGAAACAAAAACAAACTTTTCTTTGGCCCAACATTCCCCTTCCACCATTGGCCTATCTCTGTCCTTTCCTTCACAGCCAAGCCAATTTAAATGCATTTGACAGTTGCTCTCTCCATCTATTACATTCACACCTCCAGCTGACTCCTTGATCTGATGCAATTTTGCTTTGGTTTCCAGTGCTCCACTAAAACAGTTATTCCCCAAAGTTCCCACATATCTTTTAGATGCTAATCTAATGACTTAATCATTCACTGCATGGCTTAGCCATCTCTGTAGACTGGTGACCAGGCCTTCCTCAGAGAACAATTCTCTTCTCTTGGCATCCATGGTACCATGCTCTCTTGGTTGTCTTCCTTCCGTGGTGAGTGTCATTACCTGTTACCTTACAGGTTCTCTTCCTCTGCCAATCCCTGAAATGTCAATGTTCTCAAGTTTCCCACTGTAGGCACTCTGCTCGTCCCCTTCTATTCCAGGGGAATATTTGCACCACAATTCACCTACTTTCCAAGACACAAACCAAGTACTATCTTATCCCTTCTGTCTTCTGCACCACGGCTGGCTTCACAAGCATGTGACCCATGGAGTCACACAGGGACAACCCTTGCTTAGAAAGCCCTCATGCTTGGTTTAGTTTTGAACTTTCAATTTTTTTTTTTTAGAGAGAGAGAGATTGACTTTTTTATTTTTTATCCTTGTGGGTATCTAGGGGGTAAGTATATTTTTGAGTACGTAAGATCTTGTGATAGAGGCATGCAATGTGTAATAATCACATCACGAGAATGGGATACCCATCCCCTCAAGCATTTATCCTTTGTATTACAAACAATCCAATTACACTCTTCTAGTTATTTTTAAATTCGCAATTAAATTATTATTGACTATAGTCACCCTATTATGCTATCAAATCACAAGCCTTATTCATTCTTTCTATTTTTTTGTACCCTAAACTTTTAAATTCTTGAACAAGGGGCCTCACATTTTCATTTTTGCACTAAGCCCTGCAACTTACGTACCTAAGCTTGCCTACAGGCTATGTATTCAACGTCAGTCTCCTCCTACCCCTCTGATTGGCCATCTTCATCCATTGCTAAGATGGCTATAGCAGTGTTTTACCTGGGCCCCTGTTTCTACTGTTACTTCTTTCCATTGTGATCCCAAGAAATAAAATAGGTGCAGGAAAATTTAAAGCTATGTGTAAGATTAGTACATAAAAGGCAAAACACAGAATATTTTACATTTTTTTAAGGCTAGATATTTGGTTATGAGTTTTCTTGCAACCAATGTAAAATAAATAACTCTATTTTCCACTTTTTCACTGTTATACAGTATCACATCTTATAGACACACCAAAATATGTTCTCTAAATTATAGACACTTAGGTGTTTTCCAATATTTGCCATTGCAGATAATGCTACAGTAAATGTAGGTAGATAGGTAGGTAGGTAGGTAGGCAGATAGACAGATAGATAGATAATCTCCCTGTGTACTATGTACACAAGTTTTTGCAAGTGGAAGTGCTGGATAAAATGCTTTGAATAGTTTCAACTCTGCTTCAGAGTCAAATAACTTGCACAGTAGTTGGACCAATTTATAGTCCCCCAAGCAGTGTATGAAAAACAGTGTGGCTCATTTCTTTGCCAGGTTTGGTATTGTCAGGGCCAATGTAATGGATGCACGTGGTCTACCATTTTGCTCTGTTTTACATGTTTCTGATTATTAATGAGGATGAGCAACTCTTCACATATTTATCAGAGTGTTGGGTTTCCTCTTATTATATATCCATTTTTCTATTATTTTCTACTAGACTATATATATGTATATACTAGACTAGAATATATGTATAAGTGTTCTGTATATTCTTTTACAACTATATGTATATTATATAACTCTATATATGCATTTTCAATTATATGTCTTGCAAATACATTGTTCTAGATATTTGTCTTTGCACTTTGTTTATAGTATCTTTGGTTGTACACAATTTTAAGAACTTATTCTGTAAAATTTATTATATTAATTTTTTTCTTTTAGGTGTTTGCTTTTTGCGTCTTAATATAACAAAACAAACAAACAAAAGTGAAAAAATAACCTTCCTTAATCCAAGGTCATAGAAATAGACTTCTACACTATCATCTAAATATTTGAAAATTTGCCTTTCTTACTTAAACTTTAACCATATAGAATTAATTTTATAAGGTCCTGATGTAAGCTCTTATTTATTGAATAGTCCATTATTCCCCAAATGATTGATAGTTTCACTAGTATCACACATTGTGCTCACAAATTTACATGGCTTCTGATCCTCTCCTTATCAATTTTCTATCCCCAGAAAATATTATTTTAATTACCATTTATGCTTTTAGCTTTATAAAAACTATTAGATCTGGTAAGGTGACTTCATCTTCTCTATTTTCTCCTTTTCCTCCTCTTTTATCTTATTTAGAATTCTCTTGGATATTTTTCTCTTCCATGTGAAGCAGCGTCACCTTTTATTTTCAAATGCCCATTACTAACTTGAGTAGAATGACACTGAATCTTTAATCTGAGTACAATTGACATTTTTTGTATTTGCTTTTCCCATTTAGCAAAAGGATGTATATCTCCATTTATTCTGATTTTCTATGTCCTTTTTATAAACTTTGTATAGCTTTTTCCTAAAAAGTTCTTGAACAACTTACATTAAATGTATTCCCAATATCATATAGGGTTTTTGTTAATATGAATGATATCTATTGTTTTACTATATTATTTTTCTTCATCTTACAAAAATTCTCTACTATTTTCCAATACCAAAAGTTTTGCATCTTTCCAATTCAAATGTCTTAGATCTGATTAAAACCTCTAGAGCAATACTAAGTGCTAGGGATGATTCCTAAATAGAATGAGAATGCATCTAATTTTTTACCACAAAATAGCTACTTTTAATAGACATTAAAGTTAAAAAAAAAAACTTTCTATCCACTTTGCTAAGGATTATTACCATAAATATAAACCAAATTTTGGAATGCTTTTTCTGCATTTATTGTGCTGAACATATTGTTTGTCATTCACCCTACTAATGTGAACAATCTCAAGCATATGTTTTCTACAGCTATACTAATTTTGCCTTCCTGTGACAACTTTCACCTGCCCATGCTGTATTTTCTTTAAATACTACTATATTGCTATTCTTTCCTGTGTTTCTGGTGAGTTTTTAAAAACATATTCATAAAATTGATCTACATTTTAATTTTCCTTGTCTAAAGTTGTTAATAGAATTGCATTCGCTTTATAAAATAGATTGCATTTTTTTTTTTTTTTGCTATGTTCTCTGAATAATTTGCCTTGATGTTTTCTTAGAAGTTACCTGTAAAAATCTCTAGCCTTGTCATTTGGAGGAATCAAAGGAGAGACTAGAATAAAATTTTATTTGCTTTAAAAGTTGTTGGTTTAAGTTTTCTTTAAAAAAAAAAGAAAACTTTTTCTTAAGATAATGCATGGAAGTTATGTTTTTCTACATATCTCTTATTTCATCGGTAGTTTCAAAGTTTTCTTGTTTTAAAATATCTCTCTGCTCATAGTTATGCCTACTTTATAATTCTTACCATTGTTCATTTGTTCATTTCCTGCTACTGATTTCCTCCTGCTCATTCTGTTCATAGGATAGTTTATTTATTAAACCTCTCAGAGAAAAGTTTGAGCTTTTCTCTGAGGGAAATATGTATTAATTATACGTTTTTATAATTTGTATAAATTTTATAATTATATAATTTATAATTATATAACTTATAAATTATATAATTTATTACATAATTATAATATTTATAATTATGTTTATAATATTTATAAATATAATATAATTTATAATTTTATAATTTATATAAATATGTATTAATTATATATTTTGCTAACAAAGTATGACAATGTTCAATATCTCTAAACTTCTGCCAAAACTACAAGGATCTTGGGGGAGTTTTTTTGTCTGTTTTTCAGACAAGTCTTATTCTGTCGCCCAGGCTGGATTGCAGTGGTGCGGTCACCTTCAGGGCTCACTGCAGCCTCTGCCTCCTGCACTCATAGCTCACAGCAGCCTTGAACTCCTAGGCTCAAGGAGTCCTCCTACCCCAGCCTCTCAAGTAGCTGGGACCACAGATGATTTTCTTAAAAGTGCTCTTATATATTTTCAAAACATCTCTTTGTCTTTTGGGGACACATTCTGAGTAAATGCCATGGGATTGTCTTTAAGGTCTCTAATTTTCTATGGAATTAGAATGTTTAGAATTTGGATTGATATGCACACTTTTTCTATAGATGAAAATCTCCATCTTTCTCAGTTTGTCTGTCTCTTTCTACCATACACACACATACACACACACATTCCATACTTACCTTTCTAAAAATTGCAGTTGTATATATCTGCCCCAGAAGCCCCACTCCTGAGTCCTGTCTTCTGAAGGTCCGGGTCTCCTGCTCTGAGTTAGCTGTTCAAATACTGCATAGCGATCAGTCACTGTGGCCGTCCATTTTGTTTTACTTCCTAGAAGAGAGGCTAAGGCAGGGTTCCATGACTTCTTAGACACATGGGTTAGTATAACACGTAAGTTAGAATAAGTCACAACCCCAGCCAGCATAACTTAAACTAAATTAACAAGTCTTGATCAGTCCCTCATTATCATCCATTTAACCAACGTGAACTGCAGCTATTTAGGGACATACTGTGCCAGAAGGACCCTCTAGCCCTTGGCCATGCCACACTTGCCACCACATTTCTGTTGGCCCTTTATCAAGCACCTCAGCAGGACTGCATTTCCCCCCTTTGACTTTAAGGAAGTCATATTCTATTGTGGGAGAAAGACAATAAATTGACAGCTATGGAAATAACAAACGTGAAAAAGCAATGTTAGAGGTACGCACTGAAGACTAGACAGTGAACCTAGCTCAGGGGTAAGTTTGAGGAGTGCTTAATGGAATGGCCCAATATATTAGCCATTCAACATTGACTACTTCACTTCTATGCACTATATTAAAGTTGCTGCTTCTCTCACACATGAGTTCCTCAAACGTGGAGACCAAGGAGTCATCCTAACTCAGTCTCTGCCTCACTTTTTAAATCAGTCATTCAATAAACCTAACATTATCTCATATATATATATATATTTTTTTTTTTGAGTTGGAGTCTCGCTCTATCGCCCAGGCTAGAGTACAGTGGCACAATCTTGGCACACCGCAAGCCCTGACTCCCAGGTTCACGCCATTCTCTTGCCTCAGCCTCCTGAGCAGCTGGGATTACAGGCACCCGCCACCACGCCTGGCTAATTTTTTTGTATTTTTAGTAGAGACGGGATTTCACAGTGTTAGCCAGGATGGTCTCAATCTCCTGACTTTGTGATCCACCCACCTTGGCCTCCCAAAGTGCTGGTATTACAGGCGTGAGCCACCGTGCCTGGCCAGAATTTTGCTTTTTATATCCCATGTAACAACTTTTTTCTGATCTTTATTATCATAACCATTGCATAATCCCCTCACTAGTCATCCTGATTTAATATTTAAGTAAAAATTAAGTCCTATTTTTTCCTTTTTTTTTTTGAGAGGGAGTCTCACTCTGTCGCCCAGGCTGGAGTGCAGTGGTGTGATCTCAGCTCACTGTAAGCTCCGCCTCCCAGGTTCAGTCCATTCTCCTGCCTCAGTCTCCCGAGTAGCTGGGACTACAGGTGCTCACCATCACACCCGGCTAATTTTTTTGTATTTTTAGTAGAGACGGGGTTTCACCATGTTAGCCAGGAAAGTCTCGATTTCCTGAACTCGTGATCCTCCCGCCTCGGCCTCCCAAAGTGCTGCGTTTACAGGCGTGAGCTACCGCACCCAGCCAAGTCCTATTTTTTTTTTAAATGCTGTTAAAATTTATTGTTATCCATGCATAATGAATTTATCTTCTTCAAAAAAGATCAAAATGTTTATGCTTTTTATTTTTTAAAAAATAAAACAACATTTAGTATGGGGCACTGTTCTACATGCTTCAAAATATTTACTCATTTAATTTTCACGTAACCTATGATGCAGATGTGATATTGTGCTTATTTTGCAGTTGAGCAAACTAAAACACAAAAAGTGAAGTAACCTTCTGAAGTCCTACAGCTAGTATGTATCCCTCTTGTTCTAAAGACCAGGCTTTTAACCACAGCATTTCAGCCACTATCTCTAGCTCATACAATTTTGCCTCTTAGGGATATTCTTAGGGATACTTAGGTCTGTAAAGTCTAATTGGAACACAACCAGCTCACTCCTTTGCATATTGTCCATGGCTGCTTGTGAGCTACGGCAGCAGAACTGAGTCGTTTTGCCAGAGACCTTATGGCCCTCAAAGCTAAAATATTTACTATTCTGACCCTTTATAGAAAAAAAAACAAAGTTGGCAATTCCTGCTATAGAGTCACAGTTGAGCCCCTAAAAGCAGTCCTCTTCTGCAGGATGTTTTCCAGGCATTTGCACATGTGTTTGCCCCTGCTTGTGCGGGTCGCTATGTGGAGCTGCTGACACAAACAGAGGCACAGGACACTGACACTCAGCTTCCCTCTTATTTCACATAATCCTGTAACTAAGACGTCAGAATTAAGAGGGACCTTGGAGACTGCCTTTATTCTGTGACTGGTAGTACAACGAATCCAGAGTAGAATATACTCAAGCTAGCAAAGGAGCCAATACTAGAAGCTCTTCACTCTTCCAAACATTGGCTCAGGGCCAGGTGCGGTGGCTCACGCCTGTAATCCCAGCACTTTGGCAGGCCAAGGCGGGCGGATCACGATGTCAGAAGATCAAGACCATCCTGGCTAACACGGTGAAACCCTGTCTCTACTAAAAAAACACACACAAAAAATATTAGTCGGGCGAGGTGGCGGGCGCCTGTAGTCCCAGCTACTCGGGAGGCTGAGGCAGGAGAACGGCGTGAACCCGGGAGGCGGAGCTTGCAGTGAGCTGAGATCCTGCCACTGCACTCCAGCCTGGGCGACAGAGCGAGACTCCGTCAAAAAAAAAAAAAGCATTAGCTCAGAAGGGTAAGCTTAAGGAATTATAGTGCAGATCTAAAACTGACATTTAACACCTTGAGTTTAAATAAAATATCTACTGGATTAAATGCAGAGCCTGGAAATGGCTAGTTTTCACATGAGCATGTGAGTAGATGACCACTCAGAAGCACCCTGCTTTCCATGCATTTAAACAGCAAACTGCTGCGGCAGGTGTGTGCTTGCCTGCTGCCTGCTGCCTGCTGCCTGCTGCCTGCTGCCTGCTTGGTGTGTGTATCCTGTAAAGATGACAAAGCCGTGGATTTCACCTGCCTGCAGTACATCTGCAGATTTTACCTGCAGATCATTGGGGCTAGTTTACAACTTCACTAAACTGCCCCCAGGGGACTATCAAATCTTTACCGCAGGTAAGTTTTGGAATGTAATGACAATAGTTTCAGGCAGGGCACGGTGGCTCGCGCCTGTAATCCCAGCACTTTGGGAGGCCGAGGGGGGTGGATCACGAGGTCAGGAGATCAAGACCATCCTGGCTAACACGGTGAAACCCCGTCTCTACTAAAAATACAAATAATTAGCCAGGCATAGTGGCGGGCACCTGTTGTCCCAGCTACTCGGGAGGCTGAGGCAGGAGAATGGACTGAACCTGGGAGGCAGAGCTTTCAGTGAGCCGAGATCGCGCCACTGCACTCCAGCCTGGGCGACAGAGCGAGATTCCATCTCAAAAAAAAGAAAAAAAAAAAAGTGGCACAAAAAGGATGATACCATGAAACACAAGTTACCAGTGCAAAACTATAAATGCCACGTCTATTAGCAAACTACAGGTCTATTCTTCCCAACGTTTGATCTGAGTGAAAGAAACCATCCCTGAACTCATAAGACAAAGAACCACACTCAAAATGTTTTTAATAAACTTTCCAGAGGTATCTTGTAATATTTCATTTTGAATTCTTTTGAGCCACGTTCACTCTACTAAGATATTGTCGTCCTACATTTCTATAGCTCAAATTTAATTTCAGTATCATATCACTTGATTTATATTCATTACATTAATAGTCTGTCTTCTTAAATTTATTTGTAGGTCACTATAAAATCTGTCTCATCATCTTAGTTCCTATTTTTGGCTAAAGTGGCTCATTCTGAATATGTTCATCCTTTTGATCAGCTAATGCCCTTTAAAGTTCTATTTAATAATTCAATGCATCAAGCATCCCTTAAATTTCTAGGATGAGGAAAAATATATGTTAGTTAAGGACTGCACTAACTTCTTCATCTCTTCAAAAACTAAGACAAAATTATGTGCACATACAGAGTGAACTTATCATAACATAAAATGAACGCTGTGCTTTGCATTTTTTGCTGTCGTGCATAAATCTGCAGATTTCAAGAGGAAGTATCATGGTGGTAAACTGAAATGGCAGTCCCCACTGGCATTTCCTTTTCCTTTGTATACACAGTAGGCAGATGTCATGATTAGACCTGACAGCTTGAATTTCGAACTCTAAAGGGAAAAGCCAAAAGACAAGGAGTCAGTGAGGTGGAAAGGAGAAATGGAGCTGAGGGAACATGGGAAGAGGCAGGGCCCGTGTGGGATGAGTTGGACTCGTTCCAGTAACTACTGTCAGGGTTTGGGTCCAGAGAAATCTGGCAATGTTCTTTCTCCCGTATCTGATCTCCTATTGAATTGAAGAGATGTGAACGATAGTATGTGCATTGCTATATTAATATCTCAGCAGTGTGTGTTTGCTTTTTGTTTGTTTTAATGACAATAATTGGGGTTACCTAGAATGTAAGTTCTGGGACACAAGATTTATACCAAGAGGAGACTGAAATTCGGAAGCTATCTGCCACATTTTCACTTGGCCCTCATATGAAGTGCAGATAGCTTCAGATGGAATATGGACACAGTAAATACATATGTGTGTGTGTGTGTGTGTGTGTGTGTGTGTGTGTACCTAACCCTACAAACACAGAGAGAGAGGGAGTTAGTTTTGAAAGCCATATATTTTCTGAATTTAAAACATTTCTAGAATTGGAATACATCAAGCCTCAAAGTTTGTAAAAATTTAAAAAATGCAAATCAAAACTTTAATGTGATACCGCCTTACTCCTGCAAGAATGGCCATAATAAAAAAAAAAAAAATAGATGTTGGCATAGACGTGGTGATTATGGAACACATCTACACTGCTGGTGGGAATGTAAACTAGTACAACCACTACGGAAAACAGTGTGGAGATTCCTTAAAGAACTAAAAGTAGATTGATTCAGCAATCGCACTAGTGGGTATCTACCCAGAGGAAAAGAAGTGACTATACGAAAAACATACTTCTACATGCATGTTTATAGCAGCACAATTCACAATTCCGAAAATATGGAACCAGCCCAAATGCCCACCAATCAACAAGTGGATAAAGAAATTGTGGTGTATACACACACACACACACACACACACACACACACACAAGAATACTAGTCAGCCATGGTCAGGATATAGAGACCAGCCTGGCTAACAGGGTGAAGCCCCAACTCTACTAAATATACAAAAAATTAGCCAGGCAAGGTGGCGGGCGCCTGTAGTCCCAGCTACTTGGGAGACTGAGGCAGGAGAATGGTGTGAACTGGGAGGTGGAGCTTTGCAGTGAGCCAAGATCGTGCCACTGCACTCCAACCTGGGCAACAGAGCAAGACTCGGTCTCAAAAGAAAAAAAAAGACTACTACTCTGCCATAAAAAAAGGAATGAATTAATGGCATTTGCAGCAACCTGGATGGAACCGGAGACTATTATTCTAAGTGAAGTAACTCAGGAATAGAAAACCAAACATTGTGTGTTCTCACTCATAAGTGGGAGCTAAGCCATGAGGATGCAAAGGCATAAGAGCGATACTGTGTCCGGAACTGGTTCCTTCCGGCAGGTTCCTGGTCTCTCTGACTTCAAGAATGAAGCCACCCCAGTGAGTGTTACAGTTCTTAAATATGCTGTCTGGAGTTTCTTCCTTCCCATGGGTTCGTGGTCTTGCTGACTTCAGGAGCAAAGCAGCGGACCTTCGCAGTGACTGTTACAGCTCTTACAGGTGGCGCATCCAGAGTCGTTTGTTCCTCTGGTGGTTCACAGTCTCGCTAACTTCTGGAGCAAAGCCACAGCAGACCTTCGCAGCTCTGAAAGTTAGTGAGGACCCAGAGTGAGCAGCAGCCAGATTTATCAGGAAAAGCAAAATAACAAAGCTTCCACACAGTCAAAGGGGACCCAAGGGGTGTGGGGGGTGGGGGAGGGGGCACCTTTTATTCCCTTATTTGGCCCCGCCCACATCCTGCTGATTGGTCCATTTTACAGAGCGCTGATTGGGCCATTTTACAGAGTGCTGATTGGTCCGTTTTACACAGTGCTGATTGGTGTGTTTACAAACCTTTAGCTAGACACACAACACTAATTGGTGTGTTTACAATCCTTTAGCCAGACAGAAAAGTTCTCCAAGTCCTGGCTGGGTAGGTGGCTCATGCCTGTAATCCCAGCACTTTGGGAGGCCGAGGCAGGTGGATCACGAGGTCAGCAAATCGAGAACATCCTGGCTAACACCGTGAAACCCCGTCTCTACTAAAAATACAAAAAATTAGCCGGACGTGGTGGCCGGCACCTGTAGTCCCAGCTACTCGGGAGGCTGAGGCAGGAGAATGGCGTGAACCCGGGAGACGGAGCTTACAGTGAGCCAAGATCGCACCACTGCACTCCAGCCTGGGTGACAGAGAGAAACTCCGTCACAAAAAAAAAAAAAGAAAGAAAAGTTCTCCAAGTCCCCACCTGACCCAGCAGCCCAGTCAGCTTCACCTCTCAATACAATGGTCTTTGGAGACTGGGGGAAAGGGTGGGAGAGGGGTGAGGGATAAAAGACTATAAATTGGGTTCAGCGTATGCTGCTTGGGTGATGGGTGCACTAAAATCTCACAAATCACCGCTGAAGAACTTACTTATGCAACCAAATATCACCTGTTCCCCAAAAGCCTATGGAAATAAAAATTTTTTTAAATATTAAAACAAAATTACCTAGTAAGGTATGGTAGAAAAAATGTAATTTAAAATCCACAGGAAATAAACAATTTTTAAAGTTGAAGTGTTAGAAAATCTTTAATTCAATATAAATATATCGTAGGATCATATGTATTTATTAAGTAGATGTCATTTTCAGTCATTTGAAAACATCTGGGTTTATCTAATAGGATAAGTTAATACAATAAATCAGAGACTATACACAACCAATATATTTTAATCAATTTTAATTGCCAATTATTGCAGTGGAATCAGTAGTTGCATTGGACACTCATTTCAGTAAATATATTTATAAAAAAATACAAGAATTTTTAAATGGGCATTTGTTTGTTAGCAGTGAATGTTTTGATATACAGGTGGGCTATGGTAAATTCAGACATCAGGATTGGAATCTTCAGAAACCAAAAGAAGTGAATTAAAGAGCTCTTTAGAAGAGATTCCTCTATGCTATCAGCTTCCTATTGCTATGCTTTTCTCTTCCTAATTTATATTTAGGTACATGTGCAAAATATTCCTCGATGGCAAATATCTATGAAATTGATTAGATAATTTTAAAATAAAGTTAATTTAACCCATTTATTATTATCTTCACAACTCTGAATGTTACATACAGGGCTGGTACCCAGTCATTTATAGCCAACCATTTATAGTCATTCACAGCACTGAATGACTACGTCAGCAATGAATGTATTTTCACACTACCAGCACCAATCATCCCTGCAACCCCAACCAACACTGCACCACCAGTCACAATACATCACCACACCATTACAGCATTACCAACCATAACAGCATTTCCATACTGCCAGAACATCACAACACCAGCAGAACATAGCCATATCATCAAGACATTTTTAATAGAAAAAGGGTAACTGTAAAAAATATATTTTAAGAATAGACCATAAGAGGAAACATGTATGAAAAAATATGCATTTTTCCTGGGATTTTAGGTTAAGACAAATGATCTATTCTCTAAGAAGTTGTAATAGAAATTATGGTCTGATAGTTTAGATTTAGTTAATACTTTAAAATGGATTAATAGGATTGGGATATGCAAAAGAGAAGATCAGCAAGAGAGCATGTCAGATAATTAGAAAACATCATTGAAAGAGGAAAATAGATTCACAAGAAAGGCAGAATCTCACCAACAGTAAGTATTGCCCATTTCCTAGTCTTATCAGTCTGAGGGCCTAACATAACTCTCTTTACAATCCAGCCATTGCCGCTAAATCCAGTCTCTCAGACCACCTGTCAGCATGTGCTACATGAGTGGCTCTTTCTGTATCCACACGACTTCCTAAAGTGGGTCACTTTCATTGAGTTATTCTAGTATCTGCTGAAGTATTTTCCTCAAGTTTGATCCAGCTGTTGAGCCCTAAAAGATCCTAAGACCAAGTCTGTTGGTGATACAACTACCCTGGAGCTGAATCATGTAGGAAATTCTAGGCCTTAATCTAGACATTGTAAGCTAGCTTTCATATCCAACAAGTGAATTTTTCAGAATTTGATCATTGTAAATATTGGGGTGCATCAGGAATTAGGTGTCCATGATTTATGAACTATATTTGTCATCAGGAATCTGAGTAAAAAATCAACTAATCTAGGGTTATGGCTATGATACTGATTTTAATCTCTAATAGAAATATATTTAAAGAAACCAAGACACTATCACCAAATTTGAAATCTTAATATATATATGTGTATATATATATTAATATTCAAACTGCTAGAAAAATAAAAAATAATTAAACCAGCCAGGCGCAATGGCTCATGCCTGTAATCCCAGCACTTTGGGAGGCCGAGGTGGGCAGATCTTTTGAGGTCAGTAATTCAAGACCAGCCTGGACAACATGGTGAAATCCTGTGTCTGCTGAAAATTCAAAAAAAATTAGCTGGGTATGGTGGTGGGCACGGTGATGGGCGCTTGTAGTCCCAGTTACTTGGGGGACTGAGGCAAGAGAAACCCTTGAAACCTGGGAGGTGGAGATTGCAGTGAGCCGAGATCGCACCACCGCACTCCAGCCTGGATGAGAGTAAGACTCTGTCTCAAAAAATATAATAATAATTAAACCATTACCATATTGAACAAACTCCTTGAATTATTCTCTTTGAAATGCTGATTTCGTTAGAATAAAAAAATACTGGATTTGCGTTTTTTTTAAAAAAAAAGGTCACCCTAAATTGGCTTTTGTATAAGCTGGATTATTTCAGACAATATGATGTAAAAAGACTGAGATAAATATCATCAACATGATTCCTTGAGTTTCTTCCTTTACTGATTCAAACATATTCCCACACCCTTCTGTTCTATCATCTGATGTAATATGTAAACCTACAGCATATGTGTAAACTTGCCTCCAAAGGATATTGATGTAATTTTCTTTCCAGGGAGGAATCTTAGCCATTTACTGGCCTGGTGTTGGTGCACAGACTGACCTGTTTCCTGGAGTCTGATGGGAGTTTCTGTTCCCAGTTTCCAAATAAGCCAGTGTTGAAAGTACTCACTGAGAACACAATGGCTACATCATATGTGTTCCCTTGTCTGCACTATCATGGTTTTAATGTCTTA
Organism: Homo sapiens; assembly: GCF_000001405.40. Lineage (NCBI taxonomy): Eukaryota > Metazoa > Chordata > Mammalia > Primates > Hominidae > Homo > Homo sapiens. The sequence continues at coordinate 22,732,046 of NC_000013.11, forward strand.
ACATTTTCCCTTCTATTCATCCGCACATGCGTGGCTCCCCGCCTCCCGCTGCTAGAATGTGTCACCACAAAGCACAAATTATGTATTTCATCACTATTTTCCCAGCACCAAGTGCAGAATCCTGCACATAGTTAGTACTTGTTAAACAGTCCGTGACTCAACTGAATGAATGAATGGATACATAGGAATGACCTGCACCCACTTCCCCAGTTGATGTATTCACTCATCATAAAACTTCCATGATAGCCTGGATGAGTTTCTTCAGTTCAGGAATAGCAAACTGCTAAAGCCATAATTTTATAGGATAAGGTAATGTTGAGAATGAATTTCCCCACAGTAAAATTAAGGGACTGTCCAAATTTTTTATATTATTGTACTTGATTTGGGAATAGTGCTTATAAATCTGAACCATCTACAAAAAAGAAATGAAACTTAGAAAATAGCCAAGTTTACTTGGTACTATCTTAAGATTAAAAGCAAAATTATAAATAAAAGTGAGAATTTTTTAATCTTTGGTGCTCAGTTGTAATGCTTATTAAAACATTAAATGTCCTGAACATCTTACATGCCGGTACTTTTCCTTAATTGTAAAATAAGATTATAAGGACAAAATAAAACCATCCTCTTTAGTCCCATTTCTCTAGCAGCTCCTACTTGAGCTTTCTTGTACTTGAGAAATAAAAGAAATGATACTATTTTAGATGGCTCAGAATTGCCTTGAACACTTAGATAAATGCATTTGCGGTGTGCAGTATACATTGCCTTGGTATATTTGTTTATCTTATATCTAAGACTACTCTGTTTAAATAGAAAATGGTCACAAAGTGTTTCTTTTTATCTTTTAAGGCAGAAAAATGACATGTAAGACACTGCCTTGAAAATATGTCAATGCATCAGTAAATAAACACTCTTATCTCCATTACCATAATGGAGAGTCAAATCGGTATTGACGTGCAAGGTGATCCGCTCTCCGACATGGAAATTTTTCATCAGGTGTATGCTTAAATTTCTAATTGTTTCCTGATAGAGACTTTTTTTTTTAAAGTTTTTCCCAAAAGGTGTTTAGCTAATCCATCTGGCTAATTTCACAGTGAAACTGAATTAATTACCTCTTCCCATCTCTGTCCCAAACAACTCTATTTCTACAAACAAAACTACCTAAATGTATGCTAGCTAACTAAAACCAAAAGGAAAAGCTGACACTAAACACTTAAGAATGTGTCCTTAATTCTGAGAAACTGTCACATTATGGAGTAGCCTAAGGAGACATGAAGACTAAATATAATGTTGGATCCTGGAACACAAAAAAGAATATTTGCTAAAAACAAAGGAAATCTGAATTAACTATAGACTTTAGTTATTAATAATGCATCTATATTGGTTAATTAACTATGACAAATGAACCATAGTAATATAAAATGTAAATAATGGGGAAAACTGATGGATGAATAAAGAAAATGTGGCCTATATACACAATGGAATACTATTCAGTCATAAAAGAGAATAAAATCCTGTCTTTTGGGGAATGGAACTGGAGAACATCATGTTAAGTGAAATAAGCCCAACACAGAAAGACAAATATCACCTAATCCACATGATCTCATACTTATGTGGAATCTAAAAAAAGGAATTGGGCCAGGCGCGATGGCTGACACCTGTAATCTCAGCACTTTGGGAAGCCAAGGTTGGGGGATCACTTGAGGTCAGCAGTTCAAAACCAACCTGGCCAACTTGGTGAAACCCATTTCTACTAAAAATACAAAAATTAACCAGGTGTGGTGGCACACATCTTTAATCCCAGCTTCTCGGAAGGCTGAGGCAGAATGGCTTGAGCCTGGGAGGCAGAGGCTGCCATGAGCCAAGACTGAGGCACTGCACTCCAGCCTGGGTGACAGAGCAAGACTCCATCTAAAAATAAATAAATAAATAAATAAATAAATAAACAGTTGATCTCAGGGAAGCAGAGAGTAGAACCATAACTACCAAAAACTCCAGCAACTGGGGAGAGGAACAGGGAGGAGAGGATGTAGAGAGGTAGGGTGACTATGATTAACCATAAGGTATTATATGTTACAGAATAGCTAGAAGAGAAGATTTTGAATGTTCTTATAACAAAGAAATGATAGATAATTGCATGTGGTTATGGTCACACTAAATACCCAGATTTAATCATTATACAACATGTTTATCAAAACATCAAATTGTACCCCATAAGTAGGTATAATCACATTGTGTCAGTAAAAATAATAATAGGGAAAACAGTGTGAGGTATATGGGAACTCTCTGCGCTACCTTCATAACTTTTCTGTAAATATAAATCTATCCTAAAATAAGGAGTGGATTAAAAATGCTTTCTCTTGTTAATTGAATAATTTTTACTCAGAAATATTTTCAGTATCTTAGAATTAATATGAAGATTTGTATGCAATCTCATCAAATAAGAGATAGAGCTGAAACTTTGACAAAAATATGTCCTACATTTAATTTTGTAAAATTGTGTATTTTCCTAAGCTTATTTTCATGTGACTAATGAAGCATCTAGGTAAAAATGAGTTGACAAAATTTACCAAAGTTTTAAAACATTACTAGCTATTAAAGTAGTTAATGATCAAATTTAAGAATTATACAAAATAGTCTCTTCCAGTGGACCCTGTACTGTGGAAATAGCTCATTTTGGAGATTGCTCCATTATATCCAATAGTTGACAATGGAGGGCAATCACCATGTTACAGGTAAAAGGGAATGTCATAGCTTCACAAAGTCAGCGATGGTCCAGGGACTGCTTTTTAGAACGCAATGTCCTGATAACTGAATAATTACAGCAATCAGAAATGACAAAAGAAGTTCTGAGCCTTCTATCTATGATTCATTTGGAAAATGATTCATTTCCAAATCTTTCTCTCATGTATTAATAAATATCTACCAGAGCTGTGGATGAAGAGGAAAATGGAATTCATGATATGAGTTGTTAATATTTTACCATCATAAAATTCAAAGAAATTAGGAGTCTGCAATTTTCCTTTATTTCAAGAAGTATGTTTTCTATATCACCAAACGGAATTGTGTATGCATAAACACAGGCCACAAGGAACAGAGGTTCATCAGATCTGTTGAGAAAGCTACCAAGCAGAAGAATAAATCAGAAACAGTGGTGCTCATGCCCTTATACCACAGAGTCGTTTATCATGTATGGATTGCTTGGATTTATTCTACCTTGCAGGACGGAGTAGGAATGTGTTAAATCTTCCTTGTGCTTAGATTTGTGAAAAGTAGCTTTGAAGATTCCTTAAGAAAGCAAAATCTGTACTTAATTCAATGCATTAGCACCTATTATTAATCCTGAAATGGATCTTTTTCCTTTGTGATAAATCTGAGATAACAGTAGGTTCATGTCGGCATTCTCTGTCATGTGGCTGGCTCCTTGAAAAGATTTATAACAAACAGGCTGCGTCTGGGGAAAGGGTTACTTTTAAAAATCCAGCGGGATAAATGCGAGCTTCACAGCGCCACCTCTGCCTGACTGCCTGTTTGCGAATGGAGGAAATCCTGACATAGATTTCAACACACCTTATGATTACCAGAGCACAGACGGGTCAGCACGTTGGGGCGAGGGGGGAGCGCCTGAAGGTGAGATATTTCCAGTAGAGGCCTATGTACAGATGGCAAGAGGGACTAAATATTCTGGACCTGTTGCATATGGGCGCTCCCGCTGATGCAAAACGGCGTTCTGAACAGGGAAGGCATGCGTGCTGCGCAGCAGGGCTCCCGCAGCGGGGTGTGGGTTCAGGGTGCTGGACTTCAAAACCGCCTGAAACGCAGTCCAAACAGGAACATGAAGCCCTCTCAGGAGGGAGTGCCCTTTTTCCTCAACCATTTTTAATAAAATATTTTAAATGATTTTTCTTCATTTTACCATATTTACGAGGAATTGTGGCATCCCCACATCTATTTATAGCACTTACACGTGTCTAAACCAGAACAGGGTCTATACCTGAAGAGCTGACGCCTCCTTCAGATGCGCGTTCCGTGGGTCGAATCCACGCCAGTCTGTGACAAAAAGTGCTCTTGCAAAGACCAAAATGTTAAAAGGATATTGGAAAGCCACGTGGGGTTTTGAAAGAACAGGAAAAAGAAACAGAGCTTTGCCAGGCCCTGGTAGAGAAAGCCTCCATTAGAAAGAGCTTCATTTCAATGAACCTTCTCAGGCAAGGTGACACCGGTTTGGGTGATTGGCTGGTGACTCCGCCAAGCATTCTGCAGTGGAGTAATGACTGGGCTCCGCGCCCCCACAGCCCCTTCGCTGGACCTGTCCTGAGTGGCTCCTTGGGCAAATCGCAGTTTACTTCCCCGTAGGGAGAGAAACTCAGGCATCCAGGTGTTAGACTGTGGGGGTCCTGCACCTTCTTCCTTCAACCCCTGGGCGCACAGCTTGAAGCCCTCCTGGGCCGGACGACGTGGGAAATGACTGCACCCCGGAGGCCAGGAGCTCGCGCTCACCTCCCAATGACTTCAAAATGTGTGGCTGCATCTTGAGGAAGAGCAGATCCTGCCTGGTGTCCGCTATCGGCGCGGTGGCTGACACCGAGGCAGGCGGCGCTCTCCCTGGCCATGATGAAGCCGCCCTGTGACCCCCACAGCCCGCACTTCTGAGCAGCCGCGACTCCAGGCCTCACTCTGTGTCAGCTACTTCAGGAGAGGAGAATTACGAATGAGGTACTAATGAGGAATTTCATCACCTGTTTACCTTCACCGATCAGTGGCCCTCCTTTAATTTACCAGAAACACATTCTTTTTAGGCTGCTGTCAGCTGGAATGGCCTCTTATTTGAAGTGGTTATAAAGTAACACATACCTGGGAAACTTGCCTCTGTGCATGCCTTGGGCTCTGATACCACAGTCTACAGGAAGAGACAGGGAGCCAAACACAACCAGGGTTTCCCAAGCAGAGAGGAGAGGTTAAATACCTGCGATTGCACCCAGTAGTATGTTTTACTTTTTAACAAGGACCACCAATAATGTTAATCCATCAGAGACAAATTCTCATAATTTAGAATTAATACTGAAACAAGAGGGCTTATACCCTATGTGGAGCTATTTCTTTTTGGAATCCATACCTAGGAAGGTGGTAGGAGCACACACAGGCAGCAAGAAAGAAAGATCAAAGGAACTGGGTTCAGATCCCAACTCTGTGTGACGTCCGTAATCACTTCCCCTACTTCATCTTTAATTTCCTTACCTGCAAGATGAAAATGAAAATGCCTTTCCCATTGGATCGTGGGAAAAATAATGACACAAAGTTACAAAACAGTTTTTTACACTGTCTGGCACCGGTAGATGATCATAAAGGCCGCTTTCTTTTTCATTTTAACAGCTACATAGATTCAATCCAATTTATTTCAAATCAACAGATACATGTTGCAGAAAATAGGAAAACATTATTAAATAACTATAACAACCAAGTAGCCATAAGATAGAAATAACAAGCAACTTCTTTAAGAATTTTATTTCCTATTTAAGCTTTAAATTTATTTTTCCATTCTTCATTTTCACATAAAATATTATTTAGAAAATTGAATTCATGAAGATAGAAAGTAGAATGATGGATACTAGAGGCTAGGAAGGGCGGAAAAAAACAGATAAAGGGAACTCGTTAATGGGTACAAAAATACAGTTAGAAGGAATAAGATCTGGTGTTCATTAGCACAATAGGGCAACTATATAGTTAACAATAATTTATTGTATATTTCAAAATAACTAAAACAGCAGTATTGGAATGTTACTAACACAAAGAAATGATAAATGCTTCAGGCGATGGGTACCCCAATTATCCTGATTTAATCATTACACATTGTATGCTTGTAACAAAACATGTACCACATAAATACGTACAACCAATATGTATGCATAATTAAAAGGAAAAAATTAAAAAGAAAAAAGATTATGTCCTACTCTCCACAACAATCTAGTTTACTGAATTCTAGTTTCTAATTCTAATGTAATTCACCTTTGACAAAATTTCAGTGGCTTACAATGACCTACTATGTAGAATCTAAACTCTACCTGGAACTCTACCTGGTTGGTGTGGCTGCCTGCATTTACTAACTGTATTAGTAGACACTCAAGTTACAAGTGACAGAAACTCAATTCAAACCAGCTTAAACTAAGTAGAGAATATATGGGCTTCCTTAACTAAGAAGGGAGAAAATCTGCCTTGGGCATGGTGAGATTCAGAAACGCAAATGATTTCCTCAGGAATCTTTCTCTTCTCCATCTCTGGACTCTGCTTTCAGATATTTTGGCTTCATTTTTAGGTGGGCTTCCTCCTTCATTTCAATAAAACTTCTCAGGTAATGTAGGGAGCAAGTTGCCCAATTGGAGTTCTAGGATTACAACATCGCTTAAGCTAACAAATCTAGAGAGAAGATATTATCTTTTTCCAGGAAATTCTAGCAAAATATTTACGAAGGTTGTTTTTGGTCCAGTCAGATCATGTTTGAACCAATTGCTGAGACCAGGGTGACAGAGAACTTTGATAAACCAAACTAGGATTACATGGCCATGTCTATGGCTAAAAGGGAAGGAGGTCAAGCATATCAAACACATAACATGGGCTTGTTTGGATTTTACCAAAAAAACATGTTCAGTTACAAGAATAATTATAACAAAAGTGTACTAACTATTGGGCGCATAGACCACCATACCTCTCTTCCTGTCAAATCTAGTCAAGTCCTTAGGCTGACCCAGTTGTTTACTCATTCTTACTTGAATACAACTTCTCATGGATAGGACAAGGTGGTTCTTGGCTATAGTATGACCAGACTCTCCTTGATACTCTCCTGTAATTTTCATTTTCACATTTTTCCAGATCCCTGATCTTCTTCCTGGTTTCTAAATTCTCATGCCGTTTTACACTGTTAATCTTGCACCTCTCTGATCAATGCCTAATTTGAAATATTAAGCCAGTTCCTGACTGACCTTATCCTCGCCACCCTACTGGCCTCAATTTCTCCCATCTGGCCTGATTTCTAAGAAACCCACATATGCTTTGCAAAAAATGCTCCACTTCATATTTCTTACCAATGTGTTGTAGGAACCTACCAAGCTGGAAATAATATGCAGAGATAAACGTGTTTAAAGACAGACTATTCTCCAAAATAGTCTCATTTTTTTGCCTAACTTATTATGTATTTTCTGTCACTTTTAATAAATTAGTCTAAATTAATATACTTTTCATTTTCTAGCCCCGTTAATGTATTCATGATTTTCTAAAGAATCCCACTATCGGACTTTCAGATTATGTAAAGGGAAACTGTAGACTTTCAAGTCATTTAAAGGGTACCATGATAAAATGAAAAATTGTATGGATTTAGATTTAGAAGTCATAGGTTTCAACCCTAGCACTTCTAACCAGATGACCTCTTGCAAATCACGTCATCTTAGAAAATCAATGTATCAATAAAATGGAACACCATCCTTAGCAGTTTGTAGTGAGACTAAGATTAGATATTGCCCGTCTGCCAATTGCAAATATTTTTCAAATGTGTTTCCATTTTTATACTATTTACTATTTAGACTTTCTATTATGGTCCAGTTTTGCTCCTTCAACCAAATTAGATATTATTTGACAGAAAATATTGTAATTTATTACTGTTTACTTCTAGAATAGCTTTAAGAACATACCAGATGCTCAGTAAGTATTTATTTCATGCTTGGCTCTGAAATATAATTGAAGGATAAATATTTGGCAGTTGTGATCCTTTAAATTTAAATGATAACCCCACTATCAAAATAATCTAACTTAAAGTCAAATTATATCACTTAGGTAAACTGGAATAGATGCCCAAAAAGAGCCAGTGATTCTCATTTTTTTTTCAAAAGAGGAGAAAGATAAGAAAAAGGAGGGGCTATTGAACTGAGAATAATTGCCATTATATATCATTATAAAATTGGGACTCAAGAAGGTGAAAGACCTTTATAATGAAAACTACAAAACACCGATTAAAGATATTGAAGAAAACACAAACAAATGGAAAGATGTCCCATGCTCATAGATTGGAAGAATTAATCTTGTTCAAATGATCATACTACCCAAAGCGATCTACAGATTCAAAGCAATCCATTTCAAAATACCAACGTTGTTCTTTACAAAAGTAGAAAAAAAAATTCTAAAATTTGTATGGTACCACAAAAGACTTTGAATAGCCAAAGCAATCCTGACTGAAAAACTAAAAATCTGGAGGCATCACACTATTTGACTTCAAAATATACTACAAAATTATAATAACAGAAACAGCATGGTTTTGGGATAGACCAATGGAACAGAATAGATAACCCAGGAATAAATCCACATATTTACAGCCAACTGGTTTTTGACAAAGGGCAAAGAATGTGCAATGGGGAAAGGGCGCCCTCTTCAGTAAATGATGCTAGGAAGACTGGATAACCGTATGCAGAAAAATTAAACTGGACCCCTATCTCTCACCATAAGAAATCAACTCAAAATGAATTAAAAATTTAAATGTAGGGCCGCAAACTAAAATACTACTAGAAGAAAAAGAATAGGGCAAATGCTTCAGGACATTGGTGTAGGCAAAGATTTTATGTTCAAGACTTCAAAAGCACATGCAACAAAATTAAATATAGACAAATAAGACTACATTACACTAAAAAGCTTCTGCACAGCAAAGGAAACAATAAATAGAGTGAAGATGCAACCTATAGAATCAAAGAAAATACTTTAAAATTATTCATCTGAAAAAGCCTACTATCCAGAATATACAGGGAACTCAACTCAACAGCAAGAAGAAAAATAATCCAATTAAGAAGTGAGCAAAGGATCTGAATAGACATCTGTTAAAATAAGACATTCCAATGCCAGTAGGTGTATTAAAAATTCTCAACATCAATAATCATCAGGGAAATAAAAATCACAACCACCATGAGATATTATCTCACCCAGTTAGGACGGCTATTATCAAAAAGACAGAAGATAACAAATGCCGCTGAGGATGTGGATAAAAGGAAACTCTTATAGCTGTTAGTGCGAATGTAAATTAGTACAATCTTGTGTATTTATCCAAAGGAAGGGAAATCAGTATATCAAAGGGATACCTGTACCTCCATGTTTATTGCAGCATTGGTCACAATAGCCAAGATATGGAATCAACCTAAGTTTCCATCAATGAATGACTGGATAAAGAAAATGTGGCATATATTCACAATGGAATACTATTCAGCCATAAAAAATGAAATTCATTTGCACCAACATGGATGGAGCTGGAGGTTATTATGTTAAGTAGGACACTCCTGTGGGAGATAAATATCTTGATCTCATGTAGGTACAGAGTAGAATGATGGTCATTAGAGGCTGGGAAGGATGGGAGTGGAAGGAATGAGGAGAGATTGGTTAATGGGTACAAATATACAATTAGAAAGAATAAATTCTACTGTTTGACAGCACAGTAGGATAACTATAGTTAATAATAATTTATTGTATATTTCAAAATAGCAGAAGGGAAGAATTTAAATATTCCCCAAACAAATAATTGATAAATGTTTGAGGTAACAAGTATCTTAAACACCCTGATTTGATCATTACACATTCTGTGCATGTAACAAAATGTCACATATACCTCACCAATATTTTTAATTGTTGTGTCAATGAAAGAAATTATTCCAGAAAGTAGGAAAAGAAGAAAAGCTGCTTAACTCCTTATTCCAAAATCAGGTAAAGACAGTACAAGAAAAGAGAATCATAAACCCTGTGTTGCTAATAAATATGTGTGATGTGTGGTATATCTCTGTGTGGGTAGGTGTGTGTATCTCTGTGTGTATTTAAAATTTCCTTCCAAGTGTTAAATAGACATCATTTTGGGGTGGGAGATTACAAAAATAAAAATAGAACTACCATATAATCTAGTGCAACTACTGGATATATATCCAAAGGAAATGGAATCAGTACATTGAAGAGATATCTTCACTCTCATGTTTATTGAAGCACTATTCACAATAGCCGAGATATAGAATCAACCTAAGTGTCCATCAAGGAATGAATAGATTTTTAAAATGTGGTATCTACACACAATGGAATACTATTCATCCATAAAACAGAATGAAATCCTATCATTTGCAACAACATGAATGAACCTGGAGGACATTATTAATATGAGATGTCAGACACAAAACGACAGATAACCTCATGCTCTCACTCATATGTGGAATCTAAAAAAGTTGATATTATAGAAGTAGAATAGAGGTAGTTACCAGAGACTGTGAGGGTAGGGTGGGTGGGGGATGGGGAGAGGTTGGTCAATAATTACAAAGCTACAACTAGAAAGGAAGAATAAGTTCTGGTGTTCTATTGCACAGTAAGGTTACCATAGTAAATAATACACTTTTGTATATTTCAAAATACCTGGGAGAGAAGATATTGAATGCTGTCACCACAAAGAAACGATACAAGTTTAAGGTGATAACTATGCTAATTATTCTGGTTTGATCACTACAATGTATGCATGTATTGAAACATCATACTGCATTCCATAAATACGTATATTATATATAAACTAAAAACAAAATTAAACTTTTAGAAAAACAGTACATATTTTCATACACTAGAAAACTAGATTCTTTACTAATAGACTGTACTGGTTGAATCCAGATTCCTAAATTGGGCTCCTGAGTTTGAACCACATCCCAGGGCTGTAACATAAATCACGTAATCTCTCCATCCCTCCTTTTCTTCCTGGCAAAATGCTAATAATAATAGAATCAATCACATAGAGTTGTTGTGATGATTAAATGTTGAAACAATCCTAACAAGTTTAGAACAGTGACCAACACATGGTAATATTCAATAACTGTTGTGGTTTTCATTACTGTGGTAGGGATTTTTACAGAACGAGGTTAGCAGTCTGCTCTTGAAAACAGAATACCCTAGAATTTAAGAGTAATTTCAATCCATTCAAGCTGCTTGATATAGTTTGGGTATTTGTCCCTGCCCAAATCTCATGCTGAAACATCATCCCCAGTGTTGAAGGTGGGTCCTGGTGGGAGGTGTTTGGGTCAGAGAGGAGGATCCCTCCAGGCTTGTTGCTGTCCTTGTGATAGTGAGTGAGTTCTCAGAAGATATGGTTGTTTAAGCGTGTGGCGCCTCTGCCACTTGCTCCTGCTTCTGCCTCTGCCATGTGACGTGCCTGCTCCTGCTTCACCTACTACTGAGAGTAAAAGCTCCCTGAGGCCTCCTCAGAAGTCGAGCAGATGCTAGTGCCATGTTCCTGTACAACCTGCAGAGCCAGGAGCCAATTAAACCTCTTTTCTTTATAAATCATCCAGTTTCAGGTATTTCTTTGTAGCAACGCAAGAATGGCCTAATACACTGCTCATTTATCAGGTCAACTCAGCCTCAACTTCATTCCTTCCTTTATCAACCAGCCCCGGTGATGCCTCCCACCTCTGGCATGTTAAGATTCTCACCGGTTTACATGGAGTTACTTCCCTGATAAGCCCATTGTAAGTAGAAAAACCTTAAGTAGAACCATAGTAAAGTTGAGGATATCGGTTATTTTCTCATTGGAACTCATTTCATTAGTAGCTTCCATTCAGTTTTGTCATTGCTATCTATTGCCCTACACTTTTTACAACCTTAGCCCTGTATACTGACCACTGAAATTCCAAACCTTTGGTGCTGCTGCATCATCACAGGCCAAACAAATTAGAAGATTATTTACTAAACTTAACAGAACTATAAGATAAATATGAGGCCGGGCGCAGTGGCTCACGCCTGTAACCCCAGAACTTTGGGAGGCCGAGGAGGGTGGATCACGACGTCAGGAGATCGAGACCATCCTGGCTAACACGGTGAAACCCCGTCTCTACTAAATACACAAAAAATTACCCGGGCATAGTGGCGGGCGCCTGTATTCCCAGCTACTCGAGAGGCTGAGGCAGGAGAATGGCGTGAACCCGGGAGGCGGAGCTTGCAGTGCCGAGATCGCGCCACTGCACTGGCCTGGGCGACAAGGCGAGACTCTGTCTCAAAAAAAAAAAAAAAAAAAAAAAAAAAAAAAAAAAAAAAAAAAAAAAAAAGATAAATATGAACTGTTAACGTATTAGGAAATTTTTCATGAAAGCAAAATAAAATAAAACAAAGTAAAAAATACTTTCATATTTATGATCACAAGTTTCTACTAACGGAAGGCTCCATTTTATAGACAGTCCAACTAGTGATCTTATTTGTTTACTAATCAATCCACCTTCATCTATCAACCTATCAATCTTTAAAACTATTTATTATTTTCTGCTAGTCCCCGTCTATTGTATACAACCCTTTTTAGAGGATTATCTATTGCGTGTACTAGCAAAGTCCCATATTATCTTTACACAAATGTAGACTATTCCCACTGCTTATCAAGCTTAACCAGAGTTTGAGGAGAATTGAGGAGAATTACAAAAAAGATTCAATTAGTTTTTTGTTGTTGTTGTTGTTTTTGTTTTTTGTTTTTTGTTTTTTTTTTTTACCAGTTGTTAGCATTTCTAGTAAAAAGACTTGGGTGTAGTAGAATACTGAAGCTAGGGCTAAAATAAAATTTAGGACCTCTCTGTAGATTTCATTTAATTCTATTACTACTTCTGAAATGGGAAAATTCCCTTGTCCCCCTTGCAGGGCATGCGATGGGGGTGTGGCTCACTTCTTCAGCGCCCCACTGCTCAAACCTTTAGGGGAGCATACAGAGGGGCAGGCTGTGGGGCTCCAACTCCAGGCAGTGTCTAGGGCTGAATGTTTACAGCCGAAGCTCCAGTGGGCATGTGTTACAGTGTGCTTTCAGTTTTGCCGCCTATAGGCAGTTTGTGTGAGTCAGCTCAACTGGATCCCTGCCTTATTGCAACTACAGAGGGCTTTCTGTATCCCGAGGTTCTTGCCCCAGAAGAATCGGATCACACGTGGGCTTGGAGAATGAGTACAAGGTTTTATCGAGTGGAAGTAGCAGATGGCAGAAGACAGAACGGAATGGAGTGGGAAGGTTTTCCCCTAGAGTCGGGCCGTTTAGTGGCCCGGGCTCTCCTCTGCCCCAGCCAAACTGCAGGTTGTTCTGCTTCTGCCCGTCGGTGGCCTGGTGTGCCAGCATGCCGGTGCCTGTCGCTGTGTTCCTCTAGGCATCCAGCCGCCCGTGCGCTCCTCTGCCTATCTGCTCCTCTCTAGGCCCAGCAGCTTGTGTGTCTGCCTGCTAGGGTTGTGGCCGGGGCAGGGGTGGTGGGGTGGTTATAGGCGTGGCAGTCCAGGGTGATCTTGGGAAATGCAACAAAAATGCCTGTCCTCACCCAGTGGTGGAGCCCTCGCCGGGGACCATCCTTCCTCTACCCAGCACTTCCGTTCCCCACTTCCATATCATTTAAAGGGACCAGCTCTTCCCTTCCCAGCACTTCCCTTCCATATCACTTCCATCACCAACATGGGCAGTTAGGTGTTAATCGGAGAATCTGAATCACAAAGAATGACTTCTAAATAAAAGAGCCTTTAAAAACTCTCATCTGATGTTTTGGTTGAAAGATGCTAAAAATACAATAAAATAAAAACTAAGCTCATTCAAGAGAAATATTAAAATATCCTCCAGCCAGCAAAAGTACTCCTTAAAATATTACGCCAATAACACAACTTTTAATTTTATTTTAAAAATATGTTTCTTCTATGAGTTAATGTGATATTTTAAAAAGATAACTGTAAATATCAAATGGCCCTGCAGCTCCCTTTCCATGTATTTATGCTTAGTGGTGATTCAGAGACCTTGCTGTGATAATCATTTTCAACTTAATCTTAGACTCAACAGAGAAATACTCCCTGAAGAAATAAGTACAGATTGTAGTTTGAAAAGGAAATGACATTTCAACTTTTTTATTTACTCATTCTTGTTTCACTTTAATATAGTGTCATGCAAATATAATTTCCCCTAAGTCAAGTAAAATAGAAGCATTAATTTGGTTTCCACTCTTGTATCTATATTTTCTGTGTGCATATGTAGAGGTATGAATTTCTAAAGAGAGAAAATATTTTTTCTTTTTTCTAAACATGTGTCATTATATATATATATATATATATATATTTTTTTTTTTTTTTTTTTTTTTTTTTTTGAGACAGAGTCTTGCTCTGTTGCCCAGGCTGGAGTGCAGTGGCACAATCTCAGCTCACCGCAACCTCCGCCTCCTGGGTTCATGCCATTCTCCTGCCTCAGCCCCCTCCCCGAGTAGCTGGGACTACAGGGGCCCGCCACCACACCCGGCTAATTTTTTGTATTTTTAGTAGAGATGGGGTTTCACCGTGTTAGCCAGGATGGTCTCAATCTCCTGACTCGTGATCCGCCAGTCTTGGCCTCCCAAAGTGCTGGGATTACAGGCATGAACCACCTCACCCGGCCACCTATGTCCAATATTCTATACTGTGGGACAGAATTACATTACGAAACCTTCCAAAAGTTGTTAAAACCCATTATGTGCTAATAGAAAAAATAATTTTCTTGTGTTTGCAGTTATTCATGTGATGAATCTAACTTCATGAGCATTATATTTAGAATTCAGTATGAATTTCTACCCTATCAGCTGTAGCGTGGATTCTCTGAAAGACAATGGAGATTAAACAATTTTACTGTACAGAACTGCATGCTGGCTCATGGTCTCAATTTTGAAGTTAAATGAAATGAAAAGTGTAGATTTTTTTTTTTTTTTGAGACAGAATTTTGCTCTTGTTGCCCAGGCTGGAGTACACTGGCTCAATCTTGGCTCACCGCAACCTCTGCCTCCTGGGTTCAAGTGATTCTCCTCCCTCAGCCTTCTGAGTAGCTGGCATTACAGGCATGCACCACCATGCCAGGCTAATTTTGTATTTTTAATAGAGATGGGGTTTTCCATATTGGTCAGACTGGTCTCGAACTCCCAACCTCAAGTGATCTGCCTGCCTCAGCCTCCCAAAGTGCTGGATTGCAACTATTTCCTGAAATCCATTACTTTCATAAAGAAATCTACTCTTAACACCAAGCCTGTGCCTGACCAAACACCACTGTCCCAATACATCAGTGATATATTTACTCCCCACTAATTATTTCCTTGAGATTTTTTGAATTATTAACTTTTCTACAGAATAAAGAAACATAATTATGAAGACAAATGTTATAATTCACTATGTTGAGAAATAGTTTAACATGAATTATACTTTAAGCCCATGGATGAAAGTTTGTTCTTGGTAATTTTCTTTCAACACAATGACTTTTACCCCATTCTTAAGCAATTTAAACACCTAACAGGATTGCAAACACTTTCTGTCATCTTCACTAGGCCATTGGTTAATTTCTGAAAGTCTACAGAAAAATAAATTTAAAAAGCAATGCACTTCTAATTATAAGATGTGAGTTCTGCCAGGTTCACCCCTATGCCCCACAAAAATTAACTTTTGGTGGTTTCAGATTTCTCATCCCCAACACTGCCTCACCTAAATGGAGCTGGATTTGATGTGTAATTGACAACTTTTCAACACCTACAATTTTTGACATATTCTAATCCATATTGGTAGCTCTATTTTTAAGTATATTTTCTGCTGAAAATACTATTGCCACTAATAATACATGTCTACCTTTTTATTAATCAATAGTAGATGCATGTCCAGTTACCTAGCTATTTAGGGTTTCTTGTGAGAATGAAATAATAATTATTGTCAACTGTTACTGATGATACATGTCTACCTTTTTGTTAATCAATAGTAGATGCATGTCTAGTTACTTAGCTATTTAGGGTTTCCTGTGAGAATGAAACAATCATTGTTGTCATTCTTAATTGATGTAACTTTAGCCAAAAGAAAAAAGTCTTAATATTTCAAGTAGTCTGAACTGCATCAGCACCAACGTAGCTTAGATCCCTTTTCTCAATTTTATATTGGGAACCATTTCACCAGATGATCTCAGATACTTTCCCTCACAACCATTTGATAAAGCATCATTCAATCACTCACAAGCAAGTTGAAAAAGCATCGTGATGTCTTTAAAGTATAATCCTGCCATGTCAACTTTAAAAATGAAACATATTTAGGCTATACCATCAGCTGTAGCAAGCAGGGATCCTATGCAGATTTTCAGGTACTTCTCCCATCCAATGGGTTCACTGCAGTATTGCTGTATTGAATTTCCACATGAGGAGCCAGCAA
Source organism: Homo sapiens (assembly GCF_000001405.40). Lineage (NCBI taxonomy): Eukaryota > Metazoa > Chordata > Mammalia > Primates > Hominidae > Homo > Homo sapiens. The sequence goes on from NC_000013.11 coordinate 22,748,231, forward strand.
TCTACACTGAAGGAGAATGTACCTGTCTACTGGCACAACGCAGCAAGAGCCCTATGTATGGAACACCTTCAGGCCACACCCTGAGGAACAGACAAAGTTATATGCAGTTCAGTATCCGTCTTCTTACAAACTATTTGATAGAACAAGATATAGCCACATTTCATAAACCGAATAATACAGCATAACAAATTGTCCGGGACAATTAATTATATAGTGACTGCTATGACTTCTGAAGAGTCTCGGGAAAGCTTCATGGATAAGTCTGACTCAAATCAACAAGAAGGATGGTTGTGATTTAGATTGGCTGAAGCAAGGAGGCCACCATTCCAGACCAGAAATCTCTTTCCAAAGAGCAAAATCAAACTAATTTTTAGGGGCAGAAAACATGTTTTCTTGCTTGAACTAGTGTATTCTGAAGGAGCGACAGCTAAAGATATTTACATTAGAAAGAAACAACTAATTAGTGATGATCCTGTGTGATATGGTTTGGCTGTGTTCCTACCCAAATCTCATCTTGAATTGTAGTTCCCATAATCCCCACATGTAGTGGGTAGGGCCCAGTGGAACGTAATTGAATCATGGGGGCAGTTACCCTCATGCTGTTCTCTTGATAGTGATTGAATTCTCACTAGAGTTGATTGTTTTATAAGGGGATTTTACCCCTTGGCTTGGCATTTCTCTCTCCTGCTGCCTTGTAAGAAGGACATGTTGCTTCCCCTTCCACCATGATTGTAAGTTTCCTGAGGCCTTCCCAGCAATGTGGAGCTGTGAGTCAATTAAATCTTTTTCCTTTATAAATCACCCAGTCTCGAGTATTTCTTCATAGCAGCGTGAGAACAGACCAATACACTGTGTTACTCAGATTATATGCAAAAGTTCATTGAAAAAAAGAAAACATTTGCACAGATCATTAGTTTGAGAAAAGGTGATTCTTTCCCTTTCGCACTTACCAGGAAGATAAAAGGAAGGAGCTGATGAGCACATAAGAAAGGAGTTGTGAGTACAAGGATTTTTATCACAGAGACCAGCAGTAAAGCAGTTTCCTGAGAATGGCCCAAGAGAAGCACGGAAGGAAATTTATATTAAAATTCTGGTGTATTTCCCAGATGTTTCCCACGTCTAGACAGTTAGTGAACAGAGATGAATATCTTTAGTCTTACTTAATGTAGCAAAAATCTCCCCTTTTTAAAATGTCTGCCTAGACTTCCAAAGTGGGTGTGACTTAGAACTGATAGTCAAAGTATGACTCAAACAATAGGAAGCTAATGTGAATTTATCTAATTTTTGTGTTCTGTTTTCATAAGGAGAGCTGATAGTTTCCTTGGTATCAAGACCTTTTTTAAAAGGAAAAAAAATAAGAAAATGGAAAACAACAAAAACAAAAAAAAAACAGTTGATCTGATTCTGTGGCCTGACCAAAATACCTAGTGTCAAATGCTTTTGTAAAAAAAAATTCAACTTTCTTGGAATTGTTTTGTGACATTAAGATAGTGTTAGTTCCCATATCCTATCTCTCATATGAAGCTTCATTGAATTCCAGCATAGGAAGAGACTCAAGAATTCAGCTACTCCTACCTTTCACTGCAGAAGCTATGATGGAGCCCAGGGAGTATTTTTAATGAGCCAACAACCTCATCCTAATGCCAAAAAGCTCTCTGTAGTTATTTTGAAAATGCAAGATGGTCATCATCTCATCAGAGAAGGAATGTATAGGTACAGATTAATAAATACACGAATGAAAAAAATCCATGCCACTTTCTCAGTGTGGTAAAGAATTTTCATGACCACTGATGAATACAATACTTTACTTTGATTTATTGTAGCTAAAAAGAAATTTTTTTAAGAAAAATTGTTTCTGAGAAAGGCAGAGTTGAATTAGTTTGAGAAGAATTTGAGCCTGAGGAAAGAAGCATTATCACTGCTGCATCCTTGGCAGCCTAGCAGAGAATTCTGGTAACTCTTACACTTAAATTTCCATTCTGGGACTGAGAACCTGCTTTCTTACAGGTTTTGCTTAGGAAGTACAGCACATCTGATGACTTCTGCTTAGAGATTGTCACATCTTGAAAAATATTTCCTTCATATAGAGTGCATAGGACTCTAGACTTTAAAATATCCACGTTTGATATAGACATGTTAATTAACTTTAGCACTGTACTAAGTGACTCTCTAGTGTCCGGAGTACTACATGGAGCACGCATACTTCTGAGTCAAGTGATTATTAAAGCCAATCAAAGATGCCCATTTATGTAGTATGAGCTGCATTATTTTTCAATTTAAATATGGTGTTGTCATAGAAAAGTCAACATGAACAAATGTGAGAGGAAAATCAGTGTGATAATTCCAACCTTCGAAATACTGGAAGAGTAGACAGTGTTGCCTTAGACATGATTGGATTCTTTACATCTGTCACTGTCCCCTCTAACTGAGTTCCAGCTTCATGGTCTCAAGAGGCTTGAGTTCATTTTTTTAACAGAAATATCTCTCCCCAAATCACTTACATCACAGGAACATTTAAAAAATAGAAGAGAACACAAAAAAAGCTCCTAAGTGGTAGTTACTGAAGCTACACACAAAAAAGCATAGGGCCTTATTTCCAAATTTACACTAAGTAATTATCTTACTTCATTTTCTCATTATATGATTTTAAGAAATCCATGATAGAAATGTAATATGAAAATACAACCAAAGTCTTTAATACTAATTCCTATAGTGTTAAAATACTGTGAGCACGGAAGAAAAAATCAACAAAACTAGGGTAGTAGCATCGTCCTAGAAATTCTTTAAATAATTGAATAAGTAAAAACGTATTGCTAGGTAAAAACATCTTATATCCAGCCCATTGATGATATTAGGTCCTCAGTAATTGTTGAATTGCAAATTCGTAAGACTACTGTTATTTTTTTTTATTTTTTTTTTTTTTTTTTTTGAGCAGAGTATTGCTCTGTCGCCCTGGCTGGAGTCAGTGGTGCAATCTCGGCTCACTGCAAGCTCTGCTTCCCGGGTTCACGCCATTCTCCTGCCTCAGCCTCCCAAGTAGCTGAGACTACAGGCGCCCGCCACCACGCCCGGCTAATTTTTTGTATTTTTAGTAGAGACGGGGTTTCACTGTGTTGGCCAGGATGGTCTCGATCTGCTGACTTTGTGATCCGCCCGCCTCGGCCTCCCAAAGTTCTGGGATTACAGGCGTGAGCCACCGCGCCTAGCCTATTGTTTGTTTGCGGTTTTTTTGTTTGTTTGTTTGTTTGTTTGTTTGTTTTTTAAATTCTAAAGCTCTGGTATTTTTTCTGGTTTTGTCAACAGTCACTCGAAGGTTCTTTTGACCTTTGCCAGGAGAATTTCCTTTACTTCTGTTCTGATTTCGATTCTGTTTCCCTGGTCCTGTGCCTTTCTCTCTCTTTTGGATCACTTTTCACTTTAGGGTAAGACATATTCCAGAGTTCCCTGAGAGACGGTACTTGGCAGGTCAATTTTCTGAGAATTCACATATCTGAAAATGTCTTTATTATACTCATTATTTTGACTCCCTCCACTCTGCCACCCTCTTTTCCCCACTCCCTCTCCCCACCCTATTTTTACCATCCATCTACCCAAAAACATTTTCCCCCACCTTCGTTTTCCCACCCTCTTCTCCCCACTGCCTTCTCCCACCTCCCTCTTGCCACCGTCTTTGCCCCAGACTTTCTCCCCATTCCTCCTGGCCACCCTCATTCCCCCCTCCCACCGACCACTTCTTCTTGCCACCGTTTCTCCCTCTATCTATCCAAAAACGTATCCACTGTCTTCTTCCTGCTCCCTCTTTTCCTCTCTCCAGCTGCCACCCTCTTCCCGCCTCACTCCCTTTCCCCACCCTCTTTTCCCCCTCTTTCTACCCAAATGCATTTTTCCCCTCCATCTTCTCCCTGCTCCCTCTCGCCCTCTTTTCTGCCTCCATCTACCCAAAAACTTTTTTCCCTACTGTCTTTACCTCACTGTCTTTTTCCCACAGGCTATTCCCTCCTCCCATTCTCCACTCTCTTCCCCACTGCCCTATTTTCCCTCCTTCCCCTCTCTACCCTCTTGCTGACCCTCCCTCTGGCGACCCTCCCTCTCGCCACCCTCTTTTCCCCCCTCCAACTACCCAAAAACCTTTTTCCCACCCTCTTTTCCCCTACCCCTCTTGCCACCTTCTTTTCCTCCCTCTGGCTCGCCACCTTATTTTTCTCCTCCAATAAATGAAAAACTTTTCCCCCAAGTCATTTCCCCCAACATCTTTTCCCCACTCACGCCACCGCCTCTTCCGCCTCCATCTACCCAAAAGCTCTTTTCCCCACTGCCTTCTCCCTCAGTCCTGCTCACCGCCCTCTCCTCCCCGCTCCCGCTTGCCACCCTCTCCTACTGTACTTATTCTTGATTTATGGCTGGCTAGGTATAAAATTCTAAATATTCTCAGCCTTCCAAAGGTTTCACTCAATTGTCTTTTAGGTATCTGCACTGCTATTGAGAAATCCACAGCCATTCTGGCAATTCACTCTTCAGGTGATCTGTTTTTCTACTTGTTGACACTTTTAGATTTTTTAGACTGCCTCTAAGATCCCAAGATACCCCCCCCCCTTTTTTTTTTTTTGAGATGCGGTCTCACTCTGCCACCCAGGTTGGAGTGCAGTGCTGCCATCTCGGCTCACTGCAAGTTCCGCCTCCCAGGTTCACGGCATTCTCCTGCCTCAGCCTCCCTAGTAGCTGAGACTACAGGCGCCGCCACCACGCCTGGCTAATTTTTTTGTATTTTTTAGTAGAGACGGAGTTTCACCATATTAGCCAGGATGGTCTCGATCTCCTGACCTCGTGATCCGCCCACCTCAGCCCTCCCAAAGTTCTGGGATTACAGGCATGAGCCACCATGCCCGGCCTTGAATTTTGTACTAAGTAGTTGTTCAACCTTAGGTGAATCATTTAACTTCTTTGGGCCTCACTATCACAAAACTACTGCATTAGGAATGATTTCTTTTTTTTTCTTTTTTGTTTTTGGGGGAGATGGAGTTTCTCTCTTGTTGCCCAAGCTGGAGTGCAGTGGAGCTCTCTGCAAACTCTGCCTCCCGGGTTCAAGCGACTCTCCTACCTCAGCCAATTTAGTAGCTGGGATTACAGGCGCACCACCACACCTGGGTAATTTTTTGTATTTTTCAGTAGAAACAGGGTTTCACCATATTATCCAGGCTGATCTCGAACTCCTGACCTCAGGTGATCTGCCCACCTTGGCCTCCCAAAGTGCTGAGATTACAGGTGTGAGCCACCACACCTGGCTGGAATGATATCTTTAGACTAGGATTTTCTTCTTCTCACCTGTTACCTTAAGAGCCTGCTGAACTCCTATTACTTTTTTAGACCCAGCTGAAATGTCATCTTTTCTGTGACTCTTCATTCATATTGATATGGCTTGGAGATCTGTCCCCTCCAATCTCATGTTGAAATGTGATCCCTAGAAATGAAGGTGGGGCGGTGTTTGGGTCATGGGGCAGACTCCTCATGAGTGGCTTGGTGCCCTACTATGGTAATGAGAGAGCTCTCACTCCCTTAGTGACACATGAGCTGATTGTTTAAACGAGCCTGGGACCTTCTTCCCTGTCTCTTGCTACCTCTCTCACCATGTGATGCACTGCTTCCCCCTTCACCTTCCAGCATGATTAGAAGCTTCCTGAGCCCTCACCAGCAGCAGATGCTGGTGCCATGCTTCCTGTACAGCCTGCAGAACCATAAGCCAAAATAAACCTCTTTTCTTTATAAATTACCCGGTCTCAGGTATTTCTTTAAAACAATGCAAACAGACAAACACACATATATTCAAGATTATGGTTTTGTGTTTTTTTGTTTTTTGTTTTAGATGGAGTCTTGCTCTGTCACCCAGGCTGGAGTGCAGTGGTGCAATCTCGGCTCACCGCAACCTCTGCCTCCCAGGTTCAAGCAATTCTCTGCCTCAGCCTCCCGTGTAGCTGGGATTACAGGCCCCTGCCACCATACCTGGCTAATTTTTGTATTTTTAGTAGAGACGAAGTTTCACCATCTTGGCCAGGCTGGTCTTGAACTCCTGACCTCATGATCCACCCACCTCAGCCTCCCAAAGTGCTGGGATTATAGGTGTGAGCCACAGTGCCTGGCCTCAAGATTATGTTTTAAGTATCAGGTACTTGAACCCATTCCTAGTCAGAATTATCAAAATCTTCTTTTATTCTCATGTAGTATGCTTTTATGAGTCGATTAAAACACTCTTTGTTTTGTATTATAATTGTGTTTTTACATGCCTCTCTTCATCCCTTGACTTTGAGCTTATCCTTTAAAGCCTCAATGTAACTGCTAGGTAATTTATGCTCATTAGTTGCCTGGTAAACATTTGTGCAATGTAATGACCTACACGTTCTTTAAATTGTTTTTCAGCTCAAAAATAAATTGTATTGTTTAAATTGTACATGTTGTAAACCAAACCTATCCTCTTTCTTCCCAAATCCGTTTCTCCTATTGTTAATGGCATTCACAGTCTTACTTACTCAGGGCTCAAAATTAAATGTACCTGCATGTGGTGTGGCTAAGAGAATAGAATTTGAGTCAGACAGATAAGAACTTGAAGCCTAGCTCTTCCACTTGACTCAATATAGGATTTGGGCACATTATTAATCTCTTTAAGACTCAGTTTTTTCATCTGCAAGAAGGAGATTAAAATATATGCAGCCCAAGGTTTTTGTGGACCTTAAATAAATCTTGTGTTTTGAATGTGTAGTTGACACTTTACAAATGTTTCCTCTTATCTCCTACTGCACTCATTCTAACATTCCTGGTAGCACGGTCACAGCAAACTTTTTAGAAAGAGTAATTTTCTCTCTAACTTTTATTGATTTGCAATTAAGCTACCTGATGCCCTTTATCCCCAACACATGACATGCCTGGAAAATTCAATGTGAGCTAATTCCTATTGGAGACATATAGTCTCTATTTAATACACAAGTACAATATGTTGAACTACACTTTATAGCTTAAATTAGTTTGTAATTAAGTGATAATATTTAATTGGATATGGCCCTTTTTAAAAACCATATGTTTTATCTATAGAGAAATATGTATCTGGTTTATATTTTTAGATGTTTTGGAAAAACTCCAATATGCTCTTGCCTACTGTATTTTAAATGCATTTAAACATGTTTTACTGCTTTTGACTCTCAATATATTAGCCAATGATATTATCAATAAACTTTTTTAAACAAACTTTTTTTACTTTTCATTTTAAATCAGAAGTCTGCAGACAGCTGATAATCTAGCATCTGTGCCTTCTGTCTTTATGTCCAACACAAACTCACTTTCATACTCCACATCATGTTCTTTAAATTTATTTGGATCCTAAATGGATATTTTCCTGTGACAGCTCTTCTGTTCTGGTCTGCAATAATATTTTAATTTTCAGTGTTAATTAATTGTGTTATTTTGTGTTTTTAAAACTAGATTATAAGTGCTATGTATGAAATAAAATTTTTTTATTGTTTTCATTTTCATACAATAAAATATGGTATAATTCTGCCCATTCCAGATGTTTCATTATTTTCTTATAACTCTATCAATGTAGTATAAATCACAATTTAAAAAGCTGATCAAATCAACATGTGCTTTGTCCCATACACCAACTGAACAAATATTTCTTGATTTCAAATGATGAACATGCTGATTTTAGAGTAATACTGTTTATTTCCTTTGAAAAAAAGTTAATGAGTGAAATATACATATAATATTCTCTAAGTGTCTAAACCCTGAGTAGATATATTTATATTAAATATATAGTTAAAGTATATATAAATATATATACTTTATAAAATATATTTTTATATTTAATATAAAATATTTTATATTTATATGATATTTATCTATTTAATATGAAATATAGCTATAGACTTTATAATATAAAATATAAAGTATATATATAAATATATATATACTTAAAGCACCTGATATGCTTCTATGCCCTAAAAATGCCATACTTTTACAAATACCAGTCATGCACCTCATAACAATATTTCAGTCAACAGTGCAGGTCTCATAAGATCATAATGAAGATAAAACATTCCTATCACCTAGTGACAATGAAGGATTCATAGTGTTGTAGTGCAACATGCATCACTCATGTGTGCATGATGATGTAGTGTGAACAAAGCTATATACAGTTTTGTGCAGAACAGAATACGATAGCAATAGTAAATGGTTATGTTGTTGGTTTATCAGTTGACTACACTGTACTTTTAATCATTATTTTAGAGTGTAATCCTCATACTTATTTTAAAAAAGAGTTCACTGTAAAACAGTCTCAGGTCCTTCAGGAGGAATTCCAGAAGAAGGCATTGTTATTACAGGAGATGATGGCTCCGTGTGTGTTGTTGCCCCTGAAGACCTTCCAGTGGGTCAAGATATGGAGGTGGAAGATGGTGATGTTGATGAGCCTGACCCTGTGTAGGCTTAGGCAAATGTATGTGTCTGATTTTTACTTTCTAATGAAAAATTTTAAAAGTAAAAAATTAAGAAAACATTTTTAAAATAGAAAAAAGCTTATAAAATAAGGATATAAAGAAAGAAAATGTCTTTACAGCTGTACAATGTATTTGTATTTTAAGCTGTCAGCACAAAAGAGTAAAAAAGTTAAAAAAATTCAAAGTTCATAAAGTAAAAAAGTTACAGTAAGCTAAGGTTAATTTATTATTGAAGAAAGAAAAAATTAAAGTTTGGCATCGTTTCAGTGTATGGTGTTTCTAAAATCTACAGTAGTGTCCAGTAATATCCTAGGCCTTCATATTCACTTACTACTCACTCACTGACTCACCCAGAGCAACTCCCAGCCACGCAAGGTCTGTTCACTGTAAGTGCCCTGTACAGGTGTACCATTTTTAATCTTTTATGCATATTTTTACGTACCTTCACTATGATCAGATACGTTTAGATACACACATGCTTACCATTGTGTTACAGTTTCCTACGGTATTCAGTAATTTGTATACAGTATACAGTAATGTGCTGTACAGGTTTGTAGCCTAGGAGCAATAGGCTATACCATATAGCCTAGGTGTGTAGGAAGCTATACCATCCAGGTTTGTGTGAGTACCCTTTATGATTTTCCCACAATAAAAACATCACTTAACAATTCGTTTCTCAGAATGTACTCCCATCATCAAGGGACACTTGACTGCATCTGTATAGCAACTGAGGTTGTAACACGGACAACATGTCCCATAATTCACCTTCTTTGGGAAACATTACCTCTCATTGAAAAATCATTATGGCTATTATTTAGTTTTGCAACTCCTTAACAACTAGGAAGCTAATAAGACTGGGTACAAGAATTTCAAATAGAAATACTAAAGCAAATAGTTAAGTTTCACAGGAAATATATCAGACTTAACGTGGTAATAAGCATTATAAAAAATAAAATCTCACACAGAGCAACCATCAAAATAATAAAACCTTTAGGAGTCAATCTTTGTCCACCAGCTCCACCATATGGCATTATGAGAATTTACACCTTATATTCAAGGGAAAAAAACTTCCCAAATATTAAAAAAACACTAAAAGTTCCATGGCAAAAAATAATTTAAAGTGATAAGAAACACGTAACACTTTATCAATAATGAGTGTGCATTTCTTTACCTCATTTATGTTTCAGAGTTTCTAAGAATATGGTATTTTTTCCACGGGAAAGCATATATTAAGGTAAGCTAACCTTTCATTTTAAACCTAAACACATTCAGAATGCTTTGCAATCTTATTTTGCCTTACAATGTTATTTTTCCAATGTTGAATTGGAGTTCATGGTTCTCTTTGTTTTATCCAATAAAATGTTATCCAATAATATTTATGCAATAGTCTAGATATCTACTATATTTTATGTAATAGTTCATATGTCCATGCAAATTGAATCATTTCAAAAATATAGAATGATGTATGAAAAATTATGGCTAACACTTAGAAATCTACGAAGCCTCTATAAAATTAAACAGTTTCCTCACTTTAACTTTCTACTTTCCTTTCCTACCCACAACTTTGGTCAGTTTCTTAAATTGGAGCATACAAGTATATTAAAAAAAAAAAAAATTCCACAAAGCTATTGTTGTGAATAGCAAAACCCAAAGCTAACCAGCGTGAGCATAAGAAGGAGAGGCTTTGTGAGGAATTTATGCACAACTGGAGGAGGAGTTGAATAACAAAGCTGGGAAGGGGAGTGGTAGGCCTGTGTTCTCGGGTACCTGGTTTCCGTGCTGCAGTCCAGATGTGAGTCCTAGGGTCTTCTGGGTCAATCAGGTGTCATCTGTAGAAGCTGTAGTTGGACTTGCTTAAACTCAGGGGCCAGGGCAGTGTTAGTCACATACGTTCACCAACATCAAAGACAATGTGCAAACTACTAAGTGTCAACTACATCTAGTTGGTGTAGATCTAGACAAAGCAAAAGACAGGTCTAGAAGGTAGTGGTGCTAGTTGTGGTAGAGTATCACTTTCAATCCTAGCTGTAAAGATTCGTTACTAAAGTGATCCAAATGTAAATTGTGTTATTAACCAGATAATTGAACATTTCTAGCCCCACAGATTTAGGTCAAACATGATATTTATCGATTTTAGATGCAAATTGTGTACTGTAAGGACAATTATAAATTTCTCAATATGAATGTGGTCTTCTTTCTTGCGGAAGTAACTAGCTAAACTAAATGAAGGCATAGATCATAAAGCACGTCACCTCCCACTAGGTGTTAAAGTAGATGAGAAGAAATCTGAGAATATTTCGGATGAAAAGACTTTTTTACAGCAGGAAATAAAGGTATTAGCTGTTGCCATGAGTAAGTCGGTGGGTAACAGTGGATCACTATGGCCATGAGAGTAAAATCATTTGCAGACAGAGGACCAATATACATCTGTGGGAAGTGGTAAATTCCAAGGATGTACAGGTAATACATTGGCATGTGTGCCCTTCTTAAGTCTTTTTTATATCCTGACATCAATTTCTCAGTAACAAAGTAATTAGACCTATCCTTTATTGAGCATTAATTCCATGTCAGTCCTGTATCTGCTTTACATGCAGTTACATATTTAAGGTTCACAACAACCCTGTGAGGTATTATTATTGTATCTTTTTCTTACAGACTAGGAAACCAAGACATGGAAGAGTTAAGTAATCTACTCAAGATCACACATCTAAGAATGATTTAATCAGCCGGGTGCAGTGGCTCACCCCTGTCATCCCAGCACTTTGGGAGGCCGAGGCGGGCGGATCATGAGGTCAGGAGATCGAGACCATCCTGGCCAACATGGCGAAAACTCATCTCTACTAAAACAAAATTAGCCAGGTGTGGTGGTGGGCCCCTGTAGTCCCAGCTACTCGGGAGGCTGAGGCAGGAGAATGGCATGAACCCGGGAGGCAGAGCTTGCAGTGAGCCAAGATCGGGCCACTGCACTCCAGCCTGGGCAACAGAGCAAAACTCTGTCCCAAAAAAAAAAAAAAAAAAGGAAAGATTTCAAATCACAATCCAACTTTACAACTTAAAAAATTAGCAAAAGAACAAACTAAATCCAAAGCTAGCAGAAGGAAGGAAATAATTAATATCAGAGCAGAGATAAATGAAATAGAGAATAGAAAAAAAATCAGTGAAACTAAAAAGGTCTTTGAAAAGATAAAATTAACAAGCCTTTAGCTAAATGAACTAAGAAAAAAAGAAAGAAGACAAATTACTAAATTCAGAAAGGGAAGTGGGGACATTATTACTAATTCTACATAAATAAAAATTGCATTTTTTGGCAGGGCGCGGTGGCTCATGCCTGTAATCCCAGCACTTTGGGAGGCCGAAAGTGGGGATCACGAGGTTATGAGATCGAGACAATCCTGGCCAACATGGTGAAACCCCATGTCTACTAAAAAATGGTAGTGGTGGCGGGCGCCTGTAGTCCTAGCTACTTGGGAGGCTGAGCCTGGAGAATTGCTTGAACTGGGGAGGCAGAGGTTGCAATGAGCCGAGATCATGCCACTGCACTCCAGCGTGGCGACAGAGCAAGACTCCGTCTCAAAAAAAAAAAAAATGCATTTTGTGCCCTAAAAATCAACAGTCTGAAAATTAAATTACAGGAACAATTTCTTTTACAGTAGCTTCAAAAATAATAAAATACTGAGGAATTAATTTAACCAAGGAGGTGAAAGATTAAGTGTACAATAAAAACTAAAAAACATTGCTATAAGAAATTGAGTAAGATAAATAAATGTGTTTCCCATGGAAATGGACTAGATTACTTAGTATTGTTAAGATGTCAGCACTACCCAAAGCAATCTACAGACTCAATGCAATTTCTTTCAAGAGTCCTAAAATTGATATGAAATCTCAAGGGACCTTGACTACTCAAAACAATCCTGAAAAAGAACAAGGCTGGAGGACTCACACTTTCTGATCTCAACATTTACTTCAAAGCTACAGTAATCAAAATAATGTGATACTGGCATAAAAACAAACCTTATAGACCAAAGGAATACAATAGAAAGCACAAAAATAAACCACCTCATATATGGTAAAGTGATTTTGGTAAGGGTCACAAGGTCATTCAATGGGGAAAAGGCAATATTTTCAACAAATGGTACTGGAAAAACTGGACATCCAAGTGCAAAAGAATGATGTTGAACCCATACCTAATACCATATATAAAAATTGCGTCAAAATGGATCAAAAGCCTAAGTGTTAAGACCTAAAATTATAAAACTCTTAGTAGAAAGCATAAGGCAAAAGCTGCATGACATTGGATTTGGCAATGATTTCTTGATATGACACCAAAGGCACAGGAGACAAGAAAAGAAATAGACAAATAAGACTGCATAAAAATGTAAAAATTGTGTGCATCAAGAAACACTATCAACAGAGTAAAAATGCACTCTACAGAATGGGAGAAAATATTTACAAATCATATACTTGAGAAGGTGTTAGTATGTAGAATATGTAGAGAACTTCTAAAACTCAACAATAACAAGCTTGATTAAAAAATGAGCAAGGGCTTGAGTAAAACACTTGTCCAAAGAAGATATAAAAATGGCCAATATGCACGTGAAAAGATACTCAACATCACCAATCACCACTAATCATTAGGAAAATGAAATCAAAACTATGCTGAGATACCATTTCACACACATTAGGATGACTACTATAAAAAAAAAACAGAAGATAGTAAGTGTTGGGGAAGATGTGGAGAAATTGGAACTCTTGTGCACAGTTGGCGGGAATGTAAAATGATACGACCATAGTGGAAAACAGTATGGGTGTTCCTCAAATAATTAAAAACAGAATTATCAAATGACTCAACAATTCTAGTTATATACACAGAAGGATTGAAAATGGGGTCTTAAATAGATACTTATACACCCATGTTTATAGTAGTATTATTCACAATAGCTAAAATGTGGAAGCAATCCAAGTGCCCATTGACAAATGAAAGAATAAGCAAAACCTGGTCTTTACAGACAACCGAGTCTTATTCGGACTCAGAAAGGACGGAAGTTCTGACATAAGCTACAACGTGGATGAATCCAGAGGACATTATGCTAAGTGAAATAAGCTATTCACAAAAAGACAAATATTGTAAGGATTTTACTTATATGAGGTACTCAGAGTAGTCAAAATCATAAAGGCAAAGTAGAATGGTGGTTTCCTGGGCCTGAGGGGAAGGGACATGCAGCGTTATTACTTAATGAATATAGAGTTTCAGTTTTACAAGATGAAAAGAGCTATGAATATGGATGGTGGTGTTGGTTGTGCAATATTATTAATGTATTTAATAGCACTGAACTCTGCACTTAAAAATGGTTAAGATGGTAACTCTTATGTGTATTTTTAACACACTAAAAAGTTGGAAAAAATTTTGGAAAATTTGAAAAAAAAATTAAAGCACATATAAGGTTTATCCTGAGAGATAAATTTTGCTTTCCCCAAACTTACCTAAAAATATAAACAGTGTAGAGAATCAATTGCAGTATAATTCAAATTGAAGAGGTAAGTTCTAAATACATACTCCATGCCTTGTTCTGTGTCAAGTACTAGATATATGAAGATAAATATTTCTGACATGCAAGAATGTCAATCTACTATAGAACTTATAGCACTTGTTACAGAATCTAGACTAAAGAATTACACAGAGACACTGTTTATTGTTTGGACAATTAATTTTGTAATAGTAAAAGCAATCCTACATTGAGCACCTATTATAAGTCAGTTAGTTTTCCTATGTTATCTCATCTTTCCAACAATACTGTCAGATTGAGATGATCATTCCCGCTTTACAGGTGTGGAAAGTGGGACTTCAACAGTTAGTTAGCAAGTCTCAAGTCCCAAATTAGGTTGTGGTGGAGCTGGCTTTCCAACCCATTTTTTTGTTAGTTTTTTTTTTTTGTTTTGTGTTTTTTTGTTTTTTGTTTTTTGTTTTTAAGACAGAGTCTTGCTCTGTCGCCCAGGCTGAAGTGCAGTGGCACGATCTCGGCTCACCACAAGCTCCGCCTCCCGGGTTCACGCCATTCTCCTGCCTCAGCCTCCCGAGTAGCTGGGACTACAGGGGCCCGCCAGCACGCCCGGCTAATTTGTTTGTATTTTTAGTAGAATGGGGTTTCACGGTGTTATCCAGGATGGTCTCGAGCTCCTGACCTCGTGATCCACCCGCCTCGGCCTCCTAAAGTGCTGGGATTACAGGCATGAGCCACCGCGCCCGGCCAGTTTTGGTTTAATTTTAACACTTATGCCTTTCTCATGACACCAAATGACATCCCTAGAAAATTAATTAAATTTCACCTGCTTAGTCTCATCTCCCCAAATACACAGTGAGCTATAGATTACTGTCACATTCCCATGAAATGCATCCTCACAGGGAGGGCAATTATCACTGGGTACCATGGCTGACTCATCTGCAATATTTTGGGGTGGACAACCTTTACATCACCCAAATCACAGCACAGAGAGGTTACTTGCTCTGAAAATGCTTGGCTATCTTGCTAAAGATTTGTCTAAGCAGTCAGTAATAATCTCTGCGGAATTACAAAGCAATTTCTTCTGATGTTTCCATCAGAGACTTCTCTCTGTCAACATTCTACGCCATTAAATCACAAGCAAGGATAATGGTACCAGATTTCACTTTGGTTGTAAGTAGAATAATAAATGGTCTCCTTAAATGGGTGAGAACTATGTGTGTACGTGTGTGTGTGTGTGTGTGTGTGTGTGTGTGTGTGTTTCAAAGAAATCTTTCAGTGTGTTTATTCTTTGAAAAGAATTCTTGGTACTTCTTGCCAAGGCTTTGGGGTTTCTATCTTGAACAAAAGTAACTTGACTTTCACACGGGTTTGCAGGAGGTCTGAGCACTTAATTACAGTCCATTATCCGCTTTCATTATCTTTCCTCCTGCCTGAATGAGCTCAACAATTTCCAGACATTACTACTTTCATACAATTTTTCATTTTCTCTAATGTCATCATTTTATCACCAAGTTTTTGATCTTTACAGTTCATCTAAGTTTTATACTTTCAGAGAGGCACTTCATTGTAAAAGCACCTTAATTTTTTTCCAGCTTAAAATTTAACTCTTGCTTTACCTTATATTTCCTTTTCATCAAAGTATTTGATTTCTTTTAAAAACATATTAAAATATAATTCCTTGAAACTAATTAGAAAATGTCTCCTTGTACCCAACCTAATTTGGATATACTAAAAATGTGAACATTGTGCTAACTCATTTTCCTCTTTTTGGACAATAATAAATATTCCATAGGAGAAAATGTTGTATAGATATCAAAGAGGTGTCTATAAATACTCTTCCCAGACACTAACATCGACTCCTGTCTAGACAGATTCATTTTAAACTAGTTTTGAAGCCATCTAACTCTACTAATATGCATTCCTTCCAGAGTCCTCCAACCTATTATAAAATCATTCAACTCAGTGATTCTCCAGGAAGGTGACCTTAACCCACCAGAGTCTTGATATCTACTCGGGTTGTTATCTTATCTGAGAATTACACTTAAATTTGGTTGAGATGACCTTTTTTAAACAAAGTTGATTGGCTTATACTTAGTATGTTATGGTATTCAGGCACTAATTCACCATTTCCCCTAGAATGTTTTGAAGTATTTGCCCTGATATGTTAAGCAGCATTGTATTTTTATTTAAAGAGGATTCTAGCATCCCTTCCTTGCCAATTCTTCAGAATAACAGGTTATTAATATTTGGAGATAGTGTGTTCCCATAGAGGGATGCCAAAAATGTTAATAGAGAACTATGAAAATATGCATACGTAGGTGTGTGTACACACACAAGTGTAAAAAAAGAGGAATAAAGAAAGAACATGAGACTACAACTCACTACAACACAAGCTATACATTTCAAATAGCAGACTACAACAATACACTAACACTGTGCACAACAAAGAAAGTAAAATTTATGGGAAGTTCCCCCTTACATTTGCAAATGATTGTTGCGATATTAAAGAAAACTTTTAAGCTGCAGAAAGCAAATTATACTGCATTTCAAATTGTAATATTTAATTGCTGAAACATTTGAGCCTCAGAGATAATCTGCACCAAAGAGAATCCGTGCCCTTTTCATGAAGAGAATTGAGCAGAATTCACCTAATCTATACAGATATAGAATATATACCTTTTTATTTTTTAATTTTTTATCTTTTATTATTTTTTCTTTTGAGACAGAATCTGTCTTTGTCACCCAGGCTAGAGTGCAGTGGCGCCATCTCAGCTCACTGCAACCTCCCCCTCCCAGGTTCAAGAGATTCTCCCGCCTCAGCCTCCCAAGTAGCTGGGATTACAGGTGCCTGCCACCATGCCCAGCTAATTTTTGTATTTCTAGTAGAGACGGGGTTTCTCCATATTGGCCAGGCTGGTCTCAAACTCCTGGCCTCAGGTGACCCACCTGCCTCGGCCTCCCTAATTGCTGTGATTACAGGCATGAGCCACTGAGCCCAGCCAGAATATATACCTTTTTATTTTAATTATTTGTGGATCATGCTGTGTGCCTCACACACAACACATGCACTGTCCCCTCCCCAGGTTTCACACATCATTGTTGCTGCTACTGGCTTCTGTCATATTCTCTCAGGACAAAGCATAGCAGAAACTCATAAAGGTGGTTTCCAAGAGCTGACTTAAACACAAAATTCAAGGAACAAACAATTACCCACCAGACTTATTTTATTATTTTACTTTCAAGAAACACAGACACTTCTTAGAACTTTATAACATATTGCCTGCATCACAATTTACATGCATTTAGGCAAAACTGACAACATATTTGTTCATCTGCGCTAAAATGTTTTCTTCAAACTCTTCTGAATCCTCCTAATCAGCCTAGTCAAGGCCTGTCTAGAATACACTGCAAAGCAGCTGGTGTCTGCAGCATCTTTTTATCTGCCCCACACCCTGCTTTTAGAAGCAAGCTTTACTTTCCCTTCACCAGTCCAATTTCCATAGCAGGCTCCTCCAGATGTACTTCTGGCTCACTCCTGACCCATCCTGGCCCAGGCAATTCACTGATTCTGTTTAATCCACCAAGGTCTTGTGCAATAATTCGACAAAATCAGATAAACAGTGTTACAATCAGAAATGAACAGTCCCAATGCCCGAATTTATTCTCTTTCTGAGATATCTCCAGATTTCTTTCCCCTCTCAACATTATTTCTTTGTTTTCTTGTTTCTTTGTTTTGTCTTGATTTGTTTTGTTTACTAAATCTATCCTAGATGAAATGTGATTTTTCACATTTTGTGAATGTCATCAAAGCTAACTATGTACACTTACCCTCCCCTAATTTGGATATAATTTAAAATGAAATCTGACTAAATTGGGTTAAGCTTGGAAAAAATAAAAAATCATTAAAATTATTAAAGAATTATAGTCAACATATTAGTATCCAGAGATAGCAACTATTACATTTGGAATAGTAATTTTGTGATTTTTCTCTATTTATTCATACCTACATAAGCATGTAGGTAGTTTATGATATATTGTTTAACCATAAAATTGATAATTTTCACAATTAATGGAATAGATAATTATGCATGATAAAATAAAGAGAAAAGGATAGAAACTGTATTTGATAAGATGCCAATTATCTATACATATGTCATAACTATATAAATGTCTGTATATTTCTGTTGTGCACAGAAAATTGCATATATATGTATAATGTACAAAAGTTTTATCTGAGTGCTTTACATATTATATCATGAGCGTTTTCCTAATTCATCAAGCAGTTCTTTTTTTTTTTTTTTTTTTTGAGACAGAGTTTCACTCTTGTTGCCCCTGCTGGAGTGCAATGGCGCGATCTTGGCTCACCGCAACATCCACCTCCTGGGTTCAAGTGATTCTCCTGACTCAGCCTCCCAAGTAGCTGGAATTACAGGCATACACCACCACATCCATCTAATTTTGTATTTTTAGTAGACACGGGGTTTCTCCTGTTGGTCAGGCTGGTCTCAAACTCCCAACCTCAGGTGATCTGCCCGCCTCGGCCTCCCAAAGTGCTGGGATTACAGGCACGAGCCACCAAAGTAGTTCTTAATGTTGTATAATATATCATGTTTTGGATGTACTACCAGTTAATTGTTCATGCCTTTAAAAAAACTTGTATGCTTCTAAATGTTAATACCATTATATCTTTCATTGACATTGCCATTCTTGAACTTGGATTCTAGACAAAATCTGCCATTATTTCCTTGAATTCTGAGACATGAAATTATTGGGCTGAAAACTGAAAACAGTAAAATATTTTAACACACACTGCCAATGTGTTTCCCTAGAAAGGTTTGATCCAATTATCAATGATTGTAACTGCATACTCCACTGACCATAACTTAGTTATATTTTGTTTCTTATTTCCTAGATTAAAACATTTCATGCATGTAGTTTGCATTCTGTTTATTACAAATCAGTTGCATATTATTAGATTTTGTGTTGATCTGCCATTTGTAGGGAATTTGTGGATTGGTCTTAGTTCATTTTTATTGGTGCTTTTGCTTAGGGACTTTTTGTCATTTATAAAAACCTATCATAATATTACAGTAATTAATACTTTAGCTGGCATTTACATTGTAAATTATTTTCTTAGCTCTAACAATTTTGATCTTTTGACTTAAGTGTATTAAATGTAACATTGATAATTTTCTCTGAAATCTCAATTGTTTTCAACACGTTATGATTTAGTGTTTTAGTCTGCATGTTTTTGTTTTGGTATATGATATGAGATACGAACAAAAATGGAATATAGAGTTTCTCCAAATACTCTAGATAATGATAAGATCTTCCCAATACCACTAATCAAAAAATCCATTACCCCCATTGGTTTGATATGTTATCTTTATCACATACACACACACATATGCATGTATGCACACATAGACAAACACACCTAGAAAGATAGGCAGCTGCTGCTTTCTCCAGTTCTTCCATCTGCTGAAGCTAGCAACAGAACCACAATGTTTAGAAGGAAATAGCATTGTCTATCTGCTATGGCCAAACTACCCGCATTCTTATTCTTCTTTATTCTCTGCATTCATTCTAACTTGTTTCTAAAAGATCTTTTATAACTTGTATTAAGCCCTCACTTGGCACCCTCACCAAACCTTATTTCTTTCATTCCATGGCCTATAATTTTATTAAAACCAAAAATTAATTGGGGAAGAATGTGCACCTGTAACATAGTTTATTACTCCCTCAAAAGATCACAGCACATTTCCTTATTTGTTAAAATTCACTTTTAAGTTTCCTAGTATGTTTTCTTCATATATGCCTAATGCAATTTTCTCTAGGAAGATTCCTAGCAGCAGCGTTTTGAATTTTATTTATTTTTCTTTTTATTTCTAGTTTTTAGTTGGTATCATAATTCAAATATTTTCTCATCCCTATATCATCAAGCATTATGGATAATATATGAGAACATTTTATTTGTATGTTAACATTCATTTACTTTATTGAATACTCATTTATTTCTAATTTCTTTTCTGATTCTCTTACATTTATTGTTTATGCAAATTTCAGTAATGCAAAGTTGTCCACTGAGCAATAACTTTTGTCTCCTTTTTCTATTTCATGTCTTATTTATTGCATTGACCAAAATGTCGACAACAGTGTTGACAGGTCATGTGTTACATTTGTGAATATGTAGATCAATGGAAATTCTGATGATATCTCACTGTTAAGTGTGCCTATGCTGTTTTTTGAGATAGATTTCATTAAAACAGTTTCCTCTTTGTCCTATTTTCTGGTGCATATTTATTTTGAAATTAACAATGGGTATAGTATGCTAACATGCCATTCCTAGTATAACCTCTTTGGTCATAGTGGCTAACTTTTCTAATTTATTATTATATTTAATTTCTGATATCTTAATTAGTTTTTAATAAACTATTTTATGGGTAGGCAATAGAGTATGGCTTTGTACTCAAAAGATTTCTATTCCAGTTCTGAAATGTAATAGTGACATGACCGTGATAAATGTTATTTAAACCATATGACCCTCAGTCTCTTGATCTGTAAAATGGGACTAATATTATCTAGTTCATTAGATTGCTTAACTCAGTGTCTGACACAAACCACAAATAAGTAAAAATAATTACTGTCAGTGGTTGGAATTATAGTTTCTTACATAATACTGATGAATAGAAAAGTTAGATATATCCATACCTTTTTCAGAAAGCGATATATTCATTTGGATTTTAGATTTCTTATGGCACATACTTATAAATGATTTAGAAAATTTTATTTGATTTCTTAAGTTTTTAAAATGAATCATTCTGCACACTAAATTATATACATGGGAATGATGTGCTTATTAAATTTGGGGAACTACGTCTCTGGATCCTGACCTTGGAAATTTTAGTAGCGATAAATCTTCAGAAACTTTCTTCAGTTTTTTATTGATTTCTTAAAAATGGCCAGTTCAAAAAACAAATCTTCATTGTTTTAGTATAGACTAATAATATGTACATTTATGAAATTAATTTGTATCTAGACAATTATATATAGTTGCCATTGAATTTGCATTTGTCTACCTTGAATGTTCCAGCAGCTTGCCTACTTTGTTTTTGAAGTTCTTTCTTTGTTAAAAGGGAAGCAAAACATTCTTGCATTTCCTCACATATTTTATTAGGGTTTTTTTTCTAAGTTACTTATTTCCCATTGTGGTATTTATTATATTCTTCCATCTAATATTCTTGGTTTTATTTCAAGTTTTCTTATCTGACTGAATGAATGTTTCAGTCATATTTTTTTCATATATAAAGCAAGACATTTAAAAGTATGAATTTTCCTGAGGATGGCTTGTCTAAGTTTCATATCTTGTTGCAAGAAGCCATTTCTCACATCATTTCAAAAGTCTATAATTTTAATTTTATTTTCCTTTTTTGACCCAACATATACTTGGTTTTGTTTCTTTTGAGTTTTTAAATAGTTTGGTGTAAAATTTCATATTAATTTTTATGAATTTTTATCATTGTGGTCAGAAAATAAAACTTTATAATTTTTGAGTCATGGAATTTATTTTCAGCTTCTTAACTCTTTTCTAATGTGAACGGCTGTGTTATTTGTGAAGATTCAAAGTTATGCGTGTTTTAGTCACAATTTCCTGTGCTATAAAGCATCCTCCCCTGCTTGAATTCTGAATTTACCAAAGCAAGAGGCCTGAGTTCTAGTTTTTTTCTTTTGTACATCCAGCCAGTAAGCCGCTTAACCACTCTGGGTCTGATTCACCTTGACCATACTTAATCGGTCTGGGCCTTAGTCTTAAACCTGAACAAAGAAATGATCATTCTAACTCAGAGAGCTTCCTTAAGACATCATCAGTGTAGGAAAAAGTAGAACCAAAACTTAGTTCTCCTTTATGCAACGAGTAAGGTGTTGCTTTTATCTTTCAAGCAAACTTTTTAACTTTAAATCAACTTTACTGGTGTATTATTTACATTATCAGTGCACCCATTTGGCCGGGCGCCGTGGCTCACGCCTGTAATCCCTGCACTTTGGGAGGCCGAGGTGGGCAGATCACGAGATCAGGAGATTGAGACTATCCTGGCTAACACGGTGAAACCCCGTCTCTACTAAAAATACAAAAAAATTAGCCAGGCGTGGTGGCGGGCGCCTGTAGTCCCAACTACTCGGGAGGCTGAGGCATGAGAATGGCGTGAACCCGGGAGGCGGAGCTTGCAGTGAGCCGAGATCGCGCCAGTGCACTCCAGCCTGGGCGACAGAGCGAGACTCCGTTTCAAAAAAAAAAAATGCACCCATTTAAAGTTTGATGTTTTTTTACAAACGAATACACCTGTGTATCTACCACCCCAAACAAGATAGAGAATACTTCCATCACCCCAAAAAGTTCTCTTGTGACCCTCACCAAGAAATCCATTTCCTGGACAGACACTGACTTCTAATTTGTTTCCACTGGCAGAAAAAGCAAATGGGAGCAGAGATATCACCAGATGAGACATCACCAAAACCATGGAACACTAACATCCAACTAACAAGGGACAACAGACAGAGCGGTGGAGGAAGTTTAGACCTAACTTCATCTAGGAGTGAAAAACGAAGCCAGAGTAATGAAGAGGCAAAGCATGGAAGACTTCGGGGCAGTAAAACTCTTCTACATGATACCATAATGGTGCACATGTCATTAAGACGCAGGATCCCTTCCATGCTGCTTCGCTGGCCAGAAATCTCCACAGCCAGAGGCGCCTATACCGGGCTTCGCCGGGGCCTCTGGACCACTGGGCTCGCTCTGCCCACGCGGCCAAGCAGGCAACGCTTGGCTGCTGCTACTGGGCCTGGATCCCAAGCCTGCCGCCGCTCTGTGCTCAGCCCGCAGTTGGCCCGGACATGCCGCACCAGCTTCCACCTTGAGTGCCGGGGTCTGAACAAGGAGGACGCAGCGGCACCTGAAAACGGAGATGCTAGCAACTGGCGAGCCCCAAGGGGTGTTACATCTTTTGCTCAGGGAGTCTCGAGGTCTGAGCCCGCAGGAAGTGTTACAGCTCTCTCACGTTCTTGCCACCCACAGCTCAGCGAATGGGGTGTGTCACAGCTCCTTTGGTCCCACTGCCCACAGTTCGCTGAATGGGGGCATGTGGCACCCAGCAGTTTTTTCACTCCCGTAGCTCAGCCAGCAGGAAAATGTTACAACTCTTTTCACACCCACCGTTTGGCAGGTTCCAGATTCTTGTCCCATGACCAACAGGAATGAGGTATGGAGACAGCAGAGAGTAAGCAAGACAAAGAAGAATTTTATTGACTGACAGAAGAGCTCTGGACAACAAGAGGGGACCAAAGTTGTTAGTTCTCCGAGTGAGAGGGGGCCTGAAAGTGGGTAGCCATGTGTGAGGCTCTGTCTAGGGTTTCTCTGGACTCAGAATGGGGGAGTGTTTGCTGATTTGTCCATGGGCAGGGCGAGTAAAACCACCATTCAATTGGCTAAAAAGCATTGAGGACGTTTTTACTCTGGTCATTGACTCTATGCGTAGGTATATCATATGTGTCTTTGGGATGGTAGCTAAGAGGATGAAGAAAATAAGGAAACTTACCATCTACAAATAAGTAATTAAAAAATAGTAATTTAAGTCTACTATTGTTTTTTAATTCTTATTATCATTATTGCTTTACAGACAGGGTCTCGCTCTGTTGCCCTGGCTAGAATGCAGTGGTGCAATCAAGGCTTACTGCAGCCTCAACCACCTGGGCTCAAGTAATCCTCCTGTTTCAGCCTCCCGAGTAGCTGGGACCACAGGCACACATCACCCTGCCCTGCTAACTCTGTTTTTTGTAGAGGCAGGGTCTCACTATGCTTCCCAGGCTGGTCTTGTACTCTTGGCCTCAAGCAATCCTCCCTCCTTGGCCTCCCAAAGTGCAGGGATTACAGGTGTGAACCAGCAAGCCCAGTCAAGCATAGTATTTAAAACATAAAAATAAAGTCGCTATAAAGCTGAAAGTGATTGCATGTGAGGAATGGGACATGGGAAAGGCAGGAGCAGCACTGTTGCTTTAAGTTTAGTTTTTAATATGTACAGATACTATTTTGATAAAAACTTTAAAGGTAATTAAATTACATAGAATAAAAAGAATTAACAATGCATTATCATGAGCCTTTACCACCTGTGTTTGACTTAACCTACAATCACATTCTGGTATCTTCCTAAGGACAAGAATAATGCTTCTTTCATGTTTATATCTGCCAAGTCTATCATAGTGCCTTCCATCTAGAAGGTGTTCAATAAATACATTGAATTTAATATGTCAAACTGGTTAATATGAAATGAGCCTTCTTTTCACAAAAAGAAAAAGGATTTAAAATGCAGAACATTAAAGCCGTATTAAAAATATCATGAATGGGGTATATGGCAAGAGAGTATGTTCTGAAGCCAGACCTTGTTTAAAGTCCCTCTCTGCTACATATTATTTGTGAGATGTTGTGGAATATTCTTAAACCTCTAACATTACAATGTTCTCATTTTTAAATGGTGATTATCCCAGTTCACTTGTTGGTTTGTTGTGAAAATTAAAGGAAATTACATGTATCACAGTTTGTGGCTTTTGCATAATGTATATTAAGTAAATGACAATTTCCCTTTTCAGAACATTGATAAGTGGCATAAAGGCTTCAATGAAAAAAAAAATCATGAGCTTATATTTCTTGATGGAAAGGAACTAGGGAATAAACTGTGTGGTGTAACATAAAAAAAAATACACTAGAAAGTCAGGGCTAAGGCTATAAAAGTAATACGTGCCAATCCACAGAAACAGACACATAAATATTTCCACCAGTTCTGCAAAATCTCCGGTTCTGAAGTTGATAGAATTTTGGACTTTAATTGGAGAGGTTAATACTGGGACAATATCTCTCTCTATGCCTTTACCAAAGCCAGAACTTCTCTCAGATCCCCTTGCACGGTCAAAATCAGCCCAATCAAAGACAGAAATAAATAAGAAACAAAATAACCAGAATAGGAACTCAGATTTTTTTTTAAATCAAGATTGGTTCTTACAAAGTTGCGTTTCTCTGCCTCAAACGTTTGTCTGTGTACTTTGTACCTCCACATTGACCTCTCCAGTCTCAGAGCAGTTGCAAGCTTCAAAGAGAGCCTTATACATGAAGGAAACACATAGTTCTGCTGTCCGAATTAAAAAAACAACATTCCTTAAAGATGTCTCCTATCAATTACAACTCAAGTGTTGATTACAAAGAGAAACAATTTCCCATTCAAGACCACTTAAATCCGGTTTAGTGTAATATATTCATTTAATCTAGGTTAACTCTGCAAAGGTCTTTACCATGGCGTGCTGGCATCCCCTCTGCCAACCCCCGCCCTCAAACTCTGAAAGGAACATATAGGATATTGGACAATACACAATGGAACAAGTGGAGAGACAGAAACAAATGGCTGTTGTGATGAGAAAGCCAAGAGATTCTTGATGCAGGCTAAGGGTCCAGGAAAAAGGCAGCCAACAGTATATGCCAACAAGAAAGCCTTGTCTCCTCAGAAAACTGTACTTTATTTATGAGGGGGGAAAATCAAAAGCATTGTAGAAATTGCTCTAATTTCCCATAACACAAATGTTATAAAACCAAGAATAGCTGAATGAAATGGCAGCTGGTACAGCAGACAAGTCTAGATTGATGAAGTCTAGTCATGGTCAACAGTTAATTAAATTCAACATACAGTTTTTATCATCCTCACACTTTGACTTTCTGACATTTACATTCCCCATTCTCTTGTTAGGGAGTTTCTTCTTGGCTGAAATTTCTGAATAATAATAATCTTCCATTTAGCTGAAAGGGGCAATAAATGGGTACTTTGATCATCTTTAGCTAAGACAGGAAAGGAAAGCATCAGGAAGCCCTCTTGTCTTTCCAGTGTGACTGTATTCACATTCTTCCTAGTCAGTTATGAGCAGTTATAATGACCTGTGGCTGATCATTAGAGAAATTGACATTTTCACAGGTGTGTGGGTAAGGAGAGAGCTGGGGAGGAATGGTGAGGTGAAAAAAGTGAGAAAGTAAGGTGGGAAGTGGCAGCACTTTCCTGTCAAATCCTTGACCTATATACATTTCTTTTTTGGGACTGAATGAGTATAGATAACTACCTGTTTTGAAAGTTTCACAAAAGAGTATATGTTCTTTTTTGAAGGTGAGACAATCTTTGTATAGGACTAAATATAGGAGCACACATGCAATGGCATGATGGCATATATTTTATTCATGTGCAAGTTAAAAAAAAGAATGCTTCATAGGTCAAAAAATATTTTCCATATATGACCTTCATACCCCTAAAATAATTTTATGATTATATACACAGGTTATTTCTTCTTTGAGGTAATTGTGAGGATAATTCATCTTATCAAATTAATATAAATTATTATGACTAATTTGGATATAACATGAGCCCAGAGAATCTCCAAAATAAAAGTAAATTTCTGGGAAAATGCAAAGGAAATACTTTTCATCAATTCTATGTTTTTAATGCTGGACCCAATACAAGTTATGACTTGACTTGAGAATTTAATGACATGGTCATAGCTACCTCTACATTTAGCCAAAAATAAATGTTTCAAACTAGTTCAGGTTGATCTCCTGGACAGGAAAATTGCAATTCCCACCCTAGTTGGTTGTAGAAGGAGAACGTGCCAGAACCTCCACCAGGAAGGGTAGGGACGGGCCAGTAGCCCCCACACACTCTTGAACATAGACTTCACATGAGTGGGACTGCATGGGAGGTCCCTCAGCAATGTCGAAACTGTACTGACTTAAAATATCTCTCCTCTCCACAAACAGAAACAGAGGAAACAAACAACCCTGGCCACCTGGATGCTTTGCACATCATTTCATGTGTGAGCATGCATGTTTTTAAGCTTCTATTATTTTATATGTTTTCCCCATTGTTCATGCTTCTAACGCATTCGACAATTATTGAGTAATTCTAGGCTCCCAGGAGGCTACAGTGAGCAAAAAGTAGCAATTCCCTGCCCGATGAAGCTTCTAGTGATGGGAAGGCAGACAATATCAAATAAATAAATATGTAAAAATGTAAGTAGATACAAGTGATAAAAATTAAGTTAGAGTGAGGAGGAAGACAGTGTGTGGTGCGGTAGTGGATGTTTTATTTAGAATGACTGAAGAGGTCTCTCTGAAAAGGGGATGAGCTATGTGATGCTGGAAGAGGCAGCCCTGAGGTGAGGCCAGCGAATAGGAGCCCTGGCAGGATGTGAGAGGGAGCGTGGACAGTCCGTGCGGTGAGGACAGAGGAGTAACTGCCGCCACACAGAGAGCCTCGCCTCTTGTCCTGAGCCAGATGACTGCGGGCGATTGAGCAGAGATGTGGCATAATTTACTCCATCTTAGTAGGATCACTCTGACAATTAGAAGGTCACTGCATACATCCAGATGAAAGTGGGGGACCATGTGGAAGTCACAGGTGATGAGAAATATGCAGATTTTTAAATATATATTTTGAAGGAAGAATTCATGAGATTTGCTAATGGACTCAAGTTGAAGGGTGAGAGGAAAAGGTATCCAGGGAAGTTGTAGCTTGAGAAACTACAGGTCTCAGTGGCCACTTATAAAAACAGAAGAGATTGTGGAAGACACAAGTGGCTGCCCCTTGGATATACAAATAGAGATGTTAAGAAGGCAGTTAGATACACAGGCTGGAGTCCAGGGAGAAGCCTGGGCTAACAAGGCACATTTAGGAATCAGCAGCTTCTAGAGAGTAGATTAAATGCCATAAGATAAAAGGAAATCACGGGACAGTAGGTGCAGGCCAAGAAGAGAAGGAGTTCGAGGCTGGAGCCCCAAGGTATGCCTGATTCTGCAATGGGAGACACAGAGGAACCAGAAAGGAATCTACAAGGGGCTGCCAGTCAGGAGGAAGAACCGAGAGTCAGTGATATCCCAGAAGGTGACTGAACAAGGCGCTGAAGGAAGAGTGAGGAACAGAGTGAAACAAAGGCTCGGAATGGACCGTGGGACTGATTGACCCTGTCGTTCAATTATACAAAACATCTAAGAGTATTTCTATTTCCTGTGTACGTGAAAAAGGAAAAAAAAATGTATCATGAGGAAAAACAAAGAAAAAGAACTTCTTAGTGTAGTTAAGCCAGTATTCCAATCCAGCTGCCTGCTGGACTCCAGGTAGACATGGCAAAGAAATGTCACTTCCTTAGGCCATTCTCTCACATCCCAAGTGACATCAGCCACTGGAAATGATAATTTTCTTTGCTGTGAAGAGACACATGGCGTCTCCCCAAGGCCTCTGGCTTATTTCCCATGAGCCTCTCAGCAGCCTCCACACAGGAAAGGCTCCCATTAGGCAAGGTCGCTTGGTGAGGCCACACATGACTGCCTCCATTGTCTGTCACAACGCTGAGACATCGCGCTTCGGAAAAACAACTTAGTGTTCTGTCACCCCAAAGAACGGAAATAATAGAGAGCGTCAGTTTGTATGAAGCACACCAAACCAACCAAATAAACAAAACAAACACACACATCACTTGGTCTGCACACGCTTAAATTACTGAGAACTCTGTAATTAATTTTCCTCATTGTGAATGCATTAATGGCGTGCTTTCAAATCTGTGACATAAAACTTAGAAACAGAAAAGGCAAAAGAAACGAACCTGTGACATAAAACGTAGAAAAACAAAAGGCAAAAGAAAGCAAGATGTGACAAAACCACTGCATGAGTTCTGCTTTTGTGAAGTGGCTTTCTAATTCGATGGCCTCGGCTCATGAGCTAGAATATACCAGAATCACCAGCAGAGCTTCTGCTTCACCACTTCGGGGAAGCCTGTAAAGAATGAGACTTAAAATACATGCAAGTTCACAGATGCTCATTTAAATCCATAGACACTACCATTTTGTAGTTGTTTTTTAAGCCTAAAGAAATTCTGGCAAAGGTCTTCTGGTATCTGTTAAATAGAAAAGCAGTTCTAAGTCCATGTGACTTTTGTACTATCTTCTACACAATCTCACTTTCTATTCCACCCAGGAGCATAACCCATAAAGCAAGCACAATGCTGCATGTAGAAACCCACATTTCCCTAATGCATTGAATCAAGATCAACAGCTGGGTGAGCCCACGTTTGGAAGAAGTTGATGAGGGTGCAGATTGCTACCGTGCCCCCTTAATTGAGCAATGAGGCTCCCTTTTGGCCCCAACCTGAATAATCTGGTTCCTCCAAAATTTTAATAAGGGAAGCCCATGCTGAATATCTCACAGCAGGTTTTCCTGTTTCCTTCCATTTTAAATAAACAATAGACTACTGGAAACAGAATGACTACAGTGCTTTTTAATATCAAGTGTATTTAACAAGGAGCCAACATGGTGAGGGGAAATATCCAAAGAAAGATTTCTTTTTCCTTATTATTACTATTTTTTTTTTGAGATGGAGTTTTGCTCTTGTCACCCAGGCTGGAGTGCAATGGTGCGATCTCAGATCACTGAAACTTCCGCCTCCTGGGTTCAAGCGATTCTCCTGCCTTGGCATCCCGAGTAGCTGGGATTACAGGCACCTGGCACCACGCTTGGCTAATTTTGTATTTTTAATAGACACAGGGTTTCACCATGTTGGTCATGCCGGTGTTGAACTCCTGACCTCAAGTGATCCACCCACTTCGGCCTCCCAAAGTGCTGGGATCACAGGCATGAGCCACCATGCCCAGCCCGTCAGAAAGGTTTCATCTGGAAAATAGATGTGCTCGTGTGGCTTTCTGCTCATCTTAACATTGATGTGCATGTCTGCCTCACCGCTGATTTTTTCCTTGAGCCCGACCATGAATGCAGAGAAGGTAAATTTAAGGGACTCAAACCCCGCCTTTGGTTGCCAGATCAAAGATATGAGCAGTTCCTCTGGGACCATGATGTGGGAAGGTCCAGAGAGCTTATGCGCATTCCTATAGAAATCAATGATTCTGAGTCTGGATGCAGAGCTCTCTATTCAGAGTTAACTGAATTAAACCCTAAGATGACTGAAAGCCATCTAAACTGTTAATGCCTATTGCTACTTTAAGGAATACTGCTTTAAGTGAAGAAATAAGAGCTTACATTTGGCTAAATACCTCAAGATCTCCAGCCTGGTGTGTGTGTGTGTGTGCGTGCAAGTGTGTATGTGTCTAAAAGGGGACATGTTCACAACTAGATTGGAAAGAGGAGAGTTCACTTTAAACCAACAAAGGGCCTCTAGTAGTTTCATATTGAGAAAATGTTTTTATAAATGTGCTTTTGCCTTGAGCAAACCCTTGCATGTAAGCCACATATACACATTAGAATATTTGCTGTAGAATGAAAGGGCACAATTATTTTCCAGAAATTGTATCATGGCCATACTGTCTGCAGACTCTGGTATAATTTCAATCTCTGCCTCCACTTTCACTTGGCCTTCTCCTTGGGAAGCTTCATGTCTTCTTATAATGACACTTACCATAGGATGTAAAACCCATCAGGATAATCCAGAATAAGCTCATCTCAAGATCTGTAATTCCATCTGCAAAGACCCTTTTCCCAGATTATACCCCCAAAAAACCATTTTCCTGCCACGTATGCCATTTACATTAGCACCAAAAAAAAAAAAAACGCTTAGGTATAATCTTAAAAAACACACATAAAAGCTATATAAGGAAAACTGCAAAACTGTGGTAATAAAAATCAAAGATCCAAATAAATCAAGAGATTCCATGTTCATGGATAGGAAGACAATATTGTTAAGATGTCCATTCTTTCCACATTTATAAACTGAGCACAATCACAATCAAAATCTCAGCCAGTTATTTTGTAAATACTGACAAAGTGATTTTAAAGTTTATGTGGAAAGACAAAAGACCCAGCATATTCAAAACAACACTGAAGGAGAAGAGCAAAGCATAAGGACTGACCTACTGAAAACTTACCATAAAGCTACAGCAACCGGGACAATGTGATATTAGAAAAGAATAAACAAATAAGATAATGGAACAAGAGAAAGAGCACAGAAAGAGATCCACACAGATGTAGTCAGCTTACCTTTGACAAAAACCAAAGACAATGCAATGGAGAAAGGACAGACTTTATAACAGATGGTGCTGGAACAACTACACATCCACATGCAAAAAAGAAAAACAGAATCTAGGCATAAACATTACGCTTTTCACAAAATTTAATTCAAAATGAGTCATAGACCTAGATGTAAAATGCAATAATTGTGAAACTTGTGGAAAATAACATAGGAGAGAATCTAGTTGACCTTGGTTTTGGCAGTGTTTTTAGATACCACACCAAAAGCACAATCCATGAAAGAAGAAGTTATTAAATCAGGTTTCAATCAACTTAAAGACTCCTGCTGTGCCAAAGACACTTAGTAGAACAAAATGACAAGTCACAGATTTGTAGAACATTTTTGCAAAACACATCTTTAATAAAAGACAGGTATCTGAAACTTACAGCCTGAACAATGAGAGAACAGATAACCCAATTTTTAAATTGGGCAAAAGATCTGGACAGATAGTTTGACAAAGAAGATATACAGATGACAAACAAGCATATGATAAGTGACATGGTTTGGCTGTGTCCCCACTCAAACCTCATCTTGAATTGTAGTTCCCATAATCTCCACGTGTTGTGGGAGGGACCTGGTGGGAGGTAATTGAAGCATTGGGGCAGTTACCCTCATGCTGTTTTCATGCTAGTGAGTTCTCATGAGATCTGATGGTTTTATATGGAGCTTCTCCCCTCTTCGCACTGCACTTCTCCTTGCTGCCACCATGTGAAGGACGTGTTTGCTTCCTCTTCCACCATGATTGTAAGTTTCCTGAGGCCTCCCCAGCCATGGTGAACTGTGAGTGAATTAAACCTCTTTGCTTTGTAAATTACCTAGTCTCGGGTATGTCTTTATTAGCAGTGTGAGAATGGACTAATAGAATAAGATATGAATCATATACCCTTAGGGCAGAGTAAATTAAAATAACTTTGATGTACTACTACTTACCTATTAGAATGACTAAAATTCCAAGCATTGACAACACCAAATCCTAGTGAGGTTGTGGAGCAACAGGAACTCTCAGTCATTGCTGGTGGAAATGCAAACTAATACTGCCACCTTAGAAGACAGCTTAGCAGTTGTATGATTTTTTTCCAAAACTAAACATACTCTTACCATTCAGTCCAGAAATTATGCCCCCTTGGTATTGACCTGAATGAGTAGAAAATTTATGCCCACATAAAAACTTGCATACACATGTTTACAGCAGCTTTATTCATAATTCCCAAGCTTACAAGGAACCAAGGTGTCCTTCTGTAGGTGAATAGATAAACAAATGGTAGTACATTCAGACAATGCAGTACTATTCAGTCCTTAAAAGAAATTGGCTATTAAGCCATGAGAAGACATAGAGGAATAGTAAATTCATAGGCTTAAGTTTAAAAAAAAAAGGGCTCTGTAAAGGCTACATACCGTATGTCATACCTACATCCAATTATCTGTCATTCTGGAAGAGGCAAGACTATGGAGATATTAAGAAGATTAGTAGTACCAAAGGATTTCAAATAGAAAGGGGACAGGGAATAGGTAGGGCATACAGGATTTCGAGCAGTGAAACTATCCTGTATGTTACTTATAGGGTGGGTTCATGTCCTATACACTTGTAAAAACTCATAGAATGTACAACACAAAGTATGAACCCTGATGTAAACTTCGGACTATAAAATAATGTATCAACATTATCTTATCAATTGTATCAAAAGGACCACACTAATTAAAATAATAATGAGGAAATTGTGTGTGTGTGTGTGTGTGTGTGTGTGTGTGTATGTGAGAGAGAGAGAGAAAGAGAAAGAGGTGGGGAAAGGGGGGTGTATAATAACTCTCTATACTTTCTACTTAATTTTCTGTAAACCTAAAACTGATTTTAAAAAATAAACTCTATTTTAAAAAAATTCAAATAAATGATTTGAATAGACCTTTCTGAATTTCTGAAAGAAAGATAAACAGCCAATATGGATATGAAGAAAAGCTCAACATCTAACATCTTTAGACATTAGGGAAATGTAAATCAAAATCAAATGAGATACGACTTTCATACCCAATAAAATGACTATAATAAAAAAGACAATGACAAGTAATGATGGGATGTGGAGAAATAACTGAAATCCTCATATGTTGCCAGTGAGAATATAAGATGATGCAGTCATTTTGGAAATAGTTTGGTAGTTTATCAAACTGTGAAATATGTAATTACCATATGACTCAGCAATTCTTAGGCACATACCCAAAACAAACGAAAACATTTCCACATGAAAATGTATACACACTCGGCTGGGCGTGGTGGCTCACGCCTGCAATCCCAGCACTTTGGGAGGCCGAAGCGGGTGAATCACGAGGTCAGGAGATCGAGACCATCCTGGCTAACATGGTGAAACTCTGTCTCTACTAAAAAAATACAAACAAATTAGCCGGATGTGGTGATGGGCGCCTGTAGTCCCAGCTACTCGGGAGGCTGAGGCAGGAGAATGGCGTGAATCCGGGAGGCGGAGCTTGCAGTGAGCAGAGATCACTCTAGTGTGCACTCCAACCTGAGCGACAAAGCGAGACTCTGTCTCAAAAAAAGAAAAGAAAAGAAAAGAAAATGTATACACACTCAGCTGCATTATTCATATTGGCCCCAAAGTGGAAATAATCCAATTATTCATCAACTGATGAATGGATACACAAATGTGGCAGATCCATTCAATGGAATATATTCGGCCATGAGCAATGAAGTAGTACTAACATATGGCACGACATGGATGAACCTTGAAAACTTTATTAGACTAGGTGAGAAAAGCCAGACACAAAGACCATAGAGTATATAATTCCATTTACTTAAAATGTCCAACATAGGGAGATCCATAGACATAGAGAGTAGATTAGTGGTTGCCTAGGGCTGGACTGAGAGATAAGGTGTGGAGTAATTGCTAATGAGTACATAGACACAGGGTTGCTTTTTGAGGGGTCATGAAATATTCTAAAATTACGCTATAGAGATAGATGTACAACTCTGAATATACTAAAACCCACTGAATTATACACTGAATTAAAACTTTAAAAAGTCGTTTGCATTTATTTAGTGCATTACATATTAGATTTTGCACTCTTATTTATGTTTTTCCATTTGAGCCTCTCAATAAAATTTGATATTAATTTTTTTTTTTTTTTTGAGACGGAGTCTCCCTCTGTCGCCCAGGCTGGGGTGCAGTAACACCATCTCCGCTCAATGCAAGCTCCACCTCCAGGGTTCATGCCATTCTCCTGCCTCAGCCTCCTGAGTAGCTGGGACTACAGGTGCCCACCACCACGCCCGCTAATTTTTTTTTAGTAGAGATCGGGTTTCACCGTGTTAGCCAGGATGGTCTCGATCTCTTGACCTTGTGATCTGCCCGCCTCGGCCTCCCAAAGTGCTGGGATTACAAGCGTGAGCCACAGCGCCCGGCCTACACGTGGCTTATTCTTGTCCTAACCGTTGGCTCCAATTGGCGGCCAAGCTAGAGTGCAAATATATGAACCTTTTCCCCTACTCTGAGTTCTCATGTTCTCCCCTTGGGGTCCCTGCACAGTACAGAAACAGACTGTGGCATGGGGATTCTTAGAGATTCTGTTCAATTTGTCCAAATACTTTAGTTACAGTTGTATGGACTATATGATGGTTCAATCATGTTGCAATAAGTTTTGACACAGTATGATGCTTATTGGATTTGGAGGGAACATGTTGATAACCCACTTTGCTCTTATTTGCAAGGACTTAGGAAGGTATTCATGTAGGTCAGTGATCTCAATACTTCAAGAAACCCTGGGGAACCACAGAGGCATATCCTGAGATTATTACAAAATGTTGCCCTTTCTGAGCCATCATTTTAATTTTCACTTTTAGTCTTGACAAAGTGTATAGACTCAGGAGCCAGGGAGATCGAGGTCAGAATGATAAGTCATTAATAGCTTGGCAATCTTACATATGAATTAAAGCTTCTAAAGTACAATGTTCTTTTTTTTTTTTTTTTTTTTTTTGAGACAGAGTCTTACTCTGTCACCCAGGCTAGAGTGCAGTGGTGTGATCTCCGCTCACTGCAAGCTCCGCCTCCCAGGTTCACGTCATTCTCCTGCCTCAGCCTCCTGAGTAGCTGGGACTACAGATGCCCACCACCAAGCCTGGCTAATCTTTTGTATTTTCAGTAGAGACAGGGTTTCACCATGTTAGCCGGGATTATCTCCATCTCCTGATCTCCTGACCTTGTCATCCGCCTGCCTCAGCCTCCCAAAGTGCTGGGATTACAAGTGTGAGCCACCGAGCCCGGCCCTACAATTTTCTTACAACAAAAATGGGATGATAAAAATTTTACCTTTTAACAAAAACACCTAGGACACACAATGCAGAAAAAACAGTCTCTTTGATAAATGGTGTTGGAAAAACTGGATGTCCATATGCAGAAGAATGAAATTAAATCCTTATTCCATACCATATACAAGTATCAACTCAAAATGGCTTAAATACTGAAATGTAAGGCCCCAAACTATGATGCTACTAGAAAAAAATAGGGGAAAAGCTCCATGGAGTTGCTCTGGGCAATAACTTATGGATATGACCCCAAAAGTGCAGGCAGCAAAAGCAAAAATAAACAAATAGCATTACATCAAAATGAAGAACTGCACAGCAAAAAAAAAAAAAGAAAACCAAGAGAGTGAAGAGAAAATGTAGAGAGTGGGAGAAAATATTTGCAAACTGTGTATCTAATAAGTGGTTGATATGCAAAATATATAAGGAACTCAATCAACTCAACAGTAAGAAGACAAATGACCTGATTAAAAAACAGGCAAAGTACAATTAGTAGATGCCAATGAAAAATAAAAGCAAAAATATGGGCAAAGGACCTAAACAGACATTTCATAAAAGAAGACATACAAATGGCCAACAGGCATATGAAACTATATTCAACATCACTAATGAGGAAAATGCAAATCAAAACCTCAGTGAGGTGTCACCTTACACCTGTTAGAATCGCTATTGCCAAAAAGACAAAAAATAGCAAGTGTTGGCAAGGATGTGCAGGAGAGGGAACTTTTGCACACAGTCGGTGGAAATCTAAATTAATACAGCCATTACGGAAAACAGTGTGAAGGTTTCTGGAAAAACTAAAAAAAAAAAAATAGCATTACGATTGATCCAGAAATTTCACTGTGGAGTATATACCCAAAGGAAGTAGCATCAGTTTTGACAGAGATATCTGCACTCCCATCATTTATTGCAGCATTAGTTGTAGTACCAAAGATATAGAATCAACCTAAATGTTCATCAATGGATGAATGGATAAAGAAAATATGGTATAGGCCGGGCAAGGTGGCTCACACCTGTAACCCCAGCACTTTGGGAGGCCGAGGCGGGTGGATCACGAGGTCAGGAGTTTGAGACCAGCCTGGCCAAGATGGTGAAACACCGTCTCTGTTAAAAATACAAAAATTAGCCAGACGCAGTGGCAGGTGCCTGTAGTCCCAGCTGCTGGGGAGGCTGAGGCAGGAGAATCACTTGAACCTGGGAGGCTGAGGTTGCAGTGAGCCGAGATTGTGCCATTACACTCCAGCCTGGGCAACAGAGCAAGACTCCATCTCAAAAAAAAAAAAGAAAAAAGAAAAGAAAATATGGTATATATATACACACAATCAAATGCTACACAGCCATAAAAAAGGAAAAACTTGTCATTGATGATAGCATGGATAAATCTAGAGGAAATTGTAAGTGAAATAAGTCAGGCACAGAAACACAATTACCACATGATCTCACTTACATGTGTCATATACAAACCTGATCTCATAAAAGTAGAGAGTAAAATGGTGGTTCTTAGGGCCTGGGATGGTTGGAGGGTGAGATGGGGAGATGTTGGTCAAAGGATAAAAAATTTTAGTTAAATAGGAGGAATAAGTTCAAGAAATCTATTGTATAGCATTGTGACTATTAGATTAGTGAGGTAGAGCATGTGAAAGATTGTAAGAGCACAATGCCTTCACATATTATTTCATCAATAAAGGTCAGCCCATTGTTATTACAAAAACAAAAGCAAAATAAAGACTATCTGAAAATTGTTAGTAGGGTGAGTTAAAACTAGAGTGAGCACAGGACCTCCGATCAGGCGACTATAGTAGTTTAGAACAGAGGCAGTGAGTTCCTTAACTAGAGTACAGGAGAAGAGGAAATAAAAAGTATAGAACAAATAAGAGAAGCATTTGAAGGTTCGATTGAAAGATTTGGTAACATTTTAGAGGTGGGCAAGGGAAAGGGAGGAGCCAGATGTGACCCCGAGATTTCTGAGTCAGAATAAGCAAAATTTGGATGCTGCCATTCAATAGAAACCAGCTGGTAAGTTTTTCTTACCTTTAATTTTTAGTTGGGTGTGTGTGTAAAACTGAAATAAACCCAGGAAAAATCTATAATCAAATGGTTTTTTGCTTTAAAATAAAAATAGAGGCCGGGCACGGTGGCTCACGCCTGTAATCCTAGCACTTTGGGAGGCCGAGGCGGGTGGATCATGAGGTCAGGAGTTCAAGACCAGCCTGGCAAACATGGTGAAACCGTGTCTCTACTAAAAATAGAAAACTTAGCCAGGCACAGTGGCAGGTGCCTGTAATTCCAGCTATTCGGGAGGCTGACGCAGGAGAATCATTTTAACCCGGGCGGCAGAGGTTGCAGTGAGCCAAGATCGCACCACTGCACCAGCCTGGGCAACACAGCAATACTCCATCTCAAAAAAAAAAAAAAGAAAATATAGATTCAATGCTTATTTGTTATGAACTGATAATCCACCATTATCACAAATACCTCTTGCAACTTGTTAGCTCCTTTGCAGATTTTTTAAAAATTCCTACTTGCAGGCTTGGTTCAGAAGAACCTGTAAAAGGAGATCCCTGAAATCAGAAGGTGTAACTTCTCTAAACCTGCATGAATGAGAAGGCAGATATTTGTGCTTTCTGCTACGTACTTACTTTCAGAAAATTTGAATAAAGACAAAGGAATTATTGTTATTTTTTTCAGTGTGAGAAAATGTCTACAATTATTGGTGATGCATATGTAATGTTGATCTGCTTTTTGTTTTGTTTTTAGACAGGGTCTCACTCTGTTGCTCAGGCTGGGGTGCAGTGGCACCAGCAGGGTTCACTACAGCCCTGACTTTCCCGGCTTAAGTGATCCTCCCATCTCCCATCTCAGCCTCCTGAGTAGCTTGGACTACAGGTGTGCACCACCACGCCTGGCTTTTTTTTTTTTTTTCTTTTGGTAAAGATGCAGTCTCACTATGTTGCCCAGGGTCGTCTTGAACTCCTAGGCACAAAGGATTCTCCTGCCTCAGCCTCTGAAAGTGTTGAGATTACAGGCGTGAGCCACCACACCCAACAGGTCTGCTTTTTGAGATAATTTTTCTTTTTTTTTTTTTTTTTTTTGAGATGGAGCCTCGCTCTGTCGCCCAGGCTGGAGTGCAGTGGTGCGATCTCGGCTCACTGTAAGCTCTGCCTCCCAGGTTTATGCCATTCTCCTGCCTCAGCCTCCCGAGTAGCTGGGACTACAGGTGCCCACCACCACGCCCAGCTAATTTTTCGTATTTTTAGTAGAGACAGGGTTTCATTGTGTTAACCAGGATGGTCTCGATCTCCTGACCTTGTGATCCACCCGCCTAGGCCTCCCAAAGTGCTGGGATTACAGGCGTGAGCCACAACGCAGTCTTGAGATAATTTTTCAAAAAATAAAGAGAGAATAAGAAAAGGCAAAAGAATACATAAACAAAATCTTGGAATTATTGAATCTGGGTGATGGAATTATACTGGATCTTTCTTTATAGCTTTTTTATTACAAAAAGAAAATAAGTGATAATTATAAATACCAAAAATCAAGATACTTTGAATAGTGGAACAAACAGCTGGAAAACTTTGAGATAGCTTACTGCTGGAACACGTGCTAAATAAATAACAAGCAGTTTTGTTCTTGGTTCTTTGTTACTTGCAGTTGAACACGTTAAAACCAATACCCCTAATTCTACTACACTTTATGTTATTTTTATTATTTATTTATTTATTATTATTTTTTTTTTTTGAGATGGAGTCTCGCTCTGTCGCCCAGGCTGGAGTGCAGTGGCGCGATCTCAGCTCACTGCAAACACTTTATGCTACTATGAATACAATTTTGAATTTATATTTAAACCCATTGACAAAAGTACAGATTTTCTCATAGTTTTAAGAGCTGACTATAATATGAAGCCTTAAGATTGACAGAGCATTTTTCCTTTTAAACTATAGTGCTCTTCAAAAAGGTTTATAAATTAGTCTATGTAACTAGATCATTCAAAAGAGTAATTAAGCTTTTTACACATATACAATAAGATTTGCAAGAAGGGCAAATAGACAACAAAATCTGTGTATATAGAAATAATCAGTTTAAGGAAGTAAAATAAATATATATGTAAATAAATATTTGTAGTTGGTGTGGGTTTCAGCTGAGAGACGGCAGCTCACTCACACCTGACAGACCATAATCTATTTTCAAAGTAGGGGGATAATCAGAACAGAAAGAAATGTAAGTGTCAGTTAACTCAAGTAAAGTCATGTCCTGCTTCTCACTAAATGCTCACAATATAAGCTACATACAATAAAATTATAAAGAGATATAAATATGAGTCTCTACTAAAATTGTACTTTAGCAAACAGCTAACAGCATGCTTCATTCATGTCATCTTTAAGTAAATATATGTAGTGCCCACAAACCAAACTTTCTTTTCTTCAATAATCATGAAAAATATAATACCAGCAAGTTTGGTCATAATTTTCTATGGGTAAAAATCACTAGATATTTAACTATACTTAGTGGCAAAAATCACATGGTATCTTAGCAGGTTTTCTCTCCAAGAGGTTTTATTTGATGTTTGACTTAAAGGTTATGTAGTGCCATGAAAGGGCACATAGCCTATCTTTTCTTTTTTCTAAGTTTCATCTACCACCACTTAGTGGATAGATATTTCTTGAGTACCTTCACTTAGAATTCTATCTGAGGCTTTTAACAATATCAATAGTCATTTTGCCCATGTGTGTAGAAGATCTGTGGTTGCTCGGGGGTTTTGTTTTTATAACACACTAAAGTAAATCAGAAGTGAAAGCACTTCTCTCTGAGATTATTTTTAAATCTAAACAAATAAATAAACTCAAGGGAATTTAATTTTGATAAAATAGGACTCCAGGAAAATCTGTCTCATGGCCTTTCTGAATGAAGAAAATGGAAATAAAATGTAAATGTGATTTTGGAGATGTGTCTTCCACAAAACAAGTGTTGACAAGATAATCTCTCCATTTGTTCCAGGTCCTCTAATTCTAGCACTCTATAAGCATAAAAATAATCTAATTAAGTTTAATGCTTTGAAATATTTCCTTTATTGCAAATCAGTACCCAGATGAAGAATAAGATGAAACCACACTTACATGACTCTAAATACCTGAGATTTCTGAGTAAGGTGGGGAACAAAGATCTGTTTCTCTAACTAAAGGATGATTAGATTAATTTTTCCCTCCATTAGCAGCCCTATATCTTTCTCCATCCTCTCTCACTTGTTACTCAACTATTTGAGCTTCTCTATCACTAAACTTATAACGTATTCCCTGCCTGGGCTTCAAAGCGATATTCACATTAACAGATAAAAAGCTTCATGCACTGTCTGAGCTAAGACTGCCACAGTAAACTCTGAAATGATGACATGAGAGCATGATAAATATCCTGACACAAAAAAGCTATTTTTCAGGGGAGGCCACTACCCCATAAGCAAACCTTTGTTGCTCTATCTGTGAACTCAAGGATCTGTCCTCCCATTGAAAGGCCCCAGAGTCGACAGGCTGAGTACTCCAAGTCGCTGACACCAGGGGACAGAACAAAGAATCTGTCCAAGTCTTGATCTCCTTAGCTCAGCGCAGGCCAAGTTCAGCTCAGCGATCTATCAAAGTGCTGGAATGTGCAGCAAGTAAATACCCACATTCTGCCAAGGGAGAAGAAAAGCTGGACCATTGACTACTGTTCTGGGACAAAGCAAATTCTCCCACATCAAAAGAGCACAAGCAGCCCTCATCCAGGTCTACACTGTATAATGGGTAGATTTTCGGCGAGTGTGCAAAAGATAAATGGTGCTTTTATCTCACATTCCCCCACCCCCCTTGCAATGAGAGTTTATGTTAGAGCCACTTAACTGCGTGGAGTGCAGCTTGGTGGATTACCTGTTTGTATGACTCAGTACCTGACCTGATCCTGTGGCGAGAGGAGACGGGGGAGGATGAGAGTTTTGTAAAATCAGTTTTGCTTTGAAGGGATCTTCAGCAATTTCTGAAGCCTCACAAAGACCTCTATACATACTGGCCCTTATAAGGAGAAAGGATTAGAAGGGAACAATGCACCCAGTAGAGAAGTTCGTCTTGTATTTCTAGTTATTTTATGAGTTTAGACTTATTAAATTACAAGCTTTAAAATCAGCCACTCATTATTGAAAAAAGTGTGGAATTGTGAATTAAAAGCGTATCTCTGAGACAGTTGTCACTGGCTTTGGAGCTAAGCATCCCGGGAAGTCAGATAAGGTTTCATCAGAGAAAGGGAAATGATCCTGTTATGAATAAAAATTGAAAGGTTCTGAAAGTCACTTCTGGAAGACCAGCATGGTGAGGACAGGAATCTTAAGTGTTAACAAGGTTGGACTTAAATACCTAAAATGATTAATTGGTCAAACTAGCATGAGGTTAAAGCTTTTTTGTTCCTAAAATACCTTTTGATTCCAGGAAGAAATTCTTTTCCCCAAGCCGCCCTGAGTGAACCATTAGTTTCCATTTCAGTGATCTGCTTTCTTTCTGTGTGTAATCTCAAGTCTCACCTGAGGGCAGATGGCGGGGCGATGACAATGGCAGCCTATCAGAGAATGTGATTTCCAATCTCAGCTCCACAATCCAATACCACATTATGTACTAAGTCTAGCTATTAAGGATGTCTAAGGTCTAAAGTTAATAGTAAATACTTTTGTGCCTGCCACAGTTCTTTTTATTTTCCAGGACCAAATAAGACAAATGCATGTGAATTGGTTTGGAGAAGATTTCAGATTAATCTTCAAAGTAAGATTGCACCTTAATGAACCCATCTTCGGGGTAATTTGAGAGTATATCTTACCAATACGGAGTTTAAATTTAATCTAAAATTTTGTTCTCCATTCTGTTCCCAGTTTTCTTCTCTTTAATAAACAAATCACTGGACTACATGGTAGAAAAGCTGGTTTCTGAGGACATTCTGTCCTGGAATATCATTTGATTCAGAAGCTCTCAATTTGAAACAATTTTTAGTTGTGACCAAAAGTATATATTTGAACAGGTTAATAAGCATTTAAATAAGTTTAAAATCAAGGTTTCAATTTCAAACAAAAACAGATGAGTTATTAACTGAAGCAAAATATGTAGATTTCTAAAGCTGATAAAAGCTCTAATTTAAGAAAATTAATATTAAGAAAATATTTCAAAACATATACTTTTTAAAATGGCATATTAGAGAATATTTGTTCATGTTTAAAAGATTTATTTATTTTAACAACAAAACACAGCTTTAATCACAAAGTATAGTTATTTTTTAACAACTTTATTGAGATACAATTTACATACCATAAAGTTCACTCATTTAAATGTACAATTTAATGGGTTTTAATATATTTACAAAGTTTTCCAACCATCACCATAATCTGTTTTAGAACATTTTTATTGTCCCAGAAAGAAATGTACCAATTAGCAGTCACTCCTCATTCTCCCTGACTCCAGCCCTCAGCAACAAGTAATATACTTTCTGCCTCTAAAGAATTGAGTAGTTCATGTAAGTGGGCTTTTTTCAAAACCACCACATGCTGTATGAACTCAAGGACATAGTACTAAGGGCTTCTTTCCCTGATCACAATGTCTTTGAGTTCCATTCATGTTGCAGCATGTATCAGTACTTAAATCCTTTAAATTACCAAATAATATTCCATTGTGTGGATGTACCACATTTGTGTACCCAGCCATCAGTTGAAATTTTAGCCACTGAAGAAGTGCAAACAAAACCACAAGATAACACTACATATCCACTAAATGACTATATTTAAAAAGACAGGCAATAGCAAGTGTTGGGAACATGTGGAAAAACTGGATTCTTCATGCTTTGTTGGCAAGAACGTAAAATTATACAACCTCTTTGTAAAAGAGTATAGCAGTTCTTCAGAACGTTACCTACCCAGTTACCATACCATCCTCAACTCCACTCCCAGTGTACGTTCAAGAGATACGAAAACGTACGTCCACATAAAGACATGTACATGAATGTTTGTAGCAACACCATGCATATTAGTGAACATTTATTTTACACGCCTTTTTTACAAACATATTTCTAATATAAAATTTGATATGTCTAAATTCTATGCAACTTACCAAATATCCCATGTGACAGAATATGTTTCAGGGAAGCTTTGGAGAGGTATATTGTGATATAACATAGCCTGGTATCAATTATCAGTTTCTTGAAGAACAAACAGCTTTTTCTCTTGCTTGTTTTTGTTTTGATTTTAAATCTCATCAGGGAAGCATCATTAAAGTAGAATTTCTATTTTCTGAAAAAGCCCTCATCAGCCATTATTAAGTAGAATGGTGTCACTAAATATGACAACATAAAGAAGCATGTTACTATTATTATTATTTTGATGAGAGAGTACTTTGTCTTTGATACTTTAGCCAGAGTTACATTCTTCATCTTCAGAGAGCTCCCCTCTTGATTTTAGTGCCCTAGTAGGTCACCAAGTCAG
This sequence comes from Homo sapiens, assembly GCF_000001405.40. Lineage (NCBI taxonomy): Eukaryota > Metazoa > Chordata > Mammalia > Primates > Hominidae > Homo > Homo sapiens. The sequence goes on from NC_000013.11 coordinate 22,792,088, forward strand.
CAAGCTCTGAAGACATCTAAGTTGCCTACACGTTTTTCATTTCTTGCTTATTTTCACTTCGTTTCTCACAGCCATTGCTCTATCTGCCTTTGTGTGTTGCTTGAGCAAGGCTGCAGGCTTCTTAAAGATTGCATTCCAATGACTCTGCTTTCTCCTTATGTCTACCTCAGGGTCAGGGCGTTCCAAGGTCAGGAAGAAAAGGGAGGAATAATTGTATACTGAAAAATATAAACAGACCTGTTTTGCTGGGGTACTCAGAAATAAGGTAAGGAGGTGCCGCTGCAGAGAGCAGAAATGGGTAAATTCCATCGGTCCATTTCATCCACAGTTTAACCTCTTCCTGATCAGATCAGTCAGTTCCCACTGCTTTTCGTTTTTAGTGAAGCACAGTTTTACAAGACGATCTTAGGGACTTGGGACATAAAACTTGAAAAGCATTCTCAATGGTAAAAATTACATGCATTTTTGTGAATGTGTCAGTCACTCCTTCCTTGTACCCTACACGTGCCTAGACTAGTGCCAGGCACACAGCAGTTTCTCAATACATGTCTTTAAAACTTATGAACTCCAAAAATGAGGAGAAAAGCTGAAGCTGGAGACAGGAACATATTCTGCAAGTCCTAGGATTAAAATAGGAGAGTGAAGTGATCGGGTTTGGGTTTCAGAAGGAATTCTCCTGTCTCAGTGTTGAAGATGGGTTGGAGAAGAACAAAGGTAAGACCATCTATGTAGAGAAAATGCACTTTTTGCCTAAACCAGAGGAATAAGGAGGAAGAGGTGGCATTCTACAGATGTGAAGGCAATTTATCTGTGAAGCTGAGGGACTCGGGATGTGGAGGGAGAAAGGGAGGGAAGCACCCAAGATTGTTGTGCAGGAGCTAAGCTTAGCTGGGGACCACGGGAGGCGCCTTTACCTGGGGCGGGACCTTCCTTAGGTGGGGGTTGAGGAAGAAGCGGCCAGGCTTGGCTTCCATCGAGGTTTCTGTATCTGGGTGATACCTGGTGATGTGTCGACAGGCAGTGGGTTAAGAAGGCCTCAATTTCAGGAAAGGACTATGGCCTGGTCACATACATTAGCGAGCTGTCTACATAGAGGTGGCAGTTTACATCTTGAGAATGGTTGCTTCCAGGAAAAGAGTATAGGATGAGAAAAGCAGTAGGAATGAAGAATGAAAGCCCCGCCTCAGGCGTGGGTGAAACCTTTTACCATAACCAGAGGTGCTGGGCCATTGGGAAAATGTGTCATTATTAATAAAGCTTCCGCCACCCCTCTTCTGGGTTGAATTTTTCCCCCCATCAAACATCCTATGTTGAGGTCCTAACCCCCAACACCTCAGAATGGGGCCCTGTTTGGAAAGAGGTTCCTTAGAGGTAATCAGTCAAGACGACGTCACACTGGAGTAGGATGGGCCCCTAATCTAACACGACTGTGTTCTTATAAAAAGAAGGCCAGGTGAAGAAGCCGACACACAGGAGAACGCTGCATGGAGACTGGAGTTCTGCTGCCAAGGAATCGGTGGAAGCCAGGAAAGAGCCTGCAACAGATCCTTCCGCCGCACCTCCAGAAGAAGCACAGCCCTGGGGACTGCTGGATCTTACACTTCTGGCTTCCAGAACAGTGAGTCAATACATTTCTGTTGTTTTAGCGGCTCAGTTTGCGGTCCTTTGTTGTGCCGACTCCAGGAAACTGGACAATCCCCATGCCGTGCAAAGCAAACGTTATATTCTAACCTTCAGTAATACACCCTCTCCCAAGTCCTGACATTTTTCTTTTTCTTTGATCTTTGCTCCCTGATTCTCAGAGGTTCCTGGATGGGCAGGTCATTCCGTGTGTACTCACCAATCCAGGCCCACACCCCAGTGCCCCGAGACTCAAATTACACCAGCAACTCTCAGCCACTTCAAAGAACCTAGTCTGTCCATATATGGCTCTTAAGTTTTTAGGTTTCAGCCCTGCCTGAAATAAGTGAAGTAATATCATTGTCCTCAATTTCCTCATATGGTGCTTAGATTGCAAGATCATTTCCAGCTCAAAGTTTCTAAAAGAGTTGAATTGAAAATATTTCTCAGAAGGATGAGGAGGAGTGGCCCAATCCCTTCCCTCACCTCATCCCTTCTTATCACGAAACTTCCTGGGCTTTTATCTGGGCAAGGGTAGGAGCCTTCGTGTGACATTAACAGGTAAATCCTTGGATTTTTGGCCATATCTTTAAGCCTTTCCTATAGACCTCTTAAATACGAAATTCCCACAACTGGAATATATACCGCATTGATACTATCTTCCCCTTTATCCTAAAACTGTCATCTTTAAGCTTCAAACAGTACTGTGATTTGATGTTAACCATGATGATTTGTACAACCGTATTTACAAGGCCACAACTCAAGTCATTTTTAGATTTCATCCTTCTAGACTGTAGCCAAATTCCCATCCATAAAGCCTATCTGATTCTTATTTCAGTGTACTCCTCTTTCTCTACCATCAGTATTGGATTATTCGTCAATTGCATTTGTATTCTCACCTTTTCTAACTATACTGCTCTAACTTACAATTTCAAATTCAATTTTTTTTCATAAAGCCACTAACCACCTAATTAAACAAACAAACATCCCATTATAGCCTTAGAATCTGCAGCTCACCCTGGTAAGCCCTGCACCAGACTAATGGTGTTATCAGCATGTCTTAAATACTGTTATCTAAATGTTATTGAAACTGTATCACATGTCAACTTGGGAAAAAATGTTGTGCATATTTTTGAGATAAGACCACTAAGCTGGTCCAAGGAATATATGTGTGAGTAACATTTCTCACTGTTTTTTTTTTAATTTAATGTCATTACTATAGCAGCGAAATGCACAATACATAAAAATATTAATATTCTGCCACGAAGTAAAACTATATTGTCATTTTCATACCTATTAGTAATTCAAGAGAAAAAGGTCTGTTCTTCTCAATCTTAGCTTTGATAAAAATTATAAATATATTTTTAAAACAATATATATTGTTTAATTAAAATAAATAAACAATATATTGCACTCTTTCATCCACCAAGCACAAAGCAGGTTCTGATAAAAAACAAAATATTATTAATTAGTTATCCAAAAGCATAGTTAATAGTGTAGAACCCTGTTTTTAATTCAGCATTTTTATATGTAAGAGTTTCATAGTTAATAGGAATTGGCCATTTTATAAATGGTTGGTGACAGCATCATACTGAATGGGATGCGATTCTTATGGTATATGACAATAGTCTATTCCTTCAAAGGGAGAGGTGACAGGGAGGTTAATTAACCTTTCATCAGTTAAGAGTCCTTTATCGATGAGGATGTAAAGAGAAATTCATCTCAAAACAATAGTTTGTGGGTACGGGTTGTTTTACCCATTTTCTAGATAAAAGGAGCTGAATTTCATATCCAAAATCTAGTTGCAGCCACCTACAGCCAAGTTAACCACATCGTCCCATTTCTGCTGATCAGAAAGGAAGCCTCTAGCAAACCATCTATATTAATGCAAAGAACAACTTTCTATCCAAATAATCTGAATTTAAATTTAGCAGATTTTTAAATTAATAAGCTTTTGACTTTATTGTTACTGAGATTCTACCTTATTGCAAACTGGGTTTCTTTCCAATTCTAAGGAGACAGTTATTCTTCTTTTTTTTTTTTTTTTTTTTTTTTGGGACAGAGTCTCGCTCTGTTGCCCCAGGCTGGAGTGCAGTGGTACAATCTCCACTTACTGCAACCTTTGCCTCATGGATTCAAGCGATTCTCCTGCCTCAGCTTCCTGAGTAACTGGGATTACAGGCGCAGGCCACCACACCTGGCTAATTTTTTATATTTTTGGTAGAGACGGGGTTTCACCATGTTGGCCAGGCTGGTCTTGAACTCCTGATCTCAAGTGATCCACCTGTCTCGGCCTCCCAAAGTGCTGGGATTACAGGTGTGAGCCACCATGCCCAGCCTCAGAATGGTTTCTTTTAGCTGCTTTTAGTAAAGTGCAAGAGAGAAACTCTGCCTTGCCCCTCTCACATATGCGCGTGCACACACACACACACACACAGAGGCAGGCAGGCCCACATTAGCACCCATGAGTAGGGAACTGTAGACTTTTCGTTGTCTTCTTTATAAATCAATGGGATGTAATGAATATTTTTTCTGATGGCTAAGGCCTTATAGCTATATTAATGGGATTATGGCGCCATCATGTGGTAATATGACATTTTTAAAAATTATTTTTTACTGGCTGGGTGCAGTGGCTCAAGCCTGAAATCACAGCACTTTGGGAGGCCGAGGCGAGCGGATCATGAGGTCAGGAGTTCAAGACTAGCCTGGCCAACATGGTGAAACCCCGTCTCTACTAAAGATAAAAAAAAATAGCTGGGCATGGTGGCGCGCACCTGTAATCCCAGCTACTTGGGAGGCTGAAGCAGGAGAATCACTTGAACCGGGGAGGCCGAGGTTGCAGTGAGCCGAGATCGTGCCATTGCACTCCAGCCTGGGCAACAGGCTGAGACTCCGTCTCAAAAATATATATATTTTTAAATTATGAAATACTTAAAATGTACTAAAAAGTACAGAAATAATAACAAATACTTGTGTACCCAAGTTTACGATATTACTTTATATATTTTTCTAAATTAAAGAAATAATCTTCACAAATACACAGATACTATCCCATCTCTCCATTCTCAGAAGTAACTACTGACTTCTGAGTATTAGTTTTGTTTCTTATGTAAATATGTATAATTCATAATCACTATGAACCATTATTTTATCAGTTGAAATGTCTACAACACATATGGCATCATTCTATTGAGATACACATTGGCAGATATATGTGTGTGTATGTATATATATTCTCTTGCAATTTGTGGTATTCACTTAATGGTAGGTTTTGAAGTTTTATCTATTTATATTTGTAGTTCTAGTTCTTTTTTAACAACAGTATAGTAGTAATACATCTCTTTGAACAGGACAGTGAAGTTGATTCCATTTGCTCAATATGATAAATTGCACTGCAAAGAACATTCTTTTACATGTCACAGTGTATAGGTTTCCTCTGGAGTTAAAACTTTGGCATGAAATTGCTTTCCAAACCTGATGCTCCTGTCTGTGTTTGTAATGCCTTTGCAGGCATTAAAACACCTCAGCTACAAGGTTGAATCAATGAGGTGAAAACAGAAAGCTTTCTCTTGTGTTCTTGACGTTAAAGCGTTGTTTCTATTTCATCATGGTGTGTAACGTTTGCTATTGTTTATTATGCGTACCATTTAGCAGGTTAAGAAAATTCCCTTCCCTTCCAAATATTCTAACAGTTTTATCTTGAATAAATACTATTTTAAAATGCACTTTTATATCTATTGGAATGGAATCAAACGTGATTCCTTTTTGACAATTTTTATGTGCTTGAAGTAAAGGGATATTTTACATGCACTCAGTTAAAAAACAAAAACAATAACAAAAACAAAAAACATTTAAACAGGATTTCCCCCCTCCCCAGACGATAAATGGAGTTTTTGCTCTATATCTTTGCTAGGCTCAACATATTTTGAAATATGCTTTGTACTGGGTGTGAGACGAGCCACTTTCATTATGCCTGCCACAGTTGAGCAAGTATAAATATGTAGGTTTCTGTTCTCGTAGCCCTTTATTTGTATATATAAAATATTACAAACACTATACATCTGGGATAATTATCTTGGCTAGTCAATTAACAAGAAAGCCAGATCTATATTCTCCTGACACAACTGGTTTATTATTGCCTTTACTTCTACAACTTCCCCTTTGTTAACTCTAAGCTCTTTAAGGATAAGGAGCTTGGTTACTTCATATTCTCACACAGCTTACTGCCAGGCATGTAGTAGATCTCTACAAATGTTTGTGGAAAGAATCAATGACCAGCATCAGGGAGAATCTTGCTTTTATTAGTATTTGAGTTATTATTTTTGAGACAAACACATTATAGCCCCTATTTTGTTGGGCATAAATTGATTCAACAATAATGAACAGAGAGAAGTTTAATACACAGAAAGTGCAATGGAGTTGCAGTGTGAGAGGTTTACATTTTTGTTTGAACTTCAAGAAGGAGATATTTAAGGATTAAAACCTGGAATTGGAAAATGAAAAGGAAAAATGCTATTAAAAATTAGCAAAATTTTATAAAGAATTTTATAAAGAAACAAAATTAACATCTCAATGTAAAATATATCACCATTGAAATTTAAAACTCGGTAAACAGTGGGCATCTTAATTAGACACTGTTGAAGATCGAAACAAGGAGCTGAACAACATGTAGAAGAAACTAACCGTAATGCACAGCATAGATAGAGATGGAAAACATGGAGGAGAGGTTAAGACACATGAAGTACAAAATAAGGTCCAGGATATGGTTTACAGAACCTTTAATATAAAAGAACTGAGAAACAGGAGTACAGCAATATTTCAAGATATAATGACTAAGAGTTTTCCAAATTAAATGGAATAAATGAATCCTCAGCTTCAAAAACAAAACAAATACCAAGAGAAATAAATGTTCAAACATCTCCCATTTCAGACGAATTTTAGAACTGTAAAATCCCTCCCCTCAAAAATTAAACTCCAAATTACCTATAAAAATGGCTACTAAAAACGATAAGCTAGAAAATACCAGAATAACATCTTCCAAGTTCTAAAAGGAACTGCTATAAATCCAGAGATTTGTATTCAGTTAAACTCTCATTGAAGAACAACAGAGAAATAAATAGTTTTCAGACAAACTGCAAAAAATGTCATGAGGACATGTCATGAAATGAACTTCTGAAGGATGTATTCCAGAAAGAACAAAATCACACCGAGAAAAATTACACAAATTTCAAAACTGAAAGTAAGCAAGATTCTGGGAAACAGGAAGGTCAATCTCGACAAACACAATTTTCATCAAAAGAGAAGAATGTCCAAGAAAAGGTGACTAAAAAAGTAAGTGCAATGGGAAAAAGATCTGAACAGACACCTCCCCAAAGAAGATAGACTGATGGCAAACAGGCATAAACCCATGAAAAGATGCTCAACATCATGTGTTATTAGGGAATTGTAAATTAACACAACAATGAGATACCACAACACACATACTACAATAACTAAAATCCAAAATACTGACAACACCAAATGCTGGTGAAGGTGTGGAACAACAGGAACTCTCATTCATTGCTGGTGGGAATGCAAAATGGTTCGGTTCCCTTTTATTTGACATGGATACCACCATGAACACCTGAATGCTACCTGTGGTAGCACTGAAGCCTTCGTGCCGTATGTTTTTTCCTGTACAGCAACGGGCAGGTAGCATATACAGTATAGATCCACCACACAAAGGGATGATCACATTGCAAACAGAATGGAGTAGGGTGACATGAGGAACAAGATGTTTAAGGGATAGATAAAGAGATAGATAAGTAGATACAAATATAGACTGTGAAATGATTGTCAAGCTAATTAACACTTCATCTACTTTTTTTTTTGTAGTAAGAACATTTAAAATCTATTCTTTTAGATTTCTCAAAGAACTTAAAACAGAGCTACCATTCAATCCAGGATTCCCACTACTGGGTATATATCCAAAAGAAAATAAATTGTTCTACCCAAAAGACACAGGCTCTCATATGTTCATCACAGACATGTTCATTGCAGCACTATTCACAATAGCAAAATCATGGAATCAACCTAGGTGTCCATCGAGGGTGGATTTAATAAAGAAAATGTGGTACAAATACACCATGGAATACTACACAGCCACAAAAAAGAATGAAATCATGTTTTTTGCAGCAACATAGATGCAGCTGGAGGGCACTATCCTAAGCTGATTAAGGTAGGAACAGAAAAGCAAGTACCACACGTTCTTACTTAGAGGTGGAAGCTAAACATTTGGTACTGGCAGATGTAAAGTGTTCAGCAATGGACACTGGAGGCTGCTGCTGGTGGAGGAGGCAAAAGAGGGGAAGAGTTGAATAATTAACTGTTGGGTACTATGCTCACTACCTGGGTGACAGGATCAATAATACCCCAAACCTTAATATCACACAATATGCCCATATAACAAACCTGCACATGTACCCCTGAATCTAAAATAAAAGTTGAAATTATTAAAACATCTTCTCTTTAAGCAATTTTGAAATATGCAAACATTATTATTAACTATAGTCACCAGGATGTGCAATACATCACTGAAACTTAACCTTCCTGTTCAACTTAAACTTTATATCATTTGGCTGACATCTCTTTTTTCCCCATCCACAACCTCCCCTACTCCAGCCCCTGGTAATCACCATTCTACTCTGATTCTATGAGTTCAACGGTTTTAGATTCCACATATAAATGAGACCATGTGGTATCTGTCTGTCTTTGGCTGGCTTATTTCACTTACCATAATGGTTTCCAGTTTCATTCATGTTGTTGCAAATGACAAAATTACCTTCTTTTTAAAGTCTGAATACCATTGCATTGTGTGTACCACATTTTCTTTACCCATTCATCCAATAATGGACACTTTTTTTCCTATCTTGGCTATTGTGCTATGAACATGGCAGTACAAATATTTCTTTGACATACTAATTTCAATTTCTTTGGATATATACCCAGCAGTGAGATTGCTGGATCATATGGTGGTTCTATTTTTAATTTTTTGAGGAACTGCCACACTGTTTTCCATAATGACTGTACTAATTTAAATTCCCACTGACAGTGTACTTTGGTTCTTTTCTCCATATACTTGGCAACACTTGCTATGTTTTGTCTTTTTGACAATAGCCAATCTAACAAGTATGAGGTGTGAGTTAATATCTCACAGTGGGTTTTATCTGCAGCTGCCTGATGATTCACGATGGGCATTTTTTCATATATCTGTTGGCTATTTGTGTGTCTTCTTTTGAGAAATGTCTGTTCATGTCCTTTGCCCCTTTTTTGATCAAGTTGTGTTTTTGCTATTGAGTTGTTTGAGCTCCTGAAATTCTTTTATGAGCTTAAAATTTGTATGGTTGGGCATGGGGGCTGTGGAGCTAGGATTGCTTTGCAATCATCTGTCCAATGTTCTCATGCTTTTCCTAGATGTGTTCCTCATTGAGTAACCAGCCACGCACACACCATTTCCCTCCCAGATGATGACCAAATTCAGGAATGGCCGTAGCCCCAGCTTCCGCATTTTAGTTCCCAATGGTTTCACTTCCTCAGCTTCTGCCCATGGATGCCCTGCCTCCTAATATTTACACACGTCATAGGGCACAGAAGTATGGACAGAAGTCTAGCTCTAATTCCAAGATAGAACTGGATTTCCCATACATTCTCAGTTTATACATGTATGCTGGACTCTAATAATGAGGTTATGCTTAACGAAATACAACCAAATTACAGGCAAATACTGTTGAATGAAAGAGTCTTTTAAAATCATTATTTATAGCATGTCTTACCTCTGGAAGTTAGCTGGTCTTTTTTCTGTTTTTTCAAGCAGATACAAAGATGTTGCCACCAGAGAGCACCATGGTACTGCCTTAATCTTTATATGTCACTTTTTCATTAATCCCTCATTTCAGGGGTGACAAATAATAGCGACGATAATTTAAGCCAAATTTGGAAAATTCTTTCATTCTATTTCTGAATTTAAAAATCAATTATGAAAACATTTTAAAATTGTGTTTTTAAACATCCTAACATAAAAATTTTTAAACAGTTTTGCTAAAAATTGATTCTGGTGATTCAATGTTAATTATGTTTTACATAGGTAAGTTCATATGCCATCTATTTGCTGATTCTCATGAGATGTTTGTGCTAATAATTTGTGGGTTTTGTTACTTTAAGTTAGGTTTAGTGTAAAAGTCTAGGTTCATCCTATTTATGAATCTTGAGAATTGCTGATGTGTCTTTGAATATTGTTTCAGAATTATGCCATTCTTTTACTGAATACACATTTATGCCTATCTTTCCCCTTTCCTCATCTGCGACTCAGTAAATAATATCTAAGGGTACCTTCAGATCTAATTGTCTATTATTTTACACCAACATCTTCAGAATGCACTAGCCAGAAAATACTGCTTCAGTGATACAAAACATGAACAATGTCTGTGTGAGTGAAATTGGACTGTGCAATTATGTTCTCTTTTATAACCCTGATGATGTTTCTAAAATAAAGCTTGTATGCTCAGACTCCCCAAAGGAGTAAACATACTAGAGTTTCTTCATCCTTTGAATGATCATAATTAGATAAAATAGGCACCAGTGTTTCCATTGTGTGATATATGCTTCATACTCCATTTTCTGAAGTGCCTGACAATACAAAATTGTGTCTGTATGATCAAACTTTGTGTTTGGTCAAGTATGGTATTACCAGTGTGCTTATCAAGCTTAATCAGAAGGCATTACCTGAATAACGTTTTATGATATGTAAAAAATACAGTCTCATATGATAAATATAAGCTACCCCTCAAGACATACAAAATAATTCACTGCTAGTTTTGAAAGCTATGACTTCAAATTAAAATGTGTAGAAAATACTCCTTATTACAGCTCTTCCTGTACTGGCTCTAAAGAAATAATCCAATAATCTATTGATTATTTTCCTCATAGACATTCCTTTAACAATGTAAAGCTTCTGTATTTGGGTTTTGTTTCTGGTAGGGGGAGCAAAATTGTGAAAGGGACACAAGAAAATGTCAATAGTTTATATGAAAGAAATGCAAATTTTATGATTTAAAATAACAGAAGACATGCTATCACGGGGAAGGGGGCATCTGTCACTATAGCTCTAAAATTATATGTCTCTGATGTTCAGTTAAATGGAATATTTGTGCTTCAGGAAACTTTAATTTGGGTTAAACCTGTGGCCATATTATCAATATATATGAGCCTTCCTTATTGGCTTCTGGTGGTGATTAAATGAGAAAGGTAAGGGATAAAGTTCTCTCCAGATTCATTTAAACGACTGTCTCAAAAACTGCTCTCCAGAGCACTACTCCAGGAAGAGATCAGGGCGTTTTCCACAGAAAAAAAACTGATTTGGTGATCAGAAAAGTATAGAAAAGCCCACTTAACATATCTCCTTCCTAAAGATTCACAATGAACATTATTATTTAAGAGCTTTTTGAAGTGCAAATCCATGAGCTTTTTAACCCTGAGCAATTGCTACCAAGCTAACTCTGAAATTTACTGCTTTTAGTCAAAATACACTCTTCAGCTAATGCTTTCTTCCAGCTGGCTGTCTTCTTGCCTGCCCTGTGTCGTAAAATGGGGGTCCCTTACTGCATTATCAAGGGGAAGGCAAGACTGGAATATCTAGTCCACAGGAAGACCTACACCACTGTCACCTTCACACAAGTGAAGTCAGAAGACAAAGGCGCTTTGGCTAAGCTGGTGGAAGCCATCAGGACCAATTACAACGACAGATACTGTGAGATCCGCCGTCACTGAGGCAGCAATGTCCTGGGTCCCAAGTCTGTGGCTCGTATCGCCAAGCTCAAAAAGGCAAAGGCTAAAGAACTTGCCAGTAAACTGGGTTAAATGTACACTGTCGAGTTTTCTGTACATAAAAATAATTAAAATACAAATTTTCCTTCAAAACAAAGCAACAAAAACAAAAAAAAGAGCTTTGAGAAATTCTGGAATAAAGAGACATGATGGAAATTTTTTAATACACTGTTGCCAATCTGTAAGACCATAAAGGCTGGGCACGGTGGCTCAGGACTGTAATCCCAGCACTTTGAGAAGCCGAGGCAGGCAGATCATGAGGTCAGAAGATCAAGACCTTCCTGGCCAACATGGTGAAATCCCGTCTTGACTAAAAATACAAAAATTAGCTGGGCATGGTGGCACGCACCTGTAGTCCCAGCTACTCAGGAGGCTGAGGCAGGAGAATCACTTGAACCCAGGAGGCGAAGGTTGCAGTGAGCCGAGATTGCACCACTGCACTCCAGCCTGGCGACAGAGGGAGACTCCGTGTCAGACACTGGAAGACTCCGTCTCAAAAGAAAAAAAGACGGACGGGCGCTGTGGCTCACGTCTGTAATCCCAGCACTTTGGGAGGCTGAGGCAGGCAAGATCACCTGAGGTCAGGAGTTCACGACCAGCCTAGCCAACGTGGTGAAACCCCATCTCTACTAAAAATACAAAAAATTAGCCGGGTTTGGTGGCACACACCTGTAATCCCACCTATTCGGGAGGCTGAGGCAGGAGAATCGCTTGAACCAGGGAAGCGGAGGTTGCAGTGACCCGAGATCACGCCACTGCACTCCAGCCTGGGCAACAAGAGCAAAACTCCATATCAAAAAAAAAAAAAAAAAAAAAAAAAAAAAAAAAAACAACTGAGAAATGGAAATCCAGGTTTGCCACTTACCAGCTGAGTGATCTTGGATAAGATATCTCAATTCTCTGGCTCTTCTTGACATTAAATTATGTAACACATAATGCTAAAGGTACATAGGAAACATGGAATAGATATTAGGGGGGTTTTTAACCTTCTGTCTTAACATGCTTTTAAATCCTATAGTTTTATAGAGCATGTGTTCTAGTAAATTAGTTGCTAATTTATGTTTCTATTCAAGAAAATCATTTGCTTTCATGCACCCAGTTCTATGGTGGGCACCTTGTGTTCTTGACTACCTGTCATCCATCCCTCTCTCTTTCCAAAAGTACCCTGATTTATTATTCAGGCATTAACTTTTCTACAGTATAGCCTCTGCATGTCCAGGGAAATGTGCCCACCCCAAGCTTGGAGGTTGGCTGTAGGGGTTGATTTAGGAAAAGGTAATGATGCAAATGAGATCGATGTGACTCAGGAGAGTGCTCCTGTGTGCCCTTCCTAGCCAGGGTGTAGACGGGGTGCTGTCCTGTGTGGGGCATTCTCCGTCTGCCTATCCACATCCGTTCTCCACCCTGCCCCTCTAGGCTTTATGTGTTGAAAACTATCTTCTGTGGATTTCGTCATGTACACTCCCCAGATCTCTTGTTTGGGGATGATTTTGGCTAATGGAAGACACTGCAACAGAATATATAGCAAAAGAAAATAATGGCTGTCTTTCATCTTTCTCTCCCCTCGACTGTCTCACAGCATGTTATTGTGTAGACCTACATAGCCTCTCCTATTAACTTCAAGACTTTCAGAGGCTATGACGGGAAAAGAATTGACATGGCAAATTCAAAATTTCTTTTTGTATTCTGAAAGCAAAGTAAAGTCTTAGAGCTGACTCCTATCAATTACTTTTATTTCATCACATGAATAAATGAATAAGAATATAAAAAAATTAATGGAGAATAAACAAATATATAAATAAATGAGAATAAGATAATTGAAGATGCTGTGATCATGTGGCATTCCATTTGTTGTGGAGGGACACACACAGATGAGGAGTGGACAGTTTTAACTGGATGGGGACAGAGATGTCCAGGAAAGTGGTTTCATAAAGGAGATTTCAATTAAGCTCATTTTTCAGAAATAAATATTTTCAAAGAACACAAAGAGGAAAAGGAAATTACTAGCAAGTGATTGTTCAACTGCTTAATAAAAATTACAGTTCTGAAACAAACATATTTTGAGAAACTTTATGTAGTTCATTACGGTTGAAATACTGAGTCTGAAGCATCAGAAACAGGGCAAGAGACCCGTCAGAGGCAGACCAGGGCGCCTCCCAGCCAGGCCTTTTCCACAACATGAGAGAAGTGGGCTTCATCCTTCTGTCAGAGGGTTTGTGTTTATGAATGTTAGGCAAGAGGTAAATATGACCAGTGCTGTACCTTTTTTTTCTTTTTGAGAAAGGGCCTCACTCTGTTGCCCAGGCTGGAGTGCAGTGGCGCAATCTTGGCTCGCTGCAGCCTTGAACTCCCGGGCTCAAGCAATCCTCCTGCTTCAGTCTCCTGAGTAGAAAGGAGCACGCAGGTGGAAGAGTACACTGACAGACACCAGCAGGCCAGTAGGCCATCGATGGGTGGAACGAGGCAGAGTTTGCAGGGAGCAGTGGGAGAAGAGTCGAGGGAAAATCATCTCCCTTCTGGCTTCCCCCGTCTGCTGAGAGTGACTTCCGCTCAATAAAACCTTGCACTCATTCTCCAAGTCTATTTGTGATCTGATTCTTCAGGTACATCAAGACAAGAACCTCTGCCTCCCAGGTTCAAGCGATTCTCCTGCCTTAGCCTCCCGAGTAGCTGGGACTACAGGTGCCTGCCACCACACACGGCTAACTTTTTGTATTTTTTTTTAGTAGAGATGGGGTTTCACTGTGTTAGCCAGGATGGTCCCCATCTCCTGACCTCGTGATCCGCCCACCTCAGCCTCCCAAAGTGCTGGGATTACAGACGTGAGCCATCGTGCCTGGCCTAGGTTTTTTTTAGAATTTCCCAAGATGGTTTAAAATTTATATGGAAATGGAAATAATGTAGAATAGCCAATGTAATCTTGACAAAGAACAACATAGAGGAAGAGCTCCATAACATTGGTCTCAGCAACGATTTTTTGAAGACGACCTCAAAAGCACAGCAAAAGCAAAAATAGACAAATGGGGTTACATCAAACTGAAAAGATTTTCCACAGTCAGGGAAACAACTGCAGAGTAAACAGATAACCTACAAAATGGGGGAAAATATTGCAAATCATACATCTGATAAGTGGTTCTTATCTAAAATACATAAGGAACTCAAGTCAGCAAGGAAAGAAATACCCCAGTTAAAAAATGGGCAAAGGACCTGAATGCATATTTCCTGAAAGAAGACATACGAATGGCCAGTGGTTATATGAAAATATGCTCAACATCACTAATCATCAAGCAAATGTAAATTAAAACCATAATAGAATACCGCTTCACACCTGTTAGAATAGCTATTACCAAAAAGATGAGATAACAAGTGTTGGCGAGGATGCTGAGAAAAGGGTATCCTTGCACACTGTTGGTAGGAATGTAAGTTGATACAGCTGTTATGAAAAACCATATGGAGTTTCCTCAAAAAAATTAAAAACAGAACTACCATGTGATGCAGAAATCCCAACACTGATTATATAACCAAAGAAAATAGAATCAGTATGCCAAAAATATATGTGCACTGCATGTTCATTCCAGCATTATTCACAGTAGCCAAGGTATGGAAACAACATAAACAACATAAGTATCCATCAATGAATGCATGGATAAAGAAATGTGGAATATACACGCAACATAATGTTAGCCTTAAAAAAGAAGAAAATCCTGTCATTTGTGACAACATGGATAAAACTGAAAGACACTATGTTAAATGAAATAAGCCAGACACAAAAAAATACTGCTTGATCTCACTTCTATGTGGAATCTAAAAAAGCTG
Organism: Homo sapiens; assembly: GCF_000001405.40. NCBI lineage: Eukaryota > Metazoa > Chordata > Mammalia > Primates > Hominidae > Homo > Homo sapiens. The sequence continues at coordinate 22,807,385 of NC_000013.11, forward strand.
AACTCAGATGTAGAAAATAGAAGGAGATTAGCAAGGGTTGGGGTTTGGGGAGAGGTTGGGGTGATGCTGGTCAAAGGATACAAAATTTCAGTTAGGAAGAATAAGGTCAAGAGACCTATTGTACAAGATTGTGACTATAGTCAATATTGTGTTGTATTTTTTAAAATTACTAAGAATTGCTAGATTTTAAGTGTCCTCACCACAAAATAAAATGTGAGGTAATGCACATGTTAATTAGCTCAATTTAGCCATTCAAAAATGTGTGTATATATATATATATATTTCAAAACATCATGTTGTACATAATTATATACAATTTTGTCAATTAAAAATAAATAAGTAAATAAGAAATGTGTACCAAAAAACAGGAAGAAAGAACAAAGGGTGTACACTATCTGATTTCAAGACATACTATAAAGCTACCCTAGTCAGGACAGTGTGACACTGGAATAAAGATGGACAAGTATAGTTCAATGGAGCAGAATATACAGTGCAGAAGTAAATTCACACTTATGAGGTTAACTAATTTCCAACAAAGGCTGATTTCCAACAAAGGCACTGAAATAATTCAATGAGCAAAGGGAAATCTTTTTAATAAATACTTTGGAAAAAATGAATAGCTACAAGGGAAAGCTAAAATAAAATTCAACCTCTATCTCACAGAGTATACAAAAGTTAATTCAAGATGGATCACAAACCCAACATAATAACTAAAACTTTAACATTTTGAGGGGGAAAAAAACATGAGAGAAGTTCTTTGTAGCCAAATAGATATTTCTTGGACTCAACACAGAAATTACTAATTATAAAGGCAAAATAATTACAAGTTGGATTACATTCAAATAAAAAAGCTTCTGTTAATCAAAAAACATACTCCTAAGAAAATGAGTAGGCAAGTAACAGAGAAAATGGGAGAAAATGTATGCAAAACATTTATCTGACAAAGAACTGTTATCCCAAATACACAAAAGATAGCTACAACTCCGTGAAAAAGATAAACAACCCAATTTTAAAATATGCAAAAGACTCGATAAACACTTTAAAATGGAAGACATACAAATAGCCAAAACGCATATGAAAAGATAGTCAACATTATTCATCATTTGAAAAATGCATATAAAAGCACGATATACCACTATGCTACCAGAATGTAGAAAATTGAAAAAAAAACAACAGGGGCTGTATGTAGAGCAAACAGCAATCTCATACATTAATAGTTGTTATATGAAAATAGTACAGCCACTTTGAAAACATTTGTGGCAGTGTCTTATAAAATAAACCTTTACCTATACTCTGGCCCGACAACTCCACACCGAAATATTTCGCAAAAAAAAAGTATGTTAACAAAGCTTGAACAACAAGATTTATAGCAACTTTATTTATTATGTCTCAAACAACTAAAATGTTCATTAACCAGAGATCAGATTTTAAAGTTGTAGTACATTTCTATTTTTTTTTTTTTTTTTTTTTTGAGACTAAGTGTCGCTCTTGTACCCCAGGCTGGAGTGCAATGGCGCAATCTCAGCTCACTGCAACAAACGCCTCCCAGGTTCAAGCGATTCTCTTGCCTCAGCCGCCCAAGTAGCTGGGATTACATGTGCCTGCCACCACACTTGGCTAATTTTTGTATTTTTTATTTACTTATTTATTTTTAGACGGAGTTTTGCTCTTGTTGCCCAGGCTGGAGTGCAACGGCGCAATCTCGGCTCACCGCAATCTCGGCTCACCGCAACCTCCACCTCCTGGGTTCAAGTGATTCTCCTGTCTCAGCGTCCCTAGTAGCTGGGACTACAGGCATGCGCCAACACGCCCGACTAATTTTGTATTTTTAGTAGAGATGGGGTTTCTCCATGTTGGTCAGGCTGGTCTTGAACTCCCAACCTCAGGTGATCCGCCTGCCTCAGCCTCCCAAAATGTTGGGATTACAGGCATGAGCCACTGTGCCCGGCCTCCTAATTTTTGTATTTTTAGTAGAGACGAGGTTTCACCATGTTGGCCAGGCTGGTCTTGAACTCCTGACCTCAGGTGATCCACCTGCCTTGACCTCCCAAAGTGCTGGGATTACAGGCATGAGCCATCGCGCCTGGCCAAAATTGTTGTACATTTCTAGAATGGAATATTACCAAAGAAGAAATACTATTGCTACATGCAACAATATAGATTTAACAAGCTACACACACAAATATGATGCTAGCTACCTGAAATTCTAGGTTATAAAAAACTATGGTTAAAAAAACCAGAAATTGTGTTTTGCTCTTGAGAGAAGGAATTAACTGGGGAGAGGCTCGAGAAACATCCTGTAATGATAGAAAATTTCTATATCTTGGTTAAGATAATAAACAAACAACCCCATTAAAAAGTGGACAAAGGACATGAACAAACACTTTTCAAAAGATGATATACAAGTGGCCAAAAAGCATATGAAAAAAGCTCATCATCACTAACTATTAGAGAAATGCAAATCAAAACCACAATAAGATACCATCTCACACCAGTCAGAATGACTATTATTAAAAAGTCAAAGAATAACAGATGCTGGTGAGGTTGCAGAGAAAGGGAAGACTTATACACTACTGGTGGGAGTGTAATTAGTTCAACTATTGTGGGAAGCAGTGTGGTGACTCCTCAAGTAACTAACAAGAGAACTACCATTCAACTGAGCAATCCTACTATTGTGTATATTCAAAAGAATACAAATTGTTCTACCATAAAGACACATGCATGCATATGTTCACTGCAGCACTATTCATAATAGCAAAGACATAGAATCAACCCAAATGCCCATCCGTGGTAGAATGAATAAAGAAAATGTGGAAAATATAAATCAATACTATGCAGCCATAAAAAAGAACGAGATTATATCCTTTGTAGGAACATGGATGGAGCTGGAGGCCATTATCCTTAGCAAGCTAACACAGGAACAGAAAACCACATACCACATGTTCTCACTTATAAGCAGGAGCTAAATGATGAGAACTCATGGACACATAGAGGGGAACAACAGATACTGGGGCCTATCAGAGGGCAGAGGGTGGGAGGAGGGAGAGGTTCAGGACAAATAACTAGTGGGTGCTAGGCTTAAGACCAGGGTGATGAAACACTCTGTACAACAACCCCTGTGACATAAGTTCACCTGTATAACAAACCTACACATGTACCCCTGAACTTAAAATAAAAGTTAACAAATAAAGATAGGAATGTGGGTTACAGAAGTATATGTACTTGTCAAAACTCTTAATTGCAACTTTTAGATCTGTTAAGTTTCACTGTATGAAAATTTTAGTTCAGAATAAAAGAATTCTACACAACATTGACCTTTACACAGTAGTTTATCTTTCTGGTATGGCAATTCTGAAATTTCTTTCTGTGTACTTGATGATTGAGTAAATGAATGCGTATATTGGGGAAATTGGGAGTCAGGTTGGTTACTGATGGAGAGGGGGAAAGGTGAAAATGCAACCTATGGTGTTGATTTGGAACTGAGGACATAAGCCTGAATACATACTTTATAATAGGTAAATGAAAGATAGATAATGATAGACAAATCAACTAGATAGATAGATGATAGATTAGATAGATATAGACAGAATAATAGATTTAGTTGTATTTCTGAGCTCTGTATGTTGAGAGTACCTAGAAGCAACGGCTCTTTGAAAGCAATGAACACACTAGTCACACTAGTACTAGTACCTTAGTAAAAGATTCTCCATGACATGAGAAAATTCTCTACAATGAGGAGCCAGAAGTTAATACAAAGAATAGCACAGGAAAAGTACTGAATGAGTCTGGAAGATCTTCTTGTGTTATAAAGTAATAGAGAAGTCAAAAGTATGATAGACATATATCAAAAGGGCACAGGCACCAGCTTGAAGGGCTCACATTGGTCAAATCTAAAATAAGTAAATAATAATTGTAATAGATTATAACTCTTTAAATAAGTATTTATGATCCCATTCTGATGTAATAAAATAACTAAGTAGGTCTTACTAGCACCTTAATATTGAACTTTCCAGCCTCCAGAACTGTGAGCAATAAATTTCTATTGCTTATAAATTTTTTTAAAAAAAGATTTCAGCCTACTTTCATCTTTGCAACGTGATCATTTTTACCATTATTCAAATAAAAATGTTCCCGTCTATTATAAAAAGAAAATGACTAAGTAAATAAACAGAAGGTAATGCCAACAAATAAATGCACAATAATGGCGTTAGAAAAATCATCAGCGGGTGCTAACAGCAGTGGATAAAGTTTGATGTGGAACAGGGTATTTACATAGTCTTAAAGTGTCTCCTAATAACTTACTTATCTATTACAAGAGGAAAAACCGTAACTTTCCAATGGAGAGACTTTATTGACCATACCTTAATCAAAAAATCAAACTTAACATCAGCCACATTAGTACAAAGTGACATTACACATTTCTTGACGATATACTGAGAAGAACAGAGAATAATTTCTATGGCATTCCTGTGAAAAGAATCAAAAGACCTGAATTTGTGAAAAGTGTCAAGGTCAAGAAAGAAAAAAAATGTCTGAGGAACTGTCTGAGTTAAAGGAGACTGAATGCAATTGAAGGTGACTTAATGCAATGCTTAACTCTGGACCGGGAACAAAATAGCTACAGAGGACATTGAACAGCTGATGAAATTTGAAAATAGACTGTCAATTAAATGTCCTGATTTTTATAAGTGTTTTTTGATTATATAAGATGTACCTTTGTTCTTAGGAAATGTGTGCTAAATATTTCAATGATAAAAGGAGCACAGTATCTTCAATTGACTAAGAAGTGGTTTAGGAAAAATAAATAGTTAACTGTATATTATATAACTCTATATATTATGTATATTATCTATTATGTATATGTAGAGAAATACATATAAAATAAAGACCTATAAATAATTGTTACTAAGTGTATATATATATGTGTGTGTGTATGTGTTCCTTGTACTATTCTTGAAATTTCCCCATATCTGAAATTACGTAAAATAGTGATAAAAAAGAATACTCATTGACAGATGGTAAATGGGAAATGCATCAAAAATTGTATCTTCCCTATCATAATTTCTCAAATTTGTGTAGATGAGAAAATTGCAAATTGTCCAAAGATACTGACAGTGAGTGAAGGTGTCTGAAATAAACAGCATAGGTATAAAAGGTGGCTGAAAGATCAACACTTTCCTGTTCAAAAATGACAAGCAATCTATTGTGCAAAGCTTCCTGCATGGTAAAATGGATTTTAAATGTCCTAACATCACATATTTTCATAAAGAGCACTCTGGCCCATAGAGCTGCTTGCTATATGACTACTAGAGATACGAAAGAATTTACTTCTTACTGCACTTGATAAAATGACAGGAAATGACAATTTAAAAATAAGATTGTCATTTTGTTTCAATTTTCAATCCAAGAAAACTCTTTATTTTCACCCCATGCCTATGAATGCTTGGAAGAAAATGTGTCAAGACTTCGTACTAACACAGTTAGAATGCAACCTTTTGACTTATATCTTTTCCCCTATTATAGAAAATTCCTGGCATAAGTCACTTACTTGAGTTCTGCTCTGAGTGATAAGATGCCCTTGGCAGCTTGAAGACTGTGAGATGATAGGCTATAAAACACTGAATCTGGGAAGGACATTGTTGGGTAAATACTGTGTTATGAATTTGTGCTTGGGGCTGAGCCAAATGTGGAAGGACGCCAGTCTACAGCTCAGTCAGTATTAGTGACATCCAACAAGCTGGGGAAACAGCATTCCATGACCATCAAAGTAGCAGCAGGCACAACGTTAGTGAAGAAGCATTCTAGTGTTTTGTTTTGTTTTGTTTTAATACATATTATAGTGAGAGTAGGGAAATAATGGAGAAATTAGCTCACATGAGCACTGTGGCATATTTCATTTTGTTTTTCATACTAACCCAGGGAAATAGAAATAATCATACTTTTTTTTTTATAAAAGTGACAATAGATTCAACGAGGTTAAGCGTATCACTGAAGCTGCACAGTTATTGTGGAATGGAGTCGGGATTCAAATCTATTCTGCTGTTCCACGCCAAAGCCTACGTTCAATCCCTATGCCACAGTGCATCCTCCAAGAGACGCAGTGATAGTCTTAACTCTCCCTCAGAAAAAAATGTTGAAAAAGAAAAACAGCTGACACAATTTTCTTACTTCTTTTCCTCTGAGGTCTTGTCTTAGGCAAGCTGCCATTACTTCGAATTGGGAAGCGACTCTCCTGAAGGTGCCAGGAAAGTTCACGTGTGAAGGGTGAAGGGGTGGCCTGCCCCTCCACACTTGTGGGCGTTTCTCATCAGGTGGAACGAGACTTGAGAAAAGAAAGAGACACGGAGACAAAGTATAGAGAAAGAAAAGTGGACCCGGGGAACTGGCGCTCAGCATACAGAGGACCCGCGCCAGCACCAGTCTTTGAGTTCCCTTAGTATTTATTGATCGTTATCAGGCGTTTCTCGGAAAGGGGAATGTGGCAGGACAATAGGGGAATAGTGGGGAGAGGGTCAGCAGGAAAACATGTGAACAAATGTCTCTGCCTCATAAACAAGGTAAAGAAAAAAGTGCTGTGCTTTTGATGTGCATATACATAAACATCTCAATGCCTTAAAGAGCAGTATTGCTGCCAGCATATCCCACCTCCAGCCCTAAGCGGTTTTCCCCTATCTCAGTAGATGGAATATACAATTGGGCTTTACACCGAGACATTCCATTGCCCAGGGACGAGCAGGAGACAGATGCCTTCCTCTTATCTCAACTGCAAAGAGGCCTTCCTTCCTCTTCTATTAATCCTCCTCAGCACAGACCGTTTATGGGTGTCGAGCTGGGGGATGGTCAGGTCTTTCCCTTCCCACGAGGCCATATTTCAGACTATCACATGGGGAGAAACCTTAGACAATACCTGGCTTTCCTAGGCAGAGGTCCCTGCGGGCTTCCGCAGTGTTTGTGTCTCTGGGTACTTGAGATTAGGGAGTGGTGATGACTCTTAAGGAGCATGCTGCCTTCAAGCATCTGTTTAACAAAGCACATCCTGCACAGCCCTTAATCCATTTAACCCTGAGTTGACACAGCACATGTTTCAGGGAGCACAGCATTGGCGGTAGGGTTACAGATTAACAGCATCTCAAGGCAGAAGAATTTGTCTTAGTACAGAACAAAATGGAGTCTCTTATGTCTACTTCTCTCTACATAGACACAGTAACAGTCTGATCTCTCTTTCTTTTCCCCACACACGTGGCAGGGAGCGTAGCCAAGGTCACCGGGGGCAGAGTGTCATTACCCATGGATATTCCAGCCTGAAGTGCTGCTAGTTTCAATGCCAGGCCTACACTGGCGCGGATAAAATAAAGTGCAATTTTAACTCTGCCGACAAAGAGCTCTTCCCTCTTCTAAATAAAAACATAGCTCGTTTGGGATTCAAGTAAAGGTGAGAAATAGAAAAGTACCCAGTAAGATTTACAGGTAAGGAAAATAAAGTTTTTCAATAGGAGTTAAGCTACTAAAATTTACACAGAATCAATGAGAAAAAGCCATTGAATACCTACAGTAATACTAGCCACCATTTCTTAACCACCTGTTAGGTAGTGGCCATAAAACTCAACATTTTACACATTATCTCATCACATTCAGTCCTCATAGTGATCTTTTTTTTTTTTTTTTTTTTTTTTGAGACGGAGTCTTGCTCAGGCACCAGGCTGGAGTGCAATGGCATGATCTCGGCTCACCGCAACCCCCACCTCCTGGATTCAAGCCATTGTCCAGCCTCAGCCTCCCAAGTAGCTGGGATTACAGGCATGTGCCACCACACCCAGCTAATTTTTTTTTTTTTTTTTTTTTAGTAGAGACGGAGTTTCACCATGTTGGCCAGGATGGTCTTGATCTCCTGACCTCATGATCCACCTGCCTCAGCCTCCCAAAGTGCTGGGATTACAGGCATGAGCCACCATGCCCGGCCCTCATAGTAATCTTATGAGGTAAATTTTATTAATTAAATTTCACAAAGCAAAATGAGGTTTAGAAAAAAATAATTAACTTGGCCAAATTCCACAGCTGGTAAGCAGGCCATATTCAAACCTAGGCTGGCAAACACCAAAGTCTTTGCTCTCACCTCTAGGCTGTGTTGGCTGTAAATGTGCTACCAAAGTGTTGGGAGAACCTCAGATCTTAATCATGGTGGCATCCCTGGCAAGTGACTATAATGTATGCAGTAGAAATACAATCTACACTATTTTACCTATGGGGAAAAACAATATGAAAAAGAGAATTATCACACTATTGAATAGAAAAGAGCATCCAAAAACTGGGTGTTGGCAATGTTCACTCGAAACTGTTCCAAGAAGATGTAGATTGACCTTGAGATTAAAAATTTGTAGCACATGAAGAGGAGTCTTCTGTTGTGGAACAAAAATAGTTCATTTGGCATCATTTCATAGCTTGGTGAAATAGCTCTCAAATGTATTGACTGTTTTTTCTCTAATTATATAATCACCGAGCAATATTCTGAGTAACCAAGAAATAGTACAGTGTGTATACCATTGTATTTTATGAAAACAAATTATGCAATCAGAAGTAGTGCTTTTTTTTTTTTTGAGTCTCACTCTTGATCACCCAGGCTGGAGTGCAGTGGCACAATCTTGGCTCACTGCAACCTCCGCCTTCCAAGTTCAAGCTATTCACCTGCCTCAGCCTCCTGAGTAGCTGGGATTACAGGCGCCCACCACCTCGCCTGGCTAATGTTTGCACTTTTAGTAGAGATGGGGTTTTGCCATGTTGGCCAGGCTGGTCTCAACTTCCTAACCTCAGGTGATCCATCCACTTCAGCCTCCCAAAGTGCTGGGATTACAGGCATGAGCAACCACGCCCAGCCAAGTAGTGCAATTTTTAAAATAAAATTGAAATTTATGTGCAAATGCTGAAAGATATTAAATCTTACAAAAATTTAATTCTTAAAGAAAAAGGGGTGATTTTAAACCTTGCCTTGCCTGTGTCTTTGCTGTAGATGGAACTACCTTAGTTAGAAGCAGAAAGGCTTCCTGCTCCTTTTCAATATTATCAGATCCATGGTGCTTTTTAAAGACATCAGCACTTTCTTACAGTGATTTAGGGATTATGATGCTTTTATTTTAATGTTCATTACAAATGCAATTTAAAATAATTCTATGTACTATGATAATATTATCCAAATATTCATTAAGTGGTAGTGGCAGTATAAGAATACAAAACCAGACTTCCAAATCAATGATTCTTAGTAAGATAAAACAATTTTTTAAAAAGGAACATATGACTGGGTGCGGTGGCTCATGCCTGTAATCCCAGAACTTTGGGATATCGAGGCAGATGGATCACCTGAGGTCAGAAGTTCGAGACTAGCCTGGCCAACATGGCAAAACCCCTTCTCCACTAAAAATACAAAAATTAGCTGGGGTTGGTGGTCTGCGCCTGTAATATCAGCTACTCAAGAGGCTGAGGCAGTGGAATCCCTTGGACCTGGGAGATGTAGGTTGCAGTGAGCTGCGATCACACCACTATACTCCAGCCTGGGAGACAAAGTGAGATTCTGTCTCAAAAGAAAAAAAAAAAAAAAGGACCATATACGTGTCGGTTAATGTTAGAGACAATGTTCTGAAAATAAAGAAACAGCATTAAAGAAGCACACCTGCAGCACCTTCGTGTTGGCAAAGATCACTGTACATCAGCCAAAGATAATGAAAACCTTCTCATGGCATAGCTGCAAAATAAACATCATAGCAATATTCTCTTATGCTTTGTTTTCAGTAGATTTTTAAGCTCTGTAAAAAGTATTAAACTTAACTTGCATTTGCTTCTATGTAAAAGTTACTCTTGGGTTACCCAAGTTTTGAATTGTGAAGGTTTAAAGTAGGAATTCCCATCATAAAATAGGACAATCATATTTTGATGCAGAGAGACATACCATACCATAGATAGGTGAAAAATTATTCCAGTCATAAGAAAGAAAAACCTCTTTTAGAAATTAGTGAAGTATTTGTACCTGATTTATACCTTCTTCATACTTTCATGTGATGTCTGATCAGCTCTTAGAAACTGAAAAAAGAAATGATTTTAGGAAATGCCACCTTAAGAGAGCTCTTGGATGAAGGTCGCCTGACTGGCTGCATGCCTTGCCTTCCCTTTTTTTTTTTTTTTTTTTGAGACGGAGTCTCGTTCTGTTGCCGAGGTTGGAGTGCAGTGGTGTGATCTCCGCTCACTGCAAGCTCTGCCTCCCAGGTTCATATCATTCTCCTGCCTCAGCCTCCCAAGTAGTCAGGACTACAGGCGCCCGCCACCACGCCTGGCTAATTTTTTGTATTTTTAGTAGAGATGGGGTTTCACCGTGTTAGCCAGGATGGTCTTGATCTCCTGACCTCACGATCTGCCCACCTCGGCCTCCCAAAGTGCTGGGATTACAGGCGTGAGCCACCACGCCTGGCCATGCCTTGCCTTCCTTTAAGATGATAGTCCATCCCCAAACATGCCAGCACTAACCTTATGACAAAGACAAACAACATTCCCTTTCTACTCTAATTTCATACCATCCATTAAAACTATTTAATCACAGAGAAAGAAAAAAATTTTAATAAAACATAACCCTTACAGACCACAAGAGACAGACTAAAACCAACAGTATATGGGCAATAATATAGTATTGTCTTCTGGTGGAAAGTGTATTGCTGGAAAGCACATTCCTGAAGCTTTTTCTACTTTCTGTACTTTACCTTCCTATCTAATTTAGGTTTTCTGTTGCTAGGAAAGAGATGCTTCTATCCATGTGAGAACAGTATTTACAGCTCTTCAGGAAATTGTTGCCACTTATATAAAATACCAGTAACAATGACAGAAAATATTTTCATTTTCTCCTGGTGACTTTGTTCCCACTTTTACTTCAATAAGACTACCGTTAATCTAATTTCAGAAAAAAAGGGCTGTAGTGGCCTCATCTAAAAATTGGAGATGATTGAAAAGGGCACATTTGATTTCATATTTTTTATTTTTTATTTATTTATTTATTGTTTATTTTTTGAGGCAGAGTCTTGCTCTGTTGCCCAGGCTGGAGTGCAGTGGCGCGATCTCGGCTCACTGCAACCTCTGCCTCCCAGGTTCAAGCAATTCTTCTGCCTCAGCCTCCCGAGTAGCTGGGACTACAGGTGTGTGCCACCATGCCTCGCTAATTTTTTGCATTTTAAGTAGAGACGGGGTTTCACTGTGTTAGCCAGGATGGTGTCGATCTCCTGACCTCATGATACACCCGCCTCGGCCTCCCAAGGTGCTGGGATTACAGGCATCAGCCACTGCACCCAGCCTGTTTTCATATTTTTTATTTGACATATTGTAAGTTTACATATTTATGGAGTACAACTTGATGTTTTGGTATACATCCATGTTGTATAATGATGAAATCAGGGTAGTTAGTATACAGATACCTCAAATATGTACCATTTATTTGTGATGAGAATATCCAAAGCCTCTCTTCTATTTTGTAATATACAATATTTTACTGTTAACCATAGTTACCCTCTGGTGCAATAGGACACCAGAATTTACTCATCCTATCAAATTGTAACTTTGTACCTATTCACCAGCCTCTCCATTTCTCCTTGGCATCCTTTTCCCCTCTCCAATCTCTAGTAGCCACTGTATACTCTCTGCTTCTATGACATCAACGTTTTCTTTTTGGGAGGATTCTACATATAAGTGAGACCATATGGTATTTGTCTTTCTGTGTCTGCCTTACTTCACGTAACATTATCTCCTCCAGCTTCATCCATATTGTCACAGATGGCAAGGTTTTATTCTTTCTTATGGCTGAATAGTATTCCATTGCATATATATACCACATTATCAATTTATCTGTGGATGGACACTTAGGCTGATTCTCTATCTTGGCTATTGTAAATAGTACTGCAATAAACATGGGAGTGTAGATATCTCTTTAATATACTGATTTTATTTCCTTTTGATACATACCTAGTAGTGGAATTGCTGGATCATATGGTAGTTCTATTTTTAATTTTTTGAGGAGCTGCCATACTGTTTTTCTTTTTCTTTTTCTTTTTTTGAGATGGTGTCTCACTCTGTCTTGTTCTGTCTCCCAGGCTGGAGTGCAGTGGAAAGATCTCAGCTCACTGCAACCTCTGCCTCCTGGGTTCAAGCAATTCTCCTGCCTCAGCCTCCCAAGTAGCTGGGACTACAGGCGCCCACCACCACGCCCACCTATTTTTTGTATTTTTAGTAGAGATGGGGTTTCAGCATGTTGGCCAGGATGGTCTCAATCTCTACACTGTTTCTCATAATGACTGTATTCGTTTATAATCCCACCAATAATATGCAAGTGTTCCCTTTTCACCACGTGCTTAGCAACACTTTTCATTGTTTATCTTTTTAATACTAGTCATTCTAACTAGAGTGAGGAGGTATCTCATTTTGGTTCTGATTTGTATTTCCCTGATTATTAACGGCATTGAGCACTTTTTTAATATATCTGTTGGTCTTTAAATAAGACCTCAAAAGCACTGGCCACGAAAGCAAAAATAGACAAATGGGATTACATCAAACTAAAAGGATTTTGCACAGCAAAGGAAACTACTAACAGAGTGAAGATAACCTACAGAATGTGAGAAAATATTTACAAACTATACATCTGACAAGGGGTTAATATTCAGAATATATAAGGAAGCTAAACAACTCAATACCAAGAAAAAAAACACAAATAATCTTATTTTAAAATCAGCAACATCAATGGCTGATTAGATGAAGGAACTGTGGTACATATACACCATGGAATACTATGCAGCCATTAAAAAACACAAGATCATGTCTTTTGCAGGAACATGGATGGAGGTGGAGCCCATTATTCTTAGCAAACTAACACAAGAACAGAAAACTAAATACTGGCTGTTGCATTTACAGGTGGGAGCTAAATGATGAGAACATATGGACAGGAGGAGGGGAAGAACAGACACTGGGGCCTATTGGAGGGTGGAGAGGGAAGGAGAGAGAAGATCAGAAAAATAACTATTGGGTATTAGGCTTAATATTTGAGTGACAAAATAATCTGTACAACAAATCCCCATGACACAAGTTTACCTATAGAATAGACCTGCACATATACCCCTGAACCTAAAAGTTTTTTTAAAAAAAATGGGCAAAAGACCTCAAGCTGGAAGCCATCATTCTCAGCAAACTAACACAGAAACAGAAAACCAAATACCCCATGTTCTCACTCATAAGTGGGAGTTGAACAGTGAGAACACATGGGCACAGAGAGGGGAACATCACATACTGGGGCATGTCAGTGGGTGGGGGCCAAGGAGAGGGAGAGCATTAGGACAAATATCTAATGCATGCAGGGCTTAAAACCTAGGTTGATAGGTGCAGCAAACCACCATGGCACATGTATACCTGTGTAACATTTACATAGACATTTCTCAAGGGAAGACATAAAGGACACATTTTAAAAGCCCTAATAAAATTATTAGTTCAGCTTCCAGTTATTCCTTATTATTGGTCTTGCTTTAACCTTGTACCCAGGTTTCTACAACTAGGCCACCTCCTTGCTTTCTAGTTTCAACAAATAAGCCCGTCTTATCCTGCTCTGTTAACATGATAGAGTGGGTTTTTTACCACAAAAAAAAAAAAAAAAAAAGGAGTATACCAGTATCCTATCCTTGTGTAATGAATTACTACAGATTTAGGAGCTTAAAACTACACATTTATTGTCTCACATTTTTCCATGTCTCAGGAGTTTGGGTACTGGTTAGCTGAAATCTCTTCTCAATATCTCATCAGGTAGAAATCAAAGAGATGGCTGAGGCTATGATTTCTTTTTTTCTTTTTTGAAACGGAGTCTTGCTCTGTCACCCAGGCTAAAGTGCAGTGGCACGATCCCGGCTCATGGCAACCTCCACCTCTCAGGTTCAAGCAATTCTCCTGCCTTAGCCTCCCAAGTAGCTGGGACTACAGGCATGCACTACCATGCCCGGCTTTTTTTTTTTTTTTTTTTTTGTACTTTTAGTAGAGACAGGGTTTCGCCACATTGGCCAGGCTGGTCTCGCATTCCTGACCTCAGGTGATCCACCTACCTCGGCCTCCCAAGTGGTGGGATTATAGGAATGAGCCACCATGCCAGGCCTAGGATTTCATTTGAAGTTTCAGGTCCTCTTCCAAGAGTACTGTTGTTGAAAGGAGTTATGGTGTGTGTGTGAGTGTGTGTGTGTGTGTGCGACAGTATGACTGTCTTCTTGCTAGCTGTTGGTTGGCAAACTCTCTAACTCCTAGAGGCCACACACACTTAGGGCCTTGCCACTCCTCTCACAATCTGATCACTTGCTTCTTCAAAGCCAGCAAGATACTGTTTGCTGCTGAATCTTGTCTCTTTTACGGGTTTGCCTGATTAGGTCAGGCCCACCAAGAATTATCTTCCTTTAATTTGAAATTTTAACTTGAAGTCAACTCATTAGAACCTTAATTACATCTGTAAAATCTTTTGTACCATATGACATAATCTAATCACAGGAGTGATATTTCATATTTACTAATCACATTTACATTCAAAAGGAGAAGATTATACAGAGCACATAAACCAGAAGGCAGGAATTTGGGTGGCTACCTTGGAATTTTGCTGACTGCAGAAGGGAAATGAAGCCAATTTCATTTGGCTGTCATGAGCATCTAAGATGTTGAATATATGGTGCCTGAAATAGTGTGGGAGCATAGCTGATACGCCACGGATGCAGATTATTACTCCTACATCATCTGAGCCTCTGCCATAGTTCCTTGTTTGGTACCCTCGAAGACTTAAAAAACCAGAGTAAAGTCTTCTTTTTTATTTTTTCATTTTATTTTTATTTATTTATTCATCCTACTGTAAGTTCTGGGATACATGTGCAGAACGTGCAGGTCTGTTACATAGTTATACATGTGCCATGGTGGTTTGCTGCACCTACCAACCCATCATCTAGGTTTTAAGCCCCGCATGCATTAGGTCCTAATGCTCCCCCTCCCCTTGGCCCCCACCCCCTGACATGCCCCGGTGTGTGATGTTCCCCTCTCTGTGTCCATGTGTTCTCACTGTTCAACTCCCACTTATGAGTAAGAACACGGGGTATTTGGTTTTCTGTTTCTGTGTTAGTTTGCTAAGAATGATGGCTTCCAGCTTCATCCATGTCCCTTTTAAAAAAAATTTTTTTTTTTTTAGATGGAGTCTAGCTCTGCCACCCAGGCTGGAGTGCAATGGCACGATCTTGGCTCACTGCAACCTCTGCCTCCCAGGTTCAAGCAATTCTCCTGCCTCAGCCTCCTGAGTAGCTGGGATTACAGGTCCCCACCACCACGCCCAGCTAAATTTTTTTTGTATTTTTAGTAGAGACGTGGTTTCACCATGTTGGCCAGGCTGGTCTTGAACTCCTGACCTCAGGTGATCCCTCCGCCTCGGCTTCCCTAAGTGCTGGAATTATGGGCGTGAGCCACCACACCCATCCGAGAACCAGAGAAAAGTCTTCTATATGACTACATCCATATCAGAGTTCCCTTACCAAGCACCAGACTTACCAGCTAGGAGACACTTGGAACTCCTCCCTTCCCCCAGTCATTAAAACACACCTTGAAGAATTTCTGCTATAGGAATTTATACTGTCAAGGCTGTGGTTCGCATTTCTAGTGGGATTCTGTCTCTTAGCTATTCTTTTTTTTCCCAATATCCTTAAATGTAAGAAGGGCTTCCATTTAGGAGGGTCTTAGCCTTCTCTATTTCTGTGGTTATCCTTGCATGAAAACTTGGCATATATTTGAGTGATGTCATGCTCAAAGTTGGAAGCTGCAGGCATCAGACTTTACCAAAATAGCTATTCAATTGGTAAAGAACTATCAGAATCAACTATTTTGCAACTCTAGAGTCTATTTGAACCCTTGAGTATCCAAGAAAGCGTATGAAGAAGAAATATATTGGTAAATTTCAGTGAATTTTGGCATTTTGAATAAAAGCTACTATTCCACAACCTCTAGCCCAATTTCAGGGAACTGTGGGGATGGCAGA
Organism: Homo sapiens; assembly: GCF_000001405.40. Taxonomy (NCBI): domain Eukaryota; kingdom Metazoa; phylum Chordata; class Mammalia; order Primates; family Hominidae; genus Homo; species Homo sapiens. The sequence continues at coordinate 22,823,439 of NC_000013.11, forward strand.
CAATATTCCTATTGAAGCTGGTAGGTGCCAGGACAGGAAGTAAGAACGTTATCCTCTAAAAATTGGAGTTGCATGTTTTGATCTGCCTGTTCAGTGGAGAACCAGCGTGGAGGCTGACTGTCATTTTAACTGCCTTAGGCTGAATCAGAATCCCTGGCCTCTATTGAAAAAATTTAAAGAGACGAGACATATTTTTAAAATTTTCTTATTGGATCAAGCACTTAAGAAATCTCTGTCAAGTCATCGGCTGGCCTTGGAGAAGATGGGACAAAGACTACAGTAACCACACATAAGCATGAATATAATCGTTGTAAAAATTGCCTTGCAAGTTATTAAAGATGACAGGAGCTCTCAATGAGTAACAATGACAACTTCTGGAGAAAAAAAATATGGCATCCAGAATTTGAACATTATAAATTACAGTGTCTAGTTTTCAACAAATAATTCTAAAGTATACAAAGGAAAAGGAAATCATGACCCATTCACAGAGAAATAAACAGAAGAAATTGACACAAACTATTCCTGAGGATACCCAGACATTGGGCTCATTAGACAGACTTTAAATTAAATGTCTTAAATATGCTTAAAGACCTTAAAAAAAAACACAGAAAATAACTAAAAGTGGGGGGAGTAGAACCATGAATTAACAACTAGGGAATATCAACAAAGGAATGGACATTAGTTTAAAAGGACCAAATAGAAATCCTGAAGCTTTTGCGATATAATAGCTGAAATTAAAAAATGCACAAGTGGAGTTTAATGGTCTATTTCAGCAGATAGAAGAAAGAATCAGTGAACTCAAAGACAGGGCAACTGAAATGATTCAGTCTGTGGAAAAGAAAGAACAGAGAATAAAGAAAAATAATCAGAGTCTAAGAAACATATGAGACACCATCAGGCACACCAGCTTATTATGGATTATGGACATTCCAGAAGGAGAAGAAAGACAAACATTGAGACAAATGTATGTAAAAAATAATGGCTGAAAACTTCCAAAATTTGAAGAAAGACATGAATCTACACATACAGGAAGCTAAGTGAAATCTAAGCAGGATAAATTCAGATATTCACACCAAGACACAGTATAATCAAACTGTCACAAGCCAAAGCCAAAAAAAGAATCTTGAAAGCAGAAGGAGAGAATTAACTTGCTATACAAAAGAGATTTCCAATAAGATTAACAGCTGATTTCTCATCAGAAACCACACAGGCAAGAAGGTAGTAGGATGATGTGCTCAAACAAACAAACAAAAAAACACTGCCTAACAAGAATTCTATGCTTGGTAACTTTAAAAATGAAGGAGAAATTAAGACATTCTCAGATAAACAAGAGCTAAGGGAGTTTGTTGCTAGAAGATACCCTTACTCTATAAGAAATGCTGAAGAGAGTTTTTCAGAATGAAACAAAAGATATCAGATAGTAACTCAAAGCTATATAAAGAAATAAAGATCACTGGTAAAGGTAACTATATAATACATAGGTAAATATAAAAGCTAATATTTTTCCGTTTTTGTTTCTTGTGTGATTAAAACTTGTAGAAAACAATTACTATCCCAGCTACTCAAGAGGCTGAGGCAGACAACTGCTTGAACCCGGGAGGCAGAGGTTGCAGTGAGCCAAGATTATTACACCACTGCACTCCAGCCTGGTGACGAAGTGAGACTCCATCTCAAAAAAAAAATCTCAAACCAAAAACCTAACTTTACACTTTAAGGAACTTAAAAAAAAGAAAAGTAAATTAGGCCCATAGTTAGCATAAGGAAAAAATAAGAATTATGTCAGAGATAAACAAAATGAACAATAAGAAAATTATAAGAAGAACCAAAAAGTTGGTGCTTTGAAATAGAAACAAAACTGGCAAATCTCAGGCTAGACTGACAAAGAAAAAATAAAGAAAAGTCACAAGTAACTAAAATCAGAAATGACGGTGGGGACTAGTTTCTGCTGACATTACATAAATAGAAGAGATTTCAAGAGAATACTACAAAAAATTGTACACTAACAAATTATGTAACCTAGAGAAATTTCTAGATACACAGAAGTCACCAAAACTGATTCAAGAAGGAATAGAAAATCTTAAAAACCTACAACAAGTACAGAAATTAGTTAGTAACTGAAAATCTCCCAATAAAGAAAAGTCCAGGACCAAATGATTTCACTGGTGAATTCAATTAAACATTTAAGGAAGATTTAATACCAATTCTGCTTAAGTCTTCCAAAAACTAGAAAAGGAAAATCTTCCTAATACATTCTATGAAGTCAGCATTACTCTGATACCAAAACCAGGCAAAAATGCCAAGAGAACACTAAACTATAGAGAAATATTCCTGAAGAATACTAATACAAAACTGCTTAAAAAAAGAAAAACTTGAAAACTCGATTCAGGAGCATATTAAAGGATTATACATCATGACCAAGTGAGATTTATCCCAGTCATGCAAGGGTGATTAAACAAAAAGAAATCAGTTGATGTATTATACTAAATTAATAAAATGAAGGAAAAATGATCTTAATTAATGCAGAAAAAGCATTTAACAAAATTCAACACCTTTATGTGATAAAAACACTCAGCAAACTAGAAACAGAAAAAGAACTTTCATAATATGATAAAGGATGTTTATGGAAAATGCCCTTTATCCACAACTAGCCATTTCACTCCTTGAAGAAAGACTGAAATCTTTCCCCCTGATATCAGAAACAAGTGTGCTCACTTTTCACCACTGCTATGGAACATTGTACTGGAAGTCCTATCTATAGTAATTAGGCAAGAAAAATAAAAATCATCCAAATTGGAAATAAAAGCAAAATATCTCTATTTGCAAATGACATGATTCTATCTGTAGAGTACCACAGAGTATACACCACAAAACTAATAGATCTAATAAACACATTCAACAAAGTTGCACGGCACAAGATCAACACTCAACAATCCACTAATATACCAGCAATGAATCAATGTGAAAAGGTAAATAAAACAATATTATTTACAGTAGTACCTAAAAGAATACCTATATACCTAGAAATACATTTAACCAGGAAAGTAAAAGAAATGAAACCAAGAAAGTGAAAGTATATACTGAAAACTACAAAACATTGCTAAAAGAAATTCAAGAAGACCTAAATAATAGAAAGACATCTCATGTTCATCGATTGGAATACAATATTGTTAAGATATTAATATTCCCTAAGCAATCTACAAATTCAATGCAAGTGTTATAAAGATATTAATGGCCCTTTTACATAAATAGAAAAGCAGCCCTTCACATTTATATGGAGATGTGTAGCCAAAACAATATTGAAAAACAAAACAATGGTGGAGGACTCACACTTCCCAATTTCTTAGATGCAATAATCAAAACAATGTCATACTGGCATAAAGACAGACATACAACCAATGAAAATAAAAGTAAAAATCTAGAAATAAACCCAAGTATCTACAATGACCACTTTAGTTCAACAAACCTGTCAAGGTCATTCTTTGGAGGAAAATAATCTCTTCAAGAAATGGTGCTGGTGTGGCCGAGCACGGTGGCTCACACCTGTAATCCCAGCTCTTTGGGAGGCTGAGGCAGGTGGATCAGGAGGTCAGAAGATCAAGACCATCCTGGCTAACACAGTGAAACTGCGTCTCTACTAAAAATACAAAAAATTAGCTGGGTGTGGTGGTGGGAACCTGTAGCCACAGCTACTCGGGAGACTGAGGCAGGAGAATGGTGTGAACCCAGCAGGCGGAGGTTGCAAATTGAGCCGAGATCGCACCACTGCACTCCAGCCTGGGCGACAGAGTGAGACTCCGTTTCAAAAAAAAAAAGAAATGGTGCTGGGGCATTTGGATGTAAACATCCAAAGGAATGAAGCTGAACTTGAACTACCTCCATATACAAAAGTCTACTCAGGATAGGTCAATGTCATAAGTATAAGAGCTAAAACTATAACATCACTAGGACAAAACCTAGGGGTTAATATTCAAGACCTTGGACTTATGGGACACATAAAGATTCTTAGGTTTTTACATAAAAGAACAAGCAGCAAAAGAAAGTTGATAAATCGCACCTTATCAAAATTAAAAACATTTGTGCATCAAAGAACATTGATAGTGAAAAAGCAAGAGAGAAAATATTTGAAAATCATACATCTGATAGAGGTTTAGCATAATACAGAATATATAAAGAATGCTTACAATTCAAACACCAAAAGATAACTCAATTAAAGATGAGCAAAGGTCTGGTTTGTTTGTTTGTTTTGTTTTATTTTGAGACGTAATATCATTCTTGTTGCCCAGGCTGGAGTGCAATGGTGCAATCCCGGCTCACTGCAACCTCCACCTCCCCAGGTTCCAGTGATTCTCCTACCTCAGCCTCCCAAATAGTTGGGGTTACAGGTGCCCACAACCAAGCCCAGATAATTTTTGTGTATTTTTATTAGAGATGGGGTTTCACCATTTTGGCCAGGCTGGTCTCAAACTCTTGACCTCAGGTAATCCTCCCACCTCAGCCTCCCCAAGTGCTGGGATTACAGACATGAGCCATCATGCTTGGCCAGGCAAAAGTCTTTAATGGGGATTTCTCCAATGCTATACAAATGGCCAAGATACACATGAAAAGATGTCCATCGCTGGTCAGTAAAAAATGCACATGCCTGTAACCCCAGCACTTTGGGAGGCCAAGGCAGGAGGACTGCTGGAGTCCAGGAGTTCAAGACCAGCCTGAGAAACATAGTGAGACCCACCTCTACAAAAAATTTTTTAAAATTAGCCAGGCATGGTGGTGCATATTTGTGGGCCCAGCTACTCAGGAAGCTGAGGCAAGAGGATTACTTGAGCCCAGGAGTGAACTATGACTAAGCTGCATAACTAAGCTGCAGTGAACTATGACCACGCCATTATACTCCAGTCTGGGTGACAGAGCATGACCCATCTCTACACTTCACAACCACTAGGATGTTTATAACGATAATTTTTAAACATGAAAAGTAACTAGTGCTGCACAAGAAATGGAGACATAGAAATCCTCAAGCACTGCCTGTGGAAATCTAAAATGATGCAGTATTTATGACAGTTTGGTGGTTCCTCAAAAGTTAAACATAGAATTACATTACAACCCAGCAATTTTACTTCTCAATGTATACCTAAAAGAATTGAAAACGTACGCAAATAGCTGTACATGAATATTCATAGCATCACAATTTACAATAGCCAAAGGCGGAAAAAACTAAGTGTCTATTAACAGATAAATGGCGAAATGAACTGCGGAACATATATTCAGTAAAATATTCAGTCATGAGGAATGAAGTACTGATACGTGCTACAACTTTCATTAACACTGAAAACATTACAATAAGTAAAAGACGATAGACATAAAAGGTCACATATTGTGTAATTCCTTTTATATGGCATATCCAGAATAAGCAAATACTAGAGACTGAAAGCAGATTTGTGGTTGCCAGGGATGGGGAAAGGGGAAAATGGGTAGTGGTTACTTAATGGGTGAGGGGGTGTTCTTCCGGGATGATAAAACAGCTTGTGACTAGAGAGATGTATTGGTATATAACACTGAATTCATCAAATACCACTAAACTGTATATTCTACAATGATTAATTGCTTATTATGTGAATTTCACCTCAATGAAAGCAAATTTTGCAAATTTGGGGTACTATATGTTTATACTAAGTGAGTCAACATAATACGATGTCTGAGAGCTTGGGCTCTGGAATCCACCATACCAATGCTCAACTCCTGTGTGCCTTTTGAAAGATTACCTCTCTTATCCTCGCTTTCTTGATTTATTAAAATAATATTTCTACCCTCAAGATTGTCTTAAGAGTTAGAAGAGATAATACAGATAAAGAGATACACACACGTCCTGATATGTAGCAAGGATTTATTAAATGTCTGTTTCTCTTTTTACCTCTCTCTAGGGAGACCATGAAGATAAGAGGAGTGTGGACACTGACCCTGGTCTCCTGGTGAAAGTCCTGTGGAGGCAATCCAGCTCTGCTCTAAGTATTAGGAGTGCATTAGCTTCTTTTTGTTTAGTGTTCTTCTTGGACCAATCTTGTCTTTATGTGGAAATACTAAACACAAAGCAGTAAGATTCCATGTTGTACCTAAAGGAAAATGCACAAATTTGTCCACTGTACCTACTTTGGTTCTCCAGCCTTAGGAAAAATGTACTCTCCATGTAGTTAGACTAGAACACCACACTACGTTCTTTTCAGCCTCTCTCTCTCGCTCTCTCTCCTCTCTCCATAAGGCTGTGTGTTGAAGATAAAAGAATTTAGAAATTAAGGTCCACACTCTCTGCAGACCTCCTTATATTATTTGTTCCTCTGGTCCTCAGAAAGACAACAGTGGTTCCTCAGGTCCCCAGGAGAGACCTAGTTTAGTTTATCCATCGCCAACTAAATCTTCTTTATAGAATATACAGTTGTCTCTCAGCATCCATGGAGGATTGGTCTGAGGACCCCTCTAGTATACCAAAATCCACAGATGCTCAAATCTCTGATATAAAATAGTATATTTGCATATAACCTATGCACATTCTCTCCTCATACTTTAAATCATCTCTAGATTACTTATAACACTTCATACAGTAAAGATGATATGTAAATAGTCTTTATACTATGTTTTCATAGAATCATGACAAGAAAAAACGTTGTACTGTACAGGTTCACTACAGACCCAACCATCCATTTCTTAAAAATATTTTCAATTCTTGGTTGGTTGAATCCACAGATTCAGAATCCATGAATACAGAAACTCAACTATACTTGGAACGAATGTGGTGATATTAAAAGTCTGTTAAGACTTTTTTTTTTTTTTTTTAAATGCAGTCTTGCTTTCTCACCCAGGGTGGAGCGCAATGGTGTGAGCTCAGCTCACTGCAACCTCCACCTCCTAGGTTCAAGCAATTCTCCTACCTCAGCTTCTCAACTAGCTAGGATTGCAGGCCTGCACCGTGTCCAGAATTTGTTCCTTCTGGTGGGTTCATGGTCTGGCTGACTTCAAGAATGAAGCCGCAGACCTTCAGGTGAGTGTTACAGCTCTTAAAGGTGGCGAGGGCCCAAAAAATGAGCAGCAGTAAGATTAATTGTGAAGAGTAAAAAAAACAAAGCTCCATGAAAGAGAACCGGTACCGGTTGCTGCCGCTGGCTGGGGCGGTCAACTTTTATTGCCTTATTTGTCCCTGCCCATGTCCTGCTGATTGGTCCATTTTACAGAGTGCTGATTGGTCCATTTTACAAACGTCCAGCTAGCCACAGAGCACTGATTGGTGCATTTTACAAACCTCTAGCTAGCCACAGAGCAACCATTGGTGTGTTTTTACAGAGCACTGATTGATTGGTGCATTTTACAAACCACGTGGAAGAAAAGTTCTTCAAGTCCTCACCCGACACAGAAGTCCAGCTGGCTTCACCTCTCACCACCATGCCTAGCTAATTTTTGTATGTTTAGTAGAGACAGGCTTTCCCCATGTTGGCCAGGCTGGTCTCAAACTCCTGACCTCAGGTGATCTGCCTGCCTCAGCCTCCCACAGTGCTGGGATTACAGGCATGAGCCACCGCACTGGCCAACTTTTCTTGAAAATCTCTCATTTTTTGAAACTCCATCTAGTTCTCAGAGACTCAGATCTCTCTGATCTTATTATTCCAGCACTTCAACATGTGTGGTTTCTTTTTTATGGTGGGGGAGTGGCGAAGTCTCGCTCTTATCCCCCAGGCTGGAGTGCAATGGCTCGATCTCCGCTCACAGCAACCTCCACCTCCAGGGTTCAAGCAATTCTCTTGCCTCAACCTCCAGAGTAGCTGGGATTACAGGCACCTGCCACCACGCCCGGCTAATTTTTGTATATTTAGTAGAGACGGGGTTTCACCATGTTGGCCAGGCTGGTCTCCATCTCCTGACCTCAGGTGATCCGCCTGCCTTGGCCTCCCAAAGTGCTGGGATTACAGGCGTGAGCCACCGCGCCCGGCCGTGGTTTCTGAGGTTTCCACGACAGAGGAAGAGTTGCCAGAGTTGCAATATTCTTAACTGCTTCATGCCAGAAGAGACATATATCCTTCTCTTCAGAGTCCATTGACAATAACTAAGCACACCGCCTGTCCTAAAAGCAGGGGAATCCAGGGAGTGTAGAGGAGAACATGGAGTATTTGGTAGCCCTTGTCTTTGCCAAACTCCTTATCCTCATTCAGCAAAATTAGGATTAAAGCTGAATTTGATGGTGAGGTCTTCATGGATGCAATAGTCCACTAATTTTGTACCTATTTAATTGTCCTCCATCTGAGTGGACTGAAGGAGACTCACATACTAGGCTACTGGCAATTTGGCCAGCACAACAGGTGCACCAGGTTCCTCCTAAGGTGGAAAAATTTGGGTCAAAATTAATGATAAATGAAAAAAAAAGAGATAATACCTGAATGCAAAGTGTGGAATATATGGACACTGTTGAAGGGAATATCCAGCACTATATCAGTGCCTTGAGAGTTCCTCAGAGCAAGAGAATAATGTTTTCTCTCAGCTTAAATTCCAGATGTTCAGAGGGGGACGTAATACTTTTGCTAACGTTGCACCAATTCTGAAATCTTACTAAGTAGAAAGGCAACCAGCATCCCTAAGTGCCATCTCTCCAGGGGACACATTTCTCCCATGTTGTGCTAAAGAAAAAGGAACAATTCCTGATGAGTAAGCAGGACTCTTTTTTTTTCTTCCAATGCAAAACATTTTAATAGGTAGTCAAATATACAGTTATTAGAATTATGTAAATATCACGTATAAAAATTGGTATAACACATTAGATGATTCTATGAAATAAAAACACAAATCACACATTGACAATAACCCCTGCAGTCCAAATACACCCCCACAATACGACAAATTACAAACACATTTAAAAAAAAAACCCTACAGACATTTATACATTTAACAAAGTAACTGTGACTAGACTAAATACATTCATTCATCAAGTACAATAAATTTAGCATTGCTGCTTATAGTCACTAATAACACAATTTTAGGTGCAATTTCACATGCTTTCATAAATCTTCCAGTACAGTTCCCATAGTAAAGTGTCTTTGTGCACACCATTTCCATTTATCTGCAGGTGCATCATACATCATACTTAAAACTATTTCACTTCACCAACTGTTAATATATATTTTAAGTGGAGAGCAGGTAAAAAATTTAAACCTCAATGATGACAAAATTTAAAATTAAAGAAAAGTCTTGAAAGCCTACAGTGATTTGTTTACTTGCATAAGTAATATTTTCACTTAGTACAGGCTATTAAAATAAGTAATGAGAATTTAAATATTAACTCAAAAAAAGATAGAGGCTCCAAACTTTTCTAAGAAATTAATGCATTTTCAATATAATCAGTCTGTAAGTCAAAAGTAATTCCATATTCATTGCCAAATTTAAAATACCAGTGATGTGAAGACTGAGGCCTAAAACTGTTGTGCTAAATTGTAAAATACAGTAAAGAAGATGCAGCTCATTTGCTTGGGAATATGTAATGGAATGTTTTCCACAGTAATGTTTATGTTAAACATTACTTTAAATGGGCAGTCTAAATAAACATACCTTTGCCAGCAAGGAAAGTGAAAAATTAAGGCTTTTCTATGCTATCTGTAACTACTACCCAAACTTAAATAGAGGTTACAATACTGCAAAATATTACTTCTAACTTCAACTATTGTTGGCTGCTTCATTTCAACCTTATTATCTTATTTACATGCCTATTTTTCTATATCTCTATTTCAATTAAGTCCCCAATCCCACCCTATCCAAAGAGAATGCTGAAAATGGTTAGGCCCTTACCTGTTTGGTTCACAGTTGTAATACTGGGGGCTAAAAATGCTTAACACATGGCATAAATCCAAGAAATACCTTTGAATGAACTAGAAGCCTGGCCTCCAAAGGCAACCCCACTTGTTTTTCCAAAGCATTAACAGATAATTGTTACCTCTTTAGATAACCAGATTGACAATTATTAAAAAGGAATCGGTGTTTCCTAGGCTATGAAAACATCAAAAACATGTAATAGAAAGGGTAACTTAGGGTACAAACGTATCAAATCAAAGCTAAAGGCACTGGAGAAAGAAGGTAAGCATTGTAAACAATTTTTAAAGCAAATCAAGTTTTAAAGTATAAAACGCCAAGCTACTAAGAGAAAATGTATTAAAATGATGACAATGTTTTACTATAGTGGACACAATTCCTGTAATTTCGCAAACAGAATTCTTTCGTTGTTCTATCGTTTTCTTTCATCCTACATCTTCTATAATATTCCAACCCCTAAAAACAAATGCATTTTCAGCTGTGTGAAACAAAAAAATGCAACTGAAGTATCTATGGAAATTCCTTTCTCTTAAATGATGTTATAAATTTGATACATAAACTTGATAGACATAAGAACATCATCTTGGAAATCATAAAATACTAAATTATGCTCAATCGAAATACAAAGGTTCTTATTCAGTTGAACAGTTTAGAGCCCCATAAGAACAAATTGTAGTGTAAAGAGGAAAAGTAAGTACAATCTTTCCAGACACACAAAACAAAGAATAATGAATACTGAGTTGAAATACCACAAGCTCCACATTAGAGCCATTTAATATACACATTTTCATAACTGTTTCTTGAAAAACTATTTAGGTAAAATATTTAGAATTTATCATTTATTTTAATTTATTTGAATCTATGCAATGTCCATCCATATTAAAATATCAATTAAATACTTTATTATAAAACTATTATACAATTTAAATTTTTATTAGAAAAAGGTATTATTCACATCCACAATTTCTTAAAGTCCTTTTTAAATACGTGTATTCCATAAGAAACACACTAAAATCATTACTTATGTTTCATAGGGGAAAAAACTGTAAGGATCCTATTAACCCAAACTATATCCGTATTATGCTTATTTCTTAAGCATTTACATGTTCAAATATGTTTGGTGAGTAGTGATCATTCATCCCCACAGTGGTAAATTTCAGCACAATATTAAGTGACTGAGAGAGACTAAAATAGTCACATGTAGATTACATAAACAGATACTTATTCTGTTATACCTAAGCTTACTTATAAAGCAACATAAAATGAGCATTGGATAACAATGATAACAAATGTAAACAAACAGAATTAAATATTAATCCCTTCCCTGAAAAACAACAGATAAAAGGGCTTCTTGCTTTATTAAAAATAAAACATGATCTATTGTATCAAAAAGGTAAGACACTGATTTTACAAAATTATATTTCCAAATACAGATAAAAAAAAGTTGAACAGTTAATTCAGATTTTATTGAGCTAAAATGTGCAAAAAATCTGATAATACTTAAGTTTATTTAATTCATTGTGCATAGGTTGATAATATCCCATCCAAAAAAAGCCTCAGTATCTTGTTAAGACTCAAAATAGTATTTAATTATCTGAGCTTAAGATTTATTGAACCACTATCCAAATAACAACAAAAGTCCATATTGTAAAAGAAAGAAGTGAAACTAAAAATTTTCTGATTGTTAATTATGACTTGAAATTCATTCATTCATAAAACTATAGCCAATATTCATTTGAAAAGTGAAGAAAAATTGGAAGTCCCTATGATAAATACATCAATTCTAAATAAAAAATTAAAATCAAATTTTTCTATTACAAAATGCACATGATCGGTTTTTTTTTTTGGATGGAGTCTCGCTCTGTCGCCCAGGCTGGAGTGCAGTGGCGCGATTTCAGCTCACTACAAGCTCCGCCTCCCGGGTCCACGTGATTCTCCTGCCTCAGCCTCCTGAGTAGCTGGGACTACAGGCACCTGCCACCGCGCCCGGCCTATTTTTCGTATTTTTAGTAGAGATGGGCTTTCACTGTGTTAGCCAGGATGGTCTCGATCTCCTGACCTCGTGATCTGCCTGCCTCGGCCTCCCAAAGTGCTGGGATTACAGGCGTGAGCCACCACACCCGGCCAAAATGCACATGATCTTTTAAATTATTCAAGTTTAATAGATTTACTAAGGATAGAGTTCATAGAGCATTTATTTGGTTCTTCTGTTTGGACTCAGGTATTTGCAAAACACCCCCAGAGAAGGTTGAGAAGGTAAAATAAAGATAAAATTGTGATAATTTTCTCCACACCACAACAAAGGTACTCAGATTTAAAAATTCAATTTGTAACTCTAGAAGAAAAATAGGAGAAACAATTTACATCCCCAAAATAATTTTCCAGAAATATGACAAAACGTATAACTCCCTAGAAATGTTATTAGTGAATCAAAGTGCAAGTAATGACAACATTCACGTCATATGTATTTGAAGACTCAAATGTTTTAAATGTTTTCAATGACAAATAACTGGTTGATTTTTTTTTAAGGTGGTGGGTGGGAAACAAAGATAATACAAATCTAATTTTTCCAGGAACTGTAGTACTGTCCCTGTCCCCATGAAATTAAGTTATAATTTCACTGTTCAAAATAATATAAAACTATTTTGAACAAGAGTGAAATAGAAGCATGAATTTAGATACGCACCAAACCCTATATGACGGACTAATTTACACATAGTATTTTTGATAACAACCTAATTAGATATTATCTTTCATTGTTTACTATAATTCCGAGAAACTGCTTTTAACAACATACATTTACACTACCACTTAACTAAATGGGGACATATAAATACATAAATTTTTAAAGAAAACAATTCAAGTTATTTAGAGGAGAAATAAAACTTCAATTATTTACTTTTTAAAGCTGCATTTAGATAAAAAGTTATATGGTTTATGATACTTTTCACAATGTTATAAATTTATATTCCAATTTTCTCATAAATGAAAGATTGTAAAGAAAAATATTTTGTTCCTTGAAAATAACCTCTCTCTTCCCCTAACCCCAGTAAGGACAATTAGTGTGCCCTTAATTTCGAGACTTTGTTGTTGTCATCCACATCAACTGTCTTTTTCATGAAGTATAATATTTTGAGAGAGAGATGTAAAAATTAAAGAGAAAACCTGCTTTTGGAATGCAGCAATTCTAAATCATTTCACTAAGAAGCACCCTTTGATATGCTGGTCCGAACTTTTAATATAAAACCTAAACACCACTTATTTCTGAAGTAGAATTTTCACCAGTTTTAGTAACTTCATACATAGCAATACTAAGAACAACAACCTGTGCTTTCGAGATCTTGGTAGGTGTTCTAATAATGGAATATTTTAGATATGGCTCATTGTCAAGGCTGGGTGGACAGAGTTGGACATGAATTGGCTACAGAAAGCTAACTAAACACTTAGTGACTGAATAATGATTTGCATTTTGCTTGAGCCAAAAAAGATGTTTAAGCCATGTACCACCACATTCCCTGCTTAACATTCCTAAGTTTCTTTATTCTTCATAGCTTTCTAATGAACAAATAATTAGTTTTCCTGAGAAAGAGTATAAAAAAGTTAACCTTTCTTCCAAAAGTATAAAGACAAATAAAATGTTGACTCACAATACAAATTTTTTACATAGCATTAAAGGTGCAGAGATATTGACTGCTCCTCTTCATTATGATTGGCCCACCCCTTAAAAAGACTGCAACAGAGGATTCAATTGTCTAAAATACTTCGAAGTACAGAAATTAAATGCTTTAGCCCATAAATATATCCCTCATCTATTGTGCTGCTAGGGAACACATGAGCAAAATCTATCATTCGCACTCCTACTTCAGCAATCTCTTGGCAACCAGTGGGAAGATGGTAGAAAACTTTTTCCAGTTGGGAAAGTACATTTCCATTTAAATGTTCTGTGACATGCTTTTCCACTCATTGTCTTGCTCCAGATTTTCAACTTTCATTGAAGTCTGACTGTGATGGTTTTTGTATACATTTTCCTGTGACGAGCATACATCTTGGACAAGTTTTTGCCCACTTAAGCCTCTATTTTTCCATTCACTGTGGAACTTAATACATGAAAGTTATTATTGTACTCTAGTACCTCTGTGTCTGACAGTTGTCCTTTGGACAAAAACTTTTCTGCCAAAGTTCTGTCATTCAATTTTGTAGTGGTTGGCTGAGATGAACTTTCATAAACCAATAGTAATGAACTTGCATAAAAGTTAAGCTGCTTCTGGTTTTCAAACCACTGCAGAATTTTCTCAATCTTCTGAATACTGGCAGCAACAGCATCTTTTCTTAAGCAGTACCCATTATGAAAAAATCCGGAGACTCCATCCTTTGTAGTTCCTTTTGTTAAGCTTCTTCCATAATGCTGGTTTTGTATATCATAGCTATCGGAATGAACATGGTAAACCCTCATGCCAAGCACCAAGAAACCCAATCTCTTCCATTAATGGGTACTTGCTGAATCTTCTCAGATGAGGCAAAAGGATCATAGCTTTTTTGCCCTATCTTTATATTCATTATACAGGGCTTATTAAATTTATGTGTCACATCTTCCAGTTTTAGGTATAAATCGTTTGGTGCAGTGGGAGGTGACCAGATGCCATATTTTGGCAAATATTTTCGTAGCTCTAGAAGAACACCATCAGAACAGTCAGCAGCATAAACCGTATGCTCTCTTGGGCCCCTTGGAGGTGGTTGTAACTGTTTCAAAGCTGTGCCATCTGAGTGTTGCAGTATACCCACTTTGTCCTTCCCGTTCATGTGTCCGGCCACCTGATACGAGAGGGGCACTTAGCCGTTGAGGAGGCGGAGTCTGCCGCCCGCCGGCTGCCCGGTGCCCTCAGGGATGGCCTCGATCGCCGGTGGGGCCCGCATTTCCGGGGGGCTGGCGCCTCGACCCGGAGGGGTGATGGTGGCTCTTTTGCCATAACCGAGAGCAGAAGCGGTAGCGGTAGCGAGAGCAGGAAAAAAATAGGGCGAGGGAGGGGGCGCCGGAGAACCCGAGGGTCGCTCAGGCTCGGGCGCGAGGAGGCCCGGGGGTTCCCGCGGCTGGTGCCCGCTGAGGCCCCGAGAGGGGGCCCATGACAACCAGGGGAGGGGGGGCGTCTGCCCAACTCTTGGCGGAGCGCGGCTCCCGGCTCCGGCTCCTGTGCAGCCGCAGGCCCCGGCGCTGCCCAGTAGACAGACTAAGCAGGACTCTCTTAATGTCCCTTAAGTCTTTTGGTTCTTGTTTTACAGGACATATCAATTAGATTGCAATTAAGGAGGGATCTCGGAGAGTTTCTCCCTTCTGGCAGCTATGATGTACAGTCATATCAGGCAGGCAGACTAATCATTGTGTCATTAATCTGATGGCCAAATGCTTAGGTTCCTGAGTATAATGGAAAACAAATAGTGGCAGCTATCTCCTAGTGTAATGTATAAAAGAACTTAAACCTTTGTCTTTATGGATGGACAGATGTCACACAAGATTAAAACAAAAAATTACTTCAGATGCTGATAAAGCATTGGGCTCACATCCCAACTGAAGTTAACTCTGCAGCGAGACAATGGGGGGTTATGGGAAGCTTTGTGGCACACTAAAATGTGTATGAATGACCACTACACATTTGACCTTAGTATAGAGGACCCGACAATTTGGGGTACAAAGTATGTATTTTTATTGTTCCCAGGCAATTAGCACTCAACAACAACAGCATGTGTAGTGGATTAAAAGACACTGGGCAACAAGATGAAAGAGAGCTCTTTGTGAAATAGGTATGGGTATAGGCATGGTAAGACAAGCAAAGTTTTCCTTCAGTATAAAGGACATTCAAAAGAAAAAGATCAATAGCAAAAATAGACAAGTTGGAAGAAATTATGTTCAAACAGTAAAGAACAGAATCTATTGATGCTGCTATGATGTGAATGCTTGTCCCCTCAGAAACTCCTATTGAAACTTGATCCCCAATGTGGCAATATTGAGAGAAGGGGCCTTTAGGAGATGATTGAGTCATGAAGGCTCTACCTTCATGAGTGAATTCATTCATTCATAGATTAATAGGTTAGGCCAGGTGTGATGACACATGGTGGATGGCTTCCAGCACTCTGGGAGGCAAGGCAGGAGGATCACTTGAAGCTAGGAGTTCGAGACCAGCCTGGGCAACAAAGCTAGACCCCACCTCTACAAAAACATACAAAAATAAGCCAGGTCTGGTGGTATGTACCTGTAGTCCCAGCTACTGGTGTGGCTGAAACAGGAATATTGCTTGAGCCCAGGAGTTCAAGACTGCAGTAAGCTATGATTGCACCACTGCACTCCAAGCTGGGTGACAGAGTAAGACCCCATCTCTAAACAAACAAGCACAGGTTAATAGGCTACTGGATTAATGGACTGTCATGGGAGAGGGACTGGTGGCTTTATAAGAAGAGGAAGAGAAACTTGAGCTAGCAGATTAGCACACTCAGCCACTTCACTATGTGATGCCTGCCTTGGGACTCTGCAGAGAGTTCCCAGCAGCAGGAAAGCTCTCACCACATGCAGCCACTCAACCTTGAACTTCTGGGGACTCCAGAACTGTAAGAAATAAATTCGTTCGCTTTATAAATTACCCAGCCTCAGATTTCAGTTATAGCAACATAAAACAGACTAAGACAGATGCCCTAGTAAATCAGGTCATAGAAACCCAATCTACCATATTAGAAAATGACAAAACACAAAAAACTCATTATCGGAAAAGAGCACACAAGCTAGTCCAACAGAGCCTTCAAATCATGTTTCTTGAAATGGAGGTCAAATGAGTCATAGGCGGTGACCTACCGTTTTAGTTGCAGCAGAAGCTCTAGAAGTACACTTCTGAAAAATACGTGATCTCCTGAACTTATGAAAATTTTCTTGAGGCAAAGGCAATTTATATCAATGTTCCCTAAATGCTCTTATTCCAAGAATAAACCAAGACGTGACATATTGTGTAAAGAATATAATAAACAACACATGTATACTCCTTGTGGAATCAAGGAGAGCTTTTTTACATATGTAACACCAGATGGGAACCTTGTATCTGTGCAAACATACTGACAGAGGCTAAGAGATTAGCTTTGTACCAGTTAGCCTGAAATCCAGAAGTAACAGAATCATAAGACACTGGTAACAATCCCAGCTCATAATAATATCTAGTATATGGGTAAAGTCCAAATCTACTAACATGATTTTAATAATGCTATAATGCTCACCCAATTATTTTCTAACAATACGAAAGTATAGCATAGGGCTGGGCGCGGTGGCTCACGCCTGTAATCCCAGCACTTTGGGAGGCCGAGGCAGGCTGATCACGAGGTCAGGAGTTCGAGACTATCCTGGCTAACACGGTGAAACCACGTCTCTA
Organism: Homo sapiens; assembly: GCF_000001405.40. Lineage (NCBI taxonomy): Eukaryota > Metazoa > Chordata > Mammalia > Primates > Hominidae > Homo > Homo sapiens. Next base: position 22,840,679 of record NC_000013.11, read on the forward strand.
CTAAAAAAATACAAAAAATTAGCCGCGCGTGGTGGCACGCGCCTGTAGTCCCAGCTACTCGGGAGGCTGAGGCAGGAGAATGGCATAAACCCAGGAGGTGGAGCTTGCAGTGAGCCGAGATCACGCCACTGCACTCCAGCCTGGGCGACAGAGCAAGACTCCATCTCAGATAAATAAATAAATATATAATAGCACTGTGGCTCATACCTGTAATCTCAGCACTTTGGGAGGCTGAGGCTGGTGGATCACAACGTCAGGAGTTCGAAACCAGCCTGGCCAACAAGGTGAAACCCATCTCTACTAAAAATATAAAAATTAGCTGGGCGTGGTGGCACTCACCTGTAGTCCCAGCTACTCGGGAGGCTGAGGCAGAAGAATTGCTTGAACCCAGGAGGCGGAGGTAGCAGTGAGCTGAGATCATGCCGCTGCACTCCAGCCAGGGCGACACAGCAAGACTCTGTCTCAAAAAAAAAATAATAATAACATAATAATACTCCAATATGGTGTAAAATTGGGATTATTGGTAAAATTTGGCTATCTTATATAAATGCATCAAATGATAGTACTAATGTTGAGTGAATATACTGAGAAATTGAGTTAAAACTTCCTTGGGTTGTAATATCAATAGAGACACTAATTGGCCTGAGGAAGAATGAGATTTAATTAATCAATTAATCACTATAATAGGTGTTTCTGCAGAGTTTTCTCATAAAGTAAGATAGCCATAGATAAGTAAAAATCAATAATTAAGTTTATATAACAGTAAAAAGAAATATGTTGTGGAACATTGAATTTAACAGATTATTTCTTTAAGTCTGCCCCCCTTCCTCACTAACTTCTGCAAATGATGCATGTATTTGCATTACCATTCCTGTTTTACCCTATAAATAAATGGTACACTACATGTAGATTTAATAGTGTTATAAATAATTTCTTTGTAAGGTGAAACTGACTAAGGGTCAGAGGTAAACTGCAAGGAATAAAATAACTCAGCAGGTCTGTTTTATCATTTTTGCTTCTTTCTGTAGCCATTGTAATGCCTCCTGGCTAAGTGCTGAGAACCAAGTCCCGGCATGTGCACATGGTAACTGGTTAATGATATTATTCTGCATGCCCAAGGCAGTGGTCAGGATGCATCAGACTGTCAGCATTATGTAAGGTAAACCTGAAGGTTCATGATGTGATCCTGATGCCTGGTTTGGGACACTATTGCTGGTCATGTAACCATGTGACCAGTATGGATCACAAGGATCAAGTGAGCTTCCCAAAGTTGAGACATCTTGGACATGACTTTTCTGTTTGCAGCTGGAACCCTCATATGCTGGTCCATGCAAGCCTCATATGTTGAGTCGCGTAATTTCTCCAGTGAATCACCAAATTTGTGAGTAGTTATATGACTTCCCTAAACAATCAAAGGATCTGCATTAAACCTATAAAGTCTTTCACTAAATTCCCTCAACATTTCTGACCCAGCACCATAGCTGTGGATGTTTCAGTGGTATTTACATATAACCCAAAGTACATTCCTAAAGAAAGTAGCCATTTTTATCTTTTTCAGCAAGATATAGTTGAATCCATCTAATATCACCATTGCCACTACAAGTAAGCTATCATTAAAAATCTTTGCTATTTTAGCCAAAAATAAAATAAAATAAAATAGGCGAGATGAAATATTTTTTCAAATAGTTATTTGCCATTTTTATTCACATTTTGGTTAAATTGTATAATTTTTGTTCTTTATCTTAGCAGTACTTTTTTATATATTTAAACAAATTCAATATTTTGCCTGTCATCTTAGTTGCAAATAATTTCCTAGCTTCCTAGATCAGAAATTTTGCTACAACAAATACAATCCTTTACTCCAATAATATATTTTACTTGGTTATTACTAACATATAAAAAGTATTGTCTTTATGTACTTATTTAGAAATTATATTAAAGTTTTCGATGGATTCAAGTGGATTCTCACTAGATTCTAACAGTTGTTTCCCAGGCAGTACTCAGTAAAGTTTAAAATGATCATTTCTCCCTTATTCATGTCCAGGTTAAATAATAATTATTCCTAACTTTAAAAGTGTCTGCTAGTATTTCTTATTTAAGAATGTTATCAGGTTTAAAATTGAGATGTTATAAAGAATATTTAGGTCAGGCACGGTGGCTCATGCCTGTAATCCCAGCACTTTGGGATGTCGAGGCGGGCAGATCACGAGGTCAGAAGTTCAAGACCAGCCTGGCCAACATGGTGAACCCCGTCTCTACTAAAAATACAAAAATTAGCCAGGCATGGTGACGGGAGCCTGTAATCCCAAAAAAAGAATATATGATAAGTTTGATTTAATGACTTCAGAAGATATTTACATAGTGATGCACTATTTCTCATTTGACAGTTGGTGTGAAATCCCGAAAGTCTGTTCTCACTCTGCACAGTAAGTAGTGCAGGACTGTAAGAATAATCCATGCTGAAATCATGCAAACCAATCTTTTTTTTTTTTTTTTTTTTTTTTGAGAGGGAGTCTTGCTCTGTCGCCCAGGCCGGAGTGCAGTGAGGCAATCTCGGCTCACTGCAAGCTCCGCCTGCCGGGTTCATGCCATTCTCTTGCCTCAACCTCCCGAGTATCTGGGACTACTGGCGCACACCACCAGGCCCGGCTAATTTTTTTGTATTTTTAGTAGAGACTGGGTTTCATCGTGTTAGCCAGGATGGTCTTGATCTCCTGACCTCGTGATCCACCAGCCTCCGCCTCCCAAAGTGCTGGGATTACAGGCGTGAGCCACCACGCCCGGCCGCAAACCAATCTTATTAACTAATGGGAAGATTATGATTATTCTAGGGCCTTAAAACTTTTGTGAATATATTGAAAAGAATCTGTTGCTGTCAGCTACTAACACACATTACTAAAGCTAAGTTTATTTAGTACACTATAATTTAAGAATTGGAAATGTTGATGATTGAAGTGTTTCATTGCTTTATTTAAAACTTCCAAAGAAAAGTTTGAATGGTGTTTGCCTTCCTCTCCTCCTCATATAACTTTTGCTATGGAGTGCTCATCTTTTCTATGCCTGGGTTTATTGTCACGCTCCACGCTCCTTTCTAAGTCTGGATCAGATGCTCACATTTAATCCTTTGCATCTTTGGTCATGCAGTATTTCTGAAAGCCCTGTAATGTGAAGCGATGTTTCGCCAATGTCACTTACTCTGGGACATCTTTGTCCTTTATATCATAACCTCTCTCCTCCTTTGTACTGATAAGCTCACCTTCACTAAGTTCCTCTGGCTGCGTATCTAGTGTCAGTAGTGTCAGCCCCATGGTCAGTTGTTTCTTCTGTAACTCCATTTACTTTTGTTTCAACTTTTACTTCCAGCATTACCTCTTTTCATTTCATTTTACTTTTATCTTCACTGTTCAACTCTCTTTTCCCATTGTCCACTTACTTTTACATTCAGAGAGCAGATTCTTTTGACTCGACAGAGTCTCACTCTGCTGCCCAGACTGGAGTGCAATGGCGCGATCTCGGCTCACTGCAACCTCCGTCTCCCGAGTTCAAGTGATTCTCCTGCCTCAGCCTCCAGAGTAGCTGGGAATACAGGCGCACGCCGCCACGCCCAGCTAATTTTTTACATTTTAGTAGAGACGTGGTTTCACCATGTTAGCCAGGCTGGTCTCGAACTCCTGAGATCAGGCGATCCACCCTCGGCCTCCCAAAGTACTAGGATTACTACAGCCGTGAGCCATCGCGCCCAGCCTTTTTCATTGTTTATTCAGCAATTTTTCATATTTATAAGTAACATCAGGCACTACTTTTTTCAGTAGCTTGTTTTTTCTACTTTCATGTGCCATTGACGTTAGAAAACTTGATGAAATGGAACAGAGGAGCTTCATGCTTTCTACGTTTCTGAACAACAAGTCGTACATCTGGGAAATAACTTTTTTTTTTTTTTTTTTTTGGCGGGGCGGGTGGGGACAGGGAACGGAGTTTCACTCTTGTCGCCCAGGCTGGAGTGAAATGGCTCAATCTCAGCTCACTGCAACCTCCACCTGCCGGGCTCAAGCAAGTATCCTGCCTCAGCCTCCCAAGGAGCTGGGATTATAGGCGCCCGCCACCACGCCCAGCTAATTTTTGTATTTTATATTTATATTTATAAATATATATATATTTTTATTTATATTTATATTTATAAATTTTGTATTTTAGTAGAGACAGGGTTTTACCATGCTGCTCAGGCTGGTCTCCAACTCCTGACCCGCCCACCTCGGCCTCTCAAAGTGCTGGGATTACAGGCGTGAGCCACCATGCCCGGCTTGGAAATAACTTTTTTTCTTTAAGTGTTTTAAAATGAACTCACATGACCCTTTTTACTAGTAGGTGCTGGATTGCCCAGCTTCCTTTAGCTGTTGTTAATATTATCACCCTCGATTTCTTTCAGTTAACATTTGCTTGGTCATTGCTATTGATTATATTCTTATTATTATGCTTCATGTTTGTTGTAAAGAGCATATACTTGAATTCTGTGTGCATACGGGTGTTTGCGTTTTAATTCTATCTGAGTCGTTTCAGGATGACTCTTTCAATTTGATCTTGCTTATGTCATTTTCTCTTATGATTTCTAAATTTACGTTTCCTTTCTAGTCTATTTTATTTTCTTCCTGAATGATGTTGTTTGCTATTTTTTTTCAATCATGTGGATGATATATAACCTGCTATAAACCCAATAATGGTTCTCCTGCCATTTAAAAAGACATTTGTAAACTGCTTTCCTGTGTGTTAGTTTAATTTTTTCATCATTCATTTTGGTATTAAAAGTTGACAAAGCATTAAATAAAATGTGAACAAATATGTAAGGGCAAATAATCTCAAAATATAGGAGCTATAGTTTGGTAGTCACATAAAAAAGGCTGCCAGATTTAGATAAGATCATGTAATTATTTTCTACTTGAATGGTTTCTGTAGTTAGGTGTCCCATTTTCCTGTCTTACTTAAAATAAGGGGAAAGAAAGGCAACAGCAGTAGTTGATCATGAAGATTCATGATCTTTTCAAAGACATCGACTCCCTACAAAACAGAAAAAGGAGTCTACAGAGACTGTCTTTGCAAATAATTATCTTTGCGCAGATGTTTCTGTACTTAGACGTACTCCTTTTCATCATTAGTTTCCAATTTACTATAGGGAAGTTGTCTTTCCAGAATATTTTACATTTCTTTATTTCTTCATTTCCTTTTTTCCTTTCTTCTCTTCTTTTTTTTTTTTTTTCTTTTTGGTATAGGGTATTAAATCTAGAAGGTATCTCAGAGAATATCTAGTTTAACCCCTTAGAAAGTCGATGTGACTTGTCAAAGTCACTGACATTCAGTAACAGAAGTAGCATTTGAGCACTGGTGTCCAGGTTTCCCGCACATCAGTCCTGTGCTCTTCCCATCACAGTTCCTTGTCTTCCCTGTCTTTCATGTTTTGTTTCTTTCATACTCAGAATAAATAACACAGTATTTTCCCATTTAATTGTCTGGATCGCCTCAACACAATTCTAGGGGCTCCTAATCTGAATGGCTTCATTCCATAGATTGTGAAACTAAACCAAACGCACACAGACACACAGTGAGGTGCTTAGAGTCAGAGGTTGCATGGGCACTTACTACACTGGAGTGACACCGCAGGCATTTCCTTTCTGATCACTCAGTCCATAGGGTGATAACCAATAAATACGAGCAAAACCAGTATAACTGAGATTGGCAAGAAGCCTCCTGGACTCCAAAAGTGTGACTTTAAAGACAGAAAATACATTATTTTCCCTATGGCTAGTAAGATTCAGATATTTTTATGAGCCATCAGAGGTACCTTTGTAGGAGTCCTTTAGAAAATCTTTCAGGCTAACATTATTTTGTATAAACCAACACTGATAGGTAATCAAAGTGAAAAAGGGAGGAACACACGTTCCTATCTATGGTTTCATTGATCTCATCTTACCTCTGGCCTTCACCAGTCTAAGTGATCATTTCCTCAGACTGACATGTCCATCACCAAGGCAGTTTCTGTAGTTTGACATATGACCTACTGAAGCAAAAATGCCCCAGGGTATACTCCAAGTGAAAACAGATAGTGAATAAATAACGTGGATTCCAAAGCAAGTAGCATGAAGTGTTGAAAAGTTCTCTGTGCCAATTCTTTGACTTTTCTCTAAATTCTGAAGAAGTTCTAAGTTAACAATTCATGATTATCCATGAAATGAATTAATCTGAACCCTGTTGACTTTTGTCTGATGCAACTGTGCTTTAATTCTTATTTTAATTAACCTGTAGATGAAGAACACATACCAGCTCAAAGCTCATTTCCCAAATGAAACATTGTTTGAGCTGGTGTGTGTTAATTTCCCAAATAAAACATTGTTGTTTCACTCTTTGAGATGTCAAATTAAATTGGTTACAAGAAAAAATTCTGACTTTGATCAGTCCTCTATGCCAGCCAGGAACATTTTTATTATAGAAAATCTGTATATGCAGTGAAGATGTTGCTTTCTCACTGATACAAGGGCGGAGTAGTCATCATCCTTTCTGATGAAACACAGATGGTCTCTGCAGAGCCCCCATTCATCTTTCTGCAACAGTGTTGCAATTATTCAGCTACCTTCTCCTGTCACCTTCTTTGAGAAAGATCATCCACTCCAAATACTCTTGCTCCCTTTTATTGGCACATATTCAGAGCCACATATGTGACATCTTGGACAAATACACCCATCTTAGGAAAAAATTTTAACAGGAGTATGCAGTAGTTAGATCTCCTAGAAAAACTTTTTTTGAGTTCCATTTATTTCTATCTTGAAAATAAAAACGATGTACTTCCAAAACAGTTGAGAATATAGAAAAGCATAGTGGCAGATAGTAAGTCACGTACAATCCCATCAGAAGGGGTAAATATTATTAATATTTTTACATATTTTATTTCAGTCTTCATTCATACATATAATATGTCTATTTATTAAACTTCAGCATTCTTTTTTGAACAATTTATGGATAATTTGCCATATCCTTGTGTATATTTCTGAAACATGATGTTTAATTGCTAATAATACTCTACTATACACTTAGCCAATCCTTACTGGTTTGTTTTTCATTTTTAACTTTTAAAAGTAATATTCTGATTAACAATGTTGTGTATAAGTATTTCTCTATGTTTATGATTAAGTTCTTGAAATAAATTCCTGGAATTACAATTAAGTCAAGTAATTAAATGTTCTCAAGACAGCATAATATAAGAACCTGTATTTTCCAAATACTCACCAGTAAAAGCTATTTTAATAAGTTAAATTTGTTTGACATTCCATTCAATATTAAAGGATTGACCTTCAAATATTTATTGTCCACTTATATTCTTCCTGTGGACATCTTTTTGTTTTGTTTTGTTTTTGAGACGGAGTCTCCCACTGTCACCCAGGCTGGAGTGCAGTGGCGGGATCTCGGCTCACTGCAAGCTCTGCCTCCCGGGTTCACGCCATTCTCCTGCCTCAGCCTCCCGAGTAGCTGGAACTGCTGGCGCCCGCCACTATGACTGGCTAATTTTTTGTATTTTTAGTAGAGACGGGGTTTCACCGTGTTAGCCAAGATGGTCTCGAGATCCTGACCTTGTGATCCGCCTGCCTCGGCCTCCCAAAGTGCAGCGTGAGCCACCGCGCCCGTCCGTTTTTTCCCTTTTTTTAAAAACACACTTTACTTTTACTTCCAGGTGAGTATTTTTAATACTGTTATATTTTTGTAAAATATTATAAAAATACTGTAATAGTTTTGTAAAATATTTTGTAAAAATTTTTAAATGAAGCTATTTAACACATATGACATGCTAATGTTACTTAATGGATTCCTATGTATTTCATAGGAATCTCGGCCCAGTCCAGGCGCCGCGCGTGGCTGGAGCTCTGGCTGGCTGCCTTAGTGTCATGCGGAGGCGTAGCGAGGATTCAGGGACAGTAAGCTCTGTTCTCGCCGAGCAGGGGGCGGGCTCGCGAGATCAGCTGCTTCTGGCCGGGCGGGGGCGTGGACTCAGCGTTCTGGGTGGCCAGGCCGTCGACCTGCGGCCTTTGTTCCGGGCCGCTGCCAGGCCTGAGGCCCTCCTGGGTTTCGGTTCAGCGTTAGTTAACAGTTAACCCGCCAGGGCAGGCTTCTGCCCAGGCACAGGAGAGCCAGTGAGCTTGTTCACCTTGAAACTTGGGCCACACCTGAGACCTGCCACCTCAGGGTGGTAAGCAGGCCGTTTCTAACAAGCTTTCATGGCATTTGTGCGCTTTAAAGTATAGAAGCTGCTCCAGGGCTTCCGCAGCCCCGGCCGTCCTGGAGATACTCGTTCCCTGGAGTCCGTAGTTGAGAATTTACAGCTCCTGGACAGCCACGTGCAGTCTCAGAACTGCAGGCGTCTTTACCGAAATGTTAAACACAGCTTGAAGTTAGGCAGGATAACTGCCAGAGCTGGATGGACCTTAGAGGTGCCAGCTAATGCGCTGTGAGCGTTTTCTGAGGTTAGGCCTGCTCTAAACATTTGATATGTGTTAAGGCATTTATGTGCTTTGCCCACACCCCTATGTGGCGGGCCCTTCTTACAGTAAAAGAAACTGCAGCACAGCGAAATTAAGCAACTTGCCCCAAATCACGCAGAACTGGGATGCAAACCCAGGTCTAGCTCACTCGTGATCACAGTTCAACATCAGACGATGATGCCAATTTCCAGAACAGCTACGTGACTTTATATAAAATTATTGGGCAAGCGTTCAATTGTAAACATTCGTGAACATAGCTGTTGCACATTAGCTTTCCTATTTTTTTTTAAATTCAGGACCATGTTTGGTGACATATAGATATCAATATTATATATATCACCAATATACATCTTTGCTTTGCTAAAAGGTTTTTGTGTCTTCAGGATAGTTTACTTGTAAGCCACATGTTTTTATAAATCCGTGGGTGCAACCTGAATAAAACTAATGCCTACCCCGTGGCGGTTTTGTGAAGAGTAATGAACTATTATATTCAAAGGGTCCAAGCAGTAGGCACTTACTGAAGGACAGCTAGTTTTATCTATTATTATTCTGCCATTCAGAGAGATATCAAAACTACTCTAAGGCATTTCTCTTCCCTGCACCTAAAAGCAAGGGTGTCATACTTGAGATAAGCATTCTGATAATGTGTAGGCAAAGTTTCCAGACTTAGTAAAAGCAGCTTAATCATGGCTCAAGAGGAGTGACAAGTTACCACCTATCTGCAATTCAAGGAGAATATAAGATAGAGAAGAAAGCAGTGAATGAATTTCATTTGATTAGCAGTAGATTGGACACTCTACTGGTCTTGCCTCTCTACAACCTCTCTTCCACCTGACCTCTAAATGTTGAAGTGCTTCAGGAAATGTCTTAGACCTTCTTCCTTATCTACACTTCCTCTCCAACATGAATCTTGATGGCTCTGCACAAGATACTGAAAAGAGGGAATATTCTTCTGTCTGGGTGGGCAGAGAAGATGACATTAAAAAATCTGAAAGAATAATAGCTGTTGTCCATGATAGAGAAGTGGTCATTTTCTATCACAAGGGAGAATATCATGCTATGGATATTCGCTGTTACCACTCAGGAGGACCTTTACATTTGGGAGATATAGAGGATTTTGATGGATGACCGTGTATAGTTTGCCGCTGGCATAAATACAAAATTACTTTGGCAACAGGAGAAGGTCTGTACCAGACTATAAACTCTAAAGATCCATCAGCAAAACCCAAGTAGTGCTCCAAAGGAATAAAGCAAAGGATTCACACAGTGACAGTAGACAATGGGAATATTTATGTGACTCTTTCTAATGAACTAATGACTCTGATTTTTATGCCACTGGATACTTCAAAGTAATTAAGAGTTCTTCCTGATAAAAAATACATAGCAATGAAAAATATTGTGTATGCTTGAAAACATTTTTAGAATAACTCTGCTTCAGTTTTAAAAGGGATGAAATTTTTCAACATAGGCACAACTATTTAAAAATCATATAAATTTGAGAGGTTTAAGAGCACACATACTTAGTATGATATAAGGATTATCATCAGGATCAATAGAATACATTTTATCAAATCCTCTGGATTAATTAGAACCTGAAGGTTATAGGTTTGGTATGTTCTGTTTAAGAAGGATGAAAATAAATTTGGAGTAAACAAAATAAATAATAGGTAAAAATTAAGGTTTAGTAAGAATTTTTTTAATTTTAAAAATTTAATTTTTAAAATAGGAAAAAATCCCTGTTTGATGTAGCAGACTTAATTCTGGAAAAGTTTTAATATATACAAAGTAAATAGACTATATAATGAACTTCCATCACTCAGCTTTAACAGTTATCAGCATTCTTCCATTCTTGTTTTATTTATACCTCTATGGATTCCCTACCTCTCCTATTTGATTGTTATTTTTACATTTTTAGGTAAAGCTTAAATACATTGAAATGTTCACATCTGAACTGTACAACTTTCCCAAATAACATAGCAGATTTTGTATACTTAAAAAATGCCTCCAAAAATGAGATAATTTTACCTGCTGAACTTGAAAATAAGAAACTTAACCACTGTGCTAGACATCAAAACCAAATAAGCCTTGGCTTAGTTTCTCTATGATCAAGGCAGATCGAGCAGTAAGGAAGCCACACACACCTGCTGCCCAGCCATGAGAGATGTAAAGTCTCCTGTTCAATGAGTCAATGTACTTTGAATGCCTATATGAAATTTTCAAATAAAGGTTTTTTAAATTTTTTTTAAATAAAAAAATAGGCCAGGCGCGGTGGCTTACGCCTGTAATCCCAGCACTTTGCAAGCCCGAGACGGGCAGATCACGAGGACAGCAGATGGAGACCATCCTGGCTAACATGATGAGACCCCTTCTCTACTAAAAATACAAAAAAATTAGCCGGGCGTGGTGGCGGGCACCTGTAGCCCCAGCTACTCGGGAGGCTGAGGCAGGAGAATGGCGTGAACCCGGGAGGCGGAGCTTGCAGTGAGCCGAGATCGCGCCACTGCACTCCAGCCTGGGTTACCGAGCGAGACTCCGTCGCAAAAGAAATAAATAAATAAAAATAAAAATAAATAAATCTCCCACCTGTGTTAAGACAGTTAAATATTTCTTGATGTTAGCTTGAGGACCAAGTGAGCCATCTTGCCAGTTAAGCAAGTCTTATTTCAGAGGACCAAATGGTTAAAAGAGGAGAATTTGTACATTTGTTGAGCTTCCCCATCTGAAGCTTGGGTTCCGTACTATCCTATTACTATCCATCTTCATACTGAATGAAACAAACTGAAAGGGAATTCATAATCTTTTTTCTTAACTGAACAGGAAAACTTATGAAAATCAACAATAAATCTGAATTTTAATTTTCATTCAACAGCTGAAAAACCATGTCTGTTGACCACATTGGACTATTGCCTAGTTAAAATCCATAAAATTCTCTATAAACCAATGAAAAGAAAGTAGTCTGGCAATAATTTCCAACTTTTTAAATCCTAATTTTTAGGTCAGGTGCAATGCCTCACGCCTGTAATCCCAGCACTTTGGGAGGCCCAGGCAGGTGGATCACGAGGTCAGAAGATAGAGACCATCCTGGCTAACATGGTGAAAACCCGTCTCTACTAAAAATACAAAAAAAAAAAAAAAATTACCCGGGTGTGGTGGCGGGCACCTGTAGTCTCAGCAACTCTGGAGGCTGAGGCAGGAGAATGGCGTGAACCTGGGAGGGGGAGCTTGCAGTGAGCCGAGATCGTGCCACTGCAGTCCAGTCTGGGCGACAGAGCCAGACTCCGTCTCAAAAAAAAAAAAAAAAAAAAATTCTAATTTTTAGTTACAAAGAAAAAGGATAGAACGAGGCTTTTCAAGGAATTCTTGCTCATCCCTTCAATAATTTGGTAGGCAACACAGTCCTAGAATTCAGCTTCCTTTTTGGTTTTATTACTATTAAATAGATACTTTCATATAAATGGAAACATTTTTCCTCAAAACATCAATTCAAAACATACTCCTTATATTAATGGCTATGGCACCACATTTTTGGTAAATTCCCTATGTGTAACTTTTTCCTGTTGGTATGTGATTTTTTTCATTTAATATGACTATCTGCTGGTGTTGGGGGCAATAGGTTTGTGAATATTCTGTGGATATGTCCATGCATAGGTGTATATATATACCTATATTTTTCCAGCTAATACCTCAAATGTGTGATTGTTTAATATATACCACACTATGTTTGCACAGAGCAGGGCTTCTATTAGCAGTGGATATTTTTATTTCTTTTTTTTTTTTTTTTTTTTTTGTTTTGAGACGGAGTCTCTCTCTGTTGCCCAGGCTGGAGTGCAGTGGCGCGATCTCCGCTCACTGCAAGCTCTGCCTCCCGGGTTCACGCCATTCTCCTACCTCAGCCTCCCGAGTAGCTGGGACTACAGGCGCCCGCCACTACGCCTGGCTAATTTTTTGTATTTTTTGTAGAGACAGGGTTTCACCGTGTTAGCCAGGATGGTCTCGATCTCCTGACCTCGTGATCCACCCGCCTCGGCCTCCCAAAGTGCTGGAATTACAGGCATGAGCCACCACGCCCAGTGGATATTTTTATTTCTAACTTTGAAAATCAGTCCACACAATTTCATTGGTGTGAATTCTTTCTGTTGCTCTTTTTCATATTTTAATGCAGAGATTCCTCTTACAAGGCCCATGCTTCAAACACAATTATATCTTTCTATATCCAGCCAGCTGGAAATATATAGGGGTAAGAAGTATTTCTTGAAAAGTCCTTGTTTAGTAAGTTAGTAACAACTGGGATGACTAGTTGCCAAGATGTCTTGTAACTGCCTAGCAGATGACACCTGCCGTGGCAAGTCTCATTCACTTCAGTACAAGACTCTGTACATTTCAATCTGATATTCTATTTTGCCATTTAAGTACGCCATTAAAATCATAGAGATTTTCAGTGACATTGGAGTACTGTAAATATTAGTTTCAAAAAGAATTATTTTGAATAGGATGATTAAACCAATAAGAAGAAAGAAACACACAGAAATGATATTTTGCAGTTTATCTGTATTAAGAAATGCTTCTTGCCAATTTCTGGTTTTGGTTTTTGGATTGCTACATAAGACTTTCTTTCCATTTACTTTATGTGTTTTTAAAAGCTGCAGGTGATTTTTAAGGTTTGATGGAATTATAATGGGAGCCTTGTATAAGTTAAATGAAACTGGTAAAGGAGAGCTTACTTTGTCTATAATGCTTTCAGGATTATAACTTAGATTTAAAAATGAAATGTCTGACTTGTAAAATATTTAATGTTATATCAGACTTCAATAAAATTTTCTGCGAGAACTCAAAGTAAATGCATTAGATTTTTAATGAATGTTCTGAATGAAATATGAATTTTTGTCTTTCAGTCTCTGTAGTTTATCTCAATATATTAATAAAAAGGTCTGTTCTCACTGTAAAAAAAAATTCATATTATAATGACATGAATATACAGACTTCCAAATTAGTTCTTTTTATATCTGTATTTTTTAAACCTCTTGAGTTGGGTTATTTTTATTTCCATTTCCTGGCTCTTCTGCCGCATGAAAATCATGCTTCCACTTTTCTTGCACCCTTTGATAAGCCTCAAAGTTACTATATGGGGTACCCGAAAGACAAGATATTGTCACTAGCCTCAAAAATTTTACTATTATGGACACACAGACACCAATGGTTTCCCTGTTTCTGAAAGCTCCCAGTTTACACAGATAGAACTTCATGCTTTATATTCTTTATCAGACTTCACATAGTTGAAAATTATTTCCTTCCAATCTGGAAAAGATGATTTTTGAGTTGTAACTGATCACAAATTGCTAGTCAGTCTGTGTGTTCATCCTACGGTTTCAACATCTTCTAAACTGTGTTTATGGTACTAGTCTTAATTCATTTTTATATTAAAAACAGTCATTTTCATCACACATACCTGCATTTCAAAATTTTTTATTAGAAGATGACACAGTACAAGGCAGTTGAACACTAACTTTTGATATTTTGATAAAAACAAAAATGGGAATCTTTCCAAGTGACTTTTGAGCAAGGATCTGGTCATCTATGTATTTGATACCAGTCGCTCAATATTTTAAGGTAAATTTAATTGAAGTATATTACACATACATAAATGTGCATAAATCATAAGTGTAAATCTCAATGAATTTTAAAAAGAAAACACAACAGAAAAACACCTTAGCATTCTCTCTAATGCCTGCCCCTAGTCATAATCCACAATCCCCCTCCTAAACAGTAACAATTATTCCTTAATTACCATAAATTATTTTTGTCTGTTTTGAAATATTTAGGTAAATGCAGTTAGATAAATGTACTCTCTTTGTTTAAGGCCTCTTTTTATAAACATTGTATTTGTGGCATTTATTCATATTTTGTATGTGGAAACAGTTCATTTATTTTTACTGGTGAATAGTATTTTTCTCCTGTGAAAACACCATAGTTGTATTCCTCTGTTCTACTTTTGGTGAGCATTTTGTTTGTTTCCAATTTTGATATTTTGATTAAGTCTGTGATGAACATTTTCTTTTCTTTTTTTTTTTTTTTTTTGAGACGGAGTCTCACTCTGTCGCCCAGACTGAAGCGCAGTGGCGGGATCTCAGCTCACTGCAAGCTCCGCCTTCTGGGTTCATGCCATTCTCCTGCCTCAGCCTCCCAAGTAGCTGGGACTACAGGCGCCCGCCACCACACTCGGCTAATTTTTTTTGTATTTTTAGTAGAGACGGGGTTTCACCATGTTAGCCAGGATGGTCTCCATCTCCTGACCTCATGATCCGCCCGCCTCGGCCTCCCAAAGTGCCGAGATTACAGGTGTGAGCCACCGCGCCCAGCCGAACATTTCCATACATCTATTTTGGTGCACAGATGTGTGGGGTTTTGTTGCAGGGTCATAGGATATGCATTCATTTACCTTTACTAGATACTGTAAAATGGTTATTCACAGTGATTGTACAGCAAAAATTTCCCCTCCTTACAATGTAAATGAGAATTCCAGAGTTCTATATCCTTGCTCAGATCTGGTAATTTCTCCTATTTTTGATTAGCTCTAATAGTGAGTGCATGAAGTTGTATTAACTTGCTATACTATTGATCCTTAATGAAGCATGCCTCCTGGTATTTTGCCATGTGTATCCCTACCCACATTGACTCTGGTCTTGGCCATGTGATTAGATTTGGCCAGTGGGTGCTTAGCAAGTATGATGCAAGAGAAGGATTTACAACCACTTATGAACACTGGGAACTCCTAATCTTTGAATGCTCCTTGTTGGAAATCAGCTTCCACACTGAGAGGAGCCCAGTAATCCACGTGGAGAGGTCTTTGGGGGAGAACCAAAACTTCTGGTCATAGTCCAAGCTAAGCTTCCAGCCAACCATGAGCACTACTTGCTAGACACATGAGTGAGGTCATTTTGGAAATTCCAGCTGTCTTAGCAATAGTCAATGTCACCGGAAGCAGAAGAACCATGGCCCAGTCAAGTCACAGAGTCATGAATAATAAATAATTGTTGTTATATTAATATGTTAACTTTGGGATGACTTGCTACCAAGTAAAAATAACTTAGACAAAAACATCTAACTGGTTTTAATGTTTATATATCTGGTGATTTTAAATGTTGATTATCTTATTGATATTTGGCCATGTTCTAGTTACTATTGATGCATAACAGGCCACCCTGGGGCATTAAGCAACAGTCAGTTTCTTATACCAGTTTTGTGGCCCAAGAAATTAGGGCTCAGCCATGAGAGTGTGTTTCTGCTACCCAGCACTGGGGGCTGAAGGCTGGAATCATCTGGAGACTCCTTACTCACTCGTATGTCTGGCTCCTGGGCTGGGATCAGTGCAAGTCTGGGCTCACCTGGCACTTGATTGGAGCACCTACACTTGGGCT
The DNA here is from genome assembly GCF_000001405.40 of Homo sapiens. Lineage (NCBI taxonomy): Eukaryota > Metazoa > Chordata > Mammalia > Primates > Hominidae > Homo > Homo sapiens. The sequence continues at coordinate 22,856,613 of NC_000013.11, forward strand.
GGCCATGTAGTTTGGCCTCTCACAGCATGAAGACTTGATTCTAGTATGGAGCATACCAACAGGGGGCCTCTTGAAAACGAGATGGCGCTCCATGGCCTCTTATGATCTGGCCTCAGAAATCTCATATCATCATTTCACCACACTCGATGGGTCAAAACAGTCACTGCCACAATATATTCAAGGCCACAGAACCTACTTCCTGATCAGAAGATTGTGAACGAACAAACTGGGGACCATACGTTTAACCTCTCATTTTGCATCCTCTAAAGTATGGTGCTTGTTCAAGTCCTTGGGACAGAAAAAATTTGTTTCACTTAGGCTATTTTTTTCTTGTTGCTGTGTAGCTGTTACATATATATGATATGTATGTGTTTGTATATATTCTCTTTTCCCCATTTTGTGAATTGTTTTATCTCAATAGTACATATTAATAAACAAAAGTTATAATTATAATGTAATTCCATTTGTATTAGTCTTTTTCTTTTTTTTGGAGACAGAATCTCACTCTGTTCCCCAGGCTGGAGTGCAGTGGTGCCATCTTGGCTCACTGCAACCTCCGCTTCCTGTGCTCAAGTGATTCTCCCACCTCAGCCTCCCAAGTAGCTAGGATTATAGGCACCCACCACCACACCTGGCAATGTATTAGTCTTTTTATGTCTGGTTTAAGAACAATTGGTTTAACCCAAGGTCAAAAAATTATTCTCATATGTAATATTATAGAAACTATATTTCTTTACCTTTCACACTTAAGTCTCCATTGGAATTGACTTTAGTATATGCATTAGGAAAAAGACAAATTTTTTTCCTTATGTGGTTATCTGATTGATCTAGTCTCATTTGCTAAAAAGGAAGAATCTTTTTTTCTAATTTGGGTAACTATGTATATCTGGATCTGTTTCTAGACACTCTATTCTATTCCATTAGTCTATTTTTCCTATCTATCTATCCCAACACCAGAATGTCTTAATCACTGTAGCTTTGTAGCTTTATAATACATTTTGATATCTGGTAGTACAAATCAGCTTGCCACTACACACACACACACATGCACACACACACACACAAAACCCTACTGAGATTTTCACTGGGATTACAGAAAATTTATACAAAAATTGGAAAAAATTTACAGATTATAAATAATGAGTCTTTCAATCCATGAATATGGTATATATCCCATTTATGTAATTTCTCTCAATTATGTTTTATGGCTTTCAGTGTAGAAGTTTTGCACATCTTGATTACATTTATCCTGAAGTCTGTAATGTTTGTGTTGCTATTGCAAATGATATTCTAAATTCTAACTTTTTTATAAATCTTTTTTCTATTTTTTGCTAGTATATAGGAACATAATTATTTCACTTAATCAGCAAGCTTGCTAACTATAATTATTTTTGACAGCTTTTCCAAAGATATTTTTGGATTTCCTACATAGCCACTTACGTCTGCAAGTAATGAAAGTTTATTTCTTCTTTTCTAATCTATTTAGATTCCTGCTTTTAATCATTTATACATATTTCTTGCCTTATTGCACTGACAAGACATAATGTTAAATATCGCAGTAGCAGCCGATAACTTGGTATAATTCCTGATCTCAAGGGAAAAGCTTTTATCATCTTTCAGTTTCATACTTGTGATTTTTTTAGTAATGATTATTAAAATAGAGAAAATTTATTTTTTTTGCGATGTTTCATTTTTAATGTATAACAGTTTTCTGAAATATTACCGTTGTTTTCATTGTATAGGTACATGTACATGTGCACACACAGACACATGCATGTGTGTAAATACTAATTTTTATTTATTTATTTATTTTTATTGATCATTCTTGGGTGTTCCTCGCAGAGGGGGATTTGGCAGGGTCATAGGACAATAGTGGAGGGAGGGTCAGCAGATAAACAAGTGAACAAAGGTCTCTGGTTTTCCTAGGCAGAGGACCCTGCGGCCTTCCGCAGTGTTTGTGTCCCTGGGTACTTAAGATTAGGGAGTGGTGATGACTCTTAATGAGCATGCTGCCTTCAAGCATCTGTTTAACAAAGCACATCTTGCACAGCCCTTAATCCATTTAACCCTGAGTGGACACAGCACATGTTTCAGAGAGCACAGGGTTGGGGGTAAGGTCACAGATCAACAGGATCCCACGGCAGAAGAATTTTTCTTAGTACAGAACAAAATGAAAAGTCTCCCATGTCTACTACTTTCCACACAGACATGGCAACCATCCGATTTCTCAATCTTTTCCCCACCTTTCCCCCCTTTCCATTCCACAAAACCGCCATTGTCATCATGGCCCATTCTCAATGAGCTGTTGGGTACACCTCCCAGACGGGGTGGTGGCCGGGCAGAGGGGCTCCTCACTTCCCAGTAGGGGCGGCCGGGCAGAGGCGCCCCTCACCTCCCGGACGGGGCGGCTGGCCTGGCGGGGGCTGACCCCCACCTCCCTCCCGGACGGGGCGGCTGGCCTGGCGGGGGCTGACCCCTACCTCCCTCCCAGACGGGGTGGCTGCCGGGCGGAGACGCTCCTCACTTCCCAGACGGGGTGGCTGCCGGACGGAGGGGCTCCTTACTTCTCAGAGGGGGCGGCTGCCGGGCAGAGGGTCTCCTCCCTTCTCAGACGGGGCGGCCGGGCAGAGACGCTCCTCACCTCCCAGACAGGGTCACAGCCGGGCAGAGGCACCCCTCACATCCCAGACGGGGCGGCAGGGCAGAGGCGCTCCCCACATCTCAGACGATGGGCGGCCGGGCAGAGACGCTCCTCACTTCCTAGATGGGATGGCGGCCGGGAAGAGATGCTCCTCACTTTCCAGACTGGGCAGCCAGGCAGAGGGGCTCCTCACATCCCAGACGATGGGTGGCCAGGCAGAGACGCTCCTCACTTCCCAGACAGGGTGGCGGCCTGGCAGAGGCTGCAATCTCGGCTCTTTGGGAGGCCAAGGCAGGCAGCTGGGAGGTGGTTGTAGCGAGCCCAGATCACGCCACTGCACTCCAGCCTGGGCACCATTGAGCACTGAGTGAACGAGACTCGGTCTGCAATCCCGGCACCTCGGGAGGCCGAGGCTGGCGGATCACTTGCGGTTAGGAGCTGGAGACCAGCCCGGCCAACACAGCCAAACCCCGTCTCCACCAAAAAAATACGAAAACCAGTCAGGCGTGGCGGCGCACGCCTGCAATTTTCGCAGGCACTTGGCAGGCTGAGGCAGGAGAATCAGGCAGGGAGGTTGCAGTGAGCGGAGATGGCAGCAGTACAGTCCAGCTTCGGCTCGGCATCAGAGGGAGACCGTGGAAAGAGAGGGAGAGGGAGACTGTGGGGAGAGGGAGAGGGAGACGGAGAGGGAGAGGGAGAGGGAGACGGAGAGGGAGAGGGAGAGGGAGAGGGAGAATACTAATTCGAAAATTTATTTTTTAATTGTACATTTTTATGGGAGCTTCCTGATTGAGGTATACTCCACCCAGTCTTAAATCTGAGCTCCATAGAAACTGAGGCAAAGACAGAATCATGACTAATTACATAGCCATCATTGTTTACTAGAAGGAATCATACCCAAATGAATGAAAGCTCCATGAGAAAAAGAACTTCACATGGAGTCTTCAATGTCATGTAACAAGTGCCTAGAATAGGGCCAGGCAAACAGTAAACATTCAATTAACATTTGCTGGCTGGGTGCGGCGGCTCACACCTGTAATCCCAGCACTTTGGGAGGCCGAGGAGGGTGGATCACAAGGTCAGGAGATCGAGACCATCCTGGCTAACATGGTGAAACCCCGTCTCTACTAAAGATACAAAAAAATTAGCCGGGCATGGTGGCAGGCACCTGTAGTCCCAGCTAGTTGGGAGGCTGAGGCAGGAAAATGGCGTGAACCCAGGGGGCAAAGCTTGCAGTGAGCCAAGATTGCGCCACTGCACTCCAGCCTGGGTGACACAGCAAGAATCCATGTCAAAAACAAACAAACAAAAACATTTGCTGAATGAATATCGATTATGTGGGTCCTAAGAGGACTTTGTTTTGCCTAAAGTTCTTTGTTAGAAGTTCTAATCAACTAATAATGACACCCTTGCAGAAATTTTATTTTTAAATGAAGACATGTTTTATATTTGGCTGTTTCTTAAATGAGCCTCCGTGAAAGTCATGGGCAGTAGAGTAAATTGTACTTGTGGGAAATGCAATTGTACTTGTACTTAATGCAAGGCCAAAGTGATGTAGTTTGGGTTTGCAGCTTATTGGTTCAGTACAGGTTTAGTGCCAACTTTCCAATAACTTTAAATAATAAATGCTGCTCAGAATGGAATAATCTATTATTCTAAAGCACAGTTCCATTTGCTTAAGAATATGTAAATATCGCACCTTCTTGTATAACTTCTATAAAAAGATTTTGAAGTTTTAATTATTTAAAGGTTATATACAAAAAGCTACTTTAGAGGGAACTTTTTTATAACACGGTGTTCTTTTATTTTCCAGGAAGAGAGAAAAGCCAAAAAGTAATTAAAATAATGAAGGTGAAAGTGATTATTATCTCCATAGTATCTCCAAAAACGAAATAGAATGAAACACAACGAAAAACGAATTTAAACAATACAGAAAATAATTAAAACCTTGCTAAAATTGTTTAGGTTCTCTGGCTTCCAGTGAAAAATCAGACTAAAGGATGACCAATTAAATCAGTGTTTTCACTGTAGGAAATGCTAACGTCTAAAGAGGCAGAAGAAGAAAAAAATATTTTACAGGTCAGGGATAAGTCATGAAAAGGATAATAGGGAAAAAGGATAAAATAGTCAAAAACAGGTAAGGAAGGGATTAAATGACAGTAATACTGCTCTTTTAGAAACTCTATTTAATTGACTTTGCCACCATGAAAGCTTTCATATTCTCCAAATATCACTAGGGAGTCCTCAGAATTATTTATATATGACTTAATGACTCATAATAGAAAATATATTCGATATAACATGGGACTCTGTGTAAACTGGGGGCTTTTTCAGAGTAACAGCTTGTCAATAATTCATCTTGTCCATGGTCAAATCTCGTCAAAGTTCACCTCATGGCTATACATTCGAAGTTCAAATCTCTCACCAAAATACAACATAAATTTCAGAGAAACAGACCTGCTCTTGTATATGTATATATACATATCAATTAAGTGGTGCATTTTCTTTTTTTTTTAATAATGAACATCGTTTATTTTCATAAAGGAAAAATACCTTTTTTTTATTATTATTATACTTTAAGTTTTAGGGTACATGTGCACAATGTGCAGGTTAGTTACATATGTATACATGTGCCATGCTGGTTTGTAATAGAAGTAACAGCTGCAAGAACTATCTGACAAGGTATTATAAAACTCTAACCTACTGCATCAACACTTAGTATCATAAAGCTATTGTCCTGCCAGTCTCTCAGAGGTAACTATGAATAAAATCAGGTTAAGAATTCTACCATATCATCCTCCTATTGATGATTTGCATAGGAACTATGGCAAGCAGCTTAGGCACTGGAATATTTCAAATAAATTAATAATGCTGAAATAAGTCAAACACCATTTTGCTTACTACTGCAGAAAATATAATGCTATGACTGCTGATAATCTCTGAAAGTTATTCATTGTGTATAACTGAAACTGTATATACATTGAACAGCAACTGCCTAATTCCCCTTCCCTGCAGCCCTGGGCAGCTACCATTCTACTTTCTGTTTCTCTGAATTTGACTATGTTAGATATCCTATATGAGTGAAATTATGTAATATTTGTCATTATGCTGCTGGCTAATATCAATTAGCATCATATCCTCCAGGTTCATCTATGTTGTAGCATGTGACAGGATTTTCTTGTTTTTTTAAGGCTGAAAAATATTCCATGGTATGCATTTACCACATTTTCTTCATTCAACCATTAATGGACATTTAGTTTATTTGTATATCTTAGCTACTGTGAATAGTGCTACAGTGAACATGAAATCCTTTCTCAAAAAAAGTAAAAATAGAACTACCATGTGCATTTCCACTCTGCAATCTCACTCAGATTACATAACCCAAAAAAATTGGAAACAAGATCTTAAACCACTTTTTTTTAACAAATGGTGATTTGAGTCAAGAGAGTAGTAACTTGAGAGATCACATAGCTAAGAAATGGTGGAGTTAGAAATCAGATCCAGATGTGTCTAACTCTAGTATGTATTCTTAAACAAAACATTAATAATTGTTTCAGAAATAAGTAATATATATCTTTTTATCATTTTTTAAAAAACTGTGAATGCATAATAGCAGATTACCTGATGACCATATGAGCCTGTCAGAAAATGAATTTGTAGTGTCTGTTTTAGCATAAGGAATAAAGGAATATAAATGTACAGAAACACTTATGTAAATCCCATTGTGCTGGCAGAATTGGCTAACTGGAAGAAAATGCTGACCACTTACTGCATATCATTAAAAAAATTAAATTTTAAATGGTTTCAAGTTCAAAATATGAAGAGTGATAATTAAGAAAGTAAGGCTGATGCCATGTCTCAAGCCTGTACTCCCAACACTTTGGGAGGCCGAGGTGGGCCGATCACTTGAGATCAGGAGTTCAAGACTAGCCTGGCCAATATGGTGAAACCCCCATCTCTACTAAAAATACAAAAATTAGCCGGGCGCGGTGTTGGGTGCCTGTAGTCCCAGCTACTCGGGAGGCTGAGGCAGGAGAATTGAATTGCTGGAGCGCAAGAGGCGGAGGTTGCAGTGAGCCAAGATCGCACCAGTGCACTCCAGCCTGGGCAACAGAGCAAGACTCTGTCTCAAAAATAAATAAATAAGAAAGTGAAAAACTAAAGAGTTCAGGGGAACATCTTAAAATAATGGAATGGAGCCTACTGAAGCAGGATGTGATTACAAATGAATTTGAATTCATTTATATGACAATATGAATTGGGTACTTACCATGTATCAGACACTCTTCTAGGTACTAGGGTTATGGTATGAACAAAGCAGACAATAATACCTGTATGTGGAATTTATATTTTACTGGGGAAAAGACATGATAAATACAATAATTAAGAAAAATAATATGAAATGGTGATTAGTGCTAAAGAGAACAAAAAGAAAATGGGACAGAGAATGCTGGAGCAGGACTGATGGATTTTCACTGAGATGGACACGAGAAGCAGTCCTGCAATGGGACGTTTAAACAGAGATCTGAACAAGGCAAGGGAGTGTACCATCGCGGTAAGTGGCGAATGAGCTCTCCCAGGAGAGAGGCGCACATGAAGTCCTGGAGGTAACAGTATAAGTACCAAGCTGGAGCAAAGTTAGCAATGGGGAGGGGCTAGTATGCACAGAGCTGCTCCTATATTTTAATGGTTGCAGAGCTGCCGAGAAGTCCGTGTGCACATATTTTTCTTAATAATTAATAATCAGTGTTCTGAGGTCTTTGTAAAACACACAACTTTTAGCAGAATGACTGCCCAGCTGAAAAGTTGAGCGTTGACTACAGGGATCCACTCAGAGGAGGAGGCCAATCCCAGGGCAGTTCACCTCATACCCGGGCAGGCTGGTCTGTAAGGTCCCTCAGCCCTGCTGTTGACTATGAACAACTCTGGAAGGTGAGCATTCGTAAGAAATGAGCAATGTCGGCCAGGCGCGGTGGCTCACGCCTGTAATCCCAGCACTTTGGGAGGCCAAGACGGGCGGATCACGAGGTCAGGAGATCGAGACCATCCTGGCTAACATGGTGAAACCCCGTCTCTACTAAAAATACAAAAAAATTAGCCAGGCATGGTGTTGGGCACCTGTAGTCCCAGCTACTCGGGAGGCTGAGGCAGGAGAATGGCGTGAACCCGGGAGGTGGAGCTTGCAGTGAGCCGAGATGGCGCCACTGCACTCCAGCCTGGGCGACAGAGCGAGACTCCATCTCAAAAAAAGAAAAAAGAAATGAGCAATGTCTTCTGCAAGCTATACGTCCACTCTACCAGAGGGTGCCTCCCCTGGGAAACAGCCTTCCCAGGAAGCCCTTTATCCCAAATTCCTTTTTGTTCTTGGACAAAGAAGAGAAGGTTCAAGTTCCTACTTCACACCTCTCCCTGGCTTCAGATAATGGACCCCAGATTGGGAATGAGATTGAGAAAAGGGGAACAAGAGAAAAAGGAATCCAGAACCGGCCACTTCACAAGCAGTAACAACCAAATTTGAAAGGACTACAGTGTTGTTGCCAGTACTGCCCTCCGTGGGCCTCCATTGGCCCTTCCACTGGTGGGCCCCAGGGTACTTGGTTCATACTCAGGCTCTGAGTATGAATGGAAGGGCCAATCTCTTAAGCCTGACACTCTTCAAACCAGAGAAAGGAAATCACCTGCACCATTCTTTGACTGGAAAATAATCAAAGTTGAGGTATTTTATAAACTTTAAGTTTATTCTTAATATTATTACAAATACTTTAAGTGTATCAATATATGTTCTATCAAAACCAATCAACCTCATTTTAAAAAGCACATTTTCTTCACAAACATTTCTGTCATCTTTAAAAAGTCTCCCTTTTGAGACAGGCCTTGCTCTGTCACTCAGGCCACAGTGCAGTAGCATGATCATGGTTCACTGTAACCTTGAACTCCTGGCCTCAAGCAATCCTCTCACCTCGGCCTCCCAAAGCACTGGGATAATAGGCGTGAGCCACTGCACTCAGCCAAAATCTCTTTTTTTTTTTTTTTTTTTGAGACAGTCTCGCTCTGTCACCCAGGCTGGAGTACACTGGCGTGATCTCTGCTCACGGCAAGCTCCGCCTCCTGGGTTCATGCCATTCTCCTGCCTCGGCCTCCCGAGTAGCTGGGACTACAGGTGCCTGCCACCTCACCCAACTAATTTTTTTTTTTTTGTATTTTTAGTAGAGACGGGGTTTCACCATGTTAGCCAGGATGGTCTCGATCTCCTGACCTCGTGATCCACCCGCCTCGGCCTCCCAAAGTGTTGGGATTACAGGCGTGAGCCACCGCTCCCAGCCAAAAAATCTCTTTTAAATGTACTCGTCTGAGCAGCTCATCTTAGCCCTCTGAGAAAGCCAATACACTGTTACAGAAATCAAAACTCTCTCTCCTTTGTTCATGACCTAGGACACCAAGAATCAATCCTGCTTATACATACAGTCGATCAGTTATAGAACTTTGTTTTAGCCTATTTCCCCCTACACACCACACAGGCTTCTGACTCAGTTTTGCTCTGTGTGGAAGAATTTCAATCCAAATCTGTTGGGGTATGGTAGCAAGGCCATGTTTTCCAATTCTTTGGAAGTTGGTGGTAACTAAAATGGAAAAGAGATTCTTAGCACAAGGAAAATTAGAGATTTGATTAGCTATATGAAATTTAGTCAATCAAATATTCCATGGTATGCATTTACCACATTTTCTTCATTCATCCATCAATGGACACTTAGTTTATGTGTATATCTTGGCTACTGTGAATAATGCTACAATCAACATGAAACCCTTTCTTAAAAAAATTAAAAATAGAACGACCATGGGTAATTCTACTCTGCAATCACACTCAGATTACATAACCCAAGAAAACTAGAATCAAGATCTTACACCACTTTTTTTTTAACAAATGGTGATCTCAAGAGAGGAAAAGTTCAGATTCAAACGACTCAAAGAGGTAAATTTGTAGGTAAAAAAAAACTGAGGGCCTCAATATGATAGTTTCTCTTCCTTGTGCTGGTACCGTGTACAGCAGTGTGGCATGCCATATGACAAAGGTGACTGAAAAACAAATTCCAATGCTACAGTGTCCAGGACCTAGCTCATTCTTTATAGTCTGTGATCCACATCACCACCACAAAGTTCATCCCTGCACTTTGAAGGTCCCAACTTATGTAAATTCCACACATCACAGGACAATAAAAACAAGTTATTCTAAATACTTAGAAGGGAGGAAAGAATACAAAGTATGAAAGAAAATATGTTGGCCGGGCGCGGTGGCTCACGCCCGTAATCGCAGCACTTTGGGAGGCTGAGGCGGGCAGATCATGAGGTCAGGAGATCGAGACTATCCTGACTAACATGGTGAAACTCCTTCTCTACTAAAAATACAAAAAATTAGCCAGGCGTGGTGGCGGGCACCTGTAGCCCCAGCTACTCAGGAGGCTGAGGCAGGAGTATGGCGTGAACCCAGGAGGCAGAGCTTGCAGTGAGCAGAGATCGCACCACTGCACTCGAGCCTGGGCGACAGAGCGAGACTCCGTCTCAAAAAAAAAAAAAAAGAAAATATGTTATGCACATTTCTTTCCAGTTATAGCCAGTGACAGCTCTTCTACTGGATCAGCTATCGATTGCCACAACAAAGCTGCATAACAAACAACCACTCAAGCTCAGTGCTCTCTTGGCAGCCACAGAGGAGCTAGAGAGGAAGTGGAAATATGCAAGGGCCTTGTTGAGGCTCTGTTTTTGTCATGTCTGTTAGTATCCCTTTACCAAAGCAATGCACATGGGCAAGGCCAGTGTGAGAATGGGAAGGCACTGCAAAGTCACGTGACTGAGGGCAACAGGCAGAAAGGAATGATCAGATGCTTAACGTGTTACTATATTTCAGTTATTGAATACTCATTTGATTATTGTTTTTAGATTCAATCTCTTAATGATGTTTTCCACCTTGGCATCTATCTTCCTGAATATACTAATCACTATTATGTCAGTCTGCCTCTGTTAACTTCAATTTCTGGATCAACTCTGCATCTGTTTCTATTATCTGTTTTTTCTTGGTCTTATACCTTAGAATGCCTAATAGTTTTCTGGTTCTTTCTTTAATTTAATAACTGATGTTGTGGATGAAAAAATATCAATTCATTAGAGAGCATTATCTTCTTTTAGAATGAATTTTTGAGGCATCTGGCAGGGCAGTTATGTTAAGGGAAATTTCCATCATCTTAACACAATGAGGCATGGGGCTGGTTTGAGATTGGATTTCAGTCTTTCTAAGTCCTAATATAATTCTTATTTCCCCTGACTCCTATGGTGTTGTCCTTCTGGCAGCACAACTAAAGTTGAGGGTAATTACCAGTGAACTTCAGAATCCAAAATTCCAATGTTCACCTTTTCAGCACTCATGAGACAGCTAATAGTTCAGCTGAAATTTTCTGACTTTTTTCACTTGGCATCATTCCCTAGAATGATGTTCCATAGAAATTGTTGTGTACATCATTGTTCATTTCTTTGTATTACTGAGTAGTATTCCATGTTATGGGTGCATCATAGTTTGTGTAACCATTCACCTATTGAAGGACATTTTGACTGTTTCCAATATTTGGCTATTTCACATAAAGTTACTATGAATGCTTGTGTACAATTTTTAGTGTGGACATAAGTTGTTATTTCTCTTGGATGAATACCCAGGAATGCAACTGCTGAGTTGTGTAGTAAGTGCATATTTAGTTTTATCAGAAACTGCTGAATGATTTTCCAGAGTGGCTGTGTCATTTTTAACTTCCACCAGCAACATCTGAGTAATCCAGTTTTTCTGCATCCTCACCAGTACCTGGTGTCATCAACATTTTTTATTTTAGTCATGCTGATAGGTATATAGTGACATCTCATTGTGATTTTACTTTTGTATTTCTCTAATGGCTGTTAGATAACTTTTTGTGTGCTATTAATCATCTATATATCTTCATCAGCGAAATATCTGTGCATTTCTTTTGCCCATTTCCCAATTGGATTCTTTATGTTTTACTGCTTATTTTGAGGCTTCTTTATATATTCTAAATACTAGTCTTTTGCCAGATACGTGAGTTGAAAATATTATATTACTGTCTGTAGCTTATCTTTTCATTCTCTTTACAGGGTTTTAATTTGATAATGATCAAGGATTTTGACTCCTAGGTAATTCCTCAAGAAGCTACATATCTAATAGAACCTAATTCTACATTTGCTAGGGGACACATGAAAGAGTGTTCCAAGCAGAACCGTTCACAGTACAAAAACCCTAGAGATAATATGTCCACTGACACAAGTAAATGAGTAAGTGCTAAGATATTCACAGAAAGGAATCGTATAAAGGAATCAAAGGGAATAACCAACCATGTGGTTGAATTTTAGAAATAAACTATTATATTTCTAAATATAATATAATATATATTATATTTCTAAATATAATATAATATATATTATATTTCTAAATATAATATAATATATATTATATTTCTAAATATAATATAATATATATTATATTTCTAAATATAATATAATATATATTATATTTCTAAATATAATATAATATATATTATATTTCTAAATAGTATATTTAGAAATATACTATTGAGTGGGGAAAGAAGATTGCTTAGTATATGTTTTCTATAAAGTTAGAAATAAAATATATTGGCAAAATTATAGAAGCAACAAAAATACATAAATAAAAATGGGTTAATTAACAAAGTGGTGGGATGACTGTTACTTTTGGTGGGAAGAAGAGAAGGTTTTGAAATGTAGGGGGACTATAAAGCTAAATGTAAATTATGGCCAGGTTAAAGCAATGAGTAGTAGACTCACAGGTGCTTCTTACCTTAACAAGTAAGCAGTCTGTTGAAAAAAACAAAAAAATTAAGTAAACCAGCACACTAAATTCAGTGTGTTGTGAACATGAGTCACATTCAAAAATTTTTAAGGGGAAGAAATAGCAAATACATGATTTCAGTTTTATGTGGCATTAGTTTATTATGAGATGGATGAATGGATGGATGGATGGATGGATGGATGGACGGAGGACAAAATGGAAAGATTTTAGTGTATCAGTTACTATTTATTGCCTACCTGACATTCAAAGCTGCTTCTTTCTTTCTGACATGATATTGATTTTTTTTTTAGGTATCCACCCTCCTTTATTTAACTCATGCTTGCTTCACAGATTCTAAAAGGCAGGTTTGGATTCCTTTTATGTGTTCATAAGGGCCCCACTCCCTTTGCAGCTAATTGATGTAGACAAGCAATTAAGTGGTTCTTGCTAAACAGATTTGAATGTTACTCTACTAAGAATCTTCTGAAAATGTATCTTCATTCTTTTTTTTTTTTTTTTTTTTTTTTTTTTTGAGACAGAGTCTTGCTCTATCGCCCAGGCTGGAGTGCAGTGGCACAATCTCCACTCACTGCAAGCTCCGCCTCCCGGGTTCACACCATTCTCCTGCCTCAGCCTCCCAAGTAGCTGGGACTACAGGTGACTGCCACCACACCCGGCTAATTTTTTTGTGTGTGTTTTTAGTAGAGATGGGGTTTACCATGTTAGCCAGGATGGTCTTGATCTCCTGACCTCATGATCCGCCTGCCTTGGCCTCCCAAAGTGCTGGGATTACAGACGTGAGCCACTGTACCTGGCCCCCAGTATCTTCATTCTTAAGAAGGTACATTATTTTATTTTTTGCCTATCAATGCTTCCTAGCCTGGAGGATATGAAAATATATCTAAATCAACTGCAAGGACCATGCCACCTTTAGAGAGTGATCTAGAAGATCAAGCCCACACATTGAGTTTGGCAGAGAAGAAAGAGGGCCTTAGCCTTACTGAACTGCTGGACTTAAAAAACCTTGGACCTAACCTGCCTTTGCACTTATTTTGACATTTACTTTCCTATTAATCCAGTTGATTTTTTTTAACTTACAATGTAGATATATAGATGATACATAAATCACTTTAAATGACAGGTTAGAAAACATTTACTTCAAGTAGCCATATTATATGGTGAATACTGTCAAAAGATTCAAAATCATTATGTGATGGGCCTGGCCAAGACAATGGTATGCATCAGGGATCTGGAAGAACCAGCACATTCAAATTGGGCAGGCTGAGACCAGCTTACAAAGGTCTGGGTAGGATGCAGGGAATTCCCAAGTGATATGGTTCGGCTGTGTCCTCACCCAAATCTTATCTTGCATTGTAGCTCTCATAATCCCTGTGTGTCATGGGAGGGACCCAGTGGGAGGTATCTGAATCATGGGGGCAGGTTTTTCCCATGTCGTTCTCATGATAGTGAATGTCTCACTAGATTGGATGGTTTTATAAAGGGCAGTTCCCCTACACATGGTCTCTTGCCTGCCGCCGTGTAAGACATACCTTTGTTCCTCCTTCACCTTCCTCCATGATTATGAGGCTTCCCCCGCCATGTGGAACTGTGATTCCATTAAACCTCTTTTTCTTTATAAATTACCCAGTCTCGAGGTATGTCTTAATGCAGTGTGAGAATGAACTAATATAGTAAACTGGTACCAGTAGAGTGTGGTGCCGCTGTAAAGATACCCAAAATGTGGAAGTGAATTTGGAACTAGGTAACAGGCAGAGGGTGGAATAGTTTGGAGGGCTCAGAAGAAGAAAGGAAAATGTGGGAAAGTTTGGAACTTCCTAGAGACTGTTGAATGGCTTTGACCAAAATGTTGATAGTGATATGCACAATAAAGTCCAGGCTGAGGTGGTCTCAGATGGAGATGAGGAACTTGTTGGGAACTGGAGTAAAGGTCACTCTTGCTATGCAAAGAGACTGGTGACATTTTGCCCCTGCCCTAGAGATCTGTGGAACTTTGAACTTGAGAGAGATGATTTAAAGTATCTGGTAGAAGAAATTTCAAAGTGGCAAAGTGTTCAAGATGAAGCAGAGCTTAAAAGTTTGAAAAATTTGCAGCCTGACAATGCAGCACAAAAGCAAAACCCATTTTCTGAGGATAAATTCAAGCCAGCTGCAGAAATTTGCATAAGTAACAAGGAGCCAAATGCTAATCACCAAGACAATGGGGAAAATATTTCCAGGGCAAGTCAGAGACCTTTGCAACAGCCCCTACCATCACAGGCCCAGAGGCCTGGGAGGGAAAATGGTTTCCTGGGCTGGGTCCAGGGCCCGCCTGCTGTGTGCAGCCTTTAGACTTGGTGCCCTGCATCCCAGCTGCTCCAGCCATGGCTAAAAGGGCCAAGGTACAGCCCAGGCCGTGGATTCAGAGGGTGCAAGCCCTAAGCTTTGGCAGCTTCCACATGGTGTGTTGAGCCTGTAGGTGCATAGCAGTCAAGAATTGAAGTTTGGAAACCTCTGCCTAGATTTCAGAGGATGTATGGAAATGCCTGGATGTCCAGACAGAGGTGTGCTGCAGGGGCAGAGCCTTCATGGAGAACCTCTGCTAGGGCAGTGTGGAAGGGAAATGTGGGGTGGAAGCCCCTATACAGAGTCTCCATTGGGCACTGCCTAGTGGAGCTGTGAGAAGAGGGCCACTGTCCTCCAGACCCCAGAATGGTCGATCCACTGACAGTTTGCACCATGAACCTGGAAAAGCCACAGCCACTCAATGCCAGCCCGCGAAAGCAGCTGGGAGGGGAGCTGTGCCCTGCAAAGTCACAAGGATGGAGCTACCCAAGACCATGGGAACCCACCTCTTGCATCAATGTGACCTGGATGTGAGACATGGAGTCAAAAGAGATCATTTTGGAGCTTTAAGATTTGACTGCCCTGCTGGATTTTAGACTTGCATGGGGCCTGGAGCCCCTTTGTTTTGGCCAATTTCTCTTATTTGGAATGGGAATATTTATTCAATGCCTGTACCCCCATTGTATATAGAAAATAACTAACTTGCTTTTGATTTTACAGACTCATAGGCGAAAGGGACTTGCCTTGTCTCAGATGAGACTTTGGACTTGGACTTTTGGGTTAATGTTGAAATGAGTTAAGACATTGGAGGACTGTTGGGAAGGCATGATTGTATTTTGAAATGTGAGGACATGACATTTGGGAGGGGCCCAGGGAAGAATGATATGGTTTGGCTATGCCCTTCCCCCAAAATCTCATCTTGAATTGCAGCTCCCATAATCCCCATGTGTCATGGGAGGGATTCAGTGGGAAGTAATTGAATCATGCGGGCGGGTTTTTCCCATGCTGTTCTCATGATAGTGAATAAGTCTCATGAGATCTGATGGTTTTATAAAGGGCAATTCCCCTGCACATGCTCTCTGTCTTGCCACCATGTAAGATGTGCCTTTGATCCTCCTTCACCTTCCTCCATGATTGTGAGGTCTCCCCAGCCATATGTAACAGTGAGTCCATTAAACCTCTTTTTCTTTATACATTACCCAGTCTCAGATATATCTTTATTAGCAGCCTAAGAATGGACTAATACACCAAGAGAGAGTATAATGCCCCAGGGCCAGGGCCACTGTGACCTGTGGTAACAATGGATGGGCACAGTTACTGGGACCTGGAGCACAGAACATGTGTCAAGATGCCAGTTGTCAGGAGCTGTGTGGCAGTTATCTATTCCACAATAAAACTGGGGATATCAATATCCACAAGATATCAATAAAATTGATTATCTCACAGTTTCTGTGGTTCAGGAATCTGAGAAGGGCTTACCTGGAGGCCTCTGGCTCAGTCTCTCAAAAGCTGCCATCAAGTCACAGGCCAGGGTCATCTCAAGGCTCACCTGGGGAAGGATCCTCTTCTAAGCTCACACATGTGGTTGCTGGTATTTGGAAATGGAGTCCTTGGAGGTTATAGGTTTAGGCGAGGTCATGAGGGTGGGACCCTCATGAATGGGGTTAGTGTCCTTATAAAAAGGAATACCAGCAAATTCTCTCTCTTTTTCCCATGTGAGGACACAGCAAGAAAGCAGACATCTGCAAATCAGGGAGACAGCCCTCAGCAGACACAAGACCTGTTGACGCCTTAATCTTGGACTTCCCAGCCTTCAGAACTGTGGAAAATAAATGTTTGTGGTTTAAGCCACCCAGTCTATGATGTTTTGTTATAGCAGCCTGAATTGACTAAGACAGATACCTTGAAAACCACCATCCCCTGCTGAGCAATATTGTTCTGCTCCTTAGGCTGATTTCAGTTTTCTTTCACTTAGCATTTCATAACTTTAATTTGCTTGTTAAAAAATTTATCTGGATCTTTTATTCCCTTTATCCTAAACTTCAAACCACCCACTTTCTTTTGCAAGTTTTCTGTTTGACACCATTCACTTCCTTTTCTTTCTCCTTCATTCATTTCTCCCTTTCTCCCTCTTTCCCTCCCTCCCTCCATTCCTTTTGTCCTTTCTTCCTTCCTTTCTTCTTTCTTCCTTTATTTTTTTCATCTGACTCTTTCCCTGGCAATTGTCCTTGGCTCCTTCGTTTACAGTAGTCACTCTTGATGGTGAGCATTTTGAATCTCCAAATGACTATGAAATCTTTTTATTTCTCATTAGCGCATGCAGGTAGTACATGTGTTTCAGTAAAATTGAGGAAGCCTGGCAGACACTCTGTGGTCTCTGCTGCATTTTCTCTGGAATAGCTACAGCTCTGTGTAGCAATATGGTTAAGGCACCATATTGTGTGAAGGCCCACCTAGCCTGGGCATCACTGTATCTCTGTCTTCCTAACAAAATGAAGTGGAAATTTCAAAAAAATCAGGAGATGGAACAAAAGTTTTCTCATGTTTTTTACTGCTTATTAAATGAACAACGAACAATAATCCAATGTTAAATGTAAAGTTTTCAGCCCTCTGCCTGAATAGGCTCACCTAGTTATTTGAACATGCCTCACTCCAAATCTTGTCCTCAGCAACTGTGGATAAATCATGACAGAGAAGTTCCCCTAACCTACAGCAGAGGCTCCTCAAGCTATGCCACCCTACTGATATAGAAGTGGAGAAAGAGTGCTGGGCGTGGTGGCTCACGCCTGTAATCCCAACACTTTGGGAGTCTGAGGCAGCGGCTCACGAGGTCAGGAAATCGAGACCATCCTGGCTAACACTGTGAAACCCGGTCTCTAATAAAAATACAAAAAATTAGCCGGGCGTGGTGGTGGGCGCTTGTAGTCCCAGCTACTTGGGAGGCTGAGGCAGGAGAATGGAGCGAACCCGGGAGGCGGAGCTTGCAGTGAGCCGAGATTGTGCCGCTGCACTCCAGCCTGGGCGACAGAGCGAGAGTCCGTCTCAAAAAAAAAAAAAAAAAAAAAAAAAGAAAGAGAAAAAGAAAAAAAAATAATGGAGAAAGAGGTGTTCTGGCCCATTTAGTTACATTTTCCAGGGCAAAAATCACGGATACATGGTGAAATTCAACTATATTCTCTGCCCAAGATAAAATCCAATTACAGCCTCTGCTCAATGAGGAAATCCCATCACAGGTTCCTTTTGCTTCACTAGGAGACAAAGAGACAAGTTTGTTTATAATCTATTTATAGAGGCATACACACCTTAAAAAAAAGTGGTCCTCAAGTAGGAGATTTGCATTTGTTGGTCATTTTATTTCTGGGCAGATGTTCAGTCTTTCTAACTTGAAAAGTGTCTAGCAACTTTGGCTGACCTTATTAAGATTAATGGTCATAATGTATTTAAATCCCCTGTTGTTCTAAGAAGGATTAAACAAAAGTTATGGGAGGCCCTTGTTTTAGACTGAGCTATTACAAATTGGGCCACAAGAGACCAGACTAAACCAAAATGGAGTCACTCATGCTAAATACCATATAATTAAACTGGAACTCTAAGGAAACAGGTAGATCCCACATCAGACTTGTTTTTCCTGAAATCAGGGGATACAAGTCTGAGTCAGTATACTAAAAAAGTCCCCTCTGCTTTAACGCTTATGAACAAAGTAACCTGCAGGAACCTGAAGTTAACCAGTCAGCTTTTGTTCTATTGTTCTACTTCCTTGTTCTCAGTATGACCTCTCATTCTATTTTGTAGTATGGAGGCATCTCTGATTAACAAATCATGAGAAGAAAGCCAATTAGATAACCAAATAATTATTATCTCTTACTGAAATAACTCCCAAGGACCTTTGGCAAGATCTAGCACTAACCAAATTTTCCCAGAAAAAAATTTTGGGAAAGGACTATTTGTGGATTGTAAACCACTACTAGGGCAGATCCCAACTGATTAGAGATGGATTTTGAGGATGCACTCAAGAAAAAGAAGCACAAGTTAAAGTAGTACCTGTCACCTGTGCTTTTTCCAAAGAAGGTTTTGTGAACTTCAATATTTAAACAGGAAAGAGTAAGAAGGAGTGGAAGAAACAAAAGGAGGGAGGGTAGGCATTGATGCAAGTGGTGAGGCATTGATTAGCACTCAGTGAATCTATATTTTACACATGCAAAGAAGGGCGTAGAGGAAAAAGTCAATTATGCATTCATTTCATGCTCAGTAAATCTATATTTTCCGTAAGATAAAGCAAGCATGTGAAATCATGGTTCTTTCTGTTTGGGAACAAAAAGAAGGCAGTTTTATGCGTGACTCAGTTCCCACTCTTAACTTTTCGCTTTGGCATAGTGAGACGGGAGTCCTAAGACGTTATTTATTTATTTATTTATTTATTTATTTATTGACGGAGTTTCACTCTGTCGCCCAGGATGGAGTGCAGTGGTGCCATCCCTGCTCACTGCAACCTCTGCCTCCCAGGTTCAAGCGATTCTGTTGCCTCAGCCTCCTAAGTAGCTGGGACTACAGGCACCTGCCACCACACAGGCTAATTTTTGTTTTTTCAGTAGAGACAAGGTTTTACCATGTTGGCCAGGCTGGTCTTGAACTCCTGACCTCAAGTGATCTGCCCACCTCGGCCTCCCAAAGTGCTGGGATTACAGGCTTGAGCCACCGCCCCTGGCCCAGCCAAGGATTTATTTGTGCCTGCAGATAGCTGTATGAACAGACACCTGTAAGAATTGGGGGAATTCCTCTCTTCTCAATGTTCCAAAGTAACTTGAGGTTCCGGGCCATTCAAAGGTGAAATTTTTTACTCACCACAGGTCAGGAGCTTTGTAAAGGAATTGCATGCAGAGGGTACCATGCCAGTTTTTCCAAGGGGTTTTTCTCAGCCCTTAAAGTCAATTTTAATTCCTCAAAGCAGTCTGGTTATTTCTGAAAAA
Organism: Homo sapiens; assembly: GCF_000001405.40. Lineage (NCBI taxonomy): Eukaryota > Metazoa > Chordata > Mammalia > Primates > Hominidae > Homo > Homo sapiens. The sequence goes on from NC_000013.11 coordinate 22,876,423, forward strand.
ATGTCATTCCAGTCAAAGACTTGATAAAATATCCAACGTCTCCAATTGGGTTCTGTTACAAGAGAAAACAGATTCTTATTGAACTTATGCAAATAATTATATTGCCATAAATTAAGGATTGTCAAAAATAGTTTCCAAATTCGGCTGGGCGCAGTGGCTCATGCCTGTAATCCCAGCACTTTGGGGAGGCCGAGGAGGGCGGATCATGAGGTCAGGAGATCGAGACCATCCTGGCTAACACAGAGAAACCCCGTCTCTACTAAAAATACAAAAAAATTAGCCGGGCGTGGTGGCGGGGGCCTGTAGTCCCAGCTACTTGGGAGGCTGAGGCAGGAAAATGGCGTAAACCCGGGAGGCAGAGCTTGCAGTGAGCGGAGATCGTGCCACTGCACTTCAGCCTGGGTGACAGAGTCAGAGTCCATCTCAAAAAAAAAAAAAAAAAAAAAAAGTTTCCAAATTCTGGAGAAATCAGGTAAAAGAAAAAGAAACGTGGCTGGGCGCTGTGGCTCACACCTGTAATCCCAGCACTTTGGGAGGTTGAGGCAGGTGGATCACAAGGTCAGGAGATCGAGACCATCCTGGCTAACATGGTGAAACCCTGTTTCTACTAAAAATACAAAAAAATTAGCTGGGTGTGGTGGCGGGTGCTTGTAGTCCCAGCTACTCAGCAGGCTGAGGCAGGAAAATGGTGAACCCGGGAGGTGGAGCTTGCAGTGAGCTGAGATCGCACCACTGCACTCCAGCCTGGGTAACAGAGCAAGACTCCGTCTCAAAAAAGAAAATAAAAGAAGAAAAAGAAAAAGAAACGTGTTTCAGATTCTGGTCATAAGAGTATACTTTACTCAATTGTTAAAAATTATAAATAGATCAAAAGAAAAAAGCTATCTTTTTAAAGTAATTTCTATTTTTATTTTAGATTCAGGGGGTATATGCACAGGTTTGCTACCTGGGTATATTGCATGGTGCTGAGGTTTTGGGTACAAATGTTCCCATCACCCAGGTAGTGAATATAATACTCAGTAGTTTTCAACCTATGCGTCCTCCTTCCCTCCTACCTCTAGTAGTCCCCAGTGCATATCATTGCCATCTTTATGTCCATGAGCTCCCAAATGTTTAGCTCCCACTTGTAAATGAGAACATGTGGTATTCAGTTTCCTATTCCTGCATTAATTCACTTAGGATAGTGGCTGCATCCATGTTGCCGCAAAGAACATGATTTCATTTTTTATGGCTGCATAGTACTCCATGGTGTATATGTACCACGTTTTCTTTATCCAATCCACTATTGATGGACGCCTAGGTTGATTTCATGTCTAAAAGTTTTCTTGACTGAAAAAAAAAATCAACAATGCTTCAAACAAAAAGGGTTATAAAATATATTTCAGTCCTCTGTTAGTTCAGTTCTATGAAATTAATTCATTTCATTTGATATTGGGATTAGTAATCCTCATGAACACAGTAGCTCTACAATGAGAGTTCTGGAAGTTTGTTTCTCTACTCTACTGATGAAATCTCCAAGGTTGTCAGAAACTTACATTTGAAGCACCCATCAGAATCCTTTCTGTGAACTACCCTAAAGAAGCAAGTTTTGGACTATAGCTGATTATTAACTGCTTTTTGAGAAGAATCAAATAAAATAATAATTGTCTGTGGATGACAAAAGTTTTAGGACAGCCATGGTTAAAGATAAGGAAATTTGGTTATTTCTGTGTCATACTAAAATTTAACTTAATAATACTTATTTTGATTATTATGATTATCAGACAAATCAGAACTATAGGATCTCATTGTGCCACGGCATTCCGCCTGGGTGACAGAATGAGACTCTTTCTCAAAAAAAAAAAAATTATAAGATCTCATACAATTTTGGAACACATGTTAATAACACACTTATGTAAGTAGAACCCAAAGAAACTTAAAAACCATTTCATATTTGAATGTTTCCTATATGATTTTAACATATCGAATAAGCCAAATGTGTTTCTTTTAGACTTCAGGGGACCTATTATCTAAAAAAGCTAATGAAGTAAAAAAAATACTGAATTACAATTGAAATTTTAATGTTTGAAAGTTTCTCAAATGTCAAATGTTTAAAACACTCTACACCGCAAGATAGAATTACAGGTCACTATAAAATAAATTATTCACTTAGCCACAATCATAATTCAAAGACTTTAAAAATCATTCACTTTTTGATAGAGCAGAGACTCAGTTTCCCAAACAATATGACCTAATAAAGATCGAATGAGGCGAACTGAATATCTCCCTCTCTCCCTCTTTATTTTATAGTTTACTCAAGAGGTAAACAAAAATCTTTCTTTATCAAAATAGAAAACCAGCCGGGCGCGATGGCTCACGCCTATAATCCCAGCACTTTGGGAGGCTGAAGCAGGTGGATCACTTGAGTTCGGGAGTTCGAGACCAGCCTGGCCAACATGGCAAAATCCTGTCTCTACTAAAAATATAAAAATTAGGCAGACATGGTGGCAGGCGCCTGTAATCCCAGCTACTCTGGAGGCTGAGGCAGGAGAATCGCTTGAACCTGGCGGAGGTTTCAGTGAGCCCAGATCAGGCCACTGCACTCCAGCCTGGGTGACAAGAGCGAAACTCTGTGTCAAAAAAAAAAAGAGAGAGAGAAAACCAAATTTTACTTTTACATTAGTGTAGCATTAACACTAAAGATAATTTTTTTTTTTAAATTTAGAGACAGGGTCTCGCTATGTTGCCTAGGCTGGAGGGCAGTGGCTATTCACAGGCCCATCCCATTACTGATCAGCACGAATTTTGCCCTGCCCCATTTCCGACCTAGGCCAGTTCACCCCTCTGTTGGCAACCTGGTAGTCCCCTGCTCCCAGGAGGTCACCATGCTAAAACTAATTTTTAATGAAACCTTATAAACAAATTCATCCAATCTTAATAAGTTTGATCATAAGGTAAGATTTCCATAAACCTCTCATAGCCTGTTATAGTTTTCTATTAAAGAACAGATTAATGCTCCAAGGAAACCATTGTTGTCACACAGGAGCCCAGACTGTGGCATCAGTGTGCTTTTGATATTAATCCTGAATTTATAGAAAAACTAAATAATATCTTTTAAATTTTAGCCAACTTGATCACACACAGAATTCCTTTTACAAGATCTGTCTTCCACAAACCTTCTTCAATTTCCTAACACCTTTAGCCTTATCCTATCATTCTGCCTTAGCACAAAAATTTACTTTCTTTTCAACTTTCTATATCCGTTTAGTTTTTAGTTTTATTCATCTTTTTTCCTCTTTTAATTTAAGAAAACCTCTAGACTAGGCAAAATTACTTCCCCTTTAAGAGAAAACATATTTCCATGCCTTCTCATAAGCTTTTTACCAAAACGTATCTACTTTTCTAAGTTTGCATATTAAATTGTTTCTTTTATATCTAGTAGTTTTCACTACATACATTGATTATGTTAACTGTTAGTAACTCTTATTTTTAGTGAAAAACTTAGGAAGTAATTTTTACTGTGTACTAGATGCAGAGTCCAGAACAAAGGACAATGCCTGGAAATAGGGCTTGTTATATTTTAGAGGCTCAAATCTAAAACCATAAGTTTATTTAAGAGTTATGTATCAAAAATTACATAAAAGCAAGTTTTGACCTTAAAACATCTAGCAGATATAGTATCAAACCAGTAGACCAATAGTCTCAGACAAAATGTCTAAATTCTGAAGATGTTTCCATTTTATTTTACCAATAATTTTAAAACTGTCTTTATTTACTAAAGATTATTAAAGTCACATGAACTAAAAGGCATTTAAGTTTCTATTTTTATGATAAAATATTTGATTTAACACATTTTCATTAAGCCAATTAGAGTGCTTTCATATTGAAGGAAGACCCTCTCATATTATTTTATATTGTTTTATACTCAGTACCTGTTTTAAGAAAAAACAACAAGGAAGTAAAACCAAAGACAGGCAGCCCAGCGCCAGGCCCGAAACCAGGCCTGGGCCTGACTGGCCTAAACCCAGTAGTTAAAAATCAACTCATAACTTAGAAACCGATGTTATTCATAGATTCCAGACATTGTATAGAAGAACACTGTGCAACTCCCTGCCCTGTTCTGTTTCTTTCTGACCACCGGTGCATGCAGCCCCTGTCATGTACCCCCTGCTTGCTCAAATCAATCACGACCCTTTCATGTGAAATCTTTAGTGTTTTGAGCCCTTAAAAGGGATAGAAATTGTGCACTCGGGGAGCTCGGATTTTAAGGCAGTAGCTTGCCGATGCTCCCAGCTGAATAAAGCCCTTCCTTCTACAACTCGGTGTCTGAGAGGGTTTGTCTGTGGCTCGTCCTGCTACAATATATTTTGGTAGTGAAACATCACATACACATACAACATATAAATAAATAGATAAACAGAAACATAGAAGCAGTTCTTACAGATGTATAAGATTTTTCATCCATCAGTTTTAAATAGTTCGGTTTTTTTAATTCATCCTACAATGACCTGTTTTACTGCCCTAGGCAATTGTTAGCTAGGCAACCCTAAATTTGCATTTCTAAAGGAGAAAATTTGCATCTCAAAGTATAGAAAGAGACTGGGAATTTAAGCTTTTTTTAAAAAAAAGAAATTTGGCTGTGCTAGAGGACAATTTGAAAATTAATGCCAGGGTAATACAAAATTATATAAATGTATTAAAAGATTTTATAAGGAGATCAATTTCCTTTACATAGGTCTCTACCTTTTAACTGGACCGCTGAACTTAGGACAGAGCCCACACTGAATTTTAGGTCTGCAAAAAGAGACATGCCATGGGGACGGGACCATACAATGTTTTCACAGTGCATTTCATCACAAAGACATTCCCCTTGGGCAACCCAACACCAATCAGCCCATTCTGTGATCTGCCCATTCCCTAGCCATTATACACACCAGAGTCAAGTTTTTCAAAATACAAAATAATTTCTGTTACCACCCCGCCCCTCAACCAAAAAGATCAGGTAATGCAATACAAAAGAGAGTAGAGTTTTAGATACGAGAATACTCTGTTGCAGAAGGTAGTCAGGCAGACATGAGCAGGGCAGGAGAAGGGCCCCCCACCAGGATTGTCAGGCAACCATCAAGTGATGGTCAGGCAGTTGTTAAACAGTCGCTCTAAAATAATAATTGGTTGCAGCTGGCGCCAGGGAACGACAATCTCCCAATAAATAGAAACACCTGTAACTAGTGATCAGCAGCTTCCAAATAAGATCTCAGAAGTTAGGTGTGTGAAGGAAAAATATCTTGGGTCCCTTCAAGATGTGAACCGCTCAGGGAAATCTGCCTCCTATTCTGTTCAAGTCATCCATTTGCTCACAGAGACAGATGCATATTCTGATTGCCTCCTTTGGAAAGACTTATCAGAAACTCAAAAGAATGCAACCATCTGTCTCTCACCTACCTGTGACCTGGAAGCCCCCAGTAGGGGGGCCTTGCTTTGAGCTGTCACCGCCTTTCTGGACGGAACTAATGTACTTCTTATATATTGATTGATGTCTCATGTCTCCCTAAAATGTATAAAACCAAGCTGTGGCCGGACCACCTTGGGCACATGTCATCAGGACTTCCTGAGGCTGTGTGGTGGGCGCGGCCTCAACTGTGGCAAACAAGCTTTCCAAGTTAACCGAGACCACTCTCCTAAGGCCTTGCTTTTTTTTTGAGCAAAAGTTTGCTTTTGTATTCTTCTCAGTTGACTGAATTCTGTTTTCACCTGATGTTTTGACTAAAATAGTATTGCAACAGAAGCTACTCTTGGATTTTTAAAGAAGAATGTAGTTTAGACACTCAAAAATGTCTTTAAAAAAAAAAGTACACTGTAAAAGCATCTCCCTCTAGCACTACCAGACGTTTTTTTCTGTACCTTATGATGTAAATTTTGCTATTTGATTTTCACCTGAGTTGTTTCCTTTAATGTGCAAATTTAAGGCTATTTAGCTGACAACTGCCTAGGGCTGTGAAACCAGTTATCTGGAATCTGAAAGTCTAAGACAGAAAAAATGCAAAATGCAGGGGTCTTTTGTCGTTTTTTTGTTTTTGGTTTTTTTTTTTTGAGACAAAGTTTCACTCTTGTTACCCAGGCTAAAATGCAATAGCACCATCTCGGCTCACCACAACCTCCTGGGTTCAAGTGATTCTCCTGCCTCAGCCTCCTGAGTAGCTGGGATTACCAGCATGTGCCACCATGCCCAGCTTTTTTTTTTTTTTTTTTTTGTATTTTTAGTAGAGACAGGGTTTCTCCATGCTGGTCAGGCTTGTCTCCAACTCCTACCTCAGGTGATCCACCTGCCTCGGCCTCCCAGAGTGCTGGGATTACAGTCATGAGCCACCACACCCGACTGGGTCTTTATAAATCTATAAAATGTACTTCCATCTGTATGCCTAATACGTCTTTTTGTGTATTTATGTGTTGTATACAAAATGTTTCACTACTAAAAAGAGCTCTAGTTAATTGACATAAAAATAAAAGTGCTTAAATCAAATACTAAAAAATGACTAGTCAAATGCTTTTTCAAGTTTATGTAACAAATAAAATCTTTAATAAATAAGCTAGCTTTAAAATTATTGGCAAAGTAATATTAGAAATGTGTTAAGAATTGCCAGCAGACATTTTTGTTTGTATTTGTTAATCAAGCAATTTCATACTTACCCCCACCAAATACTATAAGGTGTCAAAATTTGGCATAAGGGTTATAAAACCCAACCCAAATCAGAATGATCTTTGCTTGTGTAATTTTTAATAAATAGGACATTGACATGGGTATAATGAAAATAGCTGCATCTTGAATTTAGCAAGATTACTATAACTTCTAATCCTGCGGCTGTAGGCAGTCTAATTCACAGACAATGGGAAGGTTTGTTGGGAAAGGGCTGTTATCATCTTTGTTTCATAGCTAAATTGTAAACTAAGTTCCTCCCAAAGTTAGTTCGGTCTATGCCCAGGAATGAACAAGGACAGCTTGGAGGTTAAGAGCAAGATGGAGTCAATTAGGTCAAATCTTTTTTTTTTTTTTGAGATGGAGTTTTGCTCTTGTTGCCCAGGCAGGAGGGCAATGGCACCATCTCGGCTCACCGCAACCTCCACCTCCAGGTTCAAGCAATTCTCCTGCCTCAGCCTGCCTGAGGGAAGAAAGAGACCCTCTCATATTGCTTTATACTCAGTAGCTATTTAAATAAAAAAATAAGGAAGTGAAATCAAAGACAGGCAGCCCAGCCCCAGGTCTGAAACCAGGCCTGGGCCTGCCTGGCCTAAACCCATTAGTTAAAAATCAACTCATAACTTAGAAACCGATGTTATTCATAGATTCCCGACATTGTATAAAAGAACATTGTGAAACGCCCTACCCTGTTCTGTTTCTTTCTGACCACCGGTGCATGCAGCCCCTGTCATGTACCCCCTGCTTGCTCAAATCAATCACGACCCTTTCATGTGAAATCTTCAGTGTTGTGAGCCCTTAAAAGGGACAGAAATTGTGCACTCAGGGAGCTCAGATTTTGAGGCAGTAGCTTGCTGATGCTCCCAGCTGAATAAAGCCCTTCCTTCTACGACTCGTTGTCTGAGAGGTTTTGTCTGTGGCTCGTCCTGCTACATTTCTTGGTTCCCTGACAGGGAAACGAGGTGACTGATGGATGGCCGAGGCAGCCCCTTAGGCAGCTTAGGCCTGCCCCGCGGAGCATCCCTGCAGGGGACTCCGGCCAGCCTGAGTGACGCGATCCAAAGAGCGCTCCCGGTTAGGAAATTGCCCCCATTGGAACGCCTTGCCAGAGCAGCACGTAGCAGGCCCCCGTGGAGGATCCACACAGTGGCTGAACACTGGGAAGGAACTGGCGCTTGGAGTCTGGACATCTAAAAGTTGGTAAGACTAGTCTTTGGAACTTGCCCCACTCCATCTGAGTGGAAGCGTGGCTTGATCACCCACGGTGTGCCTGCATTGGCACTTTTGTTCTGGATTTGACTTGATTTGAATTGCTGGATACTTTGGTTTGGTTTTGGTTTTGACTTGGCTTGAATTTTTTGGTACTCGGATTTTGAATTTCGTGATTTTGGTTTGGCTTAAACGGTAAAAGTGTGTGTTTGCCCTCTTTGCCCGTTCTTTGTCTTGTGGTGAGTGTGTGTGGTGTGAGCGTGGTATTCTGTCTTGGAGAAAAAAAAAATTTTTTCAAGAAAGAACTTAAGGGAGATTACAGTGCTACTGTGACACCAGGAAAACTTAGAACTTTGCGTGAAACAGACTGGCCAGCATTAAAGGTGGGTTGGCCATCTGAAGGAAGCCTGGACAGGTCCCTTGTTTCAAAGGTATGGCACAAGGTAACCTGTAAGCCAAGGCACCCAGACCAGTTTCCATACATAGACAGTTACAGCTGGTTTTAGACCCCCTTCCCCCCTACAGAAGTTAAGAGAACAGCAGCATGAGCAGCTGGCAGAGGCAAGGAAAGACCAGCAGAGAGAAAAAAAAGACCATCTATACCAATTCTAGGTTAATTTAGACTAAACAAGGTCTTATTAATAGCAAAGGATAATTGAAATCCCAAACTTACAAGGTTTTCAACAAAAGTGAAGTTTGCTAAAAGTTAAAAGTGTAGCATGTATTATGGTAACTTCTAATCTTGTGGCCTTAGACAGTCTAGTCCAAAGACATAAAGAAAATTCGCTTTAAAAAAGGGGAAAAAAGGGGGGAGGCAGAATTTATATAAAAAGAATGTTATATGGTAAATTCTTGTCCTGAAATAAATTAACTGATTGTTTAAAGAAAAAAAGTTTGTAATAAGTCAGAAAGTTAAGACATGTTAAAAAATTGTCTGTGAAAGTTGTGAAAGAAAAAATGTTATCAAAAATTTTATGCAAAAAATGTTGTATAACTTAAAAGTAATAAGGCCTCCTGAGTACTACTGAAGAAACAGTTTATGTGCAAGGTGTATAAAAAAATATACCTTTGATAAAAAGATTATAAGGAGGCATAAGAATGTGAATTTTTACCTACATTAAAAGGTTAAAAAAATATTGTTTTAAAAGTTTAAGCAAGTTTTAAAACGTTAATTGTAAAGAAAATTCTGTGTGTAAACATATTAACTAAAGTTAAAAAGGTATCATCCAGTTTTTCTGTAGACTAGACATTAAAGTAAAAATGCAACAGATTTTTCTTAAAGCATCAACCTGCTCTTTAACAAAAATTATAAAAGGTTAAAGAGTCTATAAAATCTTACCTTATAGTCAAACATGAAAAATTGGATAAATATGTCTACAAGGTTTTATTAAAATTAAGTTTAACATTAATAACACACTAATATAAAGATAAAATTTAGCTTCTCTGGTATAAAAATCATACAAGAAGCATTATTAAATATAAAATGGTGTTTAGCTTTCTTTGGTCTAAAAACTAACAAAAATAGGTGCTAAAGGAAGCATTCATTTTACTAAAGGATCATAGAAGTTAAAGACTTAAAACAAACTTTGGCAATTAAGACAGGATACCAAGATGCAAATGCCTGGATGAAATGGATCAAATATTCCATCTGCACGTTAAACAAAAGCAATTGTTATGCTTGTGCACATGGCAGGGCAGAGGCTCAGAATGTCCCCTTTCCACTAGGTGGTCCTCCAGTCGACCAGGTGTGGGCTGCATGGTAGCTCTTTTCCAGGATTCTACAGCCTGGAATAATAAGTCATGCCAAGCTCTCTCTGCTATATTCCGAAGTCCCTGGGGGCAGCCACCGAGGGCCATCCAGCTTCCATCTCCCAACACTAACTTCACTTCGTGTCTCTCACGGCAGGGAGGAGACTTAGCATTCCTTGGAGACCTGAAGGGATGCAGTGAGCTTAAGAATTTTCAAGAGTTTATCAATCAGTCAGCCCTTGCTCATCCCCGAGCGGATGTGTGGTGGTATTGCGGTGGACCTTTACTGGACTTACTGGACACTCTGCCGAATAACCAGAAGTGGCACTTGTGCTTTAGTCCATTTGGCTATCCCTTTCACCCTGGCATTTCATCAACCAGAGGAAAAAAAAAATAAGACATCATAAAGTGAGAGAAGCCCCTTATGGGTCTTTCAACTCTCGTATATATTTAGATGCAATTGGAGCCCCGCAAGGAATACCAGATCAATTTAAAGCTTGAAATCAAATAGTTACAGGACTGAAGTCAATATTTTGGTAGATGACAGTCAATAAAAATGTAAATTAGATACACTACATCTATTACAACCAACAGCAACGAGCTTTTCATGAGTTAAAAAGAAAAACTCATGTCGGCCCCAGCCCTGGGGCTACCTGACCTGACAAAACTCTTTACACTCCATGTGTCAAAAAGAAAAAAAATGGCAGTTGGAGTTTTAACCCAGACTGTAGGGCCCTGGCCAAGGCCAGTGGCCTATCTCTCAAAACAACTAGATGGGGTTTCCAAAGGCTGGCCCCCATGTCTAAGGGCCCTGGCAGCAATGGCCCTGTTAGCATAAGAAGCAGATAAGCTAACTCTTGGGCAAAACCTAAAGTCCCCCCATGCTGTGATGATTTTAATAAATACCAAAGGATACCATTAGCTAACGAATGCTAGACTAACTAGATACCAAAGCTTGCTCTGTGAAAATTCCCGCATAACCACTGAAGTTTGCGACACCCTAACCCTGCACACCTTACTCCTGGTATCAGAGAGCCCAGTTGAACATAAACTGTGTAGAGGTGTTAGACTCAGTCTACCCTAGTAGGCCCAACCTCCGAGACCAACCTTAAACATCAGTAGACTGCGAGCTGTATGTGGATAGGAGCAGTTTCGCCAACCCCTGCAAAGTGACTCTGAAAAAGACGACAAGCCCTGCTCCAGTCGCACCCGGAAGCTGACTGGTCCACGCACGGCCAAAACATGAGGAAACTCATCGCGGGACTCATTTTCCTTAAAATTTGGACTTGTATAGTAAGGACTTCAACTGACCTTCCTCAGACTGAAGGCTGTTTCCAGTATATACATCAAGTCACTGAAGTAGGACAAAAGATTGCTACAGTCCTATTATTTTATAGTTATTATGAATGCCTAGGAACTCCAAAAGGAACCTGTTTGTATAATAACACCCAATACAAAGTATGTAATCCAGGAAGTGACCAGCCCGATGTGTGCTATGACCCCTTTGAACCTCCTATGATCACAGTCTTTGAAGTAGGACTGAGAACTGGTCATTCTCTAAGTGACACAAGTAAAGTAATAGCTAGAACAGAAGAAAAAGGGGTCCCAAAAATGTAACCTTAAAATTTGACGCTTGTGCCACTATTGATAGTAAGCAGCATGGAATAGGATGCGGTTCTCTAAATTGGAAAAAAAAGTTACACGGTAAAAAAAAAAATAGGTATATCTGTCCAGAATCATATGTGAGATGTGTCAATACTGGTCTTGTGTCATCTGGGCTACTTGAACAGAAGATAAAAAAGATCCTGTTTGGCTCCAAAAAGGAAAAGTCAGCCCCTCCTGCACAAGTGGGAGCTGCAACCTTTTAGAAATGATAATCACAAACCCCTCAGAACCAGAATGTAATAAAGGAAAATATGTATCTTTAGGCATTGATGGAAAGGGACTAGATCCTAGCGTGAACATCCTAATAAAAGGAGAGGTTCAAAGACACTCTCCAGAACCAGTATTTCAGACTTTCTATGATGAACTAAATGTGCCAGTACCAGAGACTCCAGGAAAAATCAAAAATTTGTTTTTGCAATTAGCCGAGCACGTAGCCCAGTCTCTAAATGTCACTTCATATTATGTTTGTAAAACAACTGTAATAAGAGATCAATGGCCATAAGAAGCCTGAGAATTAGTGCCTACAGACCCAGTTCCTGATGAATTCTCAGCCCAAAAGAATCACCCTGATCATTTCTAGGTTCTAAAAGTTTCAATTATTGGACAATATTGCATAGCTAGAAAAAAAAAAAGAATTCACTCATTCTGTAGGATGACTTAGTTGCCTAGGACAAAAACTATAATAGTACCACACACACACAAAACAGTTACATGGTGGAGCTCCAATTACACAGAAAGAGATCCATTCAGTAAATTTCCAAGGTTGCAGACTGTCTGGGCTCACCCAGAATTTCACCGGGACTGGGCTGCCCCCACCGGGTTATACTGGATATGTGGACACAGAGCTTATGCTAAGCTGCCTGATCGGTGGACAGGTAGCTGTGTAATTGGCACCATTAAACCATCTTTCTTTTTACTGCCCATAAAAACAGGTGAACTCCTGGGCTTCCCTATCTATGCTTCTCATGAAAAATGAAGCATAGCCATAGGTAATTAAAAAGATGATGAATGACCTCCTAAAAAATTATATAATACTACGGACCCCCCACTTGGGCACAAGATGGCTCGTGGGGATATCGGACCCCCATCTACATGCTCAACCAAATCATATGGTTACAAGCTGTTTCAGAAATCATCACTAATAAAACTGGTCAAGCCTTGACTATTCTGGCCCGGCAAGAAACTCAGATAAAAAATGCTATCTATCAAAATAGATTGGCTCTCAGCTACTTGCTAGCAGCTGAAAGAGAGGTCTATAAGACATTTAACCTTACTAATTACTGTCTATACATAGATAATCAAAGGCAAGTAGTTAAAGACATAGTTAAAAATATGACAAAACTGACACATGTGCCTGTACAAGTGTGGCACGAATTTGGCCCTGAAGCCATGTTTAAAAATTAGTTCCCAGCACTAGGAGAATTTAAAACTCTTATAATAAAAGTTATAATAGTAATAAGAACCTGCTTACTGCTCCCTTGTTTACTACCTGTACTTCTTCAAATGATAAAAAGCTTCATCACTACCTTAGTTCACCAAAATGCTTCAGCACAAGTGTACTATATGAATAACTATCAATTTATTGCACAAAAAGACATAAGTAGCAAAAATAAGAGTGAGAACTCCCACTAATAAAAAGTGAGAGTCTCAAAGGGGGAAATGAGGGAAGAGAGAGACCCTCTCATATTGTTTTATACTCAGTACCTGTTTAAAGAAAAAAAACAAGGACATGAAATCAAAGACAGGCAGCCTGATGCCAGGCCCAAAACCAGGCCTGGGCCTGCCTGGCCTAAACCCAGTAGTTAAAAATCAACTCATAACTTAGAAACCGATGTTACTCATAGATTCCCAACATTGTATAAAAGAACATTGTGCAACTCCCTGCCCTGTTCTGTTTCTCTGACCACCAGTACATGGAGCCCCTGTCACGTACCCCCTGCTTGCTCAAATCAATCACGACCCTTTCATGTGAAATCTTTAGCGTTGTGAGCCCTTAAAAGGGACAGAAATTGTGTACTCGGGGAGCTCAGATTTTGAGGCAGTAGCTTGATGATGCTCCCAGCTGAATAAAGCCCTTCCTTCTACAACTCGGTGTCTGAGAGGTTTTGCCTGCAGCTTGTCCTGCTACATCCCAAGTAACTGGGATTACAGCATGCACCACCATGCCAGGCTAATTTTGCATTTTTTTTCTTTTTTTTTTTAAATAGAGACGGGGTTTCTCCATGTTGGTCAGGCTGGTCTCAAACTCCCAACCTCAGGTGATCCACCCACCTCAGCCTCCCAAAGTGCTGGGATTACAGGCATGAGCCACCGTGCCCGGCCTAGATCAAATCTTTTTTCACTGTCTCAGTTATAATTTTTCTTTCTTTTTTTTTTTTTTTTTTTTTTTTTTTTTTTTGAGACAGAGTCTCGCTCAGTCGCCCAGGCTGCAATGCAGTGGTGCGATCTTGGCTCACTGCAAGCTCTGCCTCCCGGGTTCATGCCATTCTCCTGCCTCAGCCTCCCAAGTAGCTGGGACTACAGACACCCCGCCACCACGCCTGGCTAATTTTTTGTATTTTTAGTAGAAACAGGGTTTGACCATGTTAGCCAGGATGGTCTCGATCTCCTGATCTCGTGATCCACCTGCCTCAGCCTCCCAAAGTGCTGGGATTACAGGCGTGAGCCACTATGCCTGGCTGGTTATAATTTTTCAATAGCAGTTTCATAACTTTAAATTCATGACTATTACAGTATTCATAAATAATCTAGGTAAATAATTAAAATAGATAATTAGGCAAATGTAATGGGAAAAATACTTGTAGACAAACTGGTCATAATTTAGAATATAAAGTTATATTAAATTAAATAATAGATGTTTCATTACTTGGGTATTTTCCAATAAATATATATTGCAGGAAAACATTCTTGCTAAAAAAAAAAAACAAAAACAGAGAAGTGTGTCCTTTTAAAAAGAAAAGTGAAAAATTTATGTCTAATTCAAAGCTTATTTAAACATTATGTATAAAACAAGGTAAATGGAACCAGGAAATAAAAAATATGTAAAGAAAGTTGTAAAAATAAAGAGGTATTTTTCTGAGGTAAAAAAAGCTTGAAGAAAAATAATTTTATATAAGAAAAAAAGTCTTGTGCCAGGCACCAAATACCCGGCATCATAATTGTTATGTTAAAATTATTGTGTGCCACAGAGGCAACAAATTTCCTTGTCAATTGTGCCTTTCGACTATGGCTGCCTTAAAACTTTTTTTTTCAGCCGGGCTGGTGGCTTACGCCTGTAATCCCTGTACTTTGGGAGGCTGAGACAGGCGATCACGAGGTCAGGAGATCAAGACCATCCTGACTAACACGGTGAAAACCTCATCTCTACTAAAAATAGAAAAAAATTAGCTTGGCATGGTGGCGGGTGCCTGTAGTCCCAGCTACTCAGGAGGCTGAGGCAGGAGAATGGGGTGAACCTGGGAGGCAGAGCTTGCAGTGAGCAGAGATCACACCACTGCACTCCAGCCTGGGCGACTCAGGGAGCCTCCGTCTCAAAAACAACTTTTTTTCATCCATGGACAATTGTTGTCTTGTTTTGGTCCTCTTTAGGAGGTGGTTTTATAATCAGCTATAAAACTCCAATAGGTGCTCTTGAATGCAGGTTTCTGATAACTTTGGAGATTGTGACAACAGAATAGAGGAAGAACCTTCAGGACTCATGGAGAGCTAAATGTTCATGAGTATCAAGCAGGAATTAACAGGAATTAACTGCATGGACTGAACCAATCTTTTTTACTTTTTGCTCAAAATATTTGCTGGTCCTTTGTTTTGCGTTTCCGAGTCTTATGACTTTTCTTTTGAGCTACTGACAGATTTTAACAATTTAGTATACTCCTATGAACAAAATTTGTGGCATAGTTGTTTCTATCTGATTTATCCAGAATTTGGAAACTATTTGTGAGTATTCTTAACTTATGGCAATACAGTTATTTGCATAAGTGCAGTAAGAATCTGTTTTCATTTGTAACAGGACACATTTGGAGAATTTGGTTATTTTACCAAGGCTTTGACTGGAATCATGTGCTTTCCTTATAAGGAATCAAACTTGACTTACGGAGCCAATAAAGCCCTTGGAAAAACTGGCCTCATATTCTGTATACACAGTCCCTGAACAGGGTTTCTGACTGTGTAAGTAAAGAATATCACTTTTTGACAAGTGCAGACGCCCCAGGTTTATCTTGGGCCCTCAAAAGGAGAGGAAATTTCACCCAACTCATGGGTATTTAATGGCATAAATCCATGGCTCGGCTGGGTTTTACGGGTTTTACAAAGTCTTATCTGAGATTCCTGCTATGGAACAAAGTTCCATCAGAGCCTACTTAAAAGCCTAAGTAAAAAATAATCATTCTTGCTGCATTGTATACAAATAGTTAGGCCAAGTATAATAAACAAACCAATCCTACCATGATTTGTCTTTAGTAATATGCGAAACTGAAGAGAGAAAAACAAATTATCTTCTAAAACAATTGTACACCTGTTGTTAGAGTCTAGTCTTGCCTATTTTTTTTCAATTTTTATTATTTTTCTAGAGTTTGGACTGAATTCTAATTTTTCTTGGCTACAAGCCTTCAAAATAATGTTTTCAATTTTTTTCCTTCTTTTTTTTTTCTCAATTTTTCCCAATTTGGAGTCACTGAAAACTAAGCTATGCTTTCTAAAAACCCTGGGAACTGAAGCCAGACAACTTAAACTTCAGAAAAATATAACATAACCTATTTACGTACATAAGCCACTTTCATACCTGCCTACTATTATGGACTGCAGAGTAATGTGGCCTATATCAATTTTTTCAGGATTGTTCTTTTGTTTGTTGTTTTTTTCATCCCTTCCTCCCCCATATTTTCTCTTCACAGGACATGAGACTTCACAACCTGCTAAAAATGAACTTTCCAGACCTACCAATCTAGGAATAAACCGTCCTAGCCAGGAAAGGTCAGATGACCTTTCCTGAGACTGGAGACTCATTCTGTTGTAAAAATGCTTTCTCCAAAGATGTTAAAAAAGAAAAGGGGAAAATGTGAAAGAAAAATATCTTGGGTCCCTTCAAGATGGGAACTGCTCAGGGCAAATCTGCCTTCTATTCTATTCAAGTCATCCATTTGCTCACAGAGACAGATGCATATTCTGATTGCCTCCTTTGGAAAGACTTATCAGAAACTCAAAAGAATGCAACCATCTGTCTCTCACCTACCTGTTACTTCGAAGCCCCCAATAGGGGGTCTTGCTTTGAGCTGTCTCCGCCTTTCCGGACGGAACTAATGTACTTCTTACATAGTGATTGATGTCTCATGTCTCCCTAAAATGTATAAAACCAAGCTGTGGCCGGACCACCTTGGGCACATGTCATCAGGACTTCTTGAGGCTATGTCACTGGGCATGTCTTCAACCTTGGCAAAATAAACTTTCTAAATTAATTGAGACCTGTCTCAAATTTTGGGGGTTCACAGGTGAGTGGGCTCAGGCATGTGCACTAGTATGACTAAAGGTCATAGACTATTAGACTATTAGTCTATGACCTTCCTCTAGAAACACTCGACTGGTAAGGGAAGAATGCCTCAACTGAGCATGTGCACAACTCCCATAAACACACTTGTGCTTGCGGAGCCTCTCAAGTGCTGGCAGGCCACTGCTCAGGTGGATTCTTCCCTCCTACCCGGAGGGAAGAATCAGGGGAGAAGGGACACAAGCCCCTGAATGCATGCCAACACGTAAAACCTCAAATCAAAACTCAAACCATGCAGTTTAACCTCTCAAGTTGCCCACTTGGCCCTCTTCCAAGTGTACTTTACTTCCTTTCATTCCTGCTCTAATACTGTTTAGTACATTTTCACTCCTGCTCTAAAACTTGCCTCAGTCTCTCACTGTGCCTTATGCCCCTCAGCTGAATTCTTTCTTCTGAGCAGGCAGGAATTGAGGTTGCTGCAGACGTGTATGCATTTGCCACCAGTAACATACTTTGGTGCCACATGACTAGGATATGTTCTCTAGTGCTAACATGTTCGTTTACAGTTCTTAGGACTCCCTGATAGAAAAAAACACAAAAAAAAACACAAAAAAACCCAACCAACCAAACAAACAAACAAAAAAAAAACACAGGAGTTTCTCCCAAAAAGAAGTCTGCAGTGTCTTTTCTGTTTTCTCTGAAGGTATCCCAGGGTGTTAGATTTCTGTTGTTTTTCCCTTATGTGGCACCGAAGTTGGCAAGAAGAAGGAAGTGCTGATATAAATAAATAGGGAAATGAACAGAGAGAGTACATGTGGTTAGCAGGAGTTTAGGATGAGAGAAATTTAGTGGACCGAGAAATAGTCTAAATATCAGTTTTAATTTGTGAAAGAAAAATAAAAACCTGGGACCCCAATTCACTATGCCTAAAGGAAAAAAATTAAGCTAAAAGCTGAATCATGCAAGAAGCTGTTTTTTCCTTTGTTCTTAAGCAGAGCACTACAGATAAAAAGGTGAAATATCTCCCCAGGTAGCTACTCTATGTTCACCTGAACTTATGTAAAGTTCTGATTTACTGAGCATGAGAAGAACACATAATTGACTATTCCTGTACCTGCTCCATTTCTCCTGCAACATGTGGATACAGTAATATGATCATACCCTCCCTTGTTCCCCTCTAGGCCACTTTCCCCTTTAAATATTAACACCATCATAATCATCTTTGGAGAAAGACACCTGGATCTGTCCTGAACCTTGGCAAAAAATAAATAAATAAATAAAAATAAAAAACTCTTCTCAATTGATTAATACCTGTCACAGATACATTTTGGTTTACAAATCAATGAACAATGGAGGGAACTCTGTCCTTAATCTTGGTACGAGACAATGAACCCCAGGTACTTACCCCAGACAACGACGCCGCTTCACCATGATGATGGACAACAGGCAACTTTTTTTTTGGAGTTTCAGCTTGCTTCCAACAGGGACGGTGAGTGTGAGGTTTATTCCCATTTCTAAGACGATAGAAGTTTTCAGCCTAAGCCGTATTCCTAGGTAAGCAGCTGGATTGCAGTTTTGTCTTGGAAATTCTCCTTAATGACTAAAAGTTAAGATTAACAACTAGCTGGTCTTAATTTCTCCTTACCATTAGAGTACCCAGTAATCACATAAATTCTGCAATCATCTGTTTATTTAGCTTAACTGTTTTTTTTTATTTGTTGAAGTTGTTGTTGTTATTTCAGTCTTTTTCTTATTGGGTTGACCAGACTTGGTAAAATCTGTAAGAAAGTTCCATAATTATGGGGAAGATTTCCTCTGAATTGGCTAAATTCCTGTAGCTGAAAAAAAAAAGAAAAGAAAAAAACACCAGCAAAAGTAAAAAAAGAAACATTTTGATTACCTGAGAGGCTTTATTTACATGGCAAGACCACCTTCTGCTAGCCAAACTAAACTAAAGGAGCAATGGTAGTCACCCTATGCAGTAGTTCAGCAGCAAAGATTCTGCCCTTTTTTTTAGCATGACAGCCTGGGTTGGTTGGTTATGAATCAAGTCCTTTCTGGTTTGAGATTTATTTTACCTTTGAAATATCAGCAGCTTTTCCCAGCTAAAATATGGTAATAATATTTAAAAGGATTTTTTAAGACCTCAACAGTTAAAAGGCAGCTTAATTAAAAGATAGTATCCGCAATCCGTGTGTGTGTGTGTGTGTGTGTGTGTGTGTGTGTATGTAAAAGGACTTTATGTTTTTTTGTCTTCTAGGAACGTGTTTTTGTAAAAAAGTTTTTTTCTTCTCAGTCAACTGAATTCTGCTTTTTCTATTTACTTCTGCCTGTCTCTCCTTTCTCTTCCCACCCTCTGCTGCATGAGGCACTGGAAATAATTTTAACAATGGTAATGAGACAAATTATCAAGAAATTGGAGCTGGGATTCCTTAAAGAAAACAGAGAAGATGCCAGACTCCTTCTGGGGGCAAAACCTCTGTTTTTCCTTATGGAACCCTAAGAGTATAAACAAGTTCCTCTCAGATCTTAAACTCCTTGCTTCTATATTTTGTTTTCTGATTTTTTTTAACTGAAATAGTTATTATTACAGGGGCTACTCTTGGGAGTTTAGAATAAGAAAGGGTGCTTAGACACTCAAGCAACATCTTTGTAACAAAGTAACACCATAAAAGCATTATGTGGCCTAGTCCCATGATTTCTCTCTCCTTTTTGGAGACCCAGGATTGAATGTGGGCTGTGCTCAGAGCTCAGAGATCCAGTTAAAACAGAGACTACGTTTAAAACTATCTAAGTGTGATTGGTCTCTTTATACAATCCTGTGGTAGATTTCTGTAATTTTATGTTTGACTTGGTATCCATTTTTTAATCACCCTGTTAACACAACAGATTCTCTCTCTCTCTTTCCTTTGAGAAGTAAATTTTGCTGATTTTCACCTGAGAGTTGTTCCTTCGGTATACAAATTTAGGGCTATCTACCTGACAATTGCCTAGGGTAATGAAACAAATTATCAAGAAATTGGAGCCAGGCAAGGTGGCTCGTGCCTGTAATCCCAGCCCTTTTGGAGGCCAAGGCTGGCGGATCACTTAAGGCCAGGAATTCAAGACCACCCTGGCCAACATGGCAAAACCCTGTCTCTACTAAAAATACAAAAATTACCTGAGCGTGGTGGTGCTTGCCTGTAATTCCAACTATTTAGGAGGCTGAGACAGGAGAATTGCTTGAACTCAGGAGATGGAGGTTGCAGTGAGCCAAGATCACGCCACTGCACTCCAGCCTGGGCCACAGAGTGAGACTGCATCTAAAAAAAAAAAAAATTGGAAGTCTAAAATAAGAGGGGAAAAAAGAGGAGGTCTTACAAATCTAAGATCTATTTCTACCTGTGTGTCTAATACATGTCTGTATTTATGTGTCATGTATATGTTTCATTATCAAAGATATATAAAACAGCTCTAATTATTTGGCCTTAAAGGGAAAAAAGGGGCTTAAATCAAATACTTTATTAGAAAAATAGAAACCTTAAGCCCAAATGCTTTTTCAAGTTTATGTAACTTAAGTAAATTCTTAATAAATAAGCTGGTTTTAAAGTTATTGGTAAAATAAAATTAGAAATATCTTCAGAATTGTCAATATACATTGTTGTTTAGAGTCATTGGTCAGGCAGTTTAACATTTACCTCTACTAGATATTATAAGTTGTCAAAATTTGGCATGAGGTTTATAAAGCTAGAAATGCAGCCCACAAGAGTACTATATTTGTTGGTGTAATTTGTTGATAAATAGGGCATTTGATATCGTTGATTTAATGAAAACAGCTAAATCCTGAGTTAATCCAGGACTTCTTGGTAAAGTTGACTGAAGCTATATTAGATATTTCCCCACAAAAATACTATTTGCATTCTCCCACTCCCTCCCTCCCTTGATGGGACAACATCCTTTATTTTTCCTTGGGCATACATATCATTACTTCCAATTTGAAACAAGTTAGTATAAGAGGGAGAGAGAGAGGAGAGGAGAGGCAGAGAGAGAGGAGAGGAGAGAGAGAGAGAGGAGAGAGAGAAAGGAGAGGAGAGAGAGAGAAAAGATTGAGAGAGGGGAGACTGTTTTAAGTGGTATTATTTTTCCCATAGGCTGTCCTTGTCACTCTTTCATGGCTACAGTTTGATCGGAATTAGCTGCCAGGGCCTCCGCCGGCTTGGGCTCTTCTGCGGAGGCTGTGGGGGCCCGGGCCTTGGGTGTGGAACTAGGGGCTTCCTGGCTGCGGGGGGTCTCCTTGGAAGAGGGGGCAGCCTCCGAGCTGCTGCGGTTTGCGTATCATGCTGGAGCCCGTCACTTATGGTCTCCTGGGTGGCAGGAGCTGCAGGCGCCTTAGTCTTTTTAGGTTTCCCTTCCTCCTTGCTGGGCTCCTCCCCAGTGGTAGGGTCCGCGCTCTTGGCCCGGGCCGTGGTGACTTCGGCAGCTTTGGGGGCCTCGCCGCCATTAGCAGGGACGGGGGCTGCCTGCTCTTTCTCGGGGGGTCAGCCTTGGCCTCTGCGCGCTCTCTGTCTTCTCGGGCTCTTCCTTCGGGGTCTCCTCCTTGGCAGCCGTGGCATCCTTCTTGCCCTCTGTCTCCTCGGCCTTGCCCTCCGCGTCCTGGTCAGACTTCTTGCCCTCCATGGCCTCGGCGGGCTCTGCAGCTGCCTGGGGCTCACTCTCCTTCGGGGACCCTCCTCTTCCCTTGCCACGCCCTCATCCTTCTTGTCTTTGTCCTTGGCTTTCTCGTCGTTCACATTGTAGCCCTTCTTCTTGCTGAGTTTGCCTGTCATCTTGGAGTTTGGCTCTGGGTGCCTGTGCAGCCCCTGGGTGAGCGCGGTGCCCCCAAGAGGCCAGGGTCCCTGGCGGTGTCTAGCTCATGCCTGGCCGCTGGCGGAGGCTCTCTCCTGGCTCCATGGCGGAGGCCAGAGCGAGGAGCCAGTTGTAGTGCTAGCTCCGCCTTTGTCGCAGCTGCCACTACTGCCACCGGGAAAACATTTTTCTTAAAAAATGTGTTCTTATGGCCGGGCGTGGCGGCTCATGCCTGTTATCTCAGCACTTTGGGAGGCCAAGGCGGGCGGATCACGAGGTCAGGAGAACAAGACCATCCTGGCTAACATGGTGAAACCTCGTCTTTACTAAAAATACAAAAAATTTGCCAGGGTGGTGGCAGGCGCCAGTAGTTCGACCTACTCAGGAGGCTGAGGCAGGAGAATGGCGTGAACCTGGGAGGCCGAGCTTGCAGTGAGCCGAGATTGCACTACTGCACTCCAGCCTGAGCAACGGAGCAAGACTCCATCTCAAAAAAAAAAAAAGTGTTCTTATTTAAAGGAAAATTATTTTTGTGTAATTTAAAGGTTATTCATGAAACAGGATAAAAGGAACCAGTAAATAGGAGAGATGTAAAGACAGATACAAATATAAAGAGGTATTCTGGTGTAAGGAAGATTAAAAAGAAAATTATTTTATATGAGAAAGAATCTTGTATGGTAAATTTTTGTCCTAAAATAAAATGACTGGTTATTTAGAAAAGAAGGATGTTTAGAATAAAACAGGAAGTCCAAACATGTCATAAGTGGTTTGTGTATGTCATAATAAGGGATTATAAAAAGAAGATTTATGTGAAAAAAATTTTATGTGATCAAGTTGTCTACAATTACAAGGAAATTATTTATAATAGACTTTCTAGAGATCTATATGAAAAATACACTAATACACTAAGGAATTGGTTAGAACAACAAAACTTTCTTAACATATTATTTTAATAAAATTATGAGATTTTCATTTTTTTTACACCAGAAGTTCAATTTATATTGCATCTTGCTGTTTTTAGCTATCTCACCTTTGAGAAGGACAGCAATGATATCTCTCTCTCTCTCAACTTTGTCAGCTCCTGTAAATTTTTCGTTCAGGTTTTAACTGCTATTGTGGCCTGATACTAAAACATTTTATCTTAAAGTTATAAAGGAAATATTTTCTCCCAGTATAACATTCTGTGCTTTGGCTTTAAATTGTTCTATGAAACCAAAAATGTTCACTTAATGTTTCCTGTAACCCAGGAAACACTCTTCCTATGTCTAACTAGTTCAAATACATTTTCATTAGTTTTGACTTTCAGGTTCTCTAAATAGACTCCCTATATGGAAAAGCAGTCACACTGCAGAGGGTGTTTTTTTTTTTTCTTTGTTTGACTTTTAGTAACTAGACTAACAAAAAAGATTTATGTTTTATCGAAATAAGTCCTACATAATTGTTATTAAGTTTTGATTTACTTACAAAAACTGAGTTACATTTATTTTTAAAGTTAAAGTTACTGTGTCAGGAATTGGTGGGTTCTTGGTCTCACTGACTTCAAGAATGAGGCCGCGGCCCCTCGCGGTGAGTGTTACAGTTCTTAAAGGCGGCATGTCCAGAGTTTGTTCTTTCTGACATTCGGATGTGTTCAAAGTTTCTTCCTCCTGGTGGGTTCGTAGTCTTGCTGGATCACGAGTGAAGCTGCAGACCTTCGCGGGAGTGAAGCTGCAGACCTTCGCGGTGAGTGTTACAGCTCTTAAGGTGGTGCGTCTGGAGTCGTTTGTTTCTGCCAGTGCCTTCATGGTCTCACTGGCTTCAGAAGTGAAGCTGCAGACCTTCGTGGTAAGTGTTACAGCTCATAAAGGCAGTGAGGACCCAAAGAGTGAGCAACAGCAAAATTTATTGCAAAGAGCGAAAGAACACCGCAGTGTGGAAGGGGACTCAAAGCCAGAAGTTCCCACTACTGGCTCAGGCAGCCTGCTTTTATTCTCTTATATGGCCCCACCCACATCCTACTGACTGGTCCATTTTAGAGAGAGCCAATTGGTCTGTTTTACAGAGAGCTGATTGGTCCGTTTTGACAGGGTGCTGATCGGTGCGTTTACAATCCCTGAGCTAGACACAAAAGTTCTCCACCTACCCACTAGATTAGCTAGATACAGAGTGTGGACACAAAGGTTCTCTAAGTCCCCACCAGAGTAGCTAGATACAGAGTGTCGATTGGTGCATTCACAAACCCTGAGCTAGACACAGTGTGCTGATTGGTGTGTTTACAAACCTTGAGCTAGATACAGACTGCCAATTGGTGTATTTACAATCCCTTAGCTAGACATAAAGGTTCTCCAAGTCTCCGCCAGACTCATGAGCCCAGCTGGCTTCACCCAGTGGATCCCGCAACAGGGCCACAGGTGGAGCTGCCTGCCAGTTCCGTGCCATGCGCCTGCACTCCTCAGCCCTTGGGTGGTCAATGGGACTGGGCGCCCTGGAGCAGCGGGCGGGGCTCCTCAGGAAGGCTGGGGCTGGGCAGGAGCCCACGGCTGGGGCGGGAGCAAGCTCAGGCATGGTGGGCTGCGGGTCCCCAGCCCTGCCCCACAGGGAGGCAGCTAAGGCCCTCGGAGAAGTTGAGCACAGCAGCTGCTGGTCCAGGTGATAAGCCCCTCACTGCCCCGGCCAGCGGGGCCAGCTTGCTGCTCCGAGTGCGGGCCGGCGCCCACGCCCACCCGGAACTGGCATTGGCCCGCAATTGCTGCGCGCAGCCCCGATTCCCGCCCACACCTCTCCCTCCACACCTCCCCGCAAGCTGAGGGAGCCAGCTCTGGCCTTGGCCAGCCCAGAAAGGGGCTCCCACAGTGCAGTGGCGGGCTGAAGGGCTCCTCAAGCATGGCCAGAGTGGGCGTCAAGGCCGAGGAGGTGCCGAGAGTGAGCGAGGGCTGTGAGGGCTGCCAGCACGCTGTCACCTCTCATTATTACATCTATTTAACTTTGTGTTGCTTTTGAAATCCTTGTGCTGTTAAGTTACAGGGCTTTGACTCCATTGATTCCTGGGTCTGAAAAAGACACCAAACCCTGCTAACTTTTAAACATTGACAGCAGTTAAAGCCTCATCTTCAGACCCAGGAGAAGATGACAGTCAAAACAAAGTGTGTTTATAATAAGACACAGGGACAGAAATTAAAACTCTTCAACTCCCCAATCCCAGGGACTACTGCAGAAGAGGTGAGCACGTGAGATTGTAAGGGCCAATTTTGAGAAAGAAAATTAGTTCAGGGTTTCTCTATAAATTAAACATTAGTATCAAAGGTACACTGATGCAAGACCAGCAACTGGGCCCCTGTGTCAGATTAATATGGCTTTTGTGGAGCATTAATCCACTTTTTTAAAAAATATAAAAGGTTATAAAAAGGCTTATTGAATTATATCTTTTAGTCAAGTTGTTTAAAATTTAGTAGATTTATTTATAAGATTTGAGAGACATTTAATTGGTCTTGACCTAATGCTATCTTTATTAGAGCTTACTGTTTGGGAAATTAAGTCTCCTGTCTCAAAGTATAAAGGGTTTGGCCATTTATTTTTACATCTTTGAGTTATCATTTTGGCTAAATGAATGACTTATTTATTTTACAATGACCTGTGATCCTATTTCGTGATATCCTGTGTTTTAAACTTTTCATATTTGACAAACTTTCTAAAATCAAATACTAAATTCAGTCCTTTTGACCTCACTAATGTTTTGATATTAGGTCCCCTGAAGTCCAAAACAGACATATTTGGCTTATTTTCTACAGAAAAAAATTATACAGGAAGCATTGTTAAATATGAAATGGTGTTTAACCTACTTTGGGTTATATTTACATAAATGTGTTATTAGTGTGTGTCCTAAAATCATAGAATATTCCTGTGATTCTGATATGTCTCAATATATGTTGTCAGTAGTAATTACGATTATTATGTGTAAAATTGTCATATGCCACAAAAGTAACCAAATTTCCTTGTCAGTTGTGTCTCTAACTATGGCTGCTCTACAACTTTTGTCATCTACAATTGTTGATTACTTTGATCCTTTCATAGTGTGGTTTATAATCAGCTATAGAACTTTGTGGAATTCACATTTAGAGACCGTGTAATTGAAATGGAGAGAAAATCTTCCAGGACTCTCATGGAGAGCTGATGTTTTCATGAGGATTCCTGATCCAATATTGACCAGAAGTTAACTGCATGGACTGAACTAACAGACAATTGAAATAATCTTTTATGACTCTTTGTTTAAAACATTTGCTGATTTTGTTTTTCAGAGTCAAGAAACCTTTTTTATCTTTTAAGCTATTTACAGCTTTTAACATTTGAGTAAAGTATATATATATATATATATATATATATATATATATATATATATTTATATTTTAATTGAGGCAGAGTCTCGCACTGTCACCTAGGCTGGAATGCAGTGGCACAATCTCAGCTCAATGCAACCTCTGCCACCCAGGTTCAAGTGATCCTCTCACTTCAGCCTCCTGAGTAGCTGGGGTTACAGGCACCTGCCACCATGCCCAGCTAATTTTTGTATTTTTAGTAAAGATCTGGTTTCACCATGTTGGCCAGGCTGGTCTCGAAAACCTGACCTCAAGTGATCCGCCCAGCTTGGCCTCCCAAAGTACTGGGATTACAGGTTTGAGCCACCATGGCCAGCCTGAGTAAAGTGTACTCTTATGAGCAAAATTTAAAACACCTTCTCCTGTGAAAGAAAAATAACACCTTGGGACCCCAAATTCATTATGCCAAAGGGAAAGTTAAGCTTGGGAATTGAGTCATGCAAAAAACTATCTTCCTTTTGTTCCCAAACAGATAGCTGCCATTTCACATGCTTACTTTATTTTATGTAACGTGCAGGTTTACTGAGCATGAGAATAGTGCTTAAGTAACTTTTTCTTATACTACCTTCTTTGCACATTTAAAACTGTTGGGAGCAAGCCCCCCAAAGTCTGGCCATAAACTGACCCCAAAACTGGCCATAAATAAAATCTCTGCAGCAATGTAACATGTCCATAATGGCCATAACACCCATGCTGGAAGGTTGTGGGTTTACGGGAATGAGGGTAAGGAACACCTGGCCCACCCAAGGTGGAAAACTGCTTAAAGGCATTTTTAAGCCACAAACAAAAGCTGAGCAATCTGTGTCTTAAGGGCTTGTTCCTGCTGCAATTAATTTGGCCCATCCCTTCTTTTCCCTTAAAGGATACTTTTAGTTAATTTAATATCTATAGAAATAATGCTAATGACTGGTTTGCTGTTAATAAATATGTGGGTAAATCTCTGTTCGGGGCTCTCAGCTCTGAAGGCTGTGAGACCCCTGATTTCCCACTTCACACCTCTGTATTTCTGTGTGTATGTCCTTAATTCCTCTAGCTCCATTGGGTTAGAGTCTCCCCGAGCGAGCTGGTCTCGGCAAGTGGCGTCCATTCGTGGAGGCTCGAATCCAGGTCAAAGGGTTGCTGGAGCGACGGTTGGAATGGAAAACTAGCTGGAAGACACCCAAGTACTCTTAAAGCAATCCCCGTGGTGAGTAAGAAGGGGAGCTTTCTGTTCCCAAACAGATAGCTGCAATTTCACATGCTTTATTTTATGTAAAATGCAGATGTACTGAGCATGAGAATAGTGCTTAAGTGACTTTTTTTCTACTACCTTCTTTGCACATTTAAAACATAGACTCACTGAATGCTAATCAAACGTCACAAGAATGTAACCACTTGCCTCATTGCCTATCCTGCCTCTTTTTCTTCACCCCACCCCCACCTCCCCGCTTGCTCTTTCCTATTTAAATATTGAAGTTCCCAAAACCATACTTGGAAAATGCATGGATCACAGATCCTACAGTAACTTGCATCTGTTTCCTAAGTGTGTCCTCAACCTTGGCAAAATAAACCTCTAGTCAATTGAGATCTGCCTCAGTCACTTACTGGTTTACATTTTGGCAACAAGGGAATTATCTGACTGGAGTTTGGCCCTGACCTGCAGCAACTCTCCTATCAGGGCCCTGGTACTTGCTGAAGCTCTTTATCACTTTGACCAATTGGACAATTGGCTGAGGTCTGGAGGCTTCTTCCTCCAGAGATTGCTGATCTCACAAAAGTTTGTGGTTGAGATCTGAGGTTTACTCTGCTGAAGAGCTCCTTTTCTTAGAGTTTACTGCTTCTATGATGAAGAGCAATCTTCAGCTTGGTCCCCATCTCCAATAACAAACTCATTTGGAGTTTCATTTTGAGATTTGGTAGCTGAAGATCAAGGTTTACTATCAGCTGGCTCTGACCTCTTCTTATGCTCAGAGATCTTGACTGTATTTAAACTGTGTGATCACTTTCTCAGCTTTTTGGGGTTTTTTTTACTACCTAAGAGGTTTCATTTACATAAAAAGGCTGCTTTCCCAGCCTCTCTCTCTGTGCTATTAATTTAAAATTTTAGAGAGATCTTATTCTAAGTAAGTAATGAAAAGAACAGATTTTGAAAAGGACACATAGCAGTGTCGCAGCAAGCCTTAAAAATTCTCTTGATAAAACTAAGAGCAAACTGTATGGCCTAAAACAGATCTGGTAGTTAAAATTCTGTGACAGTGTTTTCCACCTAAAATGTGCTACAGAGGTTGTGTCTATGATACTATTTGGTTTCATTGCAAGAGTACCAAAAGTAAACTGGGTAGAATCCAAAGGAAATTGTATACAAATCTAACAGTCAGTTTATAGCATTTTTGTTGCCAAATTATAAGTAAATTGTAGGTATTTATTAATATCATTCCAAGGAATGACTAGCAGTGCAAAAAATAGGTACTTTAGTGGTAACAATTATTTGCTAATAATCCAGAACCTACAAATAACAGAAGGAAACAGCACACTCTTAAATAAATAATGGGACAAGGAAGAAACTACAAAGTCAATTAGAAAATACTTTAAGATTATGTAGAATGAGGGCCCAACAAACGAAAATGTATTGAATGCAGTGAAATGGTGCATAAAGGGAAATTTATTATTTAAATGTTTGTATCTAAAAAAGAAGTAAGGGCTCATATAAATAAACCCAATCTTCCACATACAATTCTGGAAAAAGAAGAGCAACTAAACCTAAAGTGAGCAGAAGGAAAGAACTAATAAAATGTTAAGTGAAAAATAAAGGAGAGAATACAAAAACAATAGGTAGAATAAACAAATCTAAAAGTTGGTACCTTGAAAACATCAACAAAATTAACAAACTTTTCACAAGGATGAGCAAGAGAAAAAGAGAGAAGGCTCAAATTATTAAAATCAGGAGTGAAAGGGGGAACATTACTACAGACCTTATGGAAATAAAAAGAATACTGAGGGAATACTACAAAAAACTGTATGCCAATAAGTTAGACAACATAGACAACATTGACAAATTCCTAGAAAGACATAAACTACTAAAGATTACTCAAGAAAAAAATAGAATATCTGAATAGACCTGTAATAAATAAATAGGTTAAATTAGTAATTTTCAAATTTTCCACACACAAAAAAGCTCAGCCCTGGGTGGCTTTAATGCTTAATAAAACCAAAAATTTAAAGAAGAATTAGTACCAATTCTTCTCAAAAGGTAGAGAGGAGGAGCAGACACTTCCCAACTCTTTCTGTGAGGCTAGTATTATCCTGATACCAAAACCAAACAAAGATAGCACAAAAAAGAAAACTACAGAACAATATATTTTAGGAATATATGTGCAAAAATCCTCAAAAAGTACTTGTAGACCAAATCCAGCAACAAATAAAAAGGTTATATTCCATTCCAAGTGGAGTTTGTTCCAAGAATGCAAGATTGGTTTGGCATCTGAAAACCAATTAATATAATATATCAGATTAACAGAATAAAGGACAAAACCATGTGACCATTTGAATAGATGTAGAAAAATGAATTGACAAAGTCCAGCACCCATTAAGGATAGGGGAAAAAACAACTCAACAAACTAGGAATAGAAGAGAACTTTCTCAACATGATAAAGAACATCTACAAAAAATGATCTGAATAGACATTTCTTTGAAGAAGGTATACAAATGACAAATAAGTATAATAACAGATGCTCAACATTATTAGCTGTCAATTAAATCTGAATCAAAATTACAATGATATATCACTTCACAACTGCTGGTATGGCTATAATAAAAAAACAAAGGGATACTATATGGTCCATTAGTTTTACTTCCAGGTGTCTACACAAGAGAAATAAAAACGTATGTCCACATAAAAACTTGTACACAAGTTTTCATTGTACACTATTTTAATAACATCCAAAAAGTGCAAACAATCTAAATGTTGATCAACTGATAAACAGGCAAATAAAACGTGGGATATTCATAAAATGTAGTATTCGGGTAAAAAAATGAAGTACTAATACATGCTACAATATGGATGAACCTTAAAAATATGATGCCAAGTGAAAGAAACCAAATAATAAAAGTTCAATATTGTATGATTTCACTCATATGAAATGTCCAGAACAGGAATATCTATACAGACATAAAGTAGATTACTGGTTACTTATGGCTAGAGATGATGAGAGAACAGGGGAGTGACTGTAAGTGGGTACAGGGCTTCTTTGGGGAATGATGAAAATGTTCTAAAATTAATTGTGGGGATAGTCATACAACTCTGTGAATGGACTAAAAACATTGTATTTATATACACTTTAAATTACTGAAGTGTACAGAATGTAAATTATATCTCAATAAAGCTGATATGTGCATACACACACACACACACACACCCAACAGCAGAAGAAAATACCTAAAAGGTAATGAACAAAAGCATTCAGATTAAAGCATGAGAATCTGAAGGTTTGGTCATCTACATCTTGTTCCATAGATAAGCATAGACTGTCTACTAAACACAGTTGTCAACTTGATCCAAAAATCTTCGCTGGATTCTGTTTCTTTCAAGACTGTTTCTAGAGGGGTCCACAAATAATTATCTTTGAAGTTTCTGATTAGGACATCTTTCCAGGGATTCTAAGATTATTTATGCCTCTTTAATTAAAAGACTTTAAGGATCAATATATTGGAGTTGCCCTCTTGTGTCCATTATTAGCAGTATTTGATATCAACTTTTTCATTCGTGTTCTAGAGCTTTTTCTCTTATTTCTTTAAGTCAGAACACCAGATCTTCAGGTTTACGATCATGCAAGTTTTTAGGAAGATTATGAGAAAAGGTTGCCTGTGCCTGTGGATCATAAGGTTGAATGTGTTGCATTAATTCCTTGCAATATTTCGCAGTATCCATTTGCAATATGTTAGAGTCTACAATCAGAGGTGACATTTGTAGATATTTGTGTAGGCCAGTCTGTTACTAATGTATAAGGGAAGAGTTTATGAACCTCAAAGAAATTGATGGCATTGACATTAAAGCCATGGCAATACCTCGGGCTATGGAATTTTGAAGGTTTCTGAGAGCTTTCCTGATTTTAGTTTCTGAATCTTCTTTTTTTTTTTTTTTAATCTTTCTTGAATAGTGAAGCTGATATGGGCAGTGAAGTTTCTGAGTAAGTGTTAAGGTTTTGTAAAGGTTTTTAATGACAGTGCCAGTACAATGGTTTTTTTCTGTCACTTGAAAAATGGGTTAGAATTTTGTAGGTTGGGAACACAAAATCAAGTAATATTTTTGCTGCCATTGGAACTGAAAGTATTCAGAAAGGAAATGCTTCAATTCAATCCCCAAAATAAATGAACAATGAGAAGAACACGTTTAAAATCTACTGAGTGTGTAGTGATCATCTGTAGTTGTTCAAACGCTCTCTGAAGCTTATGCTCTTGTTCATGTCCCATTTTTGAGTTGTGCCTACATGATGCTGGCAACAGATAAGACATGTAGTTTTAATAAATCACTAACCTTTATATTCTGCTTATTTTTAAATTATAAATTCCATCTGTGTAAATAGTTTCTCTCTTCTTGCACTTTACTAAAAGCAGTTAAAAGAAACCATTCTGAGGCTGGGCACGGTGGCTCATGCCTGTAATCCCAGCACTTTGGGAGGCTGAGGTGGGCGGATCACCTGAGATCAGGAGTTGGAGACCAGCCTGGCCAACATGCTGAAACCCCATCTCTACTAAAAATACAAAAATTAGCTGGACGTGGTGGCGTGTACCTTTAATCCCAGCTACTTGAGAGGCTGAGGCAGGAGAATTGCTTGAAGCTAGGAGGTGGAGGTTGCAGTGAGCCAAGATCACGCCACTGCACTCCAGCCTGGGTGATAGAATGAGACTTGTCTCAAAAAAAAAAAAAAAAAAAGAAAAGAAAAGAAAAAAAGAGAGGAAAAAAAAGAAAAGAAGCCATTCTAAGTTCTTACTGCTTAGAGATTTCTTCATTCGTAAGTTCATTGCTCTTAAGTTCCACCTTCCATAAAGTCCTAGGATATGGACATAATTCAGCCAAGTTCTTTGACACTTTATAACAAGAATGACCTTTCTTCCAGTCTCCAATACCTTGTTCCTCATGTCCATCTGAGACCTCATTAGAAGAAACTTCACTGTCATGACCACTTAAATAATCTCTGAGAAGATTCAGGATTTCCCTACAGCTTTTGTCTTCCGAGCCCTCACCAAAATTGCCCTTAGTGCTCAGTTCATGGCAATTTAGGTTTTTTCTAGCATTAACTTCAATACTGTGCCATCCTCTCTCCCCATTACCTGGTTCCAAATCCACGTCCACGTTTTTAGGTATTTTTCATAACAACACCTTACTTCTCTGGTACCAATTTTTGTCTTAGAACATTTGTGCTGCTATAATAGAATATCTAGCTATTTTAATAACAGAGACTGGATAATTTATAAAGAAGATAAATTAATTCTCTTACAGTTCTGGAGGCTGGGAAGTCCAAGGTCAAGATGCTGACAAATGATGAGAGCTTTCTTGCTGCATCCTCACATGGAAGAAGGTGGAAGGGCAAGAGAGAAGAAACTAATGCTAGGAAATGCCTCTTTTAAAAGGGACTTAGTCCCATTAACAAAGAAGCAGGTCTTATGGCCTAATCATCTCATAAAAGCACCACCTCTTAATACTATCACATTGGCAATACCTTGATTTTGGAGGGGACACATTCAAACCATAGCAGAGACCACTAAGTATAGGGAAGACTAAACCCGAGAACCAAGTGGCCAGAAGCCTGCACTAGCTCAGCTGATTCTGCTATTAGACTTAGATAAAGTATGAGCCTTTTGCTACTGAATCAACAGAAAGGCTGCCCGAAAGCAGTGAGTCTCAGATGCCTCCCATGAAGTTCACACATCACACCAGGGACTTCTACTCATACGTGAAAAGCTAGAGAATCATGTTTAGGTAGGCAAGGGGAGAGAGGTCCTGGACAGGTTATTGAAGGACTGATTTTAAATTACAAAATACCTCTTTATGTTTAGTTTGCAAACAAAAGGAGTCAATTAGTGAAGGCTTGGCTGAGCTGATTTCAGAAACAGTAGGGACCCACTTTTTGCAGTAGTTAGGAAGCCTCAGGATCTTTTTAAATGTATCCTAATTACTAGCCTAGGAAAGTCTTAAAAGAGCTATAGTTTGTTGGGAGAAAGGGATTTGCCTTCTTTAGAAAAATCTATCTTTGGTAATGCACTTGGTTTTGACAAAACCAAGTGCATTGGTTTTGTTACTTTCCTTTAAAAATTCTATCTTTTTAAAACATTCCTGGAACTCATCTGTTCTTTTTTTTTTTTTTTTTTTTTTTGAGATGAAGTTTTGCTCTTGTTGCCCAGGATGGAGTGCAATGGTGCAATCTCAGCTCACTGCAACCTCCGCCTCCTGGGTTCAAGTGATTCTCCTGCCTCATCCTTCCTAGTAGCTGGGATTACAGGTGCCCACCACCACACCCAGCTAATTTTTGTATTTTTAGTAGAGATGGGGTTTCACCATGTTGGCCAGGCTGGTCTCAAACTCCTGACCTTAGGTGATCCACCTTCGTCTGCCTCCCAAAGTGCTGGGATTACAGGCGTGAGCCACTACACCCGGCCTCACCTGCTCTTTAGGATATGGCAGCAGATCATCTATATATCAGATAACAATAGAACCACAGAAAAATTTAAGATCCTTAAAATTCTTGGTTAAGGATTATTATAAAATAGAATGGTATTTCAGTAAATCCCTGAGGCTTAGGAGTCCAGGTACAATGTTGGTTCTCAATTAAAATATAAATCATGTCTAGGGACACTTAGGAACACAGAACATATATTTAGAGCTAGAAAATATACAGCTTCAGACCAGGCATGGTGGCTCATCCCAGCACTTTGGGAGGCTGAGGCAGGTGGATCATCTGAGGTGAGGAGTTTGAGACCCTGTCTCTACTAAAAATACAAAAAATTTGCTGGGTGTGGTGGCACATGCCTATAATCCCAGCTACTCGGGAGGCTGAGGCAGGAGAATTGCTTGAACCCAGGAGGTGGAGGCTGCAGTGAGCTGAGATTGTGCCACTGCACTCCAGCCTCAGCAACTCTGTCTCAAAAAAAAAAAAAATACAGCCTCAAATAGGACTAAAAATAAGATTATATATAAATTTGGTTTTCCAAGTGTATGAGGAATAACTATGAGGCTGAGGTCATGAACAAATGTATATTCTCGCATTGTTTTTTTTTTTTTTTTTGAGATGGAGTCTCACTCGGTCGCCTGGGCTGGAGTGCAGTGGCGCGATCTCGGCTCACTGCAACCTCTGCCTCCTGGGTTCAAGGAATTCTCCTGCCTCAGCCTCCTGAGTAGCTGGGACTACAGGCACACGCCATCACACCTGGGTAATTTTTGCATTTTTAGTAGAGACAGGGTTTTATCGTGTTAGCCAGGATGGTCTTGATCTCATGACCTCGTGATCCACCTGCCTCGGCCTCCCAAAGTGCTGGGATTACAGGCGTGAGCCACCACGCTCGTCCTCACATGGGGTTTTATTATTAGGATGGTAAGAGTATTATAAGGATTGGTACAAGGCATGATGAGTCCTTTTGCTTTTAGGCTTTTGACTTCTGGTTTTAGACTTTCTTTAGCTTCTGTTGTTAGACAACATTGTGCAAGCTTGGTTTTTATAAGTTTGCATGGATTAAACTGAACTTAATGAAATTGTCCCTCCCCCCAAATTCTCAGCACAATTTTTAGGCCCACAAGGAGTCAAGCACCTCAAGGAGATCTTCAGTTTGAACTTGGTGTAGACACAGGGATACTGATGAATCAATATTCAAATTAGCTGTTACCTACTTAAGAAAGAGAGGAGACCTTGGGGATTTCGAGGAAGGGTTCGTAAGGGAGATTTTAGCTGAGAAATACCATTTGCACAGTCAATCACTTCTGACCAAGTTATCAGAAAAAGGAGAAAAGAATGTCTCCCCACTAAATGTTCTAGGGTGGTGAGAAATCTAGGGTGGTTATCTAAATCAACAATATTTAGATATTCCAATATCTAAATATTGTTGGAAATACTCTCCTGAAGTGTTCATTGAACTCTAAGAGAGACAGCTTGTGTATCAGTGGCAGGGTTTAAGGTTCATTTTTTATTCCCATATTAATCCTTTAATATTTAGACAAATTTCCTTCTGAGTTTAAGGATAAAATGGGATGGGTTCTGCCTGGGCCTGGCCCTCATGGGGACATCAAAGGGCAATGTTGCAAAAAAAAAAAAAAAAAAAAAAAAAAAATCAGACCATCAGATTGCATGGGGGGAACCACCCCCATAATTAAATTACCTCCACCCAGTCCCACCCTTGACACCTGGAGATTATGGGGATTGCAATTCAAGGTGAGATTTGGGTGGAGACATAGAGCCAAAGTATATTATTCAAATAAGAAATCAAAAGAGAAATTGGAAAGTTCATTGAGCTGAAAATGAAAACACGATATATCAGAATCAGGGAGTTGCAGCTAATGTATGCTTGGAGGCAAATTTAAGCACTAAGATCCTATATTATAACAAAAAAGAAAGGTCTCAAATCAGTGACCTGAGTTTTCACCTTCAGAAACTGGAAAGAGAAGAGCAAATTAAACACAATGTAAGCAGATAAAGAAAATAATAAAAAAAACAGAAATCAATGAAAGAAAAAAGGGAAAATTATAAGAAAAATCCAAGAAAGTAAATGCTAATCATTTTAAACAATCAATTAAATTGTTAGACTTCTAGTCAGCTGATCAAGAAAAAAGTAAAAAGGCACGAATTACCAATACCAGGAATGAAAGGGTGGGTGTCACCAAATCTTCTACAGTAATTATAAGGAAACAATGGACTACTGTAAGCCATTTTTTTCTAATAAATTTGATAACTTAGATGAAATGAACACATTCCTTGGAGGGCATAAACTATCAAAGTTCACTCAAGAAGAAATAGATAACAAGAGTATCTATTGACAAAATCAAGTTTTTAATTAAAATCCTAATGACAAAGAAAACTAAAGGCCCAGGTGGTTTTCATGGTGAAGTCTAACAATATTTAAGGAAACAATAACAATTCTACGCAAATCCTTCCAGACAATAGAAAAGGAAAAGGTCTTTCCTTTATTTGATGAAGATAGCATTACTTTCTTACTAAATCAAACAGACATCATAAGAAACAACAACAGAGACCAATAACCCTCATGAACAATGATGAAAATATTCTTACTAAAATTTTAGCAAATCTAGTTCATCTATATCATGACAAAGTGTACTTTATTGCAGGAAGATAAAGTTGATTTAACATTCAAAAATCAATAAATGAACTTTACCATATTAGTGGACTAAAAAGAAAAATGCATATGATCATCTTAATAGAAAAAGCACTTAGTAAAACCCAACATTGAGTCATGATTAAAAGCCCTCACAAAACCAGGGATAAAATGAAGAGTCCTCATAGGATGCAGGCCATCTACACAAAAATCTATGTCTTCCTAAAATTGAGAACAAGGTAAAGATATCTACTCTCATCACTTTTATTAAACATTGTACTGGAGGTTCTAACTCATGAAATAAGGCAAGAAAAAGAAATAAATCATCTAGATTGGAAAGAGTAACACTTTCCTTATCATTTGTGTACACCAGTCCATGGAATCCATGAAATAAAAGCTATTAGAACTAATAAGTGAGTTAGCAAGGTGGCAGAGTTCAAGATTAATATACACAAATCAAGGGTATTTTTATATAAAACAATCAGAAATTGAAATTTTAAAAATGTTATTTCCAATACCATTAACAAATATAAAATTGTTAGCCATAAACCAAATAAAACATGTGGAAGACTTGTACATTGAAAACTGCAAAACATTGCTGAGAGAAATTAAAGAAGACCTAACTAAATGGAACATGTACCATGTTCATGGACAGGAAGACTTGAAGTTGTTAAGATGTCAATTCTCCCAAGTTGAGTTATAGATCAATTGAATATCAATCAAAATTCCAGAAGGCTTTTAAAAGTGAAAATCAATAATTGAACTTTAAGTTTTATATGGAAAAAATGAAGGACCTAGAATAGTGAAAATAACTTTGCAAAAGAAGAAT
The DNA here is from genome assembly GCF_000001405.40 of Homo sapiens. Lineage (NCBI taxonomy): Eukaryota > Metazoa > Chordata > Mammalia > Primates > Hominidae > Homo > Homo sapiens. Next base: position 22,913,502 of record NC_000013.11, read on the forward strand.
AAAGTTGGAGGACTTACTTATCTGATTTCAAGGCTAAATATAAAGCTATATTAAAACAGTATGGTATTGCCATACATATAGACAAATAGATCAATGAAACACAATAGAGATTCCAGAAATAGACTCACATATATATGGCCAATAGATTCTTGACAAAGTACAAAGACAATTCAATGGAGAAAGTATTGTCTTTTCAACAAATGATGCTGAATCCCCAAAAAAGTGAACTTTGATTCGTACCTCACAGCATATACAAACTTTAATTCAAAGGAATTCATAGACCTTAAACTATAACATTTTTAGAAGAAAATAGAGCAGAAATCTTTGTGACCTTGGATACAACATAAAAAGCATAATTCATAAGAGAACAAATTGATAATATGCATTTCATCAAAATTAAAAACTTCCACTCTTCAAAATACACTGTTAAGAGAATGAAAAGACATAGATCAAGAGGACGTATTTTTAAATCACGTATCTGTAAAGGACTTCTATGCAGAACATATAAAACCCTTGAACCTCAATAATAAAATGCAAACATGCAATAAAAAGAGGAACGAAAGATTTGAACAGACACTTCACCAACAGAAATATTGATGGCAAACAAGATCAGGAAAAGATGCTTAATATCATTATTCAATAAAGAGATGCAAATTGAAACTACAAGTTGATACCACTACACACCTGCTAGAAGGTGTAAAATTAAACAGACTGATATACCAAGTGATGGCAAGGATGTAGAGAAATTAGAAACCTCCTACACTGCTCATGGGAAGGTAAAAATGGCACAACCACTTTGGAAAACAGTTTGGCAGTTTATTAAATAGCTAAATACACCTACCATATGATCCAGCCATTCCACTCCTAGAGAGAGAAAAGCATATGTCTATATAAAGGTTTGTATGCAAATGTTTATAACAGCTTTATTTGTAATAACCAAAAGCTGGAACCAATCCAAATGTTCATCAACTCCTGAATGCATTAACAAATTGCGTTTACTGATAAAATTGAAGACTCTTCAGCCATAGAAAGAAATGGGTTGTTGATACTGCCAAAAACATGGATGAATCTTAAAATAACTTCGCTGAAGCAAAGAAGCCAGAGCTCACAAAAGTATGAGGACATACACTATGCTTCCAGGTATATAAAATTATAGAAAATGCAAACTAACCTATGATAACTGAAAGTATGTCAGTGGTTGCCTGGGGACAGGCTGAGGGTGGAGAAGTGGAGGGAAGGATTACAAAGGGCACAAGGAGAGACTAGGGTGATGAATATGTTTATTATCTTTTTTTTTTTTTTTCCCCGAGACGGAGTCTTGCTCTGTCACGTAGGCTAGAGTGCAGTGGCGCAATCTCGGCTCACTGCAACCTTTGCCTCCCGGGTTCAAGCGATTCTCCTGCCTCAGCCTCCCGAGTAGCTGGGATTACAGGCGTGTGCCACCACGCCTGGCTAATTTTTGTATTTTTAGTAAAGGCGGGGTTTCACCATGTTGGCCAGGCTGGTCTCCAACTCCTGACCTCATGATCCACCCGCCTTCACCTCCCAAAGTGCTGGGATTACAGGCGTGAGCCACTGAGCCTGGCCGATCTGTTTATTATCTTAACTGTAGTGATGGTTTCACAAGCATAAACACACATCAAATTTTGCACTTTCAATATGCGCGGTTTAGTGTATGTCAATCATCCCTCAATAACACTGTTAAAAAAAGAAACATTAAAATTAAATTGTAAATTATCAAAGAAAAAAACACTAAAAGCACTTTTAAAAAGGCATAACTGTAAAGGGACTCTGATTAGATTGAGAGCAAACTTCACAACTGCAGCAATCACGACCACACACAGTGGAACAGTATATTCCAAGTGCTGATGAAAATAATCATCAAAATGGAATCTACCCTGCTGAACAGTGTTCAAGAGATAGTATAAAATGAATGCTTTTTAAAATTATTTATTTTTAGGGCGGGGCTGCCAAGGGAGGAGGAAGATGGCGGCGGGGGCGAGGTGAGGTGTTGGCAGTGGAAAGGGGTTCGGGCTTAGGGGGCGGGGGGACGCGGAGCGATGCCCGCGCCGGCGCAGGGGCGGATAAAAAGCCGTAGCGCCACGGGAGTGGGCGGGAGGGAGAGGGGGTACCCGAGGGCCACAAGAGTATGACGGGGCTGTAAGAGCTGGTGTGGCGGGTGCTGCCCCCCTGCTCTGTCTGCACCGCAAGCTCACCTCCTGGCTCCGCGTTCGGTTCGGCACTTGGAACTGGATCTGGCGACTGTGCCGGCGCGCCGCCTCTGCCGCGGTCCTAGCGCCGCTCGGCTTCACGCTCCGCAAGTCCCAGGCGTCTGCAGGAACCGCCATCACCACCCGCACCCGCGCCGGGGGTCGTGCCTGCCCGCAGCCCACCACCAGGTGCGCTGGCGCGCGGACGGCCCTTCCCTGGAGAAGCTGCCTGTGCACATGGGCCTGGTGATCACCGAGGTGGAGCAGGAACCCAGCTTCTCGGACATCGAGAGCCTCGTGGTGTGGTGTATGGCCGTGGGCATCTCCTACATTAGCGTCTACGACCACCAAGGTATTTTCAAAAGAAATAATTCCAGATTGATGGATGGAATTTTAAAACAACAGCAAGAACTTCTGGGCCTAGATTGTTCAAAATGCTCACCAGAGTTTGCAAATAGTAATGACAAAGATGATCAAGTTTTAAATTGCCATTTGGCAGTGAAGGTGCTATTGCCGGAAGATGGAAAAGCAGATATTGTGAGAGCCGCTCAGGACTTTTGCCAGTGAGTAGCCCAGAAGCAAAGGAGACCCACAGATGTGGATGTAGATATGTTAGTTTACTCAGTTCAAATGGTTGTCCTGATCCTGATTTAGTACTGAAGTTCGGTCCTGTGGACAGCACACGAGGCTTTCTTCTCTGGCACATCAGATTGACTGAGATTGTCTCTTTGCCTTCCCATGTAAACATCAGTTATGGGGACTTTTTCTCTGCCCTTCGTCATTATGCAGCCTGTGAACAGCGTCTGGGAAAGTGGTGGTCATTGGTTGCATAATTTGATCTGAGGCTTATGGAGGAAAGGACCCAAGTGACTCTGATGTTTAGAAAGCACCTATGAAACCCTGTACACACCTAGTTCATAATCCTCATAATTTATCAACAAACACAAAGAAGTGTCTTACTTGAGAGTGAGTGTGTGCGTGTGTGCGTGCACACATGTGCACGTTTGTATGTGTGGAAATAAACATAAATGGGGACGTGTTGGAGAAGGAAATACATAGACCTACAACTTTGAGCATATAGCAGTGATGTTTTAGGAACTGAAATGTCACACTTAATAAAGTCTTCAGCCCAGCTACTTCCCTGTTTTCGTGGGGAGAAGGGGGCCTGATTAGAACTGTTCTGGTTGTGTTTGGCGGGAGGGGAATAAATTTTGTTCAGTCCTTCTTAGTGACCAAACTTTAATTTTTAGGAATAACATATTGACTTACTGAACTGAAGCATTCTGAGTTGAAAGGAGCCCCAGAGGAAAGGAGTTCTGTGTTGCTCACATGTTAAAAGCTTGCTCACCTTCAGAGCAGAGGGAATACCTATCTTCAGATATCCGCCCATTTTCATCTCTTCATTATAGTCAAACAGTGTGACTTGAGAGTGTTGCTCTGGTGTCTGTATTCTGGCTTATGAAGATTATTTGAAAAAGAACTCTTACTACATTGAAATGCAGACTTTTAAAAATTTAAATATTGGATTAGGCAGTCAAAAAACCAAACAAGCATAAAAGGTCAGTAAGTTGTAATCTTAAAAGTAAAGGTGGAAAACTCATTATAAATGGAAGAAAAGTTTTGATTTCCTTTTTTGTTTGATGGGCAGTATGCCATATTATATCCAAAGTTGGTTTAAAAAATACTTCCATCAACTATTTTTATTTAAAATAAACATTTGAGGGAAGTTACCAAGGCAGCTTTTTTCCTCAAAAGTAACCTGTTCCTCTTTGGAACAGCACATTTTAGGGGCATGGTTAATACCTGAGATTTTTACTCAGTAAACCTGATGGTTACCGTGTGTAAAATATCTTTAAGTAGGATTGAAGGCCTCTGTGGGGAATATAATGTTACCAAAGCCTATAAAAATAAATTTTACATGTTCTTTTTTATGACAGAGAGCAGCACTGGTTCTGTTATTTTTTAAAATGAATAACTGATTTCTTGACAGGTGTTTAGTATTTCTTCCCTCACTGCTGATTCTTGGATAGAAACCATTCTTTGTATTTGATAGACTGTTTTCAGAAAACTCTTATCAACAAGTGTACAATAGTTATCTAAAACTGTACATTTAGAATGGAGCAGTTTAATACTAGATCTCAGAAATTTGAAAAATAGCAAAGAAGAGTGGATTTGGAAAGCATGGTCTACAATTGCTTGTCAATTCTGAAGCTATGAAGAATAAATGTTTCAGCTTTGGATTATGAAACCCCGTTTATGATTTTTAAAACACACTTGAAATAAAAATGATTGAACTAAATTTTGGTCCGGTGACATCATTTTGCACTGCATAGCCCATTATACATTGTAAGTCTTTTTGTTTTAATTTATTACTGAGAGTTTTCTGTGAAGCTACAGCATATCTAATCAGAGAATTTCTGATTTGTTTCCTTATACTGTGATTATGTTATATTAAGGCATTTGTAGTGCAGCTTAAGACTGAATTTATGCTTTTTGTAAACATGATCGGTGTAAATGTCTTATAAACATTCTGGAGTATGTATAACTTTAATGAATGAAATTTAATGGACCTGATTAAAATAAAGGGATTTAATCTTTGTTAAAGTGAAGTTAGTGGAATAAATTACCTACTGGAATATAGTCCAAGTCACTAAAGGTTTAATATTTGCATTTTTGTGCTTTTATTTTCTCCTTCCATTCATAATTATATACTTGAAAGTACATCTGTAGCCTATGACTTGAGTCTCTTGAACTTCTAGGAAGAGGCAAACTACAAACTACTAGGATTCTGATTTCAGATATAGGCATTCCAGAATCTTCTCTTTACGAGTTCACCTGCTAGTATAATCTCCACAACTTGAATGGCCTTGGTTGTTCTGTAATTGCTGCCAAAATCATCACAAGCTGTACGTCATCAAGGCTCCCTTTGCACTCCCAAGAAGAACTGTTCATTTTAAACAAAAGTGTATGTCTTTATTTGTATTGGAAAATATTGTCTTTAAATTGTTTCTTGTTGACACTTCCCACAATGGAAAAATTACCAAATTAAACCTGTTTTATGGATGGCAGCTTGGAGCATAGCAAGAAGTTGGAGGATTTGAATTCCATTCCCAGTTCTCATTGCGTTTTGTTTCTTAAAACTATAATAATTGGTTACTGTTATAAAGTTTAAAAGGTGGTTTTAATATGAATAGCAAATTCTGGTATATTGTGACTAACGCTTAAGAATGCCTGTCTTTGAGAGGAAGGTGTTATAATATTAATCAACAGTGCCAAATACACTGTGCATATCTACAATTTAATCTTTGAATGTTTGTTACTGGATTAGCTCCCTCCTCCTTCTGTGTGATGGTACCATGCATAGAGTCAATCAAATCCTTGTGATGTTTTGTATGGACTTTGACAACATGTAACTAATGTGTAAAGCAAGTTTTTATGATTAAGGAATCAAATTTATTGAATTTTATTATTGAAAGTTGAAACTTAACATGTATAAACAAAAAACAATAAAATAATAAACTATTTTCATTGACTATAAAAATTATTTATTTTTAAAAATTCATACATAATACTGTATGTATTTGTGGGGTACGTATTGGTGTTTCTATACATACAATGTATAGTAATCAGATCAGGGATATTAGCATATCTGCCATCTGAAATATTGATCATTTTTTGTGTTGGGAGAATTCAATGTCCTCTTTTAGCTATTTGAAAATATATATTCTTGACTACAGTCATCCTACAGTGCTATAAAACATTAGAACTTATTCCACCTAACTGTAATTTTTTGTCCTTTAACAAATCTCTCCCTATATCCCCCTTCCCTTTCCACCCTTGAATAACCTGGATTCTACTCTTTACTTCTATGAGATCAACTATTTTAGCTTCTATATATGAGTGAGAACATGTTTAACTTCCTGTTCCTGGCTCATTTCACTTAACACCATTTCCTCCAGGCTCATCCATGTTTCCATGGAGGACAAGAATTCATTCTTTTTATTGCTGAATAGTATTCCACTGTGTGTGTGTGTGTGTGTGTGTGTGTGTGTGTAGGTGTGTGTATGTGTGTGTATAAAATCATATTTTCTTTAGCCATTCATCTGTTGATGGAGACTTGGGTTGACTCCATAGCTTGGCTATTGTGAATAGTGCTGCAATGGACATGGAGTATGGACAACTCTTGGATGTACTGATTTTCTTTGCTTTGGTTCTTTACCCAGTAGTAGGGCTGCTAGATCATATGCTAGTTCTATTTTTGTTTTTTTGAGGAAACTCTATACTATTCTCTACAGTGGCTGTAGTAGTTTACATTCCCACCAATAGTGTGTAAGAATTCCCTTTTCTCCACCTCCTCACCAGCATTTGTTTTTTGGTTTTTTTTTTGTATTTTTGACAATGGCCATTCTAACTGAAGTGAGATGATACCTCACTGTGGTTTTGATTTGCATTTATCTGATGATTAGTGATACTGAACTTTTTCCATATATTTGTTAGTCATTTGCATGTCCTTCTGAGAACTATCTGTTTGAATCATTTGCCCATTTTTAATTTTTTTTTTTTTTTGCTGTTGAGATGTTTGAATTCCTTGTGTATTCTAGATACAAATCCCTTGTTGGATGAATAGTTTGCAGGTATCTCTCGCCCTATGCAGAAGTTAACTCAAAATGGATCAAAGACTTAAATGTAAAACCTGAAACTATAAAAACTACTAGAAGAAAACACAGGGAAAATGCTTTATGATATTGGTCTTGGAAAAGATTTTATGAATAAGACCTCAAAGCACAGGCAACAAAAGCAAAAATAAACAAATGGGATTACATAAAAGTAAAACGCTTCAGCATACCAAAGGAAACAATCAATGTAGTGAAAAGAGAACTAACAGAATGGATGAAATGAAGACTTTCAGAACCAAAACATCCTGAGAGAGTGTCCCACTGAAGACCTACACACAATACCCTACTAAGAGGTATTCTTTGACCAAAAGTAAATTGAACCTGGGAAGATGGAATAAGATACATGAAGCTCGGGTGAGCAAAGAAAATGCAAGATAATACAGGTAAATCTAAAGGAGCACTGAGTGTGTAAAATAATAATAATCGTAACTAATAATGCAGGTAAAAAAATACTACTGAACTAAAACCTTATAGAAGATAAACACTAACTTATGATTTAAGGAGAACAACAACCTCTTAACCTAAGAATACAAGAGAATTTCCTTATCCTGATAAAGAGGATTAAATCATATAGAAAGTATTATCTTTCATTGTAAAATTCAGTGCTGCTCTAAAATCAGCTCCATTTTTATGTTTCATTGTGCTAGAGACCCTAGAAGCAGATTGTGAGATAAAAAGAAATCTGTTATTGGGTCTAGGAAGGAAAAAAACTAAGCTATTACTATGTGCAGAACATTTTTGAAGAGGAAATTAAAGATAATCTAGAGACAGCTGTTAGAATTAACTAGGGAGTTCAATGAATTGCAGGATATAAATTCAGCATAAAAATTACTAGCAAAAATTAGATAAGTATATAAGATTCCATTAACAGTGAAGAACCCCACAAGGTTCCTAGAGATACATGTAATAATAATGTGCAAGACGTTTCTAATAGGAGGAAATGGGTAAACTTTGTTGGAAGGCATGAAAGAAGACCTAAGTGAATGGAGAAATATGCCATATTCATGAATAGAGAGACTCGTTAATGATGGAAACTATCATTACATTGATCTAAAGATAAAATGTATTTCCAAAATCTTTTCCCAAAATGTGTTTTTCATGCTGATTTACAAAATTAACATACAAGAGCAATGAGCCAAAAATAGCCAAGACATACCTAAATATAAAGGCGAGAGAGATAACAGATATCACAACTTATTTTATAGAGCTACAAGTCTTAAGAGAGTGTGATATGGTTCAGAGATGGGTAAATAAAATAATGAAACTGAGGCTACAGCTAGAAAAAGAACCATGAATACATGTGAACTTGGTATATGATGGGGGCATTACCCTTCAATGGGGAAGGGGTGCACTACTTGGCACGTGGTGCTGGAGCAACAGAAAACAAATTCATCAAGAAAAAATAAATCACAGGTAGGTCAGCACCTACACGTGAGAATGCAAAGCTATAAAAGATAACATGAGTTTATACCAATATCACAAAACAGGAGGAACAGTTTGAGGTATCAGACACATTAAAATTTAAAATTCTGTTCAGAAAAAGGCACCATCAATAAAGCAAAAAAATGTACAAGCCTCAGTCTGAGAGGATATATTTGCAATCCACATAACCGATGAAGTATCACTATCCAGATACATAAATAGTTCTGAAAATCAGTAAGAAAAAGGCAAGTGACCCAATGGAAAAATGAGCGAATGATAAGAAACAATAAATATCAAGAGAAAACAATGGGCAATAAATAGTGAAAAGAGGCTGAACTTCACTGCTAACACTGAGAAACACAAATTAAAACAACTAGATGCCATTTTTCACCCATTAGAGTGTAAAAAATTAAGAAGTTTGATACTACAGAGTGTTGCCATGAATCTGTGGAAATGGAAACTCTGCTGCTGGAAGGCGTATAAACTGGTATAACCACTTTGGACAGCAATGCAGCAATACCTAATAATAATGGTAATGATAGCGCTAATGTTTAATACTTATTGAACATTTATAAAGTGCCAGGCATTGTTAAAAGCTGGCATGGAAAGCTGATGACACACATTCCCAGAAGCCAGGGGCTCTTCCTACAGTGGCCTGGCCCAAGGACCCCTGCACATGGCACCAGCAGACACAAGCAAGGCTGCTCATGGTGTGGTGGGAAAGCAGAACTCGTTTGTAAGTTCCTGAGTGGGGAAGGATCACTAATCTGTGCCTCATTGGCACAACAGAATATTCTACTCCAGCTAACAGAAACACACTGAATTGATGTCCGTCAATATGGATAAATTTCAAAAACTTGATTTTGAGTGAAAAAAAGCAAGTTGCAAGAATCTTTACACCATTTGGCCATTTATGTCAACTTTAAGGCACATAAAATATTGTTGGAGGATGCAAGCATGTGATAGAAAAGTACGAACTTGTAGGTGGGAAATATGGACACCAGCCCTCCTCCATAGAGAGCTGACAGCTAGCTGGGGAGCTAGCATTGGTCCTTCTGTCCATCCATCCACAGGAGCCAGGCCATCTCCAAGGAGGGAACACCGGCTAAGGGAAGCAAGAGCCAGCCTTGAGGAGCTGGAACCTGGAGGAAGGTTATTCTAGGAATTCAAGGACTTAAGACATTTGAAATCTACTAACCTCATTTGTTATGATTCATTATACATTAAAAAGTCAGGAAACAGCAGATGCTGGAGAGGATGTGGAGAAGTAGGAATGCTTTTACACTGCTAGTGGGAGTCTAAATTAGTTCAACCATTGTGGAAGACAGTGTGGCGTTTCCCAAGGATCTAGAACCAGAAATATCATTTGACCCAGCACTCCCATTACTGGGTATATACCCAAAGGACTCTAAATCATTCTACCATAAAGACACATGCACACGTATGTTTATTGTGGCACTGTTCACAATAGCAAAGCCTTGGAACTAACCCAAATGCCCATTAATGATAGACTGGATAAAGAAAATGTGGCACATATACATCATGGAATACTATGCAGCCATAAAAAAGGATGAGTTCGACCGGGCGCGGTGGCTCACGCCTGTAATCCCAGCACTTTGGGAGGCGGAGGCTGGTGGATCATGAGGTCAGGAGATCCAGACCATCCTGGCTAACATGGTGAAACTCCATCTCTACTAAAAATACAAAAAATTAGCCAGGCATGATGGCGGGTGCCTGTAGTCCCAGCTACTTGGGAGGCTGAGACAGGAGAACGGCATGAACGCAGGAGGCAGAGCTTGCAGTGAACCGAGATCATGCCACTGCACTCCAGCCTGGGCGACAGAGCGAGACTCCATCTCAAAAAAAATAAATAAATAAAATAAAAGGATGAGTTCATGTCCTTTGCAGGGACATGGATGAAGCTGGAAACTATCATTCTTAGCAAACTAACACAAGAACAGAAAACCAAACACCACATGTTCTCACTCGGAAGTGGGAGCTGAACAGTGAGAATACGTGGACACAGGGAGGGGAACATCACATACTGGGGCCTGTCGGGGTGGAGGGGAAGGGGAGGGATAGCATTAGGAGAAATACCTAATGTAGATGACGGGTTGATGGGTGCAGCAAACCACCATGGCACGTGTATACCTATGTAACAAACCTGTACATTTTGCACATGTATCCCAGAACTTAAAGTATAATAAAAAAAATTTTTTTAATTAAAAAAAAAACATGGGCTCAATTAACATGCAGCCAAGGTAACACTTGTTAAAAATCCTACCTCCATGCAGGATGAGAATTCCTCTGGAGGTGGGAACAGAGAAAACTTCATGCTTGGTAAAGCACCTGAGGCACCCATTACAATCTGGGACAAGATGAGGACATCAACACTCATGCTGTATTCCACATGGGAGGCCAAGTCAACTCAAGATGATTTTTAAGAGATATAAGAGCCAGGCATGGTAGCTGATACCTGTAATCCCAGCACTTTGGGAGGCTGAGGTGGGAGGCTTACTTGAGTCCAGGAGATCAAGACCAGCCTAGGCAACAAAGCAAGACCAAGACGCCTTCTCTACAAAAAAATAAGAAAATTAGCCTGGCATGGCAGTGCACACCTGTGGTTCCAGCTACACTAGAAGCTGAAGGGGGAGGTTCACTTGAGCCCCGAGTTTGAGGCTGCAGTGAGCCACATTAGTGCCACCGCACTATAGCCTGGGTGACAGAGCAAAAGCCTGTCTCCAAAAAAATAAATAAATAAATAAAAGCTATAAATACTGCAAAGAGGCAAAACCTGCTGTTGTTTGCTGACAAGCTAATCATATCTAGCAAATCCAAGAAAAAAAAAACAGTAAAAAATGAATAAGAGAATTCAGTAATATAGTCAGAGATGAGGCCAACATATAAAAATCCATGTCTTTCTATATACACAAGAAATAACCATTTGAAAGAAGCTGTCCTATTTACAATAGCTAGAAAAACTGTGAAATATCTGGGGGCAGAGGTTGGAAGAAACAAAAATGCACACAAAACTTGTGAGAGGAAAACCAAACCTTTATTGGCAGGCACAAAATAAACTTTCTGAGTAAATGGAAAAACATTCTCTTCTTGAATGAGGAAATTAACATTGTAAAGATGTCAACGGTCTCCCAAAGTGATCGAGATGCGCCCTGTGCAGTGGAATCCCAAACTGTAATTGCATCTTTCACGGAATTTGACACACTGACTGAAATTCACCTGGAAAAGAACATGCTTAGTAAACATGGTTTCCTGAGGGGGAAAAAAAAAAGAAAATTGGTTTTGCAGACAAGGTTCAAGTTAGAGATCCCAGAAAGAAACGGATGTATCTCCATGCGGTGAGGTACGCTGGGAAGGGCATGTCCCGCGGAAAGAGCAGGGTGGACGATGGACCGTCTGGAAAACAGGCTGCCAGGGGACAGAATCAACACAGATTTCCAAGTCACAAAAACACGTAAATTCTGTGGATTAAAGAAAGATATCTAGAGATCTACAAACACAAATCTAAAGAATCCTTGATTTCACTGAAAATCAAAGATGTTGATGAGGGTAATCATGAGCTATTGTTTTTCACTCATAAAATTGGGGGTGAAAGACAAGGATTAACCTTTCTAGCGATGATAAAGGTGTAAAAAGTATTTGGCTGCGCGGCTGGTGGTGAATAATTTTTACAACCTTCTCAGAAAACAATATGGAAACGTCCAGCACAAGCCAGCAGAGAAAGCCTGTTTGAGGCCTCTGCTGTGGATAGGGACGCCTGCCTGAACACAGGGGAATCATGCGCATCCATGCTAGCTGCAGTCATTTTGGTAATAGAAAAAAAAAAAAAAAAGAATTAGAAGGGGAAGGAAAGAGAAGCACCTTAACTCTTCGCCGGCAGAGATCTTGTTACACAGCAGCATCGCCCCACAGGGCAGAGGCCTCTGCAGCCATCAAAGAAAATGAGATCGAGCTAAGTGGGCCAACGTGGAAAGCTCCCGGGACATGGTGTTATATGTAAAAAGCAAGTTGCAGACGACGCATGAAATATGTATGATTCCATTTGTGAAAAAGCAGCATCGCTAGAAAAAAACTGTATATTTTATTTCGTATGTACACACAGTGTGTAGATCCATGTAAAGAAAGCAGTCCAGACGGTGGGGCGGGGTTGGAGATGCAGCCAGCCCTGCTTTGTGTCTAGATACTCCGGCATGCTTGGCGCCCCCATGCCCGAGGTCATGTGCTCCTGCCATAATTTAAACAAATGCCTGAACAGCAAAATGAAATTAGAATAGGCAGCTAGACGTGGTCTGGAGCGCAAGAGGAAGGTGCGGTGCGGTGAGGTGAGAAGAGAGACCGCGCTAGACCAGGCGATGTCTTAGGGACGGGAGAGGGGTGAGGCCCACGGCGGTCCTGGGGAGCGGCCCACGACCGGCCCACGCAGAGCTTGTAGCCAGTGAACAGGAAGTATTGGCGAGAGGGACTGAGAAACCCAAGAGAGTGTGGGGTGAGGAAAAGGTCAAGGAAGGCCCAGGCTTCCAGGAAGGGCCTGGGCCGGGGCGGGGCGGGTGGTGGGAGGCAGTGGTTAGGACGGGCGGGGGTGGGGGTGGGGGTGGGGGTAGGGGTGGGGGTGCCACAGGAGGCCGGCGTGGCCTTGGAAGCCGCTCAGCCGCGCGGGGGAGCCCGGGGATCCGAGGAGCTGCGGAGGGAAGGGGAGGAGCAGGGCGTGGTTGGAAAGGCGGTGGGACAGGGAGGGCTGGGCTGTGCGGCTGTCCCGTCCTCGTGAAGAGGAGCGTTGGGAGGAGCCGGGAGAGACAAGGCTATGGGCGGCGGGCGGGGACGGCTGTCCCTCCCTCAAGGAGTGGAGTTAGCGAGGCTGCGCTGGGGTGCTCCGTTGCCGAGGATGGGCCGAGTTCGAGGCGGCAAAGGTGCGGGTGTGCAGGGGGGAGGCGGCGCCCTCCTCGCTGGGTCTGGGGTCCCGCAGCGCCTCGGGCCGGAGCAGTGAGCGAGCGTGGGTGGGAGCTGCGGCCTGGGTCCTTGAGCCCGGCTGCCCCGACGGCAGGTGCACCGGGGTTGCGGGGGACTCGGCGCATCTCCAGGGCGAGTGAGTCCAGGGCCTTCGGCCTACAGGCTGAGCAACGCGGACAACAGCGAGGGGGCTCCGTGGCACAGCTGGCGGGGTCACGGCGCACGCCTGGGCGCCCTGGAGCCCGGAGACTCAGCAGCCATCGCTCGGGGCTACCACGGCCCTCCAGGCTCCTGAGCCACCCGCACGGAGGACGAGCTGCGGAGCGCGGTGTGCGGATAGCCAAGCTCCTGCCGCCAAGGCCACCCCGAGCCCAGGCTGCCAGGGCGGCATCCACAGCCGGCGGCCCGCGGGCCTGGGCCTGAGACCCGCGCAGCAGCCCCGCCTGCCCTGCCGTGAGAGGGAAGTAGACCGCGCTTGGTTTCCGCAGGTTAGAGTCTCAGATGCATTGTTACAGCTGCACAAACTACCCTACCCCGACAGTGCGTGGGTGCCGGAGCCTTGGTCCATAAGGGAGCCTTGTGGGCAGTGGCTTAGGCAAGAGCCTGACTGGTGTCATCCTGTCCACTTGTTTACTAAAACCCTCTGCTGTGGTCATTCATTGCTGACCATTCACATAGGACAGACATATCTTCATGATTTTTGCCCATTCGCGAGGCCTATTCACATATCTTTTCCCCAAATATCTTCACCACCAATTTTTCCAATCGTTCTTTCCATGTCTCTGACCATCCAGCATAAACATTGAGCACAGCTGGCGAAATAGTCCATCACTGCACAACTGGCCACTGCTCCTTCTAAGCAAAGTGCACAGCCAGGTGCACTGCCTGCAGCTCTGCCCAGGAGGACTTCCCTTCCCCACTGTCTTTCAGGGACGTCCCAGGAAGGGGCTGTAGTTCTGCAGCATCCACTTTCAGGTGGTGCCTGCATATGGGGCAGAGCCGTCTGTAAACCAGGCCTGAGTCATCTCTTCCTCTGTCAGATATCATGGGGACCTCCCCAGGAGGTCACAGGCTCAGGCTGGGAGAGAGGGTCTCAGCTGAGAAAGGCGGTGGGGCAGGAGTGGGGACCATGGGCACTTGGGCCACTGCTTCATGTAACCTACTTGAGCATTCAGGGGCTGATTGGGCCTAATCACATACATACCACTTCCATTCGATGACAGAGTGTTGCTGTGCACACCTAACTGTATGGCTTGTTGGGTCAGATAACACCCTCTGACACCACCCTCTGACACATAGACGTCTCACCGATAAATGTAGAATAGTTGCTACTTCTTGCTCACTAAGTCCAATCAGCATGATGTCATCAATGTAATGCACCAGTGTGACATCTCATGGAAGGGAAAAGCAACCAAGATTCCTGCAGACTAAATTATAATGTAGGGCTGGAGAATTGATGGGACACTCCCTGAGGTGGGACAGTGAATGCGTATTGCTGGCCTTGCCAGCTGAAAGAAAACTGCTTCTGGTCAGCCTTCTGGACAGGGATGGACAAAAGGTATTTGCTAGATCAATAGCTGTGTACCAGGTAACAGAAGATGTGTTAATTTGCTCAAGCAATGAAACGACATCTGGTACAGCAGCTGAAATTGGAGTTACCACCTGGTTAAGCTTATGATATTTCAGTCATTCTTCAAGATCTATCTGTGTTCCCTACAGGCCAAATAGGAGAGTCAAATGGGAATGGGGTAGGAATCGCCAGCCCTACATCTTTCAAGTTCCTGAGGGTGGCATGAATCTCCACAGTCCTTCCAGGAATGTGGCATTGTTTTTGACTTACAGTAGTCACCCCTTATCCCTGGTTTCACTTTCCACATTTTAAGTTACCTGTTGCACAGTACAAGATATTTTGAGAGAGAGAAATCACATTCGCATAGCTTTTATTGCAGTATATTCTTCTAATTGTTTGATTTTATTATTGTTGATAGTCTACTGTGCCAAATTTATAAATTAAACTTTATCATCAGTATGTATGTATCAGAAAAAACATAGTATAGCTAGGCTTTGGTGGTTTATATGTCCATAGTTTCAGGCATCCACTGGGGTCTCAGAACACATCCCCTGCAGATAAAGGGGGGCTACTGCATTATTTTCCCAGGCTAAAGCAGTTCTAGTGGCTTCTGCTTGGTCTTCTTCACTGTAATAGTCCTTACTCCACAGGTCAGGTACCCAGTGTGTAGATGCTACCAGCTCCTCAGTATGCCTCTTCCAATTATGCATTCTGGAATGGGGAAATAACTACAGGATGGGTTTGGGGACCCACTTGACCCACTGTAAAATGAACCTGAGCTAAAACTCCATTGATCATTGAGCTCCATAAGCCCCTACTCTGCCTGGGTGGCCACAGTGACCTTTTCAATCTTCTGGAATCAATGTCAGTGCAGATCCAGTGTCCAGTAGTCCCTGAAAGGTCTGAGTCCCTGAAAAGGTAAGGTAGGTCCCTTTGGAGGAGGCTGGGGAAAAGATTAAGAGTATACATTTCGGGTAGTGTACCAGGGTTGTTTTCCAAGGCGACATTGTTGTCCCTTCATTCACGAGTTCCAAGTCTGTAAATTGGCTCAGGTCTGAGAATTGAGGGGCTGTAACTCTCTGCTTTGAGAGAATGATTTTATGATTTGAATTTGACTTCTGTTTTAGAGACTGGGTCTCATTATATCACCCAGGCTAGAGTGCAGTAATGTGATCATAGCTCACTGCAGCCTCAAATTCCCAGGCTCAACAGATCCCCCTGCCTCAACCTCCTGAGTCACTGGGACCACAGGCATGTGCTGCTATGCCCAGATTCGACTTAGACTTTTATTCACTTGATCTAAAACTTTTCTGCTTATACAGATCACGGCTTCTAATCAAATCCCCTTCCAGGAGCCCCATGATAACGGGCCAGAGCCATGAGTCTCATGAGCCAGGCTGTTCTGATTGCTGCTGTGCCACTCCTGCCCATTGCTATACCCGCACCCACCTCGCTGTGGCCCTGACAGCTGGATCCAGTTGCTTCCCTTGCACTTAGGTTTCCAGCTGAGTGGCTGTGGTTCCCACCGTAAGGTCTGACCTACAGAGAAGAGTTATGGCAGAGCTCTTCAAGGAAGCTGGGGCCCCCTCACACAGTTCTTTCTCAAGGTGTTAGTGAAAGGCTGTCTTCCAGACCCCCCAGCGTGGGTGAGTAGGTCTGAAATGACAAACCCACTCTAACACATCAGCCTCCCTAGCCCTTTAAGCTCCCTCTACATTAAACTTGGGGAGATTGGATCTTTCCAGTTTGCTCACAGCAGGGCAGACTATCTTTTGACCCCTGTTCAGCCATCCAACCAAACTTCGCCCTTTCTAACTCACTGAGCTGCAACTTTAAATCCACAATATCTGCTTACTGAGCCCATATCAATAAATTTGGCCTGATCCAACTTTATGTTCCTTCCACTACCATCTCACATCCTTAATATTCATTCTCACCTGTGTTCCCTGGATTTCCACTTGTATAAATTAGAAACCCATGTTGTTCTTTTGGAGTGCAACATACCTTCTTGTGGGTCACAATTTGTCCCTCACCTTCAGGGGCCTTCTGGGGTTTGGGTCTAGTTATAGGTCTAGAGGCAAAGTGGGGTGGTGAGGCTGGGTCCTGAAAAGAATCAGCATTGTCCCACTTTGCCACCACCTCAGAGGAAGATATGACTCAGGATGCGGGGGACTCCCACAAATCAGGTGGAAAGGCTATACCAGTATTGGCAGGGATGCTGCTGCCACTGGGGATGTGAAGGCCACTTTGTTTGAGGGTTGGGGGGACCTCTTCCACTGGCAAAGAATACATCAGAATTTAGGAGCTCGATACCCCCAGCTTCATCAGGGTCTTCCCACATGTCCCCATTCCAACTTACAGTATCCCATTCTTTCCCAATCCATTTCCCCACTTAAGAGTAGACATCCTAGGAGACTGGGAGCTCAACTTGCATTGAATTAATAATTTGGCCAATTGCTGGATGAGATCCTGAGTTTGATTTTCAGAAACTTCAGCCCTGTGCTTGTATGAAATAAGGCTCTTGGGGCACACATAGAAACTCTTAGGTCACTTTTGTGGCTCTTGAGCTGGGAATTTGAATCCCTGAGCTCATCTTTTTCTTTTACCACTTTGTGCAATGACATTAGAAGCAACAAATGTCATTATATTCCTCAGTTTTCCTAAAATGTTCAAAAGTATCATATACAGAGTCATGTAGCTCCTTGCTTCTTATAAGTGGTTTATTAGGAGGATCCAATGCAGATAGTTTGCATATCTCTATAGTTTATGCCATGGGTGATCAGTGCTCTCTTTACTACTGGAAGTAGAATCATTAGTGTCTTTACATATAGTCTGATTAAAGATCCAATTCCAGAAACTCCAGGAAGAATTCAGAAAACTCATCCTCAAAATTCTGGTCCTCTAGATCCACTCTTGGTACCAAAATCTATATTAGAGTTCTACAAAGAAACAGAATCAATAGAATATGAATATATATAAATATATATACATATATATATATAGAGAGAGAGAGAGAGATTTATTATAGGAGTTATGTAGTTACGGAGGACAAGAAGTCCCACAGTCTGCCATCTGCCAGCTAGAGACCCAGGAAAGTCAATGGTGTTATTCCATCTGAGTGCAAAGACTAGAGAACCAGAAGCACCAATGTTCAAGGGCAGGAGAAGATGGATGTCCCAGCTAAAGAAGAAAGTGAATTCACCCTTCCTCAGCCTTTTGTTCTATTCAAGCCCTCCATGGATTAAGTGATGCTTGCTCACTTTGAGGAGGGCAGGTCTGTACTCAGTCTACTGACTCAAATGTTAATCTCTTCCAGAGACACCCTCATAGACACATGCAGAAATGATGTTTTATCAGCTATCTAGGCAACCCTTAATGCAGTCAAGTTGACACCTAAAATTAAACATCACAAGCAGGGAAGATGGTGTGGGAGGTGAGGTGTGTCTGTGAGCAGAAGCTGGGTGGGTCTCTGCATGAACATGTAGGTACGGGTGCAAGCATGTGGGAGCTGTTGGTGGCAAAACTCAACAGAATCAACTCATATTTAGGAAGTGAATCAGATGTCCCATCCTCTGAGCCCTGTGACATTTCATGATCTGGAGCAATAAAAAACTCTCAGAGCAAGATGTATAATAAAAAGCTAAATTTTCAAGTATGGTTTTTGGAAGAATGTGACTTCTGACTTTTAACAAAAAGCAGAAACAAACACTTTCTTTCATACTTAGGAATTGTCTGCCAGGCTTCTGGAGGCACCTGGGCCGTGTGGGTTCACAGCGGTCATCCAGGGAATGGATGGACATGGTGAGTTTCTGAAGCACGGGCATCACCCTTAGGGTAGGGGGAGGGCTCCAACACCAAGGCCCCCAGCACACATTTCACAAGGAAAAATGACCGTGTCGTGCCTGTGTTGGTAGGTGATCAACTGTGCTTAACCGAGAAGGGAATTTTCTCTAGTTAGAGGCCTCACATTAAGCATGCATTGGCTTCATCTGGAGTGTGCAGAACAGAATCATTCTCTTCCCCATTCCTCACCAAGAACAGTAATTAGAATGCAAGTTCATCTCCATATAATGCATTATGACTTTAATATCAGTAAATGCTTCTTACATATTAGATGCAGTGAGGAAATATTAGTTGAAAATTCACAGACTGGTATGATCAGTTTCCTCTAGGATAAAATGTGATAAATGGGTTTTAATAAACTGAGGAGAATTATAGGCACCATCATCTTGGTTCCTGTCAATTTTACTTAGAGTAAAATGCCATTGCAATAATTAGTTGGTTTTTACTGTATTCATTAAAAGTTTTTCTAATGACCACTTGAGGAATAAGTAAAATTAATTTCTTTCTTGAACATCAAAGGAATTCATCAATCAAACAAAAAGCAAACTTCAGGGATTATGCGAGACAGGGTGAGGACCAGTGGTTTTCCGTGCCCACTGTGGGGACAGCGCTTTCCCGCCGTATGTCATTGGCATGGAAGCTCGAGGCCATTCCCCCGAGGTGTGCTGATGGAGAGGGATGCAGGCCCCGGGTGGAGGCCCTGGCCGTCCTTCTCAGGTGCCATTGAGCTGTGACTCCAAGGCCTCCTCCTCCAGGCAGCTTTCCTTGACTGCTCCAACTTCAGGGCTCTCTCCTGCCTGGCCCACACACTTGAACTAGGGCTCCTCAGTCTCAGAGGCTGAGGCCAGTTTCTCTCTCTGCCTGTGGCCCCTCAGATTCCAGCATAGGGCCAGGCACTCTAGAGGGCTCAAGGGCCACTACCCCCGTCCTAGCTCCTGCAGTGCTCGGCCAAGCTCAGCCCTTGTTCAGCACACCAGCCCTGTGAGCCACGCTGTCCCTGGAGCCTGGCTCGGAGGATGCGAGGAGGATTCTCCAGCAGGCAAGCATGGTCAGAGGGGCCACTGGGTCGCCAGATGGAGTCCCTGTGCCGATCCCACAGTACACGGAGAGGAGCAGAAAAGCGGGTGAGGCCTGGGGAGATGACATCACATGGCTGGGGCTACTCAGTGGTGAAGGGAGAGACAAAGCCGGACACCGCTCTGGCTACTGGGGGGAGCAATGGTCCTTCCCACCTCTTGTGCCAGGTACAGCACTGGGGCCTGGGACCAGGACGAGCCTCAGAACACGGCTGGTGAGCACACCCACCTCCACCTGCACCCATCCCCGCTCCCCACACACACCACACACACACTCATCACACACACACTCATCACACAACCACACACTCATCACACACGCTCATCACACACACCACACACTCATCACACACATTTTACACACACCACACACACTCGTCACACACATGCTCATCACACACTCATCACACACCACACGCTCATAATACTCATCACACACATTCATTACACACATACACCACACACATGCTCATCACACACATTCTCATCACACACACCATACGCACTCATCACACACACTCATCACACACATGCTCATCACACATGCATCACATGCTCATAACACACTCATCACACACATGCACCACACACATGCTCATCACACACATATCACACACAGCACACACACTCATCACACACGCTCATCACACACTGATCACAGACACACGCTCATCACACACCACACACACAGTCATACAAACTCATCACACACACCACACATATACTCATCACTCATGCTCATCACACACATTCATCAAACACTACACACATGTTCACACACTCATCACATGCACACCACACACTCATCACACACATTCATCACATACACCATACACACATTCATCACACACGGCACACACATGCTCATCACACACACACCATGCACACTCATCACACTCACACACACATCACACACGATCACAGACATCACACACACCACACACATGCTCATTATGCACACTCGTCACACGCACACCACACACAGTCATCACACACACATCCCAGACACCACACACACCACACCATATATACACTCAACCATCACACGCACACACACCACACACACACACCTCATCACGCATACACCTGCACACAGAGCCACACACACTGGGCCATCACACAGACACCATGCACCACACACACACACACTCATCACACACAAACCCAATCACCTCACACACCCATCCACCCCCATCACAGCCCCCACCTCTGCTGAATGGAGCCCCACCATCCTTCAATGACCAGCTGGCACCTCGTCCTTGACGTGCCCCATCGCACTTCCTTCTCCCGCCCACGAGGACCTCGGTAATGTCGCCCCTGAAACTGCTGCGGAACCTGGAGCCCACTGTAACCCAGAATTGGAATCCCAGCTCAGCCCCTGCACACCTGATTGCCCGGAGAAATGCCTTATTCCTGACAGCCTCTTGGTTCTTTTCCGTCTCCGGTTAGGTGAGAAGGTCAATCTGGCCCTGCGGGTTATGTTGGGGGTTACATGAGAACCTCATTGGCATGAAGAGGCCAGGCAGGTCCTCCGACAGTGCCACAGCCCCAGGCTTGTGCCGCCAAATCACGGAGGCCTTCCGGGCCCTGAACACGAACCGGACGGGGCCTTCCCGCATTACTACCCGAATGACACTGCTGGGGGGACCGCTCTCTGGATGCCATTGTGGCCACGTGTCGGGACGGTCGGCTGCTTGACTCCACGACTTAAAGCTAGATTTGGCCTTTTAAGCCTCTGTCTCAGTGCCCTCGGGTCCCTTCTGCAGCTCACCTACCTGTCCCTCGGCCTCTGGGGTGGGCTGGCAGGGCTCGTTCTGGGACCTACGTGGGGTGGCAGCAATGGCTGTCATGGTGCAGAGCCGGCTTCTCGGAGTGCCTGGTCTGGGGATCCCCAGGGAAGGCACTGAAGCTGTCTCCTAGGCTCCCGGGCCTGTGAGGCCCAGCCAGCTCCACCCCTGCCCCACCCACCCCAAGCCCCACAGGGGTCCCCTACCTGGCAGCTCAAGCCCAGCCCCCTTTCCTGGTACCCTGAGAGGCCCCACCACCACCTCGTGCCAGTCAAGGGTGATGTGTGGGCCGCTGGGCCTTTGATCCCTGTCAGGGTCACTCAGAGAAGCCTGGGTGAACATGAAAGTTCGATGCTAAGCCACATCCAAGCCAAGACTCAGGAACAAGCAGGGACCTTGCCTGTAGTGTCCCCAACTCCTGAGCAGCTCTCCAGCTTCTGGATCCCCTGGCTCTTTTTGGCTGAGGGGGCTCCTCTGTGTAACTCGGCCAGGCCCTCTTTCCAGGCTTTTATTCTTCCTGCAGCCAGAGAGGGGGGCAGAGGGAGCCTCTGGTGCCAGCTCTGAGGCCTCTCTTGAAGCCCAGCCTGAAGGTGTCTGTCCCCACCTGCTGCTACCCCCACCCTGAGATGGGGGCTTAGAACCTTTGCCCTGGTGGCTTGCCCTGCTGGGACCCCTTCTTCTAATCTCAGAATGACCGACCCCTCGCCTCCCTCACGTCGCTGTTTCAGAGCTACTTTCTCACCCAGATCCCCGACCTGGTGCTCCTAGTTTCCCCACCCACCTGTGCTACGTGTTCCCAGGTGTCTGCCACCTGCAGCAGGCTGCCCAGTCATTCCTCCCTCCCCGTGTGCTTTCATCATCGAGCCCCTTCTGGCCCCATCCTCCAGCTCCCGCCGTGTTGCTCAGAGCAGCTCACGGTGCACGGCGACTCCGGGGAATGGGGTTCCCACAGCTCCCCGGCTTCCATAAAGGCCACGGCGGGCTCTGCAGGGCAAGCTGGCCTCTGCGATCACTGCGCAGTGACCCCTCACAAGTAGCATTTTTGCACTTGGGAGTCTACACGTTTTTTCATTTTAAAAGGAGTTTGTCCCTGCTGTTTGAGAAATATGCCCAGGAACACAGCCCTTCTCAGAGAGTCTGGTTACTTAAAAGGAAAGCTCTTGATTACATAGGGGAGTTCACCGTGGTGCAATGTTGACGGAGGCATGGCCAGCACAGGGCAGGAGCTGGGGGACTGACACCTCTGAGGACAGGTAGACACTCATCATAGCAGCAACACACTGCTTGCACCTGCAGAGGCCACAGGCTCAGCAGAGCTGCCCTGGCGATGCTGGTGATTTCAGGAGGTCTCTCTAGAGTGCCGGGAGATGCTGCACCCTCAGAAGTGGCCGCCAGGAGTGGCTCTGGCAGATTGAGATGGTGATTTAGCTGATCATGCCGCCGTCCGTGTTCACTCTCCATCAGAAGCCACACCTCACTCTCTTAGAGCGAGGGAGAGACACACTCAAGCTGGGGGCAAATGGCATCTGCAGAGCCAGATCCAGGGGCCAGGAGGATCGGGGACTCCCCGGGAGGAGTCTCCATGCCACGTGAGTCAATCAGGGAACCCTAATTGGAAAGCAGTAATACAAAGTAATTGAGTTTAATACATAATTTAGATGGTTACTCGTTAAGCTAATGCCTCCCGCTTAGGTGTGGGGAGAAAATTATCTAGTAGACGGGGAAGATTTCATTTGTTTTTATAATGGTATGCTCGCCAATTGACTTTAGTAAGAGCAGTTTGTTAAATCAGATTTTGAATTGGTGCATAGATTTGAAGTTCATAAGTTAGTTTTTGATGTGATATACTTAGCGCCTCCCTTCTTCCCTTAAAGTGGCTGGATTTATTCTCCCATGAGGCTGTGCGCTCATTGTTGTCCTGCATTATGGAAATTACATCAGTTCTCCGTGGTGTCTTCATGAGAGGCAATTTTACTCCTGACTTCTACCTGTTTTTTTTTTTTTTAATTTAGGAAGGGACATTAAAGAGACTCTGCTTGCTTCTTTGCGGGGCCTTTTTCCTCTTGAAAACAGTCCCAGGGCTGCAAACAAATGCTTTGGTTAAATATCAGAAAGGAACTTACTAACAACTCCTTACTAGGGTCCAACCGTCATTCATTAACCTGTCTGATTTTCTCAGCAATCCTGTGAAGTCAAGCGGCCGCTAGGAACCCAGCTCCTGTGTGTACACATCGAGGCCGTGGGCCTGGTCACGATCGGTAGCTGGGTGCTGGCCTGGCAGTGGGGACCAGGCCACACCCACAAAGCAGGTCCGCCTGGGCCTGGACCCAAGTTCATCTGGCCAGCCCAGTGATGGCGACCCTGACTCAGTTTCCCTATCAACAAAATAGGAATAAGATACTGAGTACCTAAAGGGTTTTAGGATGGAAGGAGGCGATGCCTGCCCACGGCACGTAACAGAGCCAGTGCCAAGAGCTGAGCTGTGGGCACTGCAACTACCCCAGTAGAATGGCTCCTGGACCCCTCCCCGAACCAGCTCCCCCTCCTCCAGCAGCCATACCACCAGGCCGACAGCATCTGACCCATAGGGCCCCACCCTCACGCCTGCTTCTCACCAGCTTTGGGGACTCCAGTGGGCATCCCTGTTCTCCAGGCCTCAGCATCCTCAGCTATGAAACAGGCTGCTGAGGCCTCCCTTGGGCAACCAGCATCCCGGCCGCAGGCAGAGGGGAATCTTGCTGACAGGAGGCAGGAGACCACCCCAGGAACCAGGGTTTGCCCGGTCTCCTCTTGGGGCAGCTATCCAGGCAGAACCTCAGCCCTCAGATAGCAGGATCACGGCGAAAACTAAGTCATCATGTGTCTGAAATTGGTGGGTTCTTGGTCTCACTGACTTCAAAAACAAAGCCGCAGACCCTCCCAGTAAGTGTTACAATTCTTAAAGACGGTGTGTCCAGAGTTTGTTCCTTCTGACATTAGGATGCATTTGGAGCTTTTTCCGTTGGTGGATTGCTGGTCTGGCTAGCCTCAAGAGTGAAGCTGCAGACCTTGCAGTGAGTGTTACAGCTCATAGACACAGCACGGACTCAGTGAGCAGCAACAAGATTTATTGCAAAGAACAAAAGAACAGAGCTTCCACACTGTGGAAGGCTATCTGAGCAGCTTGCCACTGTTGGCTAGGGCAGCCTGCTTTTATTCCTTTATCTGACCCCACCCACATCTTGCTGATTGGCCCATTTTACAGAGAGCTGATTGGTCCGTTTTGACAGGGTGCTGATTGGTGCATTTACAATCCCTGAGCTAGACACAGAGCGCTGACTGGTGTATTTACAATCCTCTAGCTAGAGGTAAAAGTTCTCCAAGCCCCGACCAGATAAGCTAGATACAGAGTGCTGATTGGTGTATCCACAAACCCCAAGCTAGACACAGAGTGCTGATTGGTGCATATACAATCCTCCGGCTAGACATAAAAGTACTCCAAGTCCCCACCCCACTCAGGAGCCCAGCTGGCTTCTCCTAGTGGATCCCGTGCCAGGGCCATAGGCGGAGCTGCCCACCAGTCCAGTGCTATGTGCCTGCACTCCTCAGTCCTTGGGTGGTCAATGGGACCAGGCACTATAGAACAAGGGGCGGTGCCCGTGGGGGAGGCTTGGGCCACACGGGAGCCCAGGAGTTGCGGCGGGGGCGGTGTTGCTTGGGCATGGGGGTGCTGCAGGTCCCAAGCCCTGCAGCATGGGAAGGCGGCTGAGGTTCGGCGAGAATTCAACCACAGCGCGGGTGGGCCGTCAGTGCTGAGGGACCCGGCGCACCCTCCTCAGCTGCTGGTCTGGGTGCTAAGCCCCTTACTGCCTGGGGCCGGCGGCACCAGCCGGCTGCTGGGAGTGTGGGGCCCGCTGAGCCCGCGCCCACCAGGAACTCATGCTGGCCTGCGAGCACTGTGCACAACCTCGGTTCCCACCTGTGCCTTTTTCTCCACACCTCCCAGCAAGCAGAGGGAGCTGGCTCTGGCCTCAGCCAGACCAGAGAGGGGCTCCCACAGTGCAGCGGCAGGCTGAAGGGCTCCTCAAGCGTGGCCAGAGTGGACTCCATGGCCTGAGGAGTTGCCGAGAGTGAGCGAGGGCTGCTAGCACTTTGTCACTTCTCAATCAGGACCCCAGGCCTGAAGGTCATCCCTGCCTGGTTCCTGCAGCAGCCTCAGTGACAGGTGCTGGGGAAGGCCCTGATGCAGGCAGCCTTTATCTTGGCCTCCCTTGGACCCCCAGCCCCTCCAGCTCCAGTCACTGTGTTCCAATAGAGACCCCCCAGGGCACTGCAGGGAGTGCTTTCCACAGCCCCAGCTGCACCCCACTTCCAGCTTGCCTCTGGAAACAGCCACGAATGGCAGGGTGGCACCAGAAGGTAAGCCTTTAGGGAGAATGAACACAGGTCTCCACCCTCAGACAAACACAGGCCTCCACCCTCAGACAAACACAGGCCTCCACCCTCAGACGAACACAGGTCTCCACCCTCAGACGAACACAGGCCTCCACCCTCAGACGAACACAGGCCTCCACCCTCAGATGAACACAGGCCTCCACCCTCACATGAACACAGGCCTCCACCCTCAGAAACAGAAGCTCCACAGAGCCCCCAAGGGACCCTGGGGCACCCTGGAAGCATCCAATGTGCACTGGAGTCACCTCAAGAGCCATGGGGACTTGGAGCCGCTTGATTCTGGGAAAGCTCTCCCCGATGGAACATTGGAATAAATGTGTGTAGCTGTGAAACCCCCCTTTGCATAAAATCAAAAAGAGAGCCTGTGTAAAACAGATTTCTAAATACCCAAGACCTTAAGACACAGCCTCTCCTCCTGGGCACCTCCACAGCCTCTTCCTGCCCTTCTTGCCTCCAAGCCGGTGCAGCTCCTTCTAAAACATCTTGGTGCACCCAGGGTCCCCAGAGGAAGGCGGGAGCCCACGGGAGACACGTGGACAGGAGTCAGCCCCTCCACCAGCCTGCCGGGAGGCAGATGGTCGGGAAAGGGGTGCCCTACCACTCTACTACAGAAGAATCTGTTACCATGGAAGCATCCGGAGCAATAAGGAGGAGGTGACTTTGCTCCCCAGGAAGTGGGGCCCTCTGCCCCAGGGATGGGTGCGCTCGTTTGCTAGGAGGGCCGTTCAGACTGAGGCACCTGGGGTGGGGGGTGCAAATCCTGGTCTTGTCCCCAAGGGCCCTGGGCATGGATGCCTTCAGCAAACTCTCCCCAAGACCCAGGCATGGGGCGAGGCAGGACCTGTCCTGGAGCTCCCAGGCTGGGGCAGCAGGGAGGGCCAAGGCGAGGGGCCCTGGTGTGTGGGAACTGCCCCAATCACCCCCCAGTCCCTGACCTGAAGCTGCCCCTGGGGCTGAGGAGCCTCACTCTGTCCCTGGGCCAGGGTCCCGGGCTCCCCAGCCTGTGGAGTGAGAGCCGCAGGGCAGGGATGGTCAAGCACCACCACCCATGGCTGTGGCCCCAGCCCCATCGCCTCAGCCTCCAGAGCCCCCAAGCCTTCACCCAGCCTTATGGGCCCCGCTGCCCACACCCTGGTTCATGGATTTGAGCCAAGCTCACCCGTCTGCCCAGTGGCTTTGGATTCAAGAGTGTCCTTGGCTCCCCCTGTCCCCCAGCCATGTCTCATAGTCCCCTGGGGTAGGCTGAAGGTCTCTGAGGGAAACCCGCTTTCACTGTGTGGAGCACAGGCCCTGGCCCACTGCGGGCCCACAGGACTTTCTAGGAGGAGGAAACGCCTTCTTTCTTGGCTTCTCGTATGCTCCCGTGTGGGCCATGGGTGCGTGTGGCTGGCGCCCAATGTCAGTTCCTTTCATTCACTTCCCTCTAAGCACCTCCGTGGATGAGCAGCCACCGTCCTGGACACACACAAAGTCTCAGCTGGCGTGTGGCAGGCTGTGGGGAGCTCAGCCCCTCCACTCAGACGTGGTGGCCGTGGCCACTGTCTCGAACAAAAGGAAGAGCTTGTTTACAAATTGTTCATTGAAAATTGAGTTGCAAACATTGGCATCAGGCCTCGCCTGCCAGGCCACCTGGATTGGAGGGTAACTTATGAAGATTGCTTTACCTGGGGGCATGCTGGTCTATGCCTGTGAGTAATTCACACCAGGCTCATTTCAGATGCAGTCAAAGACCCCCATATTTCACCACAACAATGTAATCACAGAGCCACGTTAAAAAGTCATTACTGTTTAGAATCCAGCTTGGTTTGAAAAACACTTACTATAAAATTCAACAGCCTTTGTAAATTACCAAAAGGTTTACTTAAGAATCCTAGGTGCCGTGATTTAGACCGGGAACTTACCACTTTATTAATTCTGTGGGATTTTGTCGGTCCCTGCATTTATAAGGCATGATTAGTGAGTGATGAGATAATAAACTCCTCCGTGCTGGTTCGGAAATAATGATGAGTTGAGTTTGCATCCTCAAATTTCTCATGCAAACCACTCCTGCTCCAAAGAGTCCCAGATGCAACTTTGGGTGGTTTTGCAGGCAGTATGGCCATCATCTCCCAAGGGGAGAGAGCACAGGGGGAGCTGGCTCCTCCGCTCACCTCTTTGTGGGATCCCGGCAGGCCTGCCCACCGCATCCCAGGAGAGCAGCCATGGAGCCCGATTCTGTTTCCAGGCCAGCTCGAAGGGTGCTGGGAAGCACTGGCAGAGCTCCTGCAGATGCAGATGCTCCTCTGCCTCTTTCGTGGCAGTCCAGGGACCAGATGTGTGTCTGCACAAGCCCTCATCACTTACACGTGGTTGAACAGGCAGGACTTGGTGAATTCCTTCTCAGTTTTGTCCTGAGAGGCAGACAGCGTGCCCCTGGCAGCCTTGAAATGAGGGGTCATTTGGGGATCCTGAAAGCTGAGGTTCTAGCCCAGGAAGTGCCCCAGAGCCCGGCCATCCTGACACACTGACTCTCCTTCCATGCTGGGAGACAGCAGCTCTGCCCTGCCCACCTGCCCAGAAGTGGCCAGCTGGCTTTTTGCCAGGTTCTGCCCTCTGCAGCCCCAGAGCTACACCTGTCCTTTCTTAGAAGCTGCCAATGGCCATGAGTGTCCAGGACACTCTGGGAAGGACTGTAGTAAAATAGTCAATGTGTTTAATCCATGTTTCCCACTGGCCCACCCATGCCTTTGACCCACAGGACAGTGGCCACGCATGTGCTTGGGAAAACCACCATAACAGGTCCAGACAAGAGTGCTGGCCTGAGCATGGGTCACGCTAACGTGGGTGGCTCAATTAAGGAACAGGGATGGACTTCCTGTCCTGTCGCCCCCACACACTCCTGCTTCTTCTAGTGGCCATTTCTGTGTGAGGCTGGAGCACAGTGGAAGGTCTGTGAACCTGTATTAAGCAAAATAGAAACTAAATGTGGACTTGGACTGAAAGGAAATTGAGTTAGACAATGAAAATGGATGGGAATGGAATGGAATTCGGATTTGAACTGAATGGAATTGAATTGGAAGTGGATTAAAATGGAATTGAACTATAATCTAAACCCCAGTAGGGCAGAAAAAAATGGACAGGCTGAGCCAGGGGAGCTGCCCTCACCCCATCTGTTCCCTGCCCTGGGGAACCCTCTGGTCAATACTGCTAATAGGAACTGAAAATTAAAATGGTGCTGATGGATTTTCTTTAATATGCACAGACGCATCTCAGAGTATTTCTGTAAAAGCAGTGACCGAGCCTGTAGAGGTCATGAGGCACCTGGGCCAAGCCCCGAGATGCTCCCAGAAACAGCACTTGAGTCGTGCACTTGAAATTCAAAGCGCTGTCCACCTTTGACAGAGCAAGCTCCTCTTGTCCGGCCACGTACAGTCCCTGAGCCACAGAAGAGGCCCCCAGAAGCCTCCTCCAGCAGACAGGAATGAGGAGTCACTGCCCGTGGGGAGGGTGCGCGGCGGCCTGCAGCCTGAGGAACACACGTGACATGGAACAGCAAGGATTTTCCACCACGGGGTTGCTCCGTCTGTGCAGGGACCCAAGGGTGCCAAGAACACTGAAGACTTCAAGGGCCTGGCATCAAACACTGCTCTGGGGGGTAAACAGACACCTGCTGAGAGCAAAGGGAGGGCCCCCTAGAGAGCAAGAAGACTCAGCCCTCCAGCGCCTGCTGGAACGTGGAGCTGCGAGGCCACTCATCAAGAAACGGAGCAGCGTCTGGAAGTGGGAATGGCCCTGAGACGACAGCAGCAAGAACACAGAGAATTTTGTCCCGCAACCTCAAAGAACTCAGTCCTGGTCATGGCACTTGTCACCAGTGAGATCTGGTCTTATTTTTACAGGAAATAAACACAGTCTATGAGAATTTTAGCAGGTCCATGGCCTTTCACCCAGCATCCCTCGGCCTGCTTCTCTTGTGTGAGAACATTCTCTTAATCAGCACCACACCATCAGCACGTTCAGGAGGCTTACAGGACCCTGTTCTGCCATCTCTCACGGTGTGGTGTTGGTCAAGAAAGTGTTCCCGGAGCAAAGCGTGCTCAGCTGACACCCGGACTGGTGGCTTTCTCTGCAACAGGGACTGTCTTCATTCTCCTGCGTCTTTTGGGCTGGATGGTTGGTCCAGCATCCACTCCACATTTCCCTGGTTTCAAGTTCTTTCCTGTGTTGAGAGGGAGAATCCAGGAAGGACCCCCAGGCCCCATCCCCTGGATGACTCCAGTGAGGTTGGCAACGGGAGGAGCCAGGTGAAATTTGGAAGATGAGGGGGACCCAGGACCTTTCCACCAGCTGGTGGCTTCTCCAGGTTTTCCCCCCATTCCCCCTTCACCACTACAGATGGGCTCGAGATTTTTGGCAGTTTTCTGGGTAACCCCTGAGGATCCCTGCCACAGTGATTCAGGCTGGGCCCATCCCGGCTTTCTTTCCAGCCCTTCCCACCTCACCTCCCTTCACTGGACCCTCTGCTCTACTGCTTGGAGCCCTCCATTTCCCAGCCCCGCCCAAACCCATCCATGCTTGAATTATTTTCCTATTTTTTTGTTGTTCTTCTTTCTTCTTTTTGTTTTCTTTGGAGGCAGAAACAGAAAGATGCCTCTTCTCCCTAAGCGCCTTTATCTCCATGCTCCTCTGTTCTCCCTGTGGTTCCTAGGCCACGCCACTGCATAAGGTTGCCACTCTGATGTTTCCCAAAGCTTGAGGCTCCCTTTCCCTACTGGGCTTCCAGCTCCCCAGGAAGCTCACTCCCTACCCATAGCTCCCCCGCACGTCCTGGGTGGCCCTGATGTCCCCGCTCAAACACCCATGGAGATGAACTGTTCCAGCTCTAGCGAGAGCTCCAGGTCCACACCTTGGCTGGAGAGGACCGGAGCCTCCTCTCATCCCCCAGCCAAGTAGGCGCCTTTCTCTTCCCAGGCCCGCCAAGCCCCCTCCAGCCAGCGCTGCATTGGCCACTCCTGCTGCCAGCACCAAGCTGGCGAGGCTCTGAGCGCCGGCCCTGCTGTCCTGGGTCCTGGGTCCACCCCTGCAGAGCAAGCCCACCCATCCAGTCCCCGCCGCACCACCAGGCACAGCCCTCCACAGCCCTCAGCAGTACAATCTGAAATCTTCGGCACTTGTTCTTCCTGGCTGTTTGCCTCTCTCCCCGCGGGGAGGCGCCTCTGAGTCCCCAGGGCCTGACTCTCACAGTGCTCAGTGATTATTTGTTGAATGAATAAATGTCCTTGACACCCCATCCAGCAGTCTCCCCTGCTTGCTTCTGAGCTGGTTTCTCTCTTTCACGACTGTCCTGACTCCGCTGGCTCACTTTCCCACCCTATTCTGCGACCCTATCATCTTTTGTTTTCTTGTATTTCTTCTTAGGTTTTGTTTTTCTTCATGATCTGTGTTCTTTGTCCCAATGTTTTATTATGGGATAGTTCCAACATTAGGGACAAATTACATAGGGTAATATGAACCCACCACCTGGACTGGACAAATATTAGCATTCTGCCATATTCGCTTTAGGTAATCATTTTTAGAAGTGAAACATTATGCATAGACCCCTGGTATATCATTCACCAATCCCATTTTCCTCTCCCCTCGACAGCCTTCTCAATCATGTTTGATATCTTTACCACAATCTATCCTGTTGTTTAATAAAGATATGTTGTAATACTTTACACAAATGGTATCCCACGGTGCATATCATGTGTGCCCTTTGTTTCTTTTTTAACTCAACATTACATTTTCAGATTGATCTGCGTCTGTGCAGGACCAACTGTTGCAGATGCCTCTGTCTTACTAATTTCTGTGAGTTCTTTACACACGCTGGATGATGAACACTGGTCTGTCATGTGTAAGCAGACCAACTACTGGATAGTACTTTGTACACATATGCCATGGATGTATAGCCTGTGTTCACTCGCCAGCCCTCATTGTTCTGATGGGTCACTGTCATAAGGGGGGCAGTGGACACATTCCTGGGGAGACCTTCTTGTGCAAACATGCAACAAGGTCTCCAGTCTAGAGAGAGGGACTTGCCAGGTGGAGGAACATGCCTGGTTCCAGCTTCACTAGGAGTAGCTAAATGGCTCTCCAAAGGGTGGAGCCAACGAACCTTCCCTTTAGCATGAGCCTAGCGCTCCCTTGCCCACTGCCAGCTTTGTTACTCTTAGATCCTTAATCTCTGTTAATCTGATGACTATAAAGCAAAAGGTTACTTTAATTTTCATTTTCCTGGTAACTGGGGAGAGGCTGCATCTTTTCAGGTCATTGCGTGTCTCGTTTCCTCTTCTGATAATTGCGAGTTTGTATCACTTGCCTGGTTTTCACTAAGTTCGTTATACAGTAAACATGCATATGTAAACGTATATATCTTTACTAAAACAATGGGATACATTGTGGTAAAGATATCAAACATGATTGATAAGGCTGTCAAGGAGAGAAGATAATGGGATTGGTAACTGACATACCAGGGCTCCACTCTATTCATAAATGTTTCACTTCTATTTGTCTTTTTGATTTATGTGAGCTCTTTTTATGAGATGGATAACCATCATCTCTCTGTTTTGTTTATAGCAAATATTTCCTCCTGAGTGTGGCTGGTCTTTTGGCTTTCAGCTTTGTGGCACCTCTTGTTGTATAGAAGCTATTAATCATAACATAGTCAGCTTTATCAAACTTCAGTTTTATGTGGTTTATGTTTGTCTGTCTTGCTGGAGAAACTTTTATGGGCCAGGTGCAGTGGCTCACGCCTGTAATTCCAGCACTTTGGGATGCTGAGGCAGGTGGATCACTTGAAGTCAGGAGTTCAAGACCAGCCTGGCCAACATGGCGAAACCCATCTCTACTAAAAATACAAAAATTAGCCTGCTGTGGTGGCGTGTGCCTGTAATCCCAGCTAGTCAGGATGCTGAGGCAGGAGAATCACTTGAACCTGGGAAGTGAAGGTTGCAGTGAGCCACTGCACTCCCGTCTGGGCAACAGAGTGAGACTCCATCTCAAAAAAGAAAAAAGAAAGAAAGAAAGAAAAAGGAACTTTTCTGTACTTTGACATCATAAAGCTATTTCACTATAGTTTATTCTAAATGTTTTAAAGTTTTGCATTTCATATGTAGGACTTTAACCCATCTGAACTTTATTCCTGGTGCAGTGTTAGATAATAATATGAATATTTTACCTCTCTGTCAGTGACATTTGACCAACGAACAGTTGTTCCTGTTGATGTATGGATCCCTGTGGTGCGTACCGGGTTTCCACTCTGTGCAGGTCTGCTTTTGCCTTTCTGTTCTGTTCTGCTGATCTGTTTATTCTTGAATAGTCTCTATCAAAACTCTAGAGGAAATCTCTTGGTATTTGGTAGAGAAAACATATCTACCCTCTGCTTCTTCTTCAAACCTGTCTTCACCATCCTGGGTCCTTTACTATTCCATGCGAAGGGGTAATCCATCTTATCAGGTGCCATGAGAAAACGCTGCTAGGATTTTAATGAAATTGCATTTAATTTATTGATTATTTTAGAGGAGAGCTGAACATTTGAAACTGAGTTTTTGTATTCATGATGTAGCCTTCCAATTAGTTAAATCTTCATCTATAGCCCTCAAAAAAATTGTATTAGTTTCTCATTTAAAATGTCCCACATCTTTATTATACTTATTTCTAAATACCTTAGAGTTTTATTGCTATTGCGAATGGTGTGTTTTTTCTATTACAGTCTCCTGTTAGTGTTGGCTAGTGCATAGCAGTGCTGTGGATTTTTATATCTTCTTATATTAAACCTCATTAGCTCTCATTGTAAAGTCTTAAAAATTTTTGTATGCAGAAAGTTATATTGTCTACCCCAAAAATATGAAAATTTATGTCTCCTCCTTTCCAATCCTCACTCCTCTTTTTCCATCTTGTCTTGCAACGTTGGCTGGATCATCAGACCATGCTGAGTGATGGCTATGAGAGAGTCAACTCCCTGCTTTCCACTTTAATGGGACTGCATCTGGAGTTTCATGGGAAGCTTGAGCTTTGATACAGGCTGGCTGTGGCTGCGTTTTATCAGGCTAAGGTCATCCTTGTAGCTCTTGTTATCTAAGAGCCTCTGCTGGGAAGGAGGGTAAAATAAACCCAGGCTATATCCTCTGAGATGATGGTAAGTTTATCTCCTGAGACTTGTTGATGAGGCTGACAATAAAAGTGGATTGCCTAGAGATACTTTATGCTTATGTTCCCAGGACAAAGCCCGTCATAACTGATTCTGCAGCCGGTTCCCCATCCTCACCCCTGGTGTGACCAGCCAGCCTGGCCATGTGCCCACCCTCTGCTGACCACTGGCTCTTGTTGATGACTCCCACCCCCA
Source organism: Homo sapiens (assembly GCF_000001405.40). Classification (NCBI taxonomy): domain Eukaryota; kingdom Metazoa; phylum Chordata; class Mammalia; order Primates; family Hominidae; genus Homo; species Homo sapiens. The sequence continues at coordinate 22,947,847 of NC_000013.11, forward strand.
CATATACACATAGTTCAATGGACAAAAAATTCTAGGAAGAGAGTGGAGCCGTTATCCAGGTATCTTTTTTTTTTTTTTTTTTGAGACGGAGTCTGGCTCTGTCGCCCAGGCTGGAGTGCAGTGGCGCAATCTCGGCTCACTGCAAGCTCTGCCTCCCGGGTTCACGCCATTCTCCTGCCTCAGCCTCCCAAGTAGCTGGGACTACAGGCGCCCGCCACCACACCGGCTAATTATTTGTATTTTTAGTAGAGACAGGATTTCACCATGTTAGCCAGGATGGTCTCAATCTCCTGACCTCATGATCCGCCTGACTCGGCCTCCCAAAGTGCTGGGATTAAAGGTGTGAGCCACCGTGCCCGGCTGCCATTATCCAGGTATCTATTACCAAAGAGCCTCCCACAGGGGGGTAGTTCCATCAAAAGTAGTAACCAACCCAGGGAATAAGTGTATGTATTTCTCTCCAGAGCAAAAAGGTTGATGTATACACATCTGTTCCACCAAATAGGCAATCTGGTGACTGTTGGGCTAACCGTCCAGGGATCTGAGGGCCTCTCTGGGTTCTCCAAGTGCACTCCTCCCCCAATGCCAGGATTCAGGGACTGCCTCCTGAGTGGCTCTCATCCACTCTGTCTCTAGGACGATGCACCCACAGCACCATCGGCCCAGCACAGCACCCCCTGCGTTCCTTGCTGCCCTCCAATTGCTCGGGTGTCCCAGATGATGGGTGCAGCCTAGCAGTGGGGTGGGCAGGGCCGTGACTGGGCTTCTCGCATCTCTTGTGTTAAATTTCTTTCTTCTGCTCAATGCTTCCCACCCTGAAAGAAAAAGGTATGCTCCAGGGCAGAGGATGCGAGGTGAATTCTCACATTGAAGTTAGGGGTACCATTGACGGGCAGCGGTCAGACACAGCCGCGGGTCAGCAGCGCTTAAAAAGGGTTTGAGAGTCGTGAGGCTCAGGATGGCATCTGAGGCCACAGGAGCATATCTCACTCACTCACACGCCTGCCACGGGGCTGAGGGTGAGCTGATGAAGGAGGAAAGGAAGGAGGAGCTGACAAATAAATTGCTTTTAAAATGACTTACAATGTTGTGATTCAGTGGTTATTCCCTGAGCCTCCCCTCACCTGCTCCTGACACCGGGACTCGCCGCAGAGGTGTCTGGACCATGGTCCGGGGGGCGGCTCTGAGCGTCCCCTCCGAGCATCCCTCGGTGTCTCCTTTAGCCATTCTCCTTACTCTGCTCCACTGGTCCCTGACCAGTCACTGCTGTGAGAGAGAAAAGCTATCCCTTTATGTCACTTCGTTGCAGACTTTGTGACTCGCAAAATATTAACTGACTGATGTTTAGAGACACTTCATCCTTGGCAGAATCGGAGGCACAACTTCCCTTGAAAAGCTCCAGAGGTTTTTGGGAGGCCGAGGTGGGCGAATCACAAGGTCAGGAGATCAAGACCATCCTGGCTAACACAGTGAAACCCTGTCTCTACTAAAAATAAAAAATAAAAAATAAATTAGCCAGGCGTGGTGGTGGGCGCCTGTAGTCCCAGCTACTTGGGAGGCTGAGGCAGGAGAATGGCGTGAACCCGGGAGACAGAGCTTGCAGTGAGCCAAGATTGCACCACTGCACTCCAGCCTGGGCGACAGAGCGAGACTCTGTCTCAAAAAAAAAAAAAAAAAAGAAAAGAAAAAAGAAAAGAAAAGCTCCAGAGGTAGGTGGCTTTGGCCACCTGGTCCTCCTAGGGGCATCTGGTCTCTTTCTTTCAAGTCAAGGGCAGAGACTTGGGGCATTTGAAGAGAGGTCTGATGTGACTTTCCACTTTAAATCGTGGAAGAGGGATGCTGGAAGCATGGCTTTATCCCTCCCTTCTCAAATCAACCTACCTACCTCTTCTGAAATGGATGCTGGCTACTGGGTGGGCTGAGTCCTCCCTGCTCCAGACAGGTGGCAGTAGAAAGAGGTTGAGAGTGGCAGCAACTCGGAAGACTTACAAGGCTTACTCCTAAATATGTAGATTGCCTAGTGATAATGTAGATTGCCTAGTGACAAAAGTATCATTAGGCAATCTACATTAGACATACATATGCATATGTATATATACTACTTTATATATAACATATATATACATATATGCACATATTATATATATCAGTAAGGATTCGTGAACATTTATTTTTATTTATTTATTGTGAGACAGAGTCTCACTCTGTCGCCAGACTGGAGTGCAGTGGTGCAATCTCAGCTCACTGCAACCTCCGCCTCCCAGGTTCAAGTGATTCCCCTGCCTCAGCTTTCCAAGTAGCTGGGACTACTCCCATCTGGTGTATTAGTAGTAGCTGGTGGCATGCACCACCACGCCTGGCTAATTTGTTTTTGTATTTTGGTAAAGATGAGGTTTCACCATGTTGGCCAGGATGGTCTCGATCTCCTATTTTGCATTGCATGTGCTTTATTTTGTTGCTCAGATTATTCCAGCTTTGGCTACTGGGAACTCTTTCAGTGGTTCCTGTGTCCCTCCGGCATAATCTCATTCTTGTGGGGTTTTTAAACGCTTCTTTACTTCCTGGCACTACACGATGCTCTAGCCTTCTTTTGTATAATCCTTACCCCAGCCCTAGAATCAGCCATTTATCTAAGGATTTCTGATTCCTTTTATTGGAGAAAGGCATTAGAAACCAAGATGTGGGCACTGGGTGTGCTTATTGTGACTGGAGTGTCAATGGAAATTCTGGAGATTAAAAGTATAGTGATTAAAGTAGAAAATTTACTAGAGAGGTTTGACGGTAGATTTGAATTGGCAGAAGAGGTAATGAACTAATTTAATGATAAATAAATACAGAGTATTCAATTTGAAGAACAGATAGATAGAAAAAAAACTAACAGAGCTTCAGTGAAATGTGGAACACCACTAAGCACCCCAACCTACATGTATTGGGAGTGCCAGAAGGGAGGAGAAATAGAAGGAGACAGGAAAAGTACTTGAAGAAATAATGGCTAAAAACTTTCCAAATCTGATGAAAAATACTAGCCTCACATCCAGGAAGCTCAATACTGCAAGTGGGATAAAAACAAAGAGAAACACCCAAACACATCATAATCAAAACATTAAAGACAAACACAAACAGAAAATTTTGAAAGCAGTTGATGACAGAAAAATCCAAATTTTGCCAAAATATATTTAAAGAGGTTTATTCTGGGCTAATATGTGTGACTATGGCCCAGGTTACACAATCTCAAGAGGTCCTGAGAAAGTGTACCTGAGGTGGTGGGGTTATAATTTGGTTTTGTGTTGGGAACAACACCCACACTGAAGGTTGTGGGTTTACCGGAATGAGGGCAAGGAACACCTGTCCCACCCAGGGGGGAAAACCACTTAAGGCATTAGTGATCTGTGCCTTAAGGGCATGTTCCTGCTGCAGATAACTAGCCAGAGCCCATCCCTTTGTTTCCTGTTTTAGTTAATCTATAATCTATAGAAACAATGCTTATCACTGGCTTGCTGTCAATAAATATGTGGGTAAAACTCTGTTCATGGCTCTCAGCTCAGAAGGCTGTCAGCCCCCTGATTTCCCACTTCACACTTTATATTTCTGTGTGTGTGTCTTTAATTCTTCTAGTACTGCTGGGTTAGGTTCTCCATGACTGAGCTGGCCTTGGCAGTTTTACAGATTTCAGGGAGACAGGAATTGCAGGTAAAATAATAAATTGATATGAGAAGGGTGCACATTGGTTTGGCCAGAACAGGTGGGACTTCTCAAAGCGGGGGCTTACAAGTCATAGGTGGGTTTAGGGGATTCTTCAGTTGCCAGTTGGTTGAGACAGTTAAGCTATTGTCTAAGGACTTGAAATCAGTAGAAAGGAAGGCCTGAGTTAAGATTAGGAAGTTTTGGAGGCTGAGGTTATTGTGTAGATGAAGCCTCATGGGTGGCAGCTCTCAGAGCTATAATAGTTGGTGAATGACTCTTTTCAGACTTTAAAGGTGTCAGGCTCTCAGTTAATCTCTCCTAGAGCTGAGAAAGCCTGGAAGGGAAAATACCTGGTTACATTCATGGAGACTTTCTATAGCTGCAAATTTTCCCCATAAAAGGTGGCTTTGCAGGGTCATTTTAATCTGTTGGCACTATGGCAGCCATTTCAAGGTATGTTTAAAAAATATATTTTGTGGTAAAATACTTTTATTAATATTTCCTTTAGAGTCTGCTACTTGTCATGTGATATTATACCAAAGTCAAGTGGAAAGCAAGCCACATTTAATAAAAACCTGTCTGATGAGATTTTTATGGTTTGTAGAGCATGACTCCCCAGTCCCCTTAGATAGGAATTTGGGCAAGAGAAAAAAACAAAAAAACAATTCATGCAAAGGGACACCAATAAGATTAACAACTAACTTCATCAGAAATAATAGAAGCCAGATGGCAATGGAATGAAGTAGTGTTGAAAGACAAAACACTGTCAACCAAAAATCTTATTTCCAGCAAAACCATCTTGAAATATAAAGGTGAAATAAAGACATTCCAAGATAAAAACTGAGATAATTTATTGCCAGCAAATCTGACTTACAAGAAGTACTAAAGGAAGTTCTTCAGACTGAAAGCAAGCAACACAAGACAGTAATTCAAATCCACACAAATAAACAAAAGTGTCAGTAAAAGTACTTATATAGGTAATTACAAAAGACTGCATAATTGCACACTTTCCCTTTGTTTTCTTGCCTTACTTAAAAAGTAATTACATAAAACAATATATGTAATATACAGGTGTATTGTTGGGCCTCAAAATGACATCACAAAATGGGGAGAGAATGGAGAAATATAAGGGTAAATATAGCTTTACCCTTATATTCCTCAAGAGTAAACTAAAACCAAAGCAAACAAAAGGAAGGAAATAAAAAAGATTAGAGTAGAAATAAAGGAAATAAAGAATATAAAAGAATAAAGTCAACAAAATCTACGGTTTTGTTCTTTTGAACACAGGTTTGGTTCTTTGAAAAGATGAATAAAAGTGACAAATCTTTAGCTATACTGTCCATGAAAAAGAGAGAAGACTCAAACCACTAAAAGCTATAAGATTACTGACCTTACAGAAATAAAAAGGAGAATAAGAGAATGCTATAAACAACTGTCTGCCACCAAATTATATAATTTATATGAAATAGACAAATTCCTGGAAAAAGAAAACTACCACAACTGGTTCAAGATAAAAATAGAAAACCTTAATAGACTTATAACAAGTAAAGAGATTTAATTAGAATTAAAAACCAAATTGAAACAAAAGAAAACTTCCCATTAAGAAGAGCCCAGGTCCTAGATTAACCGCCAAATTCTACGAAATGGTCATAGAATTAATATCAATCTATAAATTCAGTATTAACCTGATATAAAAACCTGACAAAGATATCATAAGGAAAAAAAATAGCTCTGGTGAATTATCTTCTGAATAGAGATGGGAAAATTCTTTAAAAAAATACTAGTAAACTAAATCCAGCAACATATAAAAAGGATTATGTACCATGACCAAGTAGGATTTATCCCAGGAGCACAAGGTTAACTTATCATTAAAAATCAATTAATGTAACACACCATATTAATAGAATAAGGGACAAAAGTCATATTATCATCTCAATGCAGAAAAAGTATTTAACAAGCAACATTTTTGTGATAAAAAAATTCAACAAACTAGAAATAAAAGGGAACTTCCCCAATCTGATAAAAAGCATGTACATGGCCAGATGTGGTGGCTCACACCTGTAATCCCAGCACTTTGGGAGGCTGAGGCAGGCAGATCACGAGGTCAGGAGTTCAAGACCAGCCTGATCATCATGGTGAAACCCTGTCTCTGTGAAAAATACAAAAATTAACCAGGCATGGAAGCACCCGCCTGTAATCCCAGCTACTCAAGAGGCTGAGGCAGGAGAACTGCTTGAAGCTGGGACGTGGAGGTTGCAGTAAGCCGAGATCATGCCACTGCACTGCAGCCTGGGCAACAGAGTGAGACTCCATCTCGGGGGAAAAAAAAATGTACAAAAAACGTACAGCAAACTTCAAACTCAATGGTGGAAGATTGAAAACATTGCCCTCTATAATCAGGAATAAGACAAGGATGTCTCCTGTTGCCATTTCTATTCGACATTGTATTGGAGTTTCTAGCCAGGACAATTAGGAAAGGAAATGAAATAAAAGCATTCAGATTAGAAAAGATGATGTAAAACTATCTCTGTTTGCAAATAATATTATTTTGTATGTAAAAACACCTCAAAGAATCCACAAAATAAAAATTATTAGAGGTAATAAATTGCTTAAACCAATTTGAAGGATATAAGATTAATATATTAAGACAAAAATCAGTGTATTTCTGTACACTAGAAATGAAAACTCTGAAAATAAAATTAGGAGAAAAATACGTTTATAATTGCATTCAAAATATAAAATACTTAAGTATAAACAAAATAAGTGTAAACCTTGTACACTGAAAACTATAAACATTGTTGAAAGAAACTGAAAACAATCAAAATTAATGGAGACATACTATCTTCATGGGTCAGAAGATTTAATATTGTTAAAATGACAGTACTGCCCAAATCAACCTGCAGAGTCATCTCAATCCCTATCAAAATCCCAACTGACTGTTTTATAGAAATTGACAAACTGACTCTAAAATTCATATGAAAACACAAGAGACTCGGAATAGCAAGGAAAACAAATTGAAAAGAAAGGATAAAGTTGAAAGACTCACACTTCCTGATTTCAAAACTTACTACAAAGTGACAGTAATTGAGACAATGTGATACTGTCATGAAGACAGACATACAAATCAATAGAATAGAATTCAGAGTCCAGAAATTAACCTATTCATTCATCGTCAATTGGTTTTCAACAAGCTGCTGAGACAGTTAAGTGGGGGAAAGAAGTGTCTTTTCAATAAATGGCTTTGAACAGCTGTATTTCCATATGCAAAATAATGAATAACTTCTAACTGATACCATACACAAAAATTAAAACTCAAAATGGATTATAGACCTCACCGTCTATGAGATTAAAGAGTTAAAACTACAAAACTCTTAGAAGAAAACATAAAAGTCAATCTTCATGACCTTGGGTTAGGCAATGGTTTCTTAAATAGGACACCAAGAGCACAAAAACATCATCCAAAAACAGATAAACTGGGCCAATCAAAATTTAAACTTTTATGCTGCAAATAATACCACCAAGAAAGCAAAAGTCCACCACCATAGAATTGGAGAAAATATTTTCAAATCATATATCTGGTAGAAGTCTTATATCCACTATATATTTACAAATTCTTATAGCTCAATAACAAAAAGACAAAAAATACTATTTAAAGGGGGACAAAGGACTTAAATAGACATTTCTTCAAAGTAAATATACAAAAGGCCAATAAGCACATGAAAAGCTGCGCAATATCTTTCCTTATCAGGAAAGTACAAAGCAAAACCACAACCAGATTCTACTCCACATCCTGAGGACGCCTAGGATCAAGAAGACAGATAATGACAGCTGCAGATGAGGATGTGAAGGAACTGGAAGCCTGTTTTGCTGATGGGGTTGCAACATGCTGCAGCTGCTTTGGAAACAGGTTGGCAATTTCTTATAATGTTAAACATAGATTTACAATATGACCTGGTAATTCCACTCTTAAGTGTATATACCCAAAATAAATGAAAACACATGTCCACAATTTTACATGCAAATTTTCATAGCAGCACTATTCATAATAGACAAAAATTGAAATAACTCAAATATTCATCAACTGATAAATAAATAAAATGCATTATATCAGTACAAAGAAATATTATTTGGCAATGAAAAGGAAATAAAATACTGATACATTCCACAAAATGTTGACAGGGATGAACCTTGAAAACACGCTAAGTGCAAGAAGTTGGTAACAAAGAGACACATATTATAGGATTGCATTTGTAATGAAGTGTTTAAAACAGGCCAATCCATAGAGAGAGAAAATGGATTAGAATTTGCTTAGAGCTGGGAAGTGGGCAGAGAGGAATATGAGTGACTGTTAATGGATAAAGGTTTTCTTTTATGAGAAACAAAAATGTTCTAAAGTTAGATTATGATGATGGTTGCACAACCCTGTGAATATACTGAAACACATCAATTTGTACTCTTTAGGTGACCCACATGGTATGCAAATTGTATCTCCATGATACTGTTTCTTTTTAAAAAAAAACATCACCAGGTTTAAACAGGTCAAGGCTGGCTTTCTCTATATAATAGTACAAATAATTTCAGTGTTCTTTTGAATATTCTGGGACATGGGAAAAGATGGGAAATTTTAATTGTATAAGTGAAACTTTAATTGTATAATTAAAAAAGAACAGAAAAAGATAACCATAAACTGACTCACAATATACATGCAAAAAGAATCTGAATAAAATATTAGCAAATAGAATCCAGAAATATATTTCTAAAAATCCGCTATGACCAAGTATTATGAATTGTTTTTCAGGAATGCAAGGTAGTTCAATACCAAGAAACTAGCTACAAAATTTAGTATATCCATCGACCATATGATCCCATCAATAGACACAGAAAAAGCATTTGGGAAAACTCAGCAATCGGTCCTGCAAAAAAAGTCTTGAGAAAAGTAATACTAAAAAGAAACTACCACAAAAGAGATCTCAAAACCCGGCAGCAATTTGCAGGGGAATGGCTCTCCCATGGTGCCTCTACCACGTTGCACCTCTCCTTACAGGCCTCCTAGAGGAGGCTTGGCCACAGTCTAAGCTGAGTCCTGGGCATGATTCCTCCTGAAGCAAGGGGAGATTAGCCTGGGGAGGAGTCAGTGAGGGCAGCCCCCAATCCGCATGAGAATGCCTCCAAGGGTTGCTCATCCATCTCCCCAGTTTCCATTGAGCACAAAGCTCTTCCTCACCACTCCCCTGTCCTGTGGAGCTGCCGGCTTCCGTGTAGTCTGTGCAAATGCTTGGCTGTAGTTCAGAGAGGACTCCTCAATGGCAGAGTGACCCACCACTCAAGCCGGCCATCACCTGACCTTTCTGTTTCAGTCGACCTGTGGAGTAGGGGCCCAGGGACCTGACACCGCACTGCTCATGGCTTTGCTGTCTGTGTGAGTCATAAACTGTCTTGATTCCTCTTGGGCGCACTGTCTTCTTGGCAGCCAGGTCTATGGGAATGAAGCCTGCTGACCTCACAGCTGCAGCCATGCTCCCTTTAGGGATGACTTGGCCATCTGACACAGATGATATCCAAATCATGAAACACCAAACTAATACAATTAAAACCAGAACTTAGCCTGCGAGGCCCACTATTCTTATTTGATATTGCACTGAGGGTTCAAGCAGATGCAAATGGCCAAGAAAATAAAACATATAGTTTAAGCATTGGAAAAGATATAGCTATTAGTTTTTACAACCCAGATATTGTATGAAAAATTAGAATTAAAAAGAAAATGTGATAGGATGAGACAATGTCATATAATTATGCAGAAACCAATGCATTATCTCTTTTCAAATGATAGGCATCTAGAAACGGAAAGGGGAAGAATCAGTCTGTTCACAACAGTGACAAAACCGTGAGCTACTTAGGGATCAGAGGAACAGGACCCAGGAACTGTGTGCCTGGCATCTGCTCACAGCCACTCAGAGCCATTTTCTGTCCCGCCCTGCTCCATACTCTAGTCTCCCTTCCCCTCTGTCTTCCAGCAGATTTGGTCAATGGGTGGTGCTGACCCAAGATTGAAGAGTGGGATGAAAGGATACATGAGGCCCTCCTCTCCCTCTCTCTGTTCCAGTGGCACCTCCAGCTGCAGCTGGGTCTCCTCGGTGGTTGTGGGCTCCCACCTGAAAGCCCCTTTCTCCATGGTCCCAGATGGGGCTGAAGTCTTAATATGATTAGAGCATGCTCCACACTGACCCTCCAGGCCCAGCCCTGGGGTAGAAGTATCCTCACCACCATACAGATTAACCCCTACAACCAGTTCCTTGCATTAAATTCCCTGTGCTTGAAAGATTTGGAGAGATTTCTGGTTTCCAGGTCAAAGCCTGATTGATACAATCCCTATGGAAAAAAATGATAAAATCTTATTTAAAGACACAAAACAGACACATTTTTCTGGATAAGAACTTTCAATTTAAAAATGTCAATTTTCCTGAAATTTATCTTTAAGTTGAATGCCATTTCATTAGATTCCCAACAGAGTTTTAGGGGTTTTGGTGTGGTCTTGGTGGGTAGAATTAACGTTGACATTTTTATGGGAGGATAAATACTCATGCAAGATGAGACAACCCTGCCACTGTACACACATTGACAACACACCACGGGATGGGACAGAAAACCAGAAAATGGCCTCAGGATAAGCAAGAAGGTAGACCAAGCTTCATTTGTTTCAGGGTAAAAGGAAGCACCATTTAATTAATGGGACTAGCACACCCAGCGGCAAGCTAGAAGAAAATAAAAGTGGATCCACTCCTTCATCTTAATCAGAAATAAATTCTAAGTGGATGAAAGACTTAAATGTAAAAGAAAGTAAAACAAAATAAAAATACTGCAAGAAAATCTAGAAGACCATGCCATCTAGGGTAAGGATTCCTCATTAAGCAAGACTGAAAACTCAGAAATTCTTAGAAGAAAGTATAAATATGCTGGACTATAAAACAATTTAAAACTCATCTATGCAGAGATACCTACAACAGACAAAATATAAGTTTAGAAAAACAAAAACTGGGCCAGGTGTGGTGGCTCACGCCTGTAATCCCAGCACTTTGGGAGGCCAAGGTGAGAGGATTACCTGAGATCAGGAGTTTGAAACCAGCCTGGCCAGCATGGTGAAACCCGGTCTCTACTAAAAATACAAAATGAGCTAAGCGTGGTGGTGCATGCCTGTAATTCCAGCTACTTGGAAGGCTGAGGCAGGAGAATTGCTTGAACCCAGGAGGCAGAGGTTTTGGTGATCCAAGATCGCGCCATTGCACTCCAGCCTGGGCAACAAGAGTGAAAAACTCTGTCTCAAAGTTTTTTGGGAAAAAGCCAAAACAAAACAAACAAAAGAAACACAAGAAGTGATTTATGATTAAAACAACGTTCAAAAAGCTGTTATCTGTAAGATATGAAAAGTGCTTATGAATTGATAGGAGAAAAAAATCCAATCGAGAAAGGGTCAAAAAAATACACATACACAAGAGTAAATCCAAACGGCTAACATCATATAAGAAATGTTCAAAATTACCAATAATTGGTGAAATACAAGTTAAAGTCACAAGGGGCTGTCACTTAAAACCCACCTGACTGGCAAATTAAAAGAAAAGGGCAGCGCGACGGATTTGGGGAGAGAATTTGAAGAAGAGAGAGCGTGCATCACTACTGCTGGGAAACAGACATTCTGCGGCATTTTTGGAAGGTTATCTAGGAATGTCAGTTCAAAGAAACACCATCTATGCTTTTTAACCTCCAAATCCCATTTTGTAGTATCTGCTTGGGCAGCCACAGCACAGCAGCGCAGATGGCGCCTTACACGGCAGGAAGAGATTCTCTCATGCTCCTGGCAGCTGAAGGTCTGAGGTCAAGGCGTCCGCAGGGCTGCTTTCTCCTGAGGCCTCCCTCCTGGGCATGTGACGTGGTCTTTTCCCTGGGTCCTCACATGGTTGTTCATCTGTGTGTGTGTGTGTGTGTGTGTGTGTATGTGTGCACGCGCGTGTGTGCACACACTTGTGTGCTAATCACCTGTTCTTTTAGGGACACTAGTCATCAGGGCCCACCCTAATGAGCTCATTTTAATTTATTACTTCTTTAGAGACCCCATCTCCAAACTCAAGCACACTCTGCATACCAGGGTGGGGGCTTTACTGTAGGAAACTGGAGGGGACCCAGCTCGACCCCTTGCAGAGTCCTTGTGCTTGTTTCTGTAGAAATGAAAGCACTGGTCTGCTAAGATGTAAGAACAAGGATGTTTCTACCCACAGCGTTGTTTGTAGAATCAGGAAGAATAACCCTAAAACTGAAAACAAGGGGATCCCCAGAGATGCAGTTCCTCCATGAATCAGGAGGGCCAGCTCAGCCATGGAATATGAGACCATGGTGCTAAGGTGGCTGGCGGGGTTTCCCAAAAGGTGAGGCCGTTGAGCACAGAGGGGAAGACCACGGCGTCTGGTCCCCGCAGGCCCCACGAGGCCCAGTGATGGTGATGAAGGCAGGAACATGAGCAGTTGCCTGGCAGGGAGACCACGTGCCGGCAGACAGTGGCTGTGGCCTCCGTGGGGACGCCAGTCAAGGGGACCATGCGGGAGGGGAAGGGCAGAGGGAGGAAAGCCACTGATGGAAGGAAGAGGAAGACCACAGTGGGAGTGACCTGCCCGGAGATGGCCCCCTCATGAGTGTCCGGGCCCTCGGGCTGAGGCAGCAGGCACCCTCTGACCCAGGCCTGGCGGGGAAGGAGAGCCTGGGCCTGGACCTGTGAAGGAGACCGCTGGAGGGCCCCAGCGAAGGGGACCCTTCGGGGACCTGACTTTGCAGGCAGGGAAGGGCTGGGCACCCAGGAGAGAGGCCTCTGCTCCCTGCTCCTGTCCCTCTGTCTATGGCCATGTTGTTAACAAGCAGAGAGGCACAGTTTGGCTCTCCGGGGACGGCAGAGGCCTTCTTAACACTGGCTCAGCACACAGCTCCTCCTGAGTGTCCCTGATGGTGGCGGCTCTGCGAAGCTTAGCCACCAGGGCAGTCTCCTCCTCTAGGGCCAGCAGGGTCCCTGCTGGAAGCGCTCTGCCCGCTCAAGGGAGGCCCACCCAGAAAAATCTCCCTTTGGAGTAACTCAAAGTCAACTGCTCCGTACCCTGTCCCCTCCAGGGGAGAGGACTGCACAGGGCATGCCAGAGGGGGCCTCAGGGGTCCCCTTAGAATCCTGGGAGGAGGAGAGGTGAGGGTGAAGGGAAGAGGAAAAGGGATAAGGACGGCCCCAAGGAAGGAAAGGGCATTCAAGCACTGCTCACCCAACCCTCCCCTCAGTCCTGGCAATGGGTGTCCCAGCTGAGGGGACAGGTAGGTTGCTGGAAGAACACCCCCAACATGCAATGCTGTGCTCGGGATGCCCTCCAGACCCCTGCCCCTCCCAGGAAGGCCCCGTAGCCCACCTCCCCTCCAAGTCCCTGTCCCAGCAGTGGGGAACCCGGGCTTTGTCCGCAGATGGGCCCAGGGCCTCTACCCAGCACGTGACGCTAGAGCCCCAGGTGAGGTTCTGCCATGGACAGGGTCTCTGACCAGCACCTTGTTCACTGCTCATGTGGTGCCCTGCAGGCTTGGCATCCCTTGCCCCCACCAGCCCCTTTTCACAGCCCTGTTTTCCCGGGAATGTCCACTGTTCACGGAAGTCCTTGCAGCTAGAGGTCATCCAGGCTGTTTGTCCTCATCTGTCACATTGGAGTGGCCGGCTCCAATAGCATCTCAATCTGCCCACCACAGCACACATGACATCCTACGCCAAAGGTGACATCCTAGGCCTGGGGGTCCCCGGGCAATGAGAACTGGATCCGAGCCCGAATCAGCCTCCTCCTGCATGAAAGGAGTGAGGTGAGGGGCGTGTGAAGGAATCCGAAACAGGACAGCTTCATCTCGCGGCTCCGTGGCAGAGGGAAGTGTGGGCGCTCGGAGACGGGCCTCTCGCTTTGTCTGGGTGAGGGGAGGAGGCCTCCTTGTGGTTCTTGGTCTCACTTCCTCCCTCCCACTGGCAAAGCCTTCCTCCCTGGGTTGGAGGTCAGTGTTCGGGCCGGGCACAGGGTTCATTATGAACCAAATATTTGAGTCCCCCAGAATTTCTGTGTTGAAATCTTCACCCCCATTGTAATGGTCTTAGGAGGTGGGGGCTTTGGGAGGTGATGAGGTAATGAGGGGGGAGCTGCAGGAACAAGACTCGTGCCCTTGTGAAGGGGCCTAGTGAGACACTTGCTGCTCCCCATGTGACGATACAGTGAGGAGACGCCATGGAGAAGCCAGGAGGCGACTCTCCCAGACACCAGATGCGCCATGCCACGATCTTGGGCTTGCAGCCTCCAGGGCTGTGAAGAATAAATATCTGTCGCTCACAACCCCCAAGTGTGTGACACATAGTCACAGCAGCCTGGAGGGGCTAAGAGAGGGCTCATAGCGAGGGCTCAAGCTCTGGGCTCTGGAGGCACATGCTGTGTGACCTTGGGCAGGTACGTGACCTCTCTGTTCCCTGGTTTTCTAAGGTGTAAAGTGGTGGTGGGAATCACTACCTAACAGGGTTGTTGTGAAGACAGGTGTGGGAGGCCTGCGGCACCTGCGCAGGGAAAAGGCTGTGGGTGTCAGTCCAAGCAACAGTCAGGGCTGGGTGGCCACCCCTGGCTGCGGGATCCACAGGGCTGGAAGTCTGCCTCTGGTGATTGTGTGACCCTGGGCGGGTCTCCCTGGCCCTGGCTGCAAGAGGGCCCCAGAGTGGCCCTCCACGGTTTCCTGGTAAGGGCACAGGAAGGGGCTTCCCAGCCGTGGATGACGTCAGAAGAGGCTGTGGGAGCAGCAGGGGCAGAGAGGATGCCAAGAGCAGCCCCCACCCTCCATGGGGCCTTCCCCAGGCCTCCCCAACCCGGGGATCGGGGATACGCCCTCTCCACCCACCTCTCCAGGGACCTGGGAATAGGAAAGCTGTTTGCTCAAACACGCCTGGGCCCCCAGACACAGAACCCAGTCAGTGTTCCTGGGGGCAGTGCCAAGGGTGGCTGGGGGCGAGCTGAGGCCCAGCCTTCCTCCCTGATGTCAGGCGTGTCTGGAAGCCGTTTCAGCATTCATCAGCCCTTCGACTTCTCCCTCGGTGGCCCTGCAGGTAACTATCTCTAGGTTGATTTGTGTTCTCTGCCCCTTAGGAGAGCCTGGGGTCTGCGGTGACTCTCAAATGACGCTGTCAGAGATGTCAACCCCTCTCCCAGTGATAAGAGTCGCACACCTGGTCAGTGGCCACCCTGGAGTTGGGTCCAACCCTGCCTTTTCTGCAAAGTGTGGACAAAACTCAGAAAGCCTGGAGAGAGAGGGAGCCAGGGACAGAAGAGGGGAGGAGAGAGGAACTGGGGTTGGGGGATCCGAAGGAGAACAGGGCTCCTGGCTCCGTGGCTTCCCGCTAGCTCAAGATGGTCCCCTTGGTCCCACATTGAAGTCTCACAAAACTCCTAGGAGCTACACACCAGCATCAAAAAGACAAACAACCCAACCAGGAGCTGGGCACAGGAGTTTAAAAGACATTTCTCTGAAGAAGACCTGCAAATGGCCAGCAAGCACATGAAAAGACTCAACGCCATTAGTCATTAGAGAATCCACCAAAACCACAGCGAGATGCCACTTCTCACTCCCCAGGATGGTGAGGAGGAGTAGAAGGGGAAGGAGGGGAAGGAGGGAATGAAGGAGAGAGGGAGGGAGAGAAGAAAGGAAAGAAAGAGGGAAGGAAGAAGGGAAGGAAGGAGGGAGGGAAGGAAGGAAGGAAGGAGGGAAAAAAGGAGGGTGGGAAGGGAAAGAGGGCAAGAGGGAGAGAAAGAAGGGAGAGAGGAAGGGAGGGAGGGTGGGAAGGAAGGAGGGAGGGAGAGAAGGAAGGTAGGAGGGAGGCAAGGAGGGTTAAAAGGAAGGAGGGAGGGAGGGAAGGAAGGAAGGAAGGAAAGAAGGAAGGAAGGAGGGAAGGAAGGAAGGAAAGAAGGAAGGAGAGAAGGAAGGAAGGAAGGAGGGAAGGAAGAAAAGAGAGAAGGAAGGAAGGAGGGAAGGAAGGAAGGAAGGAGGGAGGGAAGAAGGAATGAAGGAGGGAGGGAGGGAAGGAAGGGTCACAGGAGGGACTCCAAGGCCCTGGGCTCCCATTAGGGGCTGCTGGGCAGGCAGGTTGTGCTGGAAATGCAGGTGGAAACAGGCATGGGGACCCTGGAGGCAGGAGATGGTCACAGCACCAGCTGCTCTCTGTTGAAAATAGCGAGTGTTGGCGAGGACATGGAGGAATTGGAGCCTCGCCTGCTGCTGACGGGAATGTAGAAGGATGCAGCCACTGGGTGGAACCCAGCAGGAGCCTGGGAGGCCTTCGATGTGACTTGGTAACCAGCGGAGTGAGGCACCAACCACATGCTAACAGGGGCTGAGCACACCATGCTGGGCGAGGCAGCCAGTCACAAAGGCCACACAGCAAATGGCCCCTTCTATACGAAGTGCCTAGAACAGGCAAAGCTGTTGAAGACAGAAAGTAGCTTTGTGGTTGCCAGGGGCTGGGGTTGGGGCAGATGGGAAGTGGCCACGATGGATATGGAGGTTTCTTTTGGGGGTGGTGGAAAGGTTCTAACATCAGATGATGGTAATGGTTTGATTGTGCAGCTTTGTAGATATACTAAAAACCATTGAATTCTGCACGGGCAAAAAGCCTGGGAGGTATGAGGCAGAATCAACATCTTACAGAAGAGGAAACTGAGGCTCGGGCATTTTAAATAAAAGTCGTCTTACTGCTGTGCCCGATGCCTTGAAAAGCCGGCTAAGACTTCTCATGGGAACTGTCTCCGCAACAGGCCCCAGCTGGCCCCTCTCCAGCCCTTCCCCAGGGAACCTTCCCTGCCAGAGCCCGCCCTGACTCCCTGCTCACAGGCAGCGCCTCACCAGGAGCAGGTCTGGGGACAGTAGTGGGTGGCTGCATATCCAGCTGCCATGGCTCCTTCAGCCTTCTCCTGAGAAGGGAAGGGAGGTGGCACTGCAGGGGAGAGGAGGGTGCAGAGGAGATGCCACTGGCAGCAGGAGGATGGATGCAGCCCAGCTGCTCTCTCAGGAGTGCAGAGGGGCTGAGTCCCCACACCAACGGCCCAGAAGCATGGGGTCTCACTAGCATAGGACTGGTGTTACATGGGAGAGACTCCGAGGCCCCCGGCTCCCATCAGGGGCTCCCGGGCAGGCAGCTTGTGCTGGAAGATGCAGGTAGGGACAGGCATGGGGACCCTGGAACAAGGCAGGTCCCGCCTGTCTGCATGAGCCCCAGGACAGCCATGGCCCCTGCCTATGAACCTCCTCTCTGCTCTTGGTTAAAAAGCCCCATGTCATGGAGGCAGCAGCCTTTTCAGGCACTGGGGCCCCTCCAGACAGAAAGGGGCCCCTCCAGACAGAAAGAAACCCCTATGGCATGGAGCCAGAATCACCATAGACACCCTCTTTCAGAGTTTTCAATTTTATGTTCACTTACTTTTAGGCAAATGGGAAAAGGTTGGAGGTACCCAGCCTGCCCAGCCTGCGTGGTTTTGCGGTGGTCCCACACTGAATCATCTGTCAGAGGGCTGTCTGTGGTCCCTCGGGGCTGGGGTCTGACACCCCCTTGTCAGGACTGCAGGCCTGGCACTGCTGTGTGGCTCAGGGCTGCCGCCTTCCTGCACTGGTGAAGGGCTGACCGCGCCTGACGCCGTTAATTGAGCTTCCTCCGAGTGGGACAAGTGAGCGATCTCATTTCTAGGATGATCAAATTTTGCCAGAGCTTGAGCAAAGCTACTCAATCATGGGATTGGAAGGTGGGAGCCCCACGTGGGTGGAACTTCATTCCTGCAGAGAAGATTCCTCCAGAGAGGCCCCAGGCACAGCTACGGAAATAAAAGCGGCCACACCCCATTCCTCTTGAGATGACACGGACTCCCCAGATGCCCCGCTGTCAGCCCAGCGCTCAGCTTCACGGTTGTCTCTCCCCCGGCTCACCCGGTGAGCCTCTGCCCTGGAGCTGACAGGGCCACAGCCAAGGCCCATCCCTTCATCCTGGCTGGGGCGGAACCTCTCTGCCGCCATGGGCAGCACTTCTCAGAGGGCCAGGGGCTGCTGTGTGGACTACCGTCCTCGCACAAGGCAGCAAGTGCTCCATGTCCGTGGCGCTGGGGGATGGAGAGGGTCGCCAAGGACCTGCCTGCCTGCCTGCCTTGGGATGTTCTGGGTTCTCAACTAGATGCTGCCTGGACCTGTGGAGTGGCCCCAGGACCCCATCCACGCTGCCTGGGCCCTGCCAGCTGGGGCCTCCAGTCTGCCGGTGCGACCTCACTGGCCCCTGGGGCTGGGGTCCCCTGGGTCTGCTATGGGAGGCAAGGGGGCACCGTGAGATGCCACTTCTCACTTCTCAGGATGGCAGAAACTCAGCCCTGAGAGAGGCTATGTCCAGACACCACATTTAGGGCACTGGCGCGTGACAGGTGTGGCAGTGGGTGGGGTGTGCTCAGTGACCTGGACCGAGAGCAGGCCCGAGGCCCAGCAGGGACTCAGAGAAACATGAAGTGCCAGGCAGGAGGCCCAGGGGCCAGGAGGGGCCACGGTGCTCCCAGGCCTCGCATCTACCCATTTCAGCCTTCTAAGATCTGCAGCCAGAGGTCCAAGAACAGGCAGAGGAGGCCCGTATGGGGGTGCTGCAGCAGAGGGAGTGGGGTTACCAGCCAGCGGCCAAGGCTCACAGGAGCAGGACCTCCCAGGCCACGCAAGGGAGAGGACATTTCCAGTAACGGCGTTTCAGAATTCCTCCTCCCTCGGGGTCCAGGGCCTTCCTCTGCTCCGAGGAATTCTCAGGCCAGTCCCTGAGACAAGACAGGCTGGAGGGAGGCATGCTGAGCAGGCAGGGCCCGGTGTGGGACCCTCCGCGGGAATCGTCCGAGCAGCATCTGGAGAAGGCGGAGGGTGGGAAGCTCAGTGGAGTGTACCCTCTAGTCCGCCTCTCTTGCTCCCCTCCTGCCCCGCGAGGCTCCCTGCAGGACTCCCCGACCTGCCTGCCTCTCACCCATAAGGTAGGTCTACAGCAGGTCAGTCTGCTGGGGGCCCAGGTGTGGGACTTGAGTTCTCCTGGGGCCACCAATGGCTTGAAGGGTGGCCTCAGGCGGGGTTGGCGACCCCTCCCTAGTCTGAGTTTTTGCTTCTAGGAGACTAGAAGTCCCTGGAGTCCCCCAGGTGTTAAAGTCTGGGAGGAGAGACTCTGCCTAGCGCCTCGTGTGGGATGTCCTGAAGTCCAGGCCAGCCCAGGAGCCTTCCTGGGGGTTTGGAATCACTGCTGGAGGATACTCACCCCTGCAGGGAGCTGTCCAATGGAGCTGGGGCCTCTCTGAGGCAGTGGCCTGACAGGCTGGGCCACCCAGGGCCGCCACCCGGGAGCCCCAGGACCTTAGGCATGTCCAGCTCACCTTGCGGAAACATCTCTTGACTGCCGCAGTGGGTGTGGCTGCAGAATTCCCATCCGTCTCCACGCTCCTTTGAGAGCGCACAGCAGAACTGCTGCCCGCGCAGCCTCGTGGGTCCCTCCTGACCCTAGATGAGGCGGGCTCCTCCTCCCTGGGCACCAGGTGCTCCTGGGACCCGGGCTTAGCACGCTTCTGCATGAGACGGGTTTCGTGATCACTCCATACTGTAATTAGATATTAAAAATCTCACTGTGCCTTCATAAAATAACGTTGAATGAATAATAGAGTATCACAGTTGGAAAGTCATCAAAATGTAATAAAATGGTGTTATTACAAAGGCTTAAATTTTAATGATGTTTTTTAGTATGTCACTTATTGTATAATTACAAAATAAGATAGAGTAATTAAACGGAGACTTGGGGCTTTGCAGGGGGCTGGGGCTGGGAGGCTCCTGATTCTATCCAGAGTGGGCACTGGAGAGGGAGCAGCCAGCCTCCTGGCGGCAGGGCCTGGGTTGGGGGTGTGGCCAGGCATGGGCTGACCTTCTGCCGTCCTGGAGGTGAGGGGCTCGGGAGGACAAGGCCTTGGGACTTGTAGAGCCCCCCCTGTATCTCAGCACACAGGGCCGACCTCAGGCTGCCAACGCCCACAGCTCTTTGCCAAATGCCCTGGGACCTCCTGCTGTCTCTGTCACAGGGCAGAAGTGCCATGAAGTTAGCCTTCTCGGGAGCTGGCCTGGAACAGGGAGCCTGGGATATGTGGCTGGATGTCCCAGCTCCCGGGCTCTCGGGCGGATCATGCTGCTGCTCCCCCTCCCACAGGGAGCCCTTCGTGGCTGCGCTCCCTCCTTGACTCACTTGTCTCAAGCAAGCCCCTCACCTGACCCATGGTTCCCAGGGACCCATGGGTGCTCAGTGGACACCTGGGGAGTTGGCTATGTGCCAGCTGTGCTGGATGCAGGGCTCACAGGGGACCAGTGTTCAGGCAGCCTATGGGCAGGGTGTGCTGAGTAAAGGAAGTGATGACCTATGGGTTGCCTCCACCCAGCCCAGGAAGAATGACCTGGCAGGGGGAACAGTAACAGAGCTCGGAGGAGCAAGCTCAGGAAGGACAAGTCATTCTAGGAGGGCAGAGGCAGGGGTTCCTGAATTAAATGACAGCTAGGTCACTTCACACTGAGGAAAGCTATCCTGTGCACAGATTGAAACTGAGACCTCCTAATTAACTAAGGGTGGGCCCTGGTCTCAGGTTGAGCCAGCCTGAGCCTGAATCCTGATGTCAGACAGCACCTGAGTCCTGTTCCCAGACTGAATCTAAGTCCTGGTATCATTCAGACTGAGTCCAAATCCTGATCTCAGACTGAGCCTGAATCCTTATTTCAGAATAAGCCCTAAAAATTCTGACTCAGGTTGAGCTCTGACCCTGGTCTCACAGAGCCTGAATACTGATCTCAAACTAAGCCCAAATCTTGATCTCAGACTAAGCCTGAATCCTGACTTCAGACTAAGCCTGTATTAGTTCATTTTCACACTGCTATGAAGAACTTCCCAGAGACTGGGTAATTTATAAAGGAAAGAGGTTTAATTGACTCGCAGTTCCACATGGCTGGGGATGGGGAGAACTCAGGAAACTTACAATCATGGAGGAGGGTGAAGGGGAAGCAAGTACCTTCTTTGCAAGGTGGCAGGAGAGAAGGGTGAAGGAGGAACTTCCAAACACTTACGAAAGCATCAGATCTCATGAGAACTCACTCAGTATCACAAGAACAGCATGGGGGAACTGACCCATGATTCAATCACCTCCCTCCCTCAACACGTGGGGATTACAATTCAAGATGAGATTTGGGTGGGGACCCAGAGCCAAACCATATCAAAACCCAAATCCTGATCTCAGAGTGAGCCTGATACTGATTTCAGACTGAGCCCTGAATCCTGATCTCAAACTAAGCCTGAATCTTGATCTCAGGCTGAGCCATAAATCCTTGTCTCAGACTGAACTCTGATTGCAGCTACATTTCCAGACCTTTCTGACCCCCAATTTTATTGCCATCTGAGGTCACCTGGGAGCTTCACTCTGGGCTGGTGGATGCCCTAATGTTCTAGAACAGGAGCTCTGGAGTACCTGTTCACTTTCTAGTCCCCTTTTCTCATGTCCTCTCCCAGTTGTCCTCTTGCAGCCTGAAGAAGTCTCATGGTTCTAGATTGCAGACTTCTGCTGGGGCAGCTTGCTTACCTAGCAGAAAAGGCCAGGGCCCAGGTGACCGGGGAAGGAGTTCCCTGCAGTGAAACTCCCCCTGGGGACTGATCATTCACCATCGCCTGCCCACCTGGGGAGGAACGGCTCCCTCCCACTTCCTTCTTGGGCGGCCCCACCCTTGCATCCTCTGGTTGCCATAAAACTCTTTTGCACAGGAGGCTCATGCCTACCCCTGTGTCACCTTTGGGATCAGCCTCCAGGCCTGCCCAGTGCTGTAACTCTGCTCAGGACAGCAAGATGATTTCAGAAGAAGAGGTCGGGCACTCTCAGCCTCCCTGAGGCTAGTCAGAGCAGCCCTGGCTCACGCAGCTGCTGCCATGGACTTGGATCCCAGGCTGCTCTCCACCTCTCTCCTTCCTGGGAAGCACCGCCGGTCCTTGTTCCTCCAAATGACCAGGACAGGAGCTCAGAGGGGAGGTCATCCCCACAGATGGGCTCCCAGGACAGCACCTGCAAAGGTACCCTCTGTGGTCCCAAGAGCCAGTGCCTGGCATGGCCGCCCGCTTTAGGCTGTGGCTGTGGGCAAGTGTGTGCTCTCCAGGAAGAAGGGGCCTGTTGCCTCACTGTAGATCATCCTTAAAAAAGAAACTAGAGACACGCCGAGTGCCTCTCTGTGGCCCCATAAATCTGGAGAGGAGGGAGCTGAACAGAGAGAGCTTAGGCTTTTGAATTTTAAATGGCCAATTTGGTCAATGAATCAGTTTCACTGGGCTGAGACTGCGTGGAGACGAAAGTGGTTTTAAGACCTATTGAAAGCAGTGAGAGCCTCTTTGTCCACATTTTCTCAGACTGCCACCCTCTAATATTTCATCTATATTCATTTTTATGGCTTCCTAAATTACAGATGTCAGTTAAAAAACTGAAAAATAGAGGGTGGGGAGGGGGGAAATTCATCACTGTTGAAAAGAAAGGTGAAGTTATCCCTCCCAAAGCCAGTGTGCTGGGACGTGACCCAGAACTCACAGCTGGTCCTTCCTTATCTGGGCTCATTCTTCACCTGGTCCATGACCCAAGGCTGGGCCTTTGCTGCCCATGGGACAAAGAATGAGGCAGACAGATGTCCCTCCAGTGGGGAGCTCATGTTCTAGTGGGAGGAGAGAGACCTCCTAAAAGTGAGCAAGACAAAGACCCTAGTACTCGGGGCAACACAGAGTGGGTGAGGCAGGGCCATGGAGGAGGGAGATGAGAGTAGGGTAGGAATGACAGATGGCAGTAGCACGCTCACGAGGTTGGTACTCCACAAGTCTCCGGGCTCAGAGGTGTGGAGTATGTCAAGCTCCTGCCTCCAGGGTGAATACAAGATGCTGCACTTCACACCATCTTTGTGAGCGTGCTACTGCCATCTGTCCACAGAGTCATGGTTTTTTGGGTTCCGTGGACCACATTGAGGGGCAATTGTGCAGATGTTTGCTGCCATTTAGAAGATCGTCTGCCTCTTCCAGCTACTTTCAAGATTTTTCCCTGTCTTCTGGTTTCTACATTTTAAGAGGGTTTTGTTGGTTCACTCTTGCTCTTACTTGGGTCTGTAGAGCCCCTGGGGGCTGCAGCCTGGCCACTGCGGTAGCCACAGACAGCCGCTGTCTGTCACTCCCAGGTCTGCCCATCCACCTCGGGTCAGTGTGGGCAGTGGGAGCCACCTAAGGAGGCTGTGCACGGAGAGTCAGAAGTGAAAGCGTCTCAGGGAAGGTTTCCTGAGCTGGGTCAGCACCACACCGCGCCAGGCTGCTGGGGCCACACAAAACTGAGCATCTGCTCAGCCTCAGAGGTGGACAGGGGCCTTCTGCTTCATCTCCTTGGGGCAGTTCAGGCCTCTCCCCATCAGCTCCACAGGGCCCCAGGCCACAGGCCAGACTTTCTCATCCTCTCCCTGGCTGTGGATGCAGGTCTCCTCAGGGCACCTTCCCAGCAGCCATCCCAGTCCTGGAGATCAGGCTTGGGGCCTGGTTTCCTGACCTCCCATGGCCATTTTCCCTGTGGCCTCTAGGCTCCTCCTTCTCTTAGGACAGGAGACTTGCTGCCACAAGTATTGCTCAGTGATAACATCCTGCCAAGGCCTCTGGGGTAAAGTCACAGGCCTGCAGTGGGCTGGTCTCCCCTCACAGGCCTGTGATCCCCCAGGGACTCAAGCAGGAACCCCTCCTGCTTCCCCCAGCTTCTGGGGGCTCCAGCGTTCCTTGGCTTGTGGCTGCCTTCCTCCAACTGTTCTTCTGTCTCCATGCGAGCTTCTTCTGCCTCTGTGTGTCTCCACCATGTTCTCTTACAAGGACATTTTCCACTGGATTCGAGGCCTGCCAGGTCAGCTAGGATGGTTTCATCCCAAGCACGGGAAGCCAAAAGGACCAGTCCCCCTCAGAGCCCTGAGGCCCAGTGTGGGGATGGCAGCAGCCTCCACTAGAGGCTGGGGTCTGTGGCTGTGGGCGGTGTAGGGACCCCCGGCCCTCAGTGCTGCCGCCTTCCAACCAGTCTCCTCCCACACAGACCCGCATCATCTGGCTCCCCCAGCACGGGCCTTCCCCGCACACCCAGCCAGGCTGGGACCTGGGGCTCTTCCTCCAGGATAACAGCAACATCTGGATTGTGGCCATGTAGCTGGGACAGACACAAAGGTCACTGGAGAGGCTGCCACTGGCCAAGAGACCAAGAGCCCTCTGAAGTCCAGCACTCATCTCCATAATGAGCTCTGAACCAGGCTCGCTCAGCCGGCTGCCCTGAGTCGGGAGGCATCCTGGCCTCCGTCCCACCCAGACTCACACGGATTCCATGGCCACCTTTCTCACCAACACCAGGAATTCCTTTGTACCCTGGCTCCTCCACTGTACCTGTCCGACAAACCCCAACATAAATCCCCAGCTGTATTAAGCCATTCTTCCATTGCTATGAAGAAATACCTGAGACTGGGCAATTTATAAAGAAAAATAGTATAATTGGCTCAGGGTTCTGCAGGAAGCATGGCATCCACATCTGCTCGGCTCCTGGGGAGGCCTCAGAAGCTTTCAGTCACAGTAGAAGGCAAAGGGAGAACAGGCACACCACAGGAAGAAAGCAGGAGCAGGCAGGGGCTGGCAGTGTGCCATGTCAATTTACTGTTGCCATGGCAATGCCCAGGCGTTACCCCTCTTTCCATGGCACCCAGTGATCCAAAAGTTACTACCCCTTCCCTGCATACCCCTTAATCTGAATGCAATTAAAAATGGGAACCAGGGTGTGGTGGCTCACACCTGTAATCCCAGCACTTTGGGAGGCCGAGGCGACTGGATCACCTGAGATCAGGGGTTCAAGACCAGCCTGGCTAACACAGCAAAACCCTATCTCTATTAAAAATACAAAAATTTGCCAGGTGCAATGGCACGTGCCTGTAATCCCAGCTACTTGGGAGACTGAGGCAGGAGGTTATGTAAGAGGCAGGAGAATTGCCTGAACCTGGGAGGCGGAGGATGCAGTGAGCTGAGATCGCGCCACCGCATTCCAGCCTGGGCAACAGAGTGAGACTCTGTCTTAAGAAAAAAGAAGTGGGTATAAACATGAGCAGAACAGCCCTGAGCTGCTCTTCTCTGCCTGTGTGGTAGCCCAGCCCAGCAGGCGCAGTCATGGAACTGTAACACCACCAGAGCTGTGACACTGCTGCTTCAATAAAGCCATTTTCTTCTGCCTCTGGCTTGCCCTTGAAATCTTTCCTGGGCAAAGCCAAGAACCTTCTTGGGCTGAGCCCCACTTTAGGGCTTGCCTGTCCTACATCACCAGCATAGTTGTTCATAGCACTCTTGCTCTAAAAAGTGCTCAAGTTTGAGAGGGAAAGGGTGCTACAAAGGACATCATTAGAGGCTGGATATGGTGGCGCACACCTGTGGTCCCAGCTACTCAGGAGGCTGAGGTGGGAGGATCACTTGAGCCTGGTTTGTTGAGGCTGCGGCAAACCATGATTGAACAACTAGACTTCAGCCTGGGAAACAGAGCAAGACCTCATTTTTCAATTAATTAATTAAAGGATGTTATCAGAACAACTGACAACATTGGAATACAGATGGTCTATCATGTAAAAATACTTCTTAATACTAGTGGAGATGTATGAAGTTGATGACTGTTGAGGTTATGTAGGAGAATACCTCTGTTCTTACAACACAAATGATACAGCAAATGGGATAGAATAATAGGTGAATCTGAGCAGCGGATATATGGCTATTCCTTGCACTATTTTTGCTTTTGCGACTTTATGTAAGTCTGATATCACTTCCAGATAAAAAGTCTAAAAAGTAGAAGCCAAGTGCTCCAGGTTGGACGATAAATTATATGGTGAGCCAGCACAGGAGCCTCTCCAGCAACCTCAGGTGACAAAATCCAGGTGACAAACGCTGCTGAAGACAAAATTCAAGGGGGCAAGAACCACAGCCAAGGCTGCAGACAAGCTCTGAAATCATTTGATGTCAAACCGAGTGACACTGACAGTAGAAACCACTGGGTGAAGAACAGACGTTACATGTTACGAACTTTGATCACATACAAACAATAATAATACTAGAAAGCGTGGAGGGGTTGGGAGTAAAAATATAACTTCTAAACCTGGAACATCTGGTTTACAAAAGCACAAGTCCCTTTGTTCTCATGCTCTTTCACGGTAGCTTTTAGCATGTCTTCCAGTGTCTGTGTCCCATGTAGAGGTGAAGCTTTTATCTCAAGTGTTTCCTTCAGCTTCACTTTGGTTCATTCTTGTGAAATCCAAATGCAGGGAATGCTTTTTCTGATAAACTGTGCCTGTGACTAACATTTCTACTTCTGTTCCTCTTTCCAGTTCTACTAGACCCATGGGGAGAGTTGTCCTTTGTGAGATTGAACAAAGTTGACTATCTGGAAGGAGACCTTGGAGAATGCTTTTGACTTCCTCTTGGTCTCCTGTGTTACTGTTATTAAATAGGAAGCCAGGCCTTTCTTACAAAACAAAACCATGATTCTTATTTTTAAAGGGGAGGAAGAGGCTTAGCACCCCATGCCATCTGTCTGAGATCTGAGGGCCATGACACTGCTGAACGTCCCTCGGTCTCCAGGGGCTTTCTTTCCCACACAACAATGGAGGGGATCCCTGCCGTGTGGTCACCGGAGTTCTTGCTCCGATGTGGAGCAGTCCAGCCCTGCCCCTGCCTAATCAGCAGAATAACAGACAGGCATGGCTTTCTGCATCCTGAGTTAATGCATGTGGGCAGTAGGACCAACTCACATTTCACCTCCAGGGGAAATGAGAGGTGTGTTTGTTCCAAACACTGGGATTCCAAACACAGACCTGTGAATGGCTTTCATTGTTATGAAGTCTTCACCTTTCATGAAAACGACTTCATAAGGGCTGCTCCCCATTCTTCAAAGCACCCACCCACGGGCTGCATGCATGTTGCTTATAGTTTTTTAAGCTGACTTTATTTTTAGAACAGTTTTGATTGATAGGAATATTGACAAGACGTCACAGTGTCCCTGTATCGCCCTCACACAGCTTCCCTTATTATTAAAATTTTACATTAGTGCTGTACATCTGCCACCACTGATGAAACAGTATTGAAACATGAGTATTGACTGAAGTCCATGTTCTCCATGTTGAATTCAGATTTCCCTAATTTCTCCCTAATGTCCTTGCCGTGTCCCAGAAAGGCCCCGTCCAGGACACCACATGGCATTTGGTTGGCCTGGCTCCTTAGGCGCCTCTCAACTGTGACAGTTTCTCCAACTTTCCTTGTTTTTGATGGCCTTGACAGTTTTTGGGAGTACGAGTCAGACATTCTGCAGGATGCCCTGCTCTTGGGATGTGCTCTTTTTCTCATGAGTGACTGGTGTTATGCGCTGGGGGAAGAAAGCAGAGAGGCAGCGCACCACCGGCATACACATCCTACACAGGGGGTGCGCTCTCGACACGGCTGTCCTTGCTGACGTTGACCTTGGCCCCTGGCTGAGGTCATGCCGTCAGGCATCTCTGCTGTGAAATCACTGTGGGGTTCTAACTAGGGAAAAGGAGTCAGGCTGCAGGGCGCAGAGGAAGTAAAAAGAAGCAGCAGATGAGACAAGTCAACCCTTCTTCATGGTGCAGGACACACAGCCCTCCTGCACAGATAACTCAGTCTTCCTGTGCTCAGCTGTCACCAGACCCTCGGCTGATAGAAAAATGCAAGGTAGCTCCCTGCAACCCTGGTGTTATCAGTACTGCACGCAGCCCTCTGCAGCCCAAGAACCACCCTGTAAAACCTCTAGCAAGCCTTTGAATCCTGGCAGTCAGCTCCTCTTCTGCTGAGTCTGCCCATTTCCTCCTCGCAACGTGTTTTCCTATTTTCTCTAATAAGTCTGCCCTTCATTATCTACAACTGTCTTGGGAGATTCTTTTATGCTCCCCCTACCTGCTACCGCCACCAGCCCAGATAGTCATCACCCCCCTCGACAGTTACCACCTGCCTTCCATACCACACTCTTGGGAAGGAAGTGATGGTGCAGAGCCCACACCTAAGGAGTGGGGGAGTCACGGTCCCCTCCTTGAGGGCAGGGTATCTGCATAAATTATTTGGAATCCTTTTGCAATGGTGATTTGTCTCTTCTTTCCCACTTAGTTTATTCAGTCACTGATTTCTGTCAGCACTGACTCATGGACACCTATGTCATTATGGGTCATGACTCGACCCTACTTTATTTTGTTTCTCAAGTTGTTCTGGCTTTGGCCGTTGGGAGCTCTTCCAGTTGGCTCCTGTGTCCCTTTAATGTAGGATTTGGAGATTTTTTTTTAGTACTTCCTTTATGTAGATTTATCTTGTATATTTCTTGCCCCAGTCCTAGAATCAGCCATTTCTCTGAGGAGCCCTGTTTCGTTTTATGGAGAACAGTATTAGAAGCCAAGATCTGGGCACTAGCTGTGTTTATAGCTACTGAAACATAATTGCTTCTAGGTTGTCTCATGACAGAGGAGAGATATATGTATACTAATTAATGCACACACATATACCTACAAGTATTTCTAGATGTAATCATTTGTATCTATATTATGCTAAACATGAGTTTATACCAATATCTTCCATTCTAATTCACTAACATATGAATCATTCTAGTCTCATCCCCTGGTTTTATCTGTAAATTCTAACAGTGAGAAGCCTGACTCCCACTACTTATGATCCATCTCCTTAATCATTCAGTCCCAGCACACATGAATTGTGGGATCAGATTGTGAATTGATGCTCCTGTGGGAAGCACCTTAATCAGCTAGAGTGCAGTGCTTATGCTCAGTTCCCTTTTGCCCTTGGTCTTACACACTCCACTCATTTACACGGTCACTTAGGGCAGCACCTGCTCTCCCATCCTTTCTTCAGTGAGGTCATTTTACATATTTGGAGCAGGTAGGGACCAGCGTGGATGGCCCTCTGGACTGATGTGGGGGCCCCTGCTTTGGAGGGGCTGCTGGCCAGTGGCAGGGGTTGGATTGGAGCCAGGAGGGTCTCACCACCTTTCCTCTCCCGGGACTGACACCAACCCCTGTCCTTCAACACAACACAACACAACAGAAAGGGGTTTGAGCCCCTGGCTATGTTAGCTGCTGTGGTGCCTCAGGCCAGCACTATTCCATCCCCAGGACCACCTGCTCAGGGGTGCCCACACCCCAACCACCAAGGGCTCCAAAAGGAAGGTGTAAGTTCCATGGCCTGTGCAGGGAGGGTGTGAGCCGTCCCAGCACAGGCACTCATTTGGAACCGAACAGAGGGCTGGGGACCGAACAGAGGCATTCTGACCCCACAGCAGTGGGGAGCCATGGTGGGTCCTTGAGCAGAAGGGTATGCTCTGGGATGTGTTTGAACTTGATGCTGACAGCAGGTATGGGGTAGACGGAGGGAAGATGGAGACCAGGGGTTGCCAGGGCAATGCCCAACATGAGGAGGCCCCCAGGGTGCAGGGGAGGAACAAGGGCAGGGCAGGAGGTGGGGGTCTTGGCCAGGAACATGCTGTAGGGCTAGGAACCACCCAGAAGAGGGTAAGTCTCATGGCTAGGACTCCCTCCTGGAGCAGAGGACTCCAGGGTCCCCTGCTCTGTGCCCTCAGGAGGGGAGCAGATCCTCCAAAGAGCTGGCCCAGCAGGAGGTGGAATAAATACCCATGATGTGCCTGGGCCTGCAGAATGGGAAAGGTCTTCCTGGTAATGGCAGGTGGCCCAGGCCTGTGAGCGGCACTTTCAAACATCAGAC
Source organism: Homo sapiens (assembly GCF_000001405.40). Lineage (NCBI taxonomy): Eukaryota > Metazoa > Chordata > Mammalia > Primates > Hominidae > Homo > Homo sapiens. Next base: position 22,977,431 of record NC_000013.11, read on the forward strand.
TTCACAGGGGCGCCCTGCCTCTCCCAGAGCCGGGCTACCTTGATGGCTGCTGGCAAGCAAGTCCTCACCATGGTTCCTGTGGGGCAGTCAGGATTCTTAAGGAGGTGGGTTCCAGGCAGGGCAGCAGGTACCTCGGCCAGCCTTACTGAGGCCCCTGGAGGCCCAGCAAGGGGTGACCAGTGGGCACAGTGAAAAGCTGGAAAAGAAAGAATGAAAGAAAGAGAGAAAGGAGAGAAAGACAGAACAAGAAGAGAAAGAACAAGAAGGAAAGAGAGAAAGAAGAAGGAAAAGAAGGAAGAAAGTTTTAAAAAGTTAAATATATGAAAGGAGCATCCATCCAGAAGTCCAACAGCAGTCCCTCCTGGAATCCATTGGCTTCCCTCAAGAGTTTTTGGTCCTTCTCTTTCAGGGTTGCCAGATAAAATACAGGGTGCCCAGTTAATCTGAATTTCAGATAAACAGTGAATAATTTTTTTATCATAAGTATATCCCAAAGAAAGTATGGAACATATTTAAGCTAGAAAATTATTCATTGTTTACCTGAGATTCAAAATTAACTAGCTGTTTTATATACATATATATGTATTTCAGACAGAGTCTCTCTCTTGTCACCCAGGATGGAGTGTAGCGGCACGATCTCGACTCACTGCAACCTCTGCCTCCCGGGTTCAAGCAATTCTCTTGCCTCAGCCTCCCGAGTAGCTGGGACTACAGGCATCCGCCACCACGCCCAACTAATTTTTGTATTTTTGGTAGAGACGGGGTTTTGCCATGTTGGCCAGGCTGGTCTCCAACTCCTGACCTCTGGTGATCTGCCCACCTCAATCTCCTAAAGTGCTAGGGTTACAGGCGTGCGCCACCTCACCTGGCCGGCGTTTTATATTTTTATTTGTTAAATCTGGCAACCTTATTCTCTTGTTAATATTCTTCAGTGCTTGCAGCTTTGTTTTCCTTCCTTGCCCCCTCTTCTAGGGCAGACGGATCCCGTTGTAGGAAAAGCATTCCACTGTCTCCATGGCTGCAGATTGTGGTCTCCGCCAGTGGTGAGGAACAGATGGGTTTCCACCTGTATCGTAGATGGCATGTCTGTGTCCTCCCCAAATTTCTCTGTTGAGGCCCTCACCCCCAATGTGATGGTATTTGGAGATGGGCCTTTTGTAGGTAATTAGGGTTAGATGAGGTCATCAGAGTGGGGCCCTCATGATGGGTTTAGTTAGACAAGAGCTCTCTCTCTCTCTCTCTCTCTCTCACCTACCCCACCTTTTCTCTTCTGACCATGTGAGGACACAGAGAGAAGGCAGCTCTTTGCAAACCAGGATGACAGCCCTCACCAGGAACCAATCCAGCTGCCACCTTCATCTTAGACTCCCAAACCTCCAGAACTATGAGAAATAAGTGGTATTTTGTTTTGACCGATACAGCCTGAAAACACATTTTCTCCTCACCACACATGAGTGATATCTGTGTGACTGAAGGTATCCAGGACTCATCAAAAAAAAAGAGAAATGTCCCCTGCACAAGGCCCAGCCATGCCCAGGAGAAGCAGCAGCTTGGCACAGAAGAGCGCACCCAGGCTGGGCACTGCACTCATTCTTCCTGTGACCCTGGGCAAGTCACTGAATGGGGCTTCAGCTGCCCCATTTGTTTATTTCATTTTTTTTTTAAGGCTAGTCAAAATTGCTTCATTTGTAATGGGGCTTAATAGTGTTTGCCCTGCCTCCTGTTGAGGGATCCAGAGAAAGGACGTCAAAGTACTTTGTAATCTGTAAGGTTTATCTGACATGAGAGGAAATATACATATGCTCCAGGATATCTGTGTGCAGACACACACACACACACACACACACACACACCATCACATATCAGGCCTGGCTGTGTCTTCTTACAAAGGCGCTGCTAGGCACCACCTCCAGTTCTAGAACCAGACCAGCCAGTTCACCCTCCAGGCATTTTACCCTTGACTTCATAAAACCTTTCTACCTAATCCACTAGTGACAGGCTCATCCCAGACCTAATTTTAAAGATGTCTAGGAGCAAGATTGCAGAGACTTACCCTCAGCCCCTCGAGCTGCGGTGGAAATCCTTGACCTTGGCCTACACAAAAACAGATGCAGATCATTCTCACATTTGCTGGCCGGCTGGGCTGAGTGGGCCTGGGGAATGAGGGCTACAGGGGCGGTCCTGGGCAGTCTTGCTGAGGCTTGCCAGCATCTCTCCGCCTCCTTAACTTCCCATGGTCCATGAGCATGGACTTCAGGAATTCCTGATGGGGGGTGAAGAGCATGCAGCAGGGTGTCCCAATCCCTGATCTATGGAAAGAAAAATTGAAGCAAAACCAAGAACTTAGTTTAAGATGTCCCATACACCAGCCTCTAGCCCTTGTTTTTGGAACAGACCTCTCCCCTGGAAACCACTTTCCTCCCAGCATTAAATTCTCCAAAGTGCTTTGCTTTTTCGCAAAGTTCCCAAGGATCCCTGGAGAAAGGAAGATAGAAATGCCTCACTCTCTAAACAGATAGATGCAGCTAGTTAAAAGAAACAGCCAGCTTCTCTTGCTGTTTCTAACATATTTGAAAGAAGCTTGGGTTCAGAAATCTATCCAGAAAGCTCCGTGCTATGCAGACAGAACAAGAACCTTCCCCTGTGGGAGCCTTGGGCTGGTCATCACTGGTTCCAGAGCCAGTTTTTCTAAACACCCATTGGTGGCTGTGTTCAGAGCGAGTTAGTCACTCACACCATCCTGCCCTGCCCTGAGTTAAACCATATATGATCTCCTCCAGGAAGCCTCCATGACTACTGTAGCCCAGGGACATCCCCTTCTCTGAAATGTACAGCAGTTGAAACACTTCACTAGACACCTTAGCCCCCATGTTGTGCTATTTGGGATTGTTCCCGGAGAGACAGTAGAGCATTTGACTGAATTCGCAAAAGAGAAAAAACAAATTCATTTTACAAAACCTAAACTCTCAGACTGAAGGAATTTCGCACCACAGCCACGATAATTCATGAACCCACATCTGCTACCCACTGTGGTGTCTGAGAGGTGAAAGAGGGCAATGTCTCCAGGAGGGCGTGCACACACACTTGTTAACACGTGCACAAGTGTGTGTATTCACAGGGACCCTGATGTACACTCATAGCCACACACAAGCTAAGGTCTGAGAACTGTGTCTCCTGGAGGAGGCTGGGATGCCGGACACCTGAGGAAGCAGCCCCGAGCTCCACTTTCACCAGCACCCCTAGAGGGTCAGTGCCAAACGGACCCCATTATTTCATGCCAATCCATTCTAGGGGGTCACCTCCCCCGAAACACCTCTCTGAAACATTAGTGGATGCCAAAGGGGAAATGAGACTTGCTTTGCACAATCTTCTTCTCCAGAGGACTGCATCCCTCATTTCCTAATGGACATAAATAAGAAAATGGGTTTTGCTTTGCAGAATGTTCTTCTCTATAGGAACATAGCTCAGATTTCTAAACAGTGTCCTAATAGAAGTTACAGCCTCTGTAGCCAACCACACCAATCTGGTGTGGTTGACCCTCCTGACTTGCTGACATTGGTAGACTCCTGTGTGGCTTATTTCTTCATGCAACCATGAACATCCTTTCTCCACCCACATCAGAAGGATCTTCTAAATTCATCCCTCTCTCTCAGCTGCTTCCAGCTCCCCAAAAGGCTTCCCAGGGCAATTAGAATGCAATCCAACTCTTCCCAAAACCCCGACATGGGAGCAGCCTGGGTCCTGTGGCCTCTCCCACTGGCCTCTTAGCCTCAATGTTCAGCCACACTGGCCTTGCCCGCCCACACTGTTTGTCACTGCTCCAGGGCCTTTGCACCTGCTATCCCTTTTCCCAGCATCCTCTTTCCCTGTCCCTTTTCAGAGCAGCACACAGAAGGACACAAGGACTGAGCCTCATCCAGGAATCCAGGGCTGCAGGTCTGAGCAGAGGGTCCCTGGGGGCAAATAAAAAGCACTGGGGATTCTGAAAGTGGCAGTAGCAGCTTTGCCCTTTTCAGAATGGCATCTACCATTTAGATTCTCTACAGTTTATCCAGCCCAGCCCTCACTTTACAGAAGGGAGGCCAAGCTGGGGTCACACCAACTATAAGGCTCCACAACCTGGGCCACCCCCTAGTCTGCAGCTGGGCCATTCCAAGGCTTCTTCAGGGCTGTCAGGAGGTGGTGGGGTTCCCTTGGTTGGGAGGACAGAGACCCCAGTGCTGGCTACCAGCAGGAGGGGAGCTAACAGACTTGGAGTCCCCTCTCATGGAGCCACAACAAACCAAAGGGTTAGGGATTTCAAGGGAACAGGGGTCCCTCTGGGGAAAAAAGCCAGGGTTCCCCGGAGCTACTGTTATTGCCCTCCTGGGAGAGGGCAAGTACTTACTTGGCTAATGTGACCTCCCTTGCGCTCTGGTCTTGGAAACAGCTGCCACCTTTCCGGACATGTCCAGGAAGCTGCCCAGGCCCATGCATGCCCTCCCAGCCCCTAGTCTCCTTTGATCAACACTCTGACCTCCCAGCCCAGGGGGGCCCGGGGCAGGAGAACCAGAACAGTGCCCGGCCCACAGTCCCAACTAAGGAAATACATCCTGATGGTCACCAGCCCCTTGGACATCCAGGAAATCCACAGAGGCCGGGATGGCAGCAAGGGAGCCAAGTGCCATGTGCTCTGCAAGCCTTCTTTCTGCAGAGCCTACTGTGCATCAGCTGAGGGTCCAGAGAACCTGGCTGGGGTGGCAATGGCCCCTTTCCAGATGCAGTTCTTGGGCCCCCAGAAGCCAGCCAAGAGCCGTTCTCATTTGTGTGCATGGTGGGCACATGGCTGCCTGTGTTTGTGTCTCTGTGTTTAAACCAGGAGGAGTTAATGATTAAGAGGCGCCTTGAGTTCGGTCCCACTCAAAATAAACTAGGACCTGTCAGTAAACATGAGGGGAACCTCCCAGTTGTCAGTCATCTCCCAGTATTCCCAGAATGATCTGGGGTAGACATCTGGCATGACTGGATGGTAACTTGGGGGCTGCACCTGTAGTGTCAGAGAGAGACGTTCTTGATAGCTGGAGACAGCCCTGGCGATGTGACATAGGTAAAGGCCTTGGGCACTGGCCAGTGGCTCTCCACCCCCTGTAGAAGTAAGTGTCCCCATGGGCTGCAGATGGGCTGCCTAGGGTGGAGGTGGTTTGCTGTTGGGACCAGGAGCCAGAAGAAGGGGCCAGGGAGGAAGAACCCTGGAGCTGTCTGGGGACTTGTGCTGGAGGCTGTGCCCACTTGGGCAGATGGTCAAGGTGCAGAGGACAGCCCAGTTTAGCCCAGCCACAGACAAAGGTGCTGAGACTCTGGGGCTCTGTGCCTGCCTGGCACAAGTTATGGAGCCAGGATTGAGTGGGCCCCTGTGCTCTGGGCTGCCCAAGGATGAGACTGGGGCATGCTGGGATCAAGATCTGACTCCTGACAACCTGGGCTTTGTGTAGAGCAGATAGGGGAGTACCCCACTACCTGTCTTTCCATGCCGCCACAGTGCAGTGCCCAGAGTCTGCAACCCTCACTCCGGGCATGGGCCGAGAAAAAATGGACCCTTTAGCTGGTGCACTAGGCAACCTTCAGGCTGTCTGGGACCAGCCCTGACAGCCTCTGCTCTGGGATCAGCTGCCGCAGCAGCCTGCACATGGCATGGGGCAGCAGTGGTGGCAACCCTGGACACTGGCCCCCATAGCATGGAACCCAGGACCAGACACTGCCACGGTCAGCCCGCAGGTGCGGGAGGGCAGGAGGCGAGCAGTCACAACCCTGCGGCTGCACAGTGCCCCTGCAAACCTGTGCTCTGGGCCAGGGCCAAGAGAAATTGGACCCTAGCATGGGAGAGCGGTACACTTGGCGACCCTCCGGCCCTCTGGAAGTAACCCTGCCAGCCACTGCCGTGGGCTCAGCCACAGCTGCCACCTGGAAATGGCAGTAGTCAGTATCAGTGGCAACCCCTGATCCTGCCCTCCCCCACCAGCAGCAGGGAACCCAGGACCAGTTGTCGCCATGGGGTAGGTTAGTGAGGGATTTAGGGTCATTTGATTATGAGATGAAATGATCACATGGGGATGAAGTAATTCTTTTTTTTTTTTTTTTTTTTTTTTTTGAGACGGAGTCTCGCTCTGTCGCCCAGGCCGGACTGCGGACTGCAGTGGCGCAATCTCGGCTCACTGCAAGCTCCGCTTCCCGGGTTCACGCCATTCTCCTGCCTCAGCCTCTCGAGTAGCTGGGACTACAGGCGCCCGCCACCGCGCCTGGCTAATTTTTTGTATTTTTAGTAGAGACGGGGTTTCACCTTGTTAACCAGGATGGTCTCGATCTCCTGACCTCGTGATCCACCCGCCTCGGCCTCCCAAAGTGCTGGGATTACAGGCGTGAGCCACCGCGCCCGGCCTGAAGTAATTCTTTAACATAACATCGGTATGCAGAAGTACAGTATACAGTGATAAGAATTTACAATATAGTGTGTGCGTCAGCAATTTCTAACAGAGCCTTAAAACATAAACACAGCCTATCCATAAACTATGATTAGCAAGATATTAATCAGCAGTAACAGTTGCAGCAAAAGCTGGTTACACACAATCCATAGAAACAGGATGTGAGGCTAGACAGCCTGTTAGACCAGAAATTCTCAGAAGGGAGTATGCCTTAACCCTAAAGAGACCTAGAAGAGCCGTGGCAAGATGAGGGCATTTATAGCCCTAACTTATCTGTATGGGCAAGCACCCCCCATGCGTCCGTTTATAGGCTCTCCACAAGGGTCGCATTCCATTCCCAGAGCTATGAACATCTGCTTTTCTGGGCTAGGAATCTTGGTGATGTGAAACCTCCCTGACTGCACGACCATTCACAGGCTCTCTGCAGGGGGAAGCACATCACGTGCTGTTGGCTCATTCTGGCAGCCCAACCTGGCATTGTCTTTACACAATCCTGCATGCTACTTTGTATTTACAATAATCAGGAGCATTTCATCTTTTATTCCGTAGCAATAGTTTCAGGGGGTCTCCCCACAGTAGTGAGGGGCTCAGTCCAAGTCCAAGGTCCTTCAGGGAAGCCAATGTTGTTACTCAGTCCAAGCAGGGGAGCTGCTGGTGCAAGTCTTGGAGTTCAAATGCCAGAGAACCTGGAGTTCTGATGTCCAAGTGCAGAAAGAGGGTTGCCCTGCTCCAGGGGAGGAAGAGGATTCACCTTTGCTCTATCTGGGCCCTAAGCAAATTAGACAATGCTAACCAACACTAGGTGAGGATGGATCGTTCTTACCCAGTCCACTGACTCAAATGCCAGTCCCTTCCAGAAACACCCTCACAGAAACACCAGAACTACCATGTTACCAGCTATCGGGGCTTCCTTTCATCCAATCACATTGACACATAAAATTAATCATCCAATTGTCCAAAGGCTTTTGCCACCTGGCTGAAACCCGACTCTCCAATGCATGTGCCATGTTCTCAAAATTCCTCTCCATCTGCTTTGACCCCTGAACACTTTCTTGAACACATTCCTTAATGCACACTGTGTTTATTTTTCTGCCTAGAACATTCTTCTCTAACATCTCACCATCAACATTCTACCTAGTACTCAATATCAGTATAGATGCTTCCCCAACCCCATGAATTTTCCCAGTTGAGTGACTTTGGGAAAATGCTGTGACTTCTCTGAGCTTAAGCTCCATCGCTTGTCACATAAAAATGGTGAGACTGATACAACAATGTTCCAGTGAGGAGAAAAAACTTTTTTTTTTTTTTGAGACACAGTCTTGCTCTGTCGCCAGGCTGGAGTGTAGTGGCATGATCGCGGCTCATGGCAACCTCTGCCTCTTGGGTTCAAGCAATTCTTCTGCCTCAGCCTCCCGAGTAGCTGGGACTACAGGCTCACACCGCCATGCCTGACTTTTTTTTTTTTTTTTTTTTTTACTAGCGATGGGGTTTGACCATATTGCACAGGCTGGTCTGGAACTCCTGAGCTCAGGCAATTCACCGCACTCAGCCTCCCAAAGTGCTAGGATTACAGGTGTGAGCCACCACGCCTGGTCGAGGAGAAAATTTTATATATTGAGTGCCCAGTGCAGTGCCTTGCACATATTAGGTGACAAATTTTTAACTGACCCTTTTCATGAATCTTCTAATTCCTTCCAATCAGAATGAGCCCATGTTCTCTCTATATGCAGGTTATTATCAATACAAAAACACTAATCAAAAATTGTCTTTATTTAAGTTGTCAAGCTGTCCTAACTCCTGACTTGTATATAAATTATGTGAAGGGAAGGATTCTGTCTTTTTGTCATCTCTTACCCTCCCCAGTTCTTGGTGAACAGCAGACAGTCAAAAATGATTAGAAGACTGATAAAATTCACTGTCATCTGTTCAATAATGCCTTCCTTGTTTCCGTAATATACCTCCTCCCAACTTCTCAGGAAATCTGAGAGTGCCCCAAGCCTCAACTTCCAATATGCAACTCCTTTATGGGCCTTCTGCAACACTGGCCTCCTCTTACCTTTGGAACATAGAACTTTTGTCTCTGGCAGATGAGGGCTTTTTAATCTAGAATAGAACTGGAACAAATCCTCTCTCACATCAGCAGGAGCACCTATGAACACACTGATCAAGTGTTGTTGAGACACAAGTGTTGTCTCTGTAGGGAAAGGTGTGGAGACAGAGAGCCCTGAGAAGGCAGAATTGCCAGGTGAGATGTCAGGGTGGCATTGGTACAGGCCGTTCAGCTGGGGAGGGGTGTGCACTGCTGAGCCACAGAAAGCAAGCTTTGGATCCAAGGAACAGTACATAGGAAGTGGATTAAATGTTTGCAAAAAATAGAAACCATCCTCATAAAATTAATAAAACTAAATTGCTAGATTTTTAAAAAGAGTATAACCTGTAAGTAGAAGCATAGCTAAGTTGTTAACCAGCTTTCCCTAAAGCCCATTTTCTTTTTTTTGTTGTTGTTGTTTTGAGACAGTCTCCCACTTTCACCCAGGCTGGAGTGCAGTGGCGCCATCTCGGCTCACTGCAAGCTCCACCTCCCAGGTTCACGCCATTCTCCTGCCTCAGCCTCCCTAGTAGTTGGGACTACAGGCGCCTGCCATCACACCTGGCTAATTTTTTGTATTTTTAGTAGAGTTGGGGTTTCACTGTCTTAGCCAGGATGGTCTCGATCTCCTGACCTCATGATCCTCCTGCTTCGACCTCCCAAAGTGCTGGGATTACAGGCGTGAGCCACCGTGCCCAGCCAAGGCCACTTTCTTATAGCTGCTTACTGCTTCAAAGTCACCCCTGTCACAATGTCCTAACTTCTATGGGGGACACCTTTGATCTTAAGAAATTTCAAGTTTTTCATTTTGAGTTTTTTTCAGATCCTGCATTTCAATGAGTCCACTGACACCAGCCAGTCTGAAGACCCTCTCCAAGGAACTGACTCAGCACATGAATGTGAATGTGGTTTCTTCATCTCCGTGTCCCATGATTTCATCCCTCATGTCTTGACCAATCAGAAATATCCACACTTTAGCTCATTACTCATCCTTTAAAATCCTATCCCCAGTCTTCTTGGGGAGGCAGATTTGAAGTTTCCTTTCATCTCCTCATTTGGCTTCCACATGATTGTTAAACTCTTTATTGCTACAACTCCTGCTGTTTCGAAGTATTGGTCTGTTACTGAGCAATGAACAATTGAACCTGGTGGCCCTATAACAAAATCACTAAGGACTCAGGTAGACTTTAGTACAATGCCCCGTGTACAGCCTTAATATTGCTCACTGTCAGCTACTGCATCCCCTAAATGTGGACGTATCCAGGAAGCTTCTTCCCTTGCAGAAAACACACAATACTGAGCCCTGGAGAACAAAACAAATGGGGTGAGGCTAATGGGGAGTGGGGAGATGTTGATTAAAGCATACAAAATGTCAGACAGGAGGAATAAGTTCAAGAGATTGAACAACATGATGATTATAATTCATAACAATTGTATTCTTGAAAATAAGAGAGTAAATTTTATGTTCTCATCAAAAATATAAGTATGTGAAGTAATGTTTAACTACTTCAGTGTAGAAATTTGACAATGTATGCATATTTCAAAAATGTGTGCATATTTCAAAAAATACATGAAAATATATATAATTTTTGTTTGCCAATAAAATGTCCCAAGTGAAAAAGCAGAAAATGTTAAAACTCCACATATGATTATGCCACTAAATTGATGGTGTCTATATTTTTATTTTCAAAAAAAGCTTAAAATTGAGTTTTAGAAAGCTGTTAGCTGTCCATGTGCTTTGAAAGGCTCTCCAGGCCTCTTGAACCCCAGAGTGATTTTAGTCCATTAGTCTAATTATTTATGATTAGGAGGCAGAAACAGGGAAATTATTAATCATAAAAGATATGCCTATCTGTTTATCTTCAGATTTACAAAAAAGCAAATGTTTCATTGGCAAAATTTACATCTTACTGCATGTACACAGGAAAAAAATAAGTACTCTCACATAAAACAAGCTAAAGGGACATTCACTTGGTTTTACTTTTCCAGTAGACAATCTTTGTTGAACTTAATCTATGATAGCATTGGTGAATTCTCATGTTTATATTTATACTATGTGGAAAGGTCAAGTCTAACTGTAGTTTTTTAAATAATTGAGAGGAAACAATGTAGAGCCTCCATGAGAGTTTTGTATAAAGATAAAACATTTGAAGAGAGAATTCTTCTTCACCACCAGTCTTATTGATTCTAAACACAACTTTTACCAAGCAGACAAAAACAAAACTGCTGGATGTACATCACCACCCTCAGAAAAATAACTTTTGTAAAAGAGAACTGACAACATTCAGTCTTTAAAAAGGAAAATTTCAGGCACTGTTCCACGCATGAAAGATAGCCCCACATCAGTGAATCAAATTTAGTCCAAAAAATGGACATTAGACAGGACTACTGAGTAGTAGTATGTCAAATGTTTGAGAAAAATTCTGAGTCAAACTATGGTAATTATGAACCATTAATCACCATCAGTAAGGAAACATTTTCTGAGCTGCATCTACATTCTCCTGTGTGATCGCAGGTAAAACACTCCTCTCTCAGTTCAGTTTGCTCATCTGTAACCTGAGGCTAGAGGGAGCACCTCCTCATAGTGCCATGGAGGAGGGAATGGAAGGAAGTGTGGCAGGTAGCAAGTGATCACTCACCTTAGTTGTTATGATTTTAGTCAACCATTGCACAGAGTTTTCTCTGAAGCATGTGGACCAGCTATTTTCCACCTTGACTAATAAATTAACAGAGAAGGAAGAACCCTGCAGATCAAAATCTTGTCAAATGCTTATCACAACTCTGCAGGTTTCAGAACATGTAAACTAGTTGAAATCTCAGTTTAATTTTGTGCGTGCTTAGTCCAGCAAAACCTGGGATGGACAAATACATATTGTAAATCAGAAGAATGATTGACCTTTGGTAAATTGCTGATGTTTCTAAAAAGGTCAAGTATTTAAGCAGGTAGAAAGTCAGCTAAAACACTCATTCAAAGAACACACACACACACACACCAAAAAACATAAACAAAATTGTTTTCCCTTGGGTGTTTATAAATACAATCTTAATAGAGAAGCAACTGTAGATTGTAGGTTATCTCTGCACCATGAAAGTGTAGATACTCAGTACTTGCTCTGCTTCATGGCTCTGTCTGCTTTAGGTGTTCATAAATTTGGTTGAGCTGCAGAAGCATTTTTTTACATTGTTAGAAGAGTAGCTAAAAAGACTATGAAGACCGCTGAATTATTAGAAAGTATGAAATGGCCTCTCATGGATTGTAATGAAAACATAGTCCAGGCTTTGTGCTTTGAACAAAATACAGTCATCCCTTCTATTTGTGGGGGATTGGTTCCAGGACCCTCATGGACGCCAAAATCCATGGATGCTCAAGTCTCTCATAGTGTAGTATTTGCATATAACCTATGTACATCCTTTTGTACAATTTAAATAATCTCTAGATTTCTTATGATACATAACACAATGTAGATGCTATGGACATAGTTGTTTTACTGTATTGTTTTCCATCTGTATTTTTTTATTGTTGTGTTTTTCTTTTTGATATTTTCTATCCATGGTTGGTTGACCACTGGTGCAGAACCCATGCATGTGGAATTGGAGGGCAGACTCTACTAGCCTTAGAGTCAGAAGAACTGAGTTTTGATTGCCACCTGCTGTGGTCCATCCTAGGTATGTTGCTTAGCTATAATAATGGTTCAAGTAAGATGCTATCCAAGCTGCTGTCTTCTAGCATGTTCACAAGTTCATCCGATGACAGACCATTCTGTCACTAGACCCCAGGTACCTAGGAATTTTGGGTTCCAACTTTAAGAATTGTTGGTTTTATCCTTGATATAGTTTGGATATTTGTCCCCTCCCAAATCTCATGTTGAATTGTAATCCTCAGTGTTGGATGTGGGGCCTGGTGGGAGGTGTTTGGGTGGTAAGGACACATCCCTCATGGTTTGGTGCTGTCCTCATGATAGCAAATGAGTTTTCATAAGATCTGGTCATTTAAGTGTGTGGCACCCCCTCCTCCCTACTCTCTCTCTCTCTCTTTCACCATATGATGCGCCTGCTCCCCTTCCACCTTCTGCCATGATTGTAAGCTTTTTGAGGCCTCCCTAGATGCTGAGCAGATGCCAGCACCATGCTTCCCATACAGCCTGCAGAACCGTGAGCCAATTGAACCTCTTTCATGTATAAATTACCCAGGCTCAGGTATTTCTTTATAACAGTGCAAGAATGGCCTAATACAGTCCTCCTACAGAAAAGTACTGGGATCGAATGAGAAACTTTGTAAAAGGATCCAAAGGAAAGAAACTACCCAATTGGATAGGATCAGAAAACAAAAGTCCTGCCTCTCTCTGGGAGAAGCAGTGATCCTAGGAACGATTAATGTAGGGCTATGTTCAGGTTCAGAGCTAGGTGAAGGTAACAGTGGAGGGAGGAAGCAGGCAGTGAGGGAGAAGAGTGGTTTGCAGGCAAATCCTGGTAGGAGTCTAGAAAAAAAAGCAATACACTGGAATGAGAAATAAGCAATCTCTTTTAATGACTGGGAGTTAATGTTCATAAACGAGTGTTAGCATCCCAGATTCATCAAATATTAAAAATGTTAGTAGGAGCTCTGGGACTACTCTTCTTTCCTCTATCTCCTTGGTCCCTTTAATATCCAACATGCCAGAATTTGCCTGCAAACTGTACCCAGACCCAGAGATTGCAACTTAGACACACCTTGGTATTCATTTTCCTTGAAAAACTGTGAAGTAAGCACTTCTCAACAAAGATTTAATATATTATTTTAAAGGACCTATCTTTTTTCCAACACTGTAGATATGGGAGAGTCATTTAAGTTCTATTATTTTTCAGGGGTGTGATTGATGTGATGAGTGCCAGGTGGAGTTGAAATGATGGGCTCAAATTCTGACTTGAGGTTGGGCATTCAAATGACAGCAATAGGGAACCCAATCAGGCTCACACTATGATAAGTTTGAGCAAAGGATACTTATAAAAATGTCTTAAAAACACTTTCATTTTATCTCTTTAAATTCTAAAAACAGATTTAATGAAACGGTGTATACTTCCAACAAGCCATTTATATGCACTGTCAAAGTAAACAATGTAATCACACTACATCCATTAGCGTTTTGAAGCAATGATGAATATTTATGCATTTAAAACAATTTGAAACAATGACGTGGATGTCACATTTTTGTTTACATTGTAGTGTGTCTCTTTGATGCACTGTAAATAGGATAAGAATGTTATTTTTGAGCAGAATTTTGGACTTATTTTTCCTCAGATGGAAAATCACAGTTTATGTTTTTTGTTTGTTTGTTTGTTTTTTGTCTCTTGTACATTTTCCTTCATTCATATTATCTGCTGCCTGAAGGGAACCAAAATACACCACTGTGACATAGTGATATTTTGAGCTAAAGACATTGGAGAATCAACAGATACAGAATGAGGTTTTTTGGTTTGTTTGTTTTTTCTGAACCTTCCTTATCTGCCTAAAATCAGAGCCTCCAAAAATAATTTAACTGTCATAAATATCCTCCCCAGAAGTTTCAACCAAGGAAGATGGACTCCTATCACAGCAGAGAAGTTGGCACTAGGATAAGAAATCACCAAAGCAGGTACACAATTTGGAGAAAGCAAAGGGAAAGAACCAAAGTGTGCATTGAACAAATGCAAATTTTGTGAATCTTCATTTTTAATGATCTTTACATATATATATGTGTATATATATATATATATATATATATATTACAAAACAGTAAATGATCACTGTGTAACAGTTTAAATTACCAATGTATTTGATTTTACTGGAGAAACCTAGGTGCCAATAAATAAATAAAAGACATCACCGAAGCAGACATTGTCACAATGCTACTGGATCTCCCCCATCTGTGCTCCGAAGGACCCATTTATCTTTCCTACAAGTCATTTCTTTTCCCATGTGTCCTTTCTCCCTTTTCCCTTCCCTTAGTAAGATAATATATGAGCCCTAAATTCTAACCTCCTCTTTGAGCCACATAGTCTGTGAGTTCCCATGTATGTTCATAAATAAATGTTGCCCTTTTTTGTTGTTGGTTTAACTTACAGGCCTCAACTACTGAACCTTAAAGGGTAGAAGGAAAGGTTTCTTCCCCACATGCCCAAGAGCCAACACTAGCTCTGCAAAGTCTGCATTTCTCACATCCAATTTTTTTTTTTTTTTTTTTTTTTGAGACGGAGTCTCACTCTGTTGCCCAGGCTGGAGTGTAGTGGCGCGATCTCGGCTCACTGCAAGCTCCGCCTCCCAGGTTCACGCCATTCTCCTGCCTCAGCCTCCCGAGTAGCTGGGACTACAGGTGCCCGCCACCACGCCCAGCTAATTTTTAGAGACGGGGTTTCACCATGTTAGCCAGGATGGTCTCGATCTCCTGACCTCGTGATCCACCCGCCTCGGCCTCCCAAAGTGCTGGGATTACAGACCTGAGTCATGCTGCCCTGCCACCTAGAGCTTCCTTTTCTAATGAGCAGTGACTAACGGCATCTTGGGTCAATCAAAGGGTTTCATTTTCATAATTTCTGTGATGTCAAACCAACCCGTGAAAATCACTGCTATTTTCAGTACTTTAACTTCTGCATTCATACAAAAAGATACTGAAAGAAACAAAATCCTCAGAATCAAAGCATCCATGACCATTGCACAATGCATACATTTCCAACGGTCCCTAGTTGGTTTCATGTGAGTTACATCATGTACTGGTGCCAGGAATGCCTGCCTACAAGCAGCAATTACAATACTTTTTATTCTTTTCTTATCTAAAGTAAATGGAAGGCATTCTTGCTTTGGCCTTGATGAGTGACAGTGCCCTTTGCAAACTTTGAGAGGCTTCTACATTTTCCTTTGTGCTATAGTGATGAGAAGGAAATGCTTTAGAATACTTCTCATTGGAAACTAGAAACTCTGAGATAGGAGAGAATTCTGCAAGGTATTGATTTCTCAGGGGCCGTTTTCCTTAAGGACTAGAGAAATTCTCTTTAAATCCTGTAAAACACAATCATTACTGCTTTGTACCCTCTCTGTTAACCAGAGGGCTTGGGTGATTATAGATCATAGACTCAGCAAAAGCCTTTAAATTTTGGAAGGGAATAGAAAGCTTAAAATTCACGCTTGTGGGAACCCCTGAAGAGCAGATAAATGCCCTTTGTCTTCTCTGTACTCCCCAGTGTGTTTTGCCTACTGTTTTGAATGTTCATGCTATTTTTTGCCTGACAAATGTCTACTCTTCTAAGAAACGTTATTTACTGTGGTTATGAAAGGAATTTATTTTGATTTTAGAAAATTTAAAAATATTAAAAGACATAAAGAGAAAAAAGTCTCCTTAAAGCTATCCAATTATGAGTCATACAGACATAACTGCTGTTACCACTGTTACTTCTTGAGTGTGTGACATTCTAGACATTCATCTGTGTGAATACATGTGTATGCTAGTGCATATATTTACAGAAACTGTGTCTAAATTAAAAATTGGAATAATTATGTAGTTAACTAGTTATCTGTCTAGTTTGACCTCATACTATCTACCTATCCAGTCTTGTTTGATATTATTTAAAGTATAATTTTCCCCTAATTTAATAGTCCATCATATCCCATATACTGTGAACTATAATTTATTTAATCAGACTCCTTTGTATTGGAAATTTAGATTGTTCTTAATTTTTACCATTTTATTATTACTGGAATAATTTTCCTTACTTTTATTAATTTCTTGGTATTTTTGAATTTTTGACCTAGGAAAAATTCTTAAAATTAGAAATAGAGGTCAAAGGATATAATTTTAGAAGTCTAACGCATTATCCATGGCACCACAGAGCCAGCTATAATTTTAAAAGCTTTTGATATATATATATAGCTAAGGATCCTACAAAAATGTATGTTAGTGTACTTTCTCAGCAGAGGATGAGCTGGAAATATTTCAGGCCATTTGATGTAAAAGTTTGCTTTGCTTTTTACTATTAATGTAATTATTTTGATTTCTGTGCAGTGAACATCTTGCAAGTGTTCATTTGCCTTCTGTTTGTTACTTTTATTACTAACTTGGTGTCCTTTGCTCATGTTTCCATGGTGCCATTTTTCTTTTCTTGACCATTCTGTGGCAATCAAATGTAAAATAATGTTTATCTGACATGTACTTTGAGTTTTCTTTATTATCACTTTGGATTGTTATGAAATTTTTTATACCCACCTCAAATCTGTATATCAAGCTCTGTCTCACAAACCTTGTAATTTATAAGGTATATTAGATATTACATTTTTATTGAATTTTATATCATATAAAAGAAATCTGCAATGTAATATGATAATGCTATGGAGAAAAAAAGTACCATATACATTGGAAATATTACCAAAAAACTAACTTTCAGGTAACAGGGATTCATCTTAACTGAAAATCAAGTTGTCAGATTAAAATAATTCTATTGATACTTTCCCTTACATAGAGCAAAATGAACAATTTTGAATTGTTTTCCATATTGTTTTTTGTACCACAAAGACCTGAGAGTAGGATTCCAAGATGGAACAGATAATATTTTACGCATCTCTTCATTTTCAACAACTAGCACATAGTAGCCACTCATACAGCCCTACCTGTCCCCAACCCATAAATAGAAAAGAAAATGAAGGCCGGGCGTGGTGGCTCATGCCTGTAATCCCAGCACTTTGGGAGGCCAAGGCAGGTGGATCACCTGAGGTCGGGAGTTTGAGACCACCCTGACCAACATGGAGAAACCCTGTCTCTACTAGAAATACAAAATTATCCAGGCATGGTGGCACATGCCCGTAATCCCAGCTACTCGGGAGGCTGAGGCAGGAGAATCACTTGAACCTGGGAGAAGGAGGTTGCAGTGGGCTGAGATCGTGCCTTTGCACTCCAGCCTGGGCAACAAGAGCGAAACTCCATCTCAAAATAGTAATAATAATAATAATAATAACAATAATAATAATAATAAAATAAATAGAAAAGAGGCCGGGCGCTGTGGCTCACGCCTGTAATCCCAGCACTTTGGGAGGCCGAGGCGGGTGGATCACGAGGTCAGCAGATCAAGACCATCCTGTCTAACATGGTGAAACCCCGTCTCTACTGAAAATACAAAACAAAAAAAAATTAGCCGGGCGTGGTGGCGGGCGCCTGTAGTCTCAGCTACTCAGGAGGCTGAGGCAGGAGAATGGCGTGAACCCGGGAGGCGGAGCTTGCAGTGAGCTGAGATCGCGCCACTGTACTCCAGCCTGGGCGACAGAGTGAGACGCCGTCTAAAAAAAAAAAAAAATTAAAAGAAAAAGAAAAGGAAGCTCTAGGCAAGAAAGAAAGGAAAGGAAAGTGAAGGAAATGAGGGAGGGAGGGAGGGAGAGAGAAAGGAAGTTAAAATGAAAAAATGAAGAATTAGTTTTTCATAGAAGATTTTTAAAAGCTCTGGTGCATTCCTGGAATCTAAAAGGCCACATGCATGTGCAGGACTGTGTACACGGCCAAGTAACACATGAAAGGGCTCTCACTCTTTTTTTTTTTTTTTTGAGACGGAGTCTCGCTCTGTCGCCCAGGCTGGAGTGCAGTGGCGCCATCTCAGCTCACTGCAAGCTCCGCCTCCCAGGTTCACACCATTCTCCTGCCTCAGCCTCCTGAGTAGCTGGGACTACGGGTGCCTGCCACCATGCCCGGCTAATTTTTTTTGCATTTTTGGTAGAGACAGGGTTTCACCGTGTTAGCCAGGATGGTCTCGATCTCCTGACCTCATGATCCGCCCGCCTCTGCCTCCCAAAATGCTGGCATTACAGGCGTGAGCCACCTTGCCCGGCCACGGTTCTCATCTTTCACCACTTTATGGCTTTGAGGATCTGCACAAATAGGAAGTAAAAACAAATACATAGTTGCAAATGGTGTGCTGGTGCATTGGAGGTATGTCCCAACACACATACTGAACCCCTAGGCAAAGGATGGGAGACTAACTGGTCTAAAATATTTAGGAAAATCTTTGTCAAAACATTAGCTGACCACTAAGCTATCCAAGCCAAGCCTTCAGTGCTACCCATGACAAATACAGAAAGTCACTAAACAAACAGTAACAGCAGCAACAACAATCGCAACACAAACAACTAAATAAATAAACAACAAAAATAAAGTAAAACCAGAACAGAAACAAAACAAAAAAGTGCCGAGAAGTATCTGATTTCCAAAATTTCCACATTATCATATTTAAAATTATCTAGTCTTTAAGAAAAAAAATGAGATATGTGAAGAAACAGGAAAGGATAATCCATACACCGAAAAAAAGGCCAGTTACTAGAAATTATCTGCGAGGAAGACAAGATATTACATATACTAGGAAAATACTTTAGATTAACTGGTAATATGTTTCAAAGAACTAGCCAAAATCATGTCTAAAGAGCTAAAGGAAAATGTAAATGATAACTCACCCAAATAAAAAACAACAACAAAGAGACAAAAATTATTTTAAAAGAAGCAAATAGAAATTCTGCAGTTTAAAAGCACAATAACTTAAATACAAATTCACTGGAGAGGTCACCAGTAGAATTGGAGTGCTGGAAGAAAGAATTCATGAACTTGATGCTAGGTCAGTTGAAATTATCCAGTCTTAGGAACAGTAAGACAAAATAATGAATAAAAAGGAATGGAGGCTGGGTGCAGTGACTCATACATGTAATCCTAGCACTTTGGGAGGCCGAATCAGGCAGATCACCTGAGGTCAGGGGTTTGAGACCAGTCTGGCTAAGATGGCAAAACCCCATCAATACTACAAAAATTTGCTGGGCATGGTGGCAAATGCCTGTAATCCCAGCTACTCAGGAGGCTGAGGCAGGAGAATCACTTGAACCCAGGAGGCGGAGGTTGTAGTGAACTGAGATGCCGCCACTGCACTCCAGCCTGGGCGACAAGTGAGACTCCATCTCAAAAAAAAAAAAAAAAAAAAAGAATGGGGAGTCAGACAGAGACCTGTGAGATACCATCAATCATACTAGCTTATCCGTAATGGGAGTAAAAGTTATTTAAAAAGTCACACATTAAATACAAGGGATCCTCACTAAGAAAACCATCTGACTCTCAGCAGTAACCATGGAGGCCAGAAGTTAGTCAGATGACATATTCAAAGTTCTAAAAAAAGGACTATCAACCAAGAAATCTATATCTAACAAAAAACATCCTTCGAAACTGAAGGTGAAATTGACATTCTCAGAAAAACAAATATTTGGAAAACTTGTTGCTGGCTGAACTGTCAAATAAAGAATACTAAGGAGAATCTGTCAGACTGAAATTAAAGGGCACTGGAAAGTAACCTGAGTCCACATGAAGTATAAAGGGCACCATTACCAGTGACTACGTAGGCAAATGTAAAAGAAAGTAAAGCATAATTTTATTTGTGATACTTTTCTTCGGCTATCCAATTTAAAAGACAATGGAATACATCAGTAATTATAAAACTGTGTTGGTAGGCTTATAATGTCATTATTATTACATAAAACACAAAGGAGAAGAAAGAAAATAAACCTATATTGGAAGAAAATTGTGTGTACTATTGAAATTAAGTTGCTGTTAACATGCACCAAAATTTTAAAGTTAAGATGTTAACTGGAGTCCCGAGGGCAACAACTAATGGAATTGCTCAAAAAATATATAGTAAAAATAAATAAAGGAATTTAAATAGTATACCTGAAAATATTTATTTAATAAAAAGAGAGAAGCCATAATGAATGAACACAGAATCAAAAAAGACATAAGACAAATGAATAGGTATATGGCACATGTAAATATTACCTTATCGGTAATCATATTAAATGTAAATTAACTACACACTCCAAACTAAAGCCAGAGATTAGTAGAACACATTTAAAAATATAATCAAACTGGCCGGGAGCAGTGGCTCACACCTGTAATCCCAGCACTTTGGGAGGCCAAGGTGGGTGGATCACGAGGTCAGGAGATCGAGACCATCCTGGCTAACATGGTGAAACCCTGTCTCTACTAAAAATACAAAAAATTAGCCGGACGTGGTGGCGGGCGCCTGTAGTCCCAGCTACTCGGGAGGCTGAGGCAGGAGAATGGCATGAACCTGGGAGGTGGAGCTTGCAGTGAGCTGAGATTGCGCCACTGCACTCCAGCCTGGGCGACAGAACCAGACTACGTCTCAAAAAAGAAAAAGAAAAAGAAAAGAAAGAAAGGAGAAAGAAAAAGAAAGAGGAGCTCTAGGTAAGAAAAAGAAAGAAAGGAAAGGAAAGTGAAGGAAAGGAGGGAGCGAGAAAGAAAGGAAGGGGAAGGGAAGGAGAAGGGGAAGGGAGGGGAAGGGAAAGGGAGGGAAAGAGAAAGAAAAGAAAGAGCTCTAGGTTACAGGAAGTGGGCTTTTTGGTGTGACTATTAGGAAGAAAAAGTATTAAAAATAATCACACCACCGTCTGTAATTTTGTAATTTAGAATAGTCCAAATAAGGAAAAAAAAGCTACACAATAAAGGTAACACAGTTAAAACAGAAAGCTGCCTATAGCTATATATAAAGTGTTTAGGACAGTAGCTGGCACAAAGCAACTGTTTGCTGTTCAAAGAACAAATTGTGTACCCTGCAGCAACTCACATTTCTAGTTTTCCATCTTTCTGCAGGACCAAGGTGAGATTTTGATTAAATCATCAAATTTGCTAATTATGTCACAAAAGTAGCTATCCAAAAGTGCTGCAATAGGGAACTATTTATGCATTCTTTAATATTCTTTAAGTATCATTTAGCTAATTTTAGGTAAAAGCAAATAAATGTATAATGCTCATTTTTAATATACTTATAGTAAGTTGTTTTCTACATTGTTTTAATAAAATATAAATTAATTATTTCTGTCATGTAGTTTTTTTGTTTGTTTTTGTTTTTTGTTTTTTTGAGACGGAGTCTCACACTGTCGCCTGGAGTGCACTGGGCTGGAGTGCAATGGCATTATCTCGGCTCACTGCAACCTCTGCTTCCTGGTGTCAAGTGATTCTCCTGTCTCAGCCTCCCACGTAGCTGGGATTACAGGTGCCCGCCACCATGCCCAGCTAATTTTTTGTATTTTTAGTAGAGACGGGGTTTCACTATGTTGGCCAGGCTGGTCTCAAACTCCTGACCTCGTGATTTTTCCGCCTTGGCCTCTCAAAGTGCTGGGATTACAGGCAAGAGCCACCGCGCCCGGCCACACTCATGTAGTTTTTAGAAGTCATCTTATCTTGAGATTGGGTGAAGAGTGAGAAAAAAATCAGTGGGAATATTCCCACAGGAAGTCTTGAATTCATTCAGGAATGAATTAATAGAACTTTGGATTAAAGTTGACTCTAGGTAAGAGTGATCAAGTCAACTTGAACATCTTCTACCCTTAGTCTTGAGCCAAGCTCCTCTATTCTCTGTTCCACATTTCCAGGTAACTTCAGTTGACATAAGGGTTGACTGCCTTCAGGTGCATTGTGACAGCTGAGATTTGTCAACCCAGGAATGAGAATTTTTTTTCAGATAACACTAAACGTTTCAGACTGTATCACACAATTCTACAGATATTTAAAAATTCATTACATCTTTTTATTAAAATAATTTCAAAAGAATTTAAACTATGAACAAATGCAAAGAAATAAAATACTAAGATAAAACATTAACTCCCATTAATTTTCAAGTCTTCTAAACTCTTATTGAATTTAATCTTATTAATAATTTTTTCTCTCTGACATGAGAAGAAAAAAATTGCTGTAATACTCTTTTATGAGTCAAAATCCTTCTGAAAAGTATTTATTATTCTGGTTTAGTTCTTCAGAACAGATAGGTGTTAAAATTTCTTACATATGGTTTTGACCCTTTGTGCTGCTACAACAAAATTCTACAGGTTGGGTAAGCTACAAGCAATAGAAATATATTAATAGTCTCATAGTTTTGGAAGCTGGGAAGTCCAAGATCAAGGTGCCAGCAGGTTCTGTGTTGGGTAAGGGTTGCTCTGTCTCGAAGATGGTGCCTTGTTGCTGAATCCTCCAAAGGGAAAGAATGCTGTGTCCTCACAAGTGGAAGGCATGAAAGAGCAAGAGAGTGCTCTCTTCAAACTTGTCCCCTTTTATTAGGGTGCTAATCCCATTCATGAAGGCAGAGTCCTCATGACTTAATCACCTCCCAAAGGCCGCAGCTCTCAGTACATTAGGGATTATTCAACATGTATTTTAGAGAGGACACCGTCATTTGAACCACAGCAACCTTTTAACTGAAAAATCATGAAAGGTCACATTTAATCACCTGTTCCTTACAGCCTTCCTAGAGAGTCACAAAAAGAGAGAGAAAAACCAAAAGGAAAAGAAAATAAACATGTACTGACCTGCTTCTATATTACAGGCACTCTCTTAGGTAATTTACATGTGAAAGTGTATTGAAAGCAGTAGATTTGTTGAAGTACAAATCAAAAATTATTTTAGTTTTTTTCCTATCTCTTCCTTCAAACTTTATTACATCTCTCTTGTTCGCCATCAGCCCTTTGGATAAGATTCCATCACTTTTCAGTAGTTTCCCATCTACTAGAACAGTGTCATTTTTGGAAATTATAATAGTCCAGCCGAGTGCAGTGGCTCACGCCTGTAATCCCAGCACTTTGGGAGGCCGAGGCAGGTGGATCACCTGAAGTCGGGAGTTCGTGACCAGCCTGACCAATATGGTGAAACCCTGTTTCTATTAAAGACACAAAAATTAGCCGGGCATAGTGGTGGGCACCTGTAATCCCAACTACTTGGGAGGCTGAGGCAGGAAAATCACTTGAACCTGGGAGGCGGAGGTTGCAGTGAGCTGAGATCATGCCGTTGCACTCCAGCCTGGGTGACAAGAGCAAGACTCCATCTAAAAAAAAAAAAACAACTATAATAGTCCAATTTAGTCTAAAACCTGACTTTATTGTCATATCATACTCAAATATCTGCCCTTCCCCCAATTCAGGGACCAGCCATAATTAAAGAAAGATACCTACACTTTCACCTTGCTCAGCCTTTCCTCACTCTCTCCTCCACCTTCTGACTCTTCCAGGATCAGAGCAAAGAAAATGGGTGTTGGGGGGAAAGGATGTTGGAAGGATAGAGTCTTACCCCTGAGCTGGTGCTCCCCATGGTCCTCACTCAGCTGAGAATGACTGGCTGCTATGTCCTCTCTGGCAGCCTCCACATACTGACTCTCTTGTGTGGCACGTTTGTGCATTCTTCAAGGCCCAACTGCTCCCTCCTCTTCCTGGAATCAATTTTGGGCTACAGATTTGCAGACTTTAAAATTCTCGACGTGGAAAGGAACACATCAGAGTCAATATTAACCTATGTTCCCTCATCCTGGGGACAGATGACAGGTCCTCACAAGAATTATTTTGCCTTGCTCTACCTAAATGGCTGTGTCCAAATGGACCTACAATAAAACTAGCAGGTGATTACATATCTTACTTTCCTTTATGGACTTTTTGTCTCCAGAAGAGTTTTCTTGGAGTATTCCCTCTTGGCCTATTGGGAGGGAAAAACATACTTTTATCTCCTAAAAAGAAAGTAGGAAAAAAAAAATCTTAACACTCTCTGCAACTTAATCCACTCCTGAAAATTCCATTAAACATTATCCTTGCAATTTCAGATCTCCTCTTGTAGACTATAGAAGCTCGATGGATGCTGGATCATTTCTGTTGCATTTTGGGAATTTCTGCTTGGACATATCTAATGATTCTCATTAGAATGTGGATGTACTTGTTGGTCATTTAGCAAGGTAACAGGAAAGGTTCCATCTAATATTTTATTACCTATTCAATATCTCATTTAACTCTGACAACCATCCTACAATGTATTTATTACTGTTTCCATTTATAGGGGAGAATGCCAATATCTTTTGAAGTTAAGTACCTCTTCAAGGTCACATAGTAAGTGCACCCAGGTTTTGGAGGATGTATCTGACTTAGAAGATATATCTAACTATGTATCTCTTCATGTACCCTCTGCATCAGGAGTTCTGGAACTTTAGGGTACATCAGAGTAACCTGAATAGCTTCTCGTAATACACATTGCTAGGCCTCTGAACAGGTGTGAGTGAAGACCTAGAAATTTGCATTTCTATCAGGTTCTCACAGAATGCCAATGCTGCTGGTCTGGGGATTACACTTAAAGAAGCTCTTGTTGCCTCATTTATGAAAAGGTGAAAGGAAAATAACATAAGAATGTACCTCCTCCACAAAGCTGTCCTTCCACACTGTCACACTTCTGACACCATTCTTTGGAAATCCACATACAATGTATTTCCTTAATACCATTTCTAAATTCTGCAGTTTTTGTTTTTGTTTTTGTTTTTGTTTTTGTTTTGAGACAGAGTCTCTCTCTGTTGCCCAGGCTGGAGTGCAGTGGCATGATCTCGGCTCACTGCAACCTCCACTTCCTGGGTTCAACCGATTCTCCTCCCTCAGTCTCCTGTAACTTGGGTTAGCCAGCAGGCCCAGCTAATTTTTGTATTTTTAGTAGAGACAGGGTTTCACCATGTTGGCCAGACTGGTCTCGTACTCTTGACCTCAGACGATCCATCTGCCTCAATCTCCCAAAGTACTAGGATTACAAGTATGAGCCACTGCACCAGGCCAATTCTGCAATTTTTATATCCTCCATTATTGACTAATGCAAACTGCTTTTCTCTTAACTGTCCAAGCTTCTTTATTTCCTTTCCCCAGGAAACACTTGAAAACAAAGCAAAACAAACATTACTACACAAAAATAGGCAGTAACTTTACCTTGCCCTTCTGGTCCTTCCCAATTTGGTGGGTCTTAGTTTCAAGACCTTTTTTGAACCAAGTTTAAGCCCTCAAAGACACTAGGAAAGAAAAAGTAGAACTGCATCAAACAAGAGGGACAGTGAAGAACCCTGATAATGGGACTGGAGCACCTCTGGATTTGTTTTAGGCTCTGACTCACTGCCTCCATGGCTAGACTTCTCTTTCCTGGAAATGAAAGGGAGGGCTGTACTGACCGCTCTTCCAGTGTTCCAGTGAAGATCTGGATTTTATCAGCAGTGGTGATGTTAGTATCAGACTCTAGGAGGTAGGATAAATCTCTAATTCATTGTTATTTTTAATTTTCATTTTTTCTATTACATTGCTACAACACCAAATGATGTTTGATTACTTTTCTTCCTTGGAAGGAAAAAACAAAAACAAATAAAAACCAATTAGTGTGTCTAAAGACAGTCAAAATGAGGACTGAAACTTGTTATCTTTTCACTAAGGGAAAAAGACAGAAAATTGCCTCCCATTTCATGGTATTCTTCTCAAATGCTGAATATGGCACAATCTACTTACCTAATTATATATGATTTATGACCATTTCCACTGAAGCTACAGAGAGGAAGCTTGTTTCCAAAGACAATATTCAGTTTTATGAAACTCAGCAGGTACCGCATAAGTCTGCTTTTTACTGCAAAAGGCATAATTACTTGTTTAGAAATGAGAGTGTGAGAGAACTGATGAGAAAAAAATTAAAGTGAAAAACTTTTGAAACATAGTGATTTACAGATACTGTTAAGCACATTTATAAATGTGGCCAAGGTGAATAGACTGTGTGTAAACTTCAAACACAGACACTTAAAGAAGAACAATGAGAACTCCAAATGCCTTCACCAGTGACTCGTCTTTGAGATGTTGCCAACTGGGGAAGGTCAGCATCTCTGGGCTTCCCTTCTTGCCTGGGTAGCAAATCAAAGCCTCCCTTATTGAGCTGGCATTGATTGTATAGAAATAGCTCTGTAGATGCTCTTTGGCTTCGCACTTTCTCAGCTGTTTTCTTCAGGAAGTAAACACTTTTGTTTTAGGACTCACATCTATTTCCCATTACAATGTTCCAGAGAAACCCTCACATTGAAGAAAGGTTGGTTTGTGCAATGTAATCATCATGGCCTCTATATTTCATATTTATTTCTCTTAGGCACAAACAAGTCACTTGGTCTCACGTTTTTGTACTCCCTTCTGTTACAAATCCTGTGCTCAGAAGGCTTGCTCAACACATTATAAAATGGGCGCTTTAGCTACCAATGAATATAAGTTTCATTTGACTCTTAGCACTTCCTGAAGCATAAAATCAGGGGTAAAGTCACAGCATGGTATAAACAACCAAGTAAGAGCAATAAAGAGAAAAACATCATTATGTGATTTTGGTAGAAATGGTAGAAAAAGAAACTGTGTTACATGTATCTGATTATAAATATGAGAAATCCTTCATTGACTCCCAGCTTTAACTATAAAATGTCCTTGAAAATGAATTTAAACTCTTTTTACACTGTTCACTATCTTCCAAAATATTTTTATTGTATATATTTAAAGTGCACAACATGATGTTTTGATATACATATACATAGTGAAATGTCAAGCAAATTAACATATCTATCCTCCCCAATACTTACCTTTTTGTGTGTGTCGTAAAAGTACCCAAAATCTACTGTCTTAGCAAATTTCCAGTATACAATACAATATTATTAATGATAACCCTCATGTTATACATTACATTCCTAGACCTATTCATCCTTTACAGCTGCAACTTTGTACTTTTTTCCAATAAATAACAAAACTTTGGCTGAAAACTAATAATACTACATTTTGAGAAATTAGCAGCAAAATTCTTCGAGTGAAGACAAAGGCTTTTTTAAAAAATAGAGTAAGTAGTAGTTAAATGTATTTTGGTAGATTTTAGAGCTCTCAAATTTCTAAGATATTCAGTAAGTCAGCTTGGAAAATTATTTTATATATCAGATAACTTGAATCTAGAGAGGTTGGGTCTTTCACAGGAGAGGGCAGTGGAGTGAAAATTAAAACATAAAAATGTAAACCTCTAGAAACATTTCTTCTCCACAGAAAGACATTTATCATCAACTGGTTATATGTTGTTTCATTTCTTTCTTCAGAAAAACTCCTATACTGTCCTTGGGTCAGTCTGTTCTAATGTTGCTATAAGGAAATATCTGAGGCTGGGTAATTCATAAAGAAAAGAGTTTTAATTGACTCATGGCTCTGCAGGCTGTGTAGGAAGCCTGGCGCCAGCATCTACTAGGCTTCTGAAGAGGTCTCAGGGAGCTTCGACTCATGGCCGAAGGCTGAGCTTACACATCACATGGCAACAGCTGAAGCAATAAAGGGGATGGGAGGTGCACACACTTTTTTTTTTTTTTTTTTTTGAGATGAAGTCTTGCTCTGTTGCCCAGGCTGGAGTGCAGTGACTTGATCTTGGCTCACTGCAACCTCCACCTCCTGGGTTCAAGTGATTCTCCTGCCTCAGCCTCCCCTGTAGCTTGGACTACAGGTGTGCGCCACCACGCCCAGCTAATTTTTTGTATTTTTAGTAGAGACGGGGTTTCACCATATTGGTCAGACTGGTCTTGAACTCCTGACTTTGTGATCCTCCCACCTCAGCCTCCCAAAGTGCTGGGATTACAGGCGTGAGCCAATGCGCCCGGCCCACACACTTTTAAATAACCAGATCTTGCATGAACTCACTCATCACCAAGGGGATGGCACTAAACCATTCATGAGGAGTACACCCCCATGATCTCAACACCTCCTACCAGACCCCATCTCTATAACATTGGGGCCTGGTAGGAAGTGTTTCTCCCACCATTTCAACATGCGATTTGAAGGAGACATACTCAAACTATATCAGTCCATAAAATATATCCCCAGCTTCTGAATTCTTTTTATAGCTTTCTGTAGAATAATTTTTTCTGCCTGTTCTGTAACATTTATCCATTTCTTCTTAATTGCAACCCTCAAAATTATTCATAATAAGGAATTATTATATTTGATATATTCTAAGGTAGAATTATTACTTAAAGGAAAGGTACAAATAAACCATAGCAAAAAACAAATATGTTTAAATGGTAGCATCTCTTTTTTTGCGTCTAAATTTTAAATTTGCATTTACTAATTAATTGGAGCATTTTGTAGCTAATGGTGATCCTAACTGGAAAAAACATCACATTACAGTTGTTCGGTTTGACCATTTCCTACATGATCCAAGGTCATCTTGTCCAACCAGCCAGCTCTTCCATTCATTTAGCCAATATTTATTGAGCATTTTCAATTTGTGTCAAGGATACCAACCTATCTATCTGCACCTGTCTATCTATCTATCACTCCCACACACTCTTCATTCTAGAAGAGTTATGATTTGGTTAGAAAGTGTTAAGCCTGTATTGGAATTATAACATGAACATACAATGGGTCTTAACCTGCCTGGGAAGGTATAAAACACAGAAAACCAGAGGGGAAACCATGCAACATGTTAGCCAATGATGTGAGTGAACATATAGCAGATACTTTATATGTTTTATGCAGATGCTGCAGCTGAAAATATCATGAGTGCCTGGATGATGGAAGTTTTTATAAATTAGAAAAATGAATCAAATGTAAAGAGATGGACTTTAGGAGAAATAAATAACACACATTTGGTTTCAAGAAAGTGCTGCATGAATGGAGGATGATAAAACCTTGGAATCAGAAACAGCAGCGGTCCTAGCTGGCAGTGACTATGATAGCAATGGCCTTCAAGAATCACCACGGGAAGCATTGACGTGGTGTGATCTAATAGACAAGCACCAAGCCTATTGGGGCTGCAGTAGAGAAAGAAAAGAAAGATTTCAGCCATGACAAGACACCTGACAAAATTTGTTTACAAATATATATGGACTACCCTCTGGAGAGACCTGAATAAAGAAAAGTGTTAGGCAATTGTCTGCTATAACAATGGGACAAGTGTGGGCTGTGGTTCGTTCACACTGATGATGTGAACTGATGATCAGGAGGAAGGAGAGTATTTTCACACTGATGATGAGGAGGAAGGAGAGTATAACGAAGTAACAGAAGAGGTTACAGAGCATGTTTATTTGCCAGCTAAAGCTAAAGTGGCAAAGGAGGGAGAGTTTCATCCCTACCTTTCTGCACCCCCTCATTGTTATTTTGAAGAAAAAGAGTGTCCTGACCCTGCAGATCTCTCTTTTCCAGAGGACATTGGGCTAAAAGTAGTTGCCCCAGTGACTGTTCGAGCAGCACCTTGAGTGACCGCTCTCAGTTCTATTCAGGCAGGAATTCAGCAAGCTAGACAAGAGGGTGATATAGAGGCTTGCCAGTTCCCTGTTAGAACACACCTGCCAGATCAACAGGGAAATATTATAGCTACATTTGAGCCTTTTCCTTTTAAATTTGGGAAAGCACATTTAGTTGATTATATCAAGGCCTGTGATGGTATTGGAGGTAATCTGCATAAGGCTACTCTGCTAGCACAGGCAATGGCAGGACTGAGAGTGGATAAAGGAAATACTCCATTTCCTGGAGCTTGTTTTAACTGTAGGAAGCATGGTCATACAAAAAAAGAATGTAGAAAATATTAGCAAGTCAGGCCGCCAGATAGGGGAAAAAAGAAAACTACTGAGCCTGAAATATGTCCAAAATGTAAAAAAGGAAAACATTGGGGTAATCAGTGTCACTCTAAGTTTGATAAAGATGGGAACCTGATTTCAGGAAATGCCACGAGGGGCCCATCCTGGGCCCCATTCCAAACCGAGGGATTTACGGCTTTGGCCATTCCCTCACCCCTGTACAATGTCTGTCCCCCGCCACAGCTGGTAGTGCTGCAGTAGATTTATACTGCACAAAAGCTGTGAGCCTTCTGCCTGGGGAACGCCCTCAAAAGGTCCCAAGAGGAATCTGTGGACCCTTGCCAGCGGGGATGATAGGATTACTTTTAGGAAGGTCTAGCTTAAGTTTAAAAGGGGTAAAAATACATACAGGAGTCATTGATTCAGATTACAACGGGGAAATTCAAATTATTATATCTACTTCTGTTCCCTGGAAAGCAGAGCCAGGAGAGTGTATAGCACAGCTCCTGATTGTGCCATATATGGAAACAGGGAAAAGTGAAATTAAATGAACAGGAGGATTTGGAAGCACAAATAAACAAGACAAAGCAGCTTATTGGGTAAATCGAGTTACTGATAAACATCCTACCTGTGAAACAACTATTCAGGGAAAGAAATTTAAAGGTTTGGTAGATACCGGAGCGGACATTTCAATCATTTCTCTACAGCACTGGCCGTCCGCGTGGCCAATTCAACCCACTCAATTTAACATAGTTGGAGTTGGTAAAGCCCCTGAAGTATATCAAAGCAGTTATATTTTGCATTGTGAAGGGCCCGATGGACAACCTGGGACTATTCAACCAATTATAACTTCTGTATCTATAAATTTATGGGGGAGAGATTTATTACAACAATGGGGAGCACAAGTTCTAATTCCAGAACAATTACATAGCCCTCAGAATCAACAGATGATGCATGAAATGGGGTTATGTCCCTAGTATGGGACTAGGAAAAAATTTGCAAGGTTTGAAAGAACCACTTCAAGCGGAAAGACAAAGTTTCCACCAAAGATTAGGATATCATTTTTGATGGTGGCCATTGTTAAGCCTCCAGAACCTATACCTTTAAAATGGTTAACAGATAAGCCAATTTGGATAGAACAGTGGCCACTAAGTAAAGAGAAACTAGAGGCTTTAGAGGAATTAGTTACTGAACAATTAGAAAATGGGCACATAGCTCCAACATTTTCCCCTTGGAATTCTCCAGTTTTTGTAATTAAGAAAAAATCAGGTAAATGGAGAATGTTAACTGACTTAAGAGCCATCAATTCAGTTATACAACCTATGGGAGCATTACAGCCAGGATTGCCTTCTTCTGCTATAATTCCAAAAAATTGGCCTTTAATAGTCATAGATTTAAAAGACTGTTTCTTTATTATCCCCTTAGCTGAGCAAGCCTATGAACAGTTTGCATTTACAATTCCTGCAGTAAACAAGCTGCAGCCTGCTAAGCATTTTCATTGTTTCACAGATGGGTCTAGTAACGGTAAAGCTTTTTATTCTGGTAAAAAAAAAGTAAAGTTTTCCAGACACCCTACACTTTAGCTCAAAAAGCAGAGATTGTAGCTGTAATTGAGGTATTGACTGCTTTTGATATGCCTATTAATGTGATTTCTGATTCTTTATACGTGGTCCATTCCACACAGTTAATTGAAAATGCTCAGTTACTATTTCATACAGATAAACAACTGATGGCAAAAACAAAAAAGGGGGAGAAATAAGGATTATAGGACAGCCCATACATAATTGAATCTGGCATTATTAACTTTAAATTTCTTGAGCCTGCCCAAAGGCCAGATGTTATCAGCAGCTGAACAGCATCTACAGAAAACAGCTGCAAAGACAGAAGCAGAACAACTGGTTTGGTGGAGAGATCCGATAACAAAAAGTTGGGAAATAGGTAAAATAATAACTTGGGATATAGGTTATGCTTGTATTCCTCCAGGCCAAAATCAACAGCCAATTTGGATACCATCAAGACACCTGAAACCTTATCATGAGCCAGATGCCAAGGAAGAGATTCCGGGAGGATCCCGAGGACCCACCAGTTGCAGCCATGTCGTGGCTGATGCTGAGAAGGACCCCAAATGTCATGAGCAACACCTGTCAAATACAGCCACCCATCTGGGGACAGATCAAGAAGCTGTTACAGATGGTGGAAGGAAACCTGAGGAAACCGGAACAACCAGTCACAGTGAGTAATTTAATGGTAGCTATGATAGTGGTGATCACCATTGCCATGAGTATTCCTTCAACAAGGGCTGACACAGAGAACAATTATATTTATTGGGCATATTTATCAATCTTGGCTGGCAATAATGCCTGGATGTAATCACTCTATGACACAGTTACACATGCTTTCTAATCTCAGTATTTACCGTAACAAATCTGCTCCCATAATTGAGGCTTACCGCCCTCAAAAACCTATTTGTAAACAAAATAGAACCTGGCCAGAAATAATGAACGTACTTGTTTGGGAAGATTGCATTGCAGAACAGGCAGAGGGACTGCGCAATGATTCCTATGGAAACATTATTGATTGGTCCCCTGAGGGGATGTTTAGCTTAAATTGCACCTCTCAGTCTGTGTGCCATGGCCACACTATGTTCAGCTGATCTGAACAAAACCGTCAGATGGTAGAAATGATAAGAAGTATGGCAAAAGTTCCTATTATCTGGAACCATGGCGGTATAGTGACACCTCAACCTCAAATGATAATGGCCCGTTGTAGGAGCTAAACATAAGGATTTGTGGAAACTATTAATAGCTCTTAATAAAACCAAAATTTGGGAAAGAATAAAAAAGCATCTAGAAGGACACTTTACAAACTTGTTTTTGGATATTGCAAAATTAAAAGAACAAATATTTAAAGCATCCCAGGCACACCTGACCTTAATGCCAGGAACTGGAGTGCTTGAAGGAGCTGCAGACAGATTGGTAGCTAGTAACCCATTAAAATGGATAAAAACACTTGGAAGCTCTGTGATTTCTATGATGATTGTGCTTTTAATCTGTGTTGTTTGTCTTTGTATAGTCTGCAGATGCGGATCCTGACTCCCGTGAGAAGTAGCTCACCGTGACAAAGCTGCCTTTGCTTTTATCACTTTGCAAATCAAATAAGGGAGACATGTTGGGAACAGGCCTCCCCAAATGTGGCCATAAACTGGCCACAAAACTGGCCATAAACAAAATCTCTGCAGCACGGTGACATGTTCATGATGGCTATAACGCCCACGCTGGAAGTTTGTGGGTTTACAGGAATGAAGGCAAGGAACACCGGCCCACCCAGGGCAGAAAACCACTTAAAGGCGTTCTTAAACCACAAACAATAGCATGAGTGATCTGTGCCTTAAGGACATGCTCCTGCTGTAGATAACTAGCCCAACCTATTCCTTTATTTCGGCCCATCCCTTTGTTTCCCATAAGGGATACTTTTAGTTAATCTAATATCTATAGAAGCAATGCTAATGACTGGCTTGCTATTAATAAATACGTGGGTAAATCTCTGTTCGGGGCTCTCAGCTCTGAAGGCTGTGAGACCCCTCATTTCCCACTTCACACCTCTGTATTTCTGTGTGTGTGTGTCTTCAATTCCTCTAATGCCACTGGGTTATGGTCTCCCTGACCGAGCTGGTCTTGGCAGTCTTGCATATATTTTTTCAATCTGTCTTTCATCTTTTTTAACATAAAGCATCTTTTGCTTGTTAGAAAACTTTATATTAGTTTGTGATTCTATTTCCTAATTTTTCTCTTGGGCATTGATTTGATGCCTAGAAAAGACTACTAGCCTAAGATTATATGAAATTATTTACTTATATTTTGTTTTTAAAATATGGTACTCAGTTCTTTAATCTCTTTGAAATATTTCTGTATGGTGAAAAATGAGGATATAATTTTATTTTCTTCTAAATAGATATTCTACATTACCAACATGTGTTATCAAAAAATTTTTACAGTCTTAGTTCAGACTTCTCAGAAGCATATTCTAAAATACGAATGTCTATGCAAGTAATTTATTAACAAGTTACACCTAGTAGTAAGAAGTAGAAGAAGCAGGAAAAGGAGGGGAAATAAGCCAAACAAGGTAAAGTTCAGGGCTCAGCCTGATCCCACGAGAAGCCTCAGAACATACATTTCACTGTGGAGTTTGTTGCTTGTGGAGGCAAAGAAGCTGGGCTTTCATCCTCTTTCAGCAGTCAGTCATTGGAAGTGGGCTACCTGGAGGGAAATAGAACTGCCAGACACTTGTGACTCTTGGTGCAACAGAGGAAGCAGCTCCAATAACCTAAAAGTAGCCCTTTAAAGAAGTTTGCAAGTGGGTAGCCCTTTAAATAACTTTGCAAGTTTGGGGTGGGGCGCGGTGGCTCATGCCTGTAATCCCAGCACTTTGGGAGGCTGAGGCAGGCGGATCATGAGGTCAGGAGATCGAGACCATCCTGGTTAACACGGTGAAACCCCGTCTCTACTAAAAATGCAAAAAGAAAATTAGCCGGCCGTGGTGGCGGACGTCTGTAGTCCCAGCTACTCAGGAGGCTGAGGCAGGAGAATGGCATGAACCCGGGAGGCGGAGCTTACAGTGAGCTGAAATCGTGCCACCGCACTCCAGTCTGGGCAACAGTGGGAGACTCTGTCAAAAAAAAAAAAAAAGTTTGCAAGTGGGGACTGGCAGGAGTCAAACACAAAGAAACTGGAGATTAGGAACACAGAATCCATAGGAGAGACACATGGGATCCACCCACAGATACTGACAGTGTCTAACAACATCCATCCCTTTCACTGCTCAGTCCCAGTTATTGCTGACGTTAAGTTTATGCCATCATGTCACAGTTTCTTCAAAATTATAATGGTTAATAATTTCTAGGTTAAAAACTTCTATAAGATGATAGTTAATGGAACAACCTATAACCCATGATTGAAGTTATTTCCAAGGTCATAATTATCAATACTTGTTTTATCTCTCCTCTACCACCCATACCCAATACTCTCATCTAGCATTTCTTCTGGCCCAGATGTCTTGTGTGGTGGTTGACTGACTTTCATCCAGAAAGGATCTGAGCCCATGTTAATGCTCTTGTTAGATGGTAATTACCCATTCCCAGTTAAAACTGAACATGACAACACCAAGAGACATCCCAATGGATCACCTGATGATCTACTCTAGGTAGGAGTGATTCCTCTTTACTGATTTTAAGTGGCTTTGACCCTATCTCATCATGACGACAAAGGTCAATTACCCCTGTGTGACAGTGATTCAATTCTTTACCTGTTTGTACGATATTATGAGGAGGCCAGTATGAACTGGTGGCAGATAGTTTTAAGTTTAACTTAAGCCTGCCTGGGTTTCCTGGTGGAATTATCCTTCTGAGAATGAGGACCTCTTGACAACAGAGAGTTGAAATGATACAAAACACAAACAGCCCCAAATGGATCAATGAGAGTGATGAGTTCACAGAGTCATTCCTACTTCCATTCCTTGAATTTTGGACCCACGTATTCTACCTCCTGAAGACACAGACTGTATTATATAAGTTATACTGTCTGTTACATATCACACTTGAAGGATACATATCACACTAAGTTACATATCACACTCGAAGGATAACATCTCAAGCCTACAGAGGCTCTTCTCCAAGACATCACCTTAGTTGTATCTTGAAGCATCTATTTCCATGCCCTGCCAGACTGGAAGCTTCTGGATGGTGTGATCTGTGGTAGTACCAAGGGATCCAAAGCTATATGCTCAGTGTCACATATCCTATTCAGCAAGTGAATTCTTTGGTCCCAAACAGCGTTATGAAGGAGTTCATGTCTGTAAATCAGACTCTCTCTGAACCACTGAGTAATGGTACTGGCAAAGGCATTTGGGATGGAAAGGAAAGGTAAACCTGTATTCAGAATATATTATGTCCGATAAGCATGAATCGCCTGTCTTCCCGGGGTCGAATCCATTCAAGTAAAATTGCCATGAAATGGCAGGTTCATTTCTTTAAGTCACAATACTTTATTGGGGACTCAGTTTGGGTCCCTATCTCTGACACATCAGAACTTTGGCAGCAGTAGTAGCTAGGTCAGCCTAGATGACAGAAAGCCCATGCTGTTAGCCCAAAACTTCCATCTCTGCAATTTGGCCACTCTGTCTGTGAGCCCATTGCATAAGCCCTGGGGCAAGTGAGCACAGAGACTAGCTGACAACTCTAGACAAGTTCTGTCCTACTGGTTCTTCCATGTCTGCCCTGAAATATGGAATTTGTTGTGCACATCCATGTCAAATACAATGATTGCCATGCTTTCTACCTACTCCCATAGCTCTAACTGCATGTCTTTTCCACAAAGGCCCCTGGTCCTGATTTTCCAAGCATCTTCCTTTCAGGACTCTTGCCTGAATTGCCTGAATTTTAATTTTTCAGACTGTCTTCTCTTACTTACCAATTTACATGTAAGGTGTCTCTATCTTTTTTTTCATGTCTCAATAGTTCATTTCTTTTTATCACTGAATAATATTCCATTGTATTTATATACCAGTTTGTTTTTCCATTCACCAATAGAAGGACATCTTGGTTACTTCCATATTTGATGATTATTAATAAAGCCTCTGTAAACATTCTCATGTAAGTTTTAGTGTGGACATAGTTTTCAGATCAGTTGAGTAAACGCCTAGGAGTGTGACTGCTGGATTATGAGACTATGTGTAGCTTTGTAAGAACTGCCAGAACATCTTCCAAAGTGGCTGTACCATTTTTCATTCCCACCAGCCTGAACAAGAATTCCTTTTGTTCCATATCCTCAACAGGATTTGATGTCATCAGTATTCCAGATTTTGGCCATTTTTTTCCAACTTTTATTTTATATTCAGGGGGTACATGTGCAGGCTTGTTACACAGGTAAATTGTGTATTGGTATACAGATTATTTCATCACCCAGGTAATAAGCATAGTACTTGGTAGGTAGTTTTTTGATCCTCATTCTCCCCCCACTCTCTACCCTCAAGTAAGCCCCAGTGTCCATTGTTCCCTTCTTCGTGCCCAAGTGTACTCAACATTTAGCTCCCACTTGTAAGTGATAACATGTGGCATTTGTTCTCTGTTCCTGCATTGATTCACTTAATTAGCTCCATCCATGTTGCTGCAAAGGACATGATCTCTTTCTTTTTTATAGCTGTGAAATATTCTATGGTGAATATGTACCACATTTTTTCCAGTCCACCATTGATGGGCATTTAGGTTAATTCCATATGTTTGCTATTGTGAATAGTGCTGCAGTGAACATACATGTGCATGTGTCTTTATGGTAGAACAATTTATATTCCTTTGGGCATATACCGAGTAATGGTATTTCTGGGTTGAATGACAGTTTGTCTTAAATTCTTTTAGGAATCTCCATGCTGTTTTCCACAGTGGTTGAACTAATTTACATACTCACCCGTGGTATATAAGCATTCCCTTTTCTCTGTAACCTCACCAACGTCTGTTGTTTTTTGGCTTTTTAATAATAGCCATTCTGACAGGTGTGAGATGGTATCTTATTGTGGTTTTGATTTTTATTGCTTTACTGATTAATAATGTTGAGCATTTCTTCACATGCTTGTTGGCTGTGTGCATGTCTTCTTTTGAGAAGTGTCTGTTCATGTCCTTTGCCTATTTTTTAAAGTGGTTGGTTTTTGTTTGCTACTTTGTTTAAGTTCCTTCTAGATTCTGGATACTAGGCCTTCATTGGATGCCTATTTTGTATCTATTCCCATTCTGTAGGTTGTCGTTTGCTCTGTTGATAGTTTCTTTTGCTGTGAAAAAGCTTGTTCATTTAATTAAGTCCCATTTGTCAATTTTTGGTTTTGTCATAATTGCTTCTGGTGTCTTCATCATTGTATTAGTCCATTTTCATATTGCGATAAAGAACTACCTGAGACTGGGTAATTTATAAAGAAAAGAGATTAATTGGCTCACGGTTCCAAAGGCTCTACAGGAAGCATGGCTGGGGAGGCATCAGGAAACTTACAATCATGGCAGAAGCAAAGGGGAAGCAAGCACATTTTCACATGGGGGCAGGAGAGACAGAAAAGGAGGAGGTGCTACACACTTTTAAACAGCCATATCTCATGAGAACTTGCTCATTATCACAAGAATAGCAAGGGGGAAATCTGCCCCCAAGATCCAATCACCTCTCACTAGGCCCCTCCCCCAACACTGAGGATTACAATTCAACATGAGATTTGGGTGGGGACACAGAGCTAAACCATATCAATCATGAAATTATTGCCAGGTATTGGTATTTCCTAGGCTTTCTTCTAGGGTTTTTATAGTTTTAGGTTTTATATTTAAGTCTTTAATCCATCTTAAATTGATTTTTTGCATCTGGTGAAATGACAGGGTCCAGTTTTAATCTTCTGCGTATGGTTAGCCAGTTATCCCAACACCATTTATTGAAGAGGAAGTCCTTTCCCCATTGCTTCTTTTTATCAACTTTGTTGATAATCAGATGGTTATAAGTGTTCTTTAGCATGTTCCATTGGTCTATGTGTCAGTTTTTGTGCCAGTACCATGCTGTTTGGATTACTGTAGACTTGTAGTATAGTTTAAATTTTGGTAGTGTGATGTCTCTGGCTTTGTTCTTTTTGCTTAGGACTGCTTTGGCTATTCAGGGTCCTTTTTGGTTCCATATAAATTTTAAAATACCTTTTTTCTAATTCTGTAAAAAATGTCATTGGTAATTTGATAGTAGTAACATTGAATCTGTAAACTGCTTTGTGCGATATAGAAATTTTCAGAACATTAATTCTTCCTATCCACAAACATAGAATGTTTTTCCATTTGTTTGTGTCATTTCTGATTGCTTTCAGCAGTGTTTTGTAATTCTCGTTGTACAGATCTTTCACCTCCCTGATTAGCTGTATTCCTAGATATTTTGATGCTATTGTGCCTATTGTGAATGGGATTGTGCTGTTGATTTGGTTCTCAAGTTGGACATTGTTGTATATAAATGCTACTGATTTCCGTACATTGATTTTGAATACTGAAACTTTGCTGAAGTTATGTATAAGATCTGGGAGCTTTTGGGCAGAGACTATGAGGTTTTCTAGGTATAAAATCATATTGTCTGCGAAAAGAGGTAGTTTGACTTCCTCTCTTCCTATTTGTGTGCCTTTCATTTTTTCTCTTTCTTGATTGCTCTGTCTGGTGCCTCCATTTCTATGATGAATAGGAATGGTGAGAGTGGTCCTCTTGTCTTGTTCCAGTTCTTAAGGAGAATGCTTCTAGCTTTTGCCCATTCAGTATTATGTTGGCTGTGGGTTTGTCAGAGATGGCTGTTACTATTTTGAGGTATGTTTTTTCAACGCCTAGTTTGTTGAGGTTTTTAACATGAAGTGATGTTGAATTTTATCAAAAGTCTTTTCTGCATCTATTGAGAAGACCACGTGATTTTTGTGTTTTGTTCTGTTTATGTGATTAATAACATTTGTTGATTTGCATATGTGGAACCAACTTTGCATCCCAGGAATAAAGCCTACTTGATCATGGTGGGTTGGCTTTTTGATGAGCTGCTGGATCCAGGTTGCTAGTTTTTCGTTGAGGATTTTTGCATCTATGTTGATCAGGGATATTGGTCTGTAGTTTTCTTTTTTTGTTGTGTCTCTGCCAGGTTTTGGGATGCTGGCCTCATAGAATGCATTAGGGAGGAGTCCTTCCTCCTCTGTGTTTTTGAATAGATTCAGTAGCATTGGTACCAGCTCTTTATAAGTCTGGTAGAATTCACCTGTGAATACATTTGACTCAAGGTTTTTTTTCTGAGTGATAGGGTTTTTTGTTTGTTTGTTCTGATTCAATTTTAGAACTGATTATTGGTCTGTTAAGGATTTAATCTCTTCCTGATTCAATTTTGGAGAATGTCGTGATTCCAGGAATTTATCAATTTATTCCAGGTTTTCTAGCTTCTCTGCATAGAAGTGTTCATAATAGTCTCTAAGGATTTTTTGTATTTTTGTCGGGCCAGTGGTAATGTCCCTTTTGTCACTTCTTATTTGTTTATTTGGGCCTTCACTCTTTTTTCTTTAGTAGTCTAGCTAATGGTTTATCAATCTTATTTATTCTTTCAAAAAAACAAACTTTTGATTTTGTTGATCTTTTGTATTGTTTTTAGCATTTCAATTACATTCAGTTCAGCTGTTATTTTGGTTATTTCCTTTCTTCTACTGGTTGTGGGGTTGGTTTATCTCTTGTTTTTCTAGTTCCTCTAGGTCTGATGTTAGGTTGGTTGTTGCGGGAAGTCAGGGACCCCGAATGGAGGGACCAGCTGAAGCCATGGCAGAGGAACATAAATTGTGAGGATTTCATGGACATATATTAGTTCCCCAAATTAATACTTTTATAATTTCTTATGCCTGTCTTTACTGCAATCTCTGAACATAAATTGTGAGGATTTCATGGACACTCATCACTTCCCCAGTCAATACCTTTGTGATTTCCTATGCCTGTCTTTACTTTAATCTCTTAATCCTGTCATCTTTGTAAGCTGAGGAGGATGTCTGTCGAAACAAGACCCTGTGATGGTTGCGTCAACTGCACAAATTGTTTGTAGAGCACATGTGTTTGAGCAATATGAAATCTAGGCACCTTGAAAAAAGAACAGGATAACAGCAATGTTCAGGGAACAAGAGAGATAACCTTAAACTCTGACTGTTACACTATTACACACAGTATAATTACACACATTGTATCACACACTGTGTAATTCCACACACTGTGAATTGCACACAGTATCACACACACGGTGTAATTGTACACACTCCATTACAAACTGTGATTACACAAAATCACACAGTATAATTGCACATGCCATATCACACTGTGTAATTGCACACGCTGCATCACACACGGTGTGATTACACACTGTATCACACACTCTAATTGCACACACACCATATCACACAGTGTAATTACACCCTGTATCACACACACTGTAACTGCACACACTGTATCACACAGTGTGATTGCACACACACTGTATCACAATTGCACACACTGTATAACACACATGGTGTAATTGCACACACTTATCACACACAGTGTGAGCTGTGGGGATTGTTTGGCTGCTCCTTTCTGATGGCTCTTTCCAGACTCTCAGTAGTTTCCACCCACCCATGCTCATTCAGTGCTAAACCAAAGACCAGAGGAGATCCCTCTACAAATCTCCAGACCTCTTTCCCTTTCCAGCATTTTGTCCTGCAAATTCTGGCCACTGTGGCTCCCCTTGTTCTGAACTCAGTTTCCCCAAGTCAGTGAGCTCACTGGGCTCTCTTTGGATCCCTCCTGTGCTGCAGACCAGAAACTCTCCAGGAAGCACACGGCACTTCTAAGCCTTGCCGCGTTTATTTGCCATCTCTTAGCAATGTTGGCCAACATCTGAAATCTACTGTTTTATGCATTTTGCCCAGTTTTCCACTTGTTCAAGGTAGAAGTTGAAATCTGGTCTCTGTTATTTCATTGTAGCTGGTGAGTTTTTTTTCCCAAATTGGCGAGATGTAGGTGTACACAAGTACAGTCCATATGTATTTAGATAATGGGCAAAATTAAGCTATTAGAGTGACAAGTGCTTTTATACACTATTTAGGGTATGTGTATTGGTATGGTTCCTGAAACAGCATATATCCTGGAGAGACATATAAAGAGTTACATTTCTATCCAGCCAGTAAGGATGATTCCCGTTGTTTATAATACAGTGGGGAAGGACAACTTCATGTCCAAACAGAACTTGTGTTTAACATTTTTTGATATTTGTTTATAAATTTTGATATTAAAATTAAATAATCCATTGAAAATAATGTGTTAAAACTATGTAATGAGAAGGACTTATGTTTATAATAAATTATTAAATGAAAACATAAACTTCCAAGATACCCTCTCTTTTCCTCTATCTTTCTGCATTTGGGAAATGCGGTCTTAGTGACTTAGGTGAACTGCAGCATTAATTTACAAATTTGAAAAAAAGATTTAATAATTCATGAAGGTTATCTGAAAGGGTAATATATAATAAACAACAGATACGCCTCTGAAAGAGCATATGTTGCCACTGGACACACCTCTAAAGAATACATTTTATTGCATTAATCACATTTATGGTGCCTTTATTATTTCATTATATAAATATATAATCTCATCAAGGTTCATTTTATATTTAAGAACAATCCAATTTTTATTAATAAATTGAATACCAATAGGAAAATAATAGCATGGGAAAATCTAATCAATGGATAATTGAGGCCTAAAGCAAAATTAGATTATTTTGCAAGATTTAATCCCAAAGGAAATTAGATTCTGTATCTTGCTTTTATAATTCTCATTTTAAGAAATTAAAAATTTTGTATTAAAATATTAGAAGATAAATCCTGTGATCATTTTGGGTATCTTATTATACCCATTAAAAATTTTACTTAAAAATGTATAACCCCTCATATGCTAATTTGTAATGTTTACGCTTGTAAGTATTTGAGTCTATTAACGAATTTTATATGGCTCTATTAATCATTACAAAAGATATACTCACCAAGCCCTAAAAGTAAGTCCCAAAGATTAAAAAAATCTAGAGAACTATAAAAGATATTGGTTTTTGGTTCCAAAGAAAGTCAAGCAATAGAATTACAATTCATTCAAAAAACTATTTTCATTTTTTCTCTGTAGTTCCAAGGCTTTGTGACAATTCTAAGAGGTATCAGACACTATCCTATTTCAAGTATTCAGTAGATAAGGGAGTTGGTTTAGAATCAAGCAGACTTTGTTTTGAACTTAAATTCATTTTTTGCCTTATTGACTTTTGACTTTTCAGTTTATTTTCCTGGATTTCCATTTTCTCATCTATAAAATGGTGATTCTGGCATATCTCATTGTCTAGTACATAAT
Organism: Homo sapiens; assembly: GCF_000001405.40. Lineage (NCBI taxonomy): Eukaryota > Metazoa > Chordata > Mammalia > Primates > Hominidae > Homo > Homo sapiens. The sequence continues at coordinate 23,020,284 of NC_000013.11, forward strand.
AAGGGCTCAGTAAAGCTACTAACTTACTGAAAGGAAAATATATTTCTAATGTCAGTGCCATGGTGACAACAGCATCATAGTAAATAAAAAGAACTAAAAGCTCAGGTGGTTGTAGAGCTTGTGTAAATGTGAGGTCCATGTTCATCATCACTGCCATCTAGTGGCAGTGTGACAAACCGCACTGTATACTCTCTTCCTCTTATAAAGCCACCAGTCCCACTCCTGTGACAACCCACTAATCCATTAACCCATTAACCCATAAATCCATGAATGGATTAATCCCCTTCTGAGGGCTCTGCCCTCACGACCCAATCACCTTTCAAACGCCCTACCTTTCACTTCTGCCACGTGGGGGAATAAATTTCCAGATGAGTTTTGGAGGCAACAGATAAACCATAGCAGTTTGGTGATAGAGAATTTTAATATCATAGAATTTTATGATAAAATAAGACAATTAATGATAGTATGCTTAACAAAGGTAAAAATTACTCTCCAAATGTGATCATCATAGCAAGCCGAGGTTTTGCTGACAAAGTAAGTTTCATCTCCTGAGTAATTTCATAAATCAATGGAAATTATCTTTTTTTCTGTATCTAGTAGACATACTGACTATTCCTTTGAAGCCAAATAGTGCTAGGACTTTTTCCTGTGAAGTGGTATGAGAAGTAAATCCTTTCTGTGTAACACTGGCTATGAAAATTATACTATAGTTTTTAGTTTATCCAATGAAAGAAATTCTCTTTAAGAGATCATTTTTACAAATTTTAATAGCATATTGGTAGTACATTCCTTTAAACAGGTCAAAATTTAGTTCTTTATTAAGCTGATAATAATAGTTGTATAGCAATCTTTCCCATAGTTTATTAATTTATGATCTCGCTGAACATATTTGTTTTAAACACATTATGTTTTGGGGATGTGTTTAGACATACAAAAGGGATTCTTTTTACTTTGTTGATTTTCCCTATTCTAATTTTTTCATAGTCTTCCATTAAGGGCTCCTCTTTGAATGATTATTTTAAAATTTACCTTCCTCTTACATTGTTTTCCAAATCAATCTTTTTCCCTTTCTAAAATAGTACTTTTGGGGCCACGCGCGGTGCCTCACGCCGCAATCCCAGCACTTTGGAAGCTCGAGGCGGGTGGATCACGAGGTCAGGAGATCGAGACCATCCTGGCTAACACAGTGAAACCCCGTCTCTACTAAAAATACAAAAAAATTAGCCCGGTATGGTGGCGGGTGCCTGTGGTCCCACCTACTCGGGAGGCTGAGGCAGGAGAATGGCGTGAACCCGGGAGGCGGAGCTTGCAGTGAGCCGAGATAGCGCCATTGCACTCCAGGCTGGACGACAGAGCGAGACTCCGTCTCAAAAAAAATAAATAAATAAAATAAAATAGTACTTTTATTTAGTTAAAACAAATGTCATAATAGGAAGGTTATCAACACAGAATAGTAGTATACAACAGGTTTTGATTTTGTTTGCATGAATCCTCGTCAATATTGCCTCTAAAACTTCAAAAACTAACCAGTTAATAAACATTAGCCGTCTTCACCTTAGCAATTTCACATGAATCCGTGGAAAACATATGCTCCTGACATATTCATATATCCTAAAACGCTTTTGTGCTGTATGTCTATTGACAATTCGTACGGTATTGCATTTTGATTATGCAAAATGACATACAGAGTAATTTATTCCTACGCTGGAAATAGAAAAGTTACCTAAGCCACAAGCCCCAGGGTACTGTTAGCAGTGTCTGTTCACAATAATCACAATGAATTTCATGCCTGTGGCCTATTTTCACATTGCAGTATTCTGGGCCCAGAGCTCAGACAAGCTGTTCTGCTCTGAGGCACGCATAACAACTAGCAACAAGCATTTGGGGCTTCCTATTGAACATCTGTTGCAAGAGCAGAGAGATATAATTACAACGCAGTGCCCCATTTCTTTCCTCCTAATCCACCAAGAATCATTTTTAATAGTTTTTTTCTATTATTTATATGGTTTAAGTAAATTATTCAAGGAGATGTTGATTGTAAAATGGTTCTTTTGTTCCCAGCCTGTTTTCCTTGGGTTCGTTGTCAGGTGACCTGAGGTCCAATGCCTTCATTCCATCTCATCAGTGTCCGCCTTTCCTCTCTCTCTCTTTTATTATTTCGTTACTCTTCCACAGACCTTCTTTTCCTACCTATAAAAGTGACCTCATATATTATTACTATTCTCAGTATCTTCTAAAACATGAGATTTTTTTTTCATACTTAGCACATTTACACAGGGTTTCCTTTATATAGATTGTGCAAAGCCATTGATTGGTTTTCTCTTTCCACTTCCTTCTTTTTTAAAAAAATTAATCTGGGGGAAGGAATATAAGCTTCCTCCCAGGGCAGTGTATGCAGGAGATGCTGCTACTCACTATCTTCACTTTAACAGCCTCACTAATATTCACACCAATATGAACGCACACACACACACATACATGCATAAACAGGCACACACACATCTACACACACACCACACACATGCACACACCACACACGCACACACCACACACATAAACACGCACACCACACACATGCACACATGCACACCACACACACGCACCACATGCACACACACACCACACATGCACACACCACAAACATGCACACACATACGCACACACGCACAATCTGTCTTTAGTCCTCACTCATCTAAAATTGTTTTCAAAAATGTCACTCAGTGTGTCTTTATGTAAAGCGAAAAATATATATTTTGTACTTATTCATGTAATCTATCTTTTTTTCTGAAATGCTCTCTTTCCTCTGCTTCTAAAATGTCACGTCCTCTTAAGTTTTCTCGTAGCCATTCTGGACACCTTTTCTCTCTTAACGGTGATATTCCTCAGGATCTCTTCTTTTCACATTCTATGCTGTTGAAATTCAACCAGAGATGAACTTGAGAATCACAGGTGCCAGATGTCACTACATTCAAACTGAATGTGAACACAAAGGGGCATGTCCTTGACAAAGACATTTAAAGAAAGCCACCCATGCACACCTGTTTCTTTTTTGTTTGTTTGAGGTGGAGTCTCACTCTGTCACCCAGGCTGCAGTGCAGTGGTGTGATCTGGGTTCCCTGCAACCTCCGCCTCCTGGGTTCGGGTGATTCTCATGCCTCAGCCTCTGGAATAGCAGGGACTACAGGTGTGCACCACCACATCTGGCTAATTTTTGTATTTTTAGTAGAGATGGGGTTTCACTATGTTGGCCAGGCTGGTCTCGAACTCCTGACCTCAGGTCATCTGCTCACCTCAGCCTCCCAAAGTGCTGGGATTACAGGAGTGAGCCACTGCACCCAGCACCCATGCACATTTAAGTTCTCATCTGGGAATATTTTCCTTCTCCGAAAAGAATATGCTTAATATTTCTCTTAGTGCAGATTATCAATTTTAAAAATCTTTTTCTCTTTCAAATGAATTTTTAAGCACATTGTTGAAGTAAACATTGAATTCTACATTGACATTATTTTATTTTATTAAATATATTATTCCATTGACTTCTGACTTCCATTTATCATGTTAAGAAGAGACATTTCACAACTTATTTCACACCCACTAGAATGACTATATTAAAAAAAAATAGGTAACAGTAAGTGTTGCCAGAACCCTCATACACTGATGATGACAATGTAAAATTGAACCACAACTTTGGAAAACGTTTGAGCAGTTTCTCCAAAAGCTAAACATACAGTTACCATGGACTCAGTGAGTTTACTTCTTCATTATTTACCCAAGATACGTGAAAACATATGTTCACCCCAAAATTATAAACAAATATTCACAGCAGCATTATTCATAATAGTCAAAATGTAGAAACAATCCAAATGCCCATCAAATGATGAACGGATAAACAAGATTGAATATTATTCAGCCATACAAAGGAGTGAAGTTCTGATACAATATAGATGAAACTTAAAACGTTTTGCTAAGTGAAAGAAGCCAGTCGGAGAACACCACAGATTATATAATTTCACTTATATGAAATTTCCAAAACAGGAAATGATATAGACAGAAAGTAGATGAGTGGCTGCATAGGACTTGGGGACAGAAGGATTAGGGGTGACAGCTGAAGGATATGGGGTATAAAATGTTCAGAAGTTGTGTTGATGGTTGCAAAACTGTGTAAATATACTAAAAAATCATTAAATTACACACTTTAAATAGGTAAATACTGAAATAAACATATTTCAGTAAAGGTGTTACCAAAAAAAAAAGCCAGGTGTATGTCTAAAACCTTGTTATAGTGAAAATGTATATTTTCTTGAGTTTAACATTTTATTTTTGTCTTCGTTTTTATGGTTTTATTATCGTGTGCCTACATGTGATTTATATCATTATTTATTGTATTTATTGTCTGTAGACCTTTTTAAGTCCATGATTGGTTGACTTTCTCCAGTTTTATACAATTTTCAGCCATAATAACTTCAAATATTGCTACCATCCAATTTTATCTTTCACCTCTTTTGGATACCTTTTGGACTTTCTCACAAATTCTAGATGTAATTACTGTCTTTGGTACTTCTCTCTCTGTGTCTCTCTCTCCATCCATCTCTCCCTCTCTATATTTATATGTAGAAAGATACATACATATATATACAGTGTGTATATATTATATAATATACACATACACATATATGTATATTTATACACAAATATAGTCCCATTCTTATCTGTGTATTAATAAATGGCTATTAAAACTGTAGACTGAGTTCTTAATTTCAGTTATTTTATGTTTCAGACTTAAAAACTGATCTTGATTGTACTTTTTAGAGTTGACAGTTCTCTGCTGAGACTCTCAGTATTGTATTTCACATCTTTGACTGCAATGATCACAGTTATATTGAAGTCTGTATTGGTTTATATTAGAACTTGAAGTTTTATGGCTCCTTTATCATTTGAGTGGGTTCTAATGTACACTGTCTTGTCACCTATACTGTTTGATGCAGTCCTATATCTGGTTAGAGCTATTTTCCTCCAGAGAGGATTCCTGACTGGGGTCCTAGAGGTACAGGACCTCACCAGACACTGGGTCACGTAAAGTGTGGATGCAGTCATTGCGTGGATTGTGTTACCCCTGTTACTCTTATTTGTAAGCTTCAGCTCTCAGCATCTCAACTCAAAAGCCTGGAGGTTTTACCAGGATCCTCTATCATTATATTAATGACCTCTGGCTTCCAATTTCAGTCCCTCACCCAGCCTTGGGAGTTTGTCGGAGATGCTACCCAGCCTTCCATCTGTACATTTCTATAATCCGCAATCAGCAAACAACCCCATAGAAACAGGGATCCCTTTTCTGAACTTCTGTGTCTCAAATTTTGGTAGGTAATTTTTCAATATATTTTTAGGCATTCTGTGCTTTCAAAGAGGTTTTCCCCACCTAGCTTTTCTACTTTTCTCAGCAGGGTGAGGGATGGGATTCTAAATTACCTAGTGCACCGTCATTGAAAGCAGTAGTCTGTCCTCCCAACTTTATTTCAGCTAAAGGGTAAGTTGTACCCTTTAAACAAATCTTTGACATTTTCAGGTGTTTATATAGTATAGTTCCACGAGATAAGATTTTCTCCTTCCTTCTATTGCCTAAGTGAATGGTAAAAAGGAAATTTCTTTCAAGTAATTTGAAAGCACTTAAAGTAGATTTTTAGCTATAAGTAATAAATGAAAGTACATACCTTAATGTGGCCTGAAGCCCCACCCTTCCTGTGGCTGTCCATGCCTGTTTTTCACTGAACAGCTCAGAGTGTACTATGCCACTCTTGCTTCATTTCACACATGGGCTAGCTGCATTACTGGACGCTGTTATATTCTGATTCAAAGGAATAAAGAACTGACAAGGAGGCAGAAGTGGGAAAATTATCTGCCTCCAATGTACTATCCACATAAAAAGTGAACTGCAGGATTTTTTGTTGATTCAAATCCCAAGTCTCTAATTGGGGGGGTGATACGATTTGGATTTGTGTTCCCGCCCAAATCTCATGTCCAGTTGTAATCCCCAGTGTTGGAGGAGGGGCCTGGTGGTAGGTGATTAGATCATGGGGGTGGTTTCCCTCTTCCTGTTCTTGTGATAGTGACTGAATTCTCACGAGATCTGATTGCTCAAGAGAGTGTAGTACCTCCCCCTTGTCCCTGTCCCCTCTCCCTCCTGCTCCTGCCATGCAGGACATATCTGCTTCCCCTTCACCCTCAGCCATGATTTTAAGTTTCCTGAGGCCTCCCAAGCTGTGCTTCCTGTACAGCCTGTGGAACCATGAGCCAATTAAACCTCTTTTCTTTATAAGTTACCCAGTCTCAGGCAGTTCTTTATAGCAATGTGAGAATGGACTAATAAGGGGGGCATACAGAGTGAGTCGATAGAGGCCTCTCTTTACTCCCTGCCTTGCTATTTGTGTTGCTGTCTTTCTGGTCTAAGACAAGCCAGCCAACTATCAGTCATTTCTGTTTGGTGTAAATGGGTCTAAATGAGGCATGATTCTTTAAAGAGATTAGAAAGATAATCAATTTATATTCCCAGTGTTGTTGCAAATCTACATCTCTTGCCTGGTTTCTTGGTGTTTCTGTGGAAAAAGTAAATCTATCCAAGCCAACAAGCTAAAAGCATGACCTGAAAATCTGACCTTTATTAATTATAATTTTTTTCTTCACTCTAACAAAAACTAATGTAGAATAGCAAAGGTTGTTGCAACACAATTAGAATATGTAATTGCACACTGGGTCAGCTAAAAGCAATTTGGTATCTAATTGTGATTGTGCAAGCATGTCTCATATCTACTATCATTAAACAGTCAAATACAGGCATCTGTGGCTATCTAAACCCTCTCAATCCAAACTCAGTAACTAAACAAATTTGGATCATGGGAAATACACACGTACCTAATCCGTGTAGCCATTGTCTTTCTTTTCAGTTGACCTGCATGTATCAAATAACAATAGTTCAAAGAATACCTGCTGAATGAATAAGAGAAGAGTTACATTATTTAATTAAACAGCTAACCAATCAAATCAATCTATTTATAGCATTTCCTGAATGTTGATGACTTTGCAGAAGTTCATTCTAATTAGGCCATTTGGTTACCACTTGCAGAGACTACCTAAAAGAAATGAGAAATGGTGAACAGATACGAGGCACAGCTGAAGGCAGATACAGGTAAATATGTCCGTATTTTTGGAAATTCTGGACACACATGGAAGAACTTACCTCATTTCAAAGATCAAAACAAACACTCGTATTAAAATTATGCTGTGGATCTCAAAGAAATCAATAAACTACACAACTCGTTAATTTTTGTAAGGTTTTCTAATACTAGACAAAACAGTGATATGCTACATCCAAATTCTTCATTTTCTTCATCTTTTTTTTTTTTTTTTTTTTTTTTGAGACGGAGTCTCACTCTGACACCCAGGCTGGAGTGCAGTGGTACGATCTTGGCTCACTGCAACCTCTGCCTCCCAGGTTCAAGCAATTCTCCTGCCTCAGCCTCCCAAGTAACTGGGATTACAGGTGCCCACCACCATGCCTGGCTTATTTTTTTGTATTTTTTGTGGAGACGGGGTTTCACCATGTTGGCCAGGCTGGTCTCGAACTTCTGACCTCAAGTGATCCACTTGCCTCAGCCTCCCAAAGTGCTGGGATTACAGGCCTGAGCCACCATGCCCAGGCTTCTTCATCTCTTGATGTGAGCAAGAGCTGAAAATACTGGACAGGAATACTGGACAGTAAAATAGACATTAATAAAAATCCATAAAAAAATTAATCCAAAAAAATTAATAAAAATTTGCAAAACTGCAACAAGCTTTCATTCGAATATTAGATATTATAAGTTGATCAAAACACTAAACTCAATGTCTTTTTAGCTTTTTTTCTAACAAAATATTCTATTATCTAAACATATTATTTCTGACCAAAAATTCAGTGTGGATAGGACTGAATGTGTGAAGGTTTAGTGCTCCAAATACAAGCTCCAGGATAATTAAAATAGCAAAGAATCATTTGTTTTTAATTTATTATCCTTTCAGGGATAGTTGGTCTATTTCAAGAATAAAGTCATTTAATATCACCAGGAGAAAAAGAAGTGGGTTGGGTGCTGGAATGTGCCTTCAGGCAAAGATTGCTATTATAGATTTAACTATAGGACTGTGTTTAATTAAACTTTATTACTTTATTTGCTTTCTATCATATGAAGGGAAATAATTTGCATTATATTGTTAGCCATTTAAAGATTATCTGTTTTGACCAAACACACATTGTGTATGTAAGTGACACCTCCTCGGTTCAGCCCTGCCTGGAGTTGTGCAAAGACCTAAAATTAGGTTCAAATTCGAGAAGTTCTGAAACTCTTTGGCTACTAAGGTAAGCTCTGGAAAAATTAAGGGTCAGCGAGCAGCGAGACAGAAGTCAGAATTTGAAAACCAGATTAGAACCAGAGAAATATCTCAGTCAAAACATGAGCACAGAGAATGCAACACTCGGTCCAATTTAACGAGGTTCCAGATCACCAGGCTTTCATTCTCATTTAGTCAACCATGCCAAAGCTCCGGCCCTAGAAGGACTAAAAGGCACTGCAATAGTTTGAATATTTGTCCCCTCCAAATCTCATGTTGAAATTTAATCCCTGTTGGAGGTGGGACCTAATGCAGGGGGTGGGGAGGGCAGGCGTTTGGATCATGGGGTGAGTCCCAATGAATAGATTATTACAGGGGAGGGTGAGTGAGTTCTTGCTCTATTAGTACCAACAACAGCTGGTTATTAAAAAGAGCCTGGCACCTCCATGCTCTGTCTGGCTTCCTCTAACCAAGTGATCTCTACAGGCTGGCTCCCCTTCACCCCATGCCATGAGTGGAAGCAGGCTGCAGCCCTCCCTGGAAGCAGATGCTGGCGCCATGCTTCTTGTGCAGCCTGCAGAACTGTGAGCCAAATAACCCTCTTTTCTTTATAAATTACCCAACCTCAGTTATTACTTTATGGCAACACGAATGGACTAAGACAGGCACTTAGCAGCTTCTGACAAAGACAGGATTCTAGTGCACGAGGAGAAACCAAGAGAAAATCAGTACTGAAAGGAGAAATCCAAATACATAAAAAGACACTTGCCCCAGGAGATGGCTTATTAACTGTGGTGAAGACCAGAAAAGATGAGCCACAGATTGGAGAAAGATATCTGCAAGGCAAGACCAATACAGGAATATTATACAGAATACATATATGTTTTATTAACCTCATACAAATGGGGGCAAGGAAAAGACAAACTAGCCAATGTTGTATCAGCCAATATACTTTCAAGGGATACAGTGGGCATCCACAGAACTTGAAAACTATACTGCCAACAAACAGATTTTAAAAATTGTTCAAACTCTCTTATAATCAAATCCAAAAGATATTATTTTATAGTCATCTGATTGAAAAAAACAAGTTTGATGTACCAAATGTAGATAAGAACGTGTGGGAACAGCAATTGTATTATTCTGGTGAGAATGTAAATTCATACCTCTACTTTGGAAAACAATTTAGTAATAGCCATGAAATTAAAGATGAGACTATCCAACAATCCAACAATTGCAGGTCTAGAGATGACCACACATTCATATGGAGAACATGCTGGGGTGTTCATTACAGAACTTGCTGTGAGGCAGGAAGAAAAGGGAGACTGTAATAATTGTCCCTCAGTTGGGAACTGGGCAAGGGCACAATAGCATTCATACAATGGAGACCAGTGAAGTTGCTGAAACGAAAAGTCCAGAGAACATGCTTTTTTTTTTTTTCTTTTTTTTCTTTTTTTTTTTTTTTTTGAGATGGAGTCTCTCTGTGTCACCCAGGCTGGAGTGCAGGGGCGCAATCTCGGCTCACTGCAACCTATGCCTCCTGGGTTCAAGAGATTCTCTACCTCAGCCCTCCCAAGTAGCTGAGATTACAGGCACGTGCCACCACGCCCAGCTAATTTTTGTATTTTTAGTAGAGATGGGGTTTCACCATGTTGGCCAGGATGGTATTGATCTCTTGACCTCATAATCCACCTGCCTTGGCCTCCCAAAGTGCCGGGATAACAGGCGTGAACCACCACACCCAGCCAGAACATGCATTTTTAAAAATGTGAAGAAAGTGTACTAAGACTAGTCACATACATTTAAAAAGCAATTTCTCTTTTGAGTACATACATAGACGACATTTTTTTTTATACATAGTAGTTTACTTCATGTCTAGAGTTGTGTGAGCTGGTGACAAACAACTCTGTGAGTAACTGCCTACTAAGGAATGGAAAGAAAGGGATCCAATGGGGCTGGTTGGGGTGGTTCATGCCTGTAATCCCAGCACTTTGGGAGGCCAAGGCAGGTGGATCACTTGAGGTCAGGAGTTTGAGACCAGCCTGGCCAACGTGGCGAAACCCCGTCTCTACTAAAAATACAAAAATTAGCTGGCTGTGGTGGTGTGTGCCTGTTAAGATCAGCTACTTGGGAGACTGAGGTAGAGAATCCCTTGAACTTGGGAGACAGAGGTTGCAGTGAGCTGAGATCGCGCCACTGCACTCCAGCCTGGGTGACAGAGTGAGACTCCATCTCAAAGAAAAAAAAAAAAGAAAAAAGGAAAAGAAAGGGATCTGATGGGAATGTGGAGTTAAACTGCATATGTAAATCTTTATTTTCTTAAATTGAAGCAAAATAATTAAAACATTTGTAAAAATATGATAAATGTTAAACCAGATTTGTCAAATCTGGTTGATGTGACATTTGTCTGATATATAATGTTATTTTCATTTGAAATATTACATATTATACAGTTACAAATTTAAATTATTTAATAAAGAAAAATTACTACAGTGCTTTATTTCCTCAATAAAAGCCTATGAGGCGGAACAGTTAATAATGGTTCAAATAACTTAAGGAGGCATTTTATTTAAGGAAGAACTTCTTAAAAGTGAGATTTCCAAAACAGTCATTATTTAGACGGGACCAATGCTATTTTACTAGGTTTATCAAAGATGAGGCTGTCTACAAACTTATGTATCATTCTAATAAATATTTTAATACAGAATGTTCTAAATTTTAATAGGAAAATAATATTTAAGTTCCTTCCATGTGCCATGCATAATCTTATATCAAGTATAATTTCATTTTTATATAATTTCTGTGCCTTACCTCTTGCTTCTCCCCAATTCACAAATGAAGAAAGTAGTTACACCGCCCTTCGTTCATGTACAAGGGGAGGGTTTGAATCCAGGTCTCTAGGAACCCAAAAGTCATGCACCTTCCAAGGCAAAGGAGATTACCATGTTACAGCATAGATAAAAACATAATAGAATTAGGAATTGGATAAGTATAGAGGGTTCAATAGTGTTCCCCCAAAATTCCTCTCAACACTGAAGCTCAGAATGTGACCTTATTTGGAGATAGGATCTCCAAAGGTAATGCAGATGTAATCAGTTAAGATGAGGTCATACCGGATTAATTTGGGTCCTAAATCTAATGACTGGTATCCTTTTAAGAAGAAGAGAAAACACAGGACACAGACACAAGGAAGCAGCAAACGTGAAGACAGAGGCTGGGGGTGTAGTGATGCAGCTATAAGGCATGGGGCCACCGGAGGCTGGGAAGGGATAAGGAGGGACCCTTCCCCAAAGCCTTCAGAGGGAGCAGCTGACACTTTGAATTTGGACTTCTAGCCTCGAGAACAGTGAGAACATATTTCTGTGGTTTGAAGCCATGCATTCTGTAGTACTCTGTTGTAGCAGCCCTAGGAAACTAATACAGGGATACAGCTGAGACCCCAAATGTATTGAGATCATATTTAATTTTCACAGACATTTTGCTTAGTTCCATCTTGCTTTCCTTCAGCTTAGAGATGAAAAAAACATAGTCCCTACCTTCATGCATGTACAAGGGGGAGGATTTGAATCCAGGTCTCTAGGAATTCCAGATTCCTGCAGGTTCCAAGGCAAAATAGTTCACCGTGTTATGATATGTGTGTAAATGCAAGATAACAAAGAATTAGATAAGCAATTTAAAATAGTCATCCTAATAATTCCTAATGAATAATAATGATGAAAGCTGTTAGTGAAATCCATAAATGTTTTATTTAGATGGCTTAGATCCATTCTACAACAATCTTTATTTTCAAAAAATAAATTAAGCAACAAAAATTTACTAATTTCATATTTTCTGCCATCACCATAAAACAGAATCAATCTCATGTGGTTATATTTTGGGCATGTAGCACATAAATCATGTCCTCTATTACTAAGATGCTCCTATTTGACTTGTAGAAGTTTGTGGATCATTTAAAATTGAATAAATGGTTTGGTTTGCTTTCAGAACTATAAAGAGTATAAACTGGTATTTGGCAAATTGTTTTTTTCAAAACACAGAAATCTGCCGTTTTAAGTTTTTGTTCAGATTTCAAAATTAACTTCTTATTGGACAGAACCAGTTTAATTATGTTCTGATTTTCTCTCTTCTCCTTTCAAGAGCCATAGTTTATTATGAATTCGGAAAGCTTAAGTTTCTATTACCCCTTTAAATGAATTGGAACTAATTGGTCAATAGTTCTTGGCAATAATGAGTTGCAACTAGCATTACTTTCCTAGTGAATTATACAAATGCACTATCTTGACTGTGAAACTCCATTAGAGTTGCGATCAGACTGCAGTGGCTTTCACCAATAATGTCTCAATGGCACTTAATTGAGGGGCAGAGAAAAGCCAAGGGCTGCCCTTATTAGAAAATCCTGATTGGCATCAAAAAGGCACAATAGTATATTTGTTAAGTACTTTGGAATTAGCTATACCTGGTACAAATACGGTACTTTCCCTTATTTTCCACACTGGTCAGGTCTGTGCAAGCCTACTCCCAGAAGTCCAAGGAAGCTGAGAGTTCGAAGGAGGAGGCTGACAAATCTAGTCTCTTAGAAATAAACATTTAATAAGGACTTACAAACAGACATCATGTCTGTGTCTTGGACAGTCACGGGACAAGATGGTGGATCCCCGCACCATTACCCTTCAGACCCAGGGCTTATATACCGCAGGGAAAGTGTGTACATGCTTCCCAAGGGAGGCTTAGGTCAATTGAAGTACGGTAACATCAAGGGATTACACCTTGGGAATTATGGTAAATAAATTTAGGCTTTATAGTAAGTCCCTGCTCTTACACAAGGAACACAAGGAACAATAGATAAACTGGAAATCCTAGAGACCCTCCCGGAATGGGTTAGTCAGAAGCCATCATGGCAGATTAGCATCCAAGATGGGGTTTCTATGGCGTCTACACCTTACAAGCTATAAGACCTAGGAAAGGGAGGCAACACCCTCTCTAAGCCTAATTCCCCCTCTGTGTATTGGGTTCATAAAAGTACCTACCAACGACTTACCAATGACAAGGAAGGTGGAGTAATCGGCCCAGAATGGAAGGCTAGTTTATTTTTATCACTGACGTTGTTTAGAAATGCTGGTGTATGCAATAATAACAAGCAGAATGACCGTTGTTGTTTTTCATTTCTCCATGGCCATGCACTCACTTCTTTACTGTTCCCACCACTCCACTCTAGGCTGGCAACTAGGACTCACTTCCTAGTGTTACTACAGGGATGAAATGGGCAGTCCTGGTGACACTGTCCTGGAGTCACTGCCAAGGGCAGAGGTAGAACATTGTATTTAACAAGATTCCTGGGAAAGGTGAGATCAGACAGGCAGGACTGCTTGTCAGGAGCAGGAAACTGGTACCTAGGCAGCACTTCCCAGGACCTGCTCATGGCCACGGGACATGATGACATGATGTGACAGAAGCACTGACTTTGGAGCAAGTGAGGTGCAGTCAGCACACGGGTGGAAGCCTGTGTGACATCTCGTAGCACCCAGAAGTTTACATTCCATGCCCCCACGAAATGTTCAGGTCTTGTGGAATATTTTCATAGAAATCAATAAATGGATATAGTCTGTGACTATGGACAAAGGGCAGGACCAAGAGGGCCGGCAGGAGAAGAGAAGAAAGGAAGCATAAGGAATTAGGCCAGATAATTGGTTTAAATGTTGCTACTACCAAGATACTCTCTGACGAGGAAGATTAAATAATGTAAACAATAATAACTTAACATAAAGGCAGACTTAAAATCTAGATAATATCAACAAAGATAACATGAGCGGGGAGAAGAGTGGATGCCGTCACATTCGTCTTCTTTTTTCCCACAGGGAATTTCTAGCCCAGCGCTAAGAGAGACAGACAGAGAGAGAAATGTATGTGTGTACACATAAATATCTGAAAATAACAAAGAAACTCCGGGAATAAAAACCAGAATGATCAGCTTTCAAAAAACCAAGGAAAAGAATGAGAAAGGAAATGTAGTATGTGAATAAATAGACATAAAAAACAAAGTACAGAACAAGGTGAGAGAAGATTCATGAGGAACAGCCAGTTGTCATGCTAAAGTAATTACTAAGATAAGACACAATTTAAGAATCATATCCCTGAGGGGAAAAAGAGTATCAACTTTGTCTATCACTCCATTTCTAGCTTGGGGAACAGAGTGCCCGAAGCCAGTGCCCAGTGATTCCTGAATTGGATGTAAATAAAAAGCCAAACCCTAAAGACATTTCCTATGATTTTTATACATGGACGTTGAGGCTGGATTTGCTAGTATTTTGTGAAGTTTAGCGCATCTATGAGAGGCAAGATTGAACTAGAATTTTTCTTTCTTGTTTTACCATTTTCAGCTTTTGGCATCAATGTTAGAATAGTCTTATAAAATAATGTGAGAAAGCACTGCCTCCTTTTCCATTCTCTCAAAAAGTCTATATAAGAATGTAAGTATTGGGCCGGGCACAGTGGCTCATGCCTGTAATCCTAGCACTTTGGGAGACCAAGGCAGGTGGATCACCTGAGGTCAGGAGGTCGAGACAAGCCTGACAAATATGGTGAAACCCCGTCTCTACTACAAAAATTAGGCAGATGTGGTGGTGGGAGCCTGTAATCCCAGCTACTTGGGAGAGTGAGGCAGGAGAATCACTTGAACCTGGGAGGTGGAGATTGCAGTAAGCCAAGATAGCGCCACTGCACTCCAGCCTGGGGGACAGAGGGAGACTCCATCTCAAAAAAAAAAAAAAAAAAGTACTTGTTCTTTGAATGATTAGTAGAATTCTCTAGTAAAATAATGGGGGATTGTGTTGTTGGTATGAATAGATTTTTAAGTAAACACTCAGTTTATTTAATTACTATAGGTCTTTCTATGTAGGTTTTTGATTGCCTTTTAAATCAATTTTTTCCTTTATATTTTTCTAGGAAATTGTCTATTTTATCTAACTTGTAAACATATTAGTCATTAACTTATTCATAAGTAGTCTCTCAGAGTTTTATCTCTGCTGTACCTGAAGTTATGTTTCCTTTTTCATATTCAATATTATTTATTTGTGCTTTTTCTATTTTCTTCCTATGCAATCTTGCCAAGAGTTCACACTTCTTATCTGGCAAAGAACCAAGTTCTGGTTTTGCTAATTTTCTGTAATTAATTCTTTGAGTTCATTTCATTAATTTCTGCTTGTACTTGTATTACTTCATTTCTTCTACTTTATTCTTCCCTAGTTTCTTAAACTGCACACTTAGCCTCTTCATTGGCAGTTATTTCCTCTTTTATAAGCATTTAAAACTATAAATTTCCCTTGAAATACTCTTCTCCAACATTTGTTTAATAAGATGGGTAAGATGTGTGAAAAGATACTTTAGTACAGATTTTCTAATTTCTATTTTTTTAAAGATTACAAATAGGATTTTGCTGTCTTATTTTCTCATTTCTAACTTAATAGCACTATTGTAAGAGAACATGATTAGATTGACACTACTTCTTAGAAATGCTTAGAAACTTTCTTTTCTTGTGGCTAGTCATGGTGGCTGACATCTGTAATCCCAGCACTTTGGGAGGCCAAGGCGTGCGGATCACTTGAGGCCAGGAGTTCTAGACCAGCCTGGCCAACATGGAGAAACTGTGTGTCTCTATTAAAAACAGAAAAATTAGCTGAGTGTGCTGGTGAGCACCTGTAGTCCCAGCTACTCCGGAGGCTGAGGCATGAGGATCGCTTGAACTCCAGGAGGCGGAGGTTGCAGTGAGCCGACATCACACCACTGCACTCCAGCCTGAGTGACAGAGCGAGACCTTGTCTCAAAACAAAAAAACAAGGAAGTGGCTAAATTTCCTAAGCGTTAATGCACATTTGAAAAAGTGCATATTTTCCAATTATTAGTTGAAAGGTTTTATATACTTTCATTAGGTCAATCAAAGCACATTAGTTTTGCTGTTCAAATTTTTTTGGTCTCTTCATAAATTAATTACTTAAAGAGATAATTAATTCAATAGATGTGTTAACATCTTCCACTACATGTATTTATAGCTCTTTTTAAGTCTCTCAATTTTCACTTTCTGTATTTAAAGCTATGTTATTGGGTTACAAGTTGAGAATTATTATAACTTTTTCTGAATTATACTTTTACAAATTATTAATGACCTTCATACATAATATTACTTTTTAGTGTCTATTTCATATATTTCTTTTTTAAAATATCTGTCATATTTTATTTTATAACATAAAAGTAATTGACTTTTACTATTTAAAAAGTATTTTAGTAAAAAATTATTTTTATCTTAGAAATGCCTTTGAGCAAAATAAAAATTATATTCCAACACTCAGAAATTAGACTTTAATGTATATTATTCCATATCTTTTTCTATTCATACATATAATAAATATATACACATTTATAAAATGTACATATACTACATGTAATTTATACATATGTTATATATGTATTATGTATAATTTTTTAAACAAAATGAGATTATACCATATGTAGCATTTTGCACCTGCCTTTTTTCATTTGAGAACCTTACCAGGAAGAAACTTGAATATAATCAAAAAAAGATAAGACATTTCAGGAGATTAGTAGCCCAGTGAGACAGCATATGATAATGCCGCATCAGTGGTATAGAAAATAAGCTTCATTTCTTTGCCCTATAGACCTGATTGAAAGTTTCAGTTTCAGCAAACTACCTATGGCATAGGTTAAAATGGGAAGGCTTCAGGGTAAAGGAAGGAAGTGTAAACTGAGGAAGGGTCTGCACCTGTAAGGAAGGAAGACATGTAGGAAGACAAGCTATATGAAGGGAGCACAGTGTAGAAAATGATGACCAAAAACAATCTGGGCTGAGGTTGTAAAACCATAAACACATAAATTTTGTTAGATTGGAAGGCTTCTGTAAAGGAAGAGTTATAAAGCGACACATTATATTGGGACCACATTTGAGAGCTCCAAATTAATAACAAAAGAGCTCATACCTGATCCTTCAGGCACATGGTTTGGAAAAAGAAACAAAATAATAAAAGTGTAAGTTTTATTGTTTACATCTTAAAATGTTGGAGATGTTTAGCTAAAAGCATAATAGTTTTAGGTTCCCTGTGTATCCTTCCTCCCCTATCCCACACCCCTCCAGATTTAACAATTTTGCAATTGTAACAAGTGTAATCCTCCTTCTGTTGAATTCCATTAGCATTTCAGGGGATACTTTCTTTATTTCAAATTCATCATCAGTTGGTGATCTTCACACTTAGACTCCATTCTTTGCCCTGTAGATTTGATGCCTGGAAATTAACTGTCTAGAAAGCACAGAGGTGCTAATGGCAGTTTATTATGGGAAAACTCTAAATTCTGTGAAGTGAAAACTGCTTTAAAGGAGTGAATATTCTTTCTCTTATATTCCTTTTTGTGAGTCCAATTGTTGTATATCAGACACTTTAAAGTAAGTAATACCAGAAGGAAAGTTAAAAGCAGTCCACACTTCATTCAAACACAGATTGTGATTTGCACAAGATTTACAGATGAATTAACTTGTCTTAAATGACTCACTATTCCACTCCCACCAGTGCTCAATTATTTTTTGGTATAATAAATACAGCCCACAATAGAGGATTCAGAAGCACAAATCCACCCTGAGCAGTTGCTGACTTAAATAAAATAAAATAAAATAAAATAAAATAAAATAAAATAAAATAAAACAGTGACATCCGCAGAATGAAGAAAAATTATTTTTAGATGATTCCATTGTTGTAGAAGAAAGCACTACAGGATGACAGACAGCTATTTAGAAACCTATTTAATGCCTTTCTAAGATATCCTGAGATGGCAGAGTAAGCTCAAATTATTTTGTGAAGATTCACAAAGGTTTATGGAAGTGGCTGATAGCACCAGCAGTAGGCAAGGTGATAACCACAGAGTTGGGGGTCTCTGTTCCCACTGACACCATGGCAGTTCATACCCTGGAAAAGGGCTCATCAGAGCTCATGTGTACTGGACACTTATCCCATGCCAGGCTCCATAGTATAGAGTTTGTGAACCTATCTTTTTTTAATCCTTACCAGAACCCTATTAAGCCAGACCTTGTGATCACTTTAAGAGGAAGCTGAAGCAGAGAAGAAGTTAAGAGGCCTCAAGATAACCCAGAAAGCAACGGAGCTAGAAGTTGGACCAGTTATTTTAGTTACCAAAGTACATGACCTTAACCTCTCTCCCACTGTAAAGCAAAACTCTGTTACTGTTGCAGTCTTGCCAATGCACCACAATGTTTCAGTCTTGTTGTCTGAGGTGGTACCTGGAGTTCTTGGTCTCACCACCAAGAAAATTAAGGAGCGTGGACACAAGGTTGAGGTTGGAGCAAAAGTTTAATCAGAAAAAGAAAGCTCTTCACAGCAGAGAGGGCTGCCAACTACAAGGCTGAGTCTGGGGTTTTATGGGCTAGAAGGGGAGGAATGTGCTGACTGGTTTGTAGGCCATCTTGGAGAAACCATCACTTAGAGAAAGGTATGATAGTGTAAAGATCCAATTGGAGGTAGAGGTGAAGGCTTGGTTTGGGACCTTGGCCCACGCCATCAGGGCTAAAGTGATGATTCACCCTATGTAAATGAAGACTTAGCCCATGGCTAATTACAGAAAGGTAGGCATATGTAAAATAGGTGAAAAGTCAGAGACCAGTAGGTGAAAAGTAAGAGACTAAGGCAACCCAAGGAGAGAAAAATGTGTCCAAAAAAGGAGTGGAATTTGTTCATACGGGTTCACAGAGAAGTATTTCCCTCCAAGGACATGGGCTGTTTCTTATCTGAGGCCTGCAGTTTGATTTTCAGGGTGTTCTTTGTATAAAAGAGTTTTACCAAGGACCCACCCTAACTGCCTGCATGGCCAGTTTCTTACTTTGTCCTCTCTCACTATTTCCTGATATATTATATGCATTCACTTACTTAGATTATCTCTCTTTTACCTCAAAAACTAAATGTATCATACCAAGATAGCAGTTTTGTTTCAAATAACTTGCTCGTAGTATTAACTAAAAAAAATCATTCTGCAAGAAATCTTTCCAGGCAGTGAGGCTGTCAAAGAACTCTATTTTCACTCAAGCCAAACATGAGTCTAAGTTTTGGTCAGCATCCAAATTGCTGACACTTCAATCTAGAAACATCTGTTCCAGCTGCTAATGAAGCTAATAGTGATACATGAATTAAAAGTGAAATAGATTTTTTAAAAGTGCTGTGACATACTTTCAGTAAGATATTCAATTAATTTCTTATTTAATTGAAAAACTACGATACATTTCCCAATCAAAATACAGCAAATTAATTCAACTTTATTTTCTTGTCAAATGATCTTTGCATTTATTTCACATTTTTCTGTTTTATGCATCTGTTAGTCCTGCGTTACACATATATCTAAAATCAAGGAGCATATCTTAACCTTTTTTCAAAACTCATCCATGACTTCCTAGTTAATCTTTTATTTCCCCTAAACTCAAAAACCACTATGCTTATTTCTTTTTCTTTTAAGTGTTGAGAAGCTGTCACTTGCCTAGGGGCAAATATCTTCTTATAGTTACTATTTAATGACCCTAAAATAAGATTTGTTAAAAGTTATCACGATTGACGTTTTTCAATTGGACATAAATAAAATTATTCTTTAAAGTGACAAAACTTCTCTAAAATCAGAGGATCCACCACAATATTTTCCATAGCAGCTGTGTCACTTTTCATTTCCACCAACAGTGCACCAAGTTTCTATTCTCTCCACATCCCCACCAACACTCTTTTTTTATAATAGCTATCCTAACGGGTGTGAGGTAATATCTCATTGTGGTTTTAGTTTTTATTTGCATATCCATAATGATCAGTGACATTGAGCATCTTCCCATATGTTTGTTGGCTATTTGTATATGATCTTTGGAGTAATGTCTATTCAAGTCTTTTGCACATTTTTAAATAGGGTTATTTGGTTTTGCTATTCATTGTAGAGGGGTTTTACATATATACATACATTCTGGATATTAATCCCTTATTAGATATATGACTCCAAATATTTTCTCCCATTCCATAGGTGTCCTTTTCACTCTGTTGACTGTGATCTTTGACGATCACAAGTTTTTTAAGTTTGAAGTAATATAATTTGCCTATTTTTACTTTTGTTGGTAATGCTTTTGGTGTCATATCCACGACATCCTTGCCAAATCCAACGTCATTAAGACTTTTCCTGTGTTTTCTTCTAACAGTTTTGTAGTTTCAGGTCTTATGCTTAGGCTTTTGATTGATTTTGAATTAATTTTTATATACAATCTAAGTAAGGGTCTAACGTCATTCTTTTACATGTTGTCAACCAGTTTTCCCAATATCATTTGTTGAAAAAAAAATTGCCATTATATGGTCTTGACACCCCTGTCAAAAAACATTTGACCGTATATGCAAGGGTATATTTTGGAGATTTTATAGTATGCCATTGATCTATATGTCTGTCTTTATGCCAGTTCCACATTGTTTTGACTGTTGTAGCATTGTAATAAGCTCTGAAATCAAGGAGTATAAGATTTACAACATGGTACTTTTTTTTAAGAATGCTTTGGCTGGCCAGGTGCAGTGGCTCACACTTGTAATCCTAGCACTTTGGGAGGCCAAGGCAGGTGGGACACAAGGTCAGGAGATCGAGACCAGACTGGCCAACATGGTGAAACCCCGTCTCTACTAAAAATACAAAAATTAGCCAGATGTGGTGGCATGTGCCTGTGATCCCAGCTACTTGGGAGGCTGAGGCAGGAGAATCGCTTGAACCCAAGAGGCAGAGGTTGCAGTGAGTCGAGATTGTGCCACTGCACTCCAGCCTGGGCAACAGAGTGAGACTCCATCTCAAAAAAAAAAAAAAAAAGAATGCTTTGGCTACTTGGGGTTGCTTGAGATTCCATGCAAATTTTAAGATGCAGTATTCTATACCAGTGGGATTTTGATAGGCATTGCATTAACTCTATAGGTCACTGAGATAGTATTGATATTTTAACAATATTAACTCTTCCAATCCATGACTATAGAATGTCTTTCCATTTATTTGTGTGTTCCTTAATTTTTTTAGCAATGTTTCTTAGTTTTCAGTGTAAGTTTTTCTGCCGCCTTGGTTAAGTTTATTCCTAATAAACTTAATTTTACATTTTATGTTTTGTATTTTTGATGCTACTGTAGATTGAATGGTTTCCTTAATTTCTTTTTTCAATGGTTCTTGTTAGGGTATATAAATGCATCTGTTTTTTGAGTGTTGATTTTGTATCCTACAAATGTGCTGAATTCATTTATTCGTTCTAACAATTTGGGTTTCTTTTAGTGAAATCCCTAGGTTTTCTACATATAAGATCTTGTCGTCTATGAATTATCTTAGAGATAATTTTACTTCCTCCTTTCAAATGTAGATGCTTTTTTTTTCTTTGCCTAATTACTCTGGCTAGGACTTCAAGTACCAAGTTTAATAGAAGTGATAAAAGCATTCTTGTTGTGTTCGTGATCTTAGAAGAAAAACTTTTAGGTTTTCATCATTGAATATAACGTTAGCTGTGAGCTTTCATACATGATCTTCATTATATTGAGGAGGTTTCATCCTACTCCTAGTTTATTAAGTGTTTTATTATGAAATGGTGTAGAATTGTGTCAAATGCTTTTTCTGCATCAATTAAGATGATCAATTGACTGTTTTTCTTATATTGAATCATTCTTAAATTCCCAGAATAAATCCCACCTAATCACAGCGTACCATCTTTTTAATGTGCTGTTGAATTCAACTAGTTTGCCAATACTTTGTTGAAGTATTTTGCATCAAAAATACTTTTCTTATAGTGTCTTTGTCTGGTTTTGATATCAGTGTAATGCTGGCCTCACTGAATGAGTTTGGAAGTTTTCCCTCCTCTTAAATTATTTAGGAAGAATTTAAAATTGGTGTTCTTTTCTAAATGTTTGGTAGAATTCACCACTAAAGCCATCTGGTCCTGAACTTTTCTTTGTTGGAAGTTTTGATTACCGATTCAATCCACTTACCAAGTATAGGTCTGTTCAGATTTTTTATTTCTTTATGATTGTCTTGATGGAGTGTGTTTTTAGGTACTTGTCTGTTTTATCTAGGTTATCAAATTTGTTGGCATACAATTGTTCATAGTATTCTCTTATAATCCTTTTTATTTCTGTAAAATTTATTGTGTTCTCCTCTCTTCTATTTTTGATTTTATTTATTTGAATCTTCTCTTATTTCTTTTTTTTTAGACAGAGTCTTGCTCTGTCACCCAAGCTGGAGTGCAATGGCGCAATCTTGGCTCACTGCAAGCTCTGCCTCCCGGGTTCATGCCATTCTCCTGCCTCAGCCTCCCAAGAAGCTGGGACTACAGGTGCCCGCCACCATGCCCGGCTAATTTTTTGTATTTTTAGTAGAGACAGAGTTTCACCATGTTAGCCAGGATGGCCTCGATCTCCTGACCTCATGATCCGCTGGCCTTGGCCTCCCAAAGTACTGGAATTACAGGCCTGGCCAAATCTTCTCTTATTTCTTAATCTAACAAAAAGTTTGTCAATTTTGTTGATTCTTTTTAAGAACTGACTTGGTTGTATTAATTTTCTCTACTGTTTTTCTATTCTCAATTTCATTTATCTCTAATTTTTATTATTTCCGTCCTATTCTAGCTTTGGGTTTCATTTTTTTCTTCTTTTTAAATTCTTTAATAAATAAAGTTAGGCTGTTGTTTTGAGATCATCCTTCTCTTTTAATGTAAGCATTTAAAGCTATAAATTTAAAGGAAATTTATAGGCGGGATTATTACTTGAGCCAAAGGGCTCGAGGCTATAGTATGCTTCAGCCACACCTGTGAATAGCCACTACTGAAGTCTAGCCTGGGCAAGATAGTGAGACCCTGTCTCTGAAAAACATTTTAAAAAATCAAAAATAAATGTTTATAAAGATACAATACAAAAAAACAATTAACAAAATAGCAGTAATAAGTCCTTCCCTAGCAGTAATTACTTTATAGATGGATTAAACTCCCTAATCAAAAGACATAATTTGGCTAAATGGATTTTTAAAAATTCAAGGATATGCTGTCTACAGGAGATGCACTTTAGAAACAATAACACGCATAAGCTGAAAGTGAGAATTTAAAAAATCCTAAACTTCTAGTTTTCTAAAAAAAAAAAAAAAAAAAAAAAAATTGAAAGATGGGGTCTCAATTTGTTGCCTAGGCTGGAGTGCAATAACATGATCGTAGCTCACTGGTGCCTTAAATTCCTGGGCTCATGGGATCCTCTTGCCTCAACCTCCTGAGTAGCAGGGACTATAGGCATGCACTGCCATTCCCAGCTAGTTTTTAAATTTTTTTATGGAAATGGTATCTCATCATTTTGCCCAGGTTGGTCTGAAACTCCGGGACTCAAGTGATCCTTCCTCTTTGGCCTCCCATAGTGCTACGATTACAGGCATGAGCCACCTCTCCCAGCCTCCTCTAGTTTTAAGAGATGCTAATGCCTCTAAAGATTATTTGACAACATCATTGTGAAGAAACTAGTAATGTAATTCAAATTAAAATACAAGATGTAATATTCCAAACGAACACTCTAAAGATAGATGATGAGATAAATAAGATAAGATGCTGAACCAACAAAAATATAGACTTCAATAAGTAAATGAAGATTCTTCAGATTTATTTCAAACGACAATTCCTATAGCAGATACTTATCATGTATTTATTGGATAAATACTTATATTTATGTATGACTCTGTATTTTTCCCATGTATATTATCTTTATTTTTCAAGCATTTTAACCGTGTTTTTACATCTTTTCTCTCATTTTATCTTCCTCTCAGCCCTATGAAGAATCAGGATATTTATTATCATCACCAATTAGCCCAGGAAACATTTACGTATCAGTTGATTATGTTCAACTACTCATATGTCTAGAAATTCATCTGACAAATATTTAATCTGGCATCCTTTATTGCTCTCTTATTATTGAATGGAACTGAATCTTATTTATTGTAGCTTTATGGTGAGATTCAAATTTATTTGTCATACGTAGTCCTTATACTCATCTGTATAGTTATCACTAATTAGCAATAATAAGTCTATAAGATTAAACCATCCAAGAGATACAGTTGACCCTTGAATCTTGAACAGTGCAGAGGTTAGTGGCATTAACTCCCCACACAATAAAAAATATCCGTGTAAAACTTTTGATTCCCCCAAAACTTAACATTACTGATAATGTAAACAGTCAATGAACACATATTTTTATGTTATATGTATTATATACTATATTGCTACAATAAAGTAAGCTGGAGAAAAGAAAATGAATTAAGAAAATCATAAGGAGGAGAAAATATATTCACTATTCATTAAGTCAAAGTGAATCATCATAAAGGCCATCATGCTTGTTGTCTGCACTGAGTAGGCTGAGGAGGAGCAGAAAGAGGAGGAGTTGAAGTTGCTGTCTCAGGTGTGGAAGAACTGGAAGAAAATTTGCATATATGTGGACCCAGGCACTTCAAATCCATGCTATGCATGAGTCAACTGTATTTCTATAGCCTGGTACCACAATAGGCATGCAGAAAGCAGTGGTAACAAGATAAACATTGGCCTCACCTAATATGAACTTTCAGTATAGCGAAGAACACAATTCTCAAACTACACACACATATATATATATAGTGAAAAAGTATTACAAGTGTTGTGTGAACCTGTAACACATCAATTCTAGATTTCATAAAGGAACTGACAGCAAATAATTTTTAGCTGAAACTGGTCAGGTGAATAGAAGCTAGCCAAGGGAAGAGTAAAAAGAAGGACGGCAGGTTGCGGAGCATTCTAGGAAAAGGGAGGTGTATATTAGGCAGTTCTTTCATTGTTATAAAGAAATACCTGCGACTGGGTAATTTATAAAGAAAAGAAGAGGTTTACTTGGCTCATGGTTCTTCAGCCTGTACCAGAAGGATAGCACTAGCATCTAAGGGAGGCCTCAGGAAGCTTACAATCATGCAGGAAGATAAAGGGTGAACAGGTGGGAACTGGAGCAAGAGAGAGTGGGAGGTGCCACACACTTTTAAGCAACTAGACCTAGATCTCACATGAGCTCACTCAACACCAAGAGGATGGTGTGAGGCCATTCATGAGAGATCCACTCCAATGATCCAAACAGCTCCCACCAAGCCCCACGTGCAACAGTGAGTATTACATTTCAATATGAGGCTTGGCAGGGACACAGATCCAAATCATACCAAGAGGGAAAAGTTTGGAATAACTAAACATACAGCGTAGCCAGAAGAATAGGTTGAGGAGAAGAGTGCATTCAGAAAGGCTGGAGAGGAGGCAGAGGCAGCTCCCAAGAAGGGCTTGTGAAGCATGTTAAGAAACACGGATTTCAAAGGAAATGGAAAGCCTTTGAAAGGCAACAGTGAAATCATAGGATCGGGTTTTCATTTTCATGAGCATTTCGGCTCACTGTGGCTGATCAATGGAAAAGAAAGTCAAGAAGACCAGTGCTTAAGCATGTGTATTTTTAAAGTGGTACGACTTTAGCTTCCAGTTGCTCGACTGCTTCATTTGTTATTCTCATGAAGTTTACCAGGTCACTTGAACCTTGTTAAGTCCCAGTTTTCTCAGCTACAAATTATGGATGACTGTAATGTTTACCTCAGAAGACATTTCCAAGATCACACGAATTAATACAAAGAACTTACTAGCCGGCCATGGTGGCTCACGCCTGTAATCCCAGCACTTTGGGAGGCTGAGGCGGGTGGATCAGAAGATCAGGAGATGGAGACCATCCTCGCTAACATGGAGAAACCCTGTCTCTACTAAAAATACAAAAAAAATTAGCCGGCATGGTGGCGGGCGCCTGTAGTCCCAGCTACTCGGGAGGCTGAGGCAGGAGAATGGCGTGAACCCGGGAGACAGAGCTTGCAGTGAGCCAAGATTGCACCACTGCACTCCAGCCTGGGCCACAGTGGGAGACTCTGTTTCAGAAAAAAAAAAAAAAAAAGAAAGAAATTAAGGCAGGAATCAAAAAATTATTTGAAACAAATGAAAATAGAGACAAAATGATATGGTTTCGAATGTGTGTCCCCTTAAGATCTCATGGTGAAATGTAATCCCCAGTGTTGGAAATGGGGCTTAGTGGGAGGTGTTGATCATAGGGGTGGGTTCCTCATGATTGGCTTGGCACCATCCCTTTGGTGATGAGTGAGTTCTCATTCAGTTAGTTCATGCATGAGCTGGTTGTGTAAAGGAGCCAGAAACCTCTCCCTTCTCTTGCTCCTGTTCTCACTATGTGAGTCCTTGGCTCCCTTTCACCTTCCATCAGGACTGAAAGCTTCCTGAGGCCCTCACCAGAAGCAGATGCCAGCACAGCCTGTGGAACCATGAGCCTAACAAACTTTTTTCGTTATAAATCACTCAATCTCAGGTATTCCCTTATAGAAATACCAAATGGACTAACAGATACAACATACCAAAACCTCTGAGATGTAGCAAAAGCAGTGTTAAGAGGAAAATTTACAATGCTAAATGCCCACATGAATAAGATAGATAGATCTCAAATTAACAACCTAAACTTGCACCTAAAGGAACTAAAAAGAAAAGAAATAACTAAAATCAGCAGAATTAAGTGAAATTGTGACCTACAAAACCATACAAAGGATCAACAACATGAAAAGTTGGTTATTTGCAAGGATAAACAAGATTGATAGATCACTAGCTAGATTAACAAAGAAAAAAGAGAGAAGGAACAAATAAGCACAATGGGAAATTTAAAAGATGACATCACAACTGATCCCACAGAGATACAAAAATTCCCAGAGATTGCTGTAAGTATATACCTACATACAAACTAGAAATTCTAGAGAAAAAGGTTAAATTCCTGGAAACACACAACCTACTAAGACTGAAAAAGGAAAAAACAGAAATCCTGAACAGACTGATAGTGAGTAATGAAATTGAATCAGTACTAAAAAGTCTACCATCCACAAAAAGCCCTAGACTAGATACAGCTGAATTCTACCAGATGTACAAAGAAGGGCTACTACCAATCCTACTGAAACTATTCAAAAAAATTGAGGTGTGACTCCTCCCTAACTCTGTTTTTTTGTTTTGTTTTGTTTTATTTTGAGATGGAGTTTCACTCTTGTCGCCCAGGCTGGAGTGCAATGGTGTGATCTCAGCTCACTGCAACCTCCGCCTCCTGGGTTCAAGCGATTCTCCCACCTCAGCCCCCCAAGTAGCTGGGATTACAGGTGCCCACCAACACACCTGGCTAATTTTTGTATTTTTTAGTAGAGACGGGATTTCATCACATTGGCCAGGCTGGTCTTGAACCCCTGACCTCAGGTGACCCACCCGCCTCGGCCTCCCAAAGTGCTGTGATTACAGGCATGAGCCAACGCACCTGGCCTACTCCTCCCTAACTCTGAATGAAACCAGTATCATCCTGATACCAAAATATGACAAGGACATAACAAAAAAGAAAAGTACAAGTCTACATTCCTGATGATAGATGCAAAAATCCTCAATAAATTACTAGCGAACCAAATCCAGCAACATATCAAAATTTTTTTTTTCTTTTTTTGAGACGGAGTCTCGCTCTGTCACCCAGGCTGGAGTGCAGTGACGCAATCTCAGCTCACTGCAAGCTCTGCCTCCCAGGTTCACGCCATTCTCTTGCCTTAGCCTCCTGAGTAGCTGGGACTACAAGTGCCCGCCACCATGTCCAGCTCATTTTTTTTTTGTATTTTTAGTAGAGACGTGGTTTCACCATGTTAGCCATGATGGTCTCCATCTCCTGACATCGTGATCCGCCTGCCTCAGCCTCCCAAAGTGCTGGGATTACAGGCATGAGCCACCACACCTGGCCAAAAATTTAATTCATCATGATCAAGTGTTCTTTATTCACACAATAAAAGGATGGTTCAACATATAGAAATCAATAAATGTGATTCACCACAGAAACACAATTAAAAACAAAAACCATAGGATGATCTCAATAGATGCAGGAAAAGTATTTGATAAAATCTAACATCCCTTTATGATAAAAAACCCTCAAGAAACTAGGCATTGAAGAAACACCTCAGAATAATAAGAGCCATCTATGACAAACCCACAGCCAACATCATATTGAACAGGCAAAAGTAAGAAGCATTTTCCCCAAGAACTGCAATATGAAAAAGATGTCTACTCTTAACATTCCCATTCAAGTTAGTATTGGAAGTCCTAGCAAGAGTAATCAAGCAAGACAAAAAAAAGGCATCCGATTAGAAAAATGGGAAGCCAAATTATCTCTCTTTGCTGATATGATTCTATACATAGGAAACCCTAAAGATTTTGCCAAAAGACTCCTATTACCTGATAAACGACTTCAGCAAAATCTCAGGATAGAAAAATCAATAACATTTCTACACACCAATAATGTCCAAGCTGAGTACCAAATGAAGAATGTGATCCCCTTTAAAATGCCCACCAAAAAAAATAATAAAATACTTAAGCATACATCTAACCAAGGAAGTAAAAGATCTCTATAAGAAGATCCATAAAATGCTGTTGAAAGAAATCATAGATGACACCATCAAATGGAAAAGCATTCCATGCTCATGGATTGGAAGAATCAATATTGTTAAGATGACTTTACTTTCCACAACAATCTACACATTCAACATTGTTTCTATCAAATTGCCAACATCATTTTTCACAGAATTAGAAACATATTTTCTAAAATTAATATGGAACCAGAAAAGAGCCCAAATAGCCAAGGCACTCCTAAGCAAAAAGAATAAAGCAGGAGGCATCATATTATCTAAGTTCAAACTATTCTACAAGGCTACTGTAACCAAAATAGCAGAGCACTAGTACAAAAATAGATACATAGATGAATGGAACAGAATAGAGACCCATGAAATAAAGCCACACACCTACAACCAATTATATTCAACAAAGTCAACAAAAATAAGCAATGGAAGAAAAAATACTCTGTCCAAAAAATGGTGCTTGTAAAACTGGCTAAGTATAAGCAAAAGAATGAAACTGGACCCTTACCTCTCACACTATACAAAAAATAAGATGGATTAAAGACTTAAATTTGAGAGTTCAAACTATAAAAATCCTAAAAGAACACCTAGGAAATACTTCTAGACACTGGCCTAGACACATAATTTACAACTAAGTTCTCAAAAGCAAATGCAACACCAACAAAAATTGACAAGTGGGATCTAATTAAAGAGATTCTACGCAACAAAAGAAACTATCAACAGAGTAAACAATATACAGAAAGAGGTTGGAATATTTGCAAACTATGCATCCAACAAATGACTAATATCCAGAATCTATACAGAACTTAAGTTAAAAAAAAAAACTCAAATAACAAAGAAATTGTTCTACCAAAAAGACACCCATACTCTTATGTTCATTGCAGCACGATTTATAAGAGCAAAGACACGGAATCAATGCGGGTGCCCGTCAATGGTGGATTTTTTAAGTCAATATGTGGCAGGCCAGGACTCACTAACAACTGTTTCAGTACTGACTGAGTGACTAAGTTAAATATTAAAAGCCAGCGCCCTTACACAAAGGCTGGGATGTAACAAAAGCCCATCGAAAGTTTTGCCTAGGCCTTTCCTGGGCCTCAAAGCATGACAAAATAACAAGGAATTCTTAACAGGGCACATTTAGGATTCAATAAGTTTTATTGTGGGTCTGAAGAAACTCCCCAGGCCTCCACAAACAAGTTTATTGGGTGTCCAAAGGAACTCCTCAAACCTCTGTGATTTCGCAGGAGACAAGATAAGGGTAATCACTCAAGCACCTGGAGCCATTTAGATTAAGTAAATTTACTGAAGCTCTAGAGGAAGGTCTTCAGAACTCAGATCTTAGTTATAGATCAAAAGAGGTTAATCACATGTCTTTAGATGAATGCACACTTACACATAGACATTTAGCTTAGAAGGTATATAAACTCTGGAAAACTTTGTAATTTCGAGTGGGTCTGGCGATAATTTCCAGGCCTTCTCCCTGTAACTGATTACAGAAATAAAAACTCTCTTCCTCCCCAGTTCATCTGCATCTCATTATTGGGCCGAGAAATAGCAGCCCGACCCTCAGTTTGGCCCAGGAACAAGTATAGTGGCAATTCCAAAAAACAGGAAGAGAAACAAATATAGTGCTTAATACTCCAAGTTTCTTTTAGATTAAAACACCTTGAAGAAGTTTCAATCTTGGCTATAACTGGATATAATTGGAGGAGTTTTCTTAGTGACATATAATACAATAGTACCAGGTCATTAAACTCACACAAACACAAAAATAAATGGCGTTTCTAACTGGTAGTACATGCTCTTAAGCATTTAGGAGAACTTCTTTAAGCTATACAAATATAGTAATATTAACCACAGCTCCGTCGTTCTGATTCTCGTGCAAAAAATGTAATTTTAATATTTATTATATGAATAATTATCTGATTCATTGATATAGATTTTGAAACTTGCCTACATTAAAAGAAATATAGATAATTTGAGGAATAAAATGGAGCTTTTCAAGTTAACAAAAGAGTGAAGTAGAGATGATAAGGTGATTTTTCTGATTCGCCTGCTAAACTCTTAGCATCTCTACATGCAGTGTCATTAAGGGCTGGAAAGATGTGTGCGAGTTTGTTAAAGGCCATCAGTGTTGCTTTTGAAACGCATTGTCACACCAGTGTCATGCATACATCAGACATCAGAATTCAACCAAATACTATGGCCTAGAGGCCAAATTTAACATTCAAGAAGGACACATTTACTTCCAATAACAAATTTTAGTTTTGATTTTGGTGTTCGATGTGATTAACATGATCAATGTCAACTCTTCATCGTTAGAGCAGAGCCTCTGCCCCAACGTCATCTCTTCATCTTAGAAATAAATGTAATGATGGTCATATTCCTGCTTCTTCTGTACAAATTAGTGGCAAGTACAAAGATATTTACTGGTCATCAATTATTCACAACATTGCATTGCTGACTCACATTAAGTTGTCCCAGAAGAGGCCTTTAACAATTTTTCCCAGAAACACTTCCTTTACCTGAAAACTGTGAAAAAAAACAGTGGGAATTTCAAACACTGTGGCAAGGTAAAAAGGGACGTATTTGTGTGCAGATAATTTAACTAATTCCTGCAAAACCAACAGACCGCACAATTCACTGTAATTACCCCAGTACGAAGATAATTTTAAGTTTTTTAACATGTATTTTCAAGTAATAGCAAATCTCATTGTCCTTCGAAGGAAAGTATTTCAGAACTTATAGAGAGAGCAGATCCTGGGCCCTACATCAATGAGGTTCATTTTTCAGCTTTAACTGTCAAATTAGATTTTTGCTTGAGTTGGCAGCAGGGCAATTGAGTTGCAAAGCAGGTTTTATGAAAAAAGGAGTTTTAAAATTATTTTACATATAAAGAACTCATGCCTAGAGGAATTAGGCCATAGAGTTTCTTCAAAAACTTTAAAGAAGTTATTTCTTTCTCCTATGAATATATACTATAAAGTTGTTTCCCAAGGCTATGTAAAAGACAGCATTTGGGGAAAGAAAAGCTCATAACCTGATGACTTTCTGTCCTAAGGGAGGCAGGAGGAGGGGGAGGAAAAGAGACAGAGAAGTCAGGCATAGGCATATCAGCCCCACCACCCTCGACATCCAATTCTGTGGTGAGAGGGACGCTTTGTAGGAAAAGCCTAAACTATCAGAGTTGGTGGCCTGTTTCCCTTGGCAAACTCAGGGGAGGGGCTTAATGCCACTGGAAGTAGCCCTACATGGCTACTTCCTACCTTACAGGAAGAGATGGCTCAGAGGTAGCACCCAGAGGAAAGAGGTAAGCAGCAATGAAGAGGTAGTGTTGCTGTCCCCAGGGCCTGTGTGCCAAGTTCAGGAGACTCAGAATTCTGCAGTAACTTCAAGGGTGATGCTATCAGGATTGCAGGGACACCATCAGAGTTATGGGTTCAAAGCCAAGAAAGCCAGTTTTCAATTTGCTTTATAGAACAAAACCCAACTCTATGCTATATATAAGAGGTAACCTAAAACAAAGTGATTCAGAAGTCTTAAAAATAAAGGAATAGGTAGAGGCATGCCAGGAACATGGAAATAATAAGAAAATAAAGGAAGTAATCCAGATATCAGATAAAGTAGAATTCGAGACAAAAACACTACATGTGATGACAAAGTCACATTTTTTTTTTAAATGACGTCTCACTTTGTTGCCCAGGCTGGAGTGCAGTGGTATGATCTCGGCTCACTGCAACCTCCACCTCCTGGGTTCAAGCGATTCTCATGCCTCAGCCTCCTGAGTAGCCAGGATTACAGGCACCCACCACCAGGCCTGGCTAATTTTTGTATTTTTAGTAGAGATGGGGTTTCACCATGTTGGCCAGTCTGGTCTCGAACTCCTGACCTCAAGTGATCCACACACCTAGGCCTCCCAAAGTGCTGGGATTACAGGCATGAGCCACTACACCCAGCGAAAGGCGTATTTTAATGCTAAAAGCCATAATTCACGCTTGGAAGATAACTTTTGGGAAAATTAATGAACCAAATGACATCAGCGATCACCTTTATAATGCAAAAAATATGGGAGATTCAAGGAGACAAAGAAACAGAACACACTCATAACAGGAGACATTCCGTACACCACTCTCAGCACAAGACAGGTCAAATGAACAAACAATAAATAAGGAAAAAGGATGCTTATACAACATAGAACAATGACAGTGAGGTAGCTCCATGGCTATACATTCACAGGTTATTCACAAAAATTGATTACATATTAAGCTATAAGGAAGACATCAGTGAATTTCATGATGTAGAAATACTACAAGAAATAATTCTGTCCACAATGCAATGAAGTTAGAAATTATTAAGAAGAATAAAAATCAGAAAGCTCTTTTATCCTGGATACTAAAAAGCCTATTAAATAACTCATAAGTGACAGGAAAAATACAAACTGAAATTACAAAATTTCTTTTAAAAATCATAATATAGTGTGAACCCCAAAAACTTGAGACAGGTCTCAGTTAATTTAGAAAGTTTACTTTGCCAAGGCTGAGGACGTGTCTGTGACACAGCCTCAGGAAGTCCTGAGGACCTGTGCCCAAGGTGGTCAGGGCACAGCTTGTTTTTATACATTTAGGGAGACATGAGACATCAATCAATATATGTAAGAAGTACATTGGTTCGGTCTGGAAAGGCGGGACAACATGAAGCAAAGGCAGGAAGACTGGAAGCCAGGGAGGGAGCTTCCAGGTCACAGATAGGAGATACAAAAACCGTTACATTCTTTTGAGTTTCTGATTAGCCTTTCCAAAGGAGGCAAATCAGATATGCATCTATCTCAGTGAGGAGAGGAGTGACTTTGAATAGAATGGGAGGCAGGTTGGCCCCAAGCAGTTCCCGGCTTGAGTTTTCCTCAGTGATTTTGGGGGCCCAAGATATTTTCCTTTCACAATGGCATTAAATAAAACAATCTATGAGATACATTTAAAAATGTAATTAGAAGAAAATTCATAACACCAAACACCAGCAAAAATAAAAGAATCAAAGTAAATAAATACTCATCTTAAAACGCTGAAAAACAAACCCCAACAAATTAAACCTAAAGAAAACAAAAGAAATAATGAAGATAAAAGCAGAAATTAATGTGGTAGAGTGTATAAAAATAGTAGACAATAAGTAAATGTAAATCCTACATTCTTGAAAAAACTAACAAAAAGACAAAATACTTGTTAAATCAATCATAAAGAGGGAAAAATGGGCACAAATTATACTTGTTTTTTAAATGACATAGAGGAATACCATTAAACCAAGAAATATTTTAAATAACAAAAAATGTGCAGACTTCTACATAAATAAAATGGAAAACATGAAATTAGTAATTTTCTTGGAGAAAGCAGATTACCAACATTAATCCCATGATAAATAGAAAATTTAAACGAACCAACTTCCCTAGAAGAAATCACGATACTATGAAACTACTTCACAAAAAAACCATGAGGCCCAGATGCTTTCACAGGAAAATTCTACCAAATCTTTAAGGCCCAAAGAGTTTCAATACTCTATAGGCTGTTCAAGAACATTTTAAATGAAGAAAAGTTTTCTAATACTTTTTGTGAAACAAGTGTAGCATTAATACCTAAACTAAGTAAGAAGAATGACAAAATTACAAAGCAGTGCAACGGAGACTGATGTAAATAAGAAAAATTTAGAGAATAGTACACCATGGCGCAGTGGGAATCAAAAGAATGCAAGATTGGCTCACTATGAACAAAACTGTTCATGGCTTATAATTAAGTTCTAGGAAGAAACACATGAGTTATCTTCAACATGTTGGCAAAGCCTTTGAAAAAGCTCAACATACCTTCTTGATGAAAACTCTCAAGAAAATAGGAGTTAATAGATGCTTTCTTACTATAAACAAACATACAGGTCTTTTTTTTTTTTTTTTTTTTTTTTGAGACGGAGTCTCGCTTTGTCACCCATGCTGGAGTGCAGTGGGGAATCTCGGCTCACTGCGAGCTCCGCCTCCCGGGTTCACGCCATTCTCCTGCCTCAGCCACCCAAGTAGCCGGGACTACAGGCGCCCGCCACCGCACCCGGCTAATTTTTTGTATTTTTAGTAGAGACGGGGTTTCACCGTGTTAGCCAGGATGGTCTCGATCTCCTGACCTTGTGATCCGCCCACCTCGGCCTCCCAAAGTGCTGGAATTACAGGCATGCGCCACCGCGCCCGGCCAACGTACAGGTCTTAGTCGTCGTAAAGGCAGCATTTTACTTGATAGAGAAACATTGGAGGCGTTAACACTAAGATCAAAAAAACAAGGCAAGCAGTTCAGGCCGGATCCCTGCGTGTGGTGAAGAGGCTGCCGCCGGCTTCACTCCAGGTCTGTGCTCTTCAGATCTCAGCCGTCTGCCCCTACCCAGCAGGCCTCCGCCTCAACTCCTGATCAGGCTGCAAAGTCCTCGCCTTGGACAATATCCTCATTGTCCCAGTGGTGCAGGTCACTTTGCCCTCACTGTGGGGACCCCCTGTCTTCCTCCCTATCAAGTCCAACAGCCTCAGGCTCTCTCAGCTATCTGGACCATATTTGGCTAGGGGCTCTGGAAGTAAACAAGGGAATATTAGCCTTTACTAGACACCACAGGAGGGCGGTGGTTAGTGGAGCAGAGGTCATTTCTGGTTTATCTGCTATCTATCTATCTATCTATCTATCTATCTATCTATCTATCTATCTACCTATTTATTTATTTATTTTTAGACAGGGTCTCACTCTGTCGCCCAGGCTGGAGTGCAGTGGTGCAACCTCGGCTCACTGCAACCTCCCCCCCTTCTCCTGGATTCAAGTGATCCTCCTACCTCAGCCGCCTCCCCTGAGTACCTGGGACCACAGGCGCTCACCACCACTCCCGGCTCATTTTTGTGTTTTTGTATAGACGGGGTTTCTCCATGTTGGTCAGGCTGGTCTCAAACTCCTAACCTCGAGCGATCCGCCTGCCTCAGCCTCCCAAAGTGCTGGGATTACAGGCCAAAGACACGGTGCCCAGGCTGCCTATCCTTTTTAACCACTATCTGGCACTATACAGACTGGCAGCGTGCTGACTGAGGAGGATTCACTAGGGGATGGTACTTTCCCCAGGCAACGCGCCCAATAGGCAGCAAGCAAAGCTCCTCTCCACCAAACTGTTTTCATCTAAACCTTCCTTGTTGTTTCACTGTGACTCCATTCTCCCTCATCCCAGAGATTTTAGCCTTGAGAAGGTAGATACCAAGGTATTTTTCTCCTTTCTTCTTCTTTTCTCTGGATCCTCGCCCCAGCAGTTGAAGGGACTTTGTTGTGTCTACGTCTTTCCTGCCTATCCTACTTTTTTTTTATACTCTCCACCCATTGCTGAAGAAGAAGCCACATGTCCTAGACTAAAGGGCAACAGGGCTGTAGGGAAAGGCTGGGAGGGGGAGCTGGGTTACCAAAATTAAGAAATACCATCGAGGCTGGGCACGGTGGCTCACGCCTGTAATCCTAACACTTTGGGAGGCCGAGGCGAGCGGATTACCTGAGGTCAGGAGTTCCAGACCAGCCTGGCCAACTTGGTGAAACCCCGTCTCTACTAAAAATACAAAAATTAGTCGGGCGTGGTGGCGCGCACCTGTAATCCCAGCTAGTCTACTCGGGAGGCTGAGGCAGGAGAATCACTGGAACTCGGGAGGCAGTGGCTGCAGTGAGCCGAGATCGCGCCACGGCGCTCTAGCCTGGGCGACAGAGCAAGACTCCATCAAAGAAAGAAAGAAAGAAAGAAAAAGCAAAACAGAAATACCATTGAAAACACTTAAGAAATATCTCCATTGTTTAAAAAAAAAAAAAACAGTCTCAGCTTCACACTGTGACGTAACTGTGAGGAATTAAGGTCTGGAAAAGACTGAGATATAAGACAGGGCCCTGCTGCCTCCAACTCCAGAGGGGTACAGGTACTCTTCAAGTAATGACCATGCATAAAAACAGGCAGTGCCACTGATTTTTGTCGAGTGACTAAATTTGGTGCATGAGAGGGTCATAGGAGAGGCAGTTTCACAACACAGAATATGCATGGCAGAGCTGCCAGAAGAAAACCCAGCCAACACAACTGTGGGAATTGTGGTTGCAGCCCAGAATGTCCCTGGTCTGAAGGTAAAGTGTTATTAACTTTACACACTTTACTTTGGTTAAAGTAATAAAAATTAAAATTTTGGAAAAAGATAAATAGGGGAATATATAAAGGGGTTGATTATCTTCACGGGATGGAGCTAATCAATAAAGTTGAAACCTATAACTCAAAAATGGTAAGTTTAATACTTAATGTTTTTCAAAACCTTTTTCTTTCTTTGAAAGGTATCTCATAAGAACCAAAATTTCGGGGCCGGGTGCAGTGGCTCATGCGTGTAATCCCAGTACTTTGGGAGGCTGAGGCGGGCGGATCACGAGGTGAGGAGATCGAGACCATCCTGGCTAACATGGTGAAACCCCGTCTCTACTAAAAATACAAAAAATTATCTGGGCGCGGTGGCGGGCACCTGTAGTCCCAGCTACTCGGGAGGCTGAGGCAGGAGAATGGCGTGAACCCGGGAGACGGGGCTTGCAGTGAGTCAAGATTGCACCTGGGCACTCCAGCCCCTGGGTGGCAGACAAGACTCCGTCTCAAAAAAATAAAAAAATTAAAAAAAGAACCAAAATTTCCTGATGCAAACAAATATTTCCTGAAACTCAATATATGTCGTATTTTGACTTAGGTTTTCTTTCTTTTGTATTTGAATAAAAGTGAATTTAATACTTTTGAAAATTTAAGGAGTAATATCTTTGTAAATTACTTGTTTCTTTTCTATAAGAGAGAGATTGAGCATTTCAAAAATACTGACGATGGCCGGGCCTGGTGGCTCACGCCTGTAATCCCAGCACTTTGGTAGGCCGAGGAGGGCGGATCACCTGAGGTCGCGAGTTCAAGACCAGCCTGACCAACATGGAGAAACCCCGTCTCTACTGAAAATACAAAATTAGCCGGGCGTGGTGGCGCATACCTGTAATCCCAGCTACTCGGGAGGCTGAGGCAGGAGAATCGCTTGAACCCAGGAGGCCAGAGGTTGCAGTGAGCCGAGATCATGCCGTTGCACTCCAGCCTGGGCGAGAAAAATGAGACTTCAACTCAAAAAAAAAAAAAAAGAAAGAAAAGAAAAGAATTAGTTTGACAAAATTTAAAGGATATATTGTAATCAAGTGAAATTTTCTAAAGTTAATAATATTAGTTGCAGTTAAGATATAATTTAACTGCCGGTCATCAAAGTTAAAAACCTTTGCTCTGCAAAAGACCCTGCAAAGAGGGTAAAAGGACATGCTACAAGGCTGGAAGAAACAAAAAATTCCATATTACCATGTATATACTGACAAAGGACTTATATCTAGAACATATAAAGAACTCTCAAAACTCAACAGTAAAAAACAAAAATCCAATTAAAAAATAAGCAAAATAAAGAAACATTTCACCAAAGAAGATGGCAAAGAAGCACATGAAAAGGTGTTTAACATCATTTGCCATTAAGGAAATGCACAAACCAAAATAAGATCTCGCTACATACCTATCAGATTGTTTAAGATAAAAAAATACCAAACACTGATGAGAATGCAGAGAAACTAAATTCATCCAGGGCTGGTGGGAATGTAAAATGACACAGCCACTCAGGAAAACAGTGGGTAGTTTCTTATAAAACTAAACATGCAACCATCATACAACCCAGCAATTACACTCCGGGCATTTATCCCAGATAAAGGAAGACTTATGTTCATGCAAAAGTCTGTACATGAGTGTCTATAGCGACTTTACTCGTAATTGCCAAAAACTAGCAACAATCCAAACGCCCTTTAATGAACGGTTAAACAAGCCCTGATACATCACTACTATGGGATACTACTCAGCAATAAAAATGAGAGAAGATTGGTATCTACAACTTGGACGGATCATAAGAAATTATACTGAGTGAAAAAAGCCACTCTCAAAAGTTTACATAACTTATGCTTCCATTTATATAACATCCTTCAAATAAGAAAATCACAAAAACAGGGAATAGACTAGTGGTTGCCAGGAGGTAAGGAAGGAGTGGGGAGAGGTGGATCTATGAGGAAGAACAGAGAACCCTGTGATATGGGAACTATTCTGTGTCTTGACTGTGATTTTGCTTGCACAGATCTACATATGTGATAAAATTGCACAAAACTGTACATGCACACAAATAAGCACACTTAAGTAAAATCAGAATAAGCTCTGTGGGTTGTGCCAATGTCAATTCCATCATTTTGAAATTGTACTATAGTCATGGAAGAGGTTACCATGGAAGAAACTAGGTGAAAGGTACAGGAGACATCCCAGTACATTTTTTGTTTTTGACTTCCTATGAATTTGTAATTATTTAAAAATAAATTGTTTAGAACCATACAAATCAGACAAAAATAATCAAGTGAAGCTATATATATTATAATACATATATTCTATATAATATATATAATAACATATATAATATATATGTTAATAGTTTTGGCTATTAATATATATATTTATATATAATATATTCTAATATATAATATACCTTATATATAATATATTCTAATATATAATATATTCTATATATAATATATTCTAATATATAATATATTCTATATATAATATATTCTAATATATAATATATTCTATATATAATATATTCTAATATATAATGTATTATATATATAATATATTCTTAATATAATATATTATATATATAATATATTCTTATATATAATATATTATATATATAATATATTCTTATATATAATATATTATATATATAATATATTCTTAATATAATATATTATATATATAATATGTTCTAATATATATTATATATATAATATATTCTAATGTATAATATACTATAATATATAATATATTATATGTAATATACTATAATATATAATATATTATATGTAATATACTATAATATATAATATATTATATGTAATATATTATAATATATAATATATTATATGTAATATATTATAATATATAATATATTATATGTAATATATTATAATATATAATATATTATATAAAATATATTATATATTATATTATATATTTTATATATAAATATATATAATATATTAATATATATAAATATATTATATATAAATATATAATATAATGTATTATTATATATAAATATATAATACAATGTATTATATATAAATATATATAATATAGTATATTATTATATATAAATACATATAATAATATATTATATATAAATACTTATTATATATACTATATATTATATATATATTTTTGTGTGTGTGTGTGTGAGATGGAGTCTCGCTCTGATGCCCAGGCTGGAGTGCAATGGCAAAATCTCGGCTCACTGCAACCTCCACCTCCCAGGTTCAAGCAATTCTCCTGCCTCAGCCTCCGGAGTAGCTGGTAGTACAGGTGGGTGCCACCACGCCCAGCTAATTTTTTGTATTTTTAGTAGGGATGTGTTAGCCAGGATGGTCTCGATCTCCTGACCTCGTGATCTGCATGCCTTAGCCTCCCAAAGTGCTAACATTACAGGCGTAAGCCACTGCACCCAGTCAGCAACATATTTGAAATATAGAGAAGATAAAATCAATGATGAAGCTAAAACAATCATTTCTGAAGCATATATAATCATCTCAAATTATGTAATGCAAAACTTGTTAGAAACACCGAAGGCACAGATAAAGCCACAATCATTAGGGAAGACTTGAATGTGTCTAGGGGACAATGACAAATCAAGTATTTTTAAAAAGTCAGAAATTTCAGCATTTGCATAATGTCATTCATAAACTTTAATAGATGTGCATTTTCCATATTGGTATTCTTTTGAATACAGTTCTGAGAAATGTAAATAGTTTCATGGTCAGTGACTTATGGAAAACTCTCTATGTTATCTTCCTCCAGTAGATTCAGAATACACTGTTTAAAAATAACAAGCATCTTCTAAACAGACACATATATGTCTAGTCTTAACCTAATCTAA
Source organism: Homo sapiens (assembly GCF_000001405.40). Lineage (NCBI taxonomy): Eukaryota > Metazoa > Chordata > Mammalia > Primates > Hominidae > Homo > Homo sapiens. The sequence continues at coordinate 23,061,223 of NC_000013.11, forward strand.
GGGTTACCAGAATGCTCACTTTTGTGTGGGATTTGCTAAGACCATTTCTTTAATGTAAAACTGAACAAGTTGGCTAGGATTTGGAGTATTACCAATAGGTGTTTTAAAAAATGAAATGCAGAAAGGAAGAACGCAAGACAGAGATACAAAGACCAAAAAAGAAAAGATAAGATAGAAAGATGGACAGAGAAATGGAAGTGAAGGAGGAAGAAAGAGATGGAGGGGGGGCGGGGCAAACTGTCTGCTACATAGCTCTTCATCGTTAGACAGCAACCCATTTGTTTTGTTATACCATGAAGTTCAAAGAAGGATGTGCTGACCAGCTGATCACCCTAATTGGTGAATGTACTTAAATACTGATCTTACATTTGGAAAGCCAAACATTGCTCATGTTACTCTATGCAAATATTCTAAAACATTCCACTGATTATTTTCTTTAATCAACCTATTGCAAACATTGCTAATCTCCATAGAAATAAAATATTATTTATTTATTTTTTGAAACATATTCTCGCTCTGTTGCCCAGGCTGGAGTGCAGTGGTGTGATCTTGGCTCACTATTGCTAATTGAAAGGGACTAGAATTACAAAATCGTAGTCAATTTCTCTCAACAGCTCTTGCTCTGGTTCAAGCTATTCTCTCTGCCTCGTGGGTTCAAGCGATTCTCCTGCTTCAGCCTCCAGAGTTGCTAGGACCACAGGCACGCATACCATGCCTAGTATTTTTGTATTTTTAGTAGAAACAGGGTTTCACCGTGTTGGCCAGGATGGTCTCAAACTCCTGACCTCAAGTGATCTGCCCACCTCAGCCTCCCAAAATGCTGCCATTACAGACGTGAGCCACCATGCCCGGCCAAAAATGAATTTTTTTAAAATAATTTTTTGTTTTAAAAATGTATAAAAAGTTTGAATAATTCAAAAGCCTTGCATCATTTTTACAAAAAAGTCTACACATTTATATGTTTGTGAGAGACACCAGTTACTTCAATTATAGAGTAAATTTTAAAATACTGAAATGAACATCCAACTTTGACTCCTGATAATTATTGAGATATCTCTAAATATATCAGGCAACGAGGGCCTAGAAGAAGCCACAGCATACCCATTTTAGACCACAGAAAAATTACTTTCAGCTCTGCTTTCTGTTTGAAAGCACAAGGTTAAGAGGTTTTGGTTCATGTCCCAAGTTATCATAAATTCATTGCCCAACCTTGAGCAAGTCGCTTAACTTGTGCAAAAAATTCACCTGCCTTGGTCTTGTTGTAAAGAATAAATGAGAATAAATGTGAATACCCTTTGAGAACTATAAGAGTACTCAGCATTATTGCTGAGGCCAACATGTATCAAGAACGGCACAAGGAAACCAAGATACACACTTCCATATCTGCAATATAGAGTGTGCATTGCGGCGTTTCTTTCTGCACTTAGGCTGAACTCAGCTACACAAATCAACAATACACTAAATTATCTTCTTTTCTACTAGCACTGAACACTGTGCAAAGAATGGCTAAGTGATTTAATAAATACTACTAACAAACAAACAGTAACAAGTAGATAATAGATTATAAAACTATTTTCTATAATTCTGTTATTTACTTAACAAATACCTCTTGATCACTGTTCTTTTTAGCTTTGGTGCTAGTTTCAGAAAATAACTTTCAGCCTAGAAGGGCAGCCTAATACATTAGTAGACATAATTATAATCACAAACAAATTTCAATTGGTAAGTCTGCAATTTTAAAAAGTCACAGTAATTATCTTGGAGAAGCTTCAAAAGGTAAAATGGTAGCTAAACTGTAAATAGTAAGTTACAAATTAGGAAAGTCTACCCTTTTTTTCAACTGTAAGATTTTTTTAAGCTATGATTTTTGCTTTTTAACAATTAGAAAATTAAAAATAAAAAACTTTCTTTAAGTTTTCTCAGGCATTGTGTACAATACTTAAAAGTTCTTCTTCAATATATTGATAGTCTAAGTGAACAACTCAGCTTCAATATATCTTTTGATATGTTTTTTATTTTTTGCCAGATTCTCATAAAACTCTTTTCTGAAGGAGAAATTATAGATGCTATGTGCTAACATTTTTTCTATAACTCAATTTTAAGATTCTCTCATTCTGTATGATGATTTTAAAATAATTTGGAAAAGTTTATTTCAAATATCAATTACAGACTTTTTATAGAATACACTAAAGAAAACTAATTCATTTTATACGAATTCTATTATTTTTAGAAAAGAAGTAAAAATTTGACATTATCATTCTTTTGTTTATATGGTCTATTCTCTTGAATCATTACATTAATACTTAGAGACAAAAATAGCTGGCGATCATTCTTTCAAAGAGAATCTGTGGAAGGCCTGCTTTGCCCTTCATTTCTTTTTTTTTTTTTTTTCTTTTAGACAAAGTCCCGCTCTGCCACCCAGGCTGGAGTGCAGTGGCATCATCTCAGCTCACTGCATCCTCCGCCTCTCGGGTTCAAGCAATTCCCCTGCCTCAGCCTCCTGAGTAGCTGGGACTACAGGCACACACCACCATGCCCAGCTAATTTTTGTGTGTGCTTTTTTTTCAGTAGAGGCAGGGGTTTCACCATGTTAGCCAGGCTGGTTTCAAACTCCTGACCTCAGGTGATCCACCCACCTCGCCCTCCCAAAGTACTGGGATTATAGGCATGAGCCACCGTGCCCAGCCCGCCCTTCATGTCTCTCACCACCTCCGTGGAACTCTGCGTATCTGCCTTTTGTTTCAGAATTTTTAGAAAGCTCTCAGGGCCTAAATAAGTTGGTTCCTTTAAGTTTTTTCTGAAACTTGCTAAGCATGTCAGAATTCCAGGTCTTCTCAAGGCATCTAACGTACTGATTGCAAAAGAGAAGCACCAAGTTAGGGCACAAATTCCACATTTAAATTACCTACATAATCCCGGCTCGTCCATTGACGAGCCTTATAACCTTAGAGAAACTATTCTCTGAGCGTCAGTTTCTTCAGGGTGAAATAGAGTTAATAATCCCACCTAATTCTCAGTTGCATTAGTTAATAAGAACACTAAATTCCCTTAACTAATACTTAATTACATCATAATTAACTAATACACTTTATTTAAAAAATACCCTTAATGAAGTGCATTCAAAGCCCTTGTTGTACTTGGCATGTTGTAAGTTCTCAATAAATGCCAGACAGAGTTGCCAGGGTAAAGCTGGCAGCATTTCCTTAGGATGGAAGGCCATCATTATCACCTCACTTACTATTTTAATTCCAGTTTTCCTTACAGATTACCAATACATCAGAAAATTAACCCTCTGTGTCAAAATATCACTTTATAAATATTTTCTAAAATTCTGTAATTTCATCTTCTAACACCGAAAAACAAATGTTCAAGTTTTTAAGTGTAGAAGACAAAATTATAGAATTTTAGAACTGAAACAGACCATTTTTATTATCTTCCCACAATTCTGTGCTGCCTCTATCTAAGCTTTCATTCAACTCAATTAAACATCTGTTAAGGATACACAATGTAGAGACCCTAAATCAATCCAAGAATTGATATTGTGAATAACCAGCTTATCCTGGCACTGCCAACTGAGGGGGAAAAGAGAGTATGGGGGCTCAAGCATTAGGTCATAAAAGTCCCTGACCTAATAAAAACAGTAAAACAGGCCGGGCGCGGTGGCTCACGCCTGTAATCCCAGCACTTTGGGAGGCCGAGGCGGGTGGATCACGAGGTCAGAAGATCGAGACCATCCTGGCTAACACAGTGAAACCCCGTCTCTACTAAAAATACAAAAAATTAGCCGGGTGTGGTGGCGGGCGCCTGTAGTCCCAGCTACTTGGGAGGCTGAGGCAGGAGAATGGCTTGAACCCGGGAGGCGGAGCTTGCAGTGAGCCGAGATCGCGCCACTGCACTCCAGCCTGGGCGACAGAGCAAGACTCCGTCTCAAAAAATAAAAATAAAAATAAAAATAAATAAATACATAAAATAAAAGCAGTAAAACAGACTTAAGTTTGAGCTAAACTCAAGTATAATTTTTCACATGCTTCACTGTCCATGGCTACATGAACACAGGAAGAAGACATTCTGCAGACACCAAATTAAAAATTGTCTTTCATTCTCCTAGCCTTGGTCTCACTCAATACACACATGCGTTGTTAGCTTGTTCCCACCACCCATCCCATAGTGATTACTATTTTGCCATGTACAGGAAACCTGAGGAGCGCCTGCTCTCTAGAGTCATTTCCCGGCTCTATGCCTCAAGCCTGTAGTTCTTGCTTGTCCATAGATGACCAAAAACATGACTGTTTCTGTGTGCTCCGATGGAGTCTGCTGGGGCACATAGCTGCCAGTCTGCCCTGCCATGGCCGCAAGCCCTAACACTTTCCAGGGGTGTCTAGGGGGGAGTCTCCAGTGTGCCTGCTCCTTCCTGACACGTGCGTGGCTATGTTTTCAGTATACATAACTGAAGGAAATGTGACAATAGCTGCCAAGACCAAGAAAATAATTTTATTCATTTATTTAACAAATGATACCCGTAACTCACCAGGCACTTGCGATACAGCCATGGAAGACCACACCTGTCTGTTGCTATGGAGCTTACGTTCCAGCAGGGAGTAAACAAATAAATATTTAATATGTCAGGTGGCATCAGAGTGTGAGGAAATCAACACAGTGCAAGAGCCAGAGATGCAGGGAGACTGTGTTTGAATAAGACTGTCAGGGAAGAAGGCACTGGAGCAAAGACATGGATAAAGAGAGACCAAGCCCTGCTGATACGGAGCAGGGAATATGTGCCGGGAAAAGGGAGACCAAGAGTGATGTCTCTGGAGGCTGCAGCCGGCTTTAGTTGTTTAAAGAAGATCAGAGGGGGCAAGATGACCCAGAGCAAGGGATGCAAGCAGCAGGTGGGAGATGATAGCTGCATCATGGTGGGTGCTATAGGCCTAGGTTAAGAACTTTAGATTTTACTGGGAGTGAGATAGGAAGTCCCTAGGAAGCAAGGCTAGAGCAGAGAAGCAACATCGGTCTTGAGTTTTAGGTGAATCTTTCTGGCTGTTGGTCTGGAAAAGAGACTATTAGGGACTGAGGGTAGAAGCAAGGAGAACTGACTCATTATATTCACATCACCTGTGGCCTTTGATATTAGGTCTCTGTGAAATTATTACTCTGTTTACACATGGCTCATTTATGTTTACTGAATGCTTTGTGCCAGGCATCATGTTACACACCAGGGCCATGAAGGAGATCCAGGCACACTTCCTGCTGTCTAAGGACTTACAATGTAATGGAGGACATTGATAAAATAAGAATGACAACACTCAGTATAGGTGCTATAATAGAGCGTTGTACCAAATAGTATCAGAGGAATAATAACTTTCTACTATTTTTTTCTGTTCCAATAATTTCTATTACTACTACTTTGAGTAAAGGAGAAAAAGGAAACTAGAACTGTGAACTCTGACTTGCCAACCAGGTACAGAAAGAAAGTGAAGATTTCAGCAGGTTCCCAAGTGCACCAAGAATGCAGCCATGCAGACTTTCTCTGAATAAATCTGTCCATATTTGAAAGTTATTACCTATTAAAACACAACATAGGCATGATGGAAAAAGTACTCGAAAATAAGAGAAAGAAAGCACCATGCCGAAGGCCTGGAAGTAGAACAGATCTATGCCCCTCCTTCCCTGCAGGAGCCAGAGAAAGATTTCAGAAAGTGATTTTTGTACTAAGGGGTTCTGGAAGACCACTATGAAAGAGGAACCCCACTGAAAATACAAGCTGAGATGAACAGAACACAGGGACGTGTCTTAAATTATATTCTACCGGCTTGAAAGAGCAAATGCTTTATCTCAAAACTTCATTGACCTCCAGTCACTGTGGATCAGTGAGGGGCCCCACAGAGACTGGAAGGGATGAAGTATAACTCAAGATGGGGAACACAGCAGTGCTCATTAGCAGACGTGGTTATGGCACGAAGATTGGAAAATGAAGAGGTGGAAAGAGGCATGTCAGGCAACTGCTATAAAAATGAAAATTGGCTTGGAAAAATGTACATAGAACAAAATTGAATGCAAGGTCAAAGTATTTACTGTGATGAGGACCAATGCCTTATATTGACGACAATGCACTTTGTCAGGAAGTTGACAAAATTAAAGACTAAACAACGTAGCACTGAAATATATAAAGCAAGCATTTTCAAAAATACAAAGAGAAAGTGGCAAAACCGGAGCCAAGGAGGAGGAAAACAACTAGCTCCCAGAAAATGGAAAATCAGATAGAAAAAAACAACATAAAGAATTTGAATATCACAAATATTCAGCTTGATTTGATACACACAGACACACACACACACACATATATACGTGTATATATATACACGTATATGTGTGTGTGTGTGTGTGTGTGTGTGTGTATATATATACACACCATAGATCTTTTACAACAGTTAGCCAAGTGTTAGGTTACCAAAAAAATCTAAATGAAGTTCCCAAAGCAGTAGCCCATGTTCTGATTACAATATCATCAAACCAGACAGTAAACAACCAAAGGTTAGCCCAAAAGAAACTTTCCACTTAGAAATGTCAAATTACTCTTCTAAATAACTTGTGGATAAAGAAAACCTCAAAACCAACATTACAAACTATTCATAAATGAGTGAGAATAAAAGTATATATGTTGAAACAGAATTTGGACAAAGCAGTAATCAAGGAAAATTTGACTACAAAGGCATGGATTAGAAACTGAGAAAGATGGATGATAACTGAGCAAAAGAGTCAATTCAATACAGTAGAAATAGAATAGTCTAAACCCAAAGCAAGGCATGTTAGCCCAAGGCAAAGAGAGTGAGCTCAGGAACCAGACTATCTAGGATAGAAACCTGACTCCACCACTTCACATCTTGGTCCTCGATAAAATTATTTGACCTCTCAGTGCCTCAATTTTCTCATGAGCAAACTGGGGACTCTCATTGTCTTGTTAAATGGATTAAATGAGATAGTACTGGTAAGGTTCTTAAGAAAGTGTGTGGCACATAGTAAGCATCAAATAAATATAGGCTTATTTTAAGAAGAAGAAAATAATACAATTCAATTAGTCAAGGATTCATTTTGTTTTATTTTATTTTATTCATTTATTTATTTTTGAGACGAGTCTTGCTCTATCGCCCAGGAGGCTGGAGTGCAGTCGCGCGATATCGGCTCACTGCAAGCTCCACCTCCTGGGTTCACACCATTCTCCAGCCTCAGCCTCCTGAGTAGCTGGGACTACAGGCGTCCACCACCACGCCCGGCTAATTTTTTGTATTTTTAGTAGAGACGGGGTTTCACCATGTTAGCCAGGATGGTCTCGATCTCCTGACCTCGTGATCTGCCCGTCTCGGCCTCCCAAAGCGCCCGGCCGGATTCATTTTCTAATAGCAGAGGTAGGACAAGAGAAGTTTCTATTTTCTGTAAATAAATGCCTTTTACCACAATCTTAGATCCTCCAAGCATGCCCAGGAAGAGAGTATGTTGATGTTGAAGCAATCTAGATGTCACCCAGGTTGGAGTGCAGTGGCACAGTTTCGGCTCACTACACCCTCGCCTCCCGGGTTCAAGCGATTCTCCTGCCTCAGCCTCCAGAGTAGCTGGGACTACAGGCGCCCGCCACCGTGCCTGGCTCCTTTTTTGTATTTTTAGTAGAGATGGGGTTTCACCATGTTCACCAGGATGGTCTCAATCTCCTGACCTTGTGATCTGCCCGCCTTGGCCTTCCAAAGTGCTGGGATTACAGGCGTAAGCCACCATGCCCAGCCATGAAATTTATTTCACAAAGGTAGAGGAAATCTATTTCACAAAGGCAGCTAGTTCTAAAATTTATATGAGATGTGAAGGACCAAGAGTAGCCAAGAGTCTCTTTAAAAAGAACAAGGTGGAGGGACTTGTTCTAACAAATATCAAGGTGTATTTTAAAGCCGCAGTAATTAAGCAGTATGGTATTGGGCGCAGAGATTGGCAGACCAAAAGGCAGAAGGGAGAGCCCTCATATGAACCCACATACATGGACACTTAATTTGTAACAAAGATGGCATTGTAAAGCACAGCATATGGTCTCTGAAATAAATAGGGCTGGTAAATTCTGTATATGAATATCAAAAAAACATGAAACAATCTCTAATTCATACCAGACTATTAGATCTAATGACGTATAAGTTGTTCATGACTTTATCACAATCAGTATCCTCAGACTGATAAGGGCTAAAATCTGATCAGCATGGATTCAAGTGAGAATGCGGAGGAGGAAATTGTGACAGAAAATACAGACAACTCCTTCCAGAAGTTTTGCTGTAAATGAGAGTTTTAAAAACTAGGTTGACAAAAATGGGATCAAGAGATCCCATTTTTGCTTTTTTAATTTTGGTTTTTTGCTTCTTTGCATTTGCTTTTTTAATTTTGGTTTTTTGCTTTTTTAGTGGAAGAGATGACAGCATATTTGTAAGTCAATGGGCCTGATCCAAAAAAGAAAGAAAAGCAGCTGAAAGCTAAAGAGGGGAATTAGGAAATAGGCAGGATTAGAGAGAGTGAGTCAGGAGTTAAATCCTAGAGGAATGACCCATGAGTTAGTAACAATGAGTAACAATGGATGATACAATCTGATAATATGAGATTCAAACCAGTGTTTTAGGGAGAAACGAAAGAAACTACTCTGTAATTAACAAAATTAATTCCTAATTAACAACAGGAACTACAAGGACTTTTATCCCATCTGTAGGCCCAATGATTCAAGGGCTATGGAAGAAAAAGAGTACCCTTGACAGGGTGTTCTTATGGAAGAAGTGGCTTCTTGTTAGATCAAAAAATAGCAGAAAGGCTTAGAAAAGGGGTCGAGGTTACTAAGGATATTGCTGATAATGAACCATGAATTCCAGTGAGCAGAGTTGACAAGAAATTCCAGGATATTTATGACAACCAGAATAAAAGACATAATAAAGTTGGTCCCAGTGAATTAAAGGCAGATGATCTACGAAGGAAGAAAAAGTTCTATCTAGGTATTGCATCTAGCACAAAGTACAGAATTCCTGAATGATAAAGAGTCCTCTCCACCAAGTATGAATATGGCTCCTTGCAGTACAGGAACCTATGAACTAAAAAGGCCAATTATCTGCTCACTCCAACAGAGACATCCAATACACAGCAAAAGAGCAAGGGCATGAGTACTTCTATTTGAGGAAAGAGAAGAGTGGGAAACACTCAGCAGCCACTGGTCCATAGTAATTACTAAATCATGCAGTAGGCACATGATCTGCCTTCAATTTCATGGCAAACAACAATTTTACAAATGTTCACCTCTGTAAAACTTGGGCTTCTATCTTCCTAGCCTTCCATATCACAGGCTTACTAACTTTGGCCCAACCACTAAGATAGTGCCACATAGTTTAGGTTTTGTTACAGCAGTAAGTACCCACTTCAGGATACCCACTTCTACACCTATTCAATAAATACTGCCTTCCATAATAAACTCCAAAATCTCAGTGGGCTAACCTTATGATTTTTTCTTTTTCTTGCTCAGGTAACAGATGCGTATTTCCCTGGTTGGGAGGATCTTCAATCAAAATCATAGACACAGACCCGTTTCAGGGAGTGGCTCTGCCACTCTTAACAGGGGCCCAAAAGATCATGCTTAGAGTTGTCTTCATTTTTCTTCACAAGGCAAGAAAAGGGGATGAATGAGCAAATATGGGTGATTTTATGGATGATGCCTGGAAGTGATGTACATTACTTGTACTTGTAATCAACCAATAGAATTCAGTCTTATGGCCACACCAAACCACAAGAGAGGCTACACAAAGGCAGTCTAGTTTATCAAGGGAGAAGAGGAGAAGGGTTTGGTCACCAAATACCAGTTTCTGTCACACTATCATATATATTTCTGGAAAATAAGAACTATGAGTGGAACTTGCCTGTCCACTTACAGATAATTAAACCCGGGAGACTTGGGTGATGAGATAAATCTATAGACAGGAAGGTCACTTAATTTTTGTGCAAATTGGAACATGTTCAAGCGTGAAAATCTGTCTTAAAAATTCAAATTATTGGCCAGGTGCAGTGGCTCACGCCTGTAATCCCAGCACTTTGGGAGGCCGAGGTCAGGAGATCGAGACCATCCTAGCTAACACGGTGAAACCCTGTCTCTACTAAAAATACAAAAAATTAGCTGGACATGGTGGCACGTGCCTGTAATCCCAGCTACTCTGGAGGCTGAGGCAGGAGAATGGCGTGAACCCGGGAGGCGGAGGTTGCAGTGAGCTGAGATTGTGCCACTGCACTCCAGCCTGGGTGACAGAGCGAGACTCCATCTCAAAAAAAAAAAAAAATTCAAGTCATTTACTTTTTGAAATACTTATATTTTGAAAGTATTTTCGAAATACTCATATTTTGAAAGTATTTCAAAAATCAAATAATTTGAAATACCAATAGATTGGCTTATTATATTGCTGACCCTATAGTTCTATTTTAAAACTTTTGTATAATGCTTTTCAAATACTTTAAAACTATATTGCAAGATAAATTATTTTCTCTTTTCAGCTTGTAAGTTCAGGGGTACATCTGAAGATTTGTTATACAGGTAAATTGTGTGCCATAGGGTTTTGTGGTGCAGATCACCCAGATAATAAGCATAGGACCTGATAGGTAGTTTTTTGATCCTCACCCTCCTCCCACCCTCTATCCTCAAGCAGGTCCTGGTGACTGTTGTTCTCTTCTTTGTGTGTATATGTACTTGATGTTTAGCTCCCACTTGTAAGAGAGAACATGTGGTATTTTGTGTTATTTTACTGTGTTAGCTCACTTAGTATGATGGCCTCCAGCTCCATCCATGTTCCTGCAAAGGACATGATCTTGTTCTGTTTATGACTGCATAGTACTCCATCCATGATGTATACATACCACATTTTCTTTATCCAGTCTACCATTGATGGGCATTTTGGTTGATTCCATATCTTTGCTATTGTGAATCATGCTGCTCTGAACGTAAATGTATATGTGTCTTTATGGTAGAATGTTTTATATTCCTTTGGGCATATACTCAATAATGGGATTGCAGGGTCAAATAATTCCATTTTAAGTTCACTCAGAAATTGCCAAACAATAAATTGCTTTCTCAAAATAAAGAAAACATTTTCATTCCAAAGTAAGTGTTTTAAAAAGTGCTTACGTTGATTATCTGAGCCTTAGAAAATAAGCAGAAAAATCACTCTTGCTATTCACACACTTGCTTCTTCGTAATATCAGTCTTTAATATAATGTCACTAGTTTTTCCTGAAGAATATGTTTTATAATATGAATTTCTTTTAAATGTTTTTATAAAATTTTCTTTATTCTTCTTTAAAATTACGGTAAAAACATTTGAAATCATTACCCCAATCCACTGGCTCTTCTATGTGGGCCATAATATTTTTAACTTAAAAAATAAAATCTACAAGTACTGAAGTACTTATCAGCTGAAAACAAATTCTACTAAATAGAGAACATTCTCACTTCTAGGTTTTGTACTGAAATATGTGAATATTTCAGCACACACTCCTACAGGTACTGTCTACTTGCTTCCATTCAGAATGCCTTTTTTTCAATAACTTTTTTTGTAAGAAAAAACTTAGGAAAGTTACCACTATTTATAATTTAGAGAAAGTTTCACAAATTTAGATGCTACAAAATCTGAATTTAATTCCATTCTAGTAAAGAATGCAATTTACCCAATTAGAACAAGAGTTCCAACAGCATATTTTTAACTCAAGTAGAAAAATCCTAAAGTGCCATTGTATAACTTTAAAATTATATCTTTTATAACTTCTGAGGATTCTTCATTTAGCTTCATTTTTTCTTTTTAGGTTTAAAATTCAATGTGCTCCTATTTGTAAGCTTCATTTAGTATCCTAAATGACCTGACCATTCCAAAGATAGGTACTACTATTAAAATTTTTAAAAGAAAGGCCTTGAGAAGTTAAATAAGTTGCCCAAGGGTTACACATTTATTCATGATAATCCTGCTCTGGGTGCCTCATAAGCATCTCTATTCCTGATGTCCAGAAAAACTTTCTTAGGTTAGTGAAGCCCCAGCAGTGAGTGTTACAGCTCTTAAAGGTGGTAGGGACCCAAAGAGTGGGCAGCAGCAACATTTATTGTGAAGAGCAAAAGAACAAAGCTTCCACAGCATACAAGGGTCCCCAGCATGTGGGGGGTGGCCAGCTTTTATTCCCTTATTTGTCCTTGCCCATGTCCTGCTGATTGATCCTTTTTACAGAGTGCTGATTGGTCCATTTTACAGAGCACTGATTGGTGCATTTTGCAAACCTCTAGCTAGCTGCAGAGCGCTGATTGGTGTGTTTTACAATCCTCTTGTAAGACAGAAAAGTTCCACAACTCCCCACTGCACCCAGAAGTCCAGCTGGCTTCACCTCTCATTATGACCTCAATCACCAGAGAGGCATTTCCCTAACACTCCTCTGGTACCTAGTGGGTGAACTACCAGGAAGTAGGCTCACCGACACAGTTTGGGTCAAATGACCCATGAATTGTGATCATGTGAAAAAGTGGAAGCACCTGTAAGAAAAAGATAAATGGAGTATGGGGAGTGATATTCAAATAACCTCGGTCTGAGCAGTTCAAATAATGGATAGCTCCTATTCCAGGGCATGTGAAAACTATCACAATGTTTATGAAATGTGAAGAGAAGAATCTCCTGGCAACAAAATAACTTAAAAATATTAGCTAAACTTCACAGCTAAAAATAAAATAATTATGCTATGTATGTCAAAGTTCCCTATCAACTTCCTGTGCTGGAAAAGTGAAAATACAATTACTATAATTCTTTGCATTTTTATATATTAGTGTTCTTCTCTTTACTACGGGGTTTTTTTTAACCTCACTTAAAGAATATCAAACAAATTCAATTAGAAAATTAGCTCTATGTGTTTAACTAAGTTATATTCTAAAGATAAGGAAATTGAGGGAGAAACGAATGACATAAATTTCCCAACAATGAGCAGCCAGTTACAGTCAGGGCAAAGTCTCAAACACAGTCCTCTTCGTTCTAAATCCTGAAAACTGGTAAACAAAGCACAGTGTAACAGCATGATCCAAATCTTCAGAGATAAACTTCTAATAAGAGTTGTTTGTTTTTGTTTTATTTTGTTTTTACCGAACACATATTAATAATTCACTACAACAATGAAAGTTAATATCAAATTTTCTCTTCACTATCAACAAAATAATATCTTCCTTGTTTTAGTTTAGTTTGCAGTTTCTCAGCCCAAATTCCTTTCCCTTCTCTATTATGTTGCAATATATTACTCCAAGCAGTCTTTGCATAAACACATCAAAAGCCAATTTGGCTGGTGTGGGGAATTGTTAGGCAGATAGGAGCAGAAACACCTGCTGCAGTCCTCTCTAATGGGCTGTAAATTAAGACTGTCAGAAACTTGCCTCAAGTAAAATCAGACAGGAGAAATGTTCCAGATCCAGCTGGGATGACTGTCAGCTGGTAACAGGTGTGTCTTAGTGCATTTGGGCTGCTATAATACCCTTAACTGTGTGGCTTATAAACAACAGAAATTTATTTCTCACAGTTCTGGAGGCTGAGAAGTGCGAGAGCAAGGTGCCAGCCGATTCAGTGTCTGGTGAAGGCTCACTTTCTTTTTCATGGATGGTGCCTTCTCACTGTTTCATCACATGGTGAAAGGGGAGAGAGATCTCTCTTCATCTTTTATGAGGGCACTAATCCCATTCATGAGGGCTCCACTCCCATGACCACCTCCTAAAGGTCCTACCTCCTAATGCCATCACCTTGGAGGTTGATTTCAACATACTTATTTTGCAGGAAACACAAACATTCAGACCAGAGCAAATGAAAAACCGTATCTTTCAGCTGGAAGAGTTGGAAGTCTTGATGAAGGACCACTGGTACTTTTAGAAATGTGCTGTTACAGTATCATAGTGCCCCTTAAAAATGTCGTTGACATTCTATAGCTTCATGAACCTACGGAGAATGCAGTGAATAATGTAGAAGTTTTATCAAGGAATAATTCAACTTTATTTCAGATTTAGAGTATTTGAAAGTTTTCAAGCAAAATAAATCAGTACTTTGTACAAGCACATTTATTTTAGTCTCATGATTTTAAAAATAATATGAGAATTTCCAATTTAAAGGAAATAAGCAGATGACAAATTATTTAGCACTGCCTAAGAATTTTGTTTCAAGAAGCTTTTTTTTTTTTTTTTTCTGAGATGGAGTTTCACTCAGTCACCCAGGCTGGAGTGCAGTGGCCCGATCTCGGCTCACTGCAACCTCCACCTCCCGAGTTCAAACAATTCTGTCTCAGCCTCCCGAGTAGCTGGGATTACAGGTGCCCACCACCAAGCCCGGCTGATTTTTTTTTTTTTGTATTTTTAATAATGGAGGGTTATACCATGTTGGCCAGGCTGGTCCCAAGAAGCTTTAACACACAAATGCACCCCTTCAGTATGTTATGTCTATAGATTTTAATCCAAGAAACACACAAAAATTCTTCTTAAGTCTATTCAACTAAGTAATTGCCCAGCAACTTAATATTTAAGATGATTGTGAAAACATAAAGGAACATCTCTGGGCAAGGGCTGATTGAGACATTACATTCTTATTCTTCTTTTAAAAATGTATTGATATAATTTTAAAGGATTTCTGAAATTCGAGAAATATGGCTTTACAGTTGCCTAAAAGATCATAATCCTAGAACCTTTTCAGGAAAGGCACTTTGTACCTCAGCACAAAGATAGAAAGCAGACCAATAGCCAGGCCAGCAGCAGCAACCAAGTGGCTTAGCTCATCTGGAAAGGAACAGGAAGGCAAACGTACAGTGAGAAATCCATATTGAAAGAAGAACATGGAGTCAAAATTTAAATCCAAGCAGTATCTTTTTCCCACTGGCATAACAGTTCTGCATAATAACTTTATTTTTGTCTTCAGCGTGTGCTGTTGACTCCACACATAATATGTAATGTGTTTGTAATGCAATGAATCAATTATTATCTTGCTAAGTATTAGGGACAATTAACCAAAACCTTTTATTTAAATTTTAAGAAGACTTTTTTTTTTCACTTTTGTTGGAGCTATATGGGAAAAAGGGAAAGTAGTACTCATTTGTATTCCTCCCCTTCCTGAACAAACTGCCAAAATGCACAAAAAGCAGTCAAAAGTAGGGAAGAAAAGTTTATCTATACTGAAAATAGGGTCTGTCACAGCTCCACAGTGCAAAATCGGAGAACATTTGCCAAATTCTGCACACTTTGGGTGAGATGGAAAGAAGGAGCTTAAAACCAACATATGCTCCCTTTACGTGTAAGCACAAAAGTACAGAGAGGGGAAAGTTCTAGATAAAAGAAAGAAGGAAGTTTCTTTTCTCTCTTCTAGCCATTTAGACTTTCGTTTTGTTGAACAAACTTTACGACTATGACTTATATAACATGAATGGACCCATTGCAAGTGAATAGCTTGGTGCAATATGACAAATTCATGCACCTATGTGAATACCAAGACATCAAGTTATGGCCATTTTTATCATCCACAAAACTCCCATGGACTCATTTGCATTATCCCTGGCCTGCTTTCTGTGACATGAATGAGTTTTATCTTTTTTTTTTTTTTTCAGATGGAGTTTCACTCTTGATCCCCAATCTGGAGTGCAATGGCGTGCTCTTGAATCACTGCAACCTCTGCCTCCTGGGTTCAAGCGATTCTCCTGCCTCAGCCTCCCAAGTAGCTGGGATTACAGGCACCTGCCACCACACCTAATTTTTGTAGTTTTAGTAGTGATGGGGTTTCACCATGTTGTCCAGGCTGGTCTCAAACTCCTGACCTCAAGTGATCTACCCACCTCGGCCTCCAAAAGTGCTAGGATTACAGGCGTGAGCCACCGCACCCTGCCAAGTTTTATCTTTTACAGAATTTCACATGAATGGTGTATACTCTATTATGCTTGGCTTCTTTCACTCACTTTAATGTTTTTGAGATTCATCTATGTTGTTGCATGTAACACCATTTTGTTCCTTTTCATTGCTAAGTTGTATTTCATTGTATATACAACGGTCTCTTTATCCATTTACTGTTTAAATGATGCTTCATGTTATTTCCAGATTTTGACTATTATGAATAAAGCTTATATGAGTTTTTATAGGATATTCACACAAGGCTTTATGGGTCATATAGTTTTATTTTTCTTCAGTAAATATCTAGGAGTGAAATTGCTGGGTCATATGATAAGTATGCACGTTTAACCTTATAAGAAACTTCCAGAATATTTTCCAGAGTGGCTGTACCATTGCACATTCCCCAGTAATTTACATGTTCCGGTTGTCCCACTTCCAATTCAAAACTTGTTATTGTCTGAATTTTAAATTTTAGGCATTTTGATAGATGTACAGTAGCATTTTACACATTTTAGTGACAACTAATGACACTGAGCATCTTTCATATGTCATATTTATGTAGTATTTGTTCACATATTTTGTTAATTTTTAGATTAGCTCACTTGCCTTCTCATAAATGGGTTATAGAATGACGTTCTATATTTTGGATATGAGTCCTATGTGTAATTATATATATTTCCCTATTACTGCTATAATAAATTACTACAAACTTAGTGACAATACAAATGTATTCTGTTACAGTTCGAGAAGTTAGAAGTCCCAAACTGGGTCTCACTGGGCTAAAACAAAGGTTGGCAAAAAAGAGAAGTTTTTTGTTTGTTGGTTGGTTTTTTGAGACTGAGCCTCGCTTTATCACCCAGGCTGGAGTGCAGTGGCACAATCTCGGTTCACTGCAACCTCCGCCTCCTGGGTTCAAGCAATTCTCATGCCTCAGCCTTCCGAGTAGCTGGGATTACAGGCGTGCACCACTGCACCCAGATAATTTGTGTATTTTTAGTAGAGATGGGTTTCATCATGTTGGCCAGGCTGGTCTCGAACTCCTGACCTCAAGTGATCCACCCACCTCGGCTTCCCAAAGTGCTGGGATTATAGGCGTGAGCCACTGCGCCCAGCTGAGAAAGATAAGTTTTTAATTTTGACAAAGACCAATGTATCATTTTTTTTCTTTTATGGCTTGTGCTTTAGGGTTATATATTTAAATCTTTGCCTCTAAGATTAAAGCTATATACATTTCCCTCTCAATTGTGTTTCTTCATTATCATTTAGTTCAAAATATTTTATCATTTCCCATTTGATATCTTCTTTGACCCATGGATTATTTAGAATTGTGCTGCTTAATTTTCAAACACTTGGAGATGTTAAAAGATATTTTATTTTTAAATTTCTAATATAATCCTATTATGGGCAGAGAAAATACTCTGTAATTTAATATTTTTAAATTATCAAGTCTTGTTTGATAGTACAGCATATATGGTCTATATTTGGTGAAAATCTAAGGTGCACTTGTAAAGAGGGTGTATTGTGCTTCTCTTGAATAGCATGAACCACAAAAGTCAATTTGATTAGGTTGATTGATAGT
This sequence comes from Homo sapiens, assembly GCF_000001405.40. NCBI lineage: Eukaryota > Metazoa > Chordata > Mammalia > Primates > Hominidae > Homo > Homo sapiens. The sequence goes on from NC_000013.11 coordinate 23,078,720, forward strand.
GTTATTCCATTAATTTATATCTTATTAATTACCTGTGTCCTTATTCTATTAATTTCTGAGAGAGAAGTGTTTATTTTTCTCTTTAGGCACGTATGTTTTTTCTTCATGTATATTTAAGCTTTATTATGGATGTATGCACATTTAATATAGTTATGCATTCTTGCTGAATTGACCTCTGTGTCTTTTCCAAGTGTCCCTCTTTATGCATGACAATATTCCTTTCCAAATTCAACTTTTTTCATATTAATATAGTCACCCTAGTTTTCTTGTGACTTGCGTTAGCATGATATAACTTAATATTGTTAGTTTAACCTATCCACTTATTTATAAAAGATTTCTTTAAGAACCCTGTAGTTTTTAAACTCCTTACACAGAAATATACATATATAATTTATATATGTATAAATTCAACTCAGTTTCCCCATGTATTAACTTTGCGCAATATATAGACTGTTAAAGAAAGACTGTTAAAGACCTTTTGTTTTTGTTTCTTGTACTTTATAAAACCTACAAAGAACTTGTTTCTTGTACTTTATGAAACCTACAAAGAACTTGTTTCTCCTATTTCTTATTCCACTCTTTGAATCATTCTGAAAGGAGTTGTGATAACTGAGATTTATTTTTATTTATTTATTTATTTATTTATTTATTTATTTATTTATTTATTGAGACGGAGTCTTGCTCTGTCGCCCAGGCTGGAGTGCAGTGGTGCGATCTCTGCCCACTGCAAGCTCCGCCTCCGGGGTTCACACCATTCTCCTGCCTCAGCCTCCTGAGTAGCTGGGACCACAGGCACCCGCCACCACGCCCGGCTAATTTTTTTGTATTTTCAGTAGAGATGGAGTTTCACCATGTTAGCCAGGATGGTCTGGATTGCCTGACCTCGTGATCCACCTGCCTCGGGCTCCCAAAGTGCTGGGATTACAGGCGTGAGCCATCGCGCCTGGCCCAACTGAGGTTTAGTTTTTAAGTAGATTTATGTTCTACATTTTCTTTACATAAGTTGAAAGAGCATCCCAATAATTACTTGATGAATGATTAGAGGGTATTATAAATAATCATAATGAATATTGTTAAACACCAGAACTACTGGGAAGACAAAACAAAGTGGGAAGGATGTCATGTACAAATAGCAAAAAATAAACCGAACCTTTACCAAAAGTGACAATTCTGCTTTGATTATATATCTGATAATAATGGTCTATAAAACTCTGATGGATGAGCCCTGTTTAGAAATGAATTGAAATGCATAGACAAGATCACATGAATGGATTTGAAGGGTTTGTGTCCTTCCTGGATTATGAGAAAACTCAATTAAGTCCCTAAAAGGAGGGTGGAAATGATATACAGCAAACCAGACTGCATGAATTTTTTGCAACTACAGATGTATTGCTTTCACATAAACTCATAATAGGCCAAAAAGTGAATAAAAATACATTTACACAAAGAAAACTATCTTTCGGGCTGGGCGCGGTGGCTCACGCCTGTAATCCCAGCACTTCGGGAGGCCGTGGCTGGCGGATCACGAGGTCAGGAGATCGAGACCATCCTGGCTAACACTGTGAGACCCCGTCTTTACTAAAAATACAAAAAAATTAGCCGGGCATGGTCCCAGCTACTCGGGAGGCTGAGGCAGGAGAATGGCGTGAACCCGGGAGGAGGACCTTGCAGTGAGTCGAGATCGGGCCACTGCACTCCAGCCTGGGCGAAAGTGCCAGACTCCGTCTCAAAAAAAAAAAAAAAAAAAAAGAAAAGAAAAACTGTCTTTCACTTGTTATATATGAAACATTTGTGCACAACACAGAAAGTGCCTCCACCCAACATGGAGATTTTGAATACACATCATGGATGTGTACACATTAGGGATGCTATTGAAAACACATCAGGGATGCTTTTGAATACACATTATGGAGTGGTTCCTGTATTTCTTCAAAACTTGAAAATGAATACAATTACACTGGACTGGAGAATGCTTACCTAGCAAGGCACACCCCATCTCCTTGGACAAGAAGATAATCATAAAATAGGCCAGGCGCAGTGGCTCATGCCTGTAATCCCAGCGCTTTGGGAGGCTGAGGCGGGTGGATCACCTGAGGTCAGGAGTTTGAGACCAGCCTAGCCAACATGGTGAAACCCCGTCTCTACCAAAAATACAAAAATTAGCTGGGTGTGGTGGTGGGCGCCTGTAATCCCAGCTACTTGGGAGGCTGAGACAAGAGAATCGCTTGAACCTGGGAGGCAGAGATTGCAGTGAGCTGAGATTGTGCCATTGCACTCCAGCCTGGATGACAAGAGCAAAACTCCATCTCAAAAAAAAAAAAAAAAAACAGATAATCATAAAATATTGTTGATAATTCGGTATGGTCGCCTTTTCCCTGACCCTCCTCATTCCAGGGCTAGAGACCTTGCATGGGCAATAGCTCCAGTGACAGGACCTTTGCATCTGTCTTTTTTATTTTACAGTGAGTCCACTCTGCCTTTTATTCTGCATCATTCCTAACAGCATCACCTCCTCCTATGCAGGGAGTGGAGTGCAGGCGTTGTCTTCCAACAACATGAAGCAGTGTAAGGACCAGCGTGGCATCTTCCTCACCCTGTAGCCAGGGCACTTGGAACACAGCAGACACTTGTCACATGCTGAATTATGGCCAACTCATGGTCTGAGGAATTGGGACTCGCTAATGTCAGCCTCAGACACATCATCTAAGGTCATGTAGCTCAGATGAATCATGGCGAGCATGGTGCTCTTTCATAGTTTGGCATTGATTTTCCTAACAAATGTGGTTAAACACATATTCAGTACTCTTTTTGAGCAAATCAGAGACAGAGAAAAAAAATCTAATATAAGGAGACGCTGAGGCTAATTAGCAGCCTGGGATTTTGTTATTCTCTCTCCTCTGAAGGTTCCATGACTGTTTTGACTTCTGGCCCTAGAAGGCCCATATCTCTTGGCTCTAGTTTTTAAATCTCACCATTATTTTAAGGCATATAATTTCCAGTCCCTTAGCCCTAAAGTCCTAAAACCCCAGCCATCTCAGCTCTCCATCCCCTAAGCCCCCACGTGCTCTGCTCTGTGGGTGTGTTCTGGTCCCTACTAGATTCCTTTCCTCTCTCTGAAACACGCGCATTGGGGCCTGTGGGCCCTCATCCCACACTAGCTGGAGCTGAGGTGAGAAACTACAGCCCCCTCCCAAAGTCTTGAAAAGCAGCTGTTTGTTGCAGGCTTTTCTGGAGGGACGACAGATCAAGAGTGTAACCATGCCTCCAACAGCAATGCTGGCTCAAAATAATCCTCCCTAGGAGAGCCAGTTTCACACTCTCAGCAGCATCGCCCACTCTTCCCCCAGGCAGGCTTCTCACCTCTCTGGTGCTCCCTTCTTCCTCCTCCTCAGGCAAATGTGCCCATGTTGTCACCTCTAAAGCCGGCTCCTGAGCCCCCGCCATTCTCCTGGGGAAGCAGGAAAGCACTCCTCCGCTAACCGCCTTCCTCTTAGGGACGAACTCCCTGGAGGTCTGGGGAGCACCCTGCCTTCCTGCACTCTCAGTGCTGTTGTGTAAAGCTGCCTCTACAAAAGCCATACGTCTCCTCCAATCATGTGGGAATCCTCACAAAGCCAGGACCACTGTTTTTACTTTATTCTTTAAATTGTCACATGATATAAAAACCAGTATACAGATATGAAAAGGTTTTAATTTTTAAATGTATTTATACTTGAACGCACAAAGTTTCATGTCAACACATAATAGTCTTTTCAATTCCTTTTCTGGTTTCTTTAGACTTTCTTCCTTCACCTACATCGGGTTTTCCCAACACGCAATAAACAAGGTAAGGCTCTCCTGAGTGTCTTCCCGGGTTTTCTCTGTGCTTGCAGAATCCCTACAGACATGGACAAAAACAAACGCACTGAGACAGCTGCTCTTTGTTTTAAAAAATTGGCATCCTACTATACATACTTTTCTGCATGTTGGTTTTCTAATTCAACAGTACCTTGTGAAAAACATTTTCAAGACAACGGATATAGTTTTAATTTTTCCTTTTTTTTTTTTGAGATAGAGTCTTTCTCTGTTGCCCAGGTTAGAGTGCAGTGATGCCAACTCGGCTCACTGCAACCTCTGCCTCCTGGGTTCAAGCAATTATCCTGCCTCAGCCTCTCAAGTAGCTAGGATTACAGGTGCCCACGACCACGCCTGGTTAATTTTTGTATTTTTAGTAGAGATGGGTATTCACCATGTTGGCCGGGCTGGCCTTGAACTCCTGACCTCAGGTGATCCACCCAACTTGGCCTCCCAAAGTGCTGGGATTACAGGCATGAGCCACCATGCCAGGCCTATATTTTTTAATGAGTATTTTATTCATGCTGCAGATCAGGACTTTGTAACATGAGCAGTATGATTTTAGGCATGGAAACCATTGCGTTGGGGGCTGCCCTGTGCATTAGGAGGTGTTTAACATCACCCCTGACCTCTATCCTCTAGAAACCAGGAGCACCGCTGCCGCCTTCCAACTGTGACAACCAAAAATGCCTCCAGACATTGCTAAATGTCCTCTGGAGGACAAAATCACCCAGGCTGAGAAACACCGGTGTGGACATACTATAATCTGTAATGGATTCATCCATTCCTTTACGGGAAGGCAACCCACATTTTGGCCACCACAATGAAATGCAGCAATAAATATATTTACACATACTTTTGATAAAAATTATTTTATCAAATAGTTTTAAATATACCTTTTGTCAAAACCTTGGATCTGGAAATAAGCTTTCTAAACTAATAGAAAGTATTCACTGTGTTCACCATGTAAGCTAGTTAGCAAAGCCAATCTTCATTGTCAAACCAATTAGACAAATAAGTCTTTTAAATAAAAAAAGTTTCAAAATTTAAGTCAGCATGTTTAACATGTGAGAGGAATATCTCAAACTGAGAAAGTCGAATTCTTACTGCAAGATGGACTACTAAAAGCAGTCAGGAATGACATTATTTTACTTCAATCTAATTCATCTATGCATTTTATTAGCTATAAAGTTAAAAGCATAAATCTATATACTGTCTTACGTACATAATTCTAAGCAATACAATGTAATGTGTACAAAAATAGAAAACTACTTACAAAGCTATAAATGTAATTCAAAGCATGATATTCAGCAAATATAAGTGTACGTGGGCATGAACTCTAGTAACTGGCTTTGGGAATAAAAATAAGAAAAAAATCTATCAAACACTTTAGATTTGTGATAAATTTTAATAAAGAATTTTGTATATTTAATGAAGGAGAAAGGAATATGCTATAAAAATCTGAGTCGAGCTGTTAGCACATTTCACACAGCACATTGCAGAAACCAAAAGAAGACACAAAAAGGGAGGAAGGAAAGAAGGTCTCAAATAAGGCTGGGGAGGGGGGCAGGGGCCAGATCGTGAAGGAGCTTCTGAGCTGCATAAAGGATTTCGGCCTCTATCATGGAAGCAATGTGATCGTATTGAAGAGCCTTAATGAAGTAGAGTACTAGCATCTTATATGTGCATACTTTAAAAGTTGACTGTTACTGGCCGGGCGCGGTGGCTCACGCCTGTAATCCCAGCACTTTGGGAGGCTGAGGTGGGCGGATCACGAGGTCAGGAGATCCAGACCATCTTGGCTAGCACGGTGAAACCCCGTCTCTACTAAAAATACAGAAAAATTAGCCGGGCGTGGTGGCGGGCGCCTGTAGTCCCAGCTACTCAGGAGGTTGAGGCAGGAGAATGGCGTGAACCCAGGAGGCGGAGCTTGCAGTGAGCAGAGATCGTGCCACTGCACTCCAGCCTGGGCGACAGAGCGAGACTCCGTCTCAAAAAAAAAAAAAAAAATTGACTGTTACTAATCGTAGAGAATCAATCAGAGGGTGACATGAGAAGATGCCAGAGAAGAGTCCTGAGATTACTTTAAACAGGAAATGGTGAAAACTTGGGTTAAGGTGGCGAATGTGGAGCTGACAGAAATGAACATTTGATTATTCAGTGCAGGGACTATCCTCAGAACATAATGGTGAGTACAGTCACATAGCAAGGATGGTTAAAGCCCTAAGAAGAGATGGAACCACTTGGACTGCATGGCAGTTGGGGCCCAGGACCAAGCTGTGGGGAGCTCCAGCATTCAGGGGCCGCAGAGGGGACCCAGCAAGTGGAACACACAGAGGAGGCATGGCAAGAGACCCAGGCGGGAAGCCAGGTGAGTGCAGCGTCCTGCTGGCTAAGGGAAGGACGCTTCAAGAGTGTCAGGAGTCAGTGTTAGGGCCCAGAGAACGATACCCTAAATGAAGGCTTCAGAAGCAGCTCTCTCTGACCTTCTCCCGCCCTCCTGTCTCTGGCTCCTCATTCTCCCCTGGGCCTAGCCCCAGAAACTGGAATCCCTCTTCACCAAGTCAGGGTCATAGAAACCAGAACCCATCTTCCCCAAACCCAACCATAACACCTAAAAATAGTGCTCTAACTTTCTCGCTGCGTTTCTGTGTAAAATCTGGTCATAAATAAATTCTCAGACCTACCTTGTTTGACAGTAGGTTATAAGACCCCCATTCCAGGCCGGGCATGGTGGCTCACGCCTATAATCCCAGCATTTTGGGAGGCCAAGGCGGGTGGATCACGAGGTCAGGAGATTGAGATCGTCCTGGCTAACACAGTGAAACCCCGTCTCTACTAAAAATACAAAAAAAAAAAAAAAAGCCAGGCGCGGTGGTGGGCACCTGTAGTCGCAGGTACTTGGGAGGCTGAGGCAGGAGAATGGCGTGAACCCGGGAGGCGGAGCTTGCAGTGAGCCGAGATCGCACCACTGCACTCCAGCCTGGGCGACAGAGGGAGACTCCCTCTCAAAAAAAAAAAAAGTACCCCCATTCCAGAGAGGGTTCTGCCCCACACCCAGAAGGAAGGTACGGTGCTCAGAGAGGCCAGGAAGAATCTAGATGGACAAGCCTCGCTGGGTTTCCCCACTCAGTCTGTTAGCATTAGGTCATGCCCTTTTTGTCCAATCAAATTTCTACATGGCTGTCCATATTTTGTTGAACCTCAATACAAAAATGGACAATTTCCCCTTTATCTTTGAGTCTTCATTCTGAAGGCTCCCATGTGAAATAAAATTAAGATACAATAAGACTGTATGCCTTTTCACCTATTGATCTGCCTTTTGTCCAGCTGATTTTCAGGGACCCTTCAGGGGAAGAAGGGAACGTTTTCCCTTGGCCCTTACATAAGAATGCTACTAATACAGTGGTAAGAAAAAATGAAACCAAATTCTCCTTTGTTTCATTTTTCCTGTTAAAGAGTGAAAACAGTTAAAGACATACCTTTTCATTAGAGTCCTGTTTTTGCTATGTCTTGTAAGTTTTTGTTTTTTTTGTTTTTTTTTTGTTTTTTTTTTGTTTTGAGGCAGAGTCTCGCTTTGTCGCCCAGGCTGGAGTGCAGTGGCACGATCTCTGCTCATTGCAAGCTCCGCCTCCCGGGTTCACACCGTTCTCCCCGCCTCAGCCTCCCAAGTAGCTGGGACTACAGGCACCCGCCACCATGCCTGGCTAATTTTTTTTGTATTTTTAGTAGAGACGGGGTTTCACTGTGTTAGCCAGGATGGTCTTGATCTCCTGACCTTGTTATCCGCCCACCTCGGCCTCCCAAAGTGCTTGGATTACAGGAGTGAGCCACCGCACCAGGCCGTCTTTTAAGTTTTTATATGCAGTGTTCTCATTAATTTTTCTAAATTATCAATAATTGCACTTATTTCCTCTCTACCAAATAGTTATTTTAGAGAATGTTAAATTTTCAAGTGATTGTATTTTTAATTTAAATAGTCATCAGTGTACAGAGAAAGGACTTTTTTAGGATTCTTTTGAAGTCCCTTGATTAAGAGAGGTGTTTTTCCCTCCTATAAGGTTGGAATTAAGTTGACTTTTCTTCCACAGTAATCTCATTTAGACCCTCATTTAAAGAAATTCAACAAAAGTCTAATGCCAACTCCCTTTCCCCAGTTTCTAGCGCTAGCTAATTAGAGCTTTTTCCTACTTTCGTATTTCTTTCATTATTTGGATGAAAATCTGGAATAATTAGGTGTGCATTCAGATCACTGTCTTGTTCAGCAGCCAGTCACAGGTAATAGTTTAGCTGCCTGATGCTACAGCTCTCTTCTGTAATGTAAACCATTGTTTTTGTTTGTTTGTTTGTTTTTTGCCTCTTTGCTCTTTCCAGCACAGTGTTCTGTGATCATGGCAATACCAGAAGCATTTTAAATTCCTTCTGAAGAAAAAGACACTATCTGCTTAGAATTTAAGCTGGAAACCAACAGCAACCTCCTTGTTGCTGTGCCATGCTTTTTTCCTACATCATGTGATTGTAGAAGCCTACCAGCAGCGATAACTCAGCAGTAACTTGAGGATACATCTGTTTAATTGCTTCACACCCAGTGTCAGATAGATAATAATAGCAGCACAAAGGACCTGAGAGATCATCCAATTAGTACAAGCCCCCTGTTTTGTAGATGAGGAAAATGAGTCATTGCTAAGACTTTCACACAGTTATTTAGTGGAAAATTTGCATTCATATTTACACAAAGAGCAATGCCTTACATAATAGAAAACTAACGACTTAGTATGATTTATGGAAATGTAATTTTTGAAAGAGCTACCCATAACCTCAGGTCCTTCAGAAACCAGGAAGAATAGAAATGGCTTTGTCAGCCTTTAAAAACAGCTATTAATTTGCTATTCCAAATGTCAGCAGGTAAGTTACTCCACAGAGTAGGGCATGAAAAGCACCCAGAAGACATGGAGAAGATTTATACTTGAGTTCTTGTATTTCAAACTCATTGTATTTTCTTGATGATGAAGACAAGTGATTTTTGTAAAACATACATTTGTAATTTAAAGACAGATAGATGCTGACTCATTACCCGGATTAAAGTACTCTCCACATAAATAGTTGTCATCTGCTGTAGCCCCACCTGTTTCTACTCCATTTTCAACCTCTTTTTTCCTTGTTTTCTTTCCAACATTTAGACATGAGATTTCACTCTTGGGCTTAAAGTCAGCCCTCAGTAATAATGTTGATACTATTCTGATGCCCTTTTCATTCCAACTCTGATTTTAATTCTAATACTAATACTAGCACTAGCTAAAGTTGATTGAGTGCTTACTTGATATTCTAAATGCTTTACATGAACTATCTAATTTAACAGAAATAGCAACCTACTACTATCTCTCTCCATTTTACAGATTAAGAAACTGAGGCACAGAGAGGTTGTATCTGTAGGAAGTGGCAGAATGAGCCATCCACCCAGGCAATCAGGGTCTAGATAGAACCTGCAGTCTGTTTGAACCACTGAGCTCTACAACCCCACCCAGTGGCTCATTTGGGTATCAGGTCATGTCCAAGTAAAAAGGTAAAAAGGGCAATTATAGGAGCCTCCCCAACCACACATGGGAAGGGGCCATGGAACCAGTTTTTCTTGTAAAAAGGACAGTTCACTTGACCAAACTTGACCACACATACCACAGCAAGCTGATGACAGCGCCATACATGATTTTTCATGAGCAAAGAGAAATGTACTGCATACATCTTAACCTCCAGTTGTTCATTTTGAGAAGGAATAAAAGATCCAGAAGGAAAAGTAGATCCCGTTCAGACAGTTTATAAACACTTAACCAGTGCTCATAGCCCAGTGCAGAAGGACAGGAAACTCACCAAACCTACACAGGGTTTTGTCAGATGGTGGTTTTTCAGGGTAAAATGGTGGACCTTATTTGGAAATACTTTCTCCTTTATCTCATAACCTTTGGTCAACTTTAAGAGGGTATTCTTGAATGTTTATTCCCATTGGTGTCAGATTAAGACTGAAAACATCCATTGAATTTCACAGCTAGGAGGTTGTTAATGGAGATAATTTTAGTGGATTGGTGAAGGCCACAGCAGGTATCAGATTTAGAACTGAATGGGAATTATAAAGAGAAGAACAGTCTTTTTAGACTCTCTTGTTTTTTGGACATGGAGAAAGAACTTTGGGCTTCCTTTGATAGCTAAAGAGAAAATAGAGGCAAAAATGGCAGATGTTTTAAGATTCTTGAGCATAATTAAATACTAAAGTGACAAGGGTGATAAAGAGGGAGAGGACAAAATAATCAATGCCACAGGCTCTAAAGGAACTGAGGACATAGGGACAGGACAGGAAGAGACAAACCTCCTGCAGATGCTGACAGAAAGTCCCCTTAACAGATCAGGGCAGGAGTTGAGAAGGGCAAGAGGCTGAGATCATCTCTACCATAGCTGTTTATTTCCTGGTGAAGTCCACAGGGCTTGGGCAATATTCATTGATTTCAATGGCATTGATTGGTAGTTGGAATTCTTTTAAATTTCTAATGAGTATTCTGAAATAAATATTAGGGTAAATAGGACAAAATTGGTCAAGGTTTTGTCCAGTACAGGGAAGGATAGAAAGGCAGAACCATGAGAGCAGTAAAATGGTGCCATTTAAGGTCTTGGATATTTTATTTTATAATTTTGTTTTTGAGACAGAGTCTCACTCTGTTGCCCAGGCTGGAGTGCAGTGGCACAATCTTGGCTCACTGCAACCTCCACCTCCCAGATTCAAGTGATTCTCCCTGCCTCAGCCTCCTGAGTAGCTGGGATTACAGGTGCGTGCCACCATGCTGGGCTAATTTTTGTATTTTTAGTAGAGATGAGGTTTCACCATATTGGCCAAGCTGGTCTTGAACTCCTGACCTCAAGCAATCCACCCGTCTCAGACTACCAAAGTGCTAGAATTACAGGCATGAGCCACCACACCTTGCCAGATATTTTATATTGAATGTTTGATTAACAGAAGCATAGTTTGGACATCCTAGTGCATAAATGGCAAACAGCTTTGTATGCCCTGCAGATCTCATGTTGCCTGTCACATCACTGCCACCATCTATAATTTGAGATCTTTTATTCTTTGATTAACTTGAATGAAAAAAAAAAAAAAAACTCCAGTTTCCTATGTCCTGCAGTCTGGTGATCTGTGTTCAAAGTCATGTCTCAAAACATGTACCCAAACAGTGAAATAGAAAAGTAGTTCCTTGTCAGAGTAAACACAGAAGCGTATCAGTATTTTTTGAAATACCTTCTTGTAGTATTTAGGACTTTTGACATCTATTTGAAAAATGAAAAGTAACTTTTTAAATGGCCAGGTATATTTTTCTTCAAACATCAAAAGCAGCTTAGTTTAATGGTGAAGTGTGTCCTGGCCGAGGCTATAAGATAGTGCCTATTCTCGACTTTCTTGCTAAGCCTATATACAAAGCAGGAGTGGCTGCTTTCACTAGAATATTTTCAAGAAGCTTAGCTTTTCAGGATCTGGGGGGCAGATAAATCTTAATCATGTAGAAAAATTGTAACCACAGTTCTGACACTTTCATTTCTTACTACTGGCAGTGAAGCCCTTTTCAGTGAAAAACAGTATATAAATCTTCTCTTGACTCAGATGAATTCTGGTCTGTCACATACTCTCGTTTCACTGAGTAACTTTCCAAATTACAAGTTTGTTTTCTGATAAGCAAATTCAACAAAATCCAACACACACCCACAACAGTCTAAATTCTGAATCTTTTTTTTTTTTGGAGACGGAGTCTCACTCTGTCGCCCAGGCTGGAGTGCAATGGTGCAATCTCCACTCACTGCAACCTCTGCCTCCTGGGTTCAAGTGATTCTCCTGCCTCAGCCTCCCGAGTAGCTGGAATTACAGGTACCCACCACCATGCCCAGCTAATTTTTTTTGTATTTTTAGTAGAGACGTGGTTTCATCATGTTGGCCAGGCTCGTCTCGAACTCCTGACCTCAGGTGATCCGCCCACCACACCCTCCCTAAGCGCTGGGATTACAGGCATGAGCCACCCCACCTGGCCGAATATTTTACAACTCTAATTAATAGGTGTCAACTAATAATAAAGAAATGCTAAGTCTCTCTACATGGTTTACTGCAAGTTGTTTGCATTTTTATTCACACACTATTCCAAGAGTTCCTGACATTTGTCTGCCCCGTCAACCCTAATACCAGATTTGTGTGAACAAATACAATTTCCACCAAACCTTCCCATTTGTTTTCCCTCTACCATAAACACCAACACTCATCCTGCTTCTCGGCCTCTCCTATATTGAAGTATGGAAATACAAAGTTTCCTTCTCGTTAATGGTGAGAGTGACAGTGTCTATAGGTAAGACAAAAAAAAAATCACCAGAATTTACTGCATGATTCTACGCGAGAAACTGAGCTAAATATTTTTTCCTTTTTTTTTGAGAAGGAGTCTCGCTGTGTCACCCAGGCTGGAGTGCAGTGGCGTGATCTCGGCTCACTCCAACCTCCATCTCCTGGGTTCAAGCGATTCTCCCTGCCTCAGCATCCTGAATAGCTGGGATTACAGGCATGCACCACAATGCCAGGCTAATTTTTGTATTTTTAGTAGAGACGGGGTTTCACCGTGTTGGCCAGGCTGGTCTTGAACTCCTGACCTCAGGTGATCCACCTGCCTCAGCCTCCCAACATGCTGGGATTACAAGCGTGCACCACCGTGCCCAGCCTAAATTTTTTACACAGATGAAAAATCCTCGTTACAAACAGGATTAGCATTCCCACTTTACAGATTAGGTCACTGAGGCTCAGGGAAGTCATGTGCTTCCCAAGAGACACTCAGGCAGGCATGCCCCCTCCCATACCTGGGGACCGCACTTTTCCCTCACTGAGAAAAGTGATATGAGCCAACCGGAAAACTATACCTTGTCCCACCCTTTATCTATACTTATATGTTCTGTCCCCTCTCCTGATACGGATAAAAATGTTTCCCTGAGCCTATCAAAACTGAACCTTTTCATTTCAGCCCTGGGTCCCAGCCCCTCTCCTTTTCTCGAGAACTGTATCCAGCCTATAGTTAATGTTTCAAATTCCCCACCATTCATTCTCTCTTTGCCACACTCCAGGCTGGCTTCTGCCCTTGCCACTCCTCAGAGTGGGCTCTCGTTGAGGTCTATAATCGCCATGCAGCCAAATGCAGCAAGTGTCTCCTGCCTCACTTTCCCTGAGCTCCGTACCTGAGACAGAACTACACCAACAGCAGGGTTATGGAGGACCCTATGTCCCCAACAGAGGTTTTCAGATGTGGTTTGGCTGTGTCCCCACCCAAATCTCACCTTGAATTGTAATCTCCATAATCCCCACATGTCAAGGGCGGGACCAGGTGGAGGTAATTGGATCATGGGACTAGTTTCCTCCATGCTATTCTCATGATAGTGGGTGAGTCTCGCGAGAGCTGAGAGTTTTATAAGCGTCTGGCATTTCCCCTGCTTGCACTCATTCCATCCTTCCACCCTGTGAAAAAGGTGCCTGCTTCTCATTTGCTTTCTGCCATGATTGTAAGTTTCCTGAGGCCTCTCCAGCCATGCTGAACTGAGTCAATTAAGCCTCTTTCCTTTATAAATTACCCAGTCTTGGGTATTTCTTCACGGCAGCATGACAACGGACTAATACACCTTTTTATCATGTCTAGTGCCATGAACATAACAATGAAATCTTCCACGTCAGTGTTACTGTACTGTGAAAGATAGTCCTGCAGGAAGTCTCATACAACATGAGAAATGAGACTCAAGTGTCTAAAGAAGTCCCACACTTTCAAAGTGGTACCAGCTTTGGATGTATACGTGCAGTATGGCTGTAAGGGTTGTAATTTCAGAAGAAACTGATTTTTGTAATAGAGAACATATGGTAAAAAAAAAAAAAAAAAGAAAGAAAAGAAAAGAAAATTGTAGGAAATAGAAAAATAAGTTACCCCTGAAGGTGAGGCTACACTCACCTATCAGAACCTCAAACGCTAAATGCGCATGCCCATCAAGAGATCTTGGCGTATAGAACATGAATATCACCACCAGAGAAACTGACTATTCCTTGAGTGGCCGAAAACCTTAGGAAGTGAAAATTAGAGACTGTTACAATGTTCATAATCTCAAAAGGACAAATAGGATACAAACCAAATCATGCGTACAGAGAATATTCCAAGGTCAGATTCTACCCAAGAGGGAGTTTGAACGATGAGCTCATGATCTCAGTGCTGGGGCCACTCTCAGACAAGCCCGAGCCCCATTTGTGGAAACAATAGGATGGTCTGGACTCAAATGAACTGTTAACAAAATAAGGGAGGAAATTTTGTTGCTGCTGGTATGGAAAGGTGGAAATGTCTTCCACGGGCATCCCAGCATTCCTGATGTTACTGAGGCAGCCTCTGAAGCAGTGGCTCTTTGGAATAAGTCAGCAACCCCAATCATTAATTAAAGTTGTATCCCAGTTAATTACTGCATGAATTTTGACAACAAAAATAAAGCATAAATACAAAACTCTTGGAACAAAATAAAGGAAGTTCAGGACCTTGAGGAAGAACATAGGGAAATTTCAGTCAGGACCAAGGGTTGTTAGTGAGGATTTTATTATGAGGAAGTGGTAGCAGCCTTCAGTTCTCTGGAGAGCAAAGGCTCAAGAGAAAGGAGTGCCCTTATGAGTTTTTCATCATACACTTTTTCTTCCCAGACCCAAATCTTAAATAACCTCACGCCTAAACTCTACAGCAATCCCCCTGTTAGGATAATCTGGGCATCAGTAACTCCTCCCACTCTTACCTTTAAACTAGTCTGTACTTAACTTTTTTGCATATCAGCAAGATCTTTTTATTTACTCTTGACACAAAACGGATTCATTGAGCCCTCAGAGCTTAATTCTCTCCCTATCCTTTTTTTTTTTTTTTTTTTTTTTTTTTTTTTGAGACGGAGTCTCTCTCTGTCGCCCAGGCTGGGGTGCAGTGGTGCGATCTCGGCTCACTGCAAGCTCCGCCTCCCGGGTTCACGCCATTCTCCTGCCTCAGCCTCCTGAATAGCTGGGACTACAGGCTCCCGCCACTATGCCTGGCTAATTTTTTGTAATTTTTAGTAGAGACGGGTTTCACCATGCTAGCCAGGATGGTCTCGATCTCCTGACCTCATGATCCGCCCGCCTCGGCCTCCCAAAGTGCTGGGATTACAGGCGTGAGCCACCGCACCCGGCCAATTCTCTCCCTATCCTTTGTCTTCTGAGGATGCTGATACAGTAAGTATCAACCATATCCAGTCTTTCACCCATGAAGATTGTCTTCGAGTATTATTCCATAATTTGTAATTTCTATTACATGTCTCTTTCCCAATTGGGTCATGACATTTTTTGAAAATAATGTATTATCTACTGCAGGTTAGGATATATTTAAAGTCCCTTTCTAAGCATGAATTCCCTATTTTATCTGCCTTTTTAAAATCCTCAATCCAGAACCCACTGTTCCAAGAACCTATGCGCTGAAAGAGATTCTTTCTTCTGTCTCTAAGACAATCAACATGTTGGATGCAGTCAGTCTGATCAGAAAACTACAATCATGTTAAACTCTGACATCTTCTTCTCCTAAAGGCCATGTTTTTATATCTGGAGACAGAGGAGGGTATACACCCCGCATCTCCTTTGGGAAAAGGAACTATACTTTTCTCCAGGAGATATGAACACCCTTATTTCACCTATTTAAAAGCAAGGAAACGGCCGGGCGCTGTGGCTCACGCCTTTAATCCCAGCACTTTGGGAGGTCGAGGCGGGCGGATCATGAGGTCAGGAGATGAGACCATGCTGGCTAACACGGTGAAATCCTGTCTCTACTAAAAAATACAAGAAATTAGCCAGGCATAGTGGCTGGCCCCTGTAGTCCCAGCTACTCGGGAGGCTGAGGCAGGAGAATGGCGCGAACCCAGGAGGCGGAGTTTGCAGTGAGCCGAGATAGCGCCACTGCACTCCAGCCTGGGCGACAGAGCGAGACTCCGTCTCAAAATAAATAAATAAATAAATAAAATAAAAGCAAGGAAACTTTACGATTTGGGTCAAGATCTCCAAGCCATAAATGCACTAGGATTGCCTTCTGTTCTGATTGCCCCGTTATCAGCTTTTGCTTTTCCGTGCATCCGACCCTGCCAGCCACTCCTATTTGTGCTTCTGTATTAGGGTCTCTGGAATATTTGGCCCTGACACTTAGAGTCTTTTGTGATTCTCTCCATAGAAATTCTTAGAAGGGACATACTGTATGCCTAGTTACTCCATATTTGTTCACTGTGTCAATGTGATAACATAGGCTGTCTACAAACAAGGTGACTTTCCCTCCAGCCAATGAGAAGTAGGAACAAAACATAAAGCAAATATAGGTTTACCTTGAGATGGTCACATAGAACATGTTTCTGCTGTAAGTTGACCTTCTGTACTTCTTCCCAGAAGAATTAGAGGACAGTTTTTCTGTCTCCTGAAGATGCTAACTTAGGATGATGTTTGGAGGGAGCAAACTTAGTTTTTAATGTTTGTCTTCTCAAAAACTCATGCTGAAATTTAATTGCCATTGTAACAGTATTAAGAGGTGGGACCTCTAAGAGGTGATTGGGCTGTAAACCCACCCATGAGGGTGAGTTTAATGCCTTTAAGAAAGGGCTTTCAGAAGTAGGTCATATCACTCTGCTCTTCTTCTCTCCTGCCATAGGAGGAATGCTGTTCCTTTCATCAGAGGATGCAGCATTCAAGGTACCATCTTGGGAGCAGAAACCAGGCCCTTACCAGACACCAAGCCTGCCAGCACATTGATCTTGGATTTTCCAGCCCCCAGAACTATAAGAAATAAATTTCTTTTCTTCAAAATTATCCAGTCTTTGTTATTCTGTTACAGCAGCACAAAAGAGACTACGACAAAGTTGAATTCTGCCAGAAGATACGTTTCCTAACACATCATGGAAACACAGATAAAATCTCTGCCATCTTGGAGCTTCTAGGGAAGTTTCTAGTGAACCACAAACTAAAAACAGGTAAATATAGAATCTTAGATAGTAATAAGTGATAAATAAGAAACAACAAGCAGGAAGAAGGGTAAGAAAAGTTGGGTGGGAGAGGTATTGAAATTTGGCAGTGTTGCTGGGCAAGCTGCACTGAGGAGGTGAATTGAAGGAAAGTCTTTGGTTAAGTGAGGGATGAGTTATATGGATATCGAGGATAGAGTTTTGCAGGCAGAAGGAAAGCAGCAAGTGCAAAGGCCCTGGGGAGGAAGCGAGCCTGGCATGGTCAGGAAACTGCATGTGGGCCAGTGTGGCTGCAGCTGAGCAAATACAGGGAATCAAGGTGGGGCATGAAGTCATATGGCACAGGTTCATGTGGGGCCCCTCTGTCCTATTAAAAATGCTGACAAGTCCTGGCACAGTGGCTGGTGCCTGTGATTCCAGCACTTTGGGAGGCCAAGTCAGGAGGATCACTTGAAACCAGGAGTTCAAGACCAGCCTGGGCAGCAGGGTAAGACCCTGTCTCTATAAATAAATAAATTAATTAATTAAATTAAATAAAAAAAATTAGCTGGGCATTGTGGTGCACACCTGTAGTCCTAGCTACTTAGGAGGCTAGGTGGGAAGATCACTTGAGCCCAGGAGTTGGAGGCTGCTGTGAGCTCTGATCCCACCACTGCACTCCAGCCTGAATGACAGGGTGAGACTCTGTCTCTAAAAAATAAAAAATAAAAAATACATGAAATAAAAATTAAAATGTTAGCTTTAACTCTGAATATGATGGAAAGCCATTGGCATGATCTGAGTTACAGGAATGGGATGGTTTGAATGAAGATTTTGGAGGATCACACACCCTGCCACCTTGTGAGTAGACCAAAGGGAGACAAGGACAGAACAGAACTGTTAGGAAGCAGTTTTAATAATCCCAGTAAAGGAGAGCAGGGAATCCAGTGATAGCAGGAAAGATGAAGACAGGTAGAATGCTGGGGTACATGGTGAAGGGTGAAACAACAGGATTTGCTGATGGACTGGTTGTGGGGTATGAGAAAAAGTGAAGGCTCAAAAATAACTCCAGGCTTCTGATGTGGGCAATGGCAGTGTCTTTGTTTGTCTGCTTGCTTATTTGTTTTGCTTGAGTGGCAAGAAGAAAAAGAGTTACCATGGATTGAGATGGGAAAGTATTCAGAAGGCTAAATAAATCACTGAATATGTTGGCATAGTCTTATTCCACCTTATTAATTCAATTGATAAACTTTTTTTTTGAGAGGAGATTTCATGTGATGATCTGTCTTAGATGGCAAAGATATAGAAAGGAATTTAATACTGTTCTTACTCTCAGGGAATTAACAATCTAGTGGAAGAGATAGATGTGTAAGATGGTGTTTCAAACAATTTACTTTTCTATCAAAAGGAGGAAATGTGTTACCACGGAAAAGAAGTTAATTTATTATCCCACAGTGTATGACTAAACAAAATCACTCCCCATCCCCAATTTACTGTAATGTTAAGTGAAAAGTTGAACATGTCCTCATCCTGAGCAGGTCCTAACTGCTAAACCCTAAACTTAAGTCACTGTGACCACCCACCCATACCCTGCTCTAAGCAGGTAAATGTATGACTTTATATGAAGAGAGACAGGTTGACAGAATAGCTCTATTTTCCTATTTTCAAAAATTCCCCTATCTTTAAATATCAACTGTGAGAACCTAGGAGAACAGAAGATGTAGGAATATATCAATTTAAAATAAACTCATGATGTCCTTCTGAATACAGCAGTTTGGCAAATTGCAGGAAAAGTGCTGGCCGTAAAACTCAAATAGCTTATTATCATTCTGGATGCATTGCTGGTTCACAAATCTTTCCTCAAGGTGTTAAGATTTTGGACTCAGGGAGAAATGATTGCATGTTTTATTTTGAATCACTTATTTATGGTATAATTCTTTAAAGTTATATATTGTAGACAGTCTAAGTTTTACCCCCCAGTTTTTAGAACCATATAAACTTTTCTTTGCAGTATATAGAGAGACTGAGCTTCAGCTACATAGGCAACTTACAATCCATCTGAGTTGAATGATTAGCATGTCAGTTATTCAAACACTTTGCATCTTCTATTTCCTCCTGTAGCTAAATTGGGTTATTACAAAATGTGGTGATATCTCAACAGAAACATTAAAGAGGATAAAATCAAAGTAAGCTTGTAAACTTTCTTCACAAAATGGTTTAGTAGGTGGAAAGTGACAGAATTGACCAATTGAAGGATTTTTAACTCATGCAATTTTTCCTCATTGGAACAAACTAGCATTTACCAAGTCCTTCTTTCCTACACTGACAGAACAAAGTTTGAGAGGAGAAAACAATAGAGGAGACTGGAATGGCTCCATTGAATGGAAGGTACCACATGGTAGGCAGGAGAAACAGGCACATCAGTTTGATATGAATTGTAATCTATTTGCGTTATCCATTAGCAAAGTAAATGGGAAAATTCCTTTACCTTTCTGAGTCTTGGATTATAGATTATTAAGTGGAATGCTGTAAGTATTAGAGTTAATGTTTATAAAGGACCTATAATTATAGTTATTACAAATGGTAGTTACTGTTAATACTTCTGTATAAATGTTGGAACAATCACCGTAGTCTATGGCCAAGAAAGTTTTCAAGTACAGGATATGTTTCTTTGGGGCTAAACTATTTCCATCGTAGGTTGGTAATTCCAAAGGAATGAGAGAAATTTTATTGTTAGTCAAGGCCTCTGCCTTCTCTTCTTTGCATTCCCCCAAATTCAAGTGTCCTTTAAATCCAGACACA
Source organism: Homo sapiens (assembly GCF_000001405.40). NCBI lineage: Eukaryota > Metazoa > Chordata > Mammalia > Primates > Hominidae > Homo > Homo sapiens. Next base: position 23,098,376 of record NC_000013.11, read on the forward strand.
GAAGAGGATGGTGATTCACTAATTACTCTCATCTACCGGATAATATTTATTGCACATACAAATATGGGTAGAATACTAAGCCTATGTCCTAAATAATACAGGATGAACAAGGCGGATTAGTGGCTGTCTACATTATTCTATACTCAAGTCATTAGTAGGGTGTCCCCATCTGGAGGCCACCATATTCATACTCACTCCACTGCCTCACCAGAGAGTCTGAAATTCCATTTGCTATCCAAAAGGCATTGCTAGGAGCTAAAATCCAAATTCACTTGATCCCTTCTCCCCGTTTACTTTTCTTCCTGACAACTATTACTATCAAAAATTATTGCGTCACTTATTTAGTTGTCTGTATCCACTCACCAGCATGTAACTCCAGGAGAGCAAAGACTTTACCATCTTGATCACCAAAGTACTTCTAGAGTGGGAGTTAATGCAAGGTAGGTATCACACCATTTACACACTAGTGCCATCCTCCACAGTGTGAGACTGCCAGACAGCTCTTTCCTTGTAGAGACCAGAATACCGTAGTCAAGACAGCGACTATTTGACCTGCAGAAACTTGGGACATGTTATTGATTCATGAGGCACATCCACATCATGAGAGTTGGGTAAGGTGATATGAAGCTCTGCTCACAGGATTAGTACAGGTCAAGCCTCTATCCTACTGAAATAACATTCACAATGCCCTCTCATGTTTCTCTGTCGCATCACTAGAGGACCTCACATCCCATAACAATCTCAGGAGCTCTTTACTGGGAGAGAAGGAAAAATGGGCTTTCTTATTTGTCTCACTGAGGGGGTCTCCTCTCTTGATCTGGAAGGTTCCTTCTGAGCGAGGTGTATAAGATCAGAAAGTTGGCTTCTGGCTAGGCGCGGTGGCTCACGCCTGTAATCCCAGCACTTTGGGAGGCTGAGGCGGGTGGATCACGAGGTCAGGAGATTGAGACCATCCTGGCTAACACAGTGAAACCCTGTCTCTACTAAAAATACAAAAAAATTAGCCAGAGGTGGTGGCGGCTGGCTGTAGTGCCAGCTACTCGGGAGGCTGAGGCAGGAGAATAGCGTGAACCCAGGAGGCAGAGCTTGTAGCGAGCCAAGATTGTGCCACTGCACTCCAGCCTGGGTGACAAAAAAAAAAAAAAAGAAAGTTGGCTTCTCAAATCCTCCACGTGGACCATGGTGCTTTAGATAAACGGACACCAGGGTTATTTCTCAGATTCTCAGCACTTACAATTCATAGGTCTTACTGGAGACAGTAAAGAATCCTGGTCATGCATGGTGGCTCATGCCTGTAATCCCAGCACTTTGGGAGGTCAAGGCAGGTGGATCACAAGGTCAGGACTTCAAGACCAGCCAGGCCAATATGACGAAACCCCGTTTCTACTAAAAATACAAAAATTAGCCGAGTGTGGTGACAGAGGCATGTAGTTCCAGCTACTCAGGGGCTGAGGCAGGAGAATTGCTTGAACCCGGGAGGCAGAGGTTGCAGTGAGCCAAGATTATACCACTGCACTCCAGCCTGGGTGAACTAGACTCCATCTCAAAAAAAAAAAAAAAAAAAAAAAAAGAGAATCCCACTCTGTGTCTTTCCTGATTGCTCCCAACCTAAGCAGAGGCTGAATTATACTGGCTCTAGCACATCTGCTCTCACAGGGATTTCAGATGCTGCCAGATCCTGCCCCTTCCCTCACCCCCAGCTGTGAGTATTTCTTGGAATCACTGGAAACTGTTCTTCCTTCTCTCAGAACTAAGCTCATTTCGAAACTACCTTCTGCCATTCTCAGGGCTGCATGGCTGTTTCAGCTCCACAGGGCTGTGGAGAACAGTCCCCAGCATGGTGGGTGCTGTCACCACTGGGGCCGCAGCTGAAACCTGCCCTCCATAGCCATAGCCATTATCTGGTCCTGTGGACTCTGATGTTCCTTGCTAGAGGGCTCCATAGCTGTGTGCCTGCCACATGCCTATGCCACTAAAAGACGCACAACAAAGGGCATGTTCGTCTCCCGGTGGCCTGACCCATAATTTGCCACAGGATCTTGTGGCTTTTTCTGAGCTGAGATGCTGCTGCTGCTGCTGATGGGATTGAAATAAGTCACAAGTAAGTCTCCAGTTGAGATTTACTCAAAGATTCTCTTTCCTCTGGGTTTGCATTTCCGCCTTAATGCAAACATTGTAATTGTTACGGACCAAGGCATTGAGTGGACTGTGTGTGCTTGCGAGAGGTCTGCCATAATTCTGCCAGTAACACTATCCCCCTCTGGAAAGCCAGGAAGCAGGTCCCCTGTTTCTCTCCAGCAAGCAAAGATGAAAGGCCCTGGAAAATCTCTGTGGCTCCTGCCAACATGGGGAGTTACCCCACTGTGCCCCAGCATGGCCAGCAAATACAGGAACAGGAGCATAGCTGCTGCTCATACTGTCCCAACAAACCCAGGCTGTTCCTGGAGCTGCCACGGTACCCAGGCTGTGGGATGGTGAGCGCAGGGTGGCAGGACCTTGGCTAGCTGCCCCACCCAGCCATGGCTCCCAAGTCTCAGGCTGGACATGCTGTGGCTCCAGGGCTCCAGAGGTCAATGCCCCAGCTCTTCCCAATTTCCTAACATACCTCTCTGTCCCCGAATCTCAGATGTGCATTTAGGAGCTGGCCTGGCGACGACTCTGAGTAACTGCCACTATTCTTGGATTTCTTGTCCCTTTACCTGTAGTGCAATAAGTCACATCCCAAGCCTGCATCATTCTTGGATGCATTCTGTCCTGGAAGACCCCACAGCCATACCCACTGGCAGCTCAACTCACCCACAGCAATAGGCATGGCTTCAGTTCTTTCCAACAGGCTTTTCTGAGCTTCCACAAACACTCTTCTCCCAGGAAAGACTCTCCTACCATTTTGAAAAAAATGCTCAGGAATTCCTGAAATCTAGTACAGAGTAGTAAGAAGCTGTGTTGCAGTCTGGGAACCCAGGGAGGTGAGAGGAACTCAGAGCTGGAAAGGAGCATGCGGGAACAGTTTTCCACATGACCATACCGCTGGCTTCCACACCTGGAGCAGCTTTCCACATGACCGTACCGCTGGCCTCCACAGCTGGGGCAGTTTCCACTCTACCCTACCGCCAGCCTCCACTCCTAGAGCACTTTCTACACTACCCTACCGCCAGCCTCCACACCTGGAGCAGTTTCTACTCTACCCTACCGCCAGCCTCCACACCTGGAGCAGTTTCTACACTACCCTACCGCCAGCCTCCACACCTGGAACAGTTTCTACTCTACCCTACCGCCAGCCTCCACACCTGGAGCAGTTTCTACTCTACCCTACCGCCAGCCTCCACACCTGGAGCAGTTTCTACACTACCCTACTGCCAGCCTCCACACCTGGAGCAGTTTCCACTCTACCCTACTACCAGCCTCCACACCTGGAGCAGTTTCTACACTCCCCTACTGCCAGCCTCCACACCTGGGGCAGTTTCTACCCTACCCTACTGCCAGCCTCCACACCTGGAGCAGTTTCCACTCTACCCTACTGCCAGCCTCCACACCTGGAGCACTTTCTACACTACCCTACGGCCGGCCTCCACACCTCTGACATATTTGACTATTTGTTTATGAAAGGCCACCAGCTAACTGCATCCTGATGGAAAACAATTTGTAAGTTACTAGGCACTGAGAGGATAATGACCTTCAGGAGAGGAATTCTAGGGTGGTATTCAGCCAAAGGACAGCAGAAGGAAGGGTAAGGGGACAGGGCAGGGTCCAGAGTAGGAAGGGTTTCCAGGGCAAAGACAACAAGTTATATAGAGGCCAAATGTTCCCATAGGGCGAGAATGAAAGTGGCATGGCCTTAAATTTCAAATAACTTTGGTAAATCAGAGATTAGATACTGGAGGCCATAATTATAATTTACCAACTATTGTAGATTATAAACTATGACATATAGTATTGAATTATCATTCCACTGTACTTTGAAAACTAGCCTCAGTTGTTTAAAGTATACAGTAGCTACCTTGAGCCAGCTTTCCCAAGGCCTCCCTGGGTTTAGCTGATCATATTCCATTTCCAGGGTTACAAATTCTAGAACTGAACCTTTGGTAAGAGCAAATTTACAAGTTAATAACCCATTTCCACAGCACTTCGTTTTATGCTAACATTTCTTTTGTGCTCTTGAAAAATGAGTGTAGCTATATGTCTGTGAAATGATGTTAAATGAGCACATAAAGACATACAGTGAACATTGAAGAATCTGTGAAACACTATAAATTCTCTAGTCTCTGGCAAACTTTATGTTTGAAACTGACTGTGCTAAAAGTAAAAAACATAGTTCTCATCCTGGGGCAAAACCTTCAAGCAAAGATGTTTTTCCTTCTCTTGAAACTATTCTAAACCTAAAAGTTATTCTCTGTTCTAAACTGAAACATTCAGGAGGATAAGAACCATAATTACTCATTTTTGTATTCTAGTATCTAATACACAGTAGGTGGCTGATAAATGTTTGCAAATCAATAAAGAAATTAACTGCATCATTCTTTTCTTTTCTTTTCTTTTCTTTTTTTTTTTTGATATGGATTCTCGCTCTGTCACCAGGCTGGAGTGCAGTGGCGCGTTCTTGGCTCACTGCAAGCTCTGCCTCCCAAGTTCAAGCGATTCTCCTGTCTCAGCCTCCTGAGTAGCTGTGATGACTACAGGCGCGTGCTACCACGCCAAGCTAATTTTTGTATTTTTAGTAGGGACGGTTTCACCATGTTGGCCAGGATGGTCTCGATCTCCTGACCTTGTGATCCGCCAGCCTCAGCCTCCCAAAGTGCTGGAATTACAGGCATGAGCCACCTTGCCCGGCATTTTTTTTTTTTTTGAGACAAAGTCTCGCTCTTGTCCCCCAGGCTGGAGTGCAATGGCGCGATCTTGGCTCGCTGCAACCTCTGCCTCCCAGGTTCAAGCAATTCTCCTGCCTCAGCCTTCAGAGTAGCTGGGATTACAGGCGCCTGCCACCACACCTGGCTAATTTTTGTGTTTTAAGTAGAAATGGGGCTTTACCATGTTGGCCAGGCTGGTCTCGAACTCCTGACCTCAGGTGATCCACCTACCTTGGCCTCCCAAACTGCTGGGATTACAGGTGTGAGCCACCACACCCGGCCGCTCAGCCTTTGTTTTTGTTTTTTTTTGAGACAGAGTCTTGCTCTGTTGTCCAGGCTGGACTACAGTAGTGTGATCTTAGTTCACTGCAACCTCTGCCTCTTGGGTTCAAGCGATTCTCATGTCTCAGCCTCCCAAGTAGCTGGGATTATAGGTGTGTGCCACCACACTCAGCAAATTTTTGTATTTTTAGTAGAGACGGGGTTTCAGCATGTTGGCCAGGCTGGTCTCCAACTCCTGCCTCAAGTGATCTACCTGCTTCAGCCGCCCAAAGTGCTGGGATTACAGGCGTGAGCCACCACACCCGGCCGCCCAGCCTTTTTTTTTTTTTTTTTTTTTGAGACCGTCTCACTCTGTTGCCCAAGCTGGACTGCAGTAGTGTGATCTTAGTTCACTGCAACCTCTGCCTCCTAGGTTCAAGTGATTCTCGTGTCTCAGCCTCCCAAGTAGCTGGGATTACAGGCATGTGCCACCACAGTCAGCAAATTTTTGTATTTTTAGTAGAGACGGGGTTTCAGCATGTTGGCCAAGCTGGTCTCAAACTCCCGGCCTCAAGTATCCACCTGCCTCTGCCTCCCATAGTGCTGGGATTACAGGTGTGAGCCACCGTGCCCAGCCTGCATCATTATTTTCAATTTGATAATTCAATGATCTATAGCTGAAAAGCATTTTCACACAAGTTGAAAACTGACAACCAAATGTATAAATTAGGCAAAAGTGATCTAAGGTGTAATAATATTGGCTAGAAAAGACTTACTTTGGTTGAGAATTGCTATGAATATTACACACACAGAAACACACACACACACACACCCCTCAGAAACAATTTGGTGAAACTTAAAATTATTTGGTTATGAAGCGAAATATTTTGAGATGCCATTTAAAAGATATTTGCAAAAGTACCTGTAATTATAAAACTGAAAGAATGGTATTGGAAAAAGCATTAGTAACTTATCAATGTAGTGTTTTGAGAATTAAGTGATATGACACGTGTAAAGCCTTAGTGCTCTGTGTATGTTGGATGGTGATGGTAAAGGAAGTGTTGTTACCACTTAAATTTGTAAAACCTTAAAAATATCAATTTGAAATTGTAATTAGTTAACAAAACATTTACCGATCACCTAGGATATGCCAATTCTGTATAAGGTACTGGAGATCAATAGATTAATAAGACATGGTTCCTGCCCCCAGTATGCCATGGAGAGACCACCATAAATAATTAAAATGTAGCGCACGTGGTGCGAAATGTACTCAAAGCTCTATGGGGACACAGTAAGGTAAGCAACTCACCCTGTTTAGAAGAGAACATGAAGGCTTCATAGCAAAGTGACCTTGGAATTGGATCCAGAGGATTCATACAACAGAGGAAGAAAAGTTCTCCAAGCAAAGAAAACAAATATTCAAAAACCCAGAAGCAGGTCACATGCAGGGCACCCATTTTCATTAAAGTATAGACAACAGAGAGCAGAAGTAGGTGAGATTGGGAAGATAGATGACTTCCAGCTGTCAAAGGCCCTATGGATATATAATTTTTCTTGTAAACAATGTAAAACCACCCAAATTTTGCAAATGTAACTTATTTTAAAATAGCATTTTATCAATACTTTGGAGACCTTATGAGAGCTGAGCCACTGAAAAAGCAGAGAATGATATAGACGTCTGATAATGTTTCAGAAGATAGACTCTAGCTTTGCTGTCTTTCCCCGGGAGGCACTGAGAGCAGCTGCAATGTTATCAGCCGCAGTTGCACTCCAGTGAACTTAAAGAACTTAATTTAGTATCAGGGATTAATTAAGGCATTGGGAAGAATCTGGCTCATTGCCCCTGACCAAGGTTGTTAAACAATGCTGTTTCTGCATATATTATACACAAAACTAAGATGAATCCTGATTTCCTTGGATTTCAGTGTTTCCTCTTATAATTGCACATGCAGAGACATGAGAAAAATCAAGCTAACTCCAAGGCAATTAACTACAAATATGAAGGATTCTCTTCATGTATTTATTTAACTACTCTTTGGAAACTCTATATTGACAAGTGTGTGATGGTCTTTATATATGAATCCTTCTCTTTAGAAATGAAAGTACCTATTAAAAATTTAAAAGTACTGACTATTATGAATATAAATGGCATTTCAAATACTATGGGCTTCAAAATGTTCTATCCTATGCGATAAGAAATGAAAGCCTCTCAGTCCAAAAGTTAGGTTTTGAAGGTGAGCATTTTACATTTTCTATATCCACTGTGACATTTTATTATAGGAAGAAATCTTCTTGGAATAATATGACTATTTCTTTTTTTTAAATTTTTATTATTATTATACTTTAAGAAATAATGTGACTATTTCTTACATTTAGTAGAGAGCTGTTTGTAGGTAGGGATATGGAGTTGTTTCAATAGACTTTTATTGTTATACATTTTCATGACAGCTACTTAGAGTTCATTCCTGATTCTCTTTATTACATTTAAATTTGGTGACTTGGATGGTCACAGCACTAAATGTCTTTCTTTTCCTTCAGGGAGATTTGTACATGTTTTGATGGACACTTAGTGTCATGATGAAAAATAAATTGTCTCTATTTTTCCTTTCCAATGTCAATAATTTTGTATGATTATATGCCTTCTGAAATTGCTGTTGTTCTATTGCATTTTCAAGGTCCACTTAAGTACTCAAATCTACTCACAGTTATATCCCTGGGTGGCAGTTTAAAAAATGTAAAATATTACATAGCAAAACAAAGTCTGTCTTTAAAGAAAGACGGCATTTTTATCTCCATTTAAAGGAAAGTTATAGAGCTTTTACCCATCTCAAAAGCCCAGAAAGGTTAAATAACTACCCAAGGTCACATAACTTGTAAATGGCAGATCTGCCCGACTCCAAACTTCTCAGCCTCCCACTGACATCCCAGGGCCTCAGTTCATATCAGCGTGAAGCAACTGATGCTTCAACATGGGTACCCCTGGATGCCTGGCCTCAGGCAGATGAGGAGCTGAAATGCTGTCTTTTTCTACACTTATTCATTCAAAAAACATTTTTCAAGTACCAGATGCAGGGCCCTATGTTTGCAACAATAAATCCTGTTCTTGGCCCGAGAAAGGCTTTGCCAAATGAGGGATGGAATCTTATGAATTAAAAAAAGAAGAAAGAAAAAGCACAATTACACGTTAAGTGCTGTAAAAAGGAACGTGGAAGAATAGAGAAGGAACGGAATCTTCTACTGCGATAGGGTGTGGGGTAGGATGGTGAGATGGGCATGGGGCCCGCCTGTCCCTGGAAGCTGTGCAAAAGAGATGGGTAGACAGAGATAAGTGTCCACCACAATCAGGAATTAGATGAAATCCAAACTCCTTTTTTAAAAAACTTAAATCCTCAAGATTGCTCAAATCCGATTTTTATTTTTACTTTTATATCCGATACACTACCTACTCCTGCTTATATTTCTCAAATCAAGCTCTCCTTTCAATACCCATTTTCACCATCTTATCCAAAGATACCACTACCCTAATAACACGTTACAAGGATGGAATATTACCTTAAAAAGGTTTAACTTCTTCAACCCTTCTAATCTGCCCTACTTACTGCCGCCGGATCTATCTTCTTGGAATGCATTCTTGACCATGTTATTTTTATTCTCAAAACTTTTTAATGGCTTCTTAGGACCAAAGTAATTGGTTGCAAGTTATGTTTGCAATCCACTCCACTTTTGTAAGTAAAATCTTAGACATAGAACTCCAACGACTAAAGTACATTAAAATGTAATTTATTTGCAGAAGAATTGTCTCCAGCCCTGTGGGCCTTGGGGATTGGGAAAACATCGTTTTTAAACACAAAGGATCAAGAAGTACTCCTTGGAGCAGCATTAATAGGCACCAATACTACGAACTAGAATTTAGAGCCTTGCCACTGGCCAGCGCTGGGGTCAGTCGGGAGCATGCCAGCAAGGCTGACCCTCAGTTTCACTGAGGCCGGAGTCATAAGCAGCACTTTAAAGATCCCTGGGTAATTTGGATGCATTTTGAGAGGTGAGCCGCATAGATTTAAGGTACTTTAGCATTCTGCAGCTTTCACTTATTGATTGTATGATTCCCACCGTCTGACCCCAGCAGTCTTCACCGAAGGTGAACACCCACTAGAAGCATACATTACTATATTTCATGTTGACAAGTGAGGCCAGCTGGACTTCCTGGGTCGAGTGGGGACTTGGGGAACTTTCCTGTGTCTTACAAGAGAATTGTAAGACGCACCAATCAGCACTCAGTAAAACACACCAATCAGGACTCTGTAAAACGCACCAATCAGCACTCTGTAAAATACACCAATCAGCAGGATTCTAAAAGTAGCCAATCATGGGAAGGATTGAAAAAAAGGCACTCTGATAGGACAGAAACGCTGATAGGACAGAAACGGAACATGGGAGGGGACAATAAGGAAATAAAAGCTGCCTGCCCCCCACACCATCAGCCAGCAGCAACAACCCGTTCTGATACCCTTGCAAGCTGTGGAAGGTTTGTCCGTTGGCTCTTCACAATAAACCTTGCTACTCATCACTGTTTGGGTCCCTACCATCTTTAAAAGCTGTAATACTCACCTGCTATCTTTAAGAGCTGTAACGCTTATTGTGACGATCCGGGACTCCATTCTTGGAAGTCAGCAAGACCACAGCAGAAACCGACTCCAGACAGTTTCCTGTGCTCCAGGTGTGCGGGGGCCCCTTCCTCTTAGGCTGTGTTGTGTGTTCTCACTTTTACTTCACCATCTGAGTTTTCCTGCCCACCCTGTTCCCTACCCTCAACTTCTGCCAATCGGAAAACAACCTATAAAACGCAGCACCAAGATTCCCACCGCCCCCTCCCTCCCACTATGTGGTTCCTTCTCAATTTCTCAAACAGGTGAGATCTATTTTCTTGAGACTTCATAGCACTCACCACAATGCTTAAGAGAATTGGTGTGTTAGATTTTCGAGGTTTTAGTATTTGGTTTTCATTTTACCTCCTCCCAGATAGAAGACTTTGAGGGATCGAGAACTTTTGGTGCTTAGCATGATGTTTCAAGTATTCATGAAATATTTCGGGAATGGAACTGATAGTTACTGAAAAGAGATGTCAGCGGAAGGGGAGTAAGCTGAAGTCAAAGGACCAAGGCTCTAATTCTACCCCTGCCAAAACCCAAGGTACCTTAGTCAAGCTCCCTAAGGCCTGTAATTCAACTTCTGTGACATGAAGAGTCCTTTTCAAACTCTAGGATTATATTATTTGTGGGTGGAGGTGGTCATGTGTGAAACATCTGCCAAGACTATAAATTTCAACTCACATTCATGATGTTAGAAAACTGAAGTCCATCCTATATATTTACTCTCAAAAATATACACAAAAATATGAAAAATGAAAGCAACACTCTGAAACCAAATTCCATGGAGTTACCAGGTTTCCAATTACATGTCATTTTTTTTAAAAAAATCTTGAAGTCAGTTTATTTATTCAGCTAAAAATCTCCCTTCAAAAGCCTTTAAAGAAAGCTTATAAGATGCTTATAATGAAAGGTTTATAATACCACAAAATGATATGAACTAAAGAAAAATAAGAGTGGGAAAATGGGACAGAACAGAGTGAAGCCCAGAGGCAAAGCAAAATTTTATTAAGACAATTATTTGCAGCTTTTCTAATGTACAAGTAGACAACAGAGATCCTGAAGTTATTCTGCACAAAGCTTTAGCATCCAACCTAGAAAGGAAACGTCCCCCAGATAAACAACTCATAAACTTCACAAGGTAAGTACAAACCAGCTGCAGAGAAATACAGCTGTTTCTGAGTCCTTCATAAGAACGTTATTATGTAACAAACTATGCTCTCAGAGACATTATAGTAGATAAAATGATGGGTTTTCATAGGGTATTCTAAGAGTCCTCGTGGTCTGATGGCATCAAATTGATTTTGATTTCATTAAATTTAATTCTACAAGAGTCAGCATGGAACAGATAACCACAAGCTCTCTAATGATCTGACATGGTTCAAGGCCATATTTTAGAATATCGTGCACATAAAACAGGCTCTGTCATCTTTACAATCAAGATTTGATGAATATTGGAGACAAAAGCTAAAAACATCCAGTAAGTATTTGGAAGGTACACATTTAGCATTGAGAGTTGAATGAGGACTTGTGAATGAAGACACTGGAGCTGGATTGGGGTTGGCTGCCCTTAGGAAAGCCAAGAAGCTTGTGGAGACATAGTTACCTGCCCAAAGATAATGCCACATTTCAATAGGAAAATGGCTTTGCATATTTTCCCATGCACAAATGGACAACGGAACCCCCGAAGTTATTGCCTGTGTGACTCCAGTGATTTTAACCTTCAAAAATTTAAGGCAGGTAGAGATAGAGAACCATGGAGTGCAAAGGGAAATAGAAATGTTTTAATGCACACGGGACACAAAGGAGTTTTACTGTACCTGGATTTAACTTTAACAAATGATTTTTTGCTTTCTCCAAAATGACACTGGTCATTTGGCAAGATGGAATGCTGACTGGGAATTGTTTTTCCTTTTTCTTATTGTTATTTCAATAGACTTTTGGGGAACAGATGTTGTTTAGTTACATGAATAAGTTCTTTAATGGTGACTCCTGAGATTTTGGTGCACCATCACCCAAGCAGTGTACTTTACCCAACGTGTAGTCTTTTATCCTTCACCCCACTCCCACCCTTCCCCCTAGTCCTCAAAGTCCAATGTATCATTCTTATGCCTTTGCATCCTCATAACGTAGTTCTCACTTACAAGTGAGAATATACGATGTTTGGTTTCCATTCCTGAGTTACTTCACTTAGAATAATGATCTCTAACTCCATCCAGGTTGCTGCGAGTGCTACTATTTCATTCCTTCTTACAGCTGAGTAGTTGAACAGGAAATTTTAATAAAGATCGTTTTAAAGGCATAGAAAAAAAGGTGCAAAAGTACATTAAAATGTTACAGGTGCTGGGATTACAATTTATTTTATACTTTATTTTTAAAATTTCTACAATGTATGTGAATTATAAGCATGAATACAATAAATATTAAGTAATGATAAAGATACAAAGAAAAATACGTCATTCCATTGCAAGGTGAATGAAGACTGCCGTCAAAAGAGCTATTAGATGTTTATTCTACAGAAGACAGGAAGTCTGAATTTTGGCCATTTTCTGAGGGGAAAAAAGACAAATTAATAAAGATGAATTGCCTAGAGATTTTAATGAAAGTGAACATACAACAGCAGCATACTTATTACCTTGAATTGGTGATTTAATAGAGGCACAGCTGGTAGCACAATACATATTGTTTAAACTATTTGAGCACATCTGGTCATATCCTATTAAATCATTTAAATCCAGGTAAAATTGGAGACCTCCCCACGTCCATGGGAATTATGACAGAAAACTTTCCGAACAGCAAAACACATGCAAGGAGACACAGTAATACCTACAGAAAAACCTTACTAGTATTCAAGTTAAATTAGGTATTTGTTGGACCCTGGGATAAATGTGGAAATTGACAAACACAATTAAAAGACTTACTTTGGCCAGGCGCGGTGGCTCAGGCCTGTAATCCCAGCACTTTGGGAGGCCGAGGCGGGTGGATCACAAGGTCAGGAGATCGAGACCATCCTGGCTAACACGGTGAAACCCCATCTCTACTAAAAAATACAAAAAATCAGCCAGGTGTGGTGGCAGGCGCCTGTAGTCCCAGCTACTCGAGAGGCTGAGGCAGGAGAATGGCGTGAACCCAGGAGGCCAGAGCTTGTAGTGAGCGGAGATCGCGCCACTACACTCCAGCCTGGACGACAGAGCGAGACTCCATCTCAAAAAAAAAAAAAAGACTTACTTTGCTTCAGGAATACTGACATTTTTAAATGAAGGAGAGAATCATAAAGTTGTAACTACATTCTAAGAGCAGACAGCTTTTAAGTGACAGGTCTTACAGAGGCATATCTTTAGTCATACATGCAACCATTCACTAACCAAACACTTTTTACAGAACTAGTATGTATGTGCCTGCCACTGATGCACATTGGTGATGAAGTGGTGAACCCGGTAATTACAGAGCTTACAGTCAAAGGTGGAGAGGAGCAGATAGTACACTAAAGTGTGATGTGTGCTTGTGATACAATAAAATAAATATTTGGTTTTTGTCCCTAGTTCCCAGCATACCGCTCTTAAAAGCCTTGGAGATCTCCAGAGTAATAAGACAGTCTTTGATATACTGATGAGTGATTGGTGGCTGGGGACCCCAGAGGGTTTCAAGGTTGGGACAGTTCACTAGAAAGATCAAGACATGATTAGAGGGTGGGAAATTTCAGCCCCAACCCCAAACTCCAGGGATAGGAGAGGAGCCAGAGGTTGAGTTCAATCGCCAAAGGCAAATGATTTAATCTATCATGCCTACATAATGAAACCCCTCCATGACTTGGAGTTCCTGGGTTGGTGAACACATTCACATGCTGTAGGGTGGTGAACCTCAACTCCACAGGGACAGAAGCTCCTATGCAGAGACTCCTCCAGACCAAGCCCTGTGTACTTCTTCATCTGGCTGTTCATTTGTATCCTTGATAATATTCTTTATAATAAACCAGTAGTTGCTAAGTAAAGTGTTTCTTTGAGTTCTGTAAGCCATTCTAAGAAATTATTAACCTAAGAGGAGGGCGGTGGGAATCCCTGACTTTCTAGCCAAGTTGGACAAAATGTGGGTTGCCCAGGCACCCAATACTTGCATTGGCATGTGAAGTACAGGCAGCCTGCTGGGTCAGCACTAACTCCAGGTAATTAGCATAGGAACTAAATGAAAATATAGGACATACAGGCTGAGCGCGGTAGCTCATGCTTGTAATCCCAGCACTCCGGGAGGCCGAGGTGGGCGGATCACCTGAGGTTGGGAGTTCGAGACTAGCCTGACCAACATGGAGAAACTCTGTCTCTACTAAAAATGCAAAAAATTAGCTGGTTGTGGTGGCACATGCCTGTAATCCCAGCTACTCTGGAGGCTGAGGCAGGAGAATCGCTTGAACCCGGGAGGCGGAGGTTGCGGTGAGCTGAGATTGTGCCATTGCACTCCAGCCTGGGCAACAAGAGCGAAACTCCATCTTAAAAAAAAAAAAGAAAAGAAAATATAGGGCATATAGTTGATGTTCAAAAATTCAGAGATTTGGTTGGTGTTGATTGGTTGGTGCCAGAAGTGCTAAGCATAAAAAAAGCTCATAATAGAACTATGTAGGGAAAGTATCTTACTATTTTAAAGAAGGCCCAAAACAGAGAGATTTAGAGAGTAAGTAACATGTAATTTTAGAACTTTCCTACAGCTGAATTGTTAATAATCCATAACGCAGAAACCATAACTAAAATTGTGAACTCTCCCTGACACTACCAATTAACAAAGCATTGTTTTTCAACCTTTGAAAACCTCTAATTCATTTATTAAATGAATTTGCTAACGTTGGGGACTTTGCCTTCTCCATCCTGAGCATCATTCCATCTGGCCCACAGTAGCATTCAATAAATGACTGTTGAGTGAATGAACAAACTGCTCAGTAAGGAAGTGTTTATTTGGAGCCTCAATGTTACTTTTTATCATCTTTTTTGAAGAGATTCACAACAGAATTCTCGTATGTCTGGAAAAACATATATGGAGAGAAACAGGGAAAGTATAACAAATGTCTGAAATTTGCCTTGGAAATGGCCTTAAAATGTTGAGGAAGTTTGAGCCTCATGAAAAATTTAATTAAATAATTTCAATTATTGAAATTACCACTCTTGGCCAGGTGCCATGGCTCACGCCTGTAATCCCAGCACTTTGGGAGGCCAAGGTGGGCAGATCATGAGGTCAAGAGATCGAGACCATCCTGGTCAACATTGTGAAACCCCGTCTCTACTAAAAATACAAAAATTAGCTGGGCGTGGTGGTGCGCGCCTGTAGTCCCAGCTACTTGGGAAGCTGAGGCAGGAGAATCACTTGAACCAGGGAGGCAGAGGTTGCAGTGAGCTGAGATTGCACCACTGCACTCCAGCCTGGGCGACAGTGGGAGACTCTGTCTCAAAAAAAAAAAAAAGAAAAAAAAGAAATTACCACTCTTGTAAAAATCACAGGAAAGGCTGACTGAGATACCATTCCACCAGATGCCACTCTATCTTGATGCCTCATGTTTGAATCTGTTCTATTTCTCAGAATAGAATAGTACTCTAATTACTAGCAATGTTTTGTTGACATTTGTTCAGAAAAAAATTTCCCGTTCTTATGTGTGATTTATTTTATAAAGCAACAAGAAAAATATTTCAGCAAAACACATCTATAATATCAATGTGATAATCATTTCTCTTTAAAAGATCATTTTAGAAGTGTTGAAACAAATTATTTCTTAAAGCAAAAATTTAGCTGCACAATTTATTATAGAGATCATGTACAATGTATTTTCTGTTTCACATAAGCCAATTACCTAACCAAAGCTTTAACCATTTATTGTCTCAAGACAGTTAAGAATACAAAATAAAGTTAAGACATGATCACTGTTTCAGGGAATTCAAACCTAGCTAGATGAACACACCGAAAGAAGCAAGCAAGATACTAAAAGTGACTAAATAATTTGTGAAATATATAATGGCATATGACATTGAAATCACATGATGCAAATAATTAATCAATAGCTTAGAGAAAATACCCTCAGTAAGAACTAGAGGAATCCAAAATGACCTCATAGAGGATGAGGAGCTGGGAAGAGCTTGAAGAAGAGAAAGAGTTTTACTAGGAGCACAGACATGGAAAGGCCGCCTAGCCAGGAGAATCTTAAAAGTCAATGTAGTACAGTAGATGGAAACCCCCTACGAAGCTGCTTTTTTGCCAGCTCTAGCTTGATCTAATCAGCATTGAAGTTGAAAGACATATTCTACCAAAAATTGCAATTCTGGAGAGACCTATAATAAATACATATATGAATATATATTAATATATATGAATACATATCACAGGAATATATACGATACATAGCAGAAGATTATATATATCTCATATCTGAGGGGTTTATATATGTAAGTATCATATCAATGGGACTCAAATTCTATCTATGAACACAGATGCTCCAAGACATAAATTCCTCACCCTTGAAGCTTGCTCTTCCCAAAAATCCCCTCAGAGAAAATGGCATCTTTCTTCAGATCCATAAATTTCACTCTCAGTGGCTAAAATCATTCCACAGTCAGCCAATCAAGAAAGCTCGAGGAAGCAGTTTCTCCCACTGTGGGTGAGTCCGGGCCCCTGGTCTGGGGTTCCTCTTCCTGTCTGTCGCTGGGCGGCTCTTTAGTTCTCCGGTGGTGCCTTTCCATCAGGAGCGCCAAGGTGCTGCCTCCACCATCCTCTTAGAAGCTCTCCTTAGCCAAAACCCACTTTTTCCTATCATTTCCTAGTATGGCTTTCCAGATGACTTCTGCTGGGTTCCTTCCGTGGCTCAGTTCTCTGCTGTCAAAGTGCTGTGGGGCCAGAAACCGCTTCATTCAAGCCCTCTGTCTTACTAGTGATTTTCAACTAATAGTGATCTTACTTTCTGCTAGTGAATTACCAAAGCTTCCCCCTAAAACACGCTGTTTCTATTTTTATCTCATTTAGAAAGAGGCACTCATAAAAGCAAACAGCATTCATGGAGCACTTAATGTATGCCAGAGACTAGGTATCTACATGCATTCTCTAATTCAGTGCTCACAACAGCCATTTTACAAAGGAGGAAAATTTAGGTGTAAAGACATTAACAAATTACTTAAGGCTAAAAGAGGCAGAGTCTCAACTTCAGCCTAGGCCTGCCTAATTCTGATGATCAATAACCAATTTCCAGCCTCTCACCATCGAGTGTTTGCAAATTCTCTGAATTTTGAGTTTAGTCTTCCATCTTCTAAAGACACTTCTCACCAACTGATACATGTACCTTAGTCTTTTGTTATTATTTTTTGCTGGATTTATAGCTAAAATAATCCATTATTTTTCTTATCTTAAAATTATTCTTGAGTCTTTTCCTTTTCTTCCTATCACCTCATTTATCCAGTGCCATTTACAGCAAATTTCTTTGAAAAAATTATTAATATGCATTATCTGTCATTCTTCTCATTTTATTTTCTCTTGAAATTATTCTAATTGAACATTTGCCTTTACCACTCCGCTACTCTTCAATGACTTCCATGAAGCTAAATCCAGTGGCCAATTCCGGGCTATAATCCCACTGACTTTTTAGCCTAACTCACACTGGTTGACGACTCCCTGATCCAAAAGACACCACGTTCACATAGCTCTAGGATATGGCCCTGAGTACTCTCTCCTAATTTTCCTTCCATTTCACTAGCTATTTCTTTCACAGCACTTGCCTCTCTCTCCTCATGTCCCCAAACTCTAAATATTGGCGTTCACCAGTGACCTCTGGCTTAGGCTTTCAGCCTCTTCTCTCTCTAACTTCAGTCCATCACTTATTGATCCAATCCAGTGTCATGGCTTAAAACATCCATATTTATATCTCTGCCTCTCCTTTCAATTCCTGACTCATCTATCTAACTACTTACTTGACACTTCTGCATTGACTCAATGTCCAAAAACCAAACTCCTCATCTGTCCCCTTAAACTTGCTTTTCCAGACATCCATTTGTTTGGGGGCCAAAATATGCAATTCTCCTTAGCTCTGCTCTTTTTCTCTTACCCTACGTCCAACCCATCACCAGACTGCACCAACTGTAAAAAGTAGCCTTAACTGCTGTCTCCTCCACAATGACCACCACTTCTGCCCAAGCCACTGTCCCCTCCCACCTGGACCATTGCAATAAACGTCTGTCACCCTACTCCTATCGTTGCACTCTTTTCCCTACAAGGCAGTCTGAATGCCATTTTTAAAAATTAAGCTAGATTATACCAGCTTATCAGTATCTGTATACATCAGCTAGAGGTGCCATAACAAAATACCACAGCCTAGGTGGCTTAAACAAGTAAAACGTTGCCTCACAGTTCTGAAGGCTGAAAGTCCAATGTCAAGGTGCCAGCAGGTTCAGTTTCTCTCGAGGCCTGTCTCCTTAGCTTGCAGGTGGCCACCTTCTCCCTGTGTCCTCACATGGTCTCCTCTGAGCACGTGAATCCCTGTGATCTCTCACATGTCTCAATCTCTTCTAATAAGGGCTCCAGTCCCATTGGAATAGGGCTCCAATCATAGAACCTCATTTAACTTTAATTATCTCTCCAAAGGCTTGACCTCCAAATGCATTCACTCTGGGGGCTAGAGCTTCCACATACAAATTTGGAAGGAATGTAATCCAGTCCATGAGGTATCATTCCATGGTTTTCCATCTCACTCAGAAACAAGCCAATGTCTTTTCAGTGGCTAGCAAAGTGTTGCGTGATTGAGACGTCCACGTCTCCACTCACTTCCTGGATACTGCAGTCAAGCAAACTGACCTCTTGCTGTTCCTGGAACTAACAGGAATTCTTCTATATTTGTTATTCTCTCTCCTCAGAAATTGTCTTTCCCTCACTCTCACCCACCCCTCAGGTCTTTACTCAAATGCCGCTTCTCCACGGAACCTTCCTACCTAATTTTCAGTTGTAATTCCTGGCACCATCCTCACACCATAACACCTTTTCCTGTTTTATTTTCCAGCAAGACACCTGTCACCCTCTCTCTCAATATTGACATGACATATATTTTACCTGTGTATGTGTTTATTGTCTGTCGCTGAGCTTCATGGTGGCTGAGGTTTTTGTTTTGTTCAGTGCTGTTCGCCATCATCTGAAACAGCAACAAATATTCTATCAAGGTGACAGAAATTCATGACTATTTTCAAGGGTATACTGCTGATAGGAATTATTAACTATCTCTGAAATTTATTTGGTCTTGGCCAATAAGTGACCTCCACTTTCCCCTACTTATTAATAAACTTTTACTTGTTCTTAGACATCTCTCTGGCTGCTGACTTTGCACAACTACTCAAAACCATTATTATTTCTTGCTTCTTTGCTTGTATACTTAGAACATGCTGAAATCAGCACATACAAATTCATAAATTCAGACCTCAAGGGCTTTTCTATGAAAGTCCGTGGGTTATTGAGGTGTTAAAATAAACAAAAGTACTGTAAACAGAAAATTTAAAGATGAGAATGTTTATCAAATGCCTACCATGCACCAGGCAATTGATAAACAATTTCATTGAACCTTTACAACAAGCCAATATGTTATTAGGGTTGTTTATATTAAGTCTATTATCTCTTCTTACACTCAAGAGTCTATGTTATTCCTTTAATTTAATAAAATTACATTTTTTCAGAGTGTGCAATGTTAATTTACAACCCTCAAAAATTTTATATAACAAGCAGTTTATCGTCCCAAGTAAGCTACCATTCTCTTGTCTGTACACATATCTGCCTTTTCTCACATAGGTACCCTAGGAATCAATCTTGGTCTGAGAGACTGCATATTAACAGGAGGCCAGGAAGGCAAGAACAGGGGTGTGCCATCATCTAGTCACCTCTGGAGCAGAGCTTTGCAAAGAGCATTCCTCAGGAAGATTCCTCAGAGGTCCTCTACAATTCTCCAAAACCAGCATAATGTAGTTAGTAAGAATATGGATTCCTGAAGTCATATCCCAGCTCTCTCACTCACTTCTCTGTAAAATGAGGACAATGATGATGATAATGATGATGATTAGTACTCCTAGAGGTATGATGAGGATAAAATAAAATAATACATGAAAACAATTTTGAATTGCGCTCAGCACCTGTAAAAGCATTCAAAGGAAGTGATTATGCTACATGTTACTTTTTTATTTGTATAAAAGTACCACAAATGTATTTTATCCAGATGATAAACATTTAGTTGATTTCCAATTTTTCACTTTAATAAACAATGTCAAGCTAAACATTCTCATGCATGTTTCCATTACTCCAGGGCATATGCAAAGAACAGCAATTGCTGAGTGTGAACAAATGTTCATCTTCATTTTGTCTGGATATTCCAAACTTGTTCTCTAACGTGTCTGGACCAAGTTCTGTTTCCCCCAGCAGTGTATGACACCCTCACCATCATTTCATATTGTCAGACTTTATAAATGTACCTGTCCAACATGTGTGAAATGACATCATTAGGTATTCCATCTTCATTTTTCTGATTATTGTGAAGTTGAGCATATTTTCATTTTGTTGGCCCTTTTTATTTCCTTTTCTGCCAATTGCTTATTCACTATCATTTCTGATGGTGTATTTTATTGGTTAAGGCAATGCATAAAGCCAGCCTAGGTTCAAGGGGAAAAAAATAGGGCCCATGTCTCAGTGAGTGGAGCAGCAGGCACATGAAGAGGGAAGGCGGGAATTGATGGTGGCCACCGTTGGAGACAACCTACGACAATCTATTGTGTCCATTTGTCAGTTGTACTGTTTGCCTTTTTGTAGTTATTTTGGCTAATTTTAGAGGCATTATTCACATCTTCCAGATAATAATTATTTGTAATTTACGTATATAATAAATTTACATATATAATAAATTTACGTATATAATAATGCATAGCATTATTTACATTTTATGGTATCTTTTGACTCATAGAAATGTTCATGGTAAATGTAGTCAAATTCATTGCCATTGTCTTCTATGAATTGTAATTTTATGTCTCATTTAAGAAAATCTTTGCTATCACAAAGTCATCAAGCTTATTCGGCTGTTTTCCTCAAAATACTTTAAATTTTTGTATCTACATTTGGATCACAGACCGTTTGGTATTTATTTTAGTACAGAATATGAGGTAAGAATAGAATCTATTTTAACTTGTTTTCATGTAACAAGTCAACTGCCTCAGCACAATCTGTTGAAGAGTCTAGATTTCTTCACTGCTGTGTTATGTTCTTCCATCCTATATTTTCGTATACTTTTAGATCTATTTATGGTCTCCCTAGCTATAACACAATACTACTGTTAAAACAAGTGTTAATATTTGATTTGATGAACCTCATTTCTTCTTCTTCAATTTGTCTTGGTTTTCCATGGCTCTTTACATTGTAAGTACAATCAGTTTGTCAAGTTCCACTTATTGGTGCCTTTATTGCTATTGTAATGAATTTTAAATCTTAATTATATTGTAAGCAATCCAAATAAGAATCTTGCTTGGCATTTTTCATTTTTGTAGAGAAATTCACAAACTGATTCTAAAATTAATATAAAACCATCTAGAATGCAGAAATCTAGTATATTCAATGCAATATTTAAAAAGAAAAATAAAGTGGGCAGACTTGTACTATTTGGTTCCAAGACTTAACAATAAATCTGTAGTAATCAAGATATTATGTGATACTAGCAGAGGATTGACAAGTAGATCAATGGAACAGAAAAGAGAGCCCAGAAATAAACCCATGTCTCTACTGACTTTTGATTTCTAAGAAAGTCACCCAAGCAATGCAATAGGGAGAAGAAAACAAGCAGAGCTGGGAAAACCGAATGTCCATATGGAGAAAAAAATGAGTCATGACACCTACCTCAAGCCAAACAAACAAACTCAAAATGGACTATCGACTGAAAAATAAAGCTAAAACAGTATAGTTTCTAAAAGAAAATAGGATGTCTTCATGACATAGGGGCAGGCAAAGCATTCTTTAGTAGAAGACCAAAATTAAAAACCATAAAATACTTTCTCAAAATGAAAAATAAATCTGCTCAAATATAGAAACCTTAAAAACTCAAATAAGAAAGCTACAGATTGGGAGGAAATATTCGTTTATCTGACAAAGATGAGCTATATAAAGAGTTTCTTCAATTCAGTAATAAAAAGACAAACAGCCTAAAAAATGTGGAAAAGACTTGAATAGATACTTCACAAAGCATCATATATAAATGACCAATAAGCACATGAAAAATTGCTGGGCATCATTAGTCATCAGAGAAATGCAAATGAAACTATAATGAGATATAGCTAAATACCCATTAGACTGCCTAAAATTTAAAAAGACTGACAACACTAAATATTGGTGAGGATGAGAAGAATCGGAACTCTCATGCATTGTAAGCAGGAATGTAAAATAGTAAAACTCTGGAAAAAAATATTGGGTAGTTTCTTATAAAATTAAACACACATACCATGGCTTAGCAATTCTCCTAGAATCGTGTTATATTAATTCAATGAAATATTATTCAATAAAAAAGGACAAGCTTCTAATATACAAACAGCACGAAAGAATCTCAAATGCCTTATGCTGGGTGACAGAAGGCTTAGTCAAAACAACGGACACTGTATGGATTCCATTTATATAAACTGCTAAAATAAGAAAACTAATCCTTAATATAAAAACTCAGAACAGTGGTTGCCTATGAGGGGTAGGCACACAGGGAGTTTTCTGGGGGTGGTGGTAATAGTCCACATCTGAACAGGGATTTGAATATTATCCAAATGTCAAAACTCATAGAACTGTTTCAAAGCAATTGATGTATAGCAAGCCTTCACTTTTACTGGAAAAATGATCTTCCTGAGATTGGTCTTTCTTTTGTTGGGGAAATTTCCCCTAGGGGGAAATGAGGACACAGAGAACTGTATAATGCACGGGGAATCAATGCAGAAAAGGAAGATCACAAGCTTTGATATGAAACAAAGCTGGACCCAGCCACGCATTAACTCTGTGACTTAAGGCAAGGTCACTGACCTTGCTGAAACTAATCTTATTCAAAATGAAGGATAAGAATTCTGAAATGAGCATTTCCTGGGAGAATTAGTATAAATTTATATTATGTTTTTGAGTCCCTTTTTTAGAGCTAGTGTAACCCCTCTGAGGCATCTAGTTTTTTGCAGGGGTTCAAGTCCAGCTCCCAATTTGGTGCAAGATGAACATGATGAGTTCCAAGCGATAAAATAAATACAATCTCCACCGTTAAATATAACGTCACAAAACGCACAACACTAAAGACAAAAACAAAGTTCAAAATGCAGTAAGTAAAGGAAACAGAGATCATCTACAAATAAATTATAACTTGTAATTATACTCCTCATTAATAGTAGATGTCAAAAAGGAGGAAAATAATTTTCAAAATGCTTAGGGAAGACAAGAGCCAACTTAGCATTATTAAACTCAGGTAATAATTATCCAGTTGTGAAACCAAGTGAAGACATTTTCAGATAAATCAAATACAAAGAGAATTTACCATTCATAGAACTTCCCAGAAAGAAATACCAAAGGCTGTTCTTCAACAAGAAGTGAATGGAACCCAGAAGAAAGGCTTGGAATGCAAAGCAACTGATTGATCTGTTTATGAGTTTAAATAATCACTGACTATCAATAACAACAACTACAGGGTATTTTTTAAAGTGAATATGGAATAATTGAGAAAAGGGTATTGGCAGGAGTAATTGTGACCTAAAATACTTTAGAGTTCTTGTTTTTTGCGAAAGAAGGGTAGATATTTTGATTAGATTTAGACTCTATTCAGTAAACATTTTGAAAATTGGAAAGTAAATGCTAAAATAATGGAAACAGACATGTTATACACAAAGGAAACACAATTATTCCAACATAAATCAATGTAAGTGGAAAACGCAAAATAGTGAAAATAAATTTAAGTGTATTAATAATCAGTGTATAGAAATAGATTCAATTTTCCAGTAAAGGTCGGGTTTTTGGTTTTCTTTCTGAAGATCACCCAGGCTGGAGTGCAGTGGCGAGATCTCGGCTCACTGCAAGCTCTGCCTCCTGGGTTCACGCCATTCTCCTGCCTCAGCCTCCCGAGTAGCTGGGACTACAGGCGCCCGGCTAATTTTTTGTATTTTTAGTAGAGACGGGGTTTCATCGTTTTAGCCAGGATGGTCTCAATCTCCTGACCTCGTGATCCACCCACCTTGGCCTCCCAAAGTGCTGGGATTACTGGCGTGAGCCACCGTGCCCGGCAGGGGTTTATTTATTTATTTATTTATTTATTTATTTAATTTATTTTTAATCTGTTGATATTTACAAAGATGACCTGAAACATTGTGAAAGAGAAAGACAAGGGGCCAATAAAAGTTGAAAATATTCAACAAGCGAATACCATCACCAACAAAACCATTGTATCAATGTTAATTTCAAATAACATAAAATTTGAGATGAAAATATTATTAGCTATAAGAAGATTTATAACAGAGGAAAATTTTACCAAAAAGATATAGCAATCCTGACCCTACTAAAACCTATCAATAAAGGATAAAGAAAAAAGAAACTGAACATATGTAATTCTTCAGTGAAAATGGACTTAACAAGCAAAAATGAATACTACTAAGGATATAGATTTGAATGATGCAATTATATTTTTAACATGATAGTCTTATATAGAGAGCCCTGAAACCACAATTTCTAAGGAAACATAAAAGTCACAAAGATTGACTCAGAACTAGCCACAAAATAATTCCCCACAAATATTGAGCACTTATTATGCAAACCTCAGTACCTAACCCAAAACTAATAAAATTAAAGTTCCAATAACCAAAAAAATTATAAAAATATAGATTTAGGAAATTTTAATTCTTGTTCAAACAATTAATAATGTACTTCCAAAAACCAATAAGTTCATGAAAATATTATGATTCGAATGGAAAAAATATTAGGACCTGAATGCCCAAGATTAAAAAAAATTAATAAACTCAATATATCAAATCCTAGGCAATGGTAGTAAAATATAATCAACTTAAATAAAAAAATTTAAGATGCAAAAATTGAAAATTCGTGAGCTAAGTTTTCAAATCAAGTAGGTAAAGAAAAATAAGGGCAAAGAAAATAGAATCAGTAACAACATGGCTCCTAAATCCAAATGTTACTTTATTGTTTAGCCTGTGCAGAAGGCACCACCACATGAAAACAAACAAACAAACAAACAAAAACTTTCTTACACTTCTGTTTCTTTTCTTTTTTTTTTTTTTTGAGATGGAGTCTCGCTCTGTCGCCCAGGCTGGAGTGCAGTGGCACAATCTCAGTTCACTGCAAGCTGTGCCTCCCGGGTTCACGCCATTCTCCTCCCTCAGCCTCCCGAGTAGCTGGGACTACAGGCGCCTGCTACCACGCCCGGCTTATTTTTTGTATTTTTAGTAGAGACAGAGTTTCGCCGTGTTAGCCAGGATCCTGACCTCGTGATCCACCCGCCTCGGCCTCCCAAAGTGTTGGGATTACGGGCATGAGCCACCAGCACCTGGCCTACACTTCTGTTTCTAATCTTGCATGCAAAATTACGACCACCACTGGGTCCATGGGATAGGGATTTGAATAGAAAGTGCTAAGGAATTTAACAAACAGTTTACTAATTTCAGGTTGGCCTTCTGATCCAATTTTGACTTAATCATTTTTTTCTCCTCTTCCTGGTCATTTTCAATTCATTCTCCAAGATCTATTTCAAAAGGCAAATCTCTATTATAACATTATTTCTTTTTTTTTTTTTTTTTTTTTTTGAGACAGAGTCTCGCTCTCCCACCCAGGCTGGAGTTCAGTGGTGCGATCTCGCCTCCCGGGCTCACACCATTCTCCTGCCTCAGCCTCCCAAGTAGCTGGGACTACAGGCGCCTGCCACCACGCCCAGCTAATGTTTTGTATTTTTAGTAGAGACGGGGTTTCACGGTTTTAGCCAGGATGGTGTCCATCTCCTGATCTCGTCATCTGCACGCCTTGGCCTCCCAAAGTGCTGGGATTACAGGCGTGAGCCACCACGCCCGGCCAATTTTTTTGTATTTTTAGTACAGTCGGGGTTTCGCCATGTTAGCCAGGATGGTCTCGATCTCCTGACCTCGTGATCAACCCGCCTCGGCCTCCCAAAATGCTGGGATTACAGGCGTGAGCCACCGTACCCAGCCAATAACATTATTTCTTAGTCATTTCTTTCTGCAGTCTACCAAGATTCTTAAACTCACTAGTGTATTATATTTACTTGTTTATAACTGGGCCCACCTCCAGCCTGCTGAGCAAATGCAAATTAAGAGTAGTAGCCATGTTTCTGCTAACTTCTAAAGTAAGTAAACAAATTAAAATTTTTCTATTTTCAGCCTTCCTAACCTAACCTCATGAAGCAATTACATTGAGAATTCCACAGCAGGCACTTTACAATGTAAAGCAAACCCAGTTTATTAAATGTAATGGGCAAAGTGAAAAAGAAGGCAGTAGAGCCAGCCCTGATTCCCCCCAAGAGCAGAATAGCCCAGAGTTGGAGTGAGCTGCCTTCAGAAGGATGTTGTCAGCCCTGGATGTAATTGTGAGGACACCTGCCAGGATGGTGAGAGTTCACTGCTGCTAGCACCACAACTTTAATTATTTGTATTAAAGGAAAAGTTAAGTCTGAAGAGTCACCTGTACAAATCGTTTTAGCTTACTTAACAAGACCAAGTTGAGTAATACCATAAATGTTTCATGCCCATGTCCCAGGGAACAGCACAAAATTATCTCTAATTCACCATCCATTCCAAACCTAACATATCTGAAACCGACCCAATAGTACCATATATAGTTCTTTTGATAAGCATATAAATTGATCCTTCTGGTTTTAAAGCTTGAAACTTGTATTTGTTTTATCTGAGCTCGTTTCTAAGCAAATGAAATTTAGGCCTCTCACAAAAAGTATCAAAGAACTGAAACTCACCAGATCATCACATCCAGACAATGAGAGTCTAGGCCCCTCATTCACCATGATTGCTTTCTTGCTCCTCCCTAGTTCCGGTTTCTTACACATTGTTACATTTTTTTCGCTGCTATACGAACCCCTAATTTTAGTCAGAGACATGATTAGAGAGACTGAGCCCCCATGTCCTTGGCTGCAGCAACCGAAGAAAGGCTTCTTCCTTGGCAGTACTCTTCATCTCTGTTATTGGCTTTCTGTGCTTTGAGCAGCAGGACCTAGTCCCAACCCCTGGAGTTTCACTAACATATTCAGTAACACAATCTAATTATATTCAACATGCTTCTCACTTTACTTTTTCTCCGTGTATGAAATCCTAACTATATTCTTTTAAAAACTCCTCATTGGAAATCTGACACTACCTTTCATTTGCTTATTCTCCAAAGTGAGTGGTTAAACTCAGGTCTGAGAAATTTCCCACATGGAATGTTTTTGTTTTTTCTCTTCTGGCCAGCACATTTTTACAACATGTAGCAGTAGGTACCGCTTGACTATCTGCTTAATTGTATTTAATTGACAACAAATATAAAACCAAGGTTAAAATGCTTTCAAAGTATGTGAAGTAGATTTTTTGATTTGTTTTGCTTTTGTTTTAATAGAGATAGGGGTCTCACTTTGTTGCCCAGGCTGGTGTGAAAGTCCTGGCCTCAAGTGATCATCCTGCCTCAGCCTCCTAAATTGCTGGGATTACAGGTGTGAGCCACATGTCTGGGCAATTTGCTTTAAATCACTCAAATTGAAGCCAATAAAGTGAACAGTAAAACCATATTACACCTATTTTCTCCACATAAAAAATATAATTATTCTGTTACGGATTATTTTAAAGCATTTAAAAATTTTTTTTCAAAAACCACAAAAGAGCACTGAGTAAAACTTTATAACATAAATTAAGAATTTGAAAAAGTTCAGAGTTTATTTCATCATTAAAGGTAATAAAACTTTATAGTTTCAATATGAAATTATGTCAGTTTTGAAAACTATTCATGACAATTCATGGTGAAGAAGTTTTAGGTTCACTGAATTGGGCCAGATGTGTTGGCTTACGCCTGTAATCCCAGCACTTTGGGAGGCCGAGGCAGGCAGATAACAAAGTCAGGAGTTCAAGACCAGCCTGATCAACCTGGTGAAACCCCGTCTCTACTAAAAATACAAAAATTAGCCAGGCATGGTGGCACACACCTGCAATCCCAGCTACTCGGGAGGCTGAGGCAGGAGAAACACCGGAACCCAGGAAATGGAGGTTGCAGTGAGCCGAGATAGTGCCACCGCACTCCTTCCTGGGTGACAGAGCAAGACTCTGTCTCCAAAAAAAAAAAGTTTTAGGTTAACTGAATATACATGTTATATATTGCAGAAAGACATAGCTTAAAACCCCATAACCAAGAAACTTCGTGACTTCTAATTCAAGTTATTTCATGTTACGAATTCATATGTATGTAAAAGTGATTCTTATATACAAAGACTGAAATAATAACTTACAACTATTTGTCTCCTACCATATTTACTGCCAGATTCTCAGTATATTTAATAACATTTTGTATGCATTCATAAAATATTTTTGAATGTCTATATGTTGTAGTGTGCTAAGCCATATGACCTCCTAAATTTCCAGCCCAGTTTAGAGGCTTCAAAGCCTTTAATCCACTTTTCAAAAGTGACTGTTATAATGCAAAGATATCTGAAAGAGAATCTGACACAGTGGATATGAAGTTACTTTTAAAAAAAGGAATTTTTTGAAGAATTTTATGAAGGTTACAGACCCTGTCCAGATAATGCCCACTTTCACAAAATTTTCTTTATAAGTTTAAAAATCTCAAAGACTGCTGAAGTCTAGTCTTTAGAATCTTATTCGAGTTCAATTCTCTTATTGGGAACCATAGCTGAGAGAGATGCAGGACTCAACATTTATAGTGGCAGAGCTAGGCTGACAAAATGTCAGGCTTTTTTGTCTGAGTTGAATACATTCTTTGCCCTGTACTTCGCTCAAACTCAAAAGAAGTGACCAGAAACATTAAATATTTGTCACAATTCAAAGTTCAAATAAACTCTAAATAGGATAGAAACTGTAGGTGTAATAACTATCTTATATTTAGTAAGAATAAATACCTCCTCCTGCTGAGGAGGTGACTTAGAGCCTTCCTTTTCTAGATAGAGGGGAAGCAGTGTGGATTCTTTAGTGTGTTCTGATAGCCATGTGTCACTACACACTTGTTCTTTGTGTCTTCACATCTCCTCCTGTTGCATTTCAAAGCATTTTCATAGTGAGAGGTGACAGCGTGCTGGCAGTCCTCAGAGCCCTCGCTTGCTCTCGGCACCTCCCCTGCCTGGGCTCCCACTTTGGCGGCATTTGAGGAGCCCTTCAGCCCCCCACTGCACTGTGGGAGCCACTTTCTGGCCAAGGCTGGAGCCCACTCCTTCAGCTTGCAGGGAGGTGTGGAGGGAGAAGCGCGAGCGGGAACTGGGGCTGCGGGCGGCGCTTGCGGGCCAGCTGGAGTTCCGGGTGGGCGTGGGCTTGGCGGGCCCCGCACTCGGAGCAGCCAGCCCGACCTGCTGGCACCGAGCAATGAGGGACTTAGCACCCAGGCCAGCGGCTGTGGAGGGTGTACTGGGTCCCCCAGCAGTGCCAGCCCACCGGCGCTGCGCTCCATTTCTCACTGAGCCTTAGCTGCCTTCCCGTGGGGCAGGGCTCGAGACCTGCAGCCCGCCATGCCTGAGCCTCCCACCCCTCCATGGGCTCCTGTGCAGCCCGAGCCTCCCTGACGAGCACCACCCCCTGCTCCACGGCGCCCAGTCCCATCGACCACCCAAGGGCTGAAGAATGTGAGCACAGGGCGCGGGACTGGCAGGCAGCTCCACCTGCAGCCCCAGTGCGGGATCCACTGGGTGAAGCCAGCTGGGCTCCTGAGTCTGGTGGGGACGTGGAGAGTCTTTATATATAGCTCAGGGATTGTAAATACACCAATCAGCACCCTGTGTTTAGCTCAAGGTTTGTGAGTGCACCAATCGACACTCTGTATCTAGCTGCTCTGGTGAGGACGTGGAGAACCTTTATGTCTAGCTCAGGCATTGTAAATACACCAATCGGCACTCTATATCTAGCTCAAGGTTTGTAAACACACCAATCAGCACCCTGTGTTTAGCTCAAGGTTTGTGAGTGCACCAGTTGACACTCTGTATCTAGCTGCTCTGGTGAGGACGTGGAGAACCTTTATGTCTAGCTCAGGGATTGTAAATACACCAATCGGCACTCTGTATCTAGCTCAAGGTTTGTAAACACACCAATCAGCACCCTGTGTTTAGCTCAAGGTTTGTGAATGCACCAATCGACACTCTGTATCTAGATGCTCTGGTGGGGCCTTGGAGAACCTGTGTGTCCAAATTCTGTATCTAACTAATCTGATGGGGACTTGGAGAACCTTTGTATCTAGCTCAGGGATTGTAAACGCACCAATCAGCGCCCTGACAAAACAGGCCACTCAGCTCTACCAATCAGCAGGATGTGGGTGGGGCCAGATAAGAGAATAAAAGCAGGCTGCCCGAGCCAGCATTGGCAACCCAATCGGGTCCACTTCTGCATTGTGGAAGCTTTGTTCTTTTGCTTTTTGCAATAAATTTTGCTACTGTTAATGCTTTGGGTCCACGCTGCTTTTATGAGCAGTAACACTCACCGCGAAGATGTGCAGCTTCACTCCTGAGCCCAGTAAGATCACGAGCCCACCAGGAGAAAAGAACAACTCCAGACGTACTACCTTGAGAGCTGTAACACTCACCGTGAAAGTCTGCAGCTTCACTCCTGAGCCAGCGAGACCACGAACCCACCAGAAAGAAGAAACTCCGAACACATCTGAACATCAGAAGAGGCAGACTCCAGACGCGCCACCTTAAGAGCTGTTAACACTCAGCGCGAGGGTCCGCGGCTTCATTCTTGAAGTCAGTGAGACAAAGAACCCACCAATTCCAGACCCAATAGTATGTGGTTTTGCCTAATAGAGCATTCTCATAGCAAAAAAAAGGAAGTGATAGCCTATGCACAAGTAGCAAAAATAAATCCCATACACTTACCTTGAATTGTCAATACAAGATGATTGTTCAAAGGAAGGAGTAGGAGTAGGGGTATTCTGCAGCAGATAAGTATTAATCTACAAAGCCAGACTTCTGTTAAGGTTTTCACTGCTTAATCTATATAGTTAAGTGAAAACGTAAAGATGATATAAAAGTCTATTATAATTATAAAAGGATCAAGTATTACCATAAGTTTCTAAAACCATCAGTAAGACGGATCATGCTAAGATGAAGGCTTTTGCTCAGAGGAGTAGCTTAATGTGTTTGTAGAGGAAAGTTCTAGGGTAGAAGTTATGTTCCTTCCTGGCTCAGAGCCTGGATGCTGACTGGAGCTGAATTTCTGGAGAAAGAGGAACCCATTCTACGCAAGAGAGGAAGAAGTATTTGAAACTCTAGAGAGAAATTTGGGAGAGGGGAGGACTGAGAGGGAAAAAGAAGATAGAGCATACGGTGCCAGAGAGGTGGCAAAGGGGTAGTGCTTCCTGAAGTTCTCCCTTCCTCAGAGCCCCCAAATCTTGAAATGGTTCTCAAACTCACGGAATGTTTGATGCGAGTGGCTGCTTTTGGAAACCATTGAATGAGCTAAATATTTTCTTTAGGGTCCAGACTGCAGTTATCAAAATCTGCTAAATATCATCTTTAGTGTCTTTTAAACTGTGTTTTTTAAATGATTCTATGATTTGCTTCTAAAAGAACCTTCATGTTTTGAAATATTAGACACCATTAGAAATAAGAATTTCTGGTGCCAAATTTAAATATATCTGTGAAATTCACTCGCGCATGGATTTCATTATGTTTAGTGAAGCGAATAAAATCTGTTGTTACGGAAGGGATCTTTGACAGCTCATAATTACATAAAAATAAAAGCATTAGTTGAGTAGAACAAAATTAAGATGTCAGCATTGATGGATTTCATAACTAAAATTTTTAAGAAGCACTTTAAAGCTCAATAACTTTTGCTGTTTAGTGTAGTTACATTAAAATGGTAATGATTCATTTTGCAGCAACTTGACAGTAATTATTTGATTCTTAACACATCATGAAAGTTAATTTTTAGAAACGATAGACTAAAATATATTAAAATCTGCTTAGTTAATTAAGCTGTGAAAGACTAAGATGGCAATTGCAATAAGAATTCAATTTGATTCAAAACCTGGACTAATTTTATAGATTATAAGTAAATGATTAGCTCTAACACTTATAATTAAGGATTGCAATATTAAAACAAAAAGTGCTTTTATGTAAGTTAAAAGTTTGTCCAAAAGTTGGAAATTGAGATCTTCTAACTAGGTTTTCAAATAGGGAAATTCAGTTTGAGGTGGAAAAATTTATAGAAAAATAACTTGAAGACTTGAATTCAAGTCCTACCACCAAAGAATAACATAGGAAAGTAGAAGTAGAGGGGATGCTTGAGGTTGATTTAAATGCTCTTCTAGTTTTAGACTCTGTTTGTTGACACTGAGCTCTGGTTATTAAACTAAAAGCCCTCAATTTGAAACTAAAATCCAAATTTAGAATCAGAAGTCCCTGGTTGGCTCCCTCAATCACTCAACCCAGGCCATCCTTTCTCCCCACGCCTTTTCCACCTCTTCTACACGGGTAGCATCCCTGTTCAGAATATCCTCTTCCCTGCTTCTGTGGGTAATTTGTTTGTTCCTGTCAATCAGCTGTCAGGAGGACTGATTGGGCAGCAATTAATTTCTTATCTAGCAATAATTCTACCAAAACCCAGCACATAGCCCCTCTCTTCCCTCCAGCTGTATCTCAGAATGTCACAGACACAGCCTGATGATGTTTGATCTTAACCTCTGGGGAGTGATCTGGAAAACAATACAATTTCATGAAATGAATTTTGCTGAGGACCAATAAAAATGTGACTCATGTAATATTTCTATATTTTTATCTTTAAAAAGCCCACTATCGTAAGATGGTTCCTAGTAAGTAGAATTTTCAGGAATAAGATTTTATAAACATCAATTAATTATATGGTTTGCTAACATTTCCTTAAAGCTGACTAGGATTAGATTAGATTACCTTAGATCAGATGATTAGATTAGATCTGTGCCTAGGGATTTCAGATGCGTATTTTACTATTAAAACATTCAATGATGGCCAGGCGCGGAGGGTGGCTCACGCCTGTAATCCCAGCACTTTGGGAGGCCAAGGCTGGTGGATCACGAGGTCAGGAGGTCCAGACCATCCTGGCTAAAACGGTGAAACTCCGTCTCTACTGAAAATACAAAAAAATTAGCTGGGCGTGGTGGCCGGTGCCTGTAGTCCCAGCTACTGGGGAGGCTGAGGCAGGAGAATGGTGTGAACCCAGGAGGCGGCGTTTGCAGTGAGCTGAGATCGTGCCTCTGTGCTCCAGCCTGGGCAACAGGGTGAGACTCCATCTCAAAAAAAAAAAAAAAATTTTTTTTCAATGACATTAACACCATACTTTTCATTAAAATAATTGATTAGTGTTCTTTTTGTCATTTTTACAAGTCTCCATTTACACTATATTTATTGAATGGTTTGAATGATGAGTAGGAATTTCCCAGATAAAGGGGTTCATGAAGGCATTCCAGGCAGTGGGAGCAGCAACATTTCTTTTTGGTAACTATTGGTAGCCAACAACAAGGCAAGTGAGTGTTACAGCCTTCACTTAAAAGCTAGTCTCGGCCTGGCGCGGTGGCTCACGCCTGTAATCCCAGCACTTTGGGAGGCCAAGGCGGGCGGATCACCTGAGGTCAGGAGTTCAAGACCACCCTGACCAACATAGTGAAACTCCATCACTGCTAAATGCAAAAAATCAGCCGGGTGTGGTGGTGGGCGCCTGTAATCCCAGCTACTCAGAAGGCTGAGGCAGGAGAATTGCTTCAACCTAGGAGATGAAGGTTGCAGTGAGCCAAGATCATGCCATTGCACTCCAGCCTGGGCAACAAGAGCAAGACTCTGTCTCAGAAAAAAAAAAAAAAACTAGTCTTAGATGAAAATCTGCCCACACACACATACAGACTCATTACAAAATGGGCACAAAATAGTCTTATATTCAGTTGTGCAAATTGTATGAAGTCCACAGTACCTTCCCCAAAACATTCACCTAAGGCTAAATGTGACAATATCCTAATTGTGGAACTCTGTTAACCAAACTTTCAGACACCAATAATGCTCCAAATCAGTGGCTGAACATTGGACCATTTACAGATCCAACTCATAGCTCCACTCCTAGACTACTTGGCTCTCAGTATTTTTCTAGTGTATTCACACAATTATGCAAATATCTTTAAAATGTATCTAGCCAATCCATATACCTTGAACACCATGAATTTCAGCAGTAAACACCATTTCTAAAACCCATTTTAGAAATAGAAACCAATTTCTGACCTCCATCATGCTAATTTGTTGACTGAATACATAGAGTAGCACTTGTGGGAGCTACTTTGGAGTGTGATGCTTCAGAGGAAGGAAGGAACCCAGTGAAGGTGACAGGGGCAAAAGCTAGACTTTTCTGTTCATGCCTTGAGTTATAAATTTGACATGGGAATCATAAAATTGATTTACATAATTAATAAACAAAATTTAATGAATAAACTGCCAAGGAATTTTACCATGTGCTATAGGCTGAATGTTTGTGTACTTCCAAAATGGAGCTGTCATGAATGGGATTGGTACCAGGACATGAAAGAGCTGGCTTCCCTCTCGCTGCTCTCTGCCCTGAAAATCCTTTCAGGGAGAAGACAGCCATCAGCAAACCAGGAAGGAGGCCCTCACCAGAGCCTTGTCATGCTGACACCCCAATCTCTGACTTTCACCCTCCAGAACTGTGAAAAATAAATTTCTATTGCTTATCAGCCACCAGGTCTACAGTATTTTGTTATAGCAGCCCAAACGGACTAAGAAAACCTGTTTTCAGTAACCGTACTGTTAGTGAAACAATTGGTACTGGAATCCTGAAACCAACATTATCCAGTCTGAACCAACAATTACACTCCTAGGTATACACACGACGGAAAAGCTTGTGCAGGTATATCAAAACACACATTCTGTTTACTTAGCCAGAAACTGAAAACAAATCAAATGCCCATCAACAGTAAAACAAAATGTGTTCCAACTATACAATGTAATACATAGCAACAGTATAAATGAAGTTTATAAGCAGTATTGTGCAAAAGAAGTCAGACACAAATCTATCTATCTTGCATCTATTTATCTACCATCTATCTATCATGGGATTTTTATTTATTTAAAGTTCCGACACAGGTAAAACTGGAATACACATAGCATTAGAAATCAAAATAGTGGTTCCTTTTGAGTAAGAAAGGGGGAGTCATGTCTGGGAGGGAGCATAGGTGGATTTCCCCAAATACTTGGAACATTTCTGTTTTTCGGGATGGATGTTACATATGTGGACATTCACAATGTGATAACCCATCAAATTGTATATTTATACTTGGTGCTGTTTTCTGTATTTTATTTTGTTTTAAAATAAAATGCTATTTAATTTCCAAATCTACCTTCCTACAGGTTTTTCAATCAAGAGAAAATAATCTTACAACAAGATATTGCTATAATAGAGATGAAATAAGTTTATTTTGCCTATGTAAATGTATTATTTACATTTTAATTGCTAATACCCATTAGTATTTAAAATGTATTTTTATATTTTAGCTATTTTATAAAATTCTTAAAATAAGTAGTTAAAAGTGGAAGGTAAAATCTAAGTAAATTTAATCTTTATTTTCAGAAGTAAAAACTAGGAAAGAAACTCTCCATATGTGTTTATATGGATTTATATCAATTTATAAAAATGCCAATATGAAGATGATCTATAATGTTATTTAATATAAGCATTTCTAACAAAGAGGTAAATAAATGTAATCATGAGTGAACTTCTAAATGCAAGAGAAAACCACAGGAAAAGCTTTCATATTCATTAGTAACGTTTCCAGTTGAAAACCAGAAAGGCATAAAATATACTCTTAAGAACCAGCTGAGTCCTCTAATTGGGACTCCGAGCCAGGGCTACTTCTGGCGTTGGCCCAGCTCCAAGAAGGCCATCCCAGCCATCACTCTTCCACCTGCTCCTTAGAGAAGGGAAGATGAGCGAGTTGAGCTTGAAGTCCAGCCAGCCCTTGGCCTCCAAGTGGGAAAAGGATGGCACTGAGAAGCGGGGCTGGGGCAGGCCACGCAAGCAGCCTCCGAAAGAGCCCAGAGAAGTGCCAACACCTAAGAGACCTCTGGGCGACCAAAGGGAAGCAAAAACAAAGGCGCTGCCAAGTCCCAGAAAACCATCACAACTCCAGGAAGGAAACCAAGGGGCAGACCCACAAAACTGGAAAAGGAGGAAGAGGAGGGCATCTTGCAGGAGTCCTCGGGGGAGGAGCAGTGACCCGTGCATGGGATGGGACAGCTTTGCTCTGCTCCCACCGCCCCCACCCCCACCCCTTCCCCAGGCCCACCATCACCACCACCTCTGGCTGCCACCCCCATCTTCCACCTGTGCCCTCACCACCACACTACACAGCACATCAGCTGCTGCATGGCGCCCTTGGGCTGAGTGGGGAGCATTCCCCTGGCCTAAGTTCCCAGCTCCCCCTGTCCACCCACACATACACACATGCCCTCCTGGACAAGGCTAACATCCCACTTAGCCGCACCCTGGACTGCTGCATCCCCACTCTCTTGGTGGTGGGGACATTGCTCTCTGGGCTTTTGGTTTGGGGGCACCCTCTCTGCTCCTTCACTATTCCCTCTGGCTTCCCAATAGTGGGGACTGGGAGGGTTCCCCTGGCCTGAAAAGGGGCCAGAGCCCCAGATCAATCTGGCATACCCTACCCCACTGCCCTGGCAGCAGCAGGTGTGGCCAATGGAGGGGGGTGCTGGCCCCCAGGATTCCCCCAGCCAAACTGTCTTTGTCACGACGTGGGGCTCACACCTTTCATCCTTCCCCACCTTCCCTAGTCCCTGCACTAGGTTGGACAGCCTGCTTCGGCTACAGGAAGGCAGGAGGGGTGAGTCCCCTACTCCCTCTTCACTGTGGCTGCAGCCCCCTCACCCTCTGCCTGGGATCTGAGTAATATTGTGGTGATGGAGATGCAGTCACTTATTGTCCAGGTGAGGCCCATGAGCCCTGTGGCTGCCACCTGAGGTGGGCTGGGGCTGCTCCCCTAACCCTACTTTGCTTCCACCACTGGCCATTTCCCCCTCCTTAGATGGGGCACCAGCAACAAGGAGCTCACCCTGCCCGCTCCCAGCCTCCCTTCTGCTCCTCCCTGACCCCCAAATTTCTGGTTCCATTTTTCCTCTGTTCACAAACTACCTCTGGATAGTTGTGTTGTTTTTTGTTCAATGTCGCATTCTTCGACATCCATCATTGCCGCTGCTACCAGCGCCAGATGTTCATCCTCATTGCCTCCTGTTCTGCCCATGATCCCCTCCCCCAAGATGCTCTTCTTGGGGAGGAGGGGCTGGGGGATGGCAGGCGGGGTGACCGGCTACCCCAGTCCCAAGGAAGGTGGGGCCCTGCCTGTAGGATGCTGCAGCAGAATAAACAAGGGGGCCCTAATCTACCATAAAGGGTGTAGGGGCCACCTCCTCCCCCGTTCTGTTGGGGAGGGGTAGCTGTGATTTGTCCCAGCCTGGAGCTCCCCCTCTGGTTTCCTATTTGCAGTTACTTGTATTTAAAAAAATCATTTTCTGGAAAAAAAAAAAAAAAGAAACAAGGGAAAGAAAAAGAACCAGCAGAATTGATTAACATACTGAAAATGTTCAAGTTTGGTTCAAATTTTTACTTCAAAGAGCTTTTTAGATTTACAAAATGTCACGAATTATTTCAGAATTTAAAATAGAACCAGAATCTGGGCAGTATTATCAGTACATAATCTCATCAGATGCAGCTCTGAGAGTTCTATGAAGAAACTTAAAAATATTTCATCACCTAAGAAAGGATATATTATATAATCATTGTCCCAGCTTCAGAGTGCAGTCTGTTACATTTCTTGTCCTGGATGGTAATTTAATTTAATAATTTAATGATAACTATAATGTGCACATTTTGCTATAGCTTATAGCTGAGGTGGAATAGGAAAATGAAAGAGACGCTTTAAAATAAAATAGGAAGAATGAACTCTGGCCAAGTTTACTGACTCAAAAGTAAGATGAAACTCTGGTTCATTTCAAAGCATATTTTACTCTGGGTCTGAAGGCCATAGACATATCTTGGCAATTTTACCTTTCATTCCTACAAAAATAAATGAATAAATTACTGAGAATCCTGAGCAAAAGCTGTGGTGAAAGTTACTTTCAAATTGCCATTAAATGGAGCAAAGATATTGCTCATAAACGCTGAAGCACTGGGTCTCTTCTTTTTTCTTGCTGAAAGGTCATCTTGCTGACTCTAAATTTGGTTCAAGAAACAAGGTATCTTGACGTTTGTTCCTATACCCAGAAAGGTAAACATCAAGTAGAGAGAGGTGCAGGATCGTCCTGTAGAGTGTGGAAAGCTCAAGTGAAGGCTCATGACACAGCTCAAAATGGAGCTTCTCCATTCCAGCAAACCCCACCATGCTCACAGATTCATTTCCAGGAAACTGTGTCCCCATCCC
Source organism: Homo sapiens (assembly GCF_000001405.40). NCBI lineage: Eukaryota > Metazoa > Chordata > Mammalia > Primates > Hominidae > Homo > Homo sapiens. Next base: position 23,136,783 of record NC_000013.11, read on the forward strand.
CATCCTAAACATCGTAAACACTCCAGCTGACACTGGGCATTGGAGGTCAAGAGTAAACATGCTGACATGCTGCATCTGCTTGACTTCTGTGGCCACTTTACTTTGTTAAGTGTCAATGTCATGCATCTTGCAGTGCATGTGTGGGTAGGTGTGACTTCTTCCCATCCAGCTCAACAAGTACCCATGACAAACTAGAACTTCAACAGAACCCAGAGAGCGAGTGTGTGCCTTTACAAGGATTCATCTTGCTGTTGCTTTAAATTGCTGATGGAGACAACAAAACATAATTTTTACCCAGATGTTTGTGACTTGGTTGAATGTCAATTATTTTTTATATGGACTCTTGTAGCTCTTCTTCCATAATAAATATGCCATGGCTTCCACTCACAATGCAAATTACCCAAGGAACCCGGGCTTAGGGAGTGTGGTCAAGGATTTTTCAGCTCCAATTCTGGATCACAAAACACACACCAGCCCATATTCAGAAAGCAGCGTGTACATCAGCAGTTTTCTCTCTTCTTTGGCCTGTTATCAAATGCTATGGACTAGATCTTCTAAAATTGGGATCTTGGTAGTTACGGCACTTGCAATAAAAGGCGAAAAATGAGATAATTGCCTAAACCTTACCGATCCACTTTTCCCCTGGTTGTTTTCAAGGCTAGTGTGATTGCATTCTGGTATGAATGGTGGCATAGTATAGTTAGCAAAGGAGCAGGTGAAGGCCCACTTTGCCATTACTATAATGTTATTCAGTGTGGAAAGAAGGGAAGCACATTTTCCTCCTTTAAGTTATTCCCAACAGTTGGAAAAATGATATATTTTTTTTTTGAGAAGGAGTCTTGCTCTATTGCCCAGGCTAGAGTGCAGCAGCACAATCTCGGCTCATGGCAACCTCCACCTCCCGGGTTCAAGCAATTCTCCTGCCTCAGCTTCCTGAGTAGCTGGGATTACAGGCGCCCACCATGCCCAGCTAATTTTTGTGTTTTTAGTAGCGACCCGGTTTCACCATTTTGACCAGGCTGGTCTCAAACTCCTGACCTCGTGATCCACCTGCCTTGGCCTCCCAAAGTGCTGGGATTACAGGCATGAGCCACCGCGCCCAGCCAGAAAAATGATATTCTTAATATATGTATACTAATACTAAAACTAGGAAACTAGAATGATACTCCAAAAATGCTAGCAGTGCTTGAATTAGGTTAATCAATGTTGCAATTTGTTTTCATATCTCTATTTTCAACATGCTCTATAATAAGATCAAGTTATTTATATGATTTATAAAATAAGTGTGCTTATATATTACATATGAAAATTAAGTTCTCAAAGTAATGGAATCAAAATTCCATATTTTTCCATATGTATATACCCATATATATACATACATATTTAGTTAGCTAGTTAGTATGTTAAGATTTTCTTACTAGAATAGTAGAAATGCATGCAACATTTTCTATATTAACAAACAGAATAAATAACCTAATTTTAATGCTATCATTGATATTGTCATTTTAATTTTTGTTTGTTATGTACATGTATGTAATTGCTTCACAAATCCTTTCTTTTTTTCTTTTTTTTTTTTTTGAGACAGAGTCTCACTCTGTTGCCCAGGCTGGAGTGCAGTGGCCCTATCTCCGCTCACTACAAGCTCTGCCTCCCGGGTTCACGCCATTCTCCTGCCTCAGCCTCCCGAGTAGCTGGGACTACAGGTGCCTGCCACTGCGCCCGGCTAATTTTTGTATTTTTAGTAGAGACGGGGTTTCACCATGTTAGCCAGGATGGTCTCGATCTCATGGCCTCGTGATCCACCCACCTTGACCTCCCAAAATGCTGGGATTACAGGGGTCCATATTTGTCTTATCAATACATCATAAACACCTCTTCAAGTCACATAAACTTACCTCATCATTTTACTGACATTCCACTGTACAGCTATATATTAATTCATTTAATCAATGCCTTATTGATTGGACATTTCAGTTGTTTACAAATTTACACTACAATTAATAATGCTATGACAATCTCAAAGTTTATCTTTGCAACATTGTCAAAATATTATATTAAGAAAAATCCCTGGTAGTATTAATGGAATCACTGTTCCAAAACGTATTTTAAAAAGCTTTTGATGGATTTGTCTGTCAACTAATTTGTCTTCCAGAAGCATTGTTTCAATTTTAAAAACTCATATTGGCCGGGTGCCCTGGCTCATTCCTGTAATCCCAGCACTTTGGGAGGCCGAGGCGGGCGGATCACGAGGTCAGGAGATCGAGACCATCCTGGCTAACACGTTGAAACCCTGTCTCTACTAAAAATACAAAAAAATTATCCGGGCGTGGTCGTGGGCGCCTGTCCCAGCTACTCAGGAGGCTGAGGCAGGAGAATGGTGTGAACCCGGGAGGCAGAGCTTGCAGTGAGCCGAGTAGCGCCACTGCACTCCAGCCTGGGCGACAGAGCGAGACTCTGTCTCAAAAACAAACAAACAAACAAAACCTCATATTAATAGCTTATGAAACTGTCTTTTGTCCAAAACCTTTTTTTTTTTTTTTTTTTTTTTTGAGATAGAGTCTTGCTCTCTCGCCCAGGCTGGAGTGCAGTGGCCACAATCTCGGCTCACTGCAACCTCTGACTTCTGGGTTCACGCCATTCTCCTGCCTCAGCCTCCCGAGTACCTGGGACTACAGGCGCCCACCACCACGCCCGGATAATTTTTTTGTATTTTTAGTAGAGACAGGGTTTCACTGTGTTAGCCAGGATGGTCTCGATCTCCTGACCTCGTGATCCGCCCGCCTCGGGCTCCCAAAGTGCTGGGATTACAGGCATGAGCCACCGCGCCCGGTCATGTCCAAAATCTTTATAACACTGAATATCATCATGTTTTTCAATATCTGCTAAAAGAAAAATTAAGTAATACATCTTGTTTTTGTTAGCAATTCTTTAGTTAGTAAAATGATGGGATAGTTTTCCTTACATCCATTGGCCATTTATGCTTCTTTGTGTATGCACTGCCTGTTCATGTCATTTGCCATCATATTAATAGTTTGTAATTGCACATCATTTAATCTGTCTTTCTCTTTTTTTTTTTTTTTTTTTTTTTGAGACGGAGTCTCGGTCTGTTGCCCAGGCTGGAGTGCAGTGGCATGATCTCGGCTCACTGCAATCTCCACCTCCCAGGTTCAAGCAATTCTCCTGCCTCAGCCTCCAGAGTAGCTGGGATCACAGGCGCCTGCCACCACACCCGGCTAATTTTTGTATTTTTAGTAGAGACAGGGTTTCACCATGTTGGCCAGGTTGATCTCGAACTCCTGACCTCAGGTGATCGCCCACCTCAGCCTCCCAAAGTGCTAGGATTACAGGCATGAGCCACCACGCCTGGCCTTAATCTCTTTTTTTAATGCTTTATTCTTTAAAATTCCAGTGCTTAGGACAGTGTTTCCTTATCAGCCACCCTTTGCACTTGTAAAGGGCAACTTCCCTGAGAGAGAAGGATTCTCCCATCGATTTCAGGATATATATCCCCCCCCTGCGCCCTGCCTACCAATGCCAACTGTGGTGGGGGCTTCCGACAACCAAAATGCCCCCACTCGCTTCCAAATACTCCCCAAGAAGGTCAGAGCGCTGCCCCTTTGGGTAAGAACCATTTAATTGGATATTTTTGCTATCTAATTTCTAGTTTTATTCCACTTTAATTGACAATTTTAAGTAAGATTCTTACCATGTTTTAACTGTGAAAATTCTACTTTTGGTAAATTATTGAGTTTCACCTTATAGCTCAGTACATAATGTCCTTGTTTTTTCAATGATCCATGGTCATTCAAAAGCATTCATATTTCCTAATGACGGGTTATCACCACTATCAAATACATGATTCAGTTTCCATGTCATGATTCGTGTCAACAAACTTGAGTGGCCTGCTTCCAACTTCTGTCTCAAACAGCTGAGCTGACTCAGTCCCAAATCAAAGGCTTTACTGGGTGTCTGAGAGCATATGTCACCTGGAACCTCATCACATTGAGAAGTCAGCTTCAGCAGAGACTGGAGAATCTAGTTTTGAGCTTTCCTGCCTCTTCCTGTTAGAAGAGGATAGGAAAAATTTTGAATTAGAGAATCCAGAGTCCATCATATTGCCATTGTACTTATAATTTTTTGATGCGCTTTTGTTAAATGATGCTTATTTTTTAAACAATTATTTCCCCTTTTTCCCCTTCATTTCCCCCCTCAGATGGGCAGCCAATTATACTAGTCCTATTTTTCACAATTTAAGATTTTGGAAGTCATACAGCGAATTTTAATCTAATTATCATTATGAAAAATACATTTCCCTATCAACATAAAGAACCAAATAGGGCCGGGCACGGTGGCTCAAGCCTGTAATCCCAGCACTTTGGGAGGCTGAGGTGGGTGGATCAGGAGGTCAGGAGATTGAGACCATCCTGGCTAACACGGTGAAACCCCGTCTCTACCAAAAATTCAAAAAGTTAGCCAGGCATGGTGGTGGGCACCTGTAGTCCCAGCTACTCGGGAGGCTGAGGCAAGAGAATGGCATAAACCTGGGAGGCAGAGCTTGCGGTGAGCAGAGATCACGCCACTGCACTCCAGCCTGGGTGACAGAGGGAGACTCCGTCTCAAACAAACAAAAAAAAAAAACAGACCACACATGGTGGCTCATGCCTGTAATCCCAGCAATTTGAGAGGCCGAGGAGGCGGATCACCTGAGGTCAGAAGTTTGAGACCAGCCTGACCAACATGGTGAAACCCTGTCTCTACTAAAATCACAAAATTAGCTCCACGTAATAGCAAATGCCTGTAATCCCAGCTTGGGAGACTGAGGCAGGAGAATCGCTTGAGCCCAGGAGTCGGAGGTTGCAGTGAGCCAAGATCACGCCACTGCACTCTAGCCTGGGCAACAAAGAGAGACTCCCTCTCAAAAAAAAAAAAAAAAAAAAAAAAAAAAAAAAAGCAGACATTGGGAGACAGCAGTGAAGAGAATATTATAAAAATATTAAATAACATAAAGTTCTATGTTTCTTATGGAGGAACCCACAAAAACTGTATTTTGTTTTGTTTTGTTTTTTTTCTTGAGATGGAGTTTCACTCTTGTTGCCCAGGCTGGAGTGCAATGGTGCGATCTTGGCTCATTGCAAGCTCTGCCTCCTGGGTTCACGCCCTTCTCCTGCCTCAGCCTCCCCAGCAGCTGGGACTGAGAAGTGATAACGTACTAGCAGCCCTCGCTCACTCTCGGTGCCGCCTCAGCCTCGGCGTCCACTCTCGCCACGCTTGATGAGCCCTTCAGCTCGTCACTGCACTGTGGGAGCCCCTCTCCGGGCTGGCCAAGGCCGGAGCTGGCTCCCCCTGCTTGCGGGATGTGTGGAGGAAAAGGCACAGGCAGGAACTGGGGCTGTCCATGGCACTCGCAGGCCAGCGAAAGTTCCGAGTGGGCACAGGCTCAGCAGGTCCCGCACGCAGAGCGGCAGACCGGCGGGCAGTAAGGGCCTTAGCACCCGGCCCAGCAGCTGTGAAGGGTGTGCCAGGTCCCCCAGCACTGCCACCTGCCCGTGCTGCCCTTAAATTCTCGCCGGTCTCAGCTGCCTTCCTACGGGGGAAGAGCTCGGAACCTGCAGCCCACTATGCCTGACCCCCTGCCATGCCTGAGCCCCAAGCCACGGGCTCCCTCAAGGCCAGAGCCTCCCCATTGGCACCTTCCCCTGCTCCGCAGTGCCTCGTCCCATCAACTGCCCAAGGACAGAGGAGTGTGGGCATGCAGGGCGGGACTGGTGGGCAGTTCTGGTGGCAGGCAGCTCCTCAGGTGGCTCTGGTGCAGTACCCACTAGGTGAAGCCACCTGGGCTCCTGAGTAGGTGGGGATTTGGAGAACTTTTATGTCTAGCTGGAGGATTATAAATGCACCAATCAGCACTCTGTGTCTAGCTCAGGGATTGTAAAGGCACCAGTCAGCACCCTGTCAAAACGGACCAATCAGCTCTCTGTAAAATGGACCAATCAACTCTCTGTAAAATGGACCAATCAGCAGGATGTGGGTGGGGCCGGATAAGGGAATAAAAGCCGGCTGCACTGGTGGCAGTGACAATCCAGTCCACTTCCATAGAGTGGAAGCTGTGTTCTTTTGCTCTTTTCAATGTATCTTTGGGTTTTCGTTGTCTTCATTAGCTGTAACACTCACTGCGAAAGTCTGCAGTTTCACTCCTGAAACCAGCGAGAACCCACCGGGAGGAATGAACAACTACAGATGTGCCACCTTAAAAGCTGTAGCACTCACTGAGAAGGTTTGCAGCTTCACTCCTGAAGCAAGCAAGACCACAAATCCACCAGAAGGAAAAAACTGGGAACACATTTGAACATCAGAAAGAACAAAGTCAGGATACACCATCTTTAAGAACTGTAACGCTTATCACTAGGGTTGGTGGCTTCATACTTGAAGTCAGTTGAGACCAAGAACCCACCAATGCCCGACACAAGACTACCGGTGCCTGCCACCAAGCCTCGCTAATTTCTTGTATTTTTGGTAGAGACAGGATTTCATCGTGTTAGGATGGTCTCCATCTCCTGACCGTGTGATCTGCCTGACTCGGTCTCCCAAAGTGCTGGGACTACAGGTGTGAGCCACTGCACCCGGCCCCAATGTCTGCTTTTTAAAAATATTGACGCATATGTCTAGAGATAATATATGATGGTGTAGTTTTATAGTTGTCACACGTTTGGTATTTCTCGTTATCAAGCATAGGTGGTATAGTAGCAGAAGTCAAAAATCATACTGTCCTAAACCTGCAAATCTGTTTACCTTCTAATATTTATTTTTATTTTACTTCTTTAATTTTATTTTTTATTTTTGAGATGGAGTCTCGCTCTGTTACCCAAGCTGGAATGCGATCTCAGCTCACTGCAAGCTCCACCTCCCAGGTTCTGGATTCACACCATTCTCCTGCCTCAGCCTCCCGAGTAGCTGGGACTACAGGTCGCTGCTGCCACACCTGGGTAATTTTTTTTTTTTTTTTTTTTTTTTTAGTGGAGATGGGGTTCCACTGTGTTAGCCAGGATGGTCTCCATCTCCTGACCTCGTGATCCACCCACCTCCACCTCCCCAATTTCATTACTAACTAGTTATTTTTCTTTCTGGATGCTGTCAAGTATTTATCTTTGTAATATCTAAAAAAATTAAAATTGTTTTCTTTAATTTTGCTAAAAATGGTAAAACTTTAAATATTTGCATCTTTAAGAGAAATTTCCTCTTTTTTTCCTGCTGCTCCATTTTCTCTAGCAGCTCTACTTTCTTTTTCTCTGTTTCTGAACTCCTGTAATTTACTTCTTCTGTCTTTGAAATCTATCCTCTAAGCAGTTTGTGTTTTCTCCACAATTGCCATGTCTTTCTTTTACCTTTATGTTATAAAGAAAATTACCTCCTTCAGTCTTAATGATTTTTTTTTCTTTTTTATCTAAAGTGCTAATACCTGAACTTCCCATTTACTCAGTGACTTTAGGTTTCTCTTCTGGTCTGCCAGATTTGGTTTCCATCAGACAGGCATAATGAAGACTTGCTCCCTCTCAAAGCGTCCCTCACATTAGAAGACAGCAGAGATTTTAGTGTGCTGTGATAGCAATCATAAATTATTAAAGGACAAAGAAAACGATCAAGTAATTTTTGAGTGAAAACATCAAGTAGATAAAAATCCCAAGAATGATATTAGATAAATAAATGGGGATGAAAAATGAATGATGGACCAAAGTAAAGGAAAAAAAGGAAGAAACAGAAAGTGAAGAAAAACTGGGGGAAGTGACACAAAAACACAAGAGACTAGGAAAGAAAGTTGAAATGAAATTGTCTATTGATATAAAAAGGAGAAGCAGGAAAGAGAAGAGAGTTGAGAACGAATGGCAGTGACAGTGTATGGCAGTAGCGTGTCTTTAGAAATTTGCTAAAATGATTTTTTAATTATATGAAAATTGATAGAGTTAAGATTTAGTAAAATTAAGTAGTTGGCATGAGATCATGGCAATAATTTTAACTATTCTAAATTAAGATTATGAAATTTGAGAAAAAGGGATTTCTCCTATGAAAAAGCCCACAAAATTACTTGGTAAACAGAAATAAATGTAAAAAACTTACAGGAAAATATCTAAAGACATATTAATACTATTTTATTGGATAAATATTTGTCTAGAAATAATACAGTTTAAGTTGCAATAATTACTTTTAGACACTGAGGTACACTTAGTATACTGAAAAAGTAAAACACAAATGGTGTTAGGCCATAAAAAGTCCATTCTGTTTCAGAACATGTCTGACTTCTCCCAATATGTTGATGTACTTAAAGAACCTGGGTTATTAGCTTTTATTATCACATAATCAGATTGAATTAAATAAAATGAAGAAAAATGTATTAGGTCTATAGAAAGGTAAGAACATTATAATATTTCAATGAAACTTCAAAATCTGTTGCTCTACAACAAATCATTTAACAGATCACCTGGAATTGGTATTAAGAAATTAGAGTAAAAAATTGACGTGAAAACTTTGAAAATTAAAATGTTAAATAAAGCCAAAAGTTACTATGGCCATGGAATAAATTTCAAAGACAAATGGGCAAAGTTCGTTACACAAAATAACTGAGTTGAACAAAATAGAAAAGGAAGTGGCCACACAGACATTGCATGAAAACATTATTATTATTATTATTATTATTTTTATTTTTATTTTTTGAGACAGAGTTTCGCTCTTGTTGCCCAGGCTGGAGTGCAATGGTGTGATCTTGGCTCACTGTAACCTCTGCCTCCCGGGTTCAAGTGATTCTCCTGCCTCAGCCTGCCGAGTAGCTGGGATTATTACAGGTGCCTGCCACCATGTCCAGCTAATTTTTTGTATTTTTAGCAGAGACGGGGTTTCACTATGTTGGCCAGGCTGGTTGCGAACTCCTGATCTCAGGTGATCCAACTGCCTCGGCCTCCCAAAGTGCTGGGATACAGGCGTGAGCCACCGTGCCCGGCCAAAGACATTGATTATTAATGGTGGACTATTGGAACTCTAAAATAAATTTTCACTGCACTGCTCATTAGTTTCATTATTTATAGCAAAGAGAAATGCTTTGAAATAATTCAAGTTTAGCTATAAAAATTAAGACGTGAAGACTATCTGAAACATCTATCATATTTGATAGCTACAGGAATATTTTGAAGCATTCTTATTTATTATCTAATATATTTGTTGCACTATTAAAATACGACAGAAATAGTATTTAACTTGAAACACGGTCCTATGCCCATGAATTATGATTTATAATATCATAGGTAGAGTTAACAAGAAAATCACGCAGAATCTGTACATAAAAGGCCATGAATCAATTAGAGAACTGTTATTTCTGAGTCAGTACCAAGTGACCCATAAACTTAAGGAAGCCTGTCTCAGCTTAAAAACCAGTGTCCTAGAAAAAACCAGAATGTGTAACTGTTGGAAACAGAAGCGTCATGCTACATGAGTTGAGCTAATTCAATGATAAAACAAATAAAGCTTTTTGTTTTGAAATAATGTAAAACTGGCTGATTTTTGAAGACAGAAAATAAAAGCAAGGAAAATCGAAGAATACAAGCTGGATACTGACCTGTGTGGTAGACTGCACTATTGTTCTGAACCGGTCATCATTCTCCCTTACTTTTAGTTTCTAAATAATTTAGAGGATTATACAAGCCCATCTGCAGACAAGTGAACTGCAGCATCTTGTGAAGGATAAGCATATACATCCAGGCTCTGTTGATACCAGGTATGGGTAGGCGACTTGCCTTGGTGTAGGAGTATACTTGTGTTAACATATGCCAGGTGGAACAGAAGCTTTAAGATCTATTGTGTGTTTCCACCAGCTCCCTTGATTTTTCCCAAATAAATCCAAAACTGTGATGCTTGGCACATCTCAAATAAGAGGTTCTCCTTTAACCTAGGTCCTGGAATGAGAAAAAATATGAAACAGAGCAGCAGAGAAGCCAAACTGCAATGGTTGACATATAACATGACAGAAAACTAAATATTTCTGAACTCACTGCCTTACAAAACATAATCATGCTATTAAAACTCACTGCTAATATTTTCAGGATGTGTCCTGTCATCCTCACCAGCCACTTTTTCAAACCATGCGTCTGACAATTATTGTGAAATCAAAGTCTGCTTTTTATGTAACTCAAACTTCTGCTTTTGAGATTTTAATATATACGCATAGGTTTCAGTCAGAGAGATGAGTCATGAATACTCAGATCCAAATATATATAGCTCAAAAATAAACTGGCTACAACTTGTAAGGAGATTTAAATCCCCCTTTGCCATGCATTAACTATCAGCAGCTATTTCTTGGACAGCCTTCAGGGCTGCACACTCATGCTTCCAAAGAAAACCGTCTGTTGCAGTCACTGTGATGCGTCTACCCATCCGTCTCAGCCTGCTGTTAACCATGTCACAGACCTGCCTCTGATTCTCCCACAACTTCTGACCCCAGGTAGTGGGGAGCTACTCCCCGATTTTGTGTTACTTAGTTACCCAGGCCCAGAAACAGTTCTCCTTGAGTCTAAAGGCTCATAAAGTCTCTATTGAATAGTTTCATCAGGTTTTGTCTTGAGGAACTTTTTGACACGGAAACAGAAAAGTTCCCTTGTCCTCCTCGCAGGGCGGATGATAGGGGTGTGGCTCGCTTCTTCAGTGCCCCGCTGCCCAAACCGCTAGGGGAGCATACAGATGGGCAGGCTGTGGAGCTCCCACCCTAAGTCAGTGTCTAGGGGTGAATGTTTACAACTCCTGAAGCCCCAGTGGGCATGCTACAGGGTGCTCTTTTAGTTTAGCCATCTGTAGGCAGCTTGTGTTGGTCAGCTCAAGTAGACCCCTGCCTTATCACAAGGACAGAGATATTTCTGTATCCCAGGTTCTTGCCTTGGTGTACCAGAATCGGATCACACGTGGGCTTGGAGAATGAGTGTAACGTTTTATTGAGTAGAAGTAGCTCTCAGCAGATAAGGGAGCCAGAAGGAAGATAGTTTTCCGCTGGAGTTGGGCCACTCTGCATCCTGGGCTCTCCTCGGCTGCCCCAGCCAAACTCCGCATGGTTCTGCTTCTGTCCATCAGTGTGACCTGCAGGCGTCATTCTGCTTCTGCCATCGGTGGTTGGTGGCCTGCTGGCATGCCAATACCTGTCTCTCCACATCCCGTGTATTCCTCTGCTGATGTGCTCCTCCTGCTGTTCAGCCGCCTATGTGTCTGCCTGCAGGGTCTCGGGATTTTTAGGCACAGGATGGGGGCGTGGCAGGCCAGGGTGGTCTCATCTGTCCTCACCTAGGTCCGTGGGGGTGGAGTCCTAGCTAGGGGTCACTCCTTCCTCTACCCAGCACTTCCTTTCTCCCTTCAGTATCATTTAAAGGGGCCATGCTCTTCCCTTCCCGGCACTTCCATATGGGCACTACATGTTTAAATGAGAAAAAAAAAATCAAGGGCAAACATTAATTTTTCTAATAAAACATTAAAGGAATTTTTTCGAAATTAATTACCTACATAACTTGCTTTAATATTAACTTTCCTTTGGAGGAGCCAATGAAAAGTGGCCCATACTAGCAAGTGTAATTTGAAAAAAAGAAAAGATGTTGGCATTTCTAAAAAAAAAAACTTACTAAATTCTAGGTATTGTGTTCTATATTTTGCATACCTTAATTCATTTATTTCTTAAAACATTCCTATCATTTACATCTTAATTTTTACCCTCATGTTTTAGACGGGGAAAAAGAAGCATAAAGAATTTACAGTCTGGGCGCGGTGACTCATGCCTGTAATCCCAGCACTTTGGGAGGCTGAGGCAGGTGGATCACCTGAGGTCGGGAATTGGAGACCAGCCTGATCAAACACGGAGAAACCCCGTCTATACTGAAAATACAAAATTAGCCGGGCGTGGTGGCGCATGCCTGTAATCCCAGCTACTCAGGAGGCTGAGGCAGAAGAGTCGCTTGAACAAGGGAGGCGGAGGTTGTGGTGAGCTGAGCCATTGCACTCCAGCGTGGGCAACAAGAACAAAAACTGTCTCAAAAAAAAAAAGAATTTATACAGCTTGCCATAGGTCGTAAGATCATACAATGACCAAATAGAAAGAGATCAGAACCCACAGTTTCTACACCCAGAGGGCCCCCTAACCTTATACTATGTGGTCTTTACATAATTGAAAGTTATTAATATTCAGAATCATTGACATTTAGAACTATAGTAATTTCAGGTGCAGTGAGCCCACATGTTGTACAGTTAAGAAACACAGGACCATTCAAACCTTTAGCCTTTCTTGTAACACATTCCTGAATACTAAAAAAGCTGAGAAGAAAAAAATAGAGAAAGGAAATTTTTAAACATCAATTTAAAAAAATTAGTGTTAGGGATTTTTTTTTTAACAAGCATTTCAGTCACTGATGAAAAGCCTTAGGCCCACAGAGGTAGCTGTTACCACAGAAAAGATTGTTAGATCTAAGAATAGAATTTGGATTAACCAGGACCTCTAGCATAAAGTTCAATGTTCTTTCATCACAGCATGATGTTCAACTGAAATTTAAAGTCACAAATTTAAAGTTATAGTTTAACACATCACCTGTACCAATTTACATACAAATGTAGGTACAAGAAGAGCCCTTGGCTTGCAGACAGTCTTATAAAATATAGTGTTGAAGGGGAAAAAAAAAGGAACCTTGAACATCATCAAAGGAATAAACAAATAAGAAAGGGGATGGATTTTACGGAAATGACCTGAGAGCTGACTCTTACTTCGTTTTAACTAAATAAGAAAGAATAAGAAAAAAATGTACAGGTAAAAGCAGAATTGATGGCTTCCTGATCCTCTCTTTTCTGACTTCTGCAACTCACTGGAGCATGAGAGAAAAACAAAAGCTAATATTTTTATGTATATGCATTTTTCACAGCTTTACTGAAATATAATTCACATACCACACAAAATTCACCCATTTAAGGTACAGAATGAAAAAGGCTTTACTATATTCACAGTTATGCAGCAGGCACCAAACTCTCAACTTAGAACATTTTTATTAGCCCCTAATTGTCTATTTTTCATATTATGTCTATTAATTATACTATCTGATCTTTTGTCGTTGACTCCTTTCACCTAGTATAATGTTTTCAAAGTTCATCCATATTGTATTATGTGTCAGTAATTCATTCCTTTTATTGCTGAATAATATTCCATTGTATGGATATATCATGTTTTATTTATTCCTTCATCAGTTGATGTACATTTGGATTATTTCCCCATTTTTGCTGTTATGAATACTTCTAGTGTGCACATTTGTATGCAAGTTTTTTTATGGATTTGTTTTTATTTTTCTTGAATAGATAAATAGAAGAAAATTTCTGGGTCGTCTGACAAGGCTATGTTTAATGTTTTGAAGCACTCCCAAATTGTTTTCCAAAATGGTTGCAACATTTTACATTCCCTCCAGCAATATATGAGTGTTCCAATTTCTTCACATCCTCGCAAATTTGTGATTATTTGTCTTTTTTACTATAGCATTTCTAGAGGCTGGAAGTGGTATCTTATTGTGGTTTTGATTCGTGTTTTCTAAATGGCTAATGCTTCAAGTATCCTTTCCTATGTATATCTTTTTTGGAGAAATGTTCATTTTCAGTTAGCTCATCCTTTTATTGAGCTCCTTATCAGATATAGAATTTGCAAATCTTTTGTACCATTTTCATGTTTTCTTTGGCTTTCTTGATGGTATAATTTGCTGCAGAAACATTTTTTATTTTGATGAGGCCTAATTTGTTTTTTCATTTGTTACTACTGAGTTTGATGTGCATAACAAGCTTTTGCTGGGCTCAAGTTCATAAAAATTTATGTTCTCTTCTGAGAGTTTTTAGTTTTAGCTCTTACATTGAGGCATATGATACATTTTTAGTTAAATTTTGTGTATGGTAGGAAGAAGGAGCCCAACTTTATTCTTTTGTGTGTGAATATTCGGTTGTTTTATAAACATATGTTGATAAAACAATTCTTTTCCCATTGAATGCTCAATTAACTACAAATGTGAGAGTTTATTTATGAACTCAGTTCTGTTCCATTGATGTATATGTCTTATGCTAGTACCATATAGGTTTGTAGTAAGTTGCTAAATCAGAAATCATGAGGCCTCAACATTGTTCTTCTTTTTCCATATTACTTTCTCTGTTTTGGTAATCTTGCATTCCTATATGACTTTTGATACTAGCTTGTCCATTCTTTTGAAGCTAATGAACTTTATTTTTTATTGACATATAATAATTGTACATATGCATGGGGTACAGTGTGATGTCTGCATACATGTATACACTGTATAATCAAATCATGTTCATTAGCATATTTATCAACTTAAATATTTATCATTGCTTTGTCATGAGAACATTCACGACAAAATCTTCTCTTTTAGATATGTGAAATATACAATGCATTATAGTTAGCTATAGTCACTCTACTGTGCAAAAGAGCAGCAGTACTTATTTCTCCTGTCTAACTGTAACAGTTCACCTGTTGACCACCTTCTCCCCTTCTCCCCATTCTCATTATTCTCCTCAGTCTCTGGTAACCACTGTTCTACTCTCAACTTGTATCAGTTAATTTTTTTAGATTCCACATATGGGTGATATCTTATAGTATATATGTGTCTCTGTGCTTGGCTTATTTCACTTAACAAAATGTCCTCCAGGCTCATCCGTATTGTCACAAATGACAGGATTTCATCCTTTTCTGTGGGTGAATACTGTTTCATTGCATATAATAATCTCTTTATCCATTCATCTGTTGATGAGCATTTGGCTTGATTCCATAATCTGGCTATTGTGAATACTAATGCAACAAACATGACAGTGCAGATGTCCCTCTTCGACATATTGATTTCATTTCTTTCAGACATAAGCCCAGTAGTGGGATTGCTAGATCATACGCATATTAGTCCATTCTCATGCTGCTAATAAATACATACCAGAGACTGGGTAATTTATAAAGGAAAGAGGTTTAATTGACTCACAGTTCAGCATGGCTGGGGAGACCTCAGTAAACTTACAATCATGGTGGAAGAAGAAGCAAACACATCCTTCTTCATGTGGCAGCAGCAAGGTGAAGTGCCAAACAAAAGGGGGAAAAGCCCTTTATAAAACCATCAGATCCAGTGAGGACTCACTATCACAAGAACAGCAGCATGGGTGTAACCGCCTTCAAGATTCAATTACCTCCCGTTGGGTCCCTCCCAAGACACGTGGAGATTATGGGAACTACAATTCAAGATGAGATTTGGGTGGGGACACAGCCAAACTATGTCAATATAATTTGCCTTTCTTGGATGTTTAGCGAGGTTGAGCATTTTTTCATATGCTTCTTGGCTGTACATTGATTTTTCTATCTATATGATCTGTCCTTTGCTGAAATTAGGGTGTTGAAGTGCCCTACTATTATTTTATTGCTCTCTATTGCTCCCTTTAGATCTACTAATATTTGTTTCTTTGGGAAAAAAAAAAGCAGTTTTTCACCATTAAGTATGATGTGATGTTAGCTATAGGTTTTTTATAAATGCCCTTTATTGAGTTGAGGAAACTTCTTTCTATTTCTAGTTTGTTGGATATTTTTATTAGAAAAGAATGTTTCATTTTGACAAATGGCTTTTCTATGTCTATTAAGATGATAATTTGTTTTTTGTCCTTTATTCTCTAAATATGGTTAATTACAATGGATGGTTTTTAGATGCTTCACATTTGTGGGATAAATTCCATTGGGTCATGGTGTATAATGCTTTTTAAACTTTTAAAAAAAATTTTTAAGGTTAGTCAAGTAAAGCAGTGGGAGTGGAGAAGGAACAAAGAAATCTGTAACCGGCTGTGATCAATTATTTGTGTCACCACTGCATTTGGAGCAGCCGGTCATGGTGTATAATGCCTTTTATATGCTCCTAGATTATGTTGGCTAGTAATTTTTATATTTAATATTCATAGTATTTTTATTTCTATATTTGCAAGAGACATTGGCCTGTAGTTTTATTTTATTGTGAGGATTTTGTGTGGTTTGATTTCAGGGTAATACTCACCTCACAGAATAAATTGTTAAGTGTTCCTCCTTGTTTATCTTTTGTAAGAGTTCATAAAAAATTTATATTGATTCTCCCTTAAATGTTTGGTATAATTCACCAGTGAATCTATAGAGGCATGGGCCATTCTAGGAAGTTTCTCCATTTAGTAATTCGATCTCTTTACTTCTATTTGTATTGAGACTTTCTATTTCTTCTTGAGTCAGTTTTCAGCAGTTTCTATCTTTGTAGGAGTTTGTCCATTTTATCTAAGTTACGTTGTTTTTAGACATAGAGATGTTCATAGTATTCCCTTATAATCCTTTTGCTTTTTAAGGTTGATAATGATGTTTCCTTTTTTATTACTGATTTTTATAATTTGAGTATTCCTTCTGTGTGTGTGTGCCTGTCTGTCTGTCTCTCTCATATCAGTCTATCTAAAAGTTTCTCAGTTTAATCTTTTATAAATATTAGTTCCTTTTTCTATCATTTTTCTATTTTTCCACTATTTTTATTTCATGTATTTCTAATATAATCTTAGTACTTCCTTCCCTCTACTTGCATTATATTTTTTGTTTTTATTTTTCAAGTTTCTTCAGGTAAAAGGTAAAGTTAGAGATTTGAGATTTTTCTTGTCTCTAGTATAGGCATTCATAACTAAACATTTTCCTCTAAGCACTGCTTTAGCTGCATCACATAGGTTTTCATATATTCTGTTTTATTTTCATTTATCTCAAAGTATTCTTTTCCTTATTATCAAGTATATTACACATGTATATATTACAGGCCCAACAATAGAATTATATACACATTGATTTGTGCAATTGATTTGCATATCAATTAAGAGAAGAAGAAGCATACTATTATACTGTCTTTTACAATTACCTATGTAATACATTTACTAGTGCTGTGTGTGTGTGTGTGTGGTGTGTGTGTGTGTGTGTGTGTGTGTATTTGAATTAATGTCTTTCTTTCGGCCTGAAAAGCTTCTAGTGTTTCTTGCAAGTCAGGCCTACCCGTCTTTGATTCTGTTGGAGGGTCTTTAATTCTTAACCATGGTTTTCAAAGTTCTTTGAACATATTTAAAATAGACACTTTGAAGTCTCTGCTGAGTTTAACATCTCAGAAACCATTCCTATTGCCTGCTTTGTCTGCTGGATATGGGTTACACTTTACTGGTTTGTGTGTATGTATGTGTGTTTGCATATTTCATCTTTTTTGGGAAACTGGGACATTTTTTCATAGTGTATCATAGAAACTCTGGATTCTAATTCCTTCCCCTCCATCCCCAGGGTTTGTTCTTTGCTTCCTTGTTTACTTGTTTAATGATTTGTTTAGACTATTTCAGAGAAGTTGATTTTCCCCTCTGCATGTAGCTTGTAACAGAAACTCATATGGGGCAACCTTGGGCATGTATACAATATTCCTGACCAACCCTCCCCATATTCCTGTGATGTTAGCTAGGTTTGCATTGTTTGTTTCTCTCCCTGATCTCCCTGTTAAGCGTCTGGCTGATCTGCCTTTATTAGTATTACAC
Source organism: Homo sapiens (assembly GCF_000001405.40). Classification (NCBI taxonomy): domain Eukaryota; kingdom Metazoa; phylum Chordata; class Mammalia; order Primates; family Hominidae; genus Homo; species Homo sapiens. The sequence goes on from NC_000013.11 coordinate 23,154,369, forward strand.
CAGTTCTTAGCCTTTACTAATTGTTAGCTGATTCCTCTAATATTTTTGACAACATCTGGAGCATAAACTGTTCCATAATTTAATTTAATTACAGCCCAGTCCCCTTTTCATGGGTAGTCTTTGAGACCTCCTACAAGTCTAGGAGGACTCTTTTTTGCGACTTTTTTCCTGATGGTCTCTTAATTTTCTAGCTGGTCTACCATTTAGCTTTTTGTTATCATAAAGCTAGCAGTCTTCTCTTAATTGCTTACTGCCAAGATCTCCATTGTTTTTCATAGTGAACTTCTCCCCCATTCTGTTTCAAATAAAATCAGCTATGAAGTCCTCTATTCTTAAATCCTCCCTCTCGCCCTAGGAAGAAACTTTGTTCCACTGCTCCAGAGCTGGGGGTGGGGACAACAGGCTGCTTCTCTCAGAGTGACATCCCTGCTTCGTGAGCAGGACACTGAGTGGGGTTAGTAGCCCTTGGTCTTTTCAGCTTGCCTCTCCCAATATGGAACCTCCGCCCCATGTGTGGGCTAAGGCAGGGGTAGTAGTTGTCCAGTATTCTTCACCTGACACAATTTGAATAGAACTTCTACCTTACGGTGGTGGCTGGGTAGCAGGTGGCTGGGTAAAGCCCCAGTCCTTTCATCCACACTTGACTAGAATGGAGTTTACATACATGCTTTGGTGGACTAGGTGTGAGAATGATGGAGGCCAACCACCTCTGGAAAAAAACAAAATCCTGGACTGGTAACTGGGGTAGAGGGAGTCTATCTTCTTGGCCACACCTACCAAGAGTACAGCTTCCATCACACTGAGTTGGGGGTGGGGACTGAGTGGGTAGTGGTTCAAATGCCACAAACTCACACTGTTTTTACCAATATTTGTTAGATTTTAGAAATAAATATTTCTCCATTTGCTGTATGCCCTTAGGATGATTCCAGAGGCTTTAGTTAGTTTTAAAAAACAACAACAACAATTTTCAGTAACCAAAACAGCATGGTACTGATATAAAAGTAGATACATATACCAATGGACCAGAACAGAAATCACAGAAACAGGCCAGGCGCGGTGGCTCACGCCTGTAATACCAGCACTTTGGGAGGCCAAGGCGGGAGGATCACGAAGTCAGATCGAGACCATCCTGGCTAACTTGGTGAAACCCCGTCTCTATTAAAAAATACAAAAAATTAGCCGGGTGTGGTAGCAGGTGCCTGTAGTCCCAGCTACTCGGCTGAGGCAGGAGAGTGGTGTGAACCCGGGAGGCGGAGCTTGCAGTGAGCCGAGAATACGCCACTGCACTCCAGCCTGGACTGAATGAGGCTCCATCAAAAAAAGAAAACAGAAATCACAGAATAAAACCAAATATTTATAACAAACTATTATTCAACAAAGCATACAAAAACATAAATTGGGGACGGCATACCATATTCAATAAATGGTGTTGGGAAAACTGGATAGCCACATGTGGAAGAATGAAACTGGATCTCTTTCACCAACTACAAAAATCAACTCAAGGTGGATCAAAGACTTAAATCTAAGACCTGAAACCATTACAATTCTAGAAGAAAACTCAGGAAAAAACTCTTCTGGACATGGCTCTAGGGAAAGAATTTATGACTAATACCCTAAAAGCAAATGCAGCAAAACCAAAAATAAATACATGGGCCTAATTAAAGTAAAAAGGTTCTGCACCACAAAAGAAATAATCATCAGAGTAAACACACAACCCACAAAGTGGGAGAAAATATTTGCAAATTATGCAACTGACAAAGGATATTAGTCCAGAATCTATGAGGAACTGAAACTAATCAAAAAGGAAAAAAAAGGCCAGGTGCGGTGGCTCACGCCTGTAATCCCAGCACTTTGGGAGGCCGAGGCAGGCAGATCACGAGGTCAGGAGATCGAGATCATCCCGGCTAACACGGTGAAACCCCGTCTCTACTAAAAATACAAAAAATTAGCTGGGGGCGGTGGCGGGCGCCTGTAGTCCCAGCTACTCGTGAGGCTGAGGCTGGAGAATGGCGTGAACCCGGGAGGCGGAGCTTGCAGTGAGCCGAAATAGCGCCACTGCACTCCAGCCTGGGCGAAAGAGCGAGAATGCCGTCTAAAAAAAAAAAAAAAAAAACCCATGTAAAAGTGGGAAAATGACATGAATAGACATTTCTCAAAAGAAAAATGTACAAATGGCCAAAAACACGAAAAAATGCTCAACATCACTAATCATCAGGGAATTGCAAATTACAACCACAATGAAATACCACCTTACCACAGCCAGCGTAGGTATTATTAAAACTCAAAAAGCAACAGATGTTGGTGTGGATGTAGTGAAAAGGGAACGCTTATACACTGCTGGTGGGAATGTAAATTATTGTAACCTCTTTGGAAAACAGTATGGTGATTTCTCAAAGAACTAAAAGTAGATCTACCATTCAATCCAGCAATCCCATTACTAGGTATCTACTCCAAAGGAAAAGAAGTCACCATATCAAAGAGACACTTGCACGCATATGCTTATTGCAGCACAATTCACAATTGCAAAGATATGGAACTAACATAAGTACCCATCAACTGATGAGTGGATAAAGAAAATGTGGTACATATATGCCATGGAATACTACTCATCCACAAAAAAGAATAAAATGTCTTTTGCAGCAACTTGGATGGAGCTGGAGGCCATTATTTTAAGTGAAATCACTCAGGAATGAAAAAGCAAATACCGTATATTCTCACTCATAAGTGGGAGCTAAGCTATGGGTGCACAAAGGCATGCAGAGTGGTAGAATGGACATTGGAGACTCAGAAGCCAGAAAATGGGCAAGGGATAAAAAACTACATATTGTGTACAATGTATACGGCTCGGTGATGGGTGCACTAAAACCTCTGACTTCACCACTCTACAATTCATCCACATAACTATTGAAATTTAAAAATTACATCATCAGAGGCTGCGGCAGGAGAATGGCGTGAACCCAGGAGGCAGAGCTTGCAGTGAGCCAAGATCGCGCCACTGCACTCCAGCCTGGGCGACAGAGTGAGACTCCGTCTCAAAAAAAAAAAAAAAAAAAAACAATTACATCATCAGAATTTTAAAAAATAAAGTTCATTACAGCTAAAAATAAATTTCAAAATAAAATAAAAATAGTTCGATCAGGTAGAGTTGTTTCATCGGGGAGAGGATCTACAGAGAGATCTGCATGTCACCATTCCAGTGCTTTTCTTTGATTTTTTTTTTTTCCCCTGAGATGGAGTCTCCCTCCATTGCGCAGGCTGAAGTGCAGTTGCACCATCTCGCCTCACTGCAACTTCCACCTCCCGGGTTCAAGCGATTCTCCTGCCTCAGCCTCCTTGCTTTTCTTATTTATATGTACTTTCATATATCCTTTTAAAATTTATCTTTCTGTTTTACAATATAAACAATATATTGGCATTCACAGAAAATATACAATAAATTCATAAACGCATATAACTTATAAATAAACATACATGTATTGAGTTGCTCAAAATTCTTATTACTGGTAAGATGTTCGGTCCAGTCTGGAGATGGTATCCCTTGCCCACACCCCTGGTTGTTTTCATACACCACTTCGGATATATTTAGCTTTTTATCACGGGACTCATAAGTTCTCTAGATCCCCACTGCGATCGTCATCACCAGCACAAACTGTTGCTAATAATTTATTTCTAAGCCAACAAAGGAGAAGTTCTGGCTCTGAGATCAGATTAGTTTTGGCAATTAAAACACATTAATAACTTTTGAATTCTTTGGCAGAAATATTAAACTGCAGCCTTTACTGATTAGTACGGACATTTTTAGAGTAATAATTCACAATATCTGTCATTTGCTGCCTGTGAAATATGTAGGAAATTATTAATATACCCTTAATAATATATCTCTATATCCATCTTGTTTATCCTTTGCTCCTTGAGGGGGATATTTTTAGAAAATGATTATCACTGTCTATCAACTATAAGAGAGAGAAGTAATTAGAGAAGTATTGCACTGGACACTTCTGGAAAATTGGCTTTTCTCGTTTCAATTTCTACCTTTGCAAAAGTTTGCTTTTAAAAAGTGTAATCTAGAAGTTGTAAACATTTCTGCCTTGCAGTTATCCATTCTGTTACATTAAAAACATTTTAAAACGGTCCAACATCTTTATGTTTCTACTTGGTCCCAAATATGGTACCAGATTTTTACTGTAAAAAATCATAAAATACACCAGCATGATCCTTTCGGGAATATATTTGAAAGTTTACCTCCTTAGCACACTCACCAAACATCTTCAGATACCCATACCATTCACACAAAGCTGGTAAAACCAAGATGCTCCCCCGTGATGCATGTGTACGGAGAATGTCAACGAATAAATAAGTGAGTTAAATACACAAGCACTAATTAGAAAACTGTATTGAGAGGTGAGCCCAGCTGGACTTCCTGGGTGAAGTGGGGACTTGAGGAACTTTCCTCTCTTACAAGAGGATTGTAAAACACACCAATCAGCCCTCTGTAAAACACACCAAGCAGCGCTCTGTAAAACACACCAATTGGCGCTCTGTAAAACGCATCAATCAGTAGGATTCTAAAAGTAGCCAATCATGGGGAGGATTGAAAAAAGGGCACTCTGGTAGGACAGAAAAGCAACATGGGGGCGGGGCAGGGGAGGGAGAGACAATAAGGGAATAAAAGTTGCCCCCCATGCTGGCTGGAGTCTCCTTTCACAGTGTGAAACGTTTGTTGTTTTGGTCTTCACAATAAACCTTGGTACCGCCAACTCTTTGGTCCGTGCCATCTAAAAGCGCTGTGACACTCACCGCGAAGGTCCCGGCTTTATTCCTGAGACCACGAACCCACCGGCAGGAACCAACTCCAGACTACTATGTGCTACAGAGAACTTCTTCAGGCCTTGAAAATAGAACATAGTAAAAAGCGGCTTCTTTGTCCATGGATCAGCAGTCACTATTTCCCAGCTCGCCTCCAAGAGCTAACTAAAGTGCAGCATAAACTGCATGCAGCATTGTTTTCACCACAGCAAACCCTTCGGGGTGCCTCCTAGCGGCGGATGGAGAACTAGCATTGCGCGAGAGTGAGTAAACTGTGATAAACCCAAGGGGTTTGCGGGGGACAGGCTGGGTGGCAAGACTTTTAAAGGCTCGCAAATGGAACCACTCCCTCCAGAGGGACTATCTAAATCTCCTCAGGTGCTGACCCTTTCTGACAGTAAAGGACGAGGGCCAGAAGTGTAAAGATTGTGGTCCCGCGCTCCAAGCCCAAGATGCGTTCAGCAGGAGTAGTTGGGTTGGAAAGAAGGCACCCAGCGTCTGCAGCGAAGGACTCGCGTGGGAGCGAGAAATGTCCCTGCCCAGTGCCCCGCGCGCTGGATCGCGGGGGCGAGTCTGAGGGTGGAGAGGCCGCCGGGTGGAGGCGCGCAGGGGTGCGTGGGTGGGTGCGGAAGGAGTGCAGGGTATGGAGGGGAATCTTGGGGCGGCGCGAAGGAGGAGCGCTTGGAAAGGCGCGGTGTTTGGTCACAGAGGGGCTCGGAGTGGGAGTGCAGGGGTGCGGGGAGGGAGTGCAGGGACGCGGGGAGGGAGTGGAGGGGTGGGGACGTGCTGGAGGGGCGCGCCTCGATAGAACTGGAGAAACTGGAAAAGTGGAGGGGCGGGGCAGTGGCTGGAGGAACCTCTGAAGCGACGCGGGGAATATGTGAAGGAGTGCTATGTTGGAACTTGGAGGGGAGGGGGGATGCTGGAGAGGCACACGGTGATGGACATGGAAGGACCCGGGAGGTGTGGAGTGGTGGGCCCGGCCCGTCGCGGGAAGGACACAGAGGGACATAGGCTGCCCTGGAGAGGCGCTTTCGGACATCTGGAGGGGCGCATAGTGCTGGGACTTGGCGGCGCCTGGGGCGGAGGGGCGCGCCGGATCCAGCCGGGCGCGCTCGGGGGCCGGGCGCAGTGGGAGTTGACGGGCGTCCAGCCGGCGGCGCCCTGGGCTCGGCTAGGCGCAGGACGGCCCTGGCAGCGGTGCAGCAGCCCAGGCTAGTTCCTGGGGGGTCCCTGGTCCCCGCCTCCCCGCGCGCCCCGGCCAGCACCGCCCGGAGTCCGGGCGGGGAAGTGGGCGCCCGCGGCTTGGGAAGCTGCTCCCCCGCCCTGGAGCAGAGTCGTCGCTGCGGTCGCTGAGGAAGGACGGAGCAGAGGCCCGCGCTGTCTGGGGAGAAGACTGTGGTGTCATCCCGTCGGGAATGAAGGGAAATGCAGCGGCTGTTTGCGCCCCGGGACTCCAAGAAGTACAGCAGGTAAAGAGAATAGCCACGGCCCGCCACTTCGCCTTCAGTTCCCCCAATTCCTGGGTCCCTTCCTTCTCCTCCAACCTCCTAAACTAACCCCTCTGTTGTTAGACGTCCCTATGCCGGTTCCAGCCTTCCTCCTAGGACTCCATCACCACCCGTGCCCTCTTTCTCCTCGCCTTCTCTGCCCCAGACAGCACTTTCCTTCCCCTGCCCCCTTGTGGGGGCTCAGGGACAAGAGTAAAATGTAATTTAGACAGTTGGCTTTTCTTTGCCCAAAGACTTCACTAACTGATCCTCATTCTGCAATGAGACTTAATAACTTCCTGTGTGCGTGTGTGTGGTGTGAGAGAATCAGAGTGAATTGGTTCTCTGCAAATGATTTTGCCAAAAACTTTGCCCTGGGTTGCTTGCTGGGGAGTCTGTAACACTGAGTAAGCGGAGTGTCTGCACCAAGTGCAAAGTTGCGTAGGGGTTACTTGGGGGTTTTAGAGGGGAACTGAAGCGCAGCAGCGGGGCTCTGTCGTCTTCAATGGGATTACATAATAACTTGATGATCCTCACCACCCTTATACTCATTACCTCCATTAAGTACCACTAATTAATATTTACATATTTGCATGCTGTCACTTGGTTACATCAGCGTTAGCAAGTTGCTTGTTCTTACATCATTACCGAGTATTCTGATGTTTCTGAATGTTAGCACGGCACCAGCCAGTTGATCTGTGAAACATCTACTCATCCAGTGATAATATTGTACAGGCGGATTTTGTAATGCTGGCGCTCCATGTATATCCGTACTATTCATGTACTAATACTCCTGGCTGTTCCTTAACACAGGTAAATTGGTGCTAATAAAGCAATGGAATCGTATTTACATTTTTCAATGTAATATGGGTCTTCCCATGCTTTTCTTCCTTTGATATGAACAGACTGTAAAGAAGCTGTAAAGAAGAGATTGCACAATTCTATTCCAAAAGTACACATAAGCTAAAATCTTCGTTTTTGTTGACGTAATCTTTTGCTAACAGGTTCAGTGTCTCTGGTATTAAAACTTCCTTTCATGACAATATGCTTCCAAATTGACTAGCAAGCAGGCATCCATCCACATGTGTTAAAATATCTTACAGTAAACTTTTAAAGTTATACAGCAGTTATATCTTCAAATATTGTACTTAAGTCCTCTGTTCTTTTCATCTTTAATGTTTTTGCTGAATCAGACAGACACAATATTTAGTGGATGTTACACGTAAATAATTAACGTGTATGATACACTTAACACCGTGGCCTCACATGTGCCACGACTGTACTCTGTCAATCTTTCTTAAATCTCAGAAAAAAGGTAGTGATAAATAGCTCATTTAATAAATTCAAATGATCAGAGCTACATAGCCTAGCTAGTCTACATAACAGACTATAAAATCAATAAACTTTCACGTTGTACAAATAATTTATTTACATTTTAAAACTACTAAAACACCTCTCAGAGATAACCAGGATAATAATACTCCATTTTAAAAGTAACATTTTATAAATTGTGGGTTGGTAATATTTAAGATCATTTTTATTTAAATATGTATACACATATATACACACACTATTACATTTTAATCAGCATCATTATGTTATCTTAGGAATGGTTTTTTATTATTTGTCAGACTCTCACTTGATGTTTACTGCTTAAGACTGTATCCTGGGCGGGCGCGGTGGCTCACGCCTGTAATCCCAGACCTTTGGGAGGCCGAGGTGGGCGGATCACGAGGTCAGGAGATGGAGACCATCCTGGCTCCTGGCTAACACGGTGAAACCCCGTGTCTACTAAAAATATTTTTTTAAAAATTAGCCGGGCGTGGTGGCAGGCGCCTGTAGTCCCAGCTACTCCGGAGGCTGAGGCAGAAGAATGGCGTGAACCCGGGAGGCGGAGCTTGCAGTGAGCCGAGATCAGGCCCCTGCACTCCAGCCTGGGCAACAGAGCACGACTCCGTCTCTTAAAAACGAGCCTGGGCATCATGGTGAAACCCGATCTCTGCTAAAAATACAAAAATTATCTGGGTGTGGTGGCACACGCCTGTAGTCCCAGCTTCTCGGGAGGCTGAGGCAGGAGAATCACTTGAACCTGGGTGGCGAAGTTGCAGTGAGCTGAGGTCGCACCAATGCACTCCAGCCTGGGCGATAGAGTAAGACTCCGTCTCAAAAATAAATAAATAAATAATAAATAAATAAATAATTTAAAAAATAAGACTGTGTCCTACAAGAGACCTTATTGTACTGTGGGTAAAATACATAAATGTCTAGGGACATGGTTATAGTTAACTAAAAAAGATAAAGATAATTTTATTTCTTATTCTAAAATTGTAGGAAAATGATTTATATGGACATGATAATAGTGGTACAATAATTCATACTTAAGTGATGGTACCTTGTATTTTTTGAATGCCAATTTTCGTAGGTTTTCTGTAGTTAAATGTGAAGTAAAAAAATTGGTTGTGTGTTGACAGTGGTAACAATACAATGTTTTCTATACAGGGATCCCTGGTTAAAGTAAACTAGCATATACATTTCTAAACATGACATCTTCAAAATTAGGAAATAAAATTAACTACCTTAGCAACATGCATTTTGACATTTCATTTTGTTACATATGAGGGAAATATTTATGCCGGAATAGGAAACAGCAGGTAAAGTAAGAAAAGGGTAAAATGATACTTTCCAAGGTAATTTAAGGTCCTGGGGCCCTTTGAGAATCTGGTAATAGTTACAGATCTGCTGTCTAGAAAAATGTCTGGACCTAATACCTAATTTGGACTCAATTTCAATTAGGTTAATACCTAATTCAGACTTGGTTTGAAGAGGGGACCCAGTTCTGGACCCCTGAGTGGGATCACCTAAATTAAATCCCAGCATGGATGTGGGCTTGGTTGCTTCAGGTACAAAACCTTGAGTCATTCCATTATATCAAAGTATAGCTACATCAGTAATTAAATAATGAAAGCTGAACTGGACAAGTAACATGAATCAGATATCAATTTGTAAAAATACACTGTTTTTTGTCTAGTAGACTTTATTCAATATTTGTTGCTAAACTCTTTTTCAAAACTAAGATATAGTAAGTTACCTGAATAAGAAAAGGGAAAATTTTTAAACATGAAAAATTTAACTAAAATCATATTGAATTGAAGACAAAGGCCTAACTAGCAACCAGATATAAAAAGGCTAAAACTAAGTAATAAAGTTATACTTTTATAAGGAATGTTTATGAAAATCATTGAATTATTTGCATGAAATTCCATGGATTGTGTTACACTTGGGGTTGCCTTGCATTTTAAAGGCATGGTGATGCACAGAAATTGTAGTTGCAAATGCCCCCTGCATATTAAGTTCTGGTTGCATTCTTTTTCTCTTCTCTCCTGGTAGGCCCTGCTGTCCTGACCAGTCGCCTCAATTGGTAACCAGGTTTTTGTTTTCCTGTCTTTTTTCTTTAAGATTGTTGACTCAGTTTGTTTATAACTCCCCTTAATCCAAAATTACTTGCCAAAAATATGTATTATTTGTTTATAACTCCCCTTAATCCAAAATTACTTGCCAAAAATATGCAATAGATTATTCTCCAGATAGTTTAATTATCACAGGTACATGTAATATCATTGTACCATTACCTCTGTCTTCGAGCACTTGCTCTGAAAAGAAAGATGCTCTGTTTATTGTGTTGATGGAACTCCTACTTTAAGAGTCACTTTAGGTGTTTCATTTCATGTCACTTTCATACACACTCTGCAATTAGGACCTCATTTAACACGGAAGGAAACTGGGCCCAGAGAGGCTGTAATTCATTAAGGTAGTTAAACTGCAGAGGAATAAAGGAATATCTGAGGCCAGGTCATTTATAAAGAAAAGAGGTTTCCTTTGGCTCATGGTTCTGCAGGCTGTACAGGAAGCATGGCACCAGCATCTGCTTCTCGTGAGGGCTCAGAAAGCTTCCGTTATGGCAGAAGGGAAATAGGAACTGGCCTGTGCAGAGATCATTCGGCAAGAAAGGATGCAAGAGACAGGAGAGGTGCCACTCTGCTGTCCCATTAAGCTTGACACAGTCCGTCTCCTACTCCCTTTAGAAGCAATTCCATAACTCCACTGCTCTCCTCCGGCCTCCTGCCAGCCCTGCTCCCTACCACTCACAGCAGATGACCTCCCTGCTACTCTGGTGGCACTCAGGTGGAAGCTGATTTGCTCCTGCCCTCTCCAGTGACACCCTCCATCTGGGCCAGCATGTACCCTTCCCTCTTCAGGGCAGCCTGCTCCACACCCTTTCCCTTCCCATTTTCTCCTTCACCTACTCAGCCCTCTCCCTCTCCTGTGGCCCTCCCCTCCCACTGCACCTTCTCCTGCACTTTCCCTTGAGCATAAGCTCAAGATTAGATACTTATTTGAGGGTTATGTCAAAGAAGGACTTTCTGAGAGAGATGGCAGCTACACTTATGACTAGTTTATTAGAAACAGAAAATAGAAAAATTATTATCAGCCTAGCAATGAACTATTTGAATTAATCTTGTTTGGGGGCCTATTTTAATTTCATATTTGTAGAAAATGTTAATAAAATTATTTCATCATAATGTTAAAACATTTGGGTAAAGAGTGTTTTCAGGCTGTTTTTGAACAATGAAAGAGGATAAACAAAATGAATATTGCAGCATTATTCTCAAGTCCATAATTATGTTATATATGAGATAAGGCAAATAATATATGCCTGAGATTTCCTGGACTAAGTTTTGAACTACAAATGTTGGGATGGATAAAAAAGAACAAAACCATGGGGAGGAGATGAACAGTGAATTTTTTAATGCAAAAGTTAAGAGATTCCCCATTCTAAAATACTCATTTCAGTAGGAGGCAAACTTTTTTTTTTTTTTTGAGACAGAGTCTCACTCTGTTGCCCTGGCTGGAGTGCAGTGGCACTGTGTGCGTTCACTGCAACCTCCACCTCCCGGGTTCAAGCGATTCTGCTGCCTCAGCCTCCTGAGTAGGTAGGATTACAGGCGCTTGCCACCACGCCCAGCTAATTTTTGTATTTTTTTAGTAGAGACGGGGTTTCACCAAATTGGTCAGGGTGGTCTCGAACTCCTGACCTCAGGTGATCCACCTGCCTTGGCTTCCCAAAGTGCTGGGATTACAGGAATGAGCCACCGTGCCCAGCCTGTTTCAAATTCTACTTGTTCATTGCTGGCATTTATTAAAGCAGTCAATTTTTATATATAAACTTTGTATCTTGCAACCCTGCTATAATTGCTCATTAGTTCTAGCAGTTTTGTTTTCTGTTGTTTCTGATTTTCCAAATAGGCAATCTTGTCATTTGTGAACACGGTTTTAGTTCTTCCTTTCTAATCTATGTGCCTTTTATTTCCTTTTCCTGTCCTATTGCATTACCTAGGACTTCCAGCACAATGTTGAGAAGGAACGGTGAGAGGGAACTTCCTTGCCTTGTCCCTGGTCTTGGTGTAAAAGCTTTTCATTTCTCAACATTAAATATGATGTTAGTTGAAGGTTTTTGTACAAATTCTTTATCAATTCTCCTCTATTTCTAGTTTACCGAGAGTTTTGTTTGTTTGTTTGTTTGTTTTTTGAGGCAGAGTCTCGGCTCACTGCAACATCCGCCTCCCGAGTTCAAGTGGTTCTCCTGCCTCAGTCTCCCGAGTAGCTGGGACTACAGGCACACGCCACCAAGCCCAGCTAATTTTTGTATTTTTAGTAGAGATGAGGTTTCACCATGTTGGCCAGGATGGTCTCAATCTCTTGACCTCGTGATCTGCCCGCCCCAGCCTCCCAAAATGCTGGGATTACAGGCCTGAGCCACCGTGCCCAGCCTCTGTTCCAGTAAGTTGTGATTCCCTGTATTTGTCTGTCTGTCTCTCAAATTTGCCATAGCAGTCTACACTATGACCTTATTCCTCTTCTGGGTCTAAGAAAAGTTGGGGACTTTTCTGTTTGTTCAGTTTTTTACTTGTGGTTAGGATGGAGTGGCAACTCCTGAGTTTCTTGTGTGCCAGAGGGGAAATGGGAGGTCTGCTCTGCACTTTTCATGGTTGGTTCAATCTCATTATTCAGTGTTAGCTCGTGTGTCATCACAGAAAAACCTTTTTTATTTGTAAGGTTTGTAGGTACATAGTAGGTGTATATATTTATGAGGTACATGAGATATTTTGATACAGGCATGCCATGTGAGAGAATCACATCATAGAGAATGGGGTATCCATCCCTCAGGCATTTATCCCTTGTGTTACAAACAATCCAATTATACTCTTTTTATTTTAAAGTGTAAAATTAAATTATTATTGACTATAGTCATCCTGTTGTGCTATCAAACACTAGGTCTTATTCTTTCTATTTTTTAACCCATTATCCAAACCCCTGCCCCTACTTTCACTACCCTTCCCAGCCTTTGGTAACCATCCTTCTACTCTGTCTCCATGAGTTCAATTGTTTTGATTTTTAGATGCCGCAAATAAGTGAGAACATACAATATTTGTCTTTTTGTGCCTGGCTTATTTCACTTAACATAATGTTCTCCTGTTCCATCCATGTTGTTGCAGATGACAAGATCTCATTCTTTTTTATGGCTGAATAGTACTCCATTGTGTACATGTGCCACATTTTCTTTGTGGCACATTTCCATTAATCTGTTGATGAATATAGGTTGCTTCCAAATCGTGGCTATTGTTAACAGTGCTACAACAAACATGGGAGTGCAGATACCTCTTCAATAGACTGATTTCCTTTCTTAGGGGTATATACCCAGCGGTGGGATTGCTGAATCTCATAGTAGCTCTATTTTTAGTCTTTTTCTCCAAACTGTTGTCCATAGTGGTTGTACTAATTTACATTCCCACCAACAGTGCACAAGGGTTCTTTTTTCTCCACGTCCTCGCCAGCATTTGTTATTGCCTGTCTTTTGGATGTAAGCCATTTTAGCTGGGGTGAGACAGTATCTTGTTGTAGTTTTTATTTGCATTCCTCTGATGATCAATGATGTTAAGCACCTTTTCATATGCTATTTGCTATTTGTATGTCTTCTTTTGAGAAATATATATTCCAATCTTTTGCCCTTTTTTTTTTTTCTTTTTGAGACAGAGTCTTGCTCCGGCACCCAGGCTGGAGTACAATGGTACCATCTCAGCTCACTGCAATCTCTGCCTCCTGGGTTCAAATGATTCTCCTACTTCAGCCTTCTGAGTAGCTGGGATTACAGGCGCGTGCCATCACACCATACTAACTTTTTGTATTTTTAGTAGAGACGAGGTTTCACCATGTTTGTTGGCCAGTCTGGTCTTGAACTCTTGACCTCAGATGATCCGTGTGCCTCGATCTCCCAAAGTGCTGAGATTACAGGCATGAGTCACTGCGCCTCGCTCCCTTGCCCATTTTTTAAATTGGATTATTATATTTTTTCCTATAGAGTTGTTTGAGCTCCCTAGATATTCTGGTTATTAATCCCTTGTCAGATGGGTAGTTTGCAAATATTTTCTCCCATTCCGTGACTGGTTTTTTCACATCGTTGTTTGTTTCCTTTGCTGTGCAGAAGCTTTTTAACTTGATGTGCCAGAAAAACCTTCTTTACCATTATATTTAAAATATACTCCTAGTGATCCTATTTATTCCCTTAATTTGTCACTATAGAAAATTGTCTTATTTTTCATATTTAAATATGAGAAATTTTCATACATACTGGCTGTTTTCCCTAAACTATAATATAAGCTCTAAGAAGTCTCTAGAACAAGAGACCTCTTTTGTCCTGTTCATGGTGGTATCCTCAGCCCTGGAACAGTGTTTGGCACCTAGTTGGTGCCTGTTGGACCAAAGACAGCAGTAGTAGCCCCAGCAGGGTGCTCGTGCCTTTGCCATACAGCTAATTCAGTACATAACGCAGCTTCTCAGTACAGGCTTGAGGACAGTTGGTAATTAATTGCATCACTGTAACCTCTGTATACAATAATGGACATTTCCATGCAGTTACTTAAAAATCTATTACTTTTCTGTCTTCAACAAGAACTACATTTGTCATCTATTCTAGCAGACAAACATTTTTTAATATTAGCAAAGGCCTGCTCACATACATGACAGAGATAATCATTGATAACAATTATCTAAATAAGGCATGATTGATAGGCATCTGCTATTAATATGCACTCCATTGTGTTATTATCATATTTTACCAAATCTAAGATGCCCATTTTTCTCACATTTAATAGCTCTGAAATTGTGAGGCATATTACATTCAGTAATATGGTTTAATTTGCATTGGAATTTCCTTTCTTAATAGCACAAAATTAATGGTATTCTTATAATCATCATTCTTAGATTTGTTGAGATACAGTATATCAGAAAGTCAAGAACTCATCCATAAGGTTTAGTAATTTATATATATATAAATATATTTTTTAAATTTAGAACTGTCATCTGAAGTTTTCCCACTAGTCCTCTCTTGCAAAACCTAGTAATCTTTCTCTACCCTCATTTTTGACCCCCTTCCCACCCAGAGCACAGGAGAACACTGAACAATCCTCCTCATTCATGTGAGCCAACACTGATGATGTGGATTTCCATAACCTGTAAGTTCGGTTTGCATGACTGATGGCAGGGAGTCATTCAAATTTGTGTCCACCTTCTCTCCTCATTTTTAAATACTTCTTTCTACTTCTGGTTGCATTCTCCCTCATTCTTCCATTTGTCAGGAACTAACACCACCATCACCCTGTGGAAAAAAAAAAAAAGGTAGCCGGCGCGGTGGCTCACGCCTGTAATCCCAGCACTTTGGGAGGCCGAGGCGGGTGGATCACGAGGTCAAGAGATCGAGACCATTCTGGCCAACATGGTGAAACCCCGTCTCTACTAAAAATACAAAAATTAGTTGGGCATAGTGGTGCATGCCTGTAGTCCCAGCTACTCAGTAGGCTGAGGCAGGAGAATTGCTTGAACCAGGGAGGCAAAGGTTGCAGTGAGCCGAGATCTTGCCACTGCACTCCAGCCCAGCAACAGAGAGAGACTCCATCTCTCTCTCTCTCTCTCTCTGTCTCTCATACACACACACACACACACACACACACACACACACACACACACACGCAACTTCTTTAGATTATTGCATTGGTTTGCCTCAAACTTGTATTGGATTCTTCGTGTTGCAAATGATCAAACACCAACTATACAGTTTTGAACAACAAAGGCAATTTATTGACTGGCATAACGGAGAAGCACAAGATTGGGGCTGGTTTGGGCATGCCTTGATCCATGGCCTAAGCATGGCCATCAGTTTTTCTCTGTCCTCAGCCCTGTTCTCTGCTGCGTTGGCTGGCTTGTGTGGCTGCTGACAAATCCAGGCTTCAAGCACTATCCGATTCAGGGCAAGCGAAGAAGAAAGTGTGTCTTTCTAGTGGCAGAAATAAAAGTAGTGGAATTTGCTCTAATTAAGCCTAATTGGCTTGGATTGAATCCTTCTAAAATAATCTCTGTGAACAAGAGAATATCTGATTGGCCTGGCCTGTCCTGAGTCACATGAAATCCCACAGAATCTAATTCTTGGTATCAAACAGCTTTATTTCTTTCATGTTAAGGAACTGGGCTGGGTGATATATTTAATGTACTTAGGGCCAAACCCTTCATTTCTTCCTTTAATTGGAATCCTCCTTTCCTATGAAAACAAATGGACTTTGTGATCATTAGCTTAGTGAGGGTAGTATACACACATTAATTGAAATGATTTAAATTAAATGATGTAAGATGTTTGCTGGAGCCAACTGGCACATATGGCAGAGAATCAATGCAAAGAAAGTTTGAGTAGAAGGAGGGATGATAAAGACGTGAGCTTGTCTATGTGTCCATGAAATGTCCCTGCCTATGAGTCTTCAAACACAAGGAGCTAAAGCCACCTGAATTGCTGCTTCTCCTCTTCCTGTTGTTGCCTTCTTCTTCTGGTGTCTTTTCCCCCAGCCTCAACGTTAATTGTCTTGCCACCACCTTTGTGACCTCATGACACAGCATGTCTGTTATGGTGCCTCTGGTATCCAGGCACACATTTTCAGAGGACAAAGATTTCTTGAGGGAACAGGATGGTAAAGACTTCTAAGTAGCTGGCATGAGGATGAGAGGTGAGGAGCGCAGTGACCCTCAGAAGTAACCTGAGAGAGGTAGTGTCAGGAGCAAGACAAGTGCAGCTGCATGGGAGTCTAGCTTCTCTGCCTTCAGCCTATGACCGTGCCCCTGTGTGTGGTCAAGCCTAATGACCTGCATGCATCATAGCAGAGGAAGCTGTTGACCCATGATGTCGATTTGAAAGCTAAACTATAAAGAAAATAGTATAATTTGGCTTGATTGTATAAAAGTGCTATGCTATGGTCTGCCTATGAGAGTTAATTACTAATTGAGCACATAAATGGTAAGATACACCATTAAGTCAAAATGTCTTTATCGTATCAGGCATATCATTAGGTAAACCAAGATACTTTTATCATAAAGGCTACATGTATCATAATCTGTAAGTCATGTATCTTATTTCTTTTTGATAAATTCACTCAGCATTAAGGAATAATTATAATAGCTAACCATTTAACATGTATTTTACTACATGTCAGACACCTTTTGTACATTATCTTATTTAATTATTTAATTAACCTTAAATGGGAGATAGTATTATTCCCAACATTAATAGGAGAACATTGACCATTGAAGAAGATAACTTACTTAACATTACACTGCTGTTAAGAAAGTAAATTTAAAGCTCAGCTGACTTCAAAGCCTGAGATTTTTGTTATCTCTAAGGAAAGATAGAGAACAGAAGATTTTGAAATTAACGCCATGTAATGTTAATCAGAATCAGAGTACAGGATATCAGCCAAGCTGTCAAACCAAGGAGGCTATAAGGCATCTGCATCTGACTTTTTGGGATCTAAGGCAGCAGTCCCCAGCCTTTTTGGCACCAGAGACCAGTTTTGTGAAAGACAGTTTTTCCATAGATGGAGGACATAGGGGATGGTTTCAGGATGTAACTGTTCCAGATAAGATCATCAGGCATTAGAATCCCATAAGATGGATGCCACCTAGATCCCTCTCATGAGTAGTTCACAATAGGGTTCACACTCCTATGAGAATCTCATGCCTCCACTGATCCGACAGGAAGCAGAGCTCAGGCATTAATGCTCACTCACCAGCCACTCATCTCCTGCTGTGCAGCCCGGTTCCTAACAGGCCATGTACCAGTATCGGTTCATGGCCTGGGGGTTGGGAACCTCTGATCTAAGAGGCTGAGCCAAAGTCATCAACACTGAGGATGCTATTCAAAATCAGGGAGGCCAGGGTTGAGACCCATACCGTATAATTGAAAGGAGTCAGGTTTCCTGTAGTGGGAAGATTGCCTTTGGACTTGAATGTCTGATCACAAGTCATCTCCACTACCTCTTACTCCTGGATTAACCTCTCCTTACCCATACTTTTATTCCCTGAGGCATTTGCAATGTTGCAATTGCGATATTGCGTGATTTCATGTCTGTATTCCAGGGAGCCTTTGAGGGAGATGTCCAATAAGCTCTAAGAATATGTGGTTTTCTCTTTTCTCTTTTTCTTCTTTTCAAAGAAGAAAGTTGGTTTGTTTTAAGGTTTAGGTTGGCAATCTCCACGTTTGTTCATGAATTAATAAAAAACATAACACTTAGGAAAGTCACTGACATATCTCAATATGTGTTGACTTTTATACATTTATAAATTATATTCAAATATTACTATAGTATGCATATTTAAAATACATACAAATATTAGAAAATTTAAAATAATTAGTAATAACGATTTGTGCTGTTGGAGAATCAACTACCACTAGGTCTCTTCCAAATACATTAAAGTTTTCCTTTATTTGCTTCCACAGCCCTTAGTTCACGTCTAAATTGTATTGCTAACCATATTATTGAGTATGTAGCTATCTGCCTCCTCAGTGGGAAAGAAAGCTACTTAAGCATAGAAAGTTTATGGTTTAAAGTTAATGGTTTACTGATCATTTCATTAATTTAGCAAATAATTAATGAGCATCTAGAGACTAAGGATATGTAGGTATCAAGACTCAGTCTCTGCCATCAAACTTAGTATCAAGTGATGGATGAACAGGTTATAGACAAGGAACAGTCACAGATTAGCCTATGCTGAAGGCCAGGAGTAGGATGAAGGTGCTTAGGGGGACACCAGTCCTGCAAGAAAGGAGGAAGTGGGAGAAAAGGGTTAAAGAAGGACACATGTTGATACAGAATAGCCCCTACTACGTAGTAGATTCTCAACAAAGATATGTGGTTGTCAAATGCTGATATTAATATTTTTTGTGTTTGAGAAGATTGAGAAAAATCATATCTCTATTTACCGCCCACTTTCTGAACCAATTGAAAAACAGACAAAAGAATGAGGCCAGTGAAGCTCTGTCAGTTATTTTATAAATGGAGCTGTTAGAGAATATATCCTAGATGTGCAGCAGTGGTGGACTCCTAATGTTACATTCTGGGCAAGGATCTACCCACTCACCCACCAGGTAGCGCTGGGAAATCATGGGTCTCCAAAGGGAAGACTGCATCTTAAACTCTCAGCATCAAAGATCCATGCAAAAAGTGTCCTCTCTGCAGACATGAAGCCAGGTCCCTAAAGAAGGAGGAGGAGTCACACATGCAGGCCTGCTTTCTTACTCCAGCTCACAGATGAGGTGCATAAATCCACTTTTCTTGGGAAGAAAAATTGAAGAGAGTCCAGGAATGTTACTATAATGGAAGAAATCATCTCAGAGAAGGAGTGTTTCTTACACAAATGAAGATTTCCAAAGATTTTCAATGGCCAACATACTTTCAAAGTTCCTGGGCACAGATCACTCTATTTCTCTATATCCAGACTTCTGATGTTCTCTGTTCAGTTCTGCTATTTTCCTCCAAATTTACTTTATGTCATCTATTATTATTTTCATAATTGCTACCATCATCCACTTTCTAACCCATCATCAGAAATTTCTGGTCAAGGTAAAGAAATTTAGGAACATTCATGTAATATAACTTTAGTATTCTTACTTGATAATAACTAGTTTGCAATAAGAACAAATACATTTAAATTTTATAACTGCATGCTGTCTTCTCTTTGATCACATCAGATATATAAAATGTCAGATGAATGTAAAAGGAAATAAATTGGGAATAATATTAATTTTACCAAAAGATAGGCACAGATACCTTTAAACAGTAATATATCTTACTCAGTGTAAACTAGAAATGAAAATTAGGACAGAATTACGTCTCTGCAGGAACTCTTAATGATAGATGTCAGTGCAGCAAGGACTTCAAAGTTCAGTAGGAACTATTTCAATCCAGAATTCTATGCTAAATGAAATGAATTATTAACCAATTTGAGAGCAGAATAGATAAATTTTCAGACACCAAAAGTGTCAGACAATCTGCTTCCCAACCCTCCTTTCTGAATAATTATTGAGGTTGCACTCCATCAAAGCAAGGGAGTAAATGAAAGAACATGAGTGAAGGTCCAGAGAACAATTAGCCCAGCTCAAGAGAACACTGACACCTACTCAAGGCCACAGCTGTGGGAGCCTCAACCTGCAGATGGGGACAGGAAGAGGGAGAGCCTGCATCACACCAATACCGCAGAAAAAGGAGATTGTGTACAATGGTCATGATTACTACAAGTTTGGCCGAAGCTTGAGGATGTGATAGAGGTAAACAATACAAGAAACGAAAAGGAAGATAGTTAAAAAACAAGGGAAGTGGAGGTTAGTCACACGAGAAAGTCATGATCCAACCATGACAGAAACTGTTTATAATGGAAAATGAAGGCAAGTACATTTCAAGGAAAAAAAATGGAATCGATTCCATATAGTAGATTAAAAATAAAAGTCAGGAGACAACTAAGATAGAATGTCAGAGACATATTTCACATAATTTCTTCTTGTAACAGAGAAAAACAAAGGAATTCAGAAATTCCAACAATAAAAGCTGTGTGGGAAAAGCCGTAATGTCAATATGAAGCAATTAAAATATTCAGAGGGATAGTTTTAAAAGTAGATTCCATTTGGAACTGGTAATAGAAACACTGAGTGGCACTGGTTATAAAATCAGTATTTGTCTATGAAAGGAAACATAGTTATAAAAATGTGAACACCGTTTGTTGCATTTTTATTTTTTTAATCAAGCTGGTCAAATCACAGGAGATGCCATTATGGTTTTCAAATGGAATGGAATGGAATCAGCTTTGACCATGTAAAAGTGCAGGTAAACTGAAAGGAGGGCTGGAGACGAGAGCGGCGTGCACCATGGTCACAGGTGGAGGATGGAGCAGCCGCAGCAACAGTGCACTCAGTTAAAGAGCACGAGGGTCAGGATATACTCTCTATAATTTTGAAACAAGAAATAAATATGTAAGTAGACTGTGAAATTGCCAAGTTGACCACAGAAGGAGCTGAAAGAGGTGATAGAACTACATAGGAGAAAGGAGGAAAGTGCTGCAGGATGAAAACCTGCGTGAACAAATTGGATAGATCATGTCTGGAGTTAATACACTGAGACATAGCAATAGGAGGCTAATTAAAGGTAAGAGGTAAGTATGAAAAGGATGAGCTAAGTAGTGACCTCAGACACATGGAGGTAGAGGTGTAGTGGGGAAAAGAAGAGATTTTATTCTAAGCAGGAGATTTTATTCTAAGCCTTTCTGATTGATTTCCTTTTTACCATGCATAGATTCTACTTTGATAATTACTCTTAACATATTTCCTGTGATTCTGATATGCACACATCACACTTACATTCTCTGCCCAAATAATCATTGCCCAAGAAATCTATACTTGATGGAGTTGCAATATCTGTTGCTTACAAATTATTCAAGGTCATGAGTTCATGGAAGCCAGTGTATAACATAATACGGAAATTTTAGGTAGTACTCTATTTTCTCCCCTGAAATCTGAGTTTTCTTTTTCTTTTAGCCTTTCTTACACCTAATTTCTCCAGCATCTCAATGATTTCTTATTTATTACATATGAATTTCTCCCCTCTATCTTCTTTTAGAATACTGAGTTCAATTTTTATAAATATTGACTTCCAATTCCCCAAAGGTACCATGAAAAAAATACATTTAGTAGTCTAATGATCAAATATTTAATTGATATAACAATTTACAGGGAATATTAATTATATTAGTTAAAATGTGTTCACTGTGTGATTCCTATTGATAAATAATCAAAGAATATGAGTGAGAATCATCCAAGTAATTACAATCCAGATGAAAACTCTTAGTTTTCAGTTGAACATAAAATCATTTGATTACTCATTTTGTTTATGTGAAAGATCTATGGCCATCTATTTTGAAGATTGTAACTTTAATTAAAGAGGCAAATAATTGACATAGTATTTCTGAAAGCTTTTAAAGTTTGTTACTTACAAAATAATTTAATTTGCATTCACATTTAATTTGTCCCCAAAACCAAACTTTTATTACTGTTATACTGACCTCTTCTGGATACTTCCTATAATGTCAGCCATATACTATGATAGCTCAAGTTTTTTAATGGAATTAATATCATTTTAAAAAAAACTAATAAAGCTGGTGTAACTTGAGTTTAGTTCATTGACGGCTCACTACATGTAGACATTGAACAAAGAGTTTATGGTCTGGTAGAGAGGACAGCATAGACAAGTAATGACAACAAAAATACAAGTAACTACAGTTAAGTTTCAAAGTACATATAGATCTAATATTTGCTTTATATATTTGGGTGCTTTACTGTTGGGTGCATATATATTTATAATTGCTATATTTTCTTGCTGAAAATGTTCCTTTATCATTATATAATGACCATTTTAATCTTTTTTTTATAGTTTTTGACTTAATGTTTATTTTTTCTGATACAACTACCCCTGTTTACTTATGGTTTCCATTTGCAGGGCGTATCTTTTTCCATCTCTTTGCTTGTAGTCTATGTGTGTCCTTATAGGTGCAATAAGTCTCTTGTGGGCAGCATACGGTTGGGTCTTTTTATCCATTCAGCCACACTATACCTTTTAGTTGGGGAATTTAACCTATTTACATGGAAGGTTATTGTCGATAGGTAAGGACTTATTCCTGCTATTTTATTAATTGTTTCCTGGCTGTTTTGTAGATTCTTTGTTTCTTCCTTCCTCCCTTGTTGTTTACCTTTGTGGTTTAGAGGTTTTCTGTGGTGCCACTACTGGGTATATATCCAAAGGAAATGAAATCTGTATGTCAAAGAAACATCTGCATCCCCATGTTTATTTTAGAACTATTCACAATAGCCAAGATATAGAATCAGCCTATGTGTTTTAACAGTAGATGAATGAATAAAGAAACTGTGGTATATATGCATGGTGTAATACTGTTCGGCCTTTTAAAAGAAGGAAATCCTGTCATTTTGAGAACATGGATGAACCTGAAGGACATCATGTTAAGTAAAATAAGCCAAGCATGAAAAGACAAATACTGCATGTTCTCACTCATATGCAAAACCTTAGAAGTTGATCTCCTAGAAGTTGAGAGTAGAGCAATGATTACCAGAGAATGGGGAGGGGAAGGGGAAGAAAGGGATGAGCTTGGTCAGTGGGTAAAAAGTTAGAATTAGAAAGGTTTGGTGTCCTGTTGCATAGTAGGGTGACTATAGTCAACACAAAGGTATTGTGTATCTCAAAATAACTAGAAGAGGGGATTTTGTGTGTTCCCACCTTAAAGAAATTATAAATGTTTGAGGTGATGGATATGCTAATCAGGATAAATCGGGATAAAAAATTATCCTGATTTGATCATTACTTAATGTATACATGTATTGAAGTATCACGTTGTACCCAGTAAATATATACAATTAATATGTGTCCGTTTTTTTTTAAGTATAGAAAACTGATAGTGGCATGTGAGCAGGCTTTTTTTTTTTTTTTTTTTTTGAGACAGAGTCTTGCTCTGTCACCCAGGCTGGAGTGCAGTGGTGTGATCTCGGCTCACTGCAACTACCACCTCCCAGGTTCAAGCGATTGTCCTGCCTCAGCCTCCCAAGTAGCTGGGATTACAGGTGTCTGCCACCATGTCCGGCTATTTTTTTTTTTCTGTATTTTTAGTAGAGGTGGGGTTTCATCACGTTGGCCAGGCTGGTTTTGAACTCCTGACCTCAAGTGATCTGCTCACCTTGGCCTCCCAAAGTGCTAGGATTACAGGCATGAGCCACCACGCCCGGCCTGTGAGCAGACTTTTAAAAGTTAAATTATAGTTCATCAGTAGAAAAAGATGGGAGGTAACCCTAGTCAAAGATAGCCAGGCACCCAAGGGCATTGTCACTTTTGTGATTCCAAACTCCCCAGGACAAGGCACAGAAGAGATGAACAGGGCCCATCACTGAAGGCATGTGTGTCAGGTCAAGAACTTGGTCCTGCACCTGGAGGCTTGATGAAGGGCTTTAGGCCAAGGAGTGATATGGACAGAATTACCTGTTCTCATCATTCCTCTGGCAGTCCCTAGGTGTGTAGGATGGGGGCTGGCAGTTCCCGGAAGCAGAGGAAGTAGGTACTTGGCTATAGCAATAGGTGATGCCAGAGAAGGTGAATCTCCAAGTCAGGCAGGAGCAAGGAGGGAAGGCAAGCAGAGCAGGAGGTTCTGCAGAGGGAATCCACTGAAGTTAGTGACTGGTAGACTGGTGAGTGAGGGAGAGCCCTAAGTCTGTCTTCTGTGACATTCTGGGGGATGGCATCGTCAACCGAGGAAGGAAAGATGGACAAAAGAGCAGTGGGTGTTGTATTGGAGGAATTGTGGGGAGACAATGCGTGTTGTATTGGAGGAAAGGCTGAGCAGTTTTGAGGGATTTAGTCACAGTAATCCATGACTGCAGTTAGCTTATAACGTCATGAGAACTATTAAAATGAGACTACTATCCATATATTTATAACTTCATTTGGGCCTTGGACATGGCCTAATATGTTTCACTAGTCAATTGACAACCCAAATCATTAAAATACTCCGTTATTTTCAAATGTTGAACTTTCTCATTCCCCTATTTCCACATTCTCTCTCTACAGATAACCTCACCTCTTACTTCATCTCAAAATAGAAATGATTTCTCCAAAACTGACGACATCACTACTGAAATTCCTTGTTTTCACTGGTTCTGAAAGTGATCCCCCGAACCCAACCACTTAAGCCAGAAACAGGGTTATCAATGCCCAAACTGAAGGAAGAGCTTGATGAGATGGTGTCAGGAAGAAAGGTCAGCGCTAACTGATGACTGCAGTAGTCAAAAATGGAAGCAGAGGGAGAATGAGGGGGAAGCCAGAAAGGTCCCCATAGGTTCGTAGGACCATGGTTGGAGCACGTTTACAGTGGAGCACCCAAGCACCAAATTAGGCCTAAGGACTTTCAAAGTCACTTCTACCCATAGGCTTACTAGCTTTGTAATCTGGAACAAATTATTTTACACCTAAATGACTGTTAGACTAGATTTCTTTAAGGTCTCTTGGAGCTTTAAAGTATTATGATTCCTTTGAGAACATTTCAAAATGTGTGTGTGTGAGTTACAAACTTAAGCTGCCTACATTACAAACTGAAGGTCTTGCTTTAATAATTTCAACTAACTGATAAAATCAAAGGCTTCTTTATGTGATTCTTCTGCCCTACTAAACATAGGTGTGGATAGTATTAAATGAATCTGTAAATATGAGTGGGGATCAAACACATCACCTGACTAACATTTTTACAAAGCAGTTCCCAAAACACTGAAAAGTTCATTGCAACAAAACCAATTTACGATTGATGAAGAGGTATCTCAATTGTAACCTTTACATGCATGACATTTCAATCAGAATATTGAGTTAGCAGTTTCAGACTTTGACTTTTCAGACATACACTCATACAAAAATACATTTCATATCATTATTGTTTAATATATTATTTTTGTTTAAAATTGATAGTTGTCCTATAATTTTATGTCTAGCTGAATTCCCAAAGTAGAAGTACTAATGTGCAGAGAATTCATGAAAGGTTTTAAAATGTCTTACAAATGTAAGATTATTTGAAGCTGTATCAGCTTGTAATTTAAGGCCTGCAGCTGCTGGTATGATAGAAGTATCAAATTTCAAAAGAAATTATGGTAGAGTATAAATAAGCAGAATGAAGAGAAAAGTCTCCTGAGAAGAAAATAAAATGAGAATGAAGCATATGCATTGTTATTGCATTGCTCCTTTTTTTCTTCATTTTTTATTTCAGGTTCGAGGGGTACATGTGCAGGTTTGTTACACAGATAAATTGCATATCACCAGGATTTGATGTACAAATAATTTCATCGCCCAGGTAGTAAGCCCAGTACCCGATAGACAGTTTTCCGAACCCCACCTTTCTCCCTCCCTCCTTCCTCAAGCAGGCCCCAGTATCTGATTGTTCCCATCTCTGTGTGCATGTATACTAAGGCACTGCTTCTTATATTCAAGGTTTAGTACTAAAATGCAAATATGAAGTATATAATTTAGTAAGTTTTAATCCTGCTGCAAACCAGGTCACATAAAAATAATGCAAAATAAAATATTAAAATTATTCAGAAGTTCGATATTTATTCTGTTGTCTTTACACCTTATAAAATGGAATGACCTAATTACTCTTAAATAAACATAAAGACAATTTAAGGTCACATTTGTTACATTCACATAATTTGTTAAACACAATAGAAATGTTAGTTTACTAGAAAAGAACTGTCATAATTTTAACATGCAGAGTTTGTTTACCTTCTATTATGGTGATCTTTGTTTAAGATTTTCTCCTCAGATGTTAAAAGTTTTTCACTTAAAGAGGCTTAGGGAAAGTGATTTTTAAAGAGTCACTGTTACATGGTAATATGCCGTTCATTTGGATGAGACTAGTATATAGGTAATAGTCACAAGTTCTAACTTGCATGTTAATTTGAAGAGATTTTTCGTAAAATTTTATCAACATTAGTTTCTAATGGAAACCAGTCTTAGAAGTTTTCTGCTGTTTGTTTGAGGTAAAGTTTTTTTAAGAAAGTTATAATTACATTAAACTATCATGCTTTAGGGTTTAAATGTTGGAAAGTTGGTTTTGTAAGAAGAAGAGTTTGGTTTCTTGTTTGTTTGTTTGTTTTGGTTTGTTTTTGGCATGCGAAGAGCTGTGTCCTGGAATTGGTGCCCAAAAAATTTTAAGTGTGGTATGAACTGTTTATGTCACTGAGTAAAATTAGACACGTCTGTTGCTAATGTGAGGGGATGAAACATGAGACAGGGCGAAACTCGTGAGAGCCCTTTCTCCAGGGACAGTTGCTGAAGCTTCATCCTTTGCTCTCATTCTGTAAGTCATAGAAAAGTTTGAAACATTCTGTCTGTGGTAGAGCTCGGGCCAGCTGTAGTTCATTCGCCAGTGTGCTTTTCTTAATATCTAAGGTAAGTGCTCAGTTTTAACTTAGATTTTATATCAGTACAAAGTACTACCTAAAAACCAAACGCTTAAGAGGTTTCTTAATATTCTTTCTTCTTTGGTGGCATAATAATAAATTTAAAATAATGTTGAATAAATTGGTGTATCACAACATAATGACATATCAAGTATCAATGAAATTCTCATTTCAACTAAGTTATTCTGACTACAAATATGCTA
The DNA here is from genome assembly GCF_000001405.40 of Homo sapiens. Lineage (NCBI taxonomy): Eukaryota > Metazoa > Chordata > Mammalia > Primates > Hominidae > Homo > Homo sapiens. The sequence goes on from NC_000013.11 coordinate 23,181,290, forward strand.
CATATTTTTAGCATAATCCTATATTTCTAACATTTTTAATTTGTAGAATGCCAAAGGTAGCATTTCTGTATTATTGGGCATTGAATTGGATCCTGTAGTTAATTTAAACAAAGTATTATCTTTAAGATCACCTACTTCTAATTCTGCTCTTAAACTTTAGTGGTAGAATTACATTTGCTTTAGATTTTCTTGATAGTTTTGTTATAGACACTAAGAAATAAACTAAAATGAATGACAACAAAAGTCCAGTGGTTTTATAAGTTGGAAATAAACAAAACAAGAGCAAAATAGCAACCTGACTCCTTCACTATTTTTGGAGTGAAAAGGGAAGAATGTTTCTTTCCCTAAATCTGGAAAATATAAAATACTGCTCAAAATATGTATGAAAAAATAAACATAAGTGGGGTAAAAGTACACATGTGCTAATGCTTCAGCTTACTGAAGTTATGAGTTCTTTCTTTGCGTTTTCTAAATTAATACATGACAACTAGCAAACACAATTTTTTTAAAGGAAGGATTAGAAAAAAATAATACGGAAAAATATAACTCAGCTGACTGAAAGATTTGCCAGCAGACCAGTACAAAAACGAACTACGGAATACACCGTTTGTTTTTTGCTTATTTTCTTGCAAACATTTTGTAGGTACAAAAAGGCACCTTTGTGGAATTTAAAAAGTAATGCTACAAGTTGGGGTTCGTTTTATAGGTTCTAGGATTCATTTCAGATTGTCTTTCAAAGACAAATGAAAAGTAGCATTTCAATGTAGTTAGATATAGCATTCCAAAGACTAACAAATTCAGGTGTCCAAAAGATATCAGCTAAGCTTGCAGTTAAAATGCGGAAAATGAAATTGTTCCATATTGTCCTTTAAAAAATGTACTTGCTAGTCATTAAACTAAGTTGTTATTAAATTGCATTAAAAATTAAATGATAGTTGTAAATTATAGTGGGTTCCCAATGTGTTCAGTTTTGCATAACTTATAGGGCCTGAGGATCTCCCTCCACTCCCTAATCTGTGGCTCATCACAGCGCTTGTGTCTTCTCAGCTTGAGGCACCAGGGCTGTGGTTTCCCAGTGGGAGGGGAGAAACTACAGCGTCCTGAGGATGACTCTGCTACTCTCCTGCTCCTTCAGAACCCACCTTGACCTTCATGACACCTTCCTGTCTCTCCCTCCCTCCCTCCCCTTCTCTCAGCCTCTATAGCACCTGTCTGGCTTTATTCTTCTCCAGACCTACTGCAGGGCCAGATAGTTCTACGACGTTCTCATGAGGATTGCAGGATCCATCACTTGCTACTTTGGCCATTTTGGATTCCAGCTTCATTTTTAATTTTATATGTTATGCTGTAGATAGTTTTATGGGAACACTGGTACAGGAGTATTTAGTAATTTGTGAATGGTAAAGGTCTCAAGACTTTTCTCAGAACCTGTGAAAATCTCACTGCCTGCTCGACTTCAGTATGACTGGTGGGTAGGACCACTGAGGAATGGGGACAGGAGGGCTTGCTGTGCCCAAAGGCGTTTGTGCTTCATCCTAAGCACCAGTGAGACCTTTGAACCTCTAGAAAAGGAGAGCAGCCCAGTCACATGGGTGCTTTGGAAGGATCACTGCAGTTGACATGGAGAATGGATTAAGGGCAGTGGAGGCGGCAGTGAAGAGTACCTTAAAACCTAGCTTCACCTTCGTGACTTCTTTAACTCTGTTTTTAAAATGCTCAATTAATTTTACTTGAGAAACATCTCTGGAAAGTCTAACATCAATGAAGAGGCTATGATTAAAAGTTTAGGCTATGGAGCCAGACTGCCATTTGACCTTGTGTGAATTACTTAATTTCTATGTCTCAGTTTCTTCATTTGTAAGGTGAGAGGAGTTGCATTGTAGCAGCTACCATTTTAACAAGTATCAAATTTAGTCTATATAAGGCAATTAGAAAGTTTCTGACTTCTTAGTAAATAGTAGCTTCCATCGGCATCACCCATCAATGCACCCTCTTATCCTGACCCCACACTGCGGGGAAGTCAGGAAGACCTCGGGAAAATGACGGTAACTGGTCAGGAACTTGAACCTGCTTCTCACAGTCCCCTAAGAAGGCGTACCAGAAAGGAGCCCTAAGCAGGCAGGAGACTCCAGGCTGAGGCTATTTCTGCTGTTTCTGTGGAGAACGTTCTCTGCACGCAGCCATGGCTGCTCAGAAGGGGTGTGTGCATTCCAGGATACAAATAGCCCTCCTGGCATTCCTGGTGGCTGCCTGCCTATCCCTAGTGGTAAGGTCTATGAAGGAAAGAAAGGCAAGTGACTGTTTACCTTTCCCATGAAAATCTTCCTTTTCTTCAACATTTTTGATTGTAACGAAAACTTTATATAAAATATTCTCCCTTTATTTTTATTTTTTTTTGAGACAGAGTCTCGCTCTATCGCCCAGGCTGGAGTGCAGTGGCATGATCTCGGCTCACTGCAAACTCACCTCCCGGGTTCAAGTGATTCTTCTGCCTCAGCCTCCCTAGTAGCTGGGATTACAGGCATATGCCACCATGCCCAGCTAATTTTTGTATTTTTAGTAGAGACGGAGTTTCACCATGTTAGTCAGGATGGTCTCGATCTGCTGACCTCGTGATCCACCCGCCTCGGCCTCCCAAAGTGCTGGGATTACAGGCATGAGCCACCATGCCCAGCCTACATAAAATACTCTAAAATGTTAATCTTGGTGAAACAATATAAGTGTGTTGTCTCCATACTGGAATGCATTTGAATGTTTGTATTTTGGCAACATTTGAAAGTCACTTTAAATCATCCCATTCATATCTCAAAGCAAAGGTGATAATAAGGAAGTGAATAAATGGCCCTGAGGCCATCTGAAACTTTTTAAATGAACTGCCAGGCCATAGGAAAAACACATATATACCACGTTTGATAAAAAACTTAAGTGTACCTCAAGAATTTCTTTACGCATTTAGAAGCACAGTATAGTTGATACATTGAAATAACTTCCTTTTCTTAAAATTTTAATTTAATATTGTGTGAATGTTTTTCAGAGTTAGAATTTAGTTATACACAATTTTTAGGGACTAGGCAAATTGAAGGTTTTTTTTTTTTCTAGAGGGGGCAGTGATAGTTGATTTGCTTAAAAATTTTAGGCTTAGTATAAAAATCAAAATACTTATAAAATAGATTACAGGCTACTTTATTTGCTGTTTGGTTAAACACAAACTTCATGTGTAATTTTAATTTAAGAATATTCTAAACTCTGTTCTCCTTTGTAAATAACAGCAAATTTAAGAGTCATGTCTATACAGGATAAATGGTACTGCAATGTAGGCTGGTCCCCTTCACAGGGCTAGTACATAATGAACTGGTTTCTGGATGGCCAGTAAGGGGGTCTTTTTAATTCTCTCTCTCTCCCTGTCTCACTTCTCTAAGAAGTGTCCTTGGCCTCAGCCCACACCTTGCCCATCTTCCTCTCCTAACCTAGCCGGCTTCCCTCATTGCCTGGTGCCTTCCTCTTGAGAGCATTCCCTTAATACAACACCTGAACAAGAATCCGCATCTCAGGCTGCTTCCAGGGAACCTGATGTGAGATAGTGTCAACCTAAATAACAAGCGAGCTCCCAAAGAAAAGATGTTCATTTGTGAATAGAGCATTGCAGTGGGACTATGAGGATTACATAATTGTTCTGAAATTATTATCCTTGGCTACAGAGATCAATAACAAGAGTAACACCAGTATGAGATTGTAGGCAGATGTCCTCGCAGAAGTGTTTAAGGTTGTGGTTTTTGCAATCTTTTGTGATAATTTTTGTTATCAGCATACAAGCATAAAAAATTTTTCTTTATGGCCTTCCCTGGTTCTGTTTGTCAGAGTTTTCTTAACATTAGTGATCCTGACAACTTTCACATAGATAAAGTTGAATGGTATTCTGAGAATTCCATCAGCATACCTGATCACAGGCTGGAGTGCAATGGTGCGATCTTGGCTCACTACACCCTCCGCCTTCTGGGTTCAAGCAGTTCTCCTGCCTCAGTCTCCAGAGTAGCTGAGACTACAGGCACCTGCCACCATGCCTGGCTTATTTTTGTATTTTTAGTAGAGACAGGGTTTCGTCATGTTGGCCAGAATGGTCTCGATCTCCTGACCTCGTGATCTGCTCGCCTTGGCCTCCTAAAGTGCTGGGATTACAGGCGTGAGCCACTGCATCCGGTCCCCGATCACTTTTAAATTCCAATTTTTCCAACAGCAATTGCTTCGACAGGTTCCCTGGGAAACAGACTCCAAGCTGGAGATATGCGTGCCATGTATTGGAACCCATCTTGAAAAAAAGAAAAAAAATCCCTGTAGGACAGCAAAGGCGGCAAAGTGGGCAGAAGGAGATGTCAAATAGTACTGTAGCTGCCACAGAGCTGGAGGCCTGCAGGGCTGTTCCCAAATCCAGAGAGGGGCCGGGCTTTCACCCAGTGCACTGATAAAACGTTGGAGTGTGCCTCTCATGGGGAAACACAGCCATGGGCGAGGCAGCTTAGTGCATTCTGAAGTCATTCTCGTCATCAGCCATCACTTCCACAACTGAAGGAAGGAGTGTCTTGGTTCTGAAGGGTGATGGGCGTGACATAGCACGAGTCCACCCCTCGCATCACTCAGATCCTCTTGCTTTGTTTACCTAATTTGGGAACAGCTCCTCCAAGGGTTTGATTGATCTCTTTTCCTGGGGGAACACTGAGGGAATATTAATGGCAGGAACTAGAGCCTCCCCTTATGCAGATGGTCTCATGACTACAGCTGATACTTACCCATCCTTTTTCCCTCCCACCGCCTTCACCTACCCATTCAGCATTTGCTTCATTCTCATCTAACACCCTGGCTGGTCTGAGTAGCCTTGGGGTGACCCTGACATTCAACTCTGAAGGGTCTTAGCCTTGGTCACCAACCCCTAACCAGTCCCAATGCACTTGTGGTTCACACATGGCTGAGCATTTGCTCTCAAAATGGCCAGAGGAATACCAGCAAATGCCTTGCTGGTCCGCCTGGGTGACAAACATATTCTTCCCAGACAATTCTTGTCAGAATGGTGCATCGTGTCCTCACCAGTGGTATCCAGCCTGAGGAGGTGAAGCGATTGCAGCAGCTTGAAGATGACTGGGACTCACATTGTGTCCTCTGGTAGAAGCACTCCCTGCTGGGAGCAGACTTCCAGATCCACAGAGCCCATGGTAATGGGGATGGGAGGCACATACTTCCCAGCTGGCAAACATGACCACTTCTACGCTCACCATTGGTTTCCAGAGGGATATATCCTATCCACTGGGGATGGAGCGCCATAATGGTCATTGATTTTGGATGTACAGAACTGCATTCTGAAGTATCCCCCATCCTCACAGGGGATCGGGGGCCTCAACGGCAGCTTTAAAAGATTGTTCTATCACCCTGTCAGGCCAGCAGCTGCTGGGAAATACAGAAAGTGGCAAGAACAGGGGATCCCGGGCTCATGTACCTAGCGCCCCTCTGCCTTTGCCATAAGGTGGGTCATTTGGCTTGTTGGCATCTCCTATGGGATTCCACATCAGTGGATCACACATTCTGTAAGTTCTTGGATAGTGATGCTGGCCAAGGCCCTGCAGGTAGAAAAGAAAAATCCACCCCAGCCTACCTGTTAGTTCCCCTCAAGATGATGTAACCCCCTGGCCACCGAGTGGCTGCTTGGTCTTATTGAGGGATGCTGCTGTATCCAGGTTCAGCATCAGTGTCTGCTGTGGACAGTTTAGACATTCAGCAGGGGCAGTGGCTGGATCAGCCTTGCCAAGAGGAGGCCTAGCTACTGGGCCCATGCATGGCCTCCCTCCCTGCCACCATTCTGGGCTGCTCTGTATATGACCCCATTGTGGGAGCCCTGGAGTGGATGGTGATGGGCCAGCTGTGTCAACTGGGTGAGCCACTCTCGCTATGGTGCCCCTTCTACAGTGGACGGCTTGGAGGCTGTTAACGTGGTAAAAGATCTTCCTCCTTGATGCCCAATAGGTCCATCCACAAGCCTCTTCCTCAGACTTCTCTGTCCTCCCTATTCCAAACTCTCCCCTTCCACCCAAGCCATTCACCACCATCCATGAGACCATGTATAGTCTAACCTCAGCCTCAGGTGATTTCTGTTTCCACAGGAAGTGGATACACAGGTGCGCTGCCTGTAGCTTTGTCAGCGAGGAGGTTTTCTCTCACCACAATCTTTCAGGGCCACCCATTGCAGTGTGGCAGCCGGCCTTCTGTGGATTGCACCCACAGAGGCCTACCAAATGTGGCCCGTTTCCTCCCTGGAAGGCTGGCCATAAGGGTCACCCCTGTGTGGCCAGGAGAGGTGCATTAGTGGTGGGTGACCGGGACTCTGGGTCCCTCGCACATGTTCCCTCTGCCTGCCTCATCCCTGGTGCCCCACTTCTGACTTAACAGTGATTGCTGCTGGCTCCTGACCTGAGGCCTTGGTGCATCTCACAGAGCTCAGGTCATGATGTGAAATTCTGTGCATGGGATTATGCTGTCCCATGACCAGGTGCTCTGTCTTCCACCAACACCCAGTAGCACTCGGAGAAGTGTTTTACAAATGGCATATATTTCTCTGCTGCAGATGGCATGGCCTGATTCCAAACTCCTGGAGGCCTATGCTGTGATTCTTCCACTGCAGCTTGCCATAAATGCCACATTACCTTCTTTCCATCAAGGATGCATCTAACCCCACAGGGGCACCAGCAGGTCCAGCCTGCAGTATGTGCAGCCCTGATGCAGAGCCCTGTTCTGGCCACACTAAAGCTGTCATTCTGTAAATGGGTTAATTTTTCCAAGGCCAGAACCTGAAGTGGTCTAGGAGGCATCATTTTTCCTTTACAGTGGTGGTAAGTGCAAGATACAATAATTAATTCTTTACTTTGCAGGGGATTTCCCTGCATGCCCTAGAACACTAGATCCTAAAAACCACTAAGTTGGCAGGTTCAGATCTTGGTAGGATTTCTCTCTCACCGTCTGAACACATCTTTTACTAAGGCTTTTTTTTTTTTTTTTTTTTTTTTTTTTTTTGAGATAAGAGTCTTGCTCTGTCACCCAGTCTGGAGTGCAATGGAGCGATCTCGGCTCACTGCAATCTCCACCTCCCAGGTTCAAGCTATTCTCCTGCCTCAGTCTCTGGAGTAGTTGGGATTACAGGCGCCTGCCTAATTTTTTTTTTTTTTTTTTTTTTGGGACAGGTATTCACCATGTTGGTCAGGCTGGTCATGAATTCCTGACCTCAAGCAATCCGCCTGCCTCTGCCTCCCAAAATGCTGGGATTATAGGTGTGAGCCACCATGCCCAGCCTAAGAAGGCTTTTAACATATTTGTCGCATTCACTCATCTAGTCCGGTCCACATGGTATCATGAAGTTAGTGGACAAATGCTGTTCTGAGAATGTCCAAAATGGCCTAGATCCCTTCTGAGGATAGGAATGTGGCAAGTAAATACTGCAGCCTAGCTCATGGGCCTATGAAGCTCTGCAGTTCCTCTATGTGAGATAAATGGGAGGAAGATGCCTGTGCCAGTTCAATGGCACACATGCCTGGTGCCACGCCAATCTACAGGAGCAAGGATGCCTCCCCCGGCACAGCAGCTGTGCAGCTGGCTTTGAGGCAGATCACTTTCATTCTTTACGATACCTCTGGTTTTCTAGAGGCCAGATTGGTGAATTAAATGGGAATATGGTGGAGACCACTAACCTTTTGTTCTTCAAGAGAGGCACTAATCTCTGCCATTCTTCCTAGGATGTGGAGAGATGACGGGCGGTCATCCCCCGTCCTCTCACTACACAGGGACAGGAACTCCCCATGTGGCAGTTCTGCCAGCTATCAAATATTCCCTTTCCACTTACATATTTGTTGACCAGGGAAATGACCGTTTGGTGGTTCCAAACCCTCTGTCGTCCAGGCTGGAGTGCAGTGGCGCGATCTCAGCTCACTGCAACCTCCGCCTCCTGGGTTCAAACAATTTTCTGGCCTCAGCCTCCTGAGTAGCTGGGACTATAGGTGCATGCCACCACGCCTGGCTATTTTTTGTATTTTTAGTAGAGATGGGGCTTCACTGTGTTGCCCAGGCTGGTGTCGAACTCCTGAGCTCAGGGAATCCACCTGCCTTGGCCTCCAAAGTGCTGGAATTACAGGCGTGAGCCACTGCGCCTGGCCTTTTTCCTGAAATTTTTTTGGAAAATAATTTTCTTTCCCTACTTGTGTTATTTCTGTAGATATGACCAACATGTAGTCCTGTAGAATAACAATTAAAAATAGTTGAGGTAGAGATTTCATTGTTACATTATATTCATGCATTCAGTCAACAGATATTGGTAGGATTTCTGGACATGGGGACTGGCCTCAAAAAGGGCTTAACAGAGAAAACTATCACCTTGCTTTCATGGAGGTGGGGCAAATAGTATGAGAAGATAGATGCAATTTGGGAGGATGTTGAATAAGATAAGAGACAAGAGAGAAAGACTTGAACTTAAGAGTAATTTTCTTGGTTTCAGAATTAGAGAAATAGGTTAAAGCTATCAGCAGAACTGAACTCCCCTACCCTACTCCTTCACCCCCCTGCCCGCTCCTTCAGGCTCAGAGCTGCACAAAGTCTACCTTAAATAGTGGTTATGCTCAAAGGGTTGTGTCAAAGGACAACTAAATAATTACCCCTTTAGTCTCAACATAGACAACTTAGAGGTCATTGATAGTGTGATTAAATATTCTGCTATCAAACTATTTTAAAAGAATAAAAATATAAAATAAACGTTTAAGTGTTTAATAATGAGGGGAATCAATACTGAAAATAATTTTAGTATAATGGCTCTATTTAAAATATTTTTGTATGAGTATATGTGGAAAGTACATGAACATTATAGATCAATTATATAATAATTTTAGTAAATTGGTATTTGAGAGTCTTGATTGATTGATAATATTAATAATATATGGCATTATAGAGTTCTTCTGACTTGATATGAGTAACGTCTGTAGTAGTAATCTCCAGAACTTTGTCAAGATGGATGTAGTATCATCATATTCTGTAAATATATCATCTTTGAAATATTAAGATTGCCTGGATTCCAAAACCATAAATTTTATACATGCTATGCAGTAATAGCAAGCATAATGACTTCTCTATGCTAAACATTATTCTGGGAGCATTGTATTTTCCATTTGGAGCTTTGGGGATAAATTTTAAGAAAACATAGGCCTCCAGACACATATGCTACCTGCATATATTGGGGGTGCATCACAATTACAAAGTTAACTGGATTGGTTATGAAAGTTATATGTCCGGCCGTAATAAAATGGCTTTGTTTGAAATAATTATAGTAAGTGAGGCATGATAACCTTTATGAAACTTATAATTCTCATGACATTAAATTCTTGTAATTGACCCACTATATTTACAATCCACCTGTTGTGAGGAAGACAGCCAGCAGGTACAGGAGTCAGATAAACCTTAAGAAGTCAGATTCACAATTGCAAGCCTCATTCACAGCATCACAGGACTTTGAAGAGAACTATTATATCACTGACGATATTAGGAAAATGCTAATAAATGGCCCTGTAAAATCCTCGTGTGTTAAAGAGTTTTTTGAATAATTGAAAACTATATTTGGTGAAACTTTTCTGTTGATAATAACCTTCAGAAAATACTGTGCAATCAAACATGCCACATGTTTGCAGGTACTTTCTGAGTAATTTGCAAATATTTTCTGGATAACAGAACACAAAATCAACAACAGAAACTTTAAAAAATACATCTATATATATAGTCTACTAAAAAGTTACATATTAAATCAAGACATAAATCATCTTCTTCATTTGACATCGAAATCAATTTGTATATTTTAAAAGCAGAGATCAGCCATAGTAATTCCAGTTATATTTTATGAGCCAAAATAATAGCATGCCTTTAATCTGCCACTTTGTTTGGAAGTCTTATTTTCAGAAACTATGAATAAATCTTCTACACCATCTTCCCGAGAGCTTTAGTAAGACCTCAGACTGGAGTAGAGTTGAAGGAGGGAATGCCAGTCTGAAGAAGGAAAGGAAGAGGAGAGACAGCAAGGAGAACTTCAGTTGTCAAGGTATCGGGTGCAGGGGTCAGAAAGAAACATGACTCCATGGACCACTGCTTGGCCCAAGACCAGATGTCAAAACCACAGAGCCCTGCTGTAGAGCATTACAAATGTATTCCACCAAATGTTGGGATGCATCCTAGACCTGTGCTGGCCAGCAGTCCCCAGCTGTGAGGAGAAGCCCGCCATTTGAGTTGATCACTTGGCAGAGTTGATCATCATAAAATTATCCTTGTAGAGCTAAATAAGGTTTGTCTTTGACATTCAGTCTGGTTTATAGGATAGCAAAAGGGAAGTGGCCTCAGCTAGTAGATTTGAAAAGCAAAAGTAGGAATAATGCTTTTCAGATACTAATCTTCCTTCCCGATCCAACACATTCATCATATGAAGGTAGAATTTTATATGACGTCAAGCCCTAAAATACACTATTCAAAGACAGTGCTTACGGATTAACATATATGCTAGGAAACAGAGTAGCGTACTCGGACACTGAGATGTAAAAAGAGGGAAGTGTCGGCCGGGCGCGGTGGCTCACGCCTGTAATCCCAGCACTTAGGTGGGCGGATCACGAGGTCAGGAGATCGAGACCATCCTGGCTAACACGGCGAAACCCCGTCTCTACTGAAAATACAAAAAATAAGCCGGGCGTGGTGGCGGGCTCCTGTAGTCCCAGCTACTCGGGAGGCTGAGGCTGCAGAATGACGTGAACCCGGGAAGCGGAGTTTGCAGTGAGCCGAGATCGCGCCATTGCACTCCAGCCTGGGCGACAGAGTGAGACTGCGTCCCAAAAAAAAAAAAAAAAATGAAGGAAGTTTCAGCCTATGAATCATGGCATATGCATCAATCATACTATTACAGAAGTTAAAGGGTCTGGAAGTAATAATATGTAACTCTATCATTTTCTCCTTCATTCGATTCTTTTCCCAGCTGTTCATGGAGTTTCTGTTGAAGTTGGTAGGATCTTTATTTATTTTATTTTATTTATTTTGTTTTGTTTTATTTTATTTTATTTTTGAGACGGAGTCTCAGAGTCTCACTCTTGTTGCTCAGGCTGGAGTGCAATGGTGCGATCTCGGCTCACTGCAACCTCCACCTCTGGAGTTTAAATGATTCCCCTGCCTCAGCCTCCCGAGTAGCCGGGATTACAGGCGCCTGCCACCACGCCCAGCTAATTTTTTTGTATTTTTAGTAGAGACGGGGTTTCACCATGTTGGCCAGGCTGGTCTCAAACTCCTGACCTCAGGTGATCCACCTGCCTCAGCCTCCCAGAGTGCTGGGATTACAGGCGTGAGCCATGGCGCCCGGCTGGTAGGGTCTTTATTAAAGAACAGTTATGAGAGATGTATGAAGTATGAGTAAAGATAGAATAATTTAGGTCTTTAATTGTAATGCTATATCCTAAACATGGAAATCTATTTGACCAATACATTGTGGATGAGGATATACTTTATTCTGCCTTCCTTTAACAAATACGTATAACTGAGCTGTTACTATGTGCCAGACCCTACTTTAGGTGCCAGTTATATAATAAGCAAACAGACACCCTTCCTGTCTTCCTGGAGGTGAGTCTAATGAGGACCAGGCAATAAAAAGTAAACAAATAAATGCATCATTATGTCCTAAAAGGAACTTTGGAGGAAATGAACAGGACACAGTTGCAGATTGTACAGGATAAAAGGGACAAGAGCAGGTGTTTATGGAAGGCTGAGGTCAGGAGGACAGAGTGGTGGCCACGTGGTATGGACCGGTTTTCCCGGCAGTGGGAACAACGTGTCCAAAGACTATAAGATAGGAGAAAGTTTATTCCATTTGAGGGATGGAAAGGCTGGTGCTGTTGGGAAGGGCACAGTGAGGTGAGATGGAGCTGGAGAGGCTGGCTGGACCAGATGGAGTGAAGCTTCATCTGACATGCAGTGGGAAGCCACGAGTGACTTTAAACAGGGCAGCAATGGTCCTCTTGTTGGGTGCCATGTGGAGATTGGATTAAGAGAGGCAGAGTGGGTGGAGGAGACCCTGAAGAGGCTGCACCGTCAGTGTTGGAGTGGAGCAGGGGCAGTGCAGATGGGGAAGCCAGGATGAGCACAGCTGTCCTCAGGATGTGGCAGGCAGGGCTTGCTGATGAAGTAGACGTGAGGTGGCAGAGAGATTGTGATGGCACTCATGCTTCTGAGATGATCAACTGGGAATGGCCGATGCCATGGACTGAGATGGGAATAGAGAAGAGAAGGGGGGAAATTCAGGAGGTGAGGAGAAAGTTATTGAAAATTACGTTACTTTTTAACAAGTGCAGTTCGAAATACCAAGTGGAGATGTCAAACAGGCAATTATCAGATTAGAGTAGAGAGTTCAGAGATATTTTAGGTAGAAATATAAATTTGGGAACCATCAGCCTGTAAATAGTATTTAAAGACATGATAATGAATAGGATCACCTTGAAAAATTGAAGGAAGAGAAGAGATGGTCCCAGAACAGTTCAGGCAAAATCCACCATTTAGAGGCCAGAGAAAAAGAGAAGATTATGAAAGGGCCTGAGAATTAAAGTCTAGAAAGGTAGAGGGTAAAATTAGGAGAATACTGATTTTAAGAAAACAAGAAAAAAGTGTTTTCAAGGAGGAAATAGCCAACCATTTCAAATAAAATGAAGAGTGAAATAAATTTTAAAAAGTGAGGGAAATAAAATAGGAAAGTGAATATTGGATTTGGAAGCAAGGAGGTTATGTGATCCCTCTGATTGATATTAGCCAAAGCTAAATATGGCAAAATAACTTCTGGAAATACATCCTTCTATCTAAAGATTTGCCTGTTCTTTAGAAGGACCTGTTTGGTGCAGAAGGAAAATAGGTCAAAAATAGTTGCAAGCATTCCTTACCATGTTGGTAGAAGGTGTTCTTACTCCATGGTTTACCATCATAAGCCATCCTGCCTTTATGCCTCTTGCTATGTGTATTATCCAGGACTGTTTCGGGTGCAAGTGACGGAAACCCAAGTCGAAGAAGTTCAAGTGAAGATGAAACTTACTAATTTATAAAATAAATTAGACAGTGCTGAATTTAGGATCTCAAATGATGTTGTTAGGATTTCACCCCTACTCTCACACTCTCTCCCTCTTCTTTCATTCTTCCTGATTTCTTCTCTGGCAAGCTCTCTCCAAGTGGCGGAGGGATGAATGTTGGCAGTGCAGTGTTAGGTCCATTAACTTCTGATAGCAGAGGCCAGCTTCTCTCTTGGAGCATTCATATTAATTCTGGGACAACTGACACTGGCTTGCTTGTGTCCCATGACTTCCTAATGGTATTCACCATGTCTGGATTGATGACATACCCTGATTGGTCAGCATGTACCACATACACACCTGTGTTACTGGACATGTGTCCACATGACCGATAGCTGGACCACAACCGTGGGGAGCTGAGGAGTGTTCTAGGGACAGACAAGAAAACAGTAGGTGCCCACTATAACAGTATACAGAAGAAAAAAGTAGACATCGACTGTAATAGGACACAGAAGAAAACAGTAGGTGCCCACTGTAATAGGATACTGAAGTAGACACAGGGTTGCAGCTGAGCTTCCAACAGTTCCTCCATATAGTTCTTTGTTAACATTAACTCAGCTTTCATTGCAGCCAACTACTAACTTAACAATTAGCTATGTGAGCACTAAGTCAGAGATTGAGGGTAGGTATAAATCATGCCAAGAGCTAGAGGAAATTTGGTACCAAATAACAACCGGTCTTGGTTAAGAGGCTAGGTATCCATAAATGCTGGTCTTGCTCTATTGCCATTCTGTGTCTTGTTTTTGCTAACTTGTTAATGTTTCTGGATGTTGGTATTATTCTTTAGTCAAGTACTAACCTAATGACACCATAAAAGCTTTAGATTTCTGATTTCTGAGAGCATCTAATAAAAACCAGGACAGAGCAATGAGAAGAGTTTGTCTGAATTGCCTACCCGTGTAAATATAAAACTGTGTTTTAAAATGAGCCTGTAGCTGAAGTAAAAATCAAAACAAGACCAGTTTTATAAGCTAACATTTGTAGGCCTGTGGGTTTGAGCTTGTTTTTATTTTTTTTTTCCCTTTTAGTCACTTGCTCGTTTAAATAAAGGTTTTTGTTTGTTTGTTTGTTTTGTTTTTTTCTCTTTTCAGGTCTGTTAGATACTTAAAGGGCATTTATTCTGTTGGTTTGGTGTATTTTGTAGGGAACTTTTTAAAATGGCAGAGTTTGCCATTTTATTTTAAAAGTCAGTCCTATTGTAAAGAAGAGAGAATGATTTGATGATCTTTTAATCTAGATGTGTGTGTGTGTGTATAATAAGGGTATTATTATTCGAGAATTATGCTGATTATAACTTTGGATGAAATTGATAATTATGATCCATCTATTTTGCTATATTTAGTGTGCTGTGCTGAGCAATTTGACTAAAAGATAAAGGAGAACTATTCTTGAAATTATTTGGTCATCCTAAATACAGTAATGAAGTTGGGATGAGTATGGTAAATTTATTAAATTTACTGTTACAAAAGAAATATATATATCAATTCTATAAATTGAAAAAATACAAAAGAAATTTGGGAAATACTATTTTAAATGAAAAAAGGTGGATTATAGGAGGAAATTATTAATAATTTTTTAGTTTCCTTACAGTATTTTTCCTATGAGTATATATTTTAATATGTATATATTCTAAGTTTTCATTTAACATTATATCACTAGAATTTCCCTAGGTTGTTATATGTTTTTCAAACATATTTCACATACCCAAAATACTAATTTTGTAATACTATAGTAATTTGATGGATTAATTACTCTAATTTTAATCCTTCTTCATTTAATGTCCAGTTTTGCCCCAGTACAGATAATGGTAAATTAAAGATCTTTAGGCACAAATTCTAGTTTTTGTTTCTAGTTGTTTCCTTTGGGTAAGTTACTAGAATTGGAATTACTATTGTTTGTTTGATGTTCTTAATACTTAGTGCCCAATATCTTTTGGGGGGGTTATTGTTAACTTTCACTTTCTTCATCAGAGGAGCAGCATGTCTCTTTTTCAAACACCTGGCCAATATTATCTATTATCAGTTTTTAAATTTCCCTTAATCTTTGAAAACTGCTGCAGTGATGGTGTTTATTGGCATTTCTTTAATTCAGGGTGAAGCTGAACATTTTTGGTATGTTTATTCGTCACGTGTATTTCTTTGATGTATACGTGTATTCATTGCTTGAGTTTTATTGGATTTTTTTCTGTTTTTGCTTGGTTGAGATTATTTATATTTTAAGGATATTAACCTTGTCCTATCTTTAAGGCAAATACTTCTCCCAATTTATCTGCCATGGTGTTCTTTGTGCCACACATCTCCTAGGGCAGGCACCTCTCCACTCCTCCTTTCTGAAATGTTGGAGCTCTTTCAGAATGATGTAAGTTATGATGCAAACAGTAAGGCAGAAAACACACTGAGAATTACTGCCACTAATTAACGTGAGATGAGATGTTTCTTGGAAGTTTAAAGGAAAATAGAAGTAAAACCCATGCAGTCATTCCCAATACTAGCATAACATAGGCAGCCTGAATTTAACCATCCCACTAGCTTGCTCCTTCCCTGCCAGCTCACCTCCTGGAAGAGCAACTTGTATAGACTGGATGCCTCTTAGTTCTCACTTTTCATTGCCTTATTATGATCTGTGTGTATGGGCTTGTTTCTAGACTCTCCATTTTCTTTTACTTGTGAATTATCTGTCACTAGCTCATTTTTTTTTGTTACTGTAGCACAAAGCTGTATCATCACAACCTGTAGGGTAAGTCCCACTCCTTATGCATTCGTGTGTTCAACAAGCACTTACTGATTGCCTATTATGTGCACATAACTGATACTGGTCACGGTCACCTAGTCACATCGTTGTAATTGACTTCTCACGTGGGTTACCTTGTCATTTGGAGGGACGATGCACCATGATGGTGCTTGTTACCTAGTAAGAAATTATCTATCTGGATATTAGAGCTAGGTGACATGGCTTATGAAAGACAGTTTTTGAAACTGTGGAAAGTAATTTTTCAGGAGTTTTCAGATTGACATCATAAGTGCTATAAGAGGTTTGCTAAGCCCTCAGTCAGCAAGCCCTGTGAACGGAAAGGACCTTACCCAAGGCAGGTAGAATGCCATCGCTAACACTCAGGTGAATCTCCCATGAAGATTAGAAAGATGGCTTACTCTCTTATCTGACAGATTGCATACAGCTGCAAAGAGAATTAGTATATTGGAAGGTAGATCTTAGAAAACACCACAGAGTGATAAATCTGTGGAAATATAAAGCTAAGTTTAAAAAACATGACTGGTGAATGAGGAGGTCTAAATATATCTTAATTGAAGCCCCAGTGGAAGTAACCGGAGAAAATATAGGAAAGACAATGGTTAAATAAGCAATTGCCAAGAGTTTTCTATAACTGAAGACAAGTTCAATTGAAAACAGACACTGACTCATGAACAGAATAAATTAATTCAAATTTATGAAATGAAATCATTCTGAATCTGGAAAACACTAAAAGTAAAGAAACTTTTAAAAGTCCCAATGGAAAAAAAAAGACGTAACACTGAAAAAAGCTTTGTAGATACGTGTTGAATGAACTGTTGAAAGCAAAGTGGTGGAAATTTGTACCAGAAAAACATTGAAACCAAAAGTGGCATACCAAAGTCAGTATCAGACAGATAACTTCGAACTATTATAACTCATTCTTTGAGTTCTTAGATAGAATTAAATGTCATTTCTAAAAGGTCTGTTTTGTTCTTTCTCAAACTCACCTTTTCAAAAATCATATGATATTAACTCATTTTGGGCATTATCCTTGCATTTATCATCTTTGTGTCTCAGACTCTTGATAATGGCCTACCCAAACTAGGCATGACAATAAATGTTGGTTGAAATGAAGAATATCATGAAGACACTATGTTCGATTCACTATATTATATGCTATGACAATAATCACATAATGTAGAAGACAGATTATCTGTCCTTAAGGTCATTTTGTTTTAAATAACAAACTGGGGATCATGAATTCAGAAGCATATGAAAGCAGATATTTACACCAAAACAAGTATAGTGCTTCACATCTGGAGCCCTATCCATTAAAGGATTGAAAACTATACCTGAGAGATGCATTGAAAAGCAATCAAAATTAAATATAGCATGGCCGGGCGCGGTGGCTCATACCTATAATCCCAGCACTTTGGGAGGCTGAGGTAGGCAGATCACGAGATCAGGAGATCAAGAGCATCCTGGCTAACATGGTGAAACCCAGTCTCTATTAAAAATATAAAAAATTAGCTGGATGTGGTGGCGCACACCTGTAATCCCAGCTACTCAGGAGGCTGAGGCAGGAGAATCGCTTGAACCCGGGAGGTGGAGGTTGTAGTGAGTCGTGATTGTGCCACTGCACTCCAGCCTGGGCAACAAAGCGAGACTCCATCTCAAAAAAAAAAAAAAAAAATTTGGGAGGCCGAGGCAGGCGGATCACGAGGTCAGGAGATCGAGACCATCCTGGCTAACATGGTGAAACCCCGTCTCTACTAAAAATACAAAAAATTAGCGGGGCGTGGTGGCGGGTGCCTGTAGTCCCAGCTACTCAGGAGGCTGAGGCAGGAGAATGACGGGGACCTGGAAAGCAGAGGTTGCAGTGAGCCGAGATCGTGCCACTGCACTTCAGCCTGGGCAACACAGTGAGACTCCGTCTCAAAAAAAAAAAAAAATTAAATATAGCACCAACATACTTTGAAGGATGGTTAGCAGGAGAAATAATGTAATTTTTAATGACAAAATTTGTTTTAATGAACAAGTCTATGAAAATAAATTTTGTTCATGATACATTAAAAATTAGAATTATTTATCTTGGAATATAGATTTTAAGTTCTAATATACTTATTTCACTAATTATGTTTTGTAAAGGGTTTATAAGAAGACCACAAAGTGCTGTGTGTTATTCCAATGCAATTTCTTGCTGACATGAATACCACTAATGCAGTTGCCTGACCTCCAAGTGCTGAAGCATTGATATTCTTCTCAAGCCTAATTTGAGTAAATACCTAAAGGAAGCTGGTTAAACCAGATAGCCTCTGAAAGTCTCTCCTGGCAAAAATTTAATATAGTGTCTAATAAAAATGAAAGCCACTTGTGAGTTGTGAGAAATATAAACAAATCAACTTTTTAGAGAAATATTTAAATTGAGTGTTTCACCTAGTGATTTAACTCATGCTTATCTAGAGTAAAAGGACTTTTTTATGCAATGCAGTGAACACTGGTAGATGGCACTTTCAAAACATTAAAGAAGGCTGTCATAAAACGATATAAAAAGAATTACAGCTGGCAAACTTAAAAAAAACAAAGATTGGTAAATACAGCTCAAATATGGGAGGACTAGAAAGCAGGTCACCAGCTTCCGAAAAGCAGTGTGTGGTCAGTATTTTCTTCCAGGGATGTGGGGTCCAGCTTCTTACTCAAGCTGTCAGCAGGGCAGGTGGGCAGATGTGGGGGGACTCAAGAGCCAAAGACAGCACATTCCCCAGGCTCCCCATTTTTGGGCAAGCCTCACCAGACTGAAGGAGATCTTGCTGAGTCTTCTTCTGAGTCCTAAACAACTAATCACACTAAACGTACTCTGTTTATGCACAGGCTTCAAATTAACTCATTATAAAAAGTTGAGGAAATTCTGAAGTAACACTCAACCTATTTTATTGCTTGTTGTACGCTTAAATAAAAAATGTCTGGGTTGGCCGGGCGTGGTGGTGCATGCCTGTAATCCCAGCACTTTGGGAGGCCGAAGCGAGTGGATTACCTGAGGTCAGGAGTTCAAGACCAGCCTGGCCAACATGGTGAAACCCCGTCTCTACTAAAAATACAAAAATTAGCTGGGCGTGGTGGCATGTGCCTGTAATCCCAGCTGCTTGGGAGACCGAGGCAGGAGACTCACTTGAAACCCTGGAGGCGGAGGTTGCAGTGAGCTGAGATCACGCCACTGCAGTCCAGCCTGGCAACAGAGCAAGAATCTGTTTCAAAAAACAAACAAACAAACAAAAAAACTGGGAATTTTTCCTTTCAACATTTGTATGTAGTTAATTCAGCAAATGTTTATTAAGCACATACTACATGCTGGCTGCTGCTCTAGGGGCCGAGGGTAAAACAAAATAACAAAATAGTTGAAAACCTCACCCTCTCAGGGCTTATAGGTGGAGGGTGAGCATTTACAATAAAATATGTAGGTAAAATATGTAGTATGCCTGGGGAGTTAAGTGCTACAGAAGAAAAAATGTCAGAGGAGCATGGGGAGCTCTGTGGTGGTGTTGGTGGGGCCTGTTACTGAAATAGGAATGATCAGGAAGATCGTTGATAAGCGATCTTTGCACAGAGAGTTGAGGGGAGCCATGCAGGCATCGGGAGACCTTCCAGGTAGTGGGAATTATAACTGTGGAGTCCCTGAGGTGGGGTCACACTTGGGGGACTCCTGGCCGAGTAAGACCACTGTTCCTGGAGCAGGAGGAGTCAGGGCGAGAGGGACTGGATGAAGGCAGAGAACCATGTCCGTCGGGGTGAGAAGTTTGGTTTTTACTCTGAGTGAAATGGGAAGCCACGGGAAGGTTTGTTGCAGAGGTGGGGCATGAGCCGATGCATGTTTTGAAAGGACCACTCCAGCCTCGATGTTAGAAATGGACTGTAGGAGATTTAGAGCCACAGGCAGGGGGATAGTCAGGTGGCTGTTGCAGTGACCCAGGTGAAAGACGATGGCAGAGGTGCTGATTAGGGGACCTAAGAGCTGGCCTCATAACAGGATTGCTGTCAGCTCTCCAGCAAACCACGATAAAATTGTCTTAAATGGATACTGAAGTTTTCTCAGTGTTATGTAAGGGTGAACAAAAGCATTATCTAGTAGACAGAATAATGGCCCCCACAGACATTCGTGTTCTAATAACCCCTGGAACCTGTGAAGAGGTCACCTTACGTGGAAGAGGAGGCTCTGCAGGTGTGGTTATGCCCAGGCTCTCGAAAGGGAAAGACCATCCTGGGTAATCCGGGCAAGCCCAGTGTTATCACGGGGGTCCCTGTGAGGGGCAGACAGAGGCATCGGAGCCAGAGGAGGGTGTGTGATGATGGAAGCAGAGGCTCGAGCAAGGAACGTGGGCAGCTTCTAGAAGCTGGAAAAGGCAAGCAACGTCTCCCCTCCACCCTCCAGAAAAACACAGCCTTGCCCACGCTTTCATTAAGACCTATTTTTTGACCTCCACAACTATAAGATAAAATTGTGTTAAGCCACTAGGTTTCTGATAATTTGCTACAGCAACAATAGGAAACTATATATATAGGACTGGGAATATGTAGAAATAGAAATATACTCACATGTGTTCTTAGAAAACTTTGCTAGTTGTATTCACCTGTAGCAATATTGTAAGTCTGTGCTTGCTTTTGGTTCAGACTCCCTGGCCACCCTTCCCCATCCAATTGCACTCTCCTAGTCTGTCCTTTATAGGAATTCTGGAGCCATTATTTCAAATGATAAGCACTTTGGAATCAATATAATAGAGGGAAGAGGTTGAGAGTGACTGCGTGTCCAGAGAGGGAGGCTGCTTTGAGGAGATGGCATGTGTGCTGCTACTGAAAGATGAGCAGGACCAGCAGGGGCAGACCAAGTCCAGGACAAAGGTCCTGGGGTGAGAATTAGCCTGGTCTGTTGAAGAGTATCTACTCTTTGCTTCAGTCTTGTGAGCAAAGGACACAGTGGTAGTAGATGAAGCCAAAGACATCAGCGAAGTCCGGCTCATATAGGGTCTTGTGGGTGATAGAGGCGTTTGGACATTGTCACTGTGGCGAAAAGCCATCAGAAGGTTTGGAAAAATAGAGTGACAGGAGCTTACTGACATTTTACACATTGACTGCTGGGTGGGGAATGGTTTTCAAGAAGGGAAAGAATGAAAGTGGACTTTTCAGCAGTGTAGTTACGAGCATTCAGAGTAACCTAAACTAGTGTGGTAGCAATGGAAATGTAGAGATGTAGACAGATTTCAGATATATATGGAAGGTAGAATTGATAGGACTTGCTGATATGGGGCTTGAGGGAAGAGAGAACCATCAGGAATACATCTGGTAGTTTGGTTCGAGCCACTGGCTCTAATATAAGGAAGACTGGAGGAGTTCAAAGAAATGAGTCAATGAATAATGTGCTTACGAAATCATTAAACATTTAGGGGTTGAATAATGTTGGCTGTCAGTCCTGGATATTTGAAAATACTGTGTGATGAATAGCCTCATTGTAGATAATCAGAATATGTGAAAACGCCTATTGTTAAATTGGAAGGAGATTTAAAGATTTGTTTTAGACCATAACTTATTTTTAATAAGGACAACTCCAAATCACCCCTAAAAATAAATGTGTGACTTTTGCACAAAAAATCCCAGAGAAGAGTATTTATATTCTGATTCATCTTTTTACTACATTTACAATCAGGAAAGTCATAATCTCCAATTTTAGCTTCATAGCTAAAAAGTACTTCTGTTATTTGTATAAAGGGAAAAATGAATAATTTTTTAAGTTTTCTTTTTTTCTTTTTCTTTTTTTTGAGATGGAGTCTCACTCTGTCTTCCAGACTGGAGTGCAGTGGCGCGATCTCTGCTCACTGCAACCTCCATCTACTGGGTTCAAGCGATTCTCCTGCCTCAGTCTCCTGAATAGTTGGGACTACAGGCGCCTGCCACCATGCCTGGCTAATTTTTTGTATTTTTAGTAGAGACGGGGTGTCACCATGTTAGCCAGGATGGTCTCGATCTCCTGACCTCGTGATCCGCCCACCTCAGCCTCCCAAAGTGCTGGAATTACAGGCGTGAGCCACTGCGCCTGGCTGCGGATTCCTTTTTAAATTTACACATACCAGTTTGATTTTCCTCCCAATTAACCTTTGTAGAACTCGGTAACTTGATTATTTTAGGTTAATGTTTCAATTCCAAGTTTAACCCTGAAGAATTCTGATAGATAGATACAGAGAATTTATTAACATCTGAATTTATTAACATTTGAAAATATGGTCACTAGATTTCAAACGTTTATCATATATAAAATATTTTAAATGGCAGATTAAATATCTCCCTGTGATTGAAACACAGTGACATGTTTCAAAATAATATTTAATTATCTTTTTAAAAATCATTAATTTTGGAAATCTATGACTGGGATGAAAAATATGTTTTCAGGCTCATAGTAAATCAGTATTAAACAAGTTGCCTCCCTCATTCCCTCTCTGTCTCTTTCTCTCTCCTCTCGTGAACACACTCCGTGGCAGATGGTGCGTGAGCAGTACACTACAGCCACAGAAGGCATCTGCATAGAGAGGCCAGAGAATCAGTATGTCTACAAAATTGGCATTTATGGCTGGAGAAAGCGCTGTCTCTACTTGTTTGTTCTTCTTTTACTCATCATCCTCGTTGTGAATTTAGCTCTTACAATTTGGATTCTTAAAGTGATGTGGTTTTCTCCAGTAAGTATCATTATTTTCTGGTAAGCATGTTCTTGTTTTGTTCACTGTATCACTTAGTCTGTATTGTATTGATAGGAGTTTCCTTTTGTAATTAACATTCATTTCTTTGCTGTCTGGCTCTGAATTTCAGGAGCAAAATATGTATGTAGCATTTACGTTTTTCCCTTTTCCTTAAACCTCATTGTGAACTATAGTGTGTTGGTTTTGTGTTTTTGCTGTAATTTTTTTCATTAGTCATCTCGAAATAGTGGGAATATTGTAATAGTCTTTAGTTTGTGGTTGATTGAGTCAGGATTATTTGCTGATTATTTAATTCAGTTTGTAAAATGGTATAAATCATTTTCTTAATTTCATTAATTCATAAATATTTAAATGACACTCATTTAAAAACTTTTTTATTTACAGTGGTAATCAAGTTACACTTTCATTTTTTAAAAACCCTATGCTGATGTACAGTAAAAACATCAATCCTGAGGAATTCATATTCTATTTTAAACATTCTTATGTTTTAAAGACAGCTACATAATTTTGTATTCTTTGATAATATTTTGTGTACTTTTGAAAAAATGCTAAATGTAGAATGTCTTAATTTTACAAGATAGCTGCAGTGAGATAAAAATATTGCAGAGAACATTGCAGGCAGGTCAGTCTGTTGCTTACATGCATCTGAAGGTGTGATATATGCACAGGCTCTTTCTTTTCTTTCTTTTCTTTCTTTTCTTTCTTTTCTTTCTTTCCTTTCTTTCCTTTCTTTCTCTTCTTTCCCTTCATTCCCTTCTTTCCCTTCTTTCTCCTCTTTCTCTCTTTCTTTCTTTCCTTTTTTTTTTTTTTTTTGAGACGGAGTCTCACTCTGTTGCCCAGGCTGGAGTGCAGTGGTGCAATCTTGGCTCACTGCAACCTCCACCTCTGCACAGGCTCTTTCTGAGAGCAATGCTTGAAGTCATTCATTCTGAAACACCTTCTATTATTCTTCTTCTTCACTTTCTATGCAACTGTTTCTATCCCACTATAGTTCTAGCCAGTAGATACATTATTTATTTTATTGACATCATAAATAAATATTTATGTTTTTACATATGCAAAGAGGTAAAATACCAATCAAATCAAAATATAGTTTGAAATGGTGTTAGCATATTTGATATATTAATATGAATGTAATCAATATAGATATATGATATAAGCTGTTAAATTACATATATTATAAATACATGAACAATTATATAAATATATTCAAATTAATCCAATTTAAATTGTGATTTCTTAGTTAAAATTCATAAAATCACTATTTCTACAGCATCACAATAGTACTTAGTTCCACTGGACAATGTTACTTCATGAAAGTAGCACAACTAACAGGATGCATGTTTTTGCACATCATATACATTTTAGTATCTAAATGTAAAATACTCTAACATTTTTTGGAGAGTGAAGCAGTGTTAAAGTCCTCAAATTATAAACTATGGGATTTGCCAGAGACAACTGAATAGAGAGCCCTGCATCAGCCTGCTGTAGGACCGTCAGTTATGCAGAAGGTTAAGAGAGGCAGTGTCCTGGGTAGGAGGCCCATGGAAGGGCCTGGGAGTGACGAGAAGCCCAGCACGTGCTGAACAAGGACAGACTTTATCTGGAATGAATGATGTGCATTATTTATGAAATATGGGTGAATTAATTTTGTAAACGGTTTGACTGTAAAGTGACAATATGTCTACTTTATACTCTTGTCATGTAGCATGTAAAACAACTTTGAGGTATTATAAATTTGGATTAAATTAAGTTGTGCCAGCAGCTGAGTCCATTTCACTGATGGAGAAGGGCTTCCCACAGAGATCAGCACAGCCTTTCCGGCCATCACTGCAGCTGCCCATCCCCTGCCCTTTCTAGTGAGATATGGTCATTGAGCATGGCATTTGCTTCAGTTAGGAACCTGTTGCTAATTGGTAGCGAGTATTCAGGATTCTTTAGTGCTGTCTTTAACAAAATAAGAAAAACTACCACTAACATTTATGGAATCAAAAGGCAAGATACCCAAAGTCACTAAGCTACAGAAAATGCCAGGCCTTAATTGGAAGATGCTGGTTAGACTTTGGGTCATTATTCTCAATGTGGAATGACATAAATGACGTAATTACCTTAGGTGCATGAGTTTGATTTCTTACTTTTGTAATTATCCTATATGTTTTGAAACAGTAAATTGTAAATTAACGTATGCTTTAATTCTTACTGATTTGAAAGATTTTAAAATACAAGATTTCATGTTTTATTTATTTTAAATTTTATTTCAAGAACAATTAACACAAGATCTGCCCTCTTAACAGATTTTAATTGTACAATACGATATCATTAACAATAGGTACAATGTTGTACAGCAGCTCTCTGGAACTTACTCATCCTGCTTGATTGAAATGTGAAGTCCATTGTTTAA
This sequence comes from Homo sapiens, assembly GCF_000001405.40. Taxonomy (NCBI): domain Eukaryota; kingdom Metazoa; phylum Chordata; class Mammalia; order Primates; family Hominidae; genus Homo; species Homo sapiens. Next base: position 23,206,312 of record NC_000013.11, read on the forward strand.
TAGCACCCATTCTCACTTCCTCAGCTCCTGGTAACCACCATTCCACTCTTTGTTCAATGAGTTTGCCTACTGTAGATACCTCATATAAATGGAAGCATGCAATATTTGTCCTTTTGTGCTTATTTCACTTTGCATAATGTCCTCAAGGTTTATCCATGTTGTCTCACATTGCAGAATTTTTTTCTTGTTTAAGGTTGAATAATATTCTACGGTATTGATATACATTTTCTTTATTCATTTGTTGTCTGTAGACATTTAGGTTTTTTTCCACATCTTGATTGACTACTATAAATAGTGCTACAATGAACATGAAAGTGCAGATATCTCTTCCAGTTCCTGATTTCCATTCTTTTGGATAAACAACAAACTATCTGAAAAGGAAATTAGGAAAACAATGCCATTTTCAATAACATCAAAAAGAATGCAATATCTAGAAATAAACTTAACTAAGAAGATTAAAGACTTATACAGTGACAACTATAAAATAACTGATGAAAAAATTAAAGACACAAACAAATGAGAAGACCTCCCATGTTCATCAATTGCAAGACTTAGTATTAATAAAATGTACATTGTACCAAAAGTGATCTGTAGATTCAGTGCAATTCCCATCAAAATTCCAATGTTATATTTTTTACAGAAATAGAAAACACAATCCAAAAATTCATGTGGAACCACAAAAGACCTGAAACAGCCAAATCAGTCTTGAGAAAGAAAAACAACGCTAGAGGCGTCATGCTTCCTGATTTTGAAATATATTTCAAAGCTATCGTAATTTAAACAGTATGGTACTGGCATAAAGAAAGGCATATAGACCACTGGAACAGAATAGAGATCCCAGAAAAAAATCCATGCATGTGTGATCAACTGGTCTTTGACAAGGGTGCTAAGAGTATCAAATTAGGAAAAGATAGTCTGTTCAACAGATGGTGCTGGGAAAACTGGATTTTCACATGCAAAAGAATGAATTTGGACCCTTATCTTAAACCATACATAAAAATGAATGCAAAATGGATTAAAGATTTAAACATAAGGCCTAAAACTGTAAAACTTCTAGAAGAAAACATTTGGGGAAAAGCTTCATGACATGGATCTTGGCAATGATTTCTTGAATATCAAAAGCACAGGCAACCAAAGCAAAAATAGACAAATGGGACTACATTATACTAAAAAGCCTCTCTGCAGCAAAGAAAATAATCAGCAGAGTGAAAAGGCAACCCATGAAATGGGAGAAGATATTTGCAAACTATATAACTGATAAGGGGTTAATTTCCAAAATATATAAGGAACTCCTATAACTCAAGAGCAAAAAGACAAATAACCTGATTAAAAATGGACAAAACATCAGAACAGACATTTCTCCAAAGAAGACATACAATGGCCAAAGTGTTCAGCATCACTAATTATCAGGGAAACGCAAATCAAAACCACTATAAGCTACTACCTCACACCTGTCAAGATGGCTATTATCAAAAAACAAAAGACAACAAATACTGGCGAGGGTGTGGTGAAATTGGAACCCTCGTGCACTGTTGATAAGAATGCAAAATGGTGCAGCCACTATGGAAAACAGTATGGAAATTCCTTTAAAAATTAAAAATCAAACTTCCTTATGATCCAACAATTCCACTTTTAGGTATTTATCCAAAAGAATGGAAACCAATTTCTTTTTATTATTTTCATATATAAACCAATGTATTTTCTTGAACATTAACATCCCAAAGAAGTAATACGTCTATAAAAGAACTTTTTTGAGCCCTTTGATGCTGAAATGGTAAAGTTAAATAGGGCTTTGAGCATTTGTAGAGATCTGCATAGTTTTGAACTTGTAACAACTACCATATAATTATTTACCCAAACTCAGTGTAATTGCTTTTCTATCATGCATTCAGTTGTTAGTCAGAATATAGGGAAAACCATAATTTTTCAAATTAACAAAGTTTGGCATGGCTTTCTCTGCTCAGATCCTCAACAGTGTAGCAATGGCATCTTTATTATTTTACATGTACTGTCATTGCAACACCTCATCATACTTTAATGTTTCACTGTAGAAAACAGTAAAACTAACTACAAATGATATATTCAAAAATGCCCAGATAACATTAGACGAGAAAGCCAGTAAAACATCACAAGATGAACGCATAAGGACACCAAAGAATATTAAAAATTTAAAAGAGAGAAGACTAGAGCAAAATGTTGACCAAGAGAATAAATCTGAATTCAGATAAGGCTGAGCCTGGTTTTATCTGCCCAGCTGGGGTTAGAAAGAGCCCAAATTACTAGTATCTCACAAATCCAATTCTACTCTTAGAATTAAAACTTGATGTAAGATAAATTTTCACAATTTCCAGGAAAGACATCTGTTGAATATAATATTTAGGACATTGTAACAACTGATGCTGAGTATAAAGATTCTAAAATATTCCGTTAGCCATCATAATAGTTAAATCAGTCAGGAACACGGTTATTAAATCAGTGTAGTAGAGTACCTTATTATGCTTTTTCCTTATTATATTTTCATTCTATAAAAATACTATGCAATATTAGTTTAGTTATAGTGTTCATGAGTATAGAATAATATACATGGGTCATATCTGTATGTTAAAATAAGACATCTTTAATTTTTAATGATATTGATTTTTTAGAAGACCTTTAGAGTTATCAACCTTTGTTTGCATATAAAATATTTTAGTGCATTTAGTGAATGTAACTTTAGGTTATCATGAAGGTAAGATGAATGATTCTAAGCTAACTATATTAACTCTAGTAGTTAAATCTTGGGGGCACTTTTATTTGGGAAAAAAGATATAAGTGATCAAGGAAGAATCATAATACTAAATGTTATCATTAAGCTTATAATTCTATAAAATACTTCGTTGATAAGTATTGTTTGTTTTAATTTATTGTGGTAATAAGTTACATTGCCCTTTTTAGGAGGTCAGGAAACCCTGGTAGATCTATCCTTAACAAGGATTTAAAATTAATTCATTTTGGAAACTAGCAATTAGGAATTCTCCATTAAGGACTTTCCCATTAAGAATCTTTCATTTAGCAAGAAAGTAAACCCTTGCTAGACAGCCTTTGTAGATATTTCCTTAGATAAATGTTTTGTCATTAAACAATTAGTGATTATTCATAGGAAGCTGGGAAAATGTTATTAGATGGCATTTTAGTGACATTTATTTCAGCCTTATATTAACATAATCATTTGAAAAGGATTTTTAAAACTTAGGAAAGAATGCAGATATGCAAGTGACCACAGGCTGTCTGTGAATGCACAGTGGTCATGGAGGGTTATTAAAATATCACCCTTGTAGTGGTATTTTCTGAAATCCCATTTGCATTTTATAGACTCTCAACACTGTAAAATAGGCTTTGTGTTTGATGATTTTGCCCAACTGTAGGTTGATGTAAGGGTTCTGAGCATATTTAAGGTGGGCTAAACCAAGCTATGCATTAGATGGGTGAGGTGTATTAAATGCATTTTCAGCTCTCTTCATAAATCAAAAAGCATCTATATTGTTTAACTGCTGTGTTTTGTCATTAAGCAGTTAGTGATCATTCATTGGAAATTTGTTACACAGAAATAGAAAACTAGTACAATGTTACTACACTATGTGAAGTGTTTAATTTCTCTTGCTGGATATTGACAAAAACAAAGCAAAGAGAAAAACTCTAAAATTACCTAAATAAACGTACCTGATGACCCATACTCTTGACCATTTATTAACAGAGAAATGGTTAGCTTTTAATCTTTTATTACTGGATATTGATATATATTTTAAATAACTAGGGAAGCAGCAATAAGATAACATTTAGCCTAATCTAATCATGTATGTTTTAACCACTTCCTACTGGGAAATTATTTGTTTATGAAGTAAATTATTCTTTTTTGAAATATTTTGAAATGAAATTATTTTTTCATTTTAACAGCAAAAATGTTCTTTGATGCATTAATATGAGTGATCATTTTAGCTCATCATAATTGAGGAAATCAGTGTATATATTGATGTAGTATTTATTGTGAAAAAAGATTGTGTTTAAAAGACTGTCTTTTTTATTTTTGTGACTTACCATTTAGTATATAATAGATTTCACGGCTGGGCGCGGTGGCTCATTCCTGTAATCCCAGCACTTTGGGAGACTGAGGCGGGCAAATCACAAGGTCAGGAGATCAAGACCATCCTGGTTAACACAGTGAAACCCTGTCTCTACTAAAAATACAAAACATTAGCCGGGCGTGGTGGCGGGCGCCTGTAGTCCCAGCTACTCGGGAGGCTGAAGCAAGAGAATGCGGTGAACCCGGGAGGCGGAGCTTGCAGTGAGCCGAGATCATGCCATTGCACTCCAGCCTGGGCGACAGAGCAAGACCCCGTCTCAAAAAATAAAAAATAAATAGATTTCACAATCCATTCATGCCTGCTAACTCAGTTTATCCTCATAATGATCCCATGAGTTTGAGATTGACAGGCATCAGCTTTATGTATCGTTATTTCAGTGATTTCAAAGCTAAGTGTATCCTAGCAGATATCAGGATCCATGAAGATCAGGAAAACCAACTCAGAAGGTGGTACGATGAAGGCAGTACACAGACTTGTTGTCCTTGAACCATGTCCGAAAAAAGTCCTTTTGGGGTTTCATGGGACCCAATAAATACAAATTTTTCCCCATCCAAATTCAAACCCAACTGAAAGGAACAAAAAGAAATCTGGTAGGGATAGCTTAAAATACCATCTGTATTACTGATAAAAAGCTGATTGGAGGGTACTGGCTTGGATTTGGCCAAACGTCTTGCACCCCAGAATTAGAAAGATGACCCATCAAGTCACAGGCAGCATGGAAAATTGCCGATGCCTGCTGCGAGGCAAGGACTTGATATTGTGACATTCTTCCTGGTGGGATTGCCTATACCCACAGCAGACCAGAAATCCGTGGGTAAGTAGATCCCTGGGGAAGGAGGAGAGGAGCCAGAAGCCTGTGCTTCTCCTAACTTTCCAGCCACACACATCACTCTCCTGCGGTGCAGAGAAGGGCAGAGTGTTTCTCTCAGGAAAGGTCCCTCCTGCATCCACCACTTAAGTAATCTCATGTTGATTTTTCAGTCTGCCAGAGTGAGGATATAAGTCAGAAACCGGGGAGAGGGGGTAGAAAAGTGGAGAGGAGAGCTTGACCCCCCCTTTCACCATAGAGACCAAGTGATTAATCATTATTCCCACTTACCTGCACATCACTTCTGGCTGTTTCAAAGTTCTGCCTGTGGGAATTGGGAAGACGAAATGCCTTCACTGTATTTATCTGATTTTACTTATTATTGAAAATCCATGAGTGGATCCATTCCTATTGCACTGAAAAACAAAAGAAACACCAGCTTCTTGACCGCAGGCTGGGCACAGTTACCTCTGCAGTCTTGTTCTAAACTGCCCTCCTGTTGCTCATTGGCTTTCAATCCTGCAGACAGTTCTCTCTTGCTTCAGTGTTTTGGTATATGCTCTTCTCTCTATCTAGAGCATCCACTCCAACCCAGGCACACACGTACAGTCACATCATTATGGTTTGGATCTGTGTCCCCACCCAATCTCCTGTTGAATTGTAATACCTAGTGTTGAGGTGCAGCCTGGTGGGAGGTGATTGGATCATGGGGGCAGGTCCTTCATGAATGGCTTGGCACCATCCCCTTGGTGCTGTTGTCCTGATAGAGTTATCATGAGATCTGGTTGGTTGAGTGTGTAGCATCTCCCCTCTCTCTCTTGCTCCTGCTCCTACCATGTAAGACGTGCTTGCTAGGGCTTTGCCTTCCACCATGATTATAAGTTTCTTGAGGCCTCCCCAGAAGCCAAGCAGAAACCACTATGCTTCCTGTGCAGCCTGTAGAACCATGAGCCAGTTAAACCTCTTCTTTGTGATTGACCCAGTCTTTGGCATTTCGTTGTAGCAATGCGAGAATGGACTAATACAGGGTCTCAGCTCAAAATGATACTTTCTTGCTGAGGTTATCTTGATCACCTCTGGTCTAAGACAGGATCCTCCTACATTCTCTTTTGTAAGACTCGGACTTATTTTTCCCAGCATAGCACACCACAATTTTCTGGTTGTTAAATGTCTGCTAACCCCGTAGGATCATGTCAGTTGAGCCTGGTAGCATAAAACTTATGCTCTGTAAGTATTTCTTGAGTTGATAAATAAGAGATTAAATGACCAAGGGATGTATTCTTTTTATTTCAATATAGTTGTTGTTATATGATTTTAGCAAATGAGTATAGAAAGAGGCAAAGTAACCTAGAAAAAGCACAGATGCTTAAAAATTAGTAGAAGAATAACTGAACCCCTCAAAGGCAAATTAGACAGGATGTGAAAGCATGGGCATGATATGAGGGAGTGAGAAGAGAGGCTCCAGTTAACTTGGGAAGGCTCTTAGAAATGGATACTGCTAAGCTGCTTCCCAAGAGAGGCTGGTGGATTGGGTCTGGGGAGGGGCTCCAGCTAAGTCCGTGTTGCAGAGCAGGTTTGGTTTGCAGACACTGCAAACTTTAGGGTCATCTAAAGTTTAAATTACACTCAGGGAATACAGCATGAGTAGCAGGAGTCCTTGACTCGGATTTCACATTCTTTCCCATATTATCTCCTTTGTAATGTTTTTTGCTGACAGTGTTGATGTGATATAGATAGAGGCATTCCATTTCTTAACTGGTGAAAGGGAAGCAAAAGGAGTATGCCTGAATGAAATCATACAACACACGGAAACTTTCTGTACGGAGCTGTCAGTTTTATTACCCTATCTCTGCAGTGGTCTCACTGGCAAAGTACCCATATCTTTGCAGTGGTTTCACTGGCAAATAATTAGGGTTGCAATTTATAGGATTAATTAATTTAAGAAAAGACAACAGGGGGCGTGGTGACTCATGCCTGTAATACCAGCTCTTTGGGAGGACAAGGCAGGCAGATCACTTGAGGCCAAGAACTCAGACCAGCCTGGCCTACATGGCAAAACCCCATCTCTACTAAAAATATAAAAATATAAAAATTAGCTGGGCGTGGTGGCACGTGCCTGTGATCTCAGCTACTTGGGTGGCTGAGGCAGGAGAATCACTTGAACCCAGAAAGTAGGGGTTGCAGTGAGCCCAGATGGCTCCACAGCACTCCAGCCTGGGTGACAGAGTGAGACTCCGTTTCAAAAATAAATAAGAAAAGATGACAATGTAAACTACTAAAATTATATTGTATCTGTCCTTGATCATTTACTGAACTTAAAGAGATCAAATTTATCCAAAACCAAAATGACTTCTACTAAAATGCTTTCTGGGAGCGTGTTATGAACACACTTTACAAATATATTTTATAAATAACATCAGATTGGACAGATTTTATTTTTTTAAAAAACTTACTGTGATAGTTATTTGAACAAAAGACTGTCTATCATATTTTTAGTGACTAGTGCTATAGTGTATCTTAAGATATCTTTGTTCCCCATTCCACTTTGCTTGCCTTCATCGAGAGGCTGGCAGGTGCCCCTAAGGCAGCTGCATGCAGCCACCTGTAGGCTACCGAGGCTCAGCCTAGGGGTGGTTTTGCTCTGCTCCCTGGGGCTGGCTTCTGTGTGCTTCCTAAGGAAGGGCAGTGTGGCCTCAGCTGCAGGAAGGCCTCTAACAAACTTGGCCATGAAAGGAACTCTCTGAAACTGACCCAGTTGTTCCATAGATAGTTTTTTGGATAAACAGAAATTGACCCTTCTGGTCTTAAAGCTTGAAACTTACATTTGTTTTATCTGAGTTCCTTTCTCAGGAAAGGGCCTTCAGACCTCTCAAAGTATCAAAGAACTGAAACTTACCAGGTCACCACATCCAGACAATAAAATGCCTGACCCCACGTTCATCATGGTTGCTTCCTTGTCCCATCCTAGTTCCTGTTTTCCTACACATTGTTAAATTTCTTCCCTGCTATAAAAACCCCTAGTTTTAGTTGATCAGAGAGATTAATTTGAGACTGAGCTCCCATCTCCCAGACTGCAGCACCCAATTAAAGCCTTCTTCCTTGTCACTTCAGTCATTGGCTTTCTGTGCAGCAAACAGCAGGACCTAAACCAAACCCCTGCTGTTTCAGTAACATCTCCCCAGGGAAAGCAATATGTGGGAAGGAAGAGCAGTGCAGTATTATCTGGCACATAAACAAAGGAAGACACATCAACTTCTTTGCTCTGCCTATTTGACATTCTTGGTGGCTCCATTTAGAAACATTTTACCACTGGTCTTCCAACTGCCTTTCTCTGCACTGTGCTGGTGGCAGAGATGTGTCTGGTGCCCAGACCAACCCTATCCCCTGCTGTTCTCCTCCATCCCTGCCTTAATGATGCCCGGCTCACACTGCCATTTGATTTTCAGCAGTGTGATATTGATGCCTTAAACCACCTGCATCTCCATCCCATTTGTTTTTCAAATGAATGGAACTATGATTAAAAGAAAAATACAACGCTGTAGCATTTTTAACCAGTACCCTGGCATTTTCTCAAATTATTTATGTCTTTCTAAAAGGTATTATATCAGTGCTTTCCAGTCCAAAAATCATTAGAAGACAAGATATTATTAGGACTGAGTTTGGAGGAGGAAGATAAACCTAAAGCTATTCCAAGTACAGAGGAATTTCATTATCATGGACATCAGTGATACAAATCCCATTATTATCGGTGTCTAAAGATACAAATAGCACTATAGTTTTAATTTTTATCCCAGGGATATGCCTTCAATTTTCTCTTTTATTATAATTTTTATGAGTGATTTAACCATATTACAGCAATTGGGAAATAAAGAAGGCAACAGCACACTTGGTCTCCTAAGCTTCAGGCTCTTGCTGCAAGGAGGGACGTTCATCAGCCTGAACTGGAACTGCAGCTCACTTTCCTGTCACAGGGAATATTCTTATAACAAAATTAATGGGCTCCAGATGCAGATCTATTCACTTTCTTCCCATTTCTACCAATAATATGAAACTGTTAATGTCTTCTGGTAACATAGTTTTTTTCTCACAAATGCTAATAAAGATAATATCTTGAAATTACAAACCAACTAATCTTATTTACTTGATTAGGTTTTATTTAGAAAAGCCTACTTTGAGATACTGTAAAAATAGTGAAAAGAATATTAGCTTAGGATTCAGACTGGGTAAGGGTCTCGGTTTTAATTAGGATTATGTTCAATCTGTGATTCTCCCATAGCACACACACACTCAGAGAACAAGAACCATTAGTGATTACTTATTTTAATTAAATGCTCAGTTTAAGCCTGGCACAAAATTATGAAATCCTTTGGCGAAAGTTATTCTTTATTTCTATTTTTAGTATAACATGAAAAAGTACCTGCTACCCTGTTAAACTTCTCATTATAAAAATAATGTGAAAAGTTACACTCAGACAAAAACCACCACCCCATTGGTACAATATGGAAATAGGGATCCCAGCATGGATGATTTAGTAGGTGTTAATAGAGTAAGCTGAGAGTTAAAAAAAAAAAAACTAAAACAAAGACATATTTTGTGGATAGTAGCCATCATCATATAGCAATAAGATGTAGGCTATACATAACGGCCAAATGTGGAAGACCAATTTGAGATGTTCAGTAGCTTACAAGACTATGTGCACAAAATGTGAAATAACAGAATTTCAAAGATGACAGTACTCAGAAAACGAGATATGTAAAAGAGGATAATTATCTACCTTTTCTTAGCAATGAAACATATTAGAATCTTGAACATGTTTCTCCAGAGTAATCTCTCCATGACAGAATTATCATGGACATTCCACTAAATACCTAAAACTCTCTCAAGATGCACCCTTCCAGCTTGACCTAGTGCAAATCTCACGTCTTCTGAGAGGCATTCTCCAAATTCTCCAATACTCTTTATTCAAGTCCCATTCAGAACCCCTGAATTTGTCTATACTACGGGTGTATCTATTTATGTCAGAGGAATTCAGGGGCCAATAGAACACTATACTTTTTTGAATCCTGAGCCATATCACAGTGCCATATGTATAATTTGGTACCCAATAAATATTTTATGATTCAAAAAAAGTGTAAATATGAAAGATAACTTTCACAGGTGTATGTGTATATGAAGTTAGCAATGACCAAGAAGGAATGACACAAATTTATTACTAGATTGATAACAAAAAATTACTGAAGGGTTTGCAGACAGGTTGATGGAGCCAATATAACTGTAAAAATTTATTAGTCTATTATTTTGTTAACAGAATATGATATTTAATGGACCATGATATTCCCTCACAAATTTTTCCATCTCTTTGCAAATGCACTTGAGTAAACTGTTGTATAAAATATGTATTTTCTTAAAGTTGTTGCTTTCCAAAATTTGCTGAGAGGTATATATACATTGTTGTCTAACATTGACTTTTCTTTGTATGTAAAATGTCCAGGTTAGTAGCAAAAGCATCAGTACAGTTGATGATACAACTGTAATATAGTTCTCTGTTGTTAATTACATAAAATGATGTGGACTAATTGATTGATTGTACACTTACGCCAGTCATCCTGACAGTCTTAATTTAATCTTAAAGTATATTCTGTTTGATCATCTGGTCTGGGTTCCACCACACTGTTCATAATATATTGAGAAGCACATTCAGCTATGTGGAAATGTGTTTTTAATTCCTGGGTAGTCATAAATGACAATTATAATGATGAGCATGATGATAATGATGATGATAACCTTTGTGTGGTGTGTTAGAATGTGGGAAGTACCACCACTCCGGGTATATAAATACTCTTTACAATGTCTCCTTTTCCAAATTAAGAGACTACTGTTCCAAATATTTCATATGAGGAGAGGTTCTAATTTGATTTTTATCCTCAAATAGTTTCCTGAACACAGTTTATTGAATAACTATGTTTCCTATTAGTTATTATGCATTTGTTATCATACTATAAGCTCTTATGAATAGAGACTGTTTCAGAGCTACATGTTGTATCTACCTTTCTGTTGCCTCTTTTGCTAGTGTTTTAGAACCCAACATTTCCAATTATAATAAATTTATCATTGTTTTCATATATATATGCCAGTCCCCCGATTAATTTTTGCCTTTACAGTCTATTATGAAAATTTTCAAATGCATATTTTAAAAACACGAATTCTTCATGAAGTTGTGTGTCATCCTTATAAGGCGCCACGTCAATCTTTTCTGATTTTCCAGTTGTATCATCTGTACTGCTAAATGAACATAACATCTGAGAATTCCTGAGTCTTTTCTGTCCCGTGATTCTCTTCTTGTGTCTGGAGTTGTTGTCCTATGGTAGCTGCTCTCCTGCATCTTTTAATCAGCTCTACTTTACAAGACATGAAAGTAGGCTTGTCTATTTTTATTATTTTTACTAGCATCTAGTATACTGCTACCATGTAATAGGTACTCAACAAATACAGGTACACTTCAACTGAAATGTCAGAAATTAAATGCTTTTACTGAGATCGCACAACCAGAAAATGAGAGTTAGGATTTATATCCATTCCATTTGATTCAAAAATCAACCCTACTCAATGGCCCTATATGAGATGTCATAAATGGTGGTAGTGAGAATAAGTAGCTGATGAGTATACTTCCCTAACATGATACAAAATATTTACAACAAACCAGCAGCCAAGAACATACTACCAGAAGCCCACAGGCATTCCCACTGAAGCCAAGAACAAGAAAAGTATGTCTGATATCACTACTGTAATTTGGCATTTTTCTGAAAGTTTGACAAATGCAACAACAGAGTTAAATAAGGAATAGAAGTAGATTAATGGAAGATGATTTGAGAAAAAAACTTGCAAGTAATTTTAGTGTTACCTTATGCAACCCAGAGAATTAAAGGAAAACTATTGAAACAAATAAAAAGTTTATAATATATGTATTTAGTAAGAAAACATGTTAGTGTTCATTATACATCTATATTTTGGTCTCAACTAGCTAGAAAATGGGCTAGAAGAAAAATCACACATCATACTGGAAGATATATGTAAGTTCTTTATAAAACTACAATAATTCAACCCTTATGGCATATAAACACCAAATATACCACTGGAACATAAAGAGATTTCAGAAAGAGTTGGTGGGGATATAAACTGGTACATTCAGTAGAGTTACAATTTGTTCACTTTTCTGAAGATGTTATGCTTCACTAACATAAATGTAAAATAAACTGTAACACTAAAATTATTTAAGTTGTTTATTAAGGTAGTAATGATAAATATTAAATTCATAAACTTAAAAAATAAAATTTGTTGGGAAAGGGTAGTAAACTCAACATATTGTTAATTTAAAAATCAATATCAGAGAGTGACCAATATTTCTGCACACACTCAAATATAACTGCTGATTGAACAGAGATTGGACATGCCATACTTACTTGTGTTCATTTCCTTCCATGACAGGTATTGTGCTGCTTTTATTGTATTAATACAAATAGACCAAGGCATTTGAATGATGGTTGATAGGGACAACCTTACTTTGTTGAAATAAGTATATCCATTTGAGTATAGGAAAAACTCAGGAAAATTATTGTTTTTTGATATTGAGAATTCTATGGTGGGAAAATTATGAGCCAAAATAACAATATAAATATATATATTATTTAGTATAAATATATATTATTTTGGCTCATAATTTTCCCACCATAGAATTCTCAATACCAAAAAGCATAGTTTTTTTTAACAAATACTACATATATAATATTTATATGCTATATATTTTTATGGGTTGTTTTTTTTTCTTGAGATGGAGTCTTGATCTGTCGCCCAGGCTGGAGTGCAGTGGCACGATCTCAGCTCACTGCAAGCTCTGCCTCCTGGGTTCACGCCATTCTCTTGCCTCAGCCTCCCGAGTAGCTGGGACTACAGGTGCCTGCCACCTCGCCTGGCTAACTTTTTGTATTTTTAGTAGAGATGGGGTTTCATCGTGTTAGCCAGGATGGTCTCGATCTCCTGACCTCCTGATATGCCTGCCTTGGCCTCCCAAAGTGCTGGGATTACAGGCGTGAGCCACCACGCCCGGCCATAGGTTTTTTATTAGCTTTTTATCCTAAATGATTTGGGATCATTTCTAGAATTACTTTTAATGTCTAAATAGAGGTATTCATATTTATCAGAAAACAAGTTTTCCAGCAAGTGGGATTTCAGGGGATTTTGTTTATTTATAGCTGCGGTAGTATTAAAGGAATTTTTCTTCCTCTAGAAGAGGAGGATATTTTTTAGGTTTATTTTATTTTGCATAGCAGGGTGACTATAGTAATAACATATTGTATATTTTAAAATAGCTGAGAGGATTTTAAATGTTCTCACAACAAAGAAATAAATATTTTAGATAATGGATATGTTCATTAATCTGATTTGATCATTTTATAATGTATACATGATGTATCACCATATCCCTTTAAACCCCATAAACATACACAATTATTATTTTTTTTTTTTGAGATGGAGTCTGGCTCTGTCTGATAACTAACTTTTACTGAAACTAGGTTTACATTTCTTTTCCTTTTTTTTTTTTTTTTTTTTTTGAGACGGAGTCTCGCTCTGTCGCCCAGGCTGGATGGAGTGCAGTGGCGCCATCTCGGCTCACTGCAAGCTCCGCCTTCTGGGTTCACGCCATTCTCCTGCCTCAGCCTCCCAAGTAGTGGGACTGCAAGGTGCCTGCCACCACGCCCGGTCAATTTTTTTTTTCTGTATTTTTAGTAGAGACATGGTTTCACCATGTTAGCCAGGATGGTCCGGATCTCCTGACCTCGTGATCTGCCCACCTCGGCCTCCCAAAGTGCTGCAATTACAGGGCTGAGCTACCGCGCCAGGCCAATATTTACCAATTAAAAATAAAAGAATATGGCTGGGCGCAGTGGCTCACGTCTGTAATCCCAGCACTTTGGGAGGCCGAGGCAGGCAGATCACCTGAGGTCGGGAGTTTGAGACCAGCCTGATCAACATGGAGAAACCCGTCTCTACTAAAAATACAGAATTAGCCGGGCGTGTGGTGCATGCCTGTAATCCCAGCTACTTGAGAGGTTAAGGCAGGAGAATTGCCTGAGCCAGGGAGGAGGAGGTTGCGATGAGCCGAAATCGCACCATTGCGCTCCAGCCTGGGCAACGAGCGAAACTCCATCCCAAAATAAATAAGTAAATAAACAAAAAAATAAATACAAGAATATATTTTTGACTTTTTCTGAGAGTCAATTAGAAGATATCATTCAGTTGAAATTAAATTATTCTCTATAGTGACATTCTGGGAAATAGCAATTTCATTAAATGAAATATAAGCTCAATAAATAAATTGACAAATTTATTTCTGTGCATATTTCTAGAGTCACAAATTCCCACTCCTCACAATTTAGATGATCAACTCCACCAATCTTTACCCTTTCTTATGCTTAACCAACAAGAAAATTCATGTCCAGTCTTCTGAATGATTCAGAATAAACAAAAGGTCAAAATCTCACAAAATATTGAAATTGCTATGGAAAGGGGAGTGAGTTAGTCTCTTTGTGAGTATTAGAAGATAGATAAGCCAAATCAATCACTGACTATTTTCAGAATCCATCTTTATAGAAAATATGCTTTAACCTTCCCGCTAAATCCTAGGAATTCCCTGTCTGCATATATGAGCAACCAGGATCACTGTAACATTGAGAGGAAATTTTATAAAAATCGTATCATTGAAGGAGAAAATTATGTTATTCATCTACAGCAATGTTTTAGGATGTGTCAGATTTAAAATGTGTAAGCATTCATGCATGCAATCATTATTCCTTTTACAAGGAAAAGAATTTTATAAACTGCAACTTAGGTCTGATGCCTAAAATTGTTACTAACATCCTAGCAAGAAATGAAAGTTTAGAAAACTACCAGAAGTGACTAAAAACACGAAACCCTGAAGTAAGAAAAGAATAGTTGTTAGGATAATTAAAGATAAAGAAAATGGGTTTGATATAATTATATGTTACCTAGGAATTGTTGGTGTGAAGTTATGAAAGCACAAGTTAAAAGTTTTTTTGAATTAGGACTATATAACACAAACTAAAATGCAGAGTCACTTACTATACACTATTTATCATCTTAGGCCTGTGAATTCTGAAGCAATGCCAATTATTAACCTATTAATTTTAAAAAATATATACTGAGCACCTAATATAAGCACTGTGCTGTCTATGGTGGATCTTAGAGCTGCCAGGGCCATTCAGTCATTGAACACAGTTTTCTTAGGTTCTATGATGTATAAGGCACAGTGCTAAGCGCTACAAATACAAATACTATTTACAAAGCCCATTGTGGAATAGAAGTTTACATACATGTGGCACAATGTGGTGAGGCTTATATGAGAGATAGGCTCAAACCTTTGTAGGGATCCTATGAGGGACTCAAAATGGTTTAAGGAGGTTAGGAAAGGCTGCACACAGGACTTAGATGATTTGAGGATGCTGTATACAGAAAACAAGAGGTTGCTGAGTGAGAAGTTTCCTGTGGCTAAAAGAGTTCAACAAAGGACAGGGGAACCTGTGGAAATAGTCAGGGACCAGATGTAAGAACTATGTATGCCCTAGTACCCATTCATATATTATCCTGTGCACTGACTGAAAGCCATCGGAGACTTTTAAAGAGGGAAATAACTTGTTCGATTAGTTTTCAGGGAAATGATTTAGGGAGCACTAAGGAGGGATTGCTGAAGTGGAAGGTGATAAGTTTGAGTATCTATCATGTATTAAGTGTTGTTAAATTAAGTTTAGCCTAAATCTGCCTCCTTGTAGTTTTGGCCTAGATGTTTCCCCATGTATCAGATTTTTGGATACTCTTTCTTATGAAGGGCCGTCGATTGTCTATCTGTTGTCTTATATTTTTGAAGGAGTATGCTATATATTCAGAATGCTAGTCTTAGGTACACGTATTGCAACATCTTCTTCCACTCTGTGGATTGTCTCATTACTCTATTAAATGTGTCCTTTGACAAAGTGATGTTCTTAAAATGGTTTTCTGTGCCCTCTTTAAGAAATGTTTGCCTTCTTCACAGACATGCAGATGTTCTTTGTCCTTTTCTAAAAGTTTGTTTTATTTTTACATTTCTATGTGCAATCCATATTGAATTAATTTTTATGTATGATGTGAGAGAGATTATGATTCATTTATTTCCATATAGGTATCTAATTCAATCAGCACTTTTTTTTACAAAAATGTTCTTTCCCCCCTTCTGATTAAGAAGAGCATTTCTTGGCCAGGCGCAGTGGCTCATGCCTGTAATTCTAGCACTTAGGGAGGCTGAGGTGGGCAGATCACTTGAGACCAGGAGTTTGAGACCACCCTGGCCAACATGGTGAAACCCTGTCTCTACTAAAAATACAAAAAATTAGCCAGGCGTAGATGGCGTGTGCCTGTAGTCTCAGCTACTCAGGAAGCTGAGGCATAAGACTCGCTTGAACCCAGGAGGTGGAGGCTGCAGTGGGCTGAGATCATGCCACTGCACTCCAGCCTGGGTGACAGAGCAACAGTCTGTTTCTAAATAAATAGAAAGAAAAGCATTTCTTATACTTTGAAACTTCCATGGGCATTTTTTATATTATTATCTCTTTTTTAAAAGGTATATGTTCTTCCTATTTTTTATGACTAACTCCTTATTCAGAATGGGCTTCTCAACATTTCGGGGGCCCAGAATAAGAGTACAAATAGGCTGGGCACAGTGGCTCACGCCTGTAATCCCAGCACTTTGGGAGGCCAAGGTGGGCAGATCACGAGGTCAGGAGATCGAGACCATCCTGGCTAACACGGTGAAACCCTGTCTCTATTAAAAATACAAAAAACTAGCGGGGTGTGGTGGCGGGCGCCTGTAGTTCCAGCTACTCTGGAGGCTGAGGCAGGAGAATGGCATGAACCTGGAAGGCGGAGCTTGCAGTGAGCTGAGATCATGCCACTGACTCCAGCCTGGGCGACAGAGTCAGACTCTGTCACAAAAAAAAAAAAAAAAAAAAAAGAGTACAAATAGAGGCCCATATTTTATGCCCCTACATTCTCCACCTATAGATGAAATAATTTAAAGCATTCAGACTAATAATGACTAATAAATTAGGTTGATATTTGAAAAATTAATTTTACATTATTACTTTTGTTCCCTGCCAATGACTTTAAATTATCACAAATGCATTAAGTTAAAAAGAATAAAATTTTAAAGATTAGTTCAACAGTGAAAATGTATATATTAGATTCTATTATTTTAAAGAAATTACTTGTTAATAGAAAAATAGTCACGTTTCAGATAATAGGAAAAACATAGAAATTTCCATTTTTGGTCTTTAGAGCATTGACATAGCTTATGGTTTTGCCTCACATATTTTGTTGCCACTTAAAGATAGGAGGGGCTGGGCGTGGTGGCTCATGCCTGTAATCCCAGCCAGCACTTTGGGAGGCTGAGGAGGGCAGATCATGAGGTCAGGAGTTTGAGACCAGCCTGACCAACATGGTGAAACCCCGTCTCTACTAAAAATACAAAAATTAGCCAGGTGTGGTGGTGCGTGCCTGTAATCCCAGCTACTCGGGAGGCTGAGGCAAGAGAATCGCTTGAACCCGGGAGGTGGAGGTTGCAGTGAGCTGAGATCACGCCATTGCATGCCAGCCTGGGCAACAAAGCAAGACTCCATCTCAAAAAAAAAGATAAGAGGGAGATTCAATCAAAGGTGTTGTGGATCTAACTTTTGTTTAGGTCAGGCATGTATGTGTCATGCTGGTATCTAATAGGACATTTTAGTGGTTTCCATTTTCTATGTATGTGACTGGAACAGTAGGAAGCCTGCACGATGGTAACAGATCCTGCTGTTTCTGAGTCAGTCTATACAGATTGAAGTAGCTTCAATCAGGTAATTTTCAATTGTATTTGATTTTGTTGTAATTACAAAACCCGAAAACCCCAATATTTTCTGAGGTTTTACTCCAACATATGTGTTAGTTGAAGAGCCACTCTAATAAGGTGAAACTACAGGCTCCTCCCATTCCACACTGTTCTCTACATTATAGTATACACATCTACTACAGTTCTTATTATTCTTTCTTTCTCCTGCCGAAGTATGAATGCCTCCAGATGGGGATCTAGTCTAATACAGTAGAATTCAACAAGCATTTATGATGTTCCAGGCACAGCGCTAGACACGCATAATACAGAGAGGAGGGGGCAAGTGCTGGTGGAATGGGCCCCCAGCACAGAGCACAATATGTGAAATGTTTGGAAAAATTAGATCTCATTTATCTTTACTTCTAGCCCAGAGTGAGCCTACACTACATGGGCAAATGCATCAGAATGGAAATCTCCCACCAACCCCAAATTCCAACCCCAAACAGGGCACACATACACACACACACACACCCCACACCAGTGCAAGCACTGCTAACTAGCGAGTACATTTTTTCCTACTAAGCCAGGCACAGGCCATAGAAAATTCTCACACAACACTCAAGGTTTTCAACCCTAGCTACACAATAGAATTACCTGGAAGCTTCATAAATTCCCAATGCCCAGATCATACAATAGAGTAATTTCATCTCAACCTCCGAGAGTAGGGCCCAGGTGTCTGATTCTTACAGCTCTCCAGGTGCTTCCAACGTGCAGTCAAGGTTCTGAACCATTGCTATGCTCTTGCCAGTGAGCACGGTCCCTGGAGCAGTAGCAGCACCCACTACGAGCTCATGAGAAATGTACAATCTCAGTTCCCACCCCAGATCCACTGAATCAGTGTCTGCACTTCAACTAGATCCCAGCTGGTGTAAATACTCATGGAAGTTTGACAAGAACCTCAGCACCTTCCACCACCTCATCCTCAGTGAGTGAGTGTTGGTAGGTTGAATGGTGATTCCCCAAGGATGTCCACATCCTAACACCCAAAGTCCACATCCTAACACCCAAATGTTACCTTCCATGGCCGAAGGGACTTTGCAGATGTGATTACATTAAGGGTCCTGAAATTGAAACATTATTTTGTATTATTCATCACTTTCACCAGCTGATTAAAGGGCCAGGCTTCACTGTAAAATTATGAGTTTCCCACTTATAATTATTTCGTGAGGAGGTAGTTTGAAACTACTTAAGTGTCTTGTTCTTCATGCACCTTTCAATTTATTCATTAATTTATGCACATCCACTTGGACTCATAATTTCCAATTTTATCCAATGGGCTCTCATAGTCTTTTACTGACATTTATTTTGATGCTCAAACTTTCTCTGATTTGGCTTGTGGGAGCCCTTCTGAGCAGGCTTTTCTGTCATTTCACTGTCCATAACACTCTTTGAGCCCTTCCTTTCTGACACAAGATCTTCCATGCTCACCTCGTCCTTTCCTTACTCCAGCCCTGGAATTAGCTGTTTCTCCAAGGAGCTCTTGCTCCTTTTAGTGGAGAATGAGTCCAGAGCCAGATATGCTCACTGCTCTTGTGATTCTGCTCCCAGGCCCTCTGAGAGGACATGTCATACACACACACACACACACACACACACACCCCTACATACATCAACATTTATTTCTGTGCCTATCTATATATGTATAGAAAATGGTGAGTTCAGACAAATTTCAATTTCTGTTCAATATCACAGGGTTTAACCTGGTTTTCTCCCTTTCTATGTTTGTACCTTCCTTCCCCTACAATGAGGAGCTTGGCTCCCATTGTTCATTCATTTACTTATTCAGTCAATCCCATTCATGTTTCCATTCTCCTACCTCTGCCACACCCTCTCCTTCAGGCAGATGCCCTTCCTGTTCCACTTGTGCTCCAACACCCCGCACTGGGGGATTTCAGTGCTGGGCAGTGGGGGTTCTACTCACCCAGTGATTACAGTGACTATAAACATCAAACTATTACTA
This sequence comes from Homo sapiens, assembly GCF_000001405.40. Classification (NCBI taxonomy): domain Eukaryota; kingdom Metazoa; phylum Chordata; class Mammalia; order Primates; family Hominidae; genus Homo; species Homo sapiens. The sequence continues at coordinate 23,226,171 of NC_000013.11, forward strand.
CAAGACATTATCAATTTGCATTTTTAAAAAGATCGTCTATTATGCTGCTTATAAGAGACAGTTAAAAGAAAATAACTGAAACAGTTTGCAAATAAAAGAAAAAGCATATACCAAATCAATACTGACTAAATGAAAGCTGATATGAAAAAAAATTAAAATCACTTATAATGTCACCAAGAGACATAAAATAATTATGCAAAAACCAAGAAAAATATATCTGTATGTATTATAACTGTATAATATCTGTAGGCTGAGAGCAAAAAAAAAACACTGATGAAAGACATCTTAAATTAAATAAATGGAAAAATAGACAGTGTTCATGCACTGGAATACTTGATATTAAGATGTCAATTCTTCCCAAGCTGACACTTGTGTTCAACACAATGCCAATTGAAATCCCAGCACAAATGTTTGTAGAATCAACAAGCTTATTTAAAAACTTATATTTAAAGGCAAAGGAACTAGAATAAGGTGAAATAAGTGGAAAAGGACAAATATTTCAGATTCCACTTACACGAGGTGCCTAGAGTAGTCAAATTCATAGAGACAGAAAGTAGAATGTTGGTTACCAGGGGCTGGGGGCAGGAGGAAATGCAAAGTGTTCAGTGGGTACCGAGTTGCAGTTTAGGAAGATGAAAAGAGTTCTGGAAGGGGTGATGGTTGTACAACAAAAAAGAAAACTGAGCTGTCAACAAAAAGGAAAACAAGGAGGGTTCAGCAAGTCAATTTGAGGATATTTTTCCTTTTATATGTGGGAAGCTGTCCCGGAATGAGGCAGCTGGCAAATTTTAGGACAATGAATCATGTCAGTTTTTCTTTTTATCTTCACAGTGCATTGTTTTTCTACCTGCTTGTCTTATTTTTAGAATAATGTAGAAAAAGAAAATGGAGGCTCTTTTTCCTAATTTTGGCATGAATCCCCCTTGTTCCAAATGAAGATGGCATCATGAGGCAGCTCAAAGAGGAGAGCTTAGGTAATGCACAATGTGTTGGCTGCCTGTCCACATCTGTCCTGCATTGATGTGGTAGGTGAGCAATCTTTTTGTGAAAATCATGTTTGTGACCATAATCATTTGGATGAATTCTTTTAAAGAAATTAAAATCCCAGAAAGAAAAAAATTCATTATACACCTATTAAGAATGGGAAAAAAAAAAAAAACAAAAACCTGGCAGTACCAAGTGCTGACAAGAATGCGGAACAACTATAACTCTCCTATATTGCTTATGGGAATGCAAAATGGTGTGGCCTCTTTGGAAAACAACATTTTGACAGTTCTTGTTCTTAAAAAGTTAACCTTAGACCCGCCATACAAACTGTATGTAAAAGTCTGTAGCAGCTTTTCTCATAATTGTCAACAAACAACTCAAATGTCCTTGAATGGACAAACCGTTTGGCACACAACCAATGGAATACAACTCACCCATAGAAAGAAACAAGCTACTGACATCCACGTGGATGGACATCAGATGTAGTATTTTAGTGAAAGAAGCCTATCTGGAAAGGCTACATACTGCATCACCATCTATGTTATGTCCTGGAATAGGCAAAGCTTCAGGGACAGAAATGAGATCAGTGGCTACCAAGGAATGGGCATGGTGAACAAGAAAGGAGCCTGCAGAGGGGCACGGGACATTAGTATTGTTATTTATTATTATTCGAGACAAGGTCTCACTCCAATGCCAAGGCTAAAGTACAGTGGCTCAATCACAGCTCACTTCAGCCTCTTCCTCCTGGGCTCAAGGGATCCTCCCCGCTCAGCCTCCAGAGTACCTGAGACTACAGGCACCCACCAACACACCCAACTAATTTTTGTATTTTTTGTAGAGATGGGATTTTGCCATGTTGCCCAGGCTGGTCTTCAACTCCTGGGCTGAAGCTGTCCGCCCACCTAGACCTCCCAAAATGAGCCACAGCACCCGGCCACAGGGCATTATTTTATGGTGGTAGAGCTGTCCTGTATCTTGATGAGTTGTACAACTATATGAGCTTGTGAAAATTCACAGAAATATTTACTTTCAGGGACATTTTATTTAGTGAACTTTATTTCATGAAATTGTATTTAGGGTAAATCTTATTGTTTGTAAATTACACCTGAATTTGTCCGACTTGTAAAAAACTAAACAAAAAGCTAGGCATCTTCTTTTTATTTCAAGCATTTATTTGGTGATTTGTTGTTTGCAGAAGTTTATAGATTTATTTTTTATTTAAATAACAGAATCTTGCAAGTGAAAGGAAACAGGTCATCTTATGTCAATTCCTACTTTTTTTCTTTTTAAAAAATATTTTAACTTTTATTTTAGGTTCAGGAATACATGTGTAGGTTTGTTATATAGGTAAACTCATGACTTGGGCATTTGGTTTACAGATTATTTCGTCACCCAGGTACTAAGCACAGTACCTGATAGTTTTTTGTTTGCTTGTTTGTTTTTTGAACCTCTCCCTCCTCCCACCCTCCACCCTCAATTAGGTCCCAGGGTCTGTTGTTCCCCTCTATGTTTCCATGTGTTCTCATTATTTAGCTCCCACTTATAAGTGAGAGCATGCAGTATTTGTTCTTCTGTTCCTGTGTTAGTATGCTAAAGATAATTGGCCTCCAGTTCCATCCATGTTCCTGCAAAGGACATGATCTCATTCCTTCTTATGGCTGCATAGTATTCCATAGTGTATATGTACCACATTTTCCTTATCCAGTCTACTGTTTCTTTATTTGTTTGTTTGAGACAGGGTCCTGCCCTGTCACCCAGGCTGGAGTGCAGTGGCACGATCTTGGCTCACTGCAACCTCCACCTCCCGAGTTCAAGCGATTCTCCAGCCTCAGCCCCCGAGTAGCTGGGACTACAGGCATGCGCCACCACACCCAACTAATTTTTGTATTTTTAGTAGAGATGGGTTTTCACCATGTTGGCCAGGCTGGTCTTGAACTCCTAACCTCAGATGATCCACCTGCGTTGGCCTCCCAAAGTGCTGGGATTACAGGAACTGTAATCCCAGTGTGAGCCACCATGCCCAGCCTATCTAGTCTACTGTTGATGGACATTTAAGTTGATTCCATGTCTTTGCTATTGTGAATAGTGCTGCAATGAACACAACGCATGCATGTGTCTTTATAGTAGAACAATTTTTATTCTTTGGGTATATATCCAGTAATGGGAGGATTGCTGGGCTGAATGTTAGTTCTGTTTTTAGTTCCTTGTGGAGTTGCCACACTGCTTTCCACAATGCTTGAACTAATTTACACTCTCACCAGCAGCATATAAGTGTTTGCTATTTCTCTGCAACCTCACCAGCATCTATTATTTTTCACTTTTTAATAATACCCATTCTGACTGGTGTGAGATTGTAGCTCATTGTGGTTTTGATTTCCATTTAGTAACACTGAACATTTTTTCATGTGCTTTTTGACCACATGTGTGTTTTCTTTTGAAAAGTGTTCATGTCCTTTCCCCACTTTTTAATGAGGTTGTTTGTTCTTCATTTGTATGTTTAAGTTCCTTGTAGATTCTGGATATTAGACTCTTGTCAGATGTAAAGTTTGCAAATATTTTCTCCCATTCTGTCAGCTGCCTGTTTACTCTGTTGATAGTTCCTTCTGCTGCTCAAAAGCTCTTTAGTTTAATGAGGCCTCATTTGTCAATTTTGGCTTCTGTTGCAGTTGATTTTGCTGTTTTCATCATGAAATTTTTGCTGGTTCCTATATCCTAAATGGTATTTCCTAGCTTATCCTCCAAGGTTTTTATAGTTTTAGGTTTTACTTTTAGTTCTTTAATCCATCTTGAGTTGATTTTTTTTATATGGTGTAAGGAAGGGGTCCAGTTTCACTCTTCTGCATATGGCTAGCCAGCTCTCAGCACCATTTATTGAATAGGCAGTTATTTCCCCTTTGCTTGTTCTTGTCAGCTTTGTCAAAGATCAGATGGCTGCAGGTGTGTGGCCTTATTTCTGGGCTCTCTATTCTGTTCTTTTGGTCTGTGTCTGTTTTTGTACCAGTACTGTGCTCTTTTGGTTACTGTAGCCTTGTAGTACAGTTTGAAGTTGGGCAATGTGATAACTCCAGCCTTGCTCCTTTTGCTTAGGATTGTCTTGGCTAATTCGGGCTCTTTTCTTTTTGTTCCATATGAACCTTAGAATAGTTTTCCTAATTCTGTGAAGAATGTCATTGGTAGTTTGATAGGAATAACATCGAATCTGTAAATTGCTTTGGGCAGTATGGCCATTTTAATGATATTGATTCTTCCTATCCATGAGCATGGAATATTTTCCATTTGTTTGTGTCATCTCTGATGTCTTTGAGCAGTGTTTCGTAATTCTCATTGTAGGGATCTTTCACCCCTTGGTTAGCTGTATTCCTAGGTGTTTTATTCTTTTTGTGGCAATTGTGAATGGCACTGCACTTCTGATTTGGCCCTCAGCTTAGGGGTGCTGTTAATGTATAGGGATGCTACTGATTTTTGTACATTGATTTTGTATCCCAAAACTTAGTTGAAATTGCTTATCATCTCAAGGAGCTTTTGGGCAGAGACTATGGGTTATTCTCAATATAGAATCATGTCATCTGCATACAGGATTACTTTGACTTCCTCTCCTCCTATTTGGATACCTTTTCTTTCTTTCTCTTGCCTGATTGCTCTGACCAGGACCTCTAACACTGTGTTGAATAGGAGTGGTAAGAGAGGGCCTCCTTCCTTGTCTTGTGCCAGTTTTCAAGGGGACTGCTTCCAGCTTTTAACCATTCAGTATGATATTGGCTGTGGGTTTGTCATAGAAGTCTCATTATTTTAAAGTATGTTCCTTCAATACTTAGTTTATTGAGAGTTTTAGCACGAAAGGGTGTTGAATTTTATTGAAAGCCTTTTCTACATCTATTGAGATAATCATGTGCTTTTTGTCTTTAGTTCTGTTTATGTAATGAATCATATTTATTGATGTGCATATGTTAAAGCAACCTTGAATTGCAGGGATAAAGCCTACTTCTTCATGGTGGATTAGCTTTTTGATTTTCTGCTGGAGTCGATTTGCTAGTATTTTGTTGAAGATTTTTGCATCTGTGTTCATCAAGGATATAGAACTGAAGTTTTCTTTTTTGTTGTGTCTCTGCCAGGTTTGAGTGTCAGGATAATGCTGCCTGTTTGAATGAGCTGGGAATGAGTCCCTCTTTCTCTTTTTTTTTTTTTTGAGTAGCTTTAGTATTTTCCTGCATGTTTTTCAAATAAGGAAAGTAACAGCCAGAGAAAGAAATGACAATGAACAGTCAGCTTTGGCAATCTGACTATGTAAATTAGCTACCACAGAAGCTAGGATTAACATTAGGGTTTTTTTGGTGATATAACAAATAGAGTCCAGAAAACTGCCACCATATGTTTACTTGAACCCAGAAATTTGGCAGCAAATTTTTGGAACAGAATTTGTAGTCTTGAAATTCTGCTTTGTTTAACTCTAGGCCATAAAATCTTTAATGGAAATGTTTGCTTTAAAAAGTGGCTTATTATGCATACATGATCGATTTTTATAATTTACTAATGTTGGTTTAAGTTTATAAACTATATTATAAATGCCTGGCTGGATCCCATGAGAAAATCCCAAACAGCAGTTGTCAACCTCTTTAGACTCTGAGCCCTTTCTTCAAACAAAATCTCCCAGTGCATCACACGTATAAAAGAGCTCAGAAGGCCAGGCACGGTGGCTCACACCTGTAATCCCAACATTTTGGGAAGCTGAGGTGGGCAGATCACCTGAGGTCAGGAGTTCAGGACCAGCCTGGCCAACATGACGAAACCCCATCTCTACTCAAAATACAAAAATTAGCCAGGCGAGGTGGCACACTCCTGTAATCCCAGCTACTCTGGAGGCTGAGGTGGGAGAAACACTTGAGCCCAGGAGGTGGAGGTTGCAGTGAGCCAAGATTTCACTACTGCACTCCAGCCTGGGAGACAGAGCGAGATTCCATAAAGAAAAAAAAAAAAAAAGCTCAGAAAAGCTCATCTACCCAGTATGGGAGGTAGCTGCACCTAGCAGTGTGTGGGGCTTCCACATGCACACTGCTAATGCCACCACTCCCAAATGTCAGTTCGAATCGTAGTTTATGGATTGAACCACAAGGCATAATCACATATTTAATTTGGTTCTTGTTAATGGAGCTTTCAACTGATGATGTCTTTGAAAGTAGAAGTCTATTGCCTAGCAGGTAATATTCAGTTCAGGGTAACATATCTCTATCCTAGAAATTCACCTGTCACAACGTAAAATGTCCCTTATTGCTTTGTTTCATCCTTTGGATTGTCCTGCTTTCCTTTTTTAAATAATGCTTTCTATTTGGGGAAGAGCGGGAAGATCAAAGCTCAACTGGTTGAATTCAGATGCTTTTAAGACAGTGGGAGGCTGAAGTGAGCGGATCATGAGGTCAGGAGATCAAGACCATCCTGGCTAACACGGTGAAACCCTGTCTCTATTAAAAATACAAAAAATTAGCCAGGCGTGGTGGCAGGCACCTGTAGTCCCAGCTACTCGGGAGGCTGAGGCAGGAGAATGGTGTGAACCCAGGAGGCGGAGCTTGCAGTGAGCTGAGATCACGTCACTGCACTCCAGCCTGGGCGACAGTACAAGACTCCATCTCAAAAAAAAGACAGTCAGAAGGGGAGGACAGTTAGGCAATCAGATATATGGGTATGAAGCTCAGAACAGACTATTTAAAATAAAATACAGATAAAAATGGATTCTTCCATGTGGATGGCTGCTATCAAACAGAAAATACCAAGTGTTAGGGAGGATGCAGAGAAATTGGAATTCTTGTGCACTGTTAGAATATAAAATTGAATAACTACCATGGTAAACAGTATGGCAGTTCTCAAAAAATTAACAATAGAATTTGCATATGATCGATCAATTCTGCTTTTGGCTCTATACCGAAAGAATTGAAAACAGGGCATCAAAGAGATATTCGCACACCCATGTTCATAGCAGCAGCATTTACAATGCCCAAAATGTGGAAGCAACCCAAGTATCAATCAATGGGATGAGTGGATGAGCAAAATATGGTTTGTACACACAGTAGAATATTATTCAGCCTTAAAAAAACAGAAATGTCATGATATGCTATAACGTGAAAGATCCTAGAGGACATTATGCTAAGTGAAATAAGTCAGCCACAAAAAGATAAATATGATATGATTCCACTTACATAAGGTACTTAGAATAATCAAATTCATAGAGACAGAAACGCTATAAGATTTGACCTTATAGCCATATACATATATTTCAAATTGTACCCCAAAATGTGTACAATTACAATGTCTCAATTACATATTAAAACTTTAAAACAAGAAAGTAGAACGGTGGTTGCCAGGTGGTTGGGTGGAGGGGAGAATGGGGAGTTAGTTGTTTAATGGGTATAGTGTTTAATTGTGCAAGATGAAAGCAGTTCTAGAGATGATTGGTGGTGATGGTCACACAACATCACAAAGGTACTTAATAGCACAGATCTGTACTCTTAAAAGTGGTTAAGATGGTAAAATGTATGTAACATATTTTACCATGATTTTTAAAATTTGGAAAAAAATGGATAAGCCTCCAAACTGAAATAGTAATGGAAGCCAATTCATAGCATGAACGCAGGAAAGGGCCTAAGACTGAACTTGAGGGAGCCGGTAGTCAAGGGCTGGGTAGGGAGGACGAGCCTGTTAGGAGATGAAGAATGTGGTTCTGCAGGTGGGAGGAAACTAAACAAGCACAGCATCATGGAAACCAAAGGAGGACAGTGTTTCAAGGAGGAAGGGGTCCAGTGCCAAATGCCCCTGAGAATGCAAAGGGCATGAATTGGGAAATGCCCACAAGTTTTAACAGCACAGCGGTCATTGGTGACCTCCAGAATCATGTCTTCCATCCAATCTGGTAATCTTTCATGACTGTAAACTCCTTGAGAGCAGGCACCTTGAACAGACCTCTATATCCTCCTGTTTTGCTTTTCACTTAAGAAGTGTTCAATAAATATTTACTACAGAGTGAACTCAGATGATGGTATTTATGGTATTTTGGGGCAGGTGATGGAACTATACTGTATTCTGATTGTGTTGATGATTAGACAAATCTATATATGTGTTAAAACTCATAGACCTGTACACCTCAAAACAATTAATTTTATTGTACCTTAATTTAATTTTTTTTAAAAAAATGGATTCTTTTTCTTACATGGTGATGGGCTCTTGAGTATTATAAAATGACTCTTGAAATTTTATATATGTTTTCTAAAGAGCTCTTTGTATTTATACAAGATTTAATGACATTGAATATTCAATTAAAGATGCAAAGTTTTAAATACACTAGGAGAAATGCAGAAAAGGTGGTAGGCAATATATGGAAATACATGTGTGATTTAAGTCAATATTAAGAGGAATGAAAAAGCAAGCAATAAAAATATACGCATTGTCTCTTTTTTTTTTTTAACAGGCAGGAATGGGCCACTTGTGTGTAACAAAAGATGGACTGCGCTTGGAAGGGGAATCAGAATTTTTATTCCCATTGTATGCCAAAGAAATACACTCCAGAGTGGTAAGAAAATGTTAAGACAAATAATTTGTGCTTTATGAAAAATAAATCATGTTTAAGCACAAAAATTCAGTACAGTTTAGAGAAGATTTTTAAAGCGCATACATGTGCACATATTCATGATATGCTCTTTATAAAAAGCTTGACTATTGCAGAATTTATCTCTGATATTACCTTCTAAAAATATTTCAATTTAATATGCTTCAGATCTGAATTTGGTGGCCTCAGTAGTTTAGACCATAATAAACTAAAGGTTTTAGAAATGAAAATTTTTACCAAGAACAATTTAAACTTCTTTATGTTAGATCAACTAACTTAAATATATTTATTTTAGGGTATTCAAAATTATCTAAGAAGCTTAGAAAGAAATTCGTTTCAGCTGGGCGCGGTGGCTCACGCCTGTAATCCCAGCACTTTGGGAGGCTGAGGTGGGCGGATCACCTGAGGTGGGGCCAGCTTGGCCAACATGGATAAACCCCGTCTCTACTAAAAATACAAAATTAGCCAGGCATGGTGGCGTATGCCTGTAATCCCAGCTACTCGGGAGGCTGAGGTAGGAGAATCGCTTGAACCCAGGAAGCAGAGGTTGTGGTGAGCCCAGATAGCGCCACTGCATTCCAGCCTGGGCAACAAGAGCAAAACTCCATCTCAAAAAAAGAAGAAAAAACAAAAAAAAAAAAGAAAGAAATTTGTTTCATTGTATTATGTTCTGCACTTATTATACTAATTACAGATTATGATCCTGTAAGATTCTGAACAAGTAGATTCAGCATTGTTATTAAATACTTATGTGACTTTAAAAGTAAATCAAGGTTTTCTTCATTTACCTCCATGGAGCTTATAAGAAGGACAGCCAAGAATAAAGTGCAAATACGTTCAAACAATGTTGGCAATATGTTCTATTTTTACTTAAGTGATGCTATGAGCATTATAGTAGGCACGAACATTTTGCTAGATTATTGATAAATGGCATTACCTCCCTGACGCACAAAAAGTTAAAACTTCACCCAGCTATAACTTTCTAGTTATGTGAAGAGCAGAGTCTTCATTTTCCTTTCATATTTCTGAATATGAAAGGGTATTTCAGTATCTCCTAACTGCAGAGGCTGTACCAGCCACTATAGGAGAATTAGAAAAGAAACAAAAGACTTACTAAGAAACATGAGGTCTTGTTAGAGACATAAAACACACTCCTGAACCAGACATTCGCCAAGCTCTGTTACCAATTGCAAAATGACATGGCATGTGACTAACACATAAATATCACAAAGAGAGATCCCAGTAAGTGAAAAGTACATAAGTAGTTTTAGGTGCTGTTATGTTACTTCTGGGGCTATCTTATTGGCAGTGGGAGCCAGAAGATGACCTGCAGTATAATAGGCAGGTAAGAGCCTGATTCTGTGAGGCTTACCCTTACCTTATGTCATACACTTACCTTAATTGTGATGGCATTTCAGTGTGAAACAATCCTGTCCTACAGGATTTCCCTTTTGTAAAAGGGGAAGTCAGACATGAATGAAGCATTCAAGTGTTAGAACTTGGTCTTCTTTTTTCCCCAGAGTTGTGTTGGCTGATCTCCTGCCATATTTTGGGAAGAATCAGACTGGTAGAATGGTCCAGTGACTGAAATCAGGTGACTAGGTCACAGCAAATTTAATATTCTGGAATTAATAATAACTCTCAGTTGGCCAGGCGTGGTGGCTCACGCCTGTAATCCCAGCACTTTGGGAGGCCGAGGCGGGCAGATCACAAGGTCAGGAGATCAAGACCATCCTGGCTAACACAGTGAAACCCCGTCTCTACTAAAAATACAAAAAAATCAGCCGGGCGTGGTGGCGGGCGCCTGTAGTCCCAGCTACTTGGGAGGCTGAGGCAGGAGAATGGCGTGAACCTGGAAGGTGGAGCTTGCAGTGAGCCGAGATCATGCCACTGCACTCCAGCCTGGGCCACAGAGTGAGACTCCGTCTCCAAAAATAATAACAATAATAATAATAATAACTCTCAGTTATATTTTATCAGGCTTTTTCATCTCCAGTATGCTTTTAAAAAAAGCAAAATTATAGCGAATATCTTAGATAATCACATATTAAAGTCTTAGAATGTGGCATTAATGAGTATGTCAATCAACACATAAAATTCAGTAACAATTTGAATAATATTATGTGATAACAGAGCTGTACAGTGTTTTATAACTAACATGGTTTCCAATAAGAGCCATCCCAGAACAAAACTATGCTTCCTAACTTCTGTATGGATTGATATATTAGTTATAAATTTCCTTTTCAAAGATGAGTCTAGGAAGCAATTTTCCATAAAATTACAGAAAAGAAATTACTTTATGAATTTGCAAAATTTGACACATAACTCACTTATGTGTACTGATGAGCTGAGAGAATTTCTTCTTTATAAATATAATTCAACATGCTACTCTGGCCTCTAACATCTGATCACCCAGTAACCCCTCAAAAGTAATACATGAGGGCCTGTATTGAATTCATACTTTGAATTCATGGCTTAAACCCATCCACCATGCCCATTAGTTCAAACACATAACAATTATTTCCTTTAAACAAAAAGGGTTTTAAAAAACTACAGAGCCATGATGAAAAACTAAATGAAACAAATACGTGGTAATAAAGCCTTACTTGAAATGATCATCTGTGAAGTTCTCAGCCCTGAAAAGAAGCTTTAGCTTACAGCCAAAGCCCACAGTGTGACAGGGACCAAAAGGGCACCTCACTGGGACTCCAGGCAAGCCCATTGCATAAGACAGTGCTGAAGACAGAAAACAACTACAACTATTTGAATAAAGTTGCTACAACTATTTGAATAAAGCAGCATATAAAAAAGTAGCTACAACTATTTGAATAAAGCAGCATACCTGAGGGGAGGAGGCTACAAAGATGCCAGTCCAGAACCTGAATGTCATGAGGACAGAAGCCCTAAGCCACCACTGAAAGACTGGGAGGCCCTGTGGACCAAGTGAAAACAACAGGACAGACTTTAGACAGACTGGTAAGAGCCAAAAGGTAGACACATCCACACAGTGGAACATAAAACTTGAAATTTCATATGATGAAATCTTCATCTAAAAAAAAAAAAAAGCCCAATAAACTTTACATAAAGGAAGATCAATATCCAACTAAATAAAAAGTCAATCTGAAAATGACTAGAAAAACACACTTAAGATTCTCAAAGAGATAAAGCTATTTTTAAAGGAGTTTTCCTTAAAATAACATGAAATTATAAAATCAGAAGAGAAATTACAGGGCAGAAATAACAGGGAATAGGTTTACCCTCCTGCATTAAACAACTAAAAAATGAAAAAAAAAATATATGAAACAGTGGTTTTCAAATATTGGACAATGGGCAGCTCAGGAGAGTTATCCCTGCAAGAGGAAAAACAAGAGTGACTCCTCAAATTGCCTTAACTCACTGCATGAAGAGAGTTTCCAGGCTGCAATGAGGGAGGGGAGCCAATGCAGACACAGGTGGTCTCCCTGAGTTGAAGAGACAGGGTTGGGAGGCCAAGGAATCCAAGGCAGCTGCAGTTTGCAAGGCGGAGTACTGCAGAGGAGGGGCTTGCTGCACGTGGACAGCGCTCCAGAGATGGCAGAGACTTCACCTCATCCCACCCCCACCAAGTCTATGGATAAATATTTACCAGTGTGTGTGTGTGAGGAAGCTACCTTGAGACTAGTGAAATACCCACTCTAAGGGAGCAGAAGGAACAATGCCTGGAGCTCACACAGGGTGGGGAACAGTTCATATTCCCACCAGTCAGAGTGGAAAACTTCATAAATTATGGGCATCAGGTAGAATACAGAAGGGCATGGCTCAGAAGTGGTACAAGATCAACACTAGGAAAAAAATCCTGCTCTGGTCCATTCTAACAAAGCTTAACAGGAATCCTTGAAAGTGGCATGCTTTTTCCAAGTGATTTGCTCCATCCCAGAACAGAGTTCTAAAAAACTACATTTCATCTGTGCACAAAAGTCGAGGAAAGCATAATCATGTTAAGGAGAGACATAAAATATGGAAAGACAGAAAAAACACAAAAGAATCTTCTAGAGATGAAAAGTATAACAACTGAAATTTTTAAAAAGCCAATGGTGGGACTAACAGATTAATAACAATTTAAAGTATAGCTATAGATACTCTCCAAAATGGAGCACAGAGAAAAATGACTAGAAAAAGAAAGCAACAGCATATCAGTAACTTTCTTTTTCTAGAAAAAGAAAGCAACAGAGTATCAGTAACTAGAGGGACAATGTCAAGGGGCTTTATGTATGTGTAACTGGCATCTCCAAAGAAGAAGAAAGAAGAGAGGACAAATATTATTTAAAAAGAATAAAGTGTACTTTTTTTCCAAGCATGATAAAATCTTTAAGCCTACAGATAAAACATGTTCAATGAACCCCAAACAAAAGAAACAAGGAAAACTACAAGGTACATTGTAATTAAATTGCTTAAAAACAAGAGAGAAAAATCTTAAAGAGAAAGCCTTAGAAGTAGCTAGAGAAAAAGGATATATAACATACAAAGGAGTGAAAAAAATATGACATCAGCCTTCTAGTCAGTAACATTTAAAGCCAGAAGACACTGAAGCACCGACTTTAAAGTACTAAAAGAAAAAAAGGCCAACCTAGAACTCTTTACCTAGCAAAAGTATCTTTAAAAGACAAAGTCAAAATAAAGACTTTTTTGGACTTACTAAAGCTGAAAGCAAGTTACTTCAGCAGACTAGCACCACAAGAAATATTAAAGGAAGCCTTTCTGGCAAAAAGAATATGATGCTAGAAGAAAAATCTAGATGTTCACCAGAAAAAAATTTTAAATACCAGAACTCATAAGTATGTGGTTATACAAAAAATAATTTTAAAAAATGTTAGAAGACACTTTGCTCAAAGCCAAAAGAACAATGTATTTGGGATGTTATAACAGGATAGGCATAAAATGTATGACACTAATGAAACAAAGACCGTAACAGAAAAAGATAGAGGTACTGCTATAATGTTCTCACATCACACGTGAGTGGCAAAAATTATTGAGGATGGACCTTAATAAGTTAAAGATGCTTAGTATATCTAAAGTAAACTCGTAAAACAGAAAGTATAGCTAATACATCAACTAAGGAGATAAAAATGAAATGATAAATAATTAATCCAAAAGGAGGCAAAGGAAACAAAGAGAAAATTAGTTGAATATGAAAACAAATAGCAATTTGGTATATTTGAACCAATTCATAGTCACATTAAAATAATCACATTAAATATAAATGGTCAAAACACCCCAACTGAAAGACAGACTGTGAAACTGAACACAGAAGCAAGGTCCAACTATATGCCATCTAGAAGAAACCTACCTTAATTATAAAAACACAAATAGGTTGAAAGTAAAAGGTTATACCATACTGTACTAACCTATACTATACTAACACTAATTAAAAGAAAATTGGAGTGACTATATTAAAACAGACAAAGTAGATTTCACAGCAAACAGATAAATATTTTAGAGATACAGAGGGTCATTTAAGATGACATAGGAATAAATTCTTCAATATTTATGGTTCTAAACACTCATGAATCCACTATCAGAGCATCAATATACATGAAGCAAAACTGATAGATTGTAAGAAAGGAATAGAAATATTCACATTTAGACTCAGGGATTTCAGCACCCCTCTCTCAATAACTGATAGGAGAAATGGATATAGAAACAGTAAGCATATAGACTTGAACAATGCTATCAACCAACTTGATATAATTAAAATTTTCAGAGCATGCTGCTCAACAACAGCAGACAGAGTTCTTTTCAAGTGCACAGGGAACATTTATCAAGATAGATCATATTTTGAACCATAAAACAATCTGAATAAATTTAAAAACATTCAAGTCTTCCAACATGTTATCTGACCATAGTGGGTTTAATAAGACAACTATAACATAAATATATCTGAAAATTTTTTGAATAACTGGAAATTATATAAAAATTTATAAATAACCATGGGTCAAAGAAGAAATCCAAAGGGAAATTAAACAGTATTTTGAACTGAATGACAATTAAGAAAACAATAACATTAAATTTGGGAGGATGTAGCTGAGGCAGTGCTTAGACGGAAATTTATGGCATTAAATGCCTATATTAAAAAAGAAGAAAATTGGCCGGGTGCGGTGGCTCACGCCTGTAATCCCAGCACTTTGGGAGGCCGAGGCAGGCGGATCACGAGGTCAGGAGATCGAGACCATCCTAACACGGTGAAACCCTGTCTCTACTAAAAATACAAAAAATTAACCGGGCGTGGTGGCGGGTGCCTGTAGTCCCAGCTACTTGGGAGGCTGAGGCAGGAGAATGGCATGAACCCAGGAGTCAGAACTTGCAATGAGCCAAGATCACACCACTGCACTCCAGCCTGGGTGACGGAGCGAGACTCCATCTCAAAAAAAAAAAAAAAGAAGAAGAAGAAAATCGATGACCTCAGTTTCATCCTTAAGAAACTAGAAGAAGAACATGTTAGACCAAAAATCAAAGACAGAAGATCCAAACAAATAAAATCATAAATGAAAAAGGAGACATCATAATGGATACCACAGAAATACAAAACATCATCATTAGAGGCTACCATGAACAAGTATTTGTCAATAAGTTTGAAAGCCTAGGGAAAATGGATAAATATTTGGATACATACAACCTTCCAAGATTGAAACAAGAAGAAACAGGAAATCTAAACAGACCAATAATGAGTAACAACATCGAATTAGTAATAAAAAGTCTCCCCAATAAAGGAAAGTCCAGGACCAGAAGGCTTCACCGCTGAATTCTACCAAACATTTAAAGAAGAATTAATACCAGTCCTTCTCAAACTTTTTCAAAAACTTGAAGCAGAGGAGATTCTTCCTAACTCATTACACAAGACCAGCATAGCCATGATATCAAAACCAAACAAGAACAAAACAAAAAAGAAAACTACAGACCAATATTTCTGATGAACACAAATGTAAAAATCCTCAACAAAATACTAGCAAACCAAATACAACACATTTATCCCAAGAATGCCAGGATGAGTCAACATATGCAAAACAATAAACACCATACATCACATCAATAGAATGAAGGACAAAAACCATTTGGTCATCTCGATAGATGCAGAAAAAGCATTTGATAAAATTCAGCATCTCTTCATGATAAACCAAAAGTCAAAGAAGAAAAGAAAGATGAGAGAAGAAATCAACAAAATAGAAAACATAAAACAATAGAGGAAATTAATGAAACCAAAAATGGATTCTTTTAGAAGATCAATAAAAATTGATAAACCTTGAACCAGACTGAATATTTTAAAAAGAGAGGGCACAAATTATCAATATCAGTGATGGTAGAAGGGACACTGCTATGAATCCCACAGACATTCAAAGAATGGTAAGGAAATATTACAAATAACTTTATGCCAATAAATGTAATTTTTCCACATACTGTTTGACAGAATTCTTGATATAGGATTGCTGCTTCAATGATTAAATTAGTTTCTGCCATTCCCATATTAGGTTCAAGTTGGAAGTAGTTAATTATGTATATAAATGAAGTGGTGAATTGTACTTGCCCTCTAATCTACATTTTCAAAAAGTATCTTAAAACATCAATCTCATAGGGTATTGATAACTCCTATAGCAGTTTTGATCTATCTTTGGGCCATACCAATTACCCCTTACATTATTAATGGTCTTTTTATACACCTCTTTCTTTCACAGCTCCTTCTATATGTCATGCACTGTTGAGAAAAGTAATAAAAAGTTCTACGTTCTATGATTCTTTCACCTACTCCCTAAGGTGTAGTGTTGACACAACAGCTGTATTCAAACAGGTACATTCAGAGTTCAATTGAGATGAATAGAAAAATAAAATGTTCTCCTTATACCTTGCTGTCATTCTCTAAATGGCGTAAAATTTTTCTAAAAGGCATCATTAGCTAATGATAAAAACTGAAAATCCCTTATGTAAAATTTTAGAAATGATATAGTGGTGGTTGTACAATACTGTGAATGTACCTAATGTCAATCTACTATACACTTAAAAATGGTTGAAATGGTAAATTTTGTGCTATCTATAACTTACATACATAGTATATTTATATTTTAATACAATAAAAATAGTTTTAAAAAGTCAAAAAACAAAAACAAAAACCTGGAAATCACATTCACAATCTATAAACTTCAGTTTTCTTACCTAGAAAATGGAAAATAAAGTCTCTGGACTTCACAAAAAACATCAGTTTTTATTAAAAATGTACACGTTGATTGTTTTAAGGTACTTCTTAAAAATATAGATTAAAGAGCAAGTATAATTCAATATAAGAGGTTTCATTATAGCAGTTATGAATACAATTTTGTTGGTAATATAGATACAGAGTCAATTCTGCTCTGTCAATTAAAAGAGCTTTACCGTGTGAACACAGAATACCCAGCTAGCCGTGGCATAAACTAATAGGAGCTTTTAGTCTCACATAACAGGAAGCTGGAGGGGGCAGCTGCAGCTTTGGTTCAGCACTAAACCATGTTAAGGCCAGAGTATCTACCAGCCACCCGCCTGCCCCTCATAATCACTAGACAGTTATGAGGCCACATCCAAGACACACAGCCGGGAAATGTGCAGTGCTGGTGCATGTGCCTTTTTCACAAGGAATGCAAAAGCTTGCCTAGAAACCCTGAGCTCCACCCTCTGCAGATCTCAGCTTATCTCCCATTGACCAGAATTGTGTCCCGTGGGTACCCCTAGCCTCAAGACAGTCTGAGAAAGCAGGCAACCCCTGTCGTGGAAAGCAGAAAAAGAAAAGGGTTTGAAAGTGACTGTTGGATTAGATGACAGGAAGTGAATCCCAGAACAGCTTACTTTCTCTGCGCTTGGGAGTGGATCTCACTGCTCTCACCAGAACCCTGTCCTCCCATTCCAGGAGAATGGTGGAGAGAGCCTGGAAGTGGGCATCTAAAGATTGGCTCCACCACGGAACTGTCATCTGCAGCTGTGTGTGGCTTTGAGGCAGCTATAATTTATTCCCTGGGATCTCAATTTCCTCATCCCTATATTAGCAATAATGGTGCCTACTTTATAAAATACAGGATAAAATGAAAGGATCAATGCTCAATTTAATTGATAAAGTGTTAACTCATTATCATGCTAATTATTTTCTAACATTGCAGAAACAAGTGTTAAGGTGACATCATTGGATACCATAAGAAGCTGATAGGTCCATCTGCTTCCACAAAGCTAGTTGGAGAATTTCTGACATCCTAGATAGAGCTCCCAAGGGCTCTTAAGACTATTTTCCTTTTGAAACATCACATAATTCCCTACCACTCTGGAAGATATTTGGTTTCCTCTGAGTGAACCGTAAACCTACCTGCATCCAACAGCAAAATTAGTGAATTCCTTTTGAAGAAAATTGTGTATATAAAAACAAGCAATCTTCTCTAAAACAACACCACCGTATCAGGATTACATATCATATCAGGATTACGATAACAGAGAAAGTATAAACAAAACCGCCGTATCAGGATCACTGTATCGTATCAGGATTACGATAACAAAGAAAGTATAACACTTTTGTGCTCATAAAGCCACTTTATCTTCAACAAAAAGTGCAAAAAACAGAGCCATCCAAAAATGTTGCTTAATTCATTTGAAATTATGAGAAGCCTTTGTGTTTTTAAAGTAACATGGTATTTCTTATAGAAAAGTTAACTATTTCTCGGATTCATCTTCTTAAAGTATATCATGTCCTGGACATAAATAATCCCTAAAAATAGAATTTTAATTCCTTGAAAAAGCAAAAGCACTGGTTAAAACGTGGTTGTTTTAGATCTTTACCTTGTGAACTGCCTTGACACATTGTAACCAGTGCGCACAAGCACTGTAAACCCATGGGATTCTCACATTTTATGAGAAAAGTTAATACATCTACTTCCTTAACAATATGATTCAGGTGACCATTTGGGGCAGCCTTAGGAGTATGTTGTGGGCTCAGACACCATACAGGGCCTGGATCGTTACGACTTCTCCAAGGCGCTTTGAAATCATCATGGAAGGGCTTTGGCATCTCTAGAACACCAAGAACTGTGATAAAGAGTTGAAAAAAGGAGGAAACATTCCTGAGGCGCCGGAGTGGCGTGAAGGCCCTCCAGCTCTGGGGCCCATCAGCACCCGGAAAAGTACCACTGGAGTGGCACTTAGGTAGGATTCCCCAGCAAACACAGGTGCCCCGGGAGCTCAGTAACGTGGTTTGGAAGGGGACAGAGGCCCCAAAGGCCTGAAAGCCCAAAAGGAGTACTTTGTGGCCTGCACACCAAGGTTTTTCCTAAGGTTCATCCTGCCACAGAAATTCTTTCTCCTCCTTCTCCTCCCATTCCTCAGCCACTGGCGTGATTAGGACTGGCTACAAAGACTGCCTAATTTGGAGCGTTTGGGGTTCCTTTCGTCCTTGTGATCCCCAATGCATTCTGCCAGCCCCTTTCTAAAAGAAATGGCTTCTCTGGAGGAGGGCATCTACAGCCTTAAAATTAATTCCAAACGTAGCTCCTATAATTTCATGAACCCTCAATTTGCAGCTGGAAGTGAGGGTCAAAATGAAACTGAGGAACCAAACAAGTTCCAGAACAGGTAGGGTAGACCTAAAGATAGCGACGCTTAATTGACTTATGTGAGGGTTCTCCAGGAGATCCTGGGAGATGACATGCCAAAAGGAAAGGAAGAGGCTGTCACTAGTTCACAATCAAGCCTAGGAGAGTGTCTCTACTACGGAGAAGGACGAGCCAGGAATGCCACTATCTTTGCTCCTCAAAAAGAGAAAGAGTCAGCCCCAGAGATGAGCAGCTCCTGTGACAAGAGGGTGATTGTTAATCCTCCTAAGAAATTCAGTAAGGGGCGACCTAATAACCAAAGTAGAGTCATTTATGAAAAAAGCTCTCCGCCTTTAAATTTTCTGGGTGATTATAACCCCCATTCAATAATCCAAAAGCGACTTAGCAACCAAAGTAGTCATTTGTGAAAAAACTCTCCACCTTTAAATTTTCCCGGAAGACTAGAGCTCCCATTCAATGTTCCAAAAGCACAAAGACAAGATGGTGATTGAGCGCCCCTCTTTAGGGTGTGACTGATCTGATGTAGGTGGAACCACAGTCGTATTCTCTGAAGAGAAGCCATTCTCACTGTGTCT
This sequence comes from Homo sapiens, assembly GCF_000001405.40. Lineage (NCBI taxonomy): Eukaryota > Metazoa > Chordata > Mammalia > Primates > Hominidae > Homo > Homo sapiens. Next base: position 23,245,913 of record NC_000013.11, read on the forward strand.
TCCTGGAGTGTCAGAGCCTCTGTACTACGCCACTGACTATACCACTTTTCCACCTCATTATAGTCCTTGGCATGACTACACCAGCTCTTGGTTCAGCAATACCAAGTCTTCTTGGTATCCCTCCTTGGGCAGCAGCAGTAACACATTCCAGGCTGGGAAGAGCAGCTTCAGCAGCAGCAGCAGCAACAACAACATATTCCAGAATGAGAGGAGCAGCCACCAGAGCTTCCTGAGTGATTATTCCACCAGTTTTCCAGTGAGTGCCCAAAACATGTCCAGAGACCTGAAGATGACAGAGGAAGGCAGATCCAAGAATTCCTCCTTATTTCACTACTCCAGAAATGTGGAAGCAGATGCGAAGGAGGAGGGAGTGTATCAAGAGGAGACATTACAACGTCCTTATGGAGGACATGCATCTAGCTTTCTGCCAAGTACCCTCTGGCAGCCAAAGCAACAGGGTTTCATTGTTGATACCCACTGTCACTTGGACTTGCTGTATTCCAGGCTGCCTTTCAAAGGCACCTTTACCAAATTCAGAAAAATGTATAGCAACACCTTCCCCAAGGAATTTCAGGGTTGCATTTCTTGCTTCGACAATCCTCAAAACCTAAGGGACAGGCTGTGGGAGCATCCGTTGAAAGATGATCAGCCTTTGGCTGATAGCCTTTGACTGTTGCCCTCATTTTGCCCATTATTATAATGACTATCAAGAAAGAAGTATTTTAAAAGCCTTACAACACCCCAAGTCTGTGGCATTTGGAGAAATGGGCTTGGATTACTCCAACATGTGCACCACACATGTCCCAGAGCAGCAGAAGGTATTTAAAAGATAGCTGCAGCTGGCCGTCTCTCTTAAAGAAGCCCATGATGATCCACTGCCGAGAAGCCGATGAAGACCTACTGGGCATCTTGAAAAAATATGTGCCCTCTGACCACAAGATGTACCAGCATTGCTTCACTGGCAGTTACCCAGTCATCGAGCCCCTGTTGAGCCACTTTCCCAACCTGTATGTGGGCTTCATGGCAATTCTGACTTACTCTTCTGCTGAGCAAGCCCGAGAAACTGTGAAAAAGATCCCATTAGAGAGAATTATTGTAGAAACCAATGCTCCCTTCTTCCTCCCTCACTAGGTTTCCAAAAGCCGTTGCCAGTATGCCCACCCAGGCCTGGCCCTGCATACGGTGCGAGAGATTGCCAGAATCAAAGATCTGTTGCTTTCCCACACCTTGGCCATCTTGCAGGAGAACACCTGTCACCTCTACCATCTTTAAACAGAAAAGGCACAGTCAGGAGTCTTCCTAAGAAAGGAGACCAGTAGCCTGACAAAACACATGAACTAGATTTGAACTCTATGTCCCGGGTCAAGGATGTGTTTGAAGAATTCGTTGGCATGGAGTAAACCAGGACAGGATATTTTCCTCAAAACCTTTTCGTAAGACTTCTGCTTCTGGCTGGTAGGGTGGGGTACAATGGGATGGGAGGAAGGCTAAGGTAAACTGCCCTTGATGTTATTAAGGTTTTTCTTCCCAGCAAAAATGCCTTAAGGTAGCCAGTAAAGAAGAGAGTTTGATAGAATACAAAGAGTTTCCCAATCTAAATCCCTGTCCTCTGCAGCCTGCTTTTGATCACTTGGTGAATAAAGTCACCCTTCTACTTGTCTTTAAAAAAATGTAGAATTTTAAAAGTGAGGTAGGTGATTTGTATATTATATTCGTATATTATAGGAATTCTATTTAAAAATTTAAAAATCGGTCGGGCATGGTGGCTCACACCTGTAATTCCAGCACTTTGGGACGCTGAGGCAGGTGGATCACTTGAGCCCAGGAATTCAAGACCAGCCTGGGCAACATAGTTAAAACTCATCTCTATTTAAAAAAAAAAAAAAAAATCAGCTGGGTGTGGTGGCACACACCTGTAATTCCAGCTACTTGGGAGGCTGAGGTGGGAGGATCACTTGAATCCACGAGTCTCAGGCTACAGTGAACTGTATACTCACACCACTGGACTCCAGCCTGGCAACAGAGTGAAACTCCCATCTCTTAAAAAAAAAAAAAAAAAAAAGTTTTTTAACAAAAAATAGGCCAGATGTAGTGGCTCACGCCTGTAATCCCAGCACTTTGGAAGGCCAAAGCGGGTGGATCACTTGAGCCCAGGAGTTTGAGACCAGCCTAGGCAACATAGTGAGACCCTGCCTCTAAAAAACATTTTTTAAATAAAAAATGTAAGTATACACTCAAAAAGATAAGCGAGATCTACACACCGAGTTTTCCTTTCCAAAAAAAATTTCTATCAAAAAAAAATTTTTTTAATTTTAGATGGAAAACCAACCTACTCCTCTCTCCCTGCATTTTTGTGTGGCAAATTTAAGTGTTACACTCTGCGGTGTTTATAACATGCAGGAGAGAACCTTGCTGTAATTTATCTTTTTTTCTTCAGGAAAAGGAATGAGCATTGTAGTTCTGAGTGTAGTATTATCAAGAGTAGCCTAAATCAAAAAGCACAATCTGGCCAGGCGCGGTGGCTCAGCCTGTAATCCCAGACCTTTGGGAGGTGGAGGCGGGCGGATCACGAGGTCAGGAGATGGAGACCATCTTGGCTAACGCAGTGAAACTCTTCTCTACAACAAAAAAAATTAGCCGGCGTGGCAGCAGGCGCCTGTAGTCCCAGCTCTTCCGGAGGCTGAGGCAGGAGAATGGCGGGAACCCGGGAGGCGGAGCTTCCGGCGAGCCCAGATGGCGCCACTGCACTCCAGCCTGGGCGGCGGAACTAGACTCCGTCTCAAAAAGAAAAAAAAAAAGGCCGGGTTCGGTGGCTGATGCCTGTAATCCCAGCACTTTGGGAGGCCGAGGAGGGCGGATCACGAGGTCAGGAAATCGAGACCATCTTGGCTAACACGGTGAAACCCCGTCTCTACTAAAACTACCAAAAATTAGGGGGCGTGGTGGCGGGCACCTGTAGTCCCACCTACTTGGGAGGCTGAGGCAGGAGAATGGCGTGAACCCGGGAGGCGGAGCTTGCAGTGAGCCGAGATCGTGCCAGTGCACTCCAGCCTGGGCGACAGAGCCAGACTCTGTCACAGAAAAGAAAAAAAAAAAAAAACAAACCTCAATTTTCATTTATTTATTCCATTAGTGAGGTAAAGAACAGTTCACCTACTCATGTTACTAGTAAAATCTTGCAATGCAAATGTGCAAAATTTGGGACACTTTGTAAATAGTTTTCTACTTAAGTGATAGATATTCCATTTAACCTCAAAGAATTATTATTTAGCATTTATTTTTATGGCATTTGGTGTGACTACCCTCCCATCCTGGAGACATCAGAGTTGTGAAGGTAGCCAGTAATCTAGAAATTCAGTTTACTCTTAGTGGTCCCTGGGATATTAGTCTGGAGTCACAGAGCCTCTCAAGGCCCATTAACAGGCTCCCCCAACCTTAGCAGTCCTTTCAGGGCATGTCAACATTTCGCTTCACTTAAATTTTAGAAAGGCAGCTATTTCTACCTTTAAAGCTCAAAAGAAGCAAACTGCCCATTTTGTCTTGGGAGACAGAGGAATTTGCTTTTTCAGTTGGTTTTTATTCATATCTAACTTCAAAATTCATACCTGCTTATTATAAAAGTTTTGAGACAAGTAAAGCGAAAAAAATGTGATTTTTAAAAAACCCAAACAAAATAAAAGCAACAGAAGGAAAAACGTACATGGTAAAATTGATTTTTTTTAAATCAATAGTAGAGTCAAATATTGGCAAAATCTGGATATACAAAATTTGACTCAGGAAAATTGATCTTGGTAGAAATGTGATCAACAAAGAAAACTCAGACTGTCAAAAGCCACAATGGACAGCATTCATATAGACAAAAATTAATGAACCAAATGTTTTTAGTAAATTTTATTGTAGAAAAAATCTGTTGAAAATATTTCTTAATAGGAAAATATGGTAATAGTTTACCTGCATGGAAAAATTGTTCAAAGAATTAAAGTAGCTTGCAGTGGGGAAAAAAGTAAAAATTTTTTTGTTTAGGTATAATTCTGTTTGTTTTAAATAATCAACTCAGACTGCATGTGCTTTTTCAAAACTATTGTTTACTGATACATAAAATTGTGCTTTGAAATTTATTTTTCTTTCTGTTCTCTGATGTCGATTTTATTGTGTATTTTCTAATGTCTTAAGCTAAATGCTTAGTTTATTTTTTATCTGGAGAGCAAGAACAAAGCAGTCAATACCACAAATGTGTCTGTAATTATAACTCTGCTGTATACATAGATTTTTTTATTTTGATAAAGTTTACTTTACACATTATAAAAACACAAATGTATTACAAAAATATGGAAATAGAGAGTAGCAGGAAAAAGTATATGGCATTTCTATTACCTAGAACCCCACTGTTGTAGGTGTCTTTCCTTGACATAGCTGTGACCATATAGCTCTGTTAAATTGCATATTTGTCTAAATAATTCATATTTTTTTCTATCCCTATCTTGCGTTTGGAGCTCATTTTATGATTGTTATTCTTTTATCTTTCAATAAATACTCAAAATGTTAAAAAAATATGATTCAGGAATTTTTAATTGTCTTAGCCACAAATTTATAGGATTTCCAGGATCTGTAACAATGGATAAATAATTTTATAAAAATCCTAAATTTACACAGAATTATAAAGATATAATCATTTTAAACAGCACCTATTTTGCAAATTTTATAAATCTCTTTCTAGGACTCATCTCTGCTTCTACAATCAACCCAGAATGTGACTGTAAATGCGCGCAACTCAGAAGGGGAGGTCACAGGCAGGTTAAAAGTCGGTGAGTCCAGCTTCATCATGGTGCTTTGCATGCATGTTGTCCATGAATAGTGCTAAATGAATGCATTGTTTTTTCTTCTAAAGAAATCAAAGCTACTTATGAACAAAATATGAATTTTCTAAATATCATGCTGTGTTGACCACAGACTAGCACCACAGAGTGGGGTGGGGGGTGAGGGGACAGCCTGAAGTGCTTTGATTAGAGTTATTTTTGTTCCAAGAAATAGAGGACAATTAAAGCTAGTACAAGAAACAAAATGTTTATTGTGGGTTACCAAAGACTCTTGCAGCAACCAAAGGGAAGGAACCCAAGTAGCTGGCCTCAAAGAGCACAGAGACCAGTGGCTGAGAGCCACGAATACATTCAGTTCCCTCCCCGTTCTTTCTTCTCTTTTCTCTCCTCCCCATGTGCTCCATTCTCCTCCTTTCCAGTTTATCTTTGCCACCATTTTCACTTGGCTGTATCACTTCTCACTGTACAGAACCTATAGGGCCTCCCTGATTCTTACCTGCTCGGCTGTAGTTATCAACATCAAACAGTTTAGTCTTCAATTACGCAAATTCTAAATCCACAAAGTACTCTAATTAGCCCAATTCATCTGTCCCACCACATTCCTTTGGGTCAGTCAGCTATGTACACCCATCCAATCAACTAAGGCCAGAGGATAAGGTCACATGGGAGTGAGGTCACATGGAATCCTGCAAAGGGAGAAAAATGTCAGCAAGAAGAAATACAGATGAAAGCAATATCAGAAGAGCAAACCAGCTGGTAAGAAGGAATGCAGGCCAGGCATGGTGGCTCACCCCTGTAATCCCAGCACTTTGGGAGGCCAGGATGGAAGGATTGCTTGAATCTAGGTGATCAAGATCAGCCTGGGCAACATCTCTAAAAAAATAATTTTAAAAATTAGCCAGGTGTGGTGGTGCACGTCTGTAGTCGCAGCTACTGGGGAGTCTGAGACAGGGAGGATCACTCGAGCCTAGGAATTCAATTCTGTGGTGGAAGAGACCCTTTGTTTGAAAAAAAGAGAATAAGAATAACGAAGATATATATATTCACTATACTATTAACATTGGATAGATTTGCTAAGTCTAGGAAACTGGATGGCCCTTGTCATTATCAGAAAATAAATGAGAGGTGTACTGCCAACACAAACTTCCAATGTCTCTCTTTTTAATGGTACTTTTACAAAACAGAATAATGTTACATGGGAAACTACAGCCTTATGTTAATCTGATGATTCCTTTTTCTTATACTAATACAAGATGTTCTGTACTTTATCCTCTGCTTTATAACTTATTCTTGATCATAACTTGTATCTCTCTTTGGCCTGGAAGTTTTGTTTAATAACTAAGTCCAGTGAAATTCTCTGTGGATCAGGAGATGAACTCCAGTTTTTCCTGCATATACGTTCTTAAGATGTATTTAAAACAAATTATATTTTCTTGATAAATTATACAGTATTATCATTTATCTTTACCATCATTTCTTGAAAATCTTCAACTGCCTATAGCTTTCAAGTGTTTGAGGAATTTTTGCCCATTTTTTCTCATTCATTCCAACAAATATTTGTTGAATGACTATGGGCTACCTTATATGCTATCAAGTAATAATAATAAAGACTATGTAATTATTTCTTAGAAGCTATAAAAGTAGAAGAATCTTCTTATATTCCTATAAAAATTAATTAGCGGCCGGGCACGGTGGCTCACGCCTGTAATCCCAGCACTTTGGGAGGCCGAGGTGGGTGGATCATGAGGTCAGGAGATCAAGACCATCCTGGCTAACACAGTGAAACCACGTCTCTACTAAAAATACTAAAAATTAGCCGGGCGTGGTGGCGGTCGCCTGTAGTCTCAGCTACTTGGGCGGCTGAGGCAGGAGAATGGCGTGAACCCGGGAGGCGGAGCTTGCAGTGAGCCAAGATCGCATCACTGCACTCCAGCCTGGGCGACAGAGTGAGACTGTGTCTCAAAAAAAACAAAACAAAACAAACAAACAAAAAAGTTAATTAGTACAAGTACACATTCCTCTGTTTATCTTTTTGTTGGGTGTGGATTTTCGTATATTATGCAAGGGAATTTAGATATAATATAAACCTGCCTCTCATTTCATAGATGAAAAAACTGAAGGACTAAAAAGCAGATTTGCTCAAGAGCACATAGCTAGTTAGTAGAGAAGTCAAAACAGGAAAGACTGAGGGCTTACTTCTCTCAGCCAGCTGTTTCCACTGGCCCTCCTCTCTAATCAGATTTCTTGAAATTATGGCATGCTAGTAACTGTTCTAGTTGCTTCAAATATAGTTTCCATTTCATTTTTGTCACCAAGAAATTACCAGGGGTTTTAAAGGTTTTGTTTTGTTTAGTTTTTCTTTTTTTAAAAAGGCTGGGTCAGTGGCTCACTCCCGTAATCCCAGCACTTTGGGAGGCTGCAGCAGGAAGACTGCTTAAGCCTAGGAGTTCAGGGCTTCAGTGAGCTATGATCACGCCATTACACTCCAGCTTGGGTGAGAAAGTCAGACCATCTCTAAAAATAAAAATAAAATAAGTTACACATCAAAATCTCTTTGGTTTGAACTGTTCGCCTCAATCTCTAGTTTTAACCTTGGTGTCTCATGCCTGAGAAAGTGATTTAATTAGTGATTTCTAGTAAATCTTTAGTTGGAAAGTCTCTGTTATATTGAGAACCTTGAGCTAGGAAATAGCACCAAGCTCACCAAATCCAAGGTTTTCTTCCGTACATGACTTCCCACAGTTGCAACCCTTCTAGTCTCATATTTCCTGGAAGAAGTTAAATTTTGCCAATTTGGGTATTAAAATGTAATTTATGTGAACTAGCCATATTAATCTCATTTAATTAAGTGAATAAGTGTTTTCTACAAAACCACTGAAAACAATTTGCATTCAATACAGTCAAAACCAAAAATCCCAATTAAATTCTGACATGATTTGGATGTGCGTCCCCTCCAAATGTCATGGTGAAATGTGATTCCCAATGTGGAAGGTGGGGCCTAATGGATGGTATTGTATCATGAGGGTGGATCCCTCTCAAACGGCTTGCACCATACCCTTGGTGAAGAGTGGGTTATCACTCCATTAGTTCACATGACATCTGGTTGTTTAAAAGAGTCTGGGACCTCTCTCTTCTCTCTTGCTCCTACTCTTACCACGTGATGCACCTGCTCCTTCTTTGCCTTCTGGAATGATAGGAAGCTTCCTGAGGCCCTCACTAGAAGCATACGCTGAAGCCATGTTTGTACAGCCTGCAGAATTGTGAGCCAATTAAACCTCTTTTCTTTATAAATTACCCATCCTCAGTTATTTCTTTATAGCAGTGTAAGAATCGAGTAACACAGAAAATTGGTACTGAGGAGTGAGCCATTGCTATAAAGATACCTGAAGGTGTGGAAGCAGCTTTGGAACTGGGTAACAGGCAGAAGTTAGAAGAGTTTGGAGGGCTCAGACAGGAAGATGACAGAAAGTTTGGGACTTCTTAGAGACTTAGTAAGTGGCTGTGACCAAAATGCTGTTAGAAATGTGGGCAGTGAAGATCAGGCTGAGGAGGTCTCAGATGGAAATGAGGACGTTATTGGGACCTGGAATAAACATCACCTGTGTAATGCCCTAGGAAAGAGCTTAGCTGCATTGTGTCCACAACCTAGGAACCTATGGAAGTTTGAATTTAAGAGTGATGACTTCGTGTACTGCAGAAGAAATTTCTAAGCAGCAAAGTATTCAAGAAGCAGTCTGGCTGCTTCTAATAACCTACAATCAGATATAAGAGCAAAAAAAAAAACTTTAAAATTTGAATTTATATTTAAAAGGGAAGCAGAGTGGAAAAGTTTGGAAAATTTGCTGATTGGCACTGTGGTAGAGAAAGAATTCAAGCAGGCTACAGAGCAATCACTTACTAGAGAGCTCAGCATGGCTAAAAGGGAGCCAAGTGCTAATATCCAAGACAATGGGGGAAAGGCCCTGAAGACATTTCAGAGATCTTCGTGACAGCCCATTCCATCACGGGCACAGAGGCCTAAGAGGAAACCATGGTTTCAGGGACACTGCTTCCCACATCACAGCTGCTCTAGCTCCAGCTGTGCCTCAAAGGGCCCCAGATACTACTCAGGCCATCGCTGTGGAAGGCGCAAGCCATAAGCCTTGGTAGCTTCCACATGGTGTTAAGTCTCCAGGCCCGCAGAATGCAAGAGGAAGCTTGGCAGCTTGCACCTAGGTTTCAGAAGACGTGTAGAAAAGCCTGGATGTCCAGTCTGAAACATGCTGCAGGGACACAGGCCCCACAAAGATACTGTACTAGAACAGGGCTGAGAGGAAATGTGGGGGTGAAAGCCCCAAAGTCCCTACTGGGGCATTGCCTAGTGGAGCTATGGGAAGGGAGCCACTGCCCTCCAGACCCCAGAATCGTCGAGCTACCAGAAACTTGCATCTTGAGCCTGGAAAAGCCACCGGCACTCAACTCCAACCCATGAGAGAAGCCACTGGGACTGCACCCTGTAAAGCCACAGGAGTGGTGCTGGTCACCTTGAGGTGCCATCTTATTGCCCCTTTCCTTTGACTGATTTCTCCCTTTTGGAATGGCAACATTTACCCAATGCTTCTACTACCATCATATCTTGGAAGTAAATAACTTGTTTGTATTTTATAAACTCAAAGTGGAAAGAGATGAATCTCAGATGAGACTTAGGACGTTGGACTTCATGCTGGAATGAGTTAAGACTTTGGGGGACTTTTGGGAAGGGATGATTGTATTTTACAATGTGAGAAGAATGTGAGATTTGGGGGAGCAAGGGAAGAGTGATATGGTTTGAATATTTGTCCCCTACAAGTTGCATGTTGAAACGTAACCTCCAATGTAGGAGTTGGGGCCTGATGGGAGGTGTTTGGGTCATACAGGTAGATCCCTCATGATTGGTTTAGTGCCATCCCCTTGGTCATGAGTAAGTTTTCACTCAGTTAGTTCACAAAAGACCTGGTTGTTTAAGAGTCGGGGTTTTAAGGGTTTTTTTCCAAGATGGAAGATTAGAGGCATTATTAGCATGCCTTTCCTACTTGGAAAGACATAACAGTTTGTAGAGAATTATGCTGTGAACTTGCTTCCAAGAAACAACACAGGAACTTAATTTAAAAAGCTGAAAGAAAGCACACTTTGAAAGAAGCAGTGGGCAGCAGCTTACACCATGAACCAAATGGGAAGCTCCCCACAGGAGACAGTGAACCTGCTCACACACCCAGCATGTCACTACTACAACCAACATCTTAGAAAGCCATCACACAGATTCTCTATAACCAAGGAACTCATACAGACTCTTCACCACTGAAAGTACCCATAGCCAAAGCTAGTTGACAATAACCTATAAATATTAAAGTCATATCCTCAAGGTGCAAAAAAGAATTTTAAAAATCCCAGCAGAATCAAAAAATAAATGCAAAATTAATTAGAAGAAATAGTTACCCAAATGAGAAGGAACCAGAGAAATAATTCTGGCCATATGAAAAAACAGGGTTTTATAAAACTTGCAAAAGCTCACATTGAGTCTCCAGCAGTGGATCTAAACCAATGAAATCTTTGAAATACCAGATAAATAATTCAAAGTGTTTATTATTAAGTTACTCAAGGAAATACAAGAAAAAAGTGAAAACTAACATGAAAAACTTTTTTTTATATACTTTAATTTCTAGGGTACATGTGCAAAACATGCAGGTTTGTTACGTATGTATACATGTGCCATGTTGCTTTGCTGCACCCATTAACTCGTCATGTACATTAGGTATCTCCCCTAATGCTGTCCCTCCCCCATTCCCCCACCCCACGACAGGCCCCAGTGTGTGATGTTCCCCTTCCTGTGTCCAAGGGTTCTCATTGTTCAATTCACACCTATGAGTGACAACATGCAGTGTTTGGTTTTCTGTCCTTGCAATAGTTTGCTCAGAATGATGGTTTCCAGCTTCATCCATGTCTCTACAAAGGACATGAACTCATCCTTTTTTATGGCTGCATAGTATTCCATGGTGTATATGTGCCACATTTTCTTAATCCAGTCTATCATTGATGGACATTTGGGTTAGTTCCAAGTCTTTGCTATTGTGAACAGTGCCACAATAAACATAGGTGTGCATGTGTCTTTGTAGTAGCATGACTTACAATCTTTTGGGTATATACCCAGTAATGGGATCGCTGGGTCAAATGGAATTTCTAGTTCTAGATCCCTGAGGAATCGCCACACTCTCTTCCACAATGGTTGAACTAGTTTACACTCCCACCAACGGTGTAAAAGCATTCCTATTTCTCCACATCCTCTCCAGTACCTGTTGTTTCCTGACTTGTTAGTGATCGCCATTCCAACTGGTGTGAAATGGTATCTCTTTGTGGTTTTGATTTGCATTTCTCTGATGACCAGTGATGATGAGCATTTTTTCATGTGTCTGTTAGCTGCAAAAATGTCTTCTTTTGAGAAGTGTTTGTTCATATCCTTTGCCCACGTTTTTGATTCGCTTCTTATAAATTTGTTTAAGTTCTTTGTAGATTCTGGATATTAGCCCTTTATATACTTTAATTTCTAGGGTACACATGCAAAACATGCAAGTTTGTTATGTATGTATACACGTGCCATGTTGCTTTGCTGCACCCATTAACTAGTCATTTACATTAGGTATCTCCCCTAATGCTATCCCTACCCCATTCCCCCACCCCATGGACAGGGGTGGGCATTTAGTGCTGTAAATCAGATGAGTAGACTGCAAAAATTTTCTCCCATTCTGTAGGTTGCCTGTTCACTCTGATGGTAGTTTCTTTTGCTGTGCAGAAGCTCATTAGTTTAATTAGATCCCTTTTGTCAATTTTGACTTTGGTTGCCATTGCTTTTGGTGTTTTAGTCATGAAGTCCTTGCCCATGCCTATGTCCTGAATGTTATTGCCTAGGTTTTCTTCTAGGGTTTTTATGGTTTTAGGTCTAACATTTAAGTCTTTAACCCATCTTGAATTAATTTTCATATAAAGTGTAAGGAAGAGATCCAGTTTCAGCTTTCTACATATGGCTAGCCAGTTTTCCTAGCACCATTTATTAAATAGGGAATCGTTTCCCCATTGCTTGTTTTTGTCAGGTTTGTCAAAGATCAGATGGTTGTAGATAAGCGGCGTTATTTCTGAGGCCTCTGTTCTGTTCCATTGGTCTATATATCTGTTTTGGTACCAGTACCATGCTGTTTTGGTTACTGTAGCCTTGTAGTATAGTTTGAAGTCAGGTAGGGTGGTTCCTCCAGCTTTGTTCTTTTTGCATAGGATTGTCTTGGCAATGCAGGCTCTTTTTTGGTTTGACATGAACTTTAAAGTAGTTTTTTCCAATTCTGTGAAGAAAGTCATTGGTAGCTTGATGGGGATGGCATTGAATCTATAAATTATCTTGAGCAGTATGGCCGTTTTCACGATATTGATTCTTCCTATCCATGAGCATGGAATGTTCTTCCATTTGTTTGTGTCCTCTTTTATTTCGTTGAGCAGTGGTTTGTAGTTCTCCTTGAAGAGGTCCTTCACATCCCTTGTAAGTTGTATTCCTAGGTATTTTATTCTCTTTGTAGCAATTGTGAATGGGAGGTCACTCATGATTTGGCTCTCTGTTTGTGTGTTATTGGTGTATAGGGATGCTCGTGATTTTGGCACATTGATTTTGTATCCTGAGACATTGCTGAAGTTGCTTATCAGCTTAAGAAGATTTTGGACTGAGACGATGAGGTTTTCTAAATATACAATCATGTCATCTGCAAATAGGGACAATTTGACCTCCTCTTTTCCTCACTGAATACCCTTTATTTCTTCCTCTTGCCTGATTACCCTGGCCAGAACTTCCAACACTATGTTGAATAGGAGTGGTGAGAGAGGGCATCCCTGTCTTTTGCCAGTTTTCAAAGGGAATGCTTCCAGTTTTTGCCCATTCAGTATGATATTGGCTGTGGGTTTGTCATAAATAGCTCTTATTATTTTGAGATACATCCCATCAATATCTAGTTTATTGAGAGTTTTTAGCATGAAGGCTGTTGAATTTTGTCGAAGGCCTTTTCTGCATCTATTGAGATAATCATGTGGTTTTTGTCTTTGGTTCTGTTTATGTGATGGATTACGTTTAATGATTTGCATATGTTGAACCAATCTTGCATCCCAGGGATGAAACCAACTAGATCTTGGTGGCTAAGCTTTTTGATGTGCTGCTGGATTTGGTTTGCCAGTATTTTATTGAGGATTTTTGCATCGATGTTCATCAGGGATATTGGTCTAAAATTCTGTTTTGTTGTGTCTCTGCCAGGCTTTGGTATCAGGATGATGTTGGCCTCATAAAATGAGTTAGGAGAATTCCCTCTTTATCTATTGATTGGAATAGTTTCAGAAGGAATGGTACCAGCTCCTCTTTGTACCTCTGGTAGAATTTGGCTGTAAATCCGTCTGCTCTTGGACTTTTTTTGGTTGGTAGGCTATTAATTATTGCCTCAATTTCAGCGCCTGTTATTGGTCTATTCAGGGATTCAACTTCTTCCTGGTTTAGTCTTGGGAGGGTGTATGTGTCCAGGAAATATCCATTTCTTCTAGATTTTCTGGTTTATTTGCGTAGAGGTGTTTATAGTATTCTCTGATGATAGTTTGTATTTCTGTGGGATCGGTGGAGATATCCCCTTTATCATTTTTTATTGCGTCTATTTGATTCTTCTCTCTTTTCTTCTTTATTAGTGTTCCTAGCGGTCTATCAATTTTGTTGATCTTTTCAAAAAAACCAGCTCCTAGATTCATTGATTTTTTGAAGGGTTTTTTATGTTTCTATCTCCCTCAGTTCTGCTCTGATCTTAGTTATTTCTTGTCTTCTGCTAGCTTTTGAATTTGTTTGCTCTTGCTTCTCTAGTTCTTTTAATTGTGATGTTAGGGTGTTAATTTTAGATCTTTCCTGCTTTCTCTTGTGGGCATTTAGTGCTATAAATTTCCCTCTACACACTGCTTTAAATGCATCCCAGAGATTCTGGTACATTGTGTCTTTGTTCTCATTGGTTTCAAAGAACATCTTTATTTCTGCCTTCATTTCATTATTTACCCAGTAGTCATTCAGGAGCAGGTTGTTCAGTTTCCATGTAGTTGAGCAGTTTTGAGTGAGTTTCTTAGTCCTGAGTTCTAATTTGATTGCACTGTGGTCTGAGAGACAGTTTGTTGTGATTTCTGTTCTTTTACATTTGCTGAGGAGAGCTTTACTTCCCAGTATGTGGTCAATTTTGGAATAAGTGTGATGTGGTGCTGAGAAGAATGTATATTCTGTTGATTTGGGGTGGAGAGTTCTGTAGATGTCTATTAGGTCAGGTTGCTACAGAGCTGAGTTCAAGTCCTGGATATCCTTGTTAACCTTCTGTCTCATTGATCTGTCTAATATTGACAGTGGGGTGTTAAAGTCTCCCATTATTATTGTGTGGGAGTCTAAGTCTCTTTATGTATCTCTAAGGACTTGCTTTATGAATCTGGGTGCTCCTGTATTGGGTGCATATATATTTAGGATAGTCAGCTCTTCTTGTTGAATTTATCCCTTTACCATTATGTAATGGCCTTCTTTGTCTCTTTTGATCTTTGTTGGTCTAAAGTCTATTTTATCAGAGACTAGGATTGCAACCCCTGCTTTTATTTTGCTTTCCATTTGCTTGGTAGATCTTCCTCTATCCCTTTATTTTGAGCCTGTGTATGTCTCTGCACATGAGATGTGTCTCCTGAATACAGCACACTGATGGGTCTTGACTCTTTATCCAATTTGCCAGTCTGTGTCTTTTAATTGGGGCATTTAGCCCATTTACATTTAAGATTAATATTGTTATGTGTCAATTTGATCCTGTCATTATGATGTTAGCTGGTTATTTTGCCCATTAGTTGATGCAGTTTCTTGCTAGCATCGATGGTCTTTACAATTTGGCATGTTTTTGCAGTGGCTGGTACTGGTTTTTCCTTTCCATGTTTAGTGCTTCCTTCAGGAGCTCTTGTAAGGCAGGCTTTGTGGTGACAAAATCTCTCAGCATTTGCTTATCTGTACAGGATTTTATTTCTCCTTCGCTTATGAAGCTTAGTTTGAAATTCTGGGTTGAAAATTCTTTTCTTTAAGAATGTTGAATATTGGCCCCCACACTCTTCTGGCTTGTAGACTTTCTGCCAAGAGATCTGCTCTTAGTCTTATGGGATTCCCTTTGTGGATAACCTGACCTTTCTCTCTGGCTGCCGTTAACATTTTTTCCTTCATTTCAACCTTGGTGAATCTGACAATTATGTGTCTTGGGATTGCTCTTCTCAAGGAGTATCTTTGTGGTGTTCTTTGTATTTCCTGAATTTGAATGTTGGCCTCCCTTGCTAGGCTGGGGAAGTTCTGCTGGATAATATCCTGAAGAAATTTTTCCAGCATGATTCCATTCTCCCCATCACTTTCAGGTACACCAATCAAACGTAGATTTGATCTTTTCACGTAGTCCCATATTTCTTGCTTTGTTCATTTCTTTTTATTCTGAAAAATTTTTTTTTTAATTTCAGTTATGAGTAAAAAAAAATCTCTAAAGAGATAGATCAAAAAACAAAAACCAGTCAGAACTTTTGGAAATGAAAGACACATTTAGGGAACTATAAAATGCAGTGGAAAGTTTTAAAAATAGACTAGTCCAAATAGAAGAAAGAATTTCAGAGCTCGAAGACAAGTCTTTTGAATTAACTGAATCAGACACAAATAAAGAAAAACAAATTTAAAGAAATGAACAAAATCTCTACAAAATATGGAATTATGTAAAACAACCAAACTAACAATCTTAGGTGTCCTGAGAGAAAAGAAAAAACAAAATGTTTGGAAAATGTATTTAAGGGAATAATTTAGGAAAACTTTCCTGGCTTTGTTAGAGATTTAGACATCCAAGTACAAGAAGTTCAAATAACTTTTGGGAGACTCATTGCAAAAAGGACATCACCAAGGCATATAGTCATCAAGCTATCTGAAGTCAATGTGAAGGAAAACATTCTAAGTGCAGTGAGACAAAAGGATCAGGTAACCTATAAAGGAAAACCTATCAGACTAACAGCAAATTTCTTAGCAGAAACCTTACAAGTCAGAAAGGATTGGGGTACTATCTTTAGTATCATTAAAGAGAACAACTGTCAGCCAAGAATTTTGTATCCAGACAAAGTAAGTTTCATAAATGAAGGAAAAATAAAGTCTTTATCAGACAAGCAAATGCTGATGGAATTTGTCAGCACTAGACTAACCCTAAAAGAAATGCTGAAAGGAATTCTAAATGTTGAACAAAAGGTCAATACACACCAGAATAGAAACTCCTGAAAGCACAAAATTCACAGGGGTTATAAAACAATAACACAATGAAGGAAAAACAGTCACTAGGTAACAATCAACATGATAACTCGAACAGTACCTCACATCTCAATATTCACATTGAATGTAAGTGGTCTAAATGCTCCACTTAAAAGATACAGATTAGCAAAATGGATTAAAAAATCACAAACCAAATATCTGCTGTTTTCAGCAGACAACATGGAAGGATTCTCATAGACTCAAGGTTAAGGGGTCGAAAACAATATTTCATGCAAATGGAAACCACAAGTGAGAATGAGTAGCTATTCTTACATCAAATAAAACAGACTTGAAAGCAACAATGTAAAAACAAAACCAAAAAATGTAGTTATATAATGATGAGAGGATCAGTACACCAAGAAGCTATAACAATCCTCAATATATACGTACTTAAGTCCAGAGCTCTTAGATAGATAATAAAAAATTACTACTATACCTAAGAAAAGAGATAGACAGCAAAACAATAACAGTGGAGGACTTCAATACTCCACTGACGGCATTAGACAAATCATTGAGGCAGAAAGTCAACAAAGAAAACTGGACTTAAACTGTACTCTAGAACAAATACACAAAATATATTTAAATAACATTATACTCAACAAGTGCAGAATATCCATTCTTCCCATCAGCACATGAAACATTCTCCATGGTAGATCATATGATAGGCCACAAACCAAGTCTCAATAAATTTTTTAAGAGCAAAATAATATCAAGTATCTTCTCAGACCACAGCAAAATAAAACTGGAGATAAATTCCAAAAGAAACCCTCAAAATTATACAAATGTATGGAAATTACAGAATCTGCTCCTGAATGATTTTGGGGTTAACAATGACATTAAAATGGAAATTTAAAAATGTTTCAAAGTGAATAAGAGTGAGTCAACTTATCAGAACCTCTGGGATATAGCAAAAGCAGTACTAAGAGGAAAGTTTATAGCCCAAATTCCTACATCAAAGTTTGAAATATCACAAATTGCAAACCTGACATCACACCTCAAGGAACTAGAGAAACAAGAATAAACCAAACCCAAAGCTACCATAGGAAAAGAAATAACAAAGATCAGAGCAGAAACAAAAAAAAAATACAAAAGATCAATGAAACAAAATCTGACTTTTTGAAAATATTTTTTAAAATCATTAGCTATATTAATCAAGAAAAGAAGAGAGAAGATTCAAATAAGCTCGATTAGAAATGAAAATGGAGACAGTGCAACTGACATCACAGAAATACTAAGGATCATTTGAGTTTCCTGTAGACACTTCTGTGCACACAAACTAGAAAATCTAGAGGAAGTGGATAAATTCCTGGAAACAAACAACTCCTTTAGTTTGAATCAGAAAGAAATAGAATTCCTGAACAGACCAATAACAAGCAATGAGATTGAATCAGTAATAGAAGAAACTGCTGAAAACAACAAAAAAGCTCAGGGCTAGACAGATTCACATCTGAATTCAAAAGACTGAGGAGAAAGAAATCCTCCCTAACTCATTATACGAACCCAGTATTACCCTGATATCAAAGCCAGGAAAGAAAATATTAGTAAATGAAAACTACAGACTAATATCCCCAAAGAATATAGATGCAAAAATCCTCAACAAAATACTAGCTGACTGAATCCAACAGCACTCCAAGAAAATCATTCACCATGAGCAAGTTGGTTTCATTCTAGGGATGGTTCAACATATGCGAGTCAAGAAATTTGATTCGTCACCTAAACAGAATTAAAAACAAAAACCATATGATCATCTCAGTAGATGCAGAAAAAGCATTAAACAAAATCTAGCATTCTTTTCTGATAAAAACCCTCAACCAACTAGGCATAGAAGAAATATATCTCAAAATAATAGAAGCCATATATGACAAACTCATGGCCAACATTATACTGGAAGGAAAAAAGTTGAAAGCATTCCCCCTAAGAACTATTACAGAACAAGACGAGGATGCCCATTTTCACCACTTGTATTCAACATCGTACTGAAAGTGCTAGCCAGAGTAATCATTGCAAGATAAAAAAACAAAGGGCATCCAAATTGGAAAAGAAATCAAAGTATCTCTGTTTGCCAATGATGCGATCTTATAGCTAGAAAACCCTACACACTCCTCCAGAAGACTCCTAGATTTGATGAATGAATTCAGTAAAGTCTCAGGTTACAAAAATAAATGTACACAAATTAGTAGCACTGCTATACACCAACAGCAACCAAGCCGAGAATCCAATCAAGAAGTCAATTCATTTTACAATGGTTACAAAAAAAAAATACCGAGAAATATACTTAACCAAGGAGATGAAAGATCTCTGCAAGGATAACTACAAAACATTGCTGAAAGAAATCATAGATGATGCAAGCAAATTGAAATACATCTCATATTCATGTATTAGAAGAATCAATATTGCAAAATGACCATACTGACCAAAGCAGTCTACAAATTCAATGCAATTTCTATTAAAATACCAGCATCATTCTTACAGAATTAGGAAATATAATCCTAAAATTCATACGGAACCAAAAAAGTGCCTGAATAGCCAAATACATCCTAAGCAAAAAGAATAAATCTAAAAATATCACATTACCGGACTTCAAATTATACTACAAGGCTGTAGTAACCCAAACAGCATGGTAGTGGTATAAAAGTAGATACATAGATCAATGGATCAGAATAGAGAACCCAGAAATAAAGTGAAGTACTTACAACTAATTGATCTTTGACAAACCATACAAAAACATAAACTGGGGAAAACACATCCTATTCAATAAATGGTGCTGGGAAAATTGGATTGCCTAGGTCGTGTAGAAGAATGAAACTGGATTTCTACTCTCACCATATACAAAAATTAGCTCTAGATGGGTTTAAGACTTAAATCTAAGACTTGAAATCATAAAAATTCTAGAAGAAAATCTATAGAAAACTCTTCTGGACAATGATTTAGGTGACTAAAACCTCAATAGTAAATGCAACAAAAGCAAAAATAAATGGAACCTAATTAAACTAAAAAACTTCTGCACAGCAAAATAAATACTCATCAGAGTAAACAGACAGCCTATAGAATGGGAGAAAATATGTACTAATTATGCATCTGACAAAGGACTAATATCTAACTTGGGAAAAAAGATTTTTAAAAAAGTTAATATCTGGAATCTACGAGGAAATAAAACAGATCAGCAAGAAAAAAAAAATGAATAATATCATTAAAAAGTAGGCAAAGGGGCCGGGCACAGTGGCTCATGCCTGTAATCCCAGCACTTTGGGAATCCGAAGCAGGAGGATCACGAGGTCAAAACATCAAGACCATCCTGGCCAACATGGTGAAACCCTGTTTCTACTAAAAATACAAAAGTTAGCTGGGTGCAGTTGCACGCACCTGTAGTCCCAGCTACTCAGGAGGCTGAGGCAGGAGAATTCGCTTGAACCTGGGAGGTGGAGGTTGCAGTGAGCCAAGATTGTGCCACTGCACTCCAGCCTGGAGACAGAGTGAGACTCCGTCTCAAAAAAAATAAATAAATAAAATAAGTAGGCAAAAGACATTAATAGACATTTCTCAAAAGAAGATACAAAAATAGCCAACAAATATGAAAATACACTCCATACCACTAGTCATCAGGGAAATGCAAATTAAGACCACAATGAGATACCACCTTATGCCAGCCGGAATGGCCATTATGAAAAAGTCAAAAAACAATAGATGTTGATACGAATGTGGTGAAAAAGGAATGCTTAGACACTGCTGATGGGAATGTAAAATTAGTAGAACCTCTATGGAAAACAGTATGGAGATTTCTCAAAGAACTAAAAGTAGATTTAACCTAGCAATCCCACTGCTGGGTATCTACCCAAAGGAAAAGAAGTCATTATATCAAAAAGACACCTGCACACACATGTTTATCACAGCACAATTCAAAATCACAAAGATATAAAATCAACCTAAATGCCCATCAAACAATGTGTGGATAAAGAATATGTGATATACCTGAGGTCAGGAGTTCGAGACCAGCCTGGACAACATGTTGAAACCCCATCTCTACCAAAAATACAAAAATTAGGTATGGTGGCAGGCGCCTGTAATCCCAGCTACTCAAGAGGCTGAGGCAGGAGAATTGCTTGAACCTGGGAGGTGGAGGTTGCAGTGAGCCGAGATCACGCCACTGCACTCCAGCCTGGGCAACAGAGCAAGACTCTGTCTCAAAAAAAAAAAAAGTGCTATATCACATATATATATATGATATATGTAATTGTGGTGTGTGGATATATACACCATGGAAATATATTCAGCCATGAAAAAGAGTGATATAATGTCTTTTGCAGTGACTTGGATGGAATTGGAGGCCATTATTTTATGTGAAGTAACACTCAGGAATCAAAAATCGAATGCCACATGTTCTCACTTATAAGTGGGAATTAAGCTATGGGTATGCGAAGGCATACAGAGTGGTAAAATGAGCGTTGGAGGCTCAGAAGAGGGGAAAGTGGAGGGTGAGAAGTGGGTGAGAGATGAAAAACTACCTATTGGGTACTATGTACACTACTTGGGTGATGAGTGCACTAAAATCCTAGACATCACAACTATACACACATAACCAAAAACCATTTGTACACCTAAAGCTATTGAAATAAAAGAATAGTAAATAAATAAATTTAAATTCTCTCTTCTCTCTTCTCTCTCTCTTGCTTCTGTTCTTGCCATAAGATATACCTGCTCCCTCTTTTCCTTACACCATGATTGGAAGCTTCCTGAGGCCGTCACCAGAAGTAGATGCTGGCATCATGCTTGTACACCCTGCAGAACCATGAGCCAGTTAAATACCTTTTCTTTGTAAATTACCCAGCCTCAGGAATTTCTTTGTAGCAATGCAATAATGAACTAACACAAATTCCAAAGAAAGTCAAACATTGAAAAGCAAGCACTAGTAACTAGCATTTCAAATCTGTGAAATAAAAGATACCAAATTATAAACAACAGTGGAATCTTACCACTGATAAATACAGCTCTGGTTACTGTTGTTCACTTTCTTTCTATTTCCAATAAGAAAAATCAATTTTGTTAAACTTAAATATGAGACACACCCAGAAAGATGCAAGTTGTGCCCACACAAGTTGATGAAGTTTGGCAGTTGGGTTTTCTGAGACCCACTGAGCCAGGCTGCAGCTAATTTGTCCCAACTGCCTAGCAGCCTGATGCACGAACAGAATCTGATCCACCAGGACCACTGGCCTCTACTCTGAGGAGTGTCTACAGGAGCATGGTCACTACAGACCTGATGTGGAGATTGACAAATTACAACGAAATCAACCCCTGGGGGAGCTGGTGATGTTTGTAGCACACATTGGTCACTGCCACCCAGATAATCCAAGTCACTTTTTTCAATTGCTGAACGATCTGCTGTGCTACAGCCACACCGTCTTGGATCCAGAACTTCAATGACATTTTGCAAATCTTTGATCTTCCTTTGAAATAAGAATCACAGCATTCAAAGAGTTGCAGTTACAAGCTTCTCAGAAGGCTTGTACACTCAGAGTGTGGCTGATATCAAGAATATAAATGTAAAATACAAGAACAATAAAGTGAATATAGGATTTCAGAATTCCACGCACACCTAAGAGACAGCAATGCCATCACAGCTAAAATATCCTTGTGTGTAATGATTGAACTCAATGGAAGAAACATTTGGAATGCTGCCCAAACTGTCAGTGTTATCTTAAGTGTGTGTTTCACTAAAGTCACCAAGATACAGGCTGCTGCTTTGAAATTCTTCTAAGGAAACGGGGTGGCAACTCAGGATCTGAGTATGAAGGACCTTCCAGCGTAGATGCCACAGGGAGGAGAAGCTTCAAACGCAAGGCTGGAACAGGCTTTGGAAGTGCTGATACTAGAAGAAGAAGAAGAAATAAAAGAACAGTAGCAGAGATATTTAAATTTCCAGCCATTACTTGATTAATGATCCTCAAAGTTCTGCAGAAAAATGACTAAAGCAGCTGGAGAGCTGTAAGGAGAGGTATGAAGTGAGGCTGATGCCCAGGAACCTAATCTCCAGATTGGTGGAAATTTATGGGCTTTTTCTCTTTTGTGTTGATCCTCTCGTGCGGAGATTTCTGCAGCCTAATCGAAGAGAAGTAATCAGATCCTTCTGTCTGCTCCACAAGTAGGTGGCCAACAATTCTGTAAGGGAGAGGAGCCCTGGGGTGTCATGACAGTAGGAATCAATGCTATAAAAAAAGTAACAACTTGATACCCTCACATTGTGACTAAAGAACCCCCCAGTTTTGGCCCAGTGAGGAATACACAAACATAAAGATGTGATCATTTCTGCTAGGATTTTGATTCTGTTCTTCTGAGTGCCAAATTCTCAGATACTACAGAAGAGATTCTGAGACAAGCCTACAGAGGCCTCAAAAGAAGCAAGAGTGCAAGAATATGGATAACTAAATGCTACAGATTACATTTCAGGAGGGGGAATTCTGAAGTCAAGAAAGAGAATGTTGTGAACAGTAAAGAAGGGTGGGGAAGTACCAGTCCTGAGGAGGAGGGAGATGCCCATGGTGGGTGGGTTGACGTGTGTCACTCTTCTGTGAAAAACAGCAGGGACTTTCCAAGGAGGTGCCCAGCATGCCTGTGGAGGAGGAGGGAGCCAAATCTGCTGCCCTCAGCACCAGTTGCCTTCTAAGCCAGGAAGACTTCCAGAAAATCTACATGGCCCAACTGTATAATGAACCCAGGGCTGCCCTGGGAAAGCCACAAACTGAAAGATACTGAAATAAACAGCATTGATGGGCCAAGAGACAAGTTACTGTCAGTTGAGGATATTGAACGCTTTAAAAAAAAAAAAAACACTCATCTTCAGGAAGACTAGCCGCTGCAGTGGCTGGAAAGACTGACTGAAAAGAATATGTTAGAAAGAAAACCAATATGAGTGCAGTTTCCAGTGCCCCAAATAAAGAGAAGAAAACTAACTTTATATGATAATGTATTATAGCCAGAATGTCCAGTCAAAAAATAGATGTTCCTTCAGAAAAAAAGCAACTGGCACCATGAGATGTACTTTTGGAAAAAAGGGAAATAGAATAAATTATCTTCCAAACCAGTTTTTCATTCCAAGGATAATGCTGAATTTGTGTAATTGCTCTGAATATTAGTCAATAGTCAATCCAAAAATATTTGCTTATGTTTAAAAGTACAGAGATAAGATATTTTTGAAAACCACAGTTTGTAAAAAGATAAAGGGAATTTTATTTGAAGGACAGGATAACACAGTGGCTATTTTGGAGGGTGTGTGCTGCAGTGGGGTGCATGCATCGTTACTATTGGTTGCAGACTCAGATCTGAACAAAAAGATATAGTCAAGAAAGTGTGACTTCTTCATCCCGTCTGCCTCAGTCCCCAGCCCCTTCCTACCTCTTGCTCACCCACACCCTCTCAGTAGCCAGTCTTTTCCATTTTAGGTTTATCCATCCTCCATTTCATTTGCAAAAAATGACCACATATATGTTTTCTTAGGCTCCCATCATACTTACATGAGGATAGCATACGGTAGGTAGTCTTTTGAACTTTACTTTTTCACTGAATAGTATGGCCCTCAAAATTACTCCATATTAATTCATAAACATCTTCCTTATTATTTTTCACAGCTGCATAGTACCCTATTATGTGGAGTTGCCGTGATTATTCAGCTATTCACCCATATATATGAACATTTAAGTTGTTCTCACTGTTGTGCAGTTATGTCACAAAGAGTAACAATTGCATATGTATTTTGTTTTTTTTTTTGGTTTGCTTTTTTTTGTTTTTTTTGTTTTTTTTGTTTTTTTTTGAGGCGGAGTCTCCCTCTGTCGCCCAGGCTGGAGTGCAGTGGCGCAGTCTTAGCTCACTGCAAGCTCCGCCTCCCAGGTTCACGCCATTCTCCTGCCTCAGCCTCCCGAGTAGCTGGGACTACAGGCGCCCGCCACCATGCCGGGCTAATTTTATGTATTTTTAGTAGAGACGGGGTTTCACCGTGTTAGCCAGGATGGTCTCCATCTCTTGACCTCGTGATCCACCCGCCTCGGCCTCCCAAAGTGCTGGGATTACAGGCGTGAGCCACGTGCCCGGCTGTATTTTGTTTTCTTGGAGGTATATCCTCAGGGTAGATTCCTAGAAGTGGGATTGTGGATATGTACATACTTAGTTTTGTTCAGTTTTATCAAATTGTGCTCTAGAAGATGGTAACAATTTAGATTCCCAGCGGCGGTGTAGGAGAGTATATTTTCTGACAGCCTCAGACAACACAATGTGTCTAAATTATTTCCAGTCTCACAGGTGAGAAATGGCATGTCAGTGTTGCTTTAATTTGCATTTCTGTAATGATGAGTGTGTTTGAACATTTTTTTCATAAGTTTGAGGGCCATTTTTGTATCTTTGTTGTGAATTATCTCATGACTCTTTTTCCATTTTTCTATCAGAATTGTCATTTTTTATTCCTCAGTAGTTAAGAATTCTTTACCAATTAGGCATTTTAACTTTCTGCCCAGGGTATATGTTGCTAAGATTTTTCTATCCAATTTTTAAGTTGTCGTCTAACTTAATCAGGTATTTTAAATCATGTAACACTTTTATTTTTACTTGTTATTGTTATGTATTCAAACATAGAATCTTTTTTTCATTGCCTCTAGATGTTGAGTCATTGCTTGAAAGACTTCCTTGTACCAAGGTTATAAAGGAATTCACCTATGTTTTCCTGTAGTGTTTGTATGATTTCACTTTTTAACACTTAGTTCCCTAATTTATGTGAAGTTTATTCTTGTGTGGTATGAGATATGAATCTAAATTTATCTTTTCTAAGTTGTTATCTGAACATCATTTACTTAAAAGTCCATCCTTAGGCCAGGTGCAGCGGCTCACACCTGTAATCCCAGCACTTTCAGAGGCTGAGGCAGGTAGATCACCTGAGGTCAGGAGTTCAAGACCATATGGAGAAACCCCGTCTCTATTAAAAATACAAAAATTAGCCAGGCGTGGTGGCACGCGCCCGTAATCCCAGCTATTTGGGAGGCTGAGGCAGGAGAATTGCTTGAACCTGAGAGGCAGAGGTTGCAGTGAGCCGAGATCACGCCACTACACTCCAACCTGTGTGATAGAGTGAGACTCTGTCTCCAAAAAAGAAAAAAAAGTCCATCTTTAAACTTGAAATGCCGTCATTATCATATACTAGATTTCCATGTCTATCAGAGTCTAATTATTACTTTATCCCACTAGTCCAGTGGTGTCCAGTCTTTTGCCTTCCCTGGGCCACACTGGAAGAAGAATAATTGTCTTAGGCCCCATATAAAATACACTAATGATAGCTGATGAGCTAAAAAAAAAATTGCAAATTAATCTCATAATGCTTAAAGACAGTTTACAAATTTATGTTGAGCTGAATTCAAAGCTGTCCTGGGCTGCATGCAGCCGGCGGGCTACAGGTTGGACAAGCTTGCACTAGTCTGTTCGTGTTTCCATGCCTAGATACCACATTCTTTTAATTATAGAGACTTCATGGTATGTTTTAATGTCTAGTGGGGCTGGCCTTTCTTGTGTTTTCTTTTTCCAAGCTATTCTTGTATGTTTGTTTTTACATATGAACTTTTGCATCAATTTGCTCATTCTATAACATAGTTTATTGGCATTATTACTGTATTGCATTGAATTTATAAATTAACTCTGGAAGAAATGACATCCTATAATGTTGGGTCACCCTATCCAAGAATGCGGAATGTCTTTTCATTTATTCAAGTGTCTTTCAGAAGTATTACAAATTTTTCCTCATATATTTTTCACACACATCTTATTAAATGAATTTCTAAATTTTTAATCATCTTTGTTGTTATTGTAAATGGCACTTTCTCCACTATTATTTATTTTAACTTTTGTTTGTATGTATTCAAGTTATTGGTTATTGTATGTTAATTTTATATCCTGCCAGTTTGCTGAATTTTTTATTAGTTGAGTTACTTTTATCAGAGACTTTGGGGTTTGTCAGATACACTATTATATCATCTGCAAATATACAATGTTACTTTACTCAATCACACACCTCTAACTGATTTTACTTTATAAATAAGTTTCATTGACTAAAACCTCTGCTCCACAATGTTGAGTAGCAGTGGACAAAGTGGATATCCTTGCCTTGTTTCCAATCTTAGTGGAAATGCTTCTAGTCTTTCTGTATTAAGTAAAATACTTGCCTTAGGGTTAAAATACATCATTTTACCATGTTAAGACAGCATCCCTCAATGCCTATTTTCTAGAATGTTCATTGATCATAAATGTGTGCTGAATTTTGCCAAATACTTTTTCAGCATCTATGAAGATAATATGATTTATTTTTATTAGATTAATTAGTATGATGTTAATCATTCCTCACTTAAAGTCAATCTTGCATTCCTGGAATAAATCTCACTTTATCAAGGTATATTATTTTCTTAATGTGGTGTTGCGCTGTGCTTCTTTCTGGTACTTCTATTTAGAATTTTTTGCATTCATGAGTAATACTAGCTTATAGTATTTTTTTCCTTATGCTTGCTTTTCTCATTTAAGTATCAGTGCTAAGCTTACTTACTTTCAATACTCTGGAATAATTTACAGAGCATTGTGACTATCCAGCTTTTGAAAGTTTGTTAGAATTCGCTTGTGACACCATCTGTGCTTGGTTCTTTTATGTGGGGTAGTTTTTTAACTTCCCCATTTCTTGTATAAACACAGGTCTGATCAAACTTTCTCATTTAATGAGATCAATTTTAGCAATCACTATTTCCCTGTGGAACTGCCTGTTTCATCATGGTTTTCAAGCTTATTTGCAGAGTTCTGCATAGTTGTCTCTCCTTTTTTATTTCTTCTAATTCAATGGTTACTTTTCACTTGTCATTCCATGTGTTGTGTATTTGTGTTTTCTCATTTTTATCAACTTAGCTAGTGTTTTATTTATTTTGCTAATTTTCTCAAAAAACAGAATTTTGATTTATTAGATCTCTTTTATACTGTTTTCTTCCTTGTTAATTTCTGCTTCTATCTTTATTATTTCCTTCCTTGTGCTTTCTTTTGACTCACTTTGTTGTTCTATTTCTAGGCTTTTGAATTACGAACTTAGTTCTTTTTTTTTTTTTTCTAAACAGAATTTTCGCTGTGTTGCCCAGGCTTCAGTACAATGGCACGGTCTCAGCTCACTGCAACCTCCGCCTCCTGGGTTCAAGCAATTCTCCTGCCTCAGCCTCCCAGATAGCTGGGATTACAGGCATGTACCATCATGCCCAGCTAATTTTTGTATTTTTAGTAGAGATAGGGTTTCACCACGTTGGCCAGTCTGGTCTCAAACTCCTGACCTCAGGTGATCTGCCCACCTCAGCCTCCCAAAGCGCTGGGATTACAGATGTGAGCTACCACGCCCAGCCAGTTGATATTTTTATTGACAGAGATGTTTAGTACAATGAAATTTCCTCTTGTCACTGCTTTACATGCATGCCACAGATTCTAAAATATAGTGTTTTCAAGTCATAATTTTCCTTAATTCTGTAATTTCTGTTTGTATTTCACCCAAAAGTTATTTAAAGAGAGACTTTTAAATTTCTGGGTGAATGGGTCTTTTTGCTTTTTATTTGTGTCAGCAAATTCTAGATTTATTGTATTGTGTTTAGGGAGTATTATGTGTGGTCTTTCTACGTTATGAAAGTCATTGATGTTTGTTTACCTTGTGCCCTGATGTGTGATCAGTTTCAGTGAATGTGCCCCGGGCACTTGAGGAGAGTGTGCATCCTCCATTATCAGGACTTCACCGTCAGTATATGTCATAAGACTTGCCTTGTTGAGTTCTTTTTAGGTCATCTCCTCACTTGTTATTCCACTTGACCTGTCTTGTACTGAAAGTTGTGTATTAAATCTAGCATTATTAGTGTGTTCTGTGGGTCCTCACATCTTTTATTTTTGTTTCATAAAGGTGGTGTCTGTGATATTTGCGGGATAGGTATTTGTAAATATTATGTCTGTGTTGTGGGTTGTAATTTTAGCATTAAAAATCTTTTTTGTCATATTTAACGCTTTTGACTTGAATTCCACTTTGTCTGATATCAGGATTTTTATCCCAGCTCATTTAGTATTCATTTCCTGCATTACTTTTGTCCATTCCTTAAGTGGCTTCTCACTAAGTCTCCTCATCTGTCCTCTCCGTGGCCTTCACTCACCATAATTCCTGTGATGGAGCAGGTGTGTGAGAAGTTGTAGTCCTGGCACTTGTTAATTTTTCTCCCTCAACTCACAGTTCTGCCTTTAAGTAATGCAAGGGTGTGTTTTTCTTTCTTTCTTTCTCTTTTTTTTTTTTTTTTTTTTTTTTTGAGATGGGGTCTTGCTCTGTCTCCCAGGCTGGAGTGCAGTGGTGCGATCTTGGCTCGCTGCAAGCTCCACCCCCCAGGTGCAAGCTCCACCCCCCAGGTTGACGCCATTCTCCTGCCTCAGCCTCCTGAGTAGCTGAGACTACAGGAGCCCACCACCATGCTCGGCTAATTTTTTGTATTTTTAGTAGAGACGGGGTTTCACCGTGTTAGCCAGGATGGTCTCGATCTCCTGACCTCGTGATCCACCGGCCTCGGCCTTCCAAAGTGCTGGGATTATGGGCGTGAGCCACTGTGCCCGGTCTGTGTGGAATTTTTATGGCTGTGAAACTATTCCTTAGAGTATGGGGATGACCTTTTGGGAAACTGATTACTATATAGCCAGCGTGGTCATCAGCCACCCAGAAGTCCATCCTTTTCCAATTTAATAATGCTATGAAATTTTAAAAATTCATAGCATTATTTTAATGGCTATGTAATATTTCAAGGAATACATGTATAATAATTTGATTCACTAATTGAAATTAGATTTTTTCAGTTCAGTTAATGCCACAATTCATAATTCAGGCTACCCTTTTATATTTAATAGGTTATACAATAAATTTTTGTTAAATAAATGAAGAGAGGAATGAATAAAAGATTGTGTAGGATGGGATGGGCTGAGAAACCAGTTGGCAGGTAGGATAGTGTTCTAATGGATGGAATATATATATATATATATATATAGAAATGAGGACGTTGTTTAACCTTTACAATGATTGATTATTACAGTCAGGGTTTCCAGATGGCAGAAGATTGGTTAAAAGTGATCATCTGGCTGGGTGCAGTGGCTCATGCCTGTAATCCCAGCACTTTGGGAGGCAGAGGTGGGCGGATCACTTGAGGCCAGGAGTTCAAGACTAGCCTGGGCAACATGGCAAAACTCCATCTCTACTAAAAATACAAAAGTCAGCCGGGTGCCTATAGTCTCAGCTATTCAGGAAGCTGAGGCAGGAGAATCGCTTGAACCCGGGAGGCGGAGGTTGCAGTGAGCTGAGATCATGCCACTGCACTCCAGCCTGGGCGACAGAGCGAGACCCTGTCTTTAAAAAAAAAAAAAAAGTGATCATCTTACAGCATTTTTGGAAGGCTGTGTAAGTTTTGCATATGATTATCAGGGACATTTACTAGAAATAACCTAAGTTTCACTGGCATAGCATAACTAGCTTTGTCTGCTCAGGAAATTCTCAAGCCTGGTCTCTTATTTTATTTCATTTTATTTTATTTAACACAAGTAAAGGTCATTAGTGCCAGGCTTATGAAGTAGAACTGTATAATACAAGATTTTGCCACAAAAGTAGTAGAGCTAACAAGCACAGCTTTGTGCTTCCAGCCCAGTCCTTTCTCTGTGATACCACATTTGCAACAGCAGAATATACGTTTCCTTTTTTTAAAAGGACTTTGCAATATTTGTTTCTAAATGATTTTATTTTAAATTAAAGATATCCTGAGGAACAAAAGAAGTTTGCTAATGAGACACATTGTATATAAGGAAGAATTTGATGGTATTTTCACCAGAAAAACCCTTAAGCTAATTTCCCAAACTTAATTAATCAGATCACAAAACCATTAACTTTTTCTCTTTGTACCAAAGCCTTTCATTAAAAATGGTGCTGTACAGATAGCTCTTTTCTTATCAACAAGGTAGAATTTAAATTTTATTTCTTAAAGACCTCTACTGCAAAAGACGATTACATCCTCAGCTCTAATCAATGTCCAACTAGGTTAAAAAAAAAACCGCTAGAATATTAATAAAAGTTAGAAGATTAATTACAAACTCCATAACTATTGAAGAAAGTGCAGTTGCCTCTGAAGTGGAAAGCGTATTTAAATTTAAACATGCAGGGTCTATTTTTAATAAAATGGAGGTGGGATTTTATTCACCGCTATGCCTTTGCTCAAGTAGTTTCCTTTACCTGGAGATCCCTGTTCTTCCTTCATCAGGGAAGCATGAACGCTTTCTTTTTTAGTTTTCTTTTTTTTTTTTTTTTTTTGAGACAGAGTCTCGCTCTGTTGCCCAAGCTGGAGTGCAGTGGCCTGATCTCAGCTCATTGCAACCTCCACCTCCCGGGTTCAAGCAATTCTCCTGCCTCAGCCTCCCCAGTAGCTGGGACTACAGGCGCACGCCGCCACACCCAGCTAATTTTTATATTTTCAGCAGAAACGGGGTTTCACCGTGTTGCCCAGGTTGTCGCGAACTCCTGATGAGCTCAGGCAATCTGCCCGCCTCGGCTTCCCAAAGTGCTGGGATTACAGGCGTAAGCCACCGCGCCCAGCAGGAAGCATGAACTCTTTCTTCCAAATCAGTTGCAGGCATCGCGTCTCCGGACGCTGCTCTTAGCCTCGATGGATGGACCATGGATTCCTAGTCAAGACTCTCTCATGCTTGCATCCCAATGCTTAGCAAATTGTCCTGAAACCAGGCTTACATGCTTTTCTTTTTAGTGAACCACAGAATTCTTTAAGCTGTGAGCTATATCTCACTCATTTGCACATTGTCAATGCTTAGCACAGAACCTTGTACATAAAAAGCATGCAATAGATTTGTATTGAATGGAACCATTCACTTTCCTGCATTTTCTTTGATTTGAGGAACAGTTTATGTGGATTTGCTGCTCAGACTTACTATGAAAATAAACTTATTTGTTGACTATTTTATTGATATAATAACTATAGAAAAAAAATTGTCACAGTTCAACCCCTTATACTTAATAAGGCCTCCTAGAATTGTAAGATGAACCTCTAGTGAGCAAAACAGTGAACTCTTACTGGATTAATTATTCCAATTATTTCTCAATTTTAAAGTCAGATAACTTGATAGTCACCATTAAATGCAAATCAGTGTTTATATAATAAATACATAGGCATATCAGTGACCCAGAAGAGATAAACAGGAACTCTGAGTCTCAGATGGGGAAAATAACATTACAAATACCAAAAAATAAAGTGAAGCTTTTAAAAAAAAAAAGGAGATGTAACATAGAGAAAAAAGTCAACTTTATAACTGGCACTCTTGCCAAAAATATTTATTTATTTAAATGAAGACTCACTGGAGGGTTTTAAATACAAATTAATAAAATTAAGAACACTTGGATGACCATGTCCAAAACGGATCAATGCATTAATAGAAAGGCTTTACTTAATGTCTACCAGGTATCCAAAAATTTTTATGAGAACTGTTAGGGTCAGAGGGGACACACACAAAAAAAATTATAACATATGACTTATTTTCTCAACTTCCTTTTTTTTTTTTTTTTTTGGAGAGGTAGTCTCACTCTGTCGCCCAGGCTGGAGTGCAGTGGCGTGATCTCGGCTCACTGCAAGCTCCGCCTCCCAGGTTCATGCCATTCTCCCGCCTCAGCCTCCCGAGTAGTTGGGACTACAGATGCCTGCCAGCACACCCAGCTAATTTTTTGTATTTTTAGTAGAGACTGGGTTTCACCGTGTTAGCCAGGATGGTCTCGATCTCCTGACCTCATGATCCGCCTGCCTCGGCCTCCCAAAGTGCTGGGATTACAGGCGTGAGCCACCGCGCCCAGCCTAATTTTTGTATTTTTAGTAGAGATGGGGTTTCTCCATGTTGGCCAGGCTGGTGTCAAACTCCTGACCTCAGGTGATTGGCTCGCCTTGGCCTGGCAAACTGCTAGGACTACTGGTGTGAGCCACTGTGCCCAGCCTCAACTTACTTTTACAGATAAGAATATAGGCCAGACATGGTGGCTCACACCTGTCATCCTAGCACTTTGGGAGGCCAAGGCTGGCGGATCACCTGAGGTTAGGAGTTCGAGACAAACCTGGCCAATATAGTAAAACCCCGTCTCTACTAAAAATACAAAATTAGCCGAGCGTGGTGGCGCATGCCTGTAATCCCAGCTACTCTGGAGGCTGAGGCAGGGGAATCACTTGAACTTGGGAGGCGGACATTGCAGCGAGCGGAGATCGCACCATTGCACTCCAGCCTGGGCGACATGAGCGAAACTCTGTCTCAAAAAAAAAAAAAAAAAGAATATAAAGCTAACATAAACAAATTGGGGAACTCCTAATTTCTTAAGTAGATGATGAAGGCTGTGCTCTAGGAAGATTAATCCATGAGGCCTGGGTTAGAAAGTGTGGAAGCATCAAAGAGGAATTGGGGAACACATAATTATGAGTGCCTGAGGTGCGTGTGTAGCTGAGTGAGTGGGAGGTGTGACCTCACCCTCACATGTCTGGATGGCACAGGGTGAGTGAGCACCCACAAAACACCTGCTGAATAGATGAAAGAGCTGGAAGGCAATGGGTCTAGAGCTCAGGTGAAGGGCATAACCTTGGATACAAAAGTGAAACAGAAGGCATGGCAAAGACAAAAATGTCTTAGGGGAAGGGCAAAAACAGGAAGGTGTTCTTCCACAGTGATGCCTGTTTTCCCCGTGGGGTAAGGGGTGAGCAGCCCTTCTGAGAATAATGGCAGAGAAAAGTTTCAGGATATGATTTATCTTCTAGGTTAACTTTGACCATTAAAGTGAGCCATTCGTAAGATGGTCTTTCACAAATCTCACATTTCAGAATGCAAGATTCTTAGGTGGTTAATAACCAAAAGAATACAAGTTTAACCATGAATAGGAAAACTATATTATTTTGGGCAAGTATTTAAAATCTTAAAGAAGAAACTCTTAAATAATGTATTTGTACATATATTGATATAGGTTAACATATGTTTGACACAATTAATTTTAATAATACAATAGATTTAGACTTAAAAGTTGCAAAGTTTAATCACAGAATCAATCAATACCACTAATGGTAACAAATACCAAGTCTTTAGATACTTGGTATTGTAGGGTTGACGTGGCATGTGTAAAAATAGAGATTTGGACACTGCTTGTAGTGAACAGTTTATAATAAACTGTTTTAATTCTTCAGGTCCCAAAATGGTAGAAGTCCAGAATCAACAGTTTCAGATCAACTCCAACGACGGCAAGCCACTATTTACTGTAGATGAGAAGGAAGTTGTGGTTGGTACAGATAAACTTCGAGTAACTGGTATGTACTAACTCGAGAAAAACACAACATTCCATGGAGTACACATCTGCAAAAACACATTGTACTATTGACAAGTTTATGTGGAATCTTTCAAGCA
This sequence comes from Homo sapiens, assembly GCF_000001405.40. NCBI lineage: Eukaryota > Metazoa > Chordata > Mammalia > Primates > Hominidae > Homo > Homo sapiens. The sequence continues at coordinate 23,279,576 of NC_000013.11, forward strand.
GATAAGAGAGTTTGAATGTGTTGCATTTTCTCCATTGCATTTCTGTTGAACTCCCTCGATGCTCTCCTAGAAGAACAAAATCCTCCCCACAGATCTTGGCCCACCCTTCTTCCATCACAGTTTTACCCTTTGTCCCTTCCTTCCTCCCTTCCTTCTTTTTTTTTTCTTTTTAGACAGAGTCTCGCTCTGTTGCCCAGGCTGGAGTGCAGTAGCACAATCTCGGCTCACTGCAACCTTTGCCTCCTGGGTTCAAGCAATTCTCCTGCCTCAGCCTCCCGAGTAGCTGAGACTACAGGCACCCGCCACCATGCCTGGCTAATTTTTGTATTTTTCGTAGAGGCAGGGTTTCTCCATGTTGGCCAGGCTGGTCTCAAACTCCTGACCTCAAATGATTCACCCACCTTGGCCTCCCAAAGTGCTGGGATTACAGGTGTGAGCCACAACACCCTGCCACCCTTTGTCTTTTTCTAATTGGAGTAACCCACAGACTCATCAAATGTCACTATTATCTGTGCAGTTCAAGTACCTGTTTCCCAAGTTTCTTTTATTCTCATCACATCATGTACTTGAATTACTCATATTTCTACAAAAAAAAGTTCTCTTTTTGAACTAAAAGTTGAATAGGGGTCTCATAGCACTCATTTTTAAGACTGAGAAGAGAAAATTTTATGAAAAAAATGTTTCAGAACATATTCTAAATTCACTTGCCAAAGACTAGAAGACACAGGCAGATACTTGTTAAATCTATCCCAGTGCCTTTCTGTACTACTGTGAAAACCAATAGCAATGTTATTGTCTCACACAATACTACCAATACTCCCAAATGAAAAAGAAATAATATTTCCTGGCCAAGGAAGTAGACTCCACCCTATTACAGGCCCTAACAAACTATAAAGATCATAACCTAATGTTGCATACTCTAAGACAGTAATGTATCTGGTTTTGTTACTAAAATGAAGGACACTAGCGCATTTAATTAACGGAAATTGGTAATTGTCCAACAAAGCACCTTAAGCATCAGAAATGCACTGTTGTGTAGGATAAAGAATATGGGCTGGGTAGACTTGGATTCCATTCCTACCTCTGCAATTACTAGCTGCGTAATTTCAAGCAAGTTAATTTTTATTTTCTGTTTCCTAACTTCTAAAAGTGAGTTGATAATATCAACTGTACTATCATTGCTGGGTTAAGTGGATTAAATGTGCAAAGGACAGCAGAGTTCTTGGTAGAGTATCATTGTACTGCAGGGCAGTGAAATCTGCAGGGAAAATAGTCTAACAGCTTAGTTCACTTCAAACCCAAGCCCTCCTACTCAGAGAATCAATAAGATGAACTTTTCCTTAGCCCAGGGCTCCTTCCGGGCCATGACATCAATTAGAGGAACAGGTGAGAAAAATTGATAAGCAACTGTATTATTTATTACCTGTATGCATGCATCAGAGCCATCCGGAGGGTTTGTTTAAAATATACTGCTGGGGGCCAGGCAGAGTGGTTCACACCTGTAATCCCAGCACTTTGGGAGGCTGAGGTGGATGGATCGCTTGAGCTCATGAGTTTAAGACCAGCCTGGACAACATGGCGAAACCCCATCTCTACAAAAGAAAAAGTACAAAAATTATCCAGGCGTAGTGGTGCGTGCCTGTGGTCCCAGCTACTTGGGAGGCTGAGGTGGGAGGATCACCTGAGCCTGGGAGGCAGAGGTTGCAGTGAGCAGAGATTGAGCCACTGCACTCCAGCCTGGGCAACAGAGTGAGACCGTGTCTCAGTAATAATAATAATAATAATAATAATAATAATAATAATAATAATAGTGCTGGGCCTCATCCCCAGAGCTTCTGATTCAGCAGGTCTGAAATGTGACTTGAGAATCTGTGTTTCTAGAGAGTCCCCAGTTGCTGCTGATGCCACAGCTCTGGGGACCACACTTTGAGAACCACTGCTGTGGACTAACATGAATCAGCAGGAGAAACAACAGGTCAGCAACATGTTGACGCTCTCTGTAGAAGAGCAGTCCCCAACCATTTTGGCACCAGGGACTGGTTTCATGGAAGAAAATGTTTTCACAGTGTGGGAGATGGTTTTGGGATGAAACTACTCCACCTCAGATCATCAGGTATTAGATTCTCATCAGGAGCACGCAACCTAGATCCCTTACACATACAGTTCACAGTAGGGTTCGCACTCCTATGAGAATCTAATGCCTCTACTGATCTGATAGGAGGCGGGGCTCAGGCAGTAACGCTCGCTGGCCCACTGCTCACCTCCTGCTGTGAGGCCCAGTTCCTAACAGGCCACAGGCCAGTATCCGTCTATGGCCCAGGGATCCAGAGTCCCTGCTCTAGAACATGCTTTCAAGTTATCCTTTTAAAGGACAAGTTATAATCTTCTCTTTCATAATTTTTTTGCCTGAGGCACAATTTTCTCCCAAACTCCTCCTCTGAGGTGCAGCTAACTAGAGCAAAATATACCCCACCTCTAATGACTATATGCTTTCCTTGTTATTTTGGTGTTGCAAACATTTCTAGTTCTTATTGCCAGAGACACCATGAACTGTGAGTGTACAGACAGTACAATTTTGAGCAGACCATAACTCTTCTCAATTTTCCAGTATGTTAATGGCTTCCTTACATTTTGTGATTAAAGAAACCAAGAGATTCCACGGTTTTGATGGTTCGCTTCTTGTTTTGTCTCTATCCAAGGTCTGACTCTCTAAACATTGTGTAGTGCAGGCTTTGTCGATCTTAACACTGTTTTTTTGTTTTAAACTTTTACTTTAAGTTCAGGGGTACAAGTGCAGGTTTGTTATATAGGTAACTTGTGTCATGGGGGTTTGTTGTACAGATTATTTCATCACCCAGGTATTAACCCAGGTTATTAGTTATTTTTACTGATCCTCTCCCTCCTCCCATCCTCCACCCTTCAGTAAGCCTCAGTGTGTGTTGTTCTCCTCTATGTGTCCACATGTTCTCATCGTTTAGCTCCCACTTATAGGTAAGAGCATGCAGTATTTGGTTTTCTATTACTGTGCTAGTTTGCTAAGGATAATAGTCTCCAGCTCCATCCATGTCCCTAGAAGGGCATGCATGATCACATTCTTTTTAATGACTGCATAGTATTCCACATTTTCTTTATCCAGTCTGTTACTGATGAGCATTTACGGTGATTCTATGTCTTTGCTATTGAACCTCAGCATTGTTAACATTTTGGGCTGGATAATGTTTTTGGTGGAGGTTGGGGGAGACTGTCCTGTGCATTGCAGGACATTTAGCGGCATTCTTAGCCATTTAGTGGCATCCTTAGCCAGTAGTCATTCAGGAGCAGGTTGTTCAGTTTCCATGTAGTTGTGTGCTTTTGAGTGAGTTTCTTAATCCTGAGTCCTAACTTGATTGCACTGTGGTCTGAGAGATAGTTTGTTATGATCTCCATTCTTTTGCATTTGCTGAGAAGTGTTTTACTTCCAATTATGTGGTCAATTTTGGAATTAGTGTGATGTGGTGCTGAGAAGAATGTACATTCTGTTGACTTGGGGTGGAGACTTCTGTAGATGTCTATTAGGTCTGCTTGGTCCAGAGCTGAGTTCAAGTCCTGAATATCCTTGTTAATTTTCTGTCTCATTAATGTGTCTAATATTGACAGTGGGATGTTAAAGTCTCCTACTATTATTGTGTGGGAGTCTGAGTCTCTTTGTAGGTCTCTAAGAACTTGCTTTATGAGTCTGGGTGCTCCTGTATTGGGTGCATATATATTTAGGATAGTTAGCTCTTCTTGTTGAATTGATTCCTTTACCATTATGTAATGCCCTTCTTTGTCTTTTTTTATCTTTGTTGGTTTAAAGTCTATTTTATCAGAGACTAGGAATGTAATCCCTGCTTTATCTTTTTTCCATTTGCTTGGCAGCTCTTCCTCCATCCCTTTATTTTGAGCCTATGTGTGTTTCTGTACATGAGATGTGTCTCCTGAACATAGCCCATCAATGGGTTTTGACTCTATCCAGTTTGCCAGTCTGTGTCTTTTAATTGGGGCATTTAGCCCATTTACATCTAAGGTTAATACTGTTATGTGTGAATTTGATCCTGTCATTATGATGCTAGCTGATCATTTTACCCATTAGTTGATGCAGTTTCTTCGTAGTGTCAATGGTCTTTACAATTTGGTATGCTTTTGCAGTGGCTGGTACCGGTTTTTCCTTTCCACATTTAGTGCTTCCTTCAGGAGCTCTTGTAAGGCAGGCCTGGTGGTGACAAAATCTCTCAGCATTTGCTTATCTGTACAGGATTTTATTTCTCCTTTGCTTATGAAGCTTAGTTTGAAATTCTGGGTTGAAAATTCTTTTCTTTAAGAATGTTGAATGTTGGCTCCCACTCTTTTCTGGATTATAGGGTTTCTGCAGAGACATCCACTGTTAGTCTGATGGGCTTCCCTTTATAGGTAACCCGACCTTTCTCTCTGGCTGCCCTTAACATGTTTTCCTTTATTTCAACCTTGGTGAATCTGACAATTATGTGTCTTGGGGTTGCTCTTCTTGAGGAGTACCTTTGTTGTGTTCTCTCTATTTCCTGAATTTGAATGTTGGCCTGTCTTGCTAGTTTGGGGAAGTTCTCCTGGATAATATCCTGAAGAGTGTTTTCCAACTTGGTTCCATTTTCCCCATCACTTTCAGGTACACCAATCAAATGTAAGTTTGGTCTTTTCACATAGTCCCATATTTCTTGATGGCTTTGTTCATTCCTTTTCATTCTTTTTTCTCTAATCTTGTCTTCATGCTTTATTTGATTAAGTTGATCTTCAATCTCTGATATCCTTTCTTCTGATTGATCAATTCGGCTATTGATACTTGTGTATGCTTCACAAAGTTCTCATGCTGTGTTTTCAGCTCCATCAGGTCATTTATGTTCTTCTCTAAACTGGTTATTCTAGTAGCAACTCCTCTAACCTTTTTTCAAGGTTCTTAGCTTCCTTGCATTGGGTTATAACATGCTCCTTTAGCTCAGACAAGCTTGTTATTACTCACCTTCTGAAGCCTACTTCTGTTCAATTCATCAAACTCATTCTCTGTCCAGTTTTGTTCCCTTGCTGGCAAGGAGTTGTGATCCTTTGGAGGAGAAGAGGCATTCTGGTTTTTGGAATTTTCAGCCTTTTTATGCTGGTTTTTCCTTATCTTCCTGGATTTATCTACCTTTGCTCTTTGATGTTGGTGACCTTTGGATGGGGTTTCATGTAGACGTCCTTTTTGTTGATGTTGATGCTATTCCTTTCTGTTTGTTAGTTTTCCTTCTAACAGTCAGGCCCCTCTGCTGCAGGTCTGCTAGAGTTTGCTGGACGTCCACTCCAGCCCCTGTTTGCCTGGATATCACCAGTGGAGGCTGCAGAACAGCAAAGACTGCTACTTGTTCCTTCCTCTGGAAGTTTCGTCCCAGAGGGGAACCTGCCAGATGCCAGGCGGAGCTCTCCTGTATGAGGTGTCTGTCGACCCCTGCTGGGAGGTGTCTCCCAGTCAGGAGGCACAGGGGTCAGGGACCCACTTGAGGAGGCAGTCTGTACCTTAGAATAGCTCAAGCGCTGTGCTGGGAGATCCGCTGCTCTCTTCAGAGCTGGCAGGCAGGAACATTTAAGTCTGCTGAAGCTGCACCCACAGCCGCCCCTTCCCCCAGGTGCTGTCCCAGGGAGATGGGAGTTTTATCTATAACTCCCTGACTGGGGCTACTGCCTTTCTTTCAGAGATGCCCTGCCCAGAGAGGAGGAATCTAGAGAGGCTGTCTGGCTACAGCAGCTTTGTCGAGGCTCGGTGGGGATCCACCTAGGTCAACCTTCTCAGCGGCTTTGTTTGCACTGTGAGGGGAAAACTGCTAACTCAAACCTCAGTAATGGTGGACGCCCCTCCCCTCACCAAGCCCAAGTGTCCCAGGTCAACTTTAGACTGCTGTGTTGGCAGCAAGAATTTCAAGCCAATGGATCTTAGCTTACTAGGCTCCATGGGGATGGGATCCGCTAAGCTAGACCAATTGGCTCCCTGGCTTCAGCCCCCTTTCCAGGAGAATGAATGGTTCTGTCTTGCTGGCATTCCAGGTGCCACTGTGGTATGAAAAAAAACTCCTGCAGCTAGCTCAGTGTCTGTCCAAATGACCACCCAGTTTTGTGCTTGAAATCCAGGGCCCTGGTGGTGTAGGCACCTGAGGGAATCTCCTGGTCTGCAGGTTGCGAAGACCATGGGAAAAGCATAGTGTCTGGGCTGAATAGCACCATCCTTCATGGCACAGTCCTTCACGGCTTCCCTTGGCTAGGCGAGGGAGTTCTCCAACCCCTTGCACTTCCCAAGTGAGGCAACACCCCACCCTGCTTTGGCTCACCCTCCGTGGGCTGCACCCACTGTCTAACCAGTCCCAATGAGATGAGCCAGGTACCTCAGTTGGAAATGCAGAAATCACCCATCTTCTGCATTAATCTCGCTGGGAGCTGCAGACCGGAGCTGTTCCTGTTTGGCCATCTTGCCAGACACCACCAACCAACAATGGGTAACTTTTTGAGAATTAGACTGAGTTCCAATCCCAGCTGTTCCATTAAGTAAGCACATGACCTCAAATGAATATTTCACCTCTCAGTGCTTTATACTACAAAGATCTGTAGCCACTGGTCTCTCACCATTACAGGACAGTATACAGAATTCAACAAAGCAGATGCAAATTGATCGTGAAATTAAATTGCATGTCTTGCAAAAGATGTAGGGTTTAGGAAGTCAGAAATGATGAGAAATACTGGAATTGCTGGCAAAGCCACTAACAAAAGACCAGGAAAGTTAGATTTGCCAGCAACTAAAGAAGTGAAAATCAGCCATGATGATGACATGATAGTCATTTCAAAGATCGGTAACCTTAACTTCACAAGATTAATATTCACTCTTGTGATGACTGACAATGCCCTCAATTTAACTATTACAGTTGTTCCTCATTATCTTCAGGGGATACGTTCAAAGAGCCCCAGGGGATACCTCAAGCTGCAGATAGTACTAAACCCTATATATGCTGCACTGTGTTTTTTCTTATACATACATACTGTGATAAAGTTCGGTTTATAAATGAGACCCAGTAAGAGATTAACAACAATAGCTCATAATAAAATAAAGCAATTATAAAAATATACTGTAATAAAAGTTGTGTGAATGTCATCTCTCTCTCTGTCTCAGAATATCTTATTTGACTGTCCTCACCCTTCTTGTGATGATGTGAGATGAGAAAATGCCTACATGATAAGATGACCCGAGGTGAATGATACAGGATTGTGTATAGTGCTTAACACTTATGAATTGTTTATTTCTGGAATTTTCCATTTAATATTTTAGGACGGTGGGTAACTGAAACCTCAGAGAGCAAAATTGCAGAAAGTAAAACTGTGATAAGGGGGGACTATTGAATTATAGCTTTATCGCCAATGGTAAACATTTAGTGAACAATGTCCTATTGTGCCACTAGGGTAGGCAGAATTCTAAGGATGCCCCCACTGAGCCCTGTATATTTCCTTCTCCTTTCAGTGTGGATGGAATCTGTAAATATGAGATGTCTCTCCTGTGATTATGTCACTTATATGGTAAGAGGAAGGTAATCTGGGTAGCCCAATCTATCCCATGAGCCCTTTATAACCAGAGAGGTTAATCTGGCTGGTAGTAGAGGGGGAAGTCAGATAAATTGGAAAAGCAAGAAAAATTCACTGCTGTGTTGCTGAAGGAAGAAAGAGGGACCATGTGACAAGAAGTGGTGGCCTCTAGAAAGGGAAAGAGGCCCTTGGCTGGCAGCAGGAAACAAGAAATGAGCCTCAGTCTTGCAAGCACAAAGAACTGAATGAATTCTGCCAACACCTGCATGACACAGAAGGTAGAGTCTGGCCCTGGGCTTCCAGACGAGAGCCCTGCCTTGCTGACACCTGTGAGACCCTGAGCACAGAACCTGGTCAGACACTCTGGGTAGGACCTGAAACCAACAGAGCTGTGAGCTAACACATGAGGATCGTTTTAAGTAGCTAAGTTTGCCATAATTCCTAACAGAAATAGAAGACTAAATAGAGCCATCCTACAACTCCAACTATGTTTGAAAAAGTGACACCAAAAAACTTGACTTATTCTTTTTTATTTCATATAATTTCACAGTTTTTTGTTACCATTATGACCAGGGTTTTTTGTTTGTTTGTTTGTTTGTTTTGTTTTGTTTTGAGACAGCGTCTTGCTCTGTGGCCAGGCTGGGTGTAGTGGCACGATCTCAGCTCACTGCAACCTTTGCCTCCTGGGTTCAAGCAATTCCCCTGCCTCATCCTCCCGAGTAGCTGAGAATACAGGCTCATGTCACCACGCCCAGCTAATTTTTGAATTTTCAGAAGAGATGGGGTTTCACCATGTTAGCCAGGATGGTCTTGATCTCTTGACCTCGTGATCTGCCCGCCTCAGCCTCCTAAAGTGCTGGGATTACAGGCGTGAGCCACTGCGCCCAGCCAATAAGAATGTTTTTATAAGCTTTAATGCTTCCACACAAATTCCCATTAAAACTTTTCTCCACTACCTGTGATAACAGTTGGGTCCCTATTTCAAGTGGATTGACTCCAGGTAGCCTTTGGAGTTTCTCAGGTCAGCAAACGCAACAGTAGTTGACAGCCAAGGAAAGAGAAGTGATAGGAAAAGAGACGGGCAGCCTCACTCTGAGGACTGGAAAGAAAATCCAATTCTTTGCTTCTTTTCTCCGCCCTTGTCACTTGCACAGCAGCCCATAGCTCTGGTGAAAGGGGAAGATAAGGTGGCTCTCTCCTTAAGATGGTGCACTCGAAACTCCTGACTGCACCAAGTCCTAATCCTGACTCAAATTGCCATTCTTTGAGCAATTAAGACAATTGCTGTTGCTATTCTCTTAATTACTCAAATAAGCTAAAACCTCTCTTTAATTCTTAAACAGCTTCCATTTAGATTTTAGTCAACTAGGATACTGAATAATAGTTTTTAAGCGAAATTTATGGAAGCGATTAAACAATTTCAGCAGTTCAGTCTGAAACCAATTTAGGCCTTTAAGCAGGCTCATCTTCCTCCCCCACAAAATTAGACACCAAGTGGCCAAAGTTAACATTTCTTTTATTAACCCAAGTTACAGAACATACTATTGGAATAACATCAAAATGTTGTCTTCAAAAAACTATTCTACACCATTGCCAGAACTGACTTCTGGCAGATGACAAATTGTTAGTTTGGCTGCCCTAAGTGTATTTTAGCTCCCTGGCAACAATTTGCTAGGCTCAGTCCATTTCCCAATATTATCTTTAAAAACAGAGTTCTATAATAGTATCCATTTCCCACCACTAATAAGAAAAAATAAGATCTAGCAATAGTCCCAATTCCATTTCTTTATGCCTTCTGTGCAGCTAAGCAAGATCACATAAAGTCAAAAGTGATAGTGTAGAAATGCCAGAGTCACCCATAAAGCCAGTGACAAAAATGGACCTGGAGAACAAAGTGTTCAGCAACTGAAGAAGTGAAAATAAACAAGGATGTTAAGTCGAAAAAGACGTGAAGACAGATATCTGGAAGGTGCTTTTAGGAGTACCATATCCTTCAAACACATACCCAAGGGCACAGAACACTGTCTGATGCAGCACTGCACGCAGCGATCAACGCCGTGCTGCAGTCCATGGTATTTCAGCTGAAAGGAACAAGAGTCCCAATTAAAACAGGCTTAAACTGGAAGGACATGTATTATCTCACATAGGAAGGCTGGGGAAAGGGTAACTCCAGGTTGTTGATTAATTTAGTAGCCAAGTAATATTTTACGCTACCTTTCTTCTCTGCAAGTATGTTGATATTTCCCTTTTGGGTTGCAAAATGATTCCATCAATTGCAAACATCACTTGCCTCTGCAAAGACTTCTCTAAACATCTATCTATAAGAGGGCCTCAGTGATTTGGCATCTTAAGTTACTCTCCCAGCTGAAATTTTTCTCAGATTAAATTATTTGAATTTCTTTTGTATGTGGCGTTTGGCTGGATTTATTGTTTATAACATAATTTATTTTGAGTTTTAATGTGGAATTTAAAACTGACATTCATTGTGATAAGTTCTCTATTTGTCTTATCTGTGCCATATTATTTCATGATTTTTATTTTTTAATCTTACCAGGTTTGAATCTGAAAAAAGCCTGGTATAAAGGGAGATAGAGTGGGACCAGATTATGCAGGGATTTGCTGGCCATTTTAAGAATTTAGGATTTGTTTTAGTTCAATGGGGAGGCATTGAATTGTTTTGAACAGGGTACTCCTTGATTCATTATACATCTTAAGATCAATCCAACCATTACAAAGGAGGTTGGAGGAAAGAATGGAGGCAGTAAGACCAGTTAGGAGGATGTCAATTGTAGTACACGTAATCAGCGAAGGTGACCTGGATTGGGTGGTAGCAATGGTCAGAGAGGGAAGTGAATTACTCCAGTTTAAGATCTGACAGCTACAGACTTGCCTATGAATCGGGTGTATGGCAGGCAGCCAGGAGGAGACTCAAAGATGATATTTGTTTTGGTTGATGGCATTACTCTCTGGGTAACGGAGAGGCCTGAGGAGGAGGAGAATTCATTTGCAGGGCAGACAGCATCAACAGTTAATATTTTAGACACGTAAATTGAAGATAATCTGGGAAAACTGCCAAGTGCATGTCATGTCAGCTATTGGGCATGTGAGTTAGCTACTGCTCAGAGCAGAAGTCTAGACTAGAGATAAATGTGGGTGTCATCAACCAACTGAGCTCCAAAAAATGCCAACAGTAGAGGCCAAGTAAAGGCAGAGCAGCCACCAAAGGAGAATAAGGGACAGACAATGCGGTGGGAGGGATATTACGATAATCGTTTTTCTGGTGTCAAGAGAGACTATTTTCTCAGAATTTGGACCCAGGAGAGATGACAGAAATTGTCATTGGATTTATTATTACGGAAGTTATTGCTATCTTAAGGAGAGCATTTTTCATTGGAGTAATAAAGGCAAAAGGCAGGTTGAAGTGGTTACAAAGTGAATAGGACGGGAGGCAGTAGAGGCATTATGTGGTGACATTAAGCGGAAGTTTGGCTGAACGAGAGAAATGGAATTTTTTTGGCATCACTTGAAAAGACCGTATCAGTCCATAAATGCTCAATGAAGGTGTAGAATGAATCTTAACAAATAGTTATCAGTGTTGATACAAAAATGAATGCATGTCTGAGATATATATTACTGTCTGAACAGAAGTATTAATATTGAATTCAATGTATTTCTATAATTGAAGGAACCTAGAAACAGCAGTATGTTGCAAAGAATGGAACAACTTAGAGTTATTTGCCGTTCAGTTGCTGAGCTCTGTCCAAGAGCACCCTGATTGCTGGGCTCTGTACCATGATCTTTTCAACTGCCTTCATGACCGTCTCAATCCATCTTGCACCACAGTCTTATTACAGATCTTCATGTGAGCATCATTCATCATATAATGCTCTAGGATCCAGAAGGGAAGAATGGTGTTGTTTGAGTACTACTCCTTCACAGTAGAATTGGACAAACCATTTACCATGTCTAATCTCAATGACATATTCTAAAAATAAAAAAGTTAACATTATTAGACTAGGCTTTCTTTTATTTTCCTTTTTATTTATACTTTCCTATATAAATAATGCATATTATACAGGGTCATTTTAATGCATGATTTATATAATGATAGTTTATAGTAGAACTTTTTTCCTGTCTAAAATTTTAGATTATATGACTTCAAATAATATGTTTCATTTTCCACAAAGAAGAGGTATTATACCAATTATATTTCTTATATCATCTTGATTGTGAATATTTAAATGAATGCAAACATAAAGAAAATGCAATTAAATTGAAGATCAACAACCATTTCCTGAGAATCATTTTATGAAATCATTTAGGAAAATTCATTTTATTATACGCAAATAGGTTCTGAGGAGCATTTAACTTTGAGGCTGAATAGTGATGATATAATCAAGAGCATATAATTTGGACATTTATCATTTCAATGTAGAGAAACTGCTGCTCTTATTTAAAGATAATACATATCAGTTTATAGATTTTATATCTCCCTGTAAGTACATTACCATAATCATATGTCAATATAATATCACTAATTATAGTTACATTAGAAGGTAAGTAATTGGCATGCATTTAAAAACTAATTACTGAGTTTTATTGCCACTGAAACTCTTTGAATAAATTCAGCTATTGGGGGAAAAGAATTGACGCTGCTGTGAAAGTTGATTATATGAAATGGGTCATTTTGTCATACCCAAGTAAATCGAGGGGCTGGGGAAAAAGCACTCAGGGCATGTAGCACCTTTTTCAAGAACTGAATTTTCCTCAAGCCTAGCTGCTGAAATGGCCTGCTGTCACCCTAAGACCAGTGTTACCTAGTAAATGCTGAAACAACCTGCTGTGACACCAAGAGTTCTACCTGCTGCCCTCACTCACCAATCAGAGCTTGCCAGCTCCCAAAAGCTTCTCTAGTGCCAATGAGCCTTCTTTCAAAACAATACATAACATTTCTTTCTTTTTTTTGAGATAGAGTCTTACTTTGTTGTCCAGGCTAGAGTGCAATGGTACGATCTTGGCTCACTGCAACCTCTGCCTCCCAGGTTCAAATGATTCTCATGCCTCAGCCTCCAGAATAGCTGGGATTACAGGCGTGCGCCACCACACCTGGCTAATTTTTGTATTTTTAGTAGAGACGGGATTTGATCATGTTGGCCAGGCTGGTCTCGAAATCCTGGCCTCAAGTGATCTGCCTGCCTTGGCCTCCCAAAGTGCTGGGATTACCGGCGTGAGCCACTGCGCCCACCGACGTTTCTCTTTCTAATAAAACTCCCAACTTTCTCTTTGTTCTTTGGAGATATGCCCCAAATTGCAATTCTGTGATTGCCCCAAAAACCATTTAATTTAGAGATTCATCTCTGTATTTATTTTGACCCAACACTGTGCTCAAATAAAAATTGCCTATGGAAGTGGAATAGATTGCAGTCTCCAGTTTTGTTTTACAAGGGTATGTGTTATAGAAAGTTAAATGTGTTGACTTTTTTCTCAGTCATAATATCATCTTGTTTATATAAAAATAGAGAAAATAATTACAGAAAACTTTATGCCCACATTCCTTTTGTTTTTATATCTTAGTTATGGAAAGAAATCATTGTTTTTTGATGATTCATAAAGCTCACTCTAGTTTCGTGATAACAAAGCATTACTTGGGTTTCAAACAATGTTACATAAACCACAGTAAATATACTTATATAAAATTAAGCATAGCTCTGCTTGTCTTCTTGGGAATTGACTTGAGGTGTATTAAAATTTACATTTTCTATTTTGCAAATCAGAAGAAGCAAGGAGGAAAGAAAAGGATAAAATGAATACATATCATTATACAAATTAGTATGTTAAATTATTTTCCTCTCTATGCCAAGCAGGAAATGTTGTCAACACATCAGCAAACCAGACATTGTACTCTAAAATTTGACTGGCAACATTTATTGTGGAAACTCCAGTGGTTGGTATAGCCTAACTTTACGTAATGATCTCCATTATCGTTTAGGTTTGCTTAAGTGGTATTTTAAGAAAATGTGACTTGTTACAGCATACACGAAGATCTGTTTCTTATCTGAGTATAATTTACATAAATTATAATTTTCATGAAACATTAACCTTCACTTTTGTGTGTTCCTTTATTTCAGTTGATTATAGTTTTTATGTAAATCATCCTACTAAATCTGTTTGTAATTTTAAAATTTCACTTTGTTCTGATTTAAGTCTGTTTTGCTTTTGTGCCACAAGCTATTATTTCTTGGATAAGGGCTTTTTTCCAGCGTGGGTTTTTATCATATCTTCATATTTAAATAAAATTACTAAGGAAGTAGTAATTATAATAACAAAGCTAATATAGCCAGTAATACTGTGGAGAAAATGTGAAGGTACTGTGAACTGTAGGGCTGGCTGGGCGCGGTGGCTCACGCCTATAATCCCAGCACTTTAGGAAGGCCAAGGAAGACAGATCACCGGAGGTCAGGTGTTTGAGACCAGACTGGCCAACATGTTGAAACCCTGTCTCTACTAAAAATACAAAATATTAGCCGGGTGTGGTGGTGGGCACCTGTAGTCCCAGCTACTCAGGAGGCTGAGGCAGGAGAATTGCTTGAACTGGGAGGCGGAGATTGCAGTGAGCGGAGATCTTGCCACTGCCCTTCAGCCTGGGTGACAGAGTGAGATTCCGTCTTAAAAAAAAAAAAAAAAAATTAGTAAGGGCTGCTCAAAAGATCTTTTGCCCAGGATGAGGATTTCTCAACACAGAGGCTGGGAAACCTTTACCCAGGCAATTTTTCTTCAGTGTCCAATATTGAAACTAGTACAAGGGTTGATTTAAAAATAAACCTTGTAATTGTTTCATTATAGAAGCTCCTCAACTTGCAATGGCTTGCCTTCTACAAAGCCATGGCAAGTCGGGGACCCTCTGTATTTCCTAAAGAGGAAAGTGCACAGTGTGAGGATGAATCCTGAGATTCCTGTGGAACCACAAGAGAGAGAAAAACTCTTTGCAAGTGGCAGCCACAGCCTCTTAAGCCAAGGGTAGGACCTGAGCCAGAGGTGGGACCCTAGGCAGGGCAGGGCCTAAGATAGGCATGAGCAACCTGGGGAAATCATGATGCACATATATAAGCAATGTGGTGCTGCTTATATCTGTGAATATGCCCATAAAATTCAAGAGGATATAGATTTAAATATAATGTGAAAGATACGTTTGTATTCCATGTAGAATTCGTTGCTTCCAGTGAATTGGATTATTTGTTTATTCCTGGACACTCAGCACATTTTCCTGCTCCTGGACTGCTGCTCTTTTTGAAATTCTTGCTCTCAATCTCCATATGTTCATAAAAGTTTATTTATTTTAAGGTTCAGACCCACTTCATTTTCCTATGTGAAAATAGGAAATAGTCCCTGATGCCTTAAAGTAATTCTTCCCCATTGATGACCCTCCAAATAATTTTGTTGCACTTTGCTACTGGCACATTACTTTCTATCACATATTGTTATTTATGTATGAAAACCCCTATAGCATATAGATTAAACGTGTGGGCTCTGAATTCAAATTACAGCCTTGCCACTTCTCGGCTGTGGAACTCTAGGCACGTTAATTAACCTTTCTCTTCCTCAGCTTCCTCATGGGTAAATAGGAAAATACTACCTGCGTTGCAGGGGTCTGAGTATTAAACAAGTTAGGATACATCAAAGAGCATGTCACTTTCACCTGTGTTTTTCTGCACCCCAGCTGACACAGGGCCTTGCATATAATTAGGTTCTCAGACTCATGAAACAACTGGGAACATACTGATTTCTAGGAATTAGAAGGTTCATTTTAAATATTTAAAGCTTTTAATTTTTCTGTAAATATCCTGACTACCTTAGAAACAAATAATACAAGATACAATTTTTATACATAAAATCTAGAGAATTAGTTAAATTACTATTACTTAAAATATATGGGTGTATGCAATTTTCAGAAGGACTTTTTTTCTTTTTTGATTTGAAGACTAATATTGCTTTCTAGTTTTAAAATAAGCCTGCTAATTTGTAATTGCTTTGAAAAACATATTTTGTTTATAGGAACATAATGAAATTGTGATAGCCTCAGAAAAGTAGGGAAAGAGTTGGGCCTATTTTTCTACCTGTAACTCAAACATCTGCAAAAATTCTGCAAGAAAGAACAAAATCCATATGTTCTTTAATATCTAGGCTAAATGTTTATTTTGTTTGGTGTCACTTATTTTACTTCTGCTCCTGATACATCTTTGTTTTTTGTTTAGGGCCTGAAGGGGCTCTTTTTGAACATTCAGTGGAGACACCCCTTGTCAGAGCCGACCCGTTTCAAGACCTTAGGTAAGAATTTTTGTTCAAATATTAACAACCTCTCCTGTAGAAGACAAGAGGGTATGTGCTGGAATAATGTTAGCAGTGACTACTTCCTGACTGTTTCTTATTTCATCAGTTGCCTTTATTTTCAAGACTTTCCGCTTATAACTAGATAGTATTTATTAAAATCCAAAGGAGGTCAAAAAGTCCTACTGACTCCACACTTGGTGCCTGTTCACAGCCTCCTCCTTCCTCCTCCTTCTTCCTCTCCAATCTGCCTCTCACACTGGTATCAAAATGACTTTGCTAAATGCAAGCTGGTTAAAATGCTTCATCGCTCCCACATCACATCAGCCATAGGAAAATCCTAAGTGCTCCACTGGGCACCCACAGCCCTTCATAGTCTGGGCTGTGACTGGCGGGACCTCCTCCCCTACCCTGTCACCCAGACATGAGTGACTGCCATATCCTCGCCCACCCATCCCACACCATCCCCTCTGTGCTTTTGCACTGACTGTTGCATCTCCCTGGGGTGCCCCCCTCCCCGAGGAGACCTCATGAATGTCTGCTCATCCCTCAAGTGTTAATTGAGATGCTACAGGTTTATGATTCATATATTTTACAAACCTATTATTTTCTCCTGAAAAGTGTCAGCATACGTTTCCTGAAGTTTTTTACAATTCTTAACACAAAGCATGTGCATATATATATTACATTATCCATCTCTACACTATCTGCAAACAAGGCAAAACCTTTGCACTTTTTAGTGGAAGACAAAGGTGCCTTATGTGGCCGTGAAATGTGCAAAAGGCACTCTTGAAAATGTCAGTTTACTTTAAATTTTTAAAAGATATATGCACTATTAGTAGTGAAAATAACATTATAAAAACCAAGTGCACAATAAATCCATATTTGCAAAATAGTTGGAAACATTTAGTGTATCTCTTTTTTAATTTGTAGTAACATGCACATAACATAAAATTCACCATCTTAACCATTTTTAGTGTACAGTTCAGTAGTCTTAAGTACATTCATATTACTTCGTGGTCATTACCACCATCCATCTCCAGAACTCTTTTTATCTCGCAAAACTGAAACCCTGTATCCATTTAACAAGTCCTCATTCTCTTCTCCCGGTCACCCCGGCACTCACCATTCTACTTTCTGTCTCTGTGGATTTGACTAATCTGGGTGCCTCTCATATGAGCGAAATAATACAGTTTTTTCCTTTTGTGCCTAGTTTATCCGACTTAGCATACTTTCCTCACCCTTTGGTATATCTGTACATAATACCCTGAATATATAAAAATCACCCAGTTCCATACATAAATTTATTATTTTTTACAGAATCTTTGTGTCTATGTGTATTTTACCTTACCACTAGGCTACTGAATGTCATTTACACCTATAACTATTCATTCCAATAATATATTTGTATTTTATAACAAAACCAAATAATATTTTAAATGGTCTTAAAGTTCATGCTATCACTTAAAATCACATTTAGAATTTAAACTTGAAGTGAATGCAGGACAATTAATATATTTTAATAAATTATGTATAATAGGGAATACAAGGTACAGTAGGAATCCCAGCTTTACACAGACAAGCCGGCTGACCATGGCCAAACTAACCTTTCCAGACTATTTTTTCTCATATTAAACATTACTGATAGTAATCCTTACCTCAGAGTATTCTAGGAAAGATTTAATAAGATATTATGTTAAAAGCATTTTGTAAACTGAAAAGTCAAACACAGACAATCTTTTATTTTTTTTTTTTTTGAGATGGAATTTTGCTCTTGTTTGCCGAGACCAGCTCGGTCAGGGAGACCCTAACCCAGCAGTGTTAGAGGAATTAAAGACACATACACAGAAATATAGAGGTGTGAAGTGGGAAATCAGGGGTCTCACAGCCTTCAGAGCTGACAGCCCCGAACAGAGATTTACCCACATATTTATTAACAGCAAGCGAGTCATTAGCATGGTTTCTATAGATATTAGATTAACAAAAAGTATTCCTTACGGGAAACAAAGGGATAGGCTGAAATAAAGGGATGGTTGGGCTAGTTATCTGCAGCAGGAGCATGTCCTTAAGGCACAGATTGCTCATGCTATTGTTTGTGGTTTAAGAACGCCTTTAAGCGGTTTTCTGCCCTGGGTGGGCCAGGTTTTCCTTGACCTCATTCTGGTAAACCCACAACCTTCCAGCGTGGGCGTTATGGCCATCATGAACATGTCACAGTGTTGCAGAGATTTTGCTTATGGCCAGTTTTGGGGCCAGTTTAAGGCCAGATTTTGGGGGGCCTGTTCCCAACATTGTTGCCTAGGCTGGAGTGCAATGGCACACTCTCGGCTTACTGCAACCTCTGCCTCCCGGATTCAAGCGATTCTCCTGCCTCAGCCTCCTGAGTAGCTGGGATTACAGGTGCCCACGACCACACCTGGCTAATTTTTGTATTTTTAGTAGAGACGGGGTTTCATCATGTTGGTCAGGCTGGTCTTGAACTCCTGAGCTCAGGTGATCTGCTCACCTTGGCCTCCCAAAGTGCTGGGATTACAGGCATGAGCCACCGCGGCCAGCCAACAATCACTTTTTAAATTGTTATTATACAGCCGGCCATGGTGGCTCACACCTGTAATCCCAGCACTTTGGGAGGCCGAGGCAGGTGGATCACCTGAGGTCAGGAGTTTGAGACCACCCTGGCCAATGTGATGAAACCCCATCTCTACTAAAAATACAAAAATTAGCCAGGCGTGGTGGCACATGCCTGTAATCCCAGCTACTCAGAAGGCTGAGGCATGAGAATTGCTTGAACCTGGGAGGCAGAGTTTGCAGTGAGCCAAGACCATGCCACTGCACTTCAGCCTGGGCGACAGAGCCAGACTCCGTCTTTTTATCAAGGGAAAAAAAAATTGTTATTATACTACATAGATATTCTCCCTAAATAATAAAGGATTAGGAAAAGCAGCATTTTTTATATATTTAATGTCCAATTAAATATTCATCAAAAGCAAATAGGAGTTCAATTTATCTTACCCACAAAGTGAACATTTGTAACATAAAAATAGATTGTGACTATAATTAAATTATAACAAGGTTTAATTTTGAAAATGGATAAAAAGATTAACATTAAAGAATTTTTATAGAGAAGAAAAACATTTTATTTTCCTAGGTTAGAAAAATCATTCAAATCTGTGGAAATAATCCCATTAAAGCCAATTTAAAATTATAA
Organism: Homo sapiens; assembly: GCF_000001405.40. Lineage (NCBI taxonomy): Eukaryota > Metazoa > Chordata > Mammalia > Primates > Hominidae > Homo > Homo sapiens. Next base: position 23,298,696 of record NC_000013.11, read on the forward strand.
AATAATATAGATTGTAGAAATGCCAAAACACTTTTAAAGTAAATGTCAATTTAAAAAATATATAGATCTCAATTAAATAATTCATCTCATGTTATCCCATTAAATCTTCTCACTGTATATACGGCAGGCTCTTACTGAAAAAGAAACGGCACAAGAGTATTCTTTTGCTTTCTAAAAGGCGGTACTGAGGAAGGATTGAGCAACTTGAGTGTTAAAACCAAGGCAATTGAAAAAAATAACAAAACTGCAAGGAAATGCTCGAGGAGTGTGGTGAGGATGGGAGGTGGGAACTAACATTCACTGAATGCTTTTGACTGCCAGGAACTGTGCTCAGTGCTGTCACAGAATTTGTTTCATTTAATTATGAAGTGATTGGCAATTTTATCCCCATTTTATAAAGGCAGAAACTCAGATCTAGATAGTTCCATGTTGTAAGTCACAAAACTAAAAAGGTAGCCACTCATAATCGAATCCAGCTTTGACTCCAGAGCCCATGTACATCCAGTTTGCTGTCTCCACCACCCAGCGGATCCTTGAGAGATTGATTCTTTGATTTACACTGAGATGCCTCTGACTGATTATATGATGGTCATATCTTCTTCTTCTGCAACTTCTTGCCATCAACTATGTTCCACTTTTTATTTCTGGTTCCAGCAGCATTACTATTCCTGGCCTGATTACAGTAAAAAGATTCTGGAATATCTTAGTTGGCATATATATATATATATATATATATATATATATATATATATATATATATATTTTTTTTTTTTTTTTAGTCGGAGTCTCACTCTGTCCCCAGGCTGGGGTGCAGTGGCGCGATCTCGGCTCACTGCAAGCTCCACCTCCCAGGTTCACACCATTCTCCTGCCTCAGCCTCCTGAGTAGCTGAGATGACAGGTGCCTGCCACCATGCCTGGCTAATTTTTTGTATTTTTAGCAGAGATGGGGTTTCACTGTGTTAGCCAGGATGGTCTTGACCTCCTGACCTCGTGATCTGCCCGCCTCGGCCTCCCAAAGTGCTGGGATTACAGGCGTTAGCCACCGTGCCCGGCCTTAGATTTACATTTCTTATGGCAAAATCATTTGCAAGGAAAGTATGAACGCTGACAAACTACCTTAAAGCAACCTTGCATTCACACATGATGTAATTCATTCTTTTTTAAAAAGTCAGCAAAAGTGTATTAAAGTGTTTATGTGCCAGATATAAAAGGCATGGTCGTTGACCTCAATGAGTTTACAGTCTATTGAGAAAAGAAACTTGCAAACAAGTTAGAAAAGTATATTTAACTGCTATGATAAAAGTACAACTTCTATTGGAGGCATAGGCAAATAAATATAAAATCTTCCCAGGGTAATCTGGGATGATACCCCAGAAAAGGGAGGAGTTGAATTCTGTGTAACACCATAAGGATGTGATGTCAATTAAGTAAGTTATTATTTCCACGTCTGTTCATCTACTTATCTAAGGAAGATACACATATACTACTGTGTGGATGGAAACATTTGCACCTGTTGCAAGCACTTGCAAATACGAAAGTTTACCTAGTAAGTGTTTATAAATACTAAGCTCAGTTAGAAACCAAGAAAGGGTAATTCCCAGGTCCCAACAATAAAGAGGCAGCTCATGGTCAGAGTAGAGGAAGAGTTAAGCTAAGCTACTCATAGAGAAATCAGGATACATAGAGACTAGCTGCTGAGACATTAATGCTGATGTGGGAGTGAGATTCCAAGTGATTGTTCAGTGTGCATGAAACACCCTGGCTGAGAAACCTCCGAAATCCTGACCTCCCATGAATCAGGTATTTCACACAATATGCCCATCAGCCCAACGATGTCACAAGAAAGATTGCTATTTTAGGCCATGGGTTGAAAAATTACCCACAAGAAATCATGACCTGCAAGCCGTTGCCTGGCCGAGGTAGAAGCAAACGCATACTACTTCACGGTATAGGAACTCCGAGGTGGCAAATTAACAGTAAAAACTGCACCAAAGTCTGTGAAACTCATAGAACCATTTAAAAACAGAGAGAAACGACATTGAAGAAGTTATCCCATCACACATGACATAAAGACACTTAAGGAAAACAATACCTGCTAATGACTAGTTTACTAAAAAAAAAAAAAAAAAAAAAAAGGGCCGGGCGCGGTGGCTCACGCCTGTAATCCCAGCACTTTGGGAGGCCGAGGCGGGCAGATCATGAGGTCAGGAGATCAAGACCATCCTGGCTAACACGGTGAAACCCCATCTCTACGAAAAATACAAAAGAATTAGCCGGGTGTGGTGGCAGGCACCTGTAGTTCCAGCTACTCAGGAGGCTGAGGCAGGAGAATGGCGTGAACCCAGGAGGCAGAGCTTGCAGTGAGCCGAGACCACGCCACTGCACTCCAGCCTGGGCGACAGAGCGAGACTCCATCTCAAAAAAAAGGAATTGAACTACCATGGAGAAGAATTAGAATTAGCAGCTGCTACAAATAATCTCCTGGAACTGTTATGTCATAGAGCAAAGCAAAGAGATTTTTAGAACAAGTATAAATAAAATGCTCAAATGAGGAAAAAAATGAATAGAAATGAGGGAAAAAATGAATAGAAATGTAAGACAAAGACAAGATATTTTGAAAAATGGCAGATTTGGGAAATAACAAAATAGAAATTATAGAAATGAGACATGAAGTAATTAAAATAAAATCACTGGCCCCCAGAACTTTGTTTCTCATACCATTCTCCAAGGAACCGGGACTTCTTAGAGAAGTGGCTGATCCCAGGGCTGGGCCAGGGAATGGTGAAGATGGGGCTTGGAGCAGCCTAAAGTTCAGGGAAATGCTAACCAAAAGAAAGTAGGCATCGCGATATTAATAGCAGACAGAATCAAAATTAGGAAAGAAATAGCATTAATAAGAATCAATGGGGTCCGGCGCGGTGGCTCACGCCTGTAATCCCAGCACTTTGGAAGGCCGAGGCGGGTGGATTACCTGAGGTCGGGAGTTTGAGACCAGCCTGGCCAACATGGAGAAACCCTGTCTCTACTAAAAATAGAAAAATTAGCCAGGCATACATAGTGGTGCACACTTGTAATCCCAGCTACTTGGGAGGCTGAGGTAGAAGAATTCGCTTGAACCCGGGAGGCAGAGGTTGCAGTGAGCTGAAATCACACCACTGCACTCCAGCCTGGGCAACAGAGCAAGACTCCATCTCAAAAAAAAAAAGAAAAGAAAAAAAATCAATGGGAACACTACTTGATGATAAAAGGAAATATTTACCAAGTCAGTTTAGCAATGATGACCTTTTATGGTTTAAATAACATAAATCATTTTGAAATAAAATTATTTTCATTACTTTTTAAAACGTACGGATGGAATCTAAGAAGCATGGATATTTGATGCCCACCATCAAAGAACTGAAAAACATACAAACAAGCTCTTCTTATGGAGTCAGAAAAGTTTTCTTTTTGTCCTTGACCTAATACTTACAGTTCACTTACCCAAAATTTTTTCCCAATATACACTACTTAGTGATTGACAGTATTTCATTGATCACTCTATCCTATTTCTCCACAAGAAATATATTTATATAATTATATATATAATTACTTCTAGTGACTATAGAATTTTTAAAATTTCTTTTGGATAGAGTCATAATTTAAGGAGAAAACAATTGATCAAAACAGTATAGCTGTAGTCACCCTACAGTGCTATAGCACACTAGAACTTATTCTTCCTATGTAAGTTGTAATTTTGTATCTATTAGCCAGCCCCTCCCTATCCTCTCCTCCTCCCATTATTGTATATTTTCAAATAACTAAAGGAGAGAATTTCAGATGTTCCCAACATAAAGAAATCATAAATGCTTGAAGTGATAAATATGCCAATTACTCTGATTTGATTATTACATATTGTGTATATGTATCAAAATATCACTCTGTACTCCATAAATATGTTCATTTATTACATATCAATTAAAAATAATTTTTAAAAGAAAAAATCAATATATTAAGATTTTTGATAGTAACAAAAAGTAAAATTGTATAAAACTACATCTTTTAGTGAATGGTTGGAACTTTTTAAAAACTATTTGATAGATCTGCTAATAAATATAGCTTATTAATAGAAGGAGTCAAGATCAGGCATCAATATCTTTCCTGTTTTTTAAGTAGATGTCCCAAGGAGCCTGTTCACATAAGTAAGTAGGTATGAATCAAAAAGTTTTATTTTTTAAAAAGTCACTCTACGTTCTGAACTCTTCCCTAAATATACACCATTAAAAGTTATTTGTAATGACTATCGGCGACAATTCATTAGGTCTTTCTTCAATTTTTGTTGAAAGTAAAGAATTAGAAACTGTGTAACTTGCCAAATGATTACCTCGTAATCACTGTAGTCATTCAATTTGTCAATTCTGTCACCAATTTTTTAATTTTCCCTTGCACATTACCCCTGGAAGTATTTCTACCCCAGTGTAATACATCATAATCGATTCAGAATCAATGAGCATGTCTTTCTTTATAAAGTGGGAGAAGGAGATTGTTAAAAAGGATCTGGGAAGGGGAACCCCTGCAAGCTCCCAGCCTGGCAGTTCAGGGCAACAGTCCTCTTCTGCCCCTGATGAAGTAACTGGGACTGGATGCACCATCTCTGGTAACCAGGAGAACACTTGACAAATATATGAAACAACCACTTTCAGACACTGGATAGCACGAAGTGCAAAACAAGACAGAAACTAATGAGGTGAGCCCTACACTTGCCCGAGCTCTCTGCCCACAGGCATGTTCAGAATCAGGGCACAGGGAAGGGGAATCCAGTCAGTGCACGGGAACCTCTGGGAGTGGAGGAGAAAGAGATCCGAGAGTGGGGAGTTGAGGCTAATGGAGTCTGTGGGGCACAGGATCAGAGAAGAGGGCATATGCCAGGAAAGAGCTCCGGAAATCACATACAAGTTCCCAGGTATGCACGTATCAGAGGTTTTTCAACTGCTCCCCTATATATGGGCACCTGATTTATTTACAATGTGCTTGTGCAGGTAAATTTTCATATTGTTGGAGATATAGCTCCATGATAAATTCCTGGAAGAGGAATCCATGGGTGAAAAAGATAAATGCACATATTGTTTACTCAGATAATGCCAAATTCCCCTTTCGGTGACTTTCCCCTCCATTGAGGTATACCAATTTGCACACTAGCATTGTTACAATAAATTCTATTTTCCTTTCCCCATGGCTCCCAACACAATGTGTTTTAAATATTTTAAATTTTGCCAATCTGATAGATTAGAAATTACATCTCATTATAGTTTACATTTCTCTTAATATGAGTGAGGTGGAGCAACTTTTCATATGTTTAAAGGCCATTTTTGTATTCCTTTCTGTGAATTGTTTGTCTTTTTCTACTTTTTAAAAATACTTTTCCTCTCAATTTTTAAGACTTCTTTAAATATTGGGAATATTAGCCCTTCATCCCTGATATATGTTTTAAATAATTTTTCCCAGCTTCAGTTGGTTTTTGACTTATTGTACTTTATGCTGTGCAAACTTTTTAATGCTTACATACTCATGTTTATTAATCTTTTTTATTGTATCTGGATTTTAAGTTTGAATTTAACATGTTTCTTGCATGGCTTTATCTTTTACAATTAGACCTCTGATCCACTTAGAGTTGATTATTGTGTGAGGTATGAGGTATAAGGTGTGAGGTCTAATTCTAATTTTATCTTTTCCAGTTGGCCAACCAGATGTGCCAGCAACTAGATTATTTATTACAAACTCTACTTTTTCCCGTGTGATTTGAAATACAACCTTTACCACCAAATGTCTCTATACACTTGGGGCTGTTCCTGCAATTGTAATTCTATTGCACCGGTCTCTCCATTCATGAGCCAGTAAGGAGTCTGTTAACTAAATAGGCTTTTTTTTTTTGGCGGCGGGGAGGGGAGCGGATGGAGTCTTGCTCTGTTGCCCAGGCTGGAGTGCAGTGGCAGGATCCCAGCTCACTGCAGCCTCTGCCTCCTGGGTTCAAGCGATTCTCCTGCCTCAGCCTCCTGAGTAGCTGGTATTACAGGAGCCTGCCATCATGCATGGCTAATTTTTGTATTTTGTTTGTTTGTTTGTTTGTTTGTTTTTGGTAGAGACCGGGTTTTGCCATGTTGGCCAGGCTGGTCTCGATCTCCTGGCCTCAGATGATCCACTCGCCTTGGCCTGCCAAAGTGCTGGGATTACAGAGAAGATATTTTAATGTCTGGTAGGACTAGTTGTGCACACATGCGTGCACGTGCTCACAGGCTTGCACGTGCTCACAGGCGTGCACGTGCTCACACACACACACACACAAGACTTTGTACATCATTGAACATTAGTCTGCCTATTCTTGGTTATGTATTTTTGCACATGAACTTGAGTATTAACTTGTCGACTTCCAGAAAACTTATTTTGTATTAGGATTATATTAAGTTTTTAAATTACCTTAGGGAAAACTGACAACTTACTGTGTTGAGTCATCTACCCAAGAACAGGGGGTGTCTTTCCATTTGTTCAAAGCTACTTCTATACCTCTCAGGAGCATTGAAAAGTTTTCTTCATATGTGTTTTCCACATTTATTTGTTGCTATTAAAAGGAGGTTTATTACATCATCATTATTCCCTGTTACTGTTTTAGATATGAAGGCTATTGATTCCTGTGTGTTAATTTTATATCTCACTACCTTACTAAACCTTTTATGGTTTGGATCCATTTGATGATTGATTCACTGGGATTTTCCAAGTATACTATCAGATCATTTGCAAATAGGTATAGTTTTACACCTTATTTTCCAAGTATAATATCTCTAATCAATTTCTCTTGGCTAATTGGATTTCCCAATGTCCTCAATGCAATGTGAGAAAGAAATGGAGATAGTAAGCATCACTGCCTTTTTCCAGTCAAAGTGGAAATGCCTCTGGTATTTCTCCATTAACCAAAATGATGTGAATGTGTGTTTTATAAAGAAAGCACATATCAATTTCTATTTTGTGTTGAATGGGTATTGAATTTAGTAAGACAGTCTTTAGTAATTACAGAGATAGTCATGTATGTCTCTTAGATATATTAATATGGGGTATTACATTAATGGATTTTCTAATACTGAACCAATCTTGCATTCTGAGAATAAATCCTACTTTGGCCATGAAATATCATACACATAACTCATATTAGTCTGCATTTCTTTTTGTTCTTGCTCTGCTGCCTGCCCAGGCTAAAGTGCAAGAACACGATCTCAGCTTACTGCAGCCTCCAGCTGCAGGGTTCAAGCGATTCTCCCACCTCAGCCTCCAAGTAGCTAGGACTACAGGAATGCACTACAATTATTATTATTATTATTATTGTGAGACAGGGTCTTGCTGTGTTGCCCAGTCTGGTCTTGAACTCCCGGCCTCAAGTGATCCTCCCACCTCACCTCCCAAAGTGCTGGGATTACTGGTGTCAGCCACTGTGCCTGGCTATGCTATGATTATAAAGTTTAAGTAACCCTGTTACTCTTGGTTCAATAATTAGGAAGTTTTTCCTCATTTTCAATGTTCTGGAATAATTTGTGGAGTATTGGGATGTTCTGGTCTCTAAAGGTTTGATGGAATTTTCTCTGGAACCATATGGGCCTGATGAAATTTTTAAAGACAGTGTTTTAATATTAATAGTGTATTTCTTCTTTTATGGAAAATTGTGTTTAAGCTTTCTAACTTTAATGGGAGTTGATTTTGGCCAACTGTATTTCCCTAGGAAATTATTCACTTAATCTAAGTTTTTAACTGTATTTGTGTAGTGGTCTGAAAGTAGTCTCATAGGAATTTTTAAATTCCTGTTGTTTTCATGGTTTTATACAGCTCATTGATAAAAATCAATGTCTATAAATACAAGTGATCACTGAAGTGATCTAACACTGTTCGCATAATCACATCCTTAGTTCCAAGTATGTATATTTTATTTGTCACAAGTTAATATCTTAAGTCTTCTTAACTTGAACAATGAAAACAATTTATTCCTTCTGGTAACTGACAACTTATGGTGTGGCTTATTTTCCTTAATTCTAGCAATTCCAAGAAAAAGGAAAAAAATACAAAATGTCAGAAAAAAAAGTACATATCATCAATTCAACAACTGGAAACAGTTTCAGGATTGAAAGTTTCATCCAGTAACAGAAGAGCACAGTCAGTGCTCATACAAGAATTCACTGATGACATCTTGGGCTCCTGAGCTATAAAGTGCTGTTAAATCCAGAATGTGAAATACATTATGTGAAAAGTAATACTCCAAATGTAAATGTATAAGTTGCCCTTTTCAAGAAGGACTTACAAATATATTAGATTTAATTTTCTTTTAGCTAAACAGAACTTTTTAAGATTTAGTATTTTTTCTTAACAAACAGAAGCTTCTAATTCCTTTTAAGATTAACAAGTAAGATGCAAAATACTAAACAAAGTTACTGAAACAGAGGTATTAAGGACAAACTGAACTTTTATAGTTCACTGACTTCTGCAGTAATTAAAAGTCTGAGACTCCCCTGAAGACTGAATTGGGTATGTCATAGATGTTTAATCATAGCCATCTTATCTGAGTGACATTAGTTACTCTATAGTGCAACATAATCTTTCACAAATTTCTGTTCATTGCAGTGTCATTCCATTCCCTTGTAGACCTCAGATATTAGTAGTCTTTTTTTCTGTGAAGTACAGTCTTGATGAGCTTAGAAGTGTATTTTATATTTTTCGTGAGTTAAAAAAAGTTATCTTTTTTCAAGACAGAAGTACACTTTACAGAAATAATGAAATCCCAGGAGTGATTTGGATTACTGTGGGATGGTGCCAGCACTGGCTGTGGGCAGTACTTAGAACTATGCCCTGTTATGCATCTTTTAGGAGATAGGTTCTACAGAACTGTATGGGTTTTTTTCAAGGTTCTAATGAAAGGTGATTCAATTCAAAGAAAATATTAGAAGTCAGTACAGATGCATGGGAGAAGAAATATAGGGCAATAATATTAATATCAATGTATCAAATTATATCTGTATTTAAAAGCATGGATTCCATAAATTCAAGTGAAATACTTTAATTTCAAGGCTCATCATTGTCATAAATCATAAAGAATATCATAAATACATAACTATTAAAATGCAGGCATTTATTGTGTAAATACAACTACATATAGACAGTAGTATCTTTGCATAGTTCATTATTAAACCAAAACACAAGTTTTTATGTACAAAAACATTCCGTAGAGAAGTGAGAAAATAAAAATAAAAACCCACATATGGGTCTCTATAAATGTCAACATTACACCTATGTGTAATGTTACATTATGTTGTGGTCAAGTCTAACAAGAAGTGGATTGCTGAAGATCGTGAATGCTTCACTGGTTAATCATGAATTTATAGACACTGATCTTTCTCTGGAGAGTATTTGGCCAGTATGAAAGTTAATTTATCCTTGTAGTATTCTATGAAAATAAACTTTCAGGAACTTGGGTGTTTTAGAAACCACTGCTTGGGCACTAAGGAGGGAATGAGTTCTTTCAAAAACATTTTTGTTTTTGTATTCAGTTCTTTAATCAGACAAGAAGTTATTTTTCATGTGGATGTGAAGTAGGCAAATAATTTTCTTTTGCTTTCTGAGTGGGAATACCCAGTTGTCTCAAAAGTCAGTCCATTCCTTCTTTATCCGTAATGCTATTTTTGTCATATATAAAGCTATTTTTAATGGGTGCCCTATTCTCGTCTGTTGTTCTGGCTTTTTTCTTCTTAAACCAGTATCTCCCTAATAGCTGTACAATGCATCTGGTACCTGCTAGGGCAAGTGTCCCCACCATGTCTTCTTCAGAGTTGTATTGGCTGTTTTTAGACATTTATTTTTCATGTAATTTTTTTTTTTGAGACAGAGTCTCACTCTGTCATCCAGGCTGGAGTGCAATGGCATGATCTCAGCTCACTGCAGCCTCCACCTCCTGGGTTTAAGTGATTCTCCCACCTTAGCGCCCTGAGTAGCTGGAATTGCAGGTGCATGCCACCATGTCCAGCTAATTTTTGTATTTTTGTAGAGACGCGGTTTCATCATGTTGGCCAGGCTGGTTTCAAACTCCTGACCTCAAGTGATTCACTCACGTTGGCCTCCCAGAGTGCTGGGATTGCAGGTGTGAACTACCATGCCTGGACTGTTTTTCATGTAAATTTTAAAATCAATTTTTCAGGTTTTTTGAAAAACTCTCCTGGTTTTTTTTTATTGGAATTACACTGAATTCATGCCTTTATAATCGTGAAGTCTCTTGTCCATAAATATGGTATATCTCTCTATTCACACAGCCTTTTATATGTCCTTTAATATTTTATGATATTCTCCATTTAGGTTTGGCCCATAATTATTAGAATTCATTACCAGGGTGTTTATAGTTTTTGTTTCTATTGAGAATGGGTTCTTTTTTCTGTTAAATTTTCAAAGTGATTATTATTGATTTTTTCATGATAGTTTTTAAGCCAGCAACTTTACTGATCATTGTTATTAGTTTACATATATATGTATATAAAAATACATACATATGCCGAGAGAGAGAGAGAGAGAAAGAGGAAGATGGGGTCTTGTTATATTGTCCAGGCTGGCCTTGAACTCCTGGGCTCAAATGATCCTTCTGCCTCAAATGATCCTTCTGCCTCAGCCTCCCAAGTAGCTGGAACTACAGATGCACACCACCATACCCAGCTTAGTTTTAATATTTTGATTGTAGAACTCAACTGATTTTTCCATTAAGATGATGATAGTGCCGAAAAAAGAGTCATCCTTTTTATTATTATACTTCTTACTTCTCAGATCCCTGTATTGTTACTTTGGCTGGGACAAATGTTGGCTAGAAAGAGTAACGATGGACATCTGTGTTTACTTCCTGACTTTGAGAAATGCTTCTAAATTTTTTAAATGAAATTATGTCTGCTATAGGTTTTTGGTAAATATTAATACCTATTATCAAATTAAGAAAGTTCCATTTTGGTCTAAGTACCCACCTCTCCTTTTTCTTTCAAACAGTGTGTGTAAGAGCAATCAAAGGTTTGGTGTAAACTCACATATGAAATGAAAGAGCCAGTACATTTTGGGGAAGTTGGATTATTTACACTTCCACTTCAATGTATTTAATGAAGTTTCTCTTTTCAAGTTTTGTACATCTTCAGGTCCATTTTGGTTGTTTCCTTGCTAGAAATTTTTCCTTGTTACTCATTATGAGCATATAATTATTCATAATTATTCATAAATGTTTATGCTAAAAGCATGTTATCTTTTGCTTTAATGCAAGGTTTGTATGTAAGCGGCTACTAGGTCAATCTTGCAAATTACATTGTTAACATCTTCTATATACTTAGTATTTTTGCCTTGTTTTTCTCTTTTTTTTTTTTTTTTTTTTTTTTTTTAGACGGAGTCTTGCTCTGTTGCCCAGGCTGGAGTGCAGTGACACGATCTCGGCTCACTGCAAGCTCCGCCTCCTGGGTTCACGCCATTCTCCTGCCTCAGCCTCCCAAGTAGCTGGGACTACAGGCGCCCGCCACCACACCCGGGTAATTTTTTGTATTTTTAGTAGAGACGGGGTTTCACCCTATTAGCCAGGGTGGTCTCGATCTCCTGACCTCATGATCTGCCCGCCTCGGCCTCCCAAAGTGCTGGGATTACAGGCGTGAGCCACCGCGCCGGGCCTGAATTCTTCCTTTTAATCATAAGTAATGTTACCCTTTTGCCCTTATTTTGTCTGGTATTACAATTGCTATACCTGGTCCTACTTTCTTTTGCACTGATTTACATTTTCCAAGTGTTTTATTTTCAATATGTTTGCAGCATTATGTTTCAGTTGTTTCTCTATGTTTCAAATTTTTTGGTTTGAGATTTTCTTTTAATGGGTTAATTTAGCCCATTTATATTTATTATGGTAACTGGTTTATTTGCCACATTTCTATCATTTTGTTTTATTTACCATGCTTTTTCTTTTCATTTTTTCTCCTTTTTCTTTTTTTGTTGGATTAATAAACTTTTCCTCCTCTCCACCCATATTTCCCCCAATAGTTCTATTTTTATTCTTTCAATGATTGTCTTTTGTTTATATGCACAGACACAAATTAATACTTGTCAACCAAGTCTACATCAATACCACCTTCTTCCCAAATAATATTTTTAAAAACTTAGTCACTTCCATCCAAACTTCCCTTTCATTGTGGTTTTATTTCAGCATTGCTTTTATTCATCTCCCTGCTTTATTTTTTCAGGCCATATCTATTTAGCTTTACCAGCACATTTTGTAATGTCCACTGCTTCTTCTTGGAAACATTCTTTTCTTCTTATTTAATTTCCATAAGTACATTTTTTGGTGAAGATCTATAGATTGTACATTTGTTCCCTGTGTCTGAAATGTCCAGTTTCCTTTATAGTCAAGTGCTGGTTAGGCTGAGCCAGATTTCTATCTAGGCTGACAATAATTTTACACGAGTATTTTAAAATATATTACTCATTAGTGCACTTTTGATTCTTTAGAGATCATGTGATTTTCATTCTGAATTCTTTTAAGATTTTATTGTTAATGTTGGCCATCTGCAGTTTCACCACGGTGTCTGGTATGTGTTAGTTTATACTTGAGTATCAGTGAACTTCTTCAGTTCTTCAGTTTCAGAAACTCATGTTCTTTTTCAATTTTGGAAAATTATTAGCCATAGTTCTTCATATGTATGTCTTCCTCATTCTCTAGAGGGTAGAGGTTTTTCACTTGTAGTCTGTGGACCCCATCAAGAGACCTTTTCACTGGGGTGGTAGCGAGCTCCCTCCTTCCCCTTGATAAAGTCACTTTTCTTCAGCCTTCACCTATAAGGTGTCTGACTACTCCTACAGGACAACTGGCTTGGTGCTCGGCACGTTGGCCTGGGGTAGAGATGAGGGCAAAGTGAGGCTGACATGTGCTACTTATACTGAGGTGTTCGATGAGGAATCAGCCTCTGATCCCAAACACCTCATGTGCGTATTCAGGATAAAATTACTAAAGATGAGTACAAAAACCCAACAGTTCCTAAATGATGCAAGGTCACTTTCAACATATTTTCAGTTATCTTTCTATCTAATTTCTCAAATTAGAAAATAGATTTTTTTCATTGAAATTATTGTTCTTTCTCCTCTGACCTCCAAACCCCCCACCGTGACCCTTTCTGGACAGATCACTTAGGTCAGCTGACAACTCCTTTCAACTTTTCTCCTGCCCAGTTCTCTAATTTGCTGTAAATGTGCATGTTTTCGTTGCTTTTTTGCAACCTTATAGAAGAAGGTGAGCCTCATCGTTTCCAAGGTTGCATCTGCCACCTATGTCCTTGGTGCCATCCCCTCCCATAATCACCTTCTGTGTCTCTGCGGACTCTAGCTTCTTCTTTGGCTCCAAGTAATCCAGGTGCCTGCAAATGAAACAATGACAATTTATTGCATCTAGATTCATTCAGATGTCATATTCATAGAATCCTTTCTAAGAACCTACCAAAGGGAAATTTCTATAAGCTAAAATTCCTCTTTTAAATACAAAGCTGTGGAAATTCAACACAGTCTCTATGCCAATTTATAAAAACCCACAAGATGCTCAATGCCAGCTTCAAAAAGCCTTTCACATTCTTTTCCAGAGGAGTAAATCCGGTTGATTTTGGTGTTTTGAAAACTAGAAAGGGACTAAATTTTAAGAATAATTGTACTTGAAGCCATGAAGTAAGATTTTAAAAACATATTGTTAAATATGGAAGTGTTCACCAGTTTTCATTTTCAATGACATTTTAATAACTGTACTTCTATAAGATACCTCAGAAAGGCAAGTACCACATGTTCTCACTTATAGATGGAAACTAAGTGATGTGTACACATGGACGTAGTGTGTGGAATGATAGCCGTAGCAGGTTGGGAGGATCAGGGGGTGAGGGATGAGAAATCACTTAATGGGTACAGTGCATGCCATTCGGGCAATGGTTAACTGAAAGCCCAGACTTTGCCTCTATGTAATATATTCATGTAACAAAACGACACTTGTACCCCCTAAATCTATACATATTTTTAAACTGTACTGATAAATATGGAGATTTTCTTTTATATTAAATTGTTTTTCCAAATGTGACATTTGAAAAAAAATGGTGTCTCCAAAAACATGTATTAGGTAATACTAGGAAATTTTTAAAGAAATATAAAAATCATGTTCAGTTTAGTCTTAGTGCTGAGTACATGTATTAGATTTCAAGTTTTTGAAAATTGGAAATTTTTGTATGGTATGTAAGGTGAGTTACCCATTCTTCAGCCATTGATAATCCTCTGAACTGTTTCCTGAAAATAAAAGATTAGGTTTTCTTATCATACTTATATTCATGCTTCCTGGTCTCTCATCCTATTTGTAAAATTTGGGCTTAATAAGAGCCTGAAAAAGCTTTAAATTGATGCACTGTTCATATTTTTCAGTAAGTTTTCTTCTTCTTCTTTTTTTTTTTTTGAGATGGAGTCTCACTCTGTCATCCAGGCTGGAGTGCAGTGGCAGGATCTCAGCTCACTGCAGCCTCTGCCTCCTGGGTTCAAGCAATTCTCCTGCCTCAGCCTCCCAGGTAGCTGGGATTACAGGCATCCACCACCATGCCCAGCTCATTTTTGTATTTTAAGTGGAGACAGGGTTTCACCATATTGGCCAGGCTGGTCTCAAACTCCTGACCTCAATTGATCCACCTGCCTCAGCCTCCCAAAGTGTTGGGATTACAGACGTGAGCCACTGAGCCTGGCCTTCTCTTTTTTTAAAAATGACATTAATATGACATGAGCAATAACTATTAAGGTCATACATGTTTGACTGTTCATAGTCTATAAATTCAATTAAAAATGAATATGGGGTAAACTTTGGAAAATTACTGACTTCTATTTATTTTTATTTAAAAAGGAGCACAACTTAAAACTCGCCTGCTTTGTAGCAGCTCAGTACCATAGGAAAAATACTACTCCTGCCTTAGCAATCAAGTCACCTTAATTGTATTTTTTATAACACCAATTATGATGGTTAGTACTGAGTCTCAACTTGATTGGATTGAAGGATTCAAAGTATTGATCCTGGTTGTGTCTGTGAGGGTGTTGGCAAAGGAGATTAACATTTGAGTCAGTGGGCTGGGGAAGGCAGACCCACCCTTAACCCCAGTGGGCACAATCTAATCAGCTGCCAGCGAATATAAAGCAGGCAGAAAAATGTGAAAAGGTGAGACTGGCCTAGCCTCCCAGCCTACATCTTTCTCTATGCTGGACGCTTCCTGCCCTTGAACATCAGACTCTAAGTTCTTCAGTTTTGAGACTTGGACTGGCTCTCCTTGCTCCTCAGCTTGAAGACAGCCTATTGTGGGACCTTGTGATCATGTAAGTTAATGCTTAATAAACTCCCCTTTATATATATCTATATCTATATATCTATATCTGTATCTATATAGCTATATATATAGAGTTTTGAACAGTATATATATATATAGAGAGAGAGAGAGAGAGTTTTGAACTTTGAGAGATCTCACAGTTGATTGGTGTATTAGTCAGGGTTCCCTAGAGGGACAGAACTAATAAGATATGGACTTGGAATATCTTACATTGATGGACATCTGTGTTTACTTCCTGACTTTGAGAAATGCTTCTAAATTTTTTAAATGAAATGATGTCTGCTATAGGTTATATATATATATATATATATATATAATCTTATTCTGTCCCTAATAAGATATGTATATAAGATATATATAAAGGTATATATATATAAGATATATATCTTATTAGTTCTGTCCCTCTAGGGAACCCTGACTAATACAGATGTTAGTACCAGGAGTGGTTCTAAAGGAACAGAATATTAAGGGTGGAGTTCTTGATCACTTTTCGCTCCCACAAGATATCACACTGGTCCATTACATTGATGACATTATGCTGATTGGATCCAGTGAGCAAGAAGTGGCAAACACACTGGACTTATTGGTGAGATATTTGTGTGCCAGAGGATGGGAAATACATCCAACTAAAATTCAGGGACCTTCTACCTCAGTAAAATTTTTAGGGGTCCTGTGGTGTGGGGCCTGTCAAGATACTCCTTCTAAGGTGAAGGATAAGTTGCTGCATTTGGCCCCACCTGCAACCAAGAAAACGGCACAATGCCTAGTGGGCCTATTTGGATTTTGGAGGCAACACATTCCTCATTTGGGTGTGTTACTTCGGCCCATTTATCGAGTGACCCAAAAGGCTGCCAGTTTTTAGTGAGGTCCAGAACACGAGAATGCTCTGCCACAGGTCCAGGCTGCTGTGAAAGCTGCTCTGCCGCTTGGGCCATATGACTCAGCAGATCCAATGGTGCTTGAGGTGTCAGTGGCAGATAGGGACGCTGTTTACAGCCTTTGGCAGGCCCTTACAGGTGAATCACAGTGGAGGCCTCTAGGATTTTGGAGCAAGGCCCTGCCATCTTCTGAAGATAACTACTGTCCTTTTGAGAGACAACTCTTGGCCTGTTACTGGGCTTTGGTGGAAACTGGAAGTTTGACTGTGGGTCATCAAGTCACCATGTGACCTGAACTGCCTATCGTAAACTGGGTGGGTGCCTTTTGACCCATCTAGCCATAAAGTGGGTCGTGCACAACAGCATTCCATCATCAAATGGATGTGGTATATATGCGATCGTGCTCGAGCAGGTCCTGAAGGCACATGTAAGTTACATGAGGAAATGGCTCAAATGCCCATGGTCTCCCCTTCTGCCACCCTGCCTTCTCTTCCCCAGCCTGCACCAATGGCCTCATGGGGAGTTCCCTATGATCAGTTGAGAGAGGAAGAGAAGACTAGGGCCTGGTTCACAGATGGTTCTGTATGATATGCAGGCACCACCCAAAAGTGGACAGCTGCAGCACTACAGCCCCTTTCTAGGACATCCCTGAAGGACAGCAGTGAAGGGGAATCTTCCCAGTGGGCAGAACTTTGAGTAGTGCACCTGATTGTGCACTTCGCATGGAAGGAGAAATGGCCAGATATGCAATTATATACTGATTCATGGGCTGTAGCCAATGGTTTGGCTGGATGGTCAGGGACTTGGAAGAAGCATGATTGGAAAATTGGTGACAAAGAAATTTGGGGAAGAGATATGTGGATGGACCTCTCTGAGTGGTCAAAAAATGTGAAGATATTTGTATCCCATGTGAGTGCTCACCAACTGGTGACCTCAGCAGAGAAGGATTTTAATAATCAAGTGGATAGGATGACCCGTTCTGAGGACACTACTCAGTCTCTTTCCCCAGTCACCCCTGTCATTGTCCAATAGTCCCATGAACAAAGTGGCCATGGTGGCAGGGATGGAGGTTACGCATTGGCTCAGCAACATGGACTTCCGCTCACCAAGGCTATTCTGGCTACAGCCACTGCTGAGTACCCAGTTTGCCAGTAGCAGAGACCAACACTGAGCCCTTGATATGGCACCATCCTTGGGGTGATAAGCCAGCTACCTGGTGGCAGTTGGATTATATTGGACCTCTTCCATCATGGGAAGGGCAGAGGTTTGTCCTCACTGGAATAGACAGTCTGGATATGGGTTTGCCTATCCTGCATGCAATGTTTCTGCCAAGACTACTATCTGTAGACTCATGGAATGCCTTATCCACCATCATGGTATTCCACACAGCATTGCCTCTGATCAAGGCACTCCCTTTATGGCTAAAGAAGTGCAGCAGTGGGCTCATGCTCATGGAATTCACTGGTCTTACCATGTTCCCCATCATCCTGAAGCAGCTAGATTGATAGAACGGTGGAATGTTCTTTTAAAGTCACAATTACAGTGCCAACTAGGTGACAATACTTTGCAGGGCTGGGGCAGAGTTCTCCAGAAGGCCGTGTATGCTCTGAATCAGCGTCCAATATGTGGTACTGTTTCTCCCATAGCCAGGACTCATGGGTCCAGGAATCAAGGGGTGGAAGTGGAAGTGGCACCACTCGCCATCACCCCAGTGATCCACTAGCAAAATTTTTGCTTCCTGTTCCTGCGACATTACGTTCTGCTGGCCTAGAGATCTTAGTTCCAGAGGGAGGACTGCTGCCACCAGGAGACACAACAATGATTCCATTAAATTGAAAGTTAAGATTGCCACCTGGACACTTTGGGCTCCTCCTATGTTTAAGTCAACAGGCTAAGAAGGGAGTTCCAATGTTGGCTGGGGTGATTGACCCAGACTATCAAGATGAAATCATTTGGCCGGGCGCGGTGGCTCATGCCTGTAATCCCAGCACTTTGGGAGGCCAAGGTGGGCAGATCATGAGGTCAGGAGATTGAGACCATCCTGGCTAACACAGTGAAAGCTGTCTCTACCAAGATTAGCCGGGCATGGTGGTAGGCACCTATAGTCCTAGCTACTTGGGAGGCTGAGGCAGGAGAATGGCGTGAACCCAGGAGGCAGAGCTTGTAGTGAGCCGAGACCACACCACTGCACTGCAGCCTGGGCAACAGAGTGAGACTCCGTCTCAAAAAAAAAAGATGAAATCAGTCTACTACACCACAGAGGTAAGGAAGAATATGCATGGAATACAGGAGATCCATTAGGGCATCTCTTAGTATTACCATGCCCTGTGATTAAGGTCAATGGGAAACTACAACAGCCCAATCCAGGCAGGGCTACAAACGGCCCAGACCTCTCAGGAATGAAGGTTTGGCTCACTCCACCAGGAAAAAAGCCATGACCTGCTGAGGTGCTTGCTGAAGGCAAAGGGAATACAGAATGGGTAGTTGAAGAAGGTAGTCATCAATACCAGCTACGAACACGTGACCAGCTTCAGAAACGGGGACTGTAATTATGAGTATTTTCTCCTTTTTTTTGCTGAAAACATACTTGTGCATGTATACACTTGTACTAAGAAAATATCTTTATTTTCTTTTCCTTTATCATTTTACATAAGATTTATTGACTTCATAGCAGCATTTAAGTATTGTTAACTTATGTAATAGTATTTGGGTTGGGGATTGGTGCGTTTCCAGTTGTAGGAAGGATAGTTGTATTATGTTGGGTGTAATTATGACCTTATTATCTTTATTTGAAGATTATGTGTGATCTCAGGAGATGTGTATGGGTTCAAGGGGTGGACTTGTGATGGTTAATACTGAGTGTCAACTCGATTGGATTAAAAGATACAAAGTATTGGTCCTGGGTGTGTCTGTGAGGGTGTTGCCAAAGGAGATTATCATTGGAGTTAGTGGGCTGGGGAAGGCAGACCCACCCTTAATTGGGTGGGCACCATCTAATCAGTGGCCAGCAAATATAATGCAGGCAGAAAAATGTGAAAAGGCTCCCAGCCTACATCTTTTTGTCATGCTGGATGCTTCCTGCCCTCGAACATTGGACTCCAAGTTCTTCAGTTTTGAGACTCGGACTGGCTCTCTTTGCTCCTTAAGCTTTCAGACAGCCTATTGTGGGACCTTGTGATCATGTAAGTTAATACTTAATAAACTCCCCTTCCTACTAGTTATGTCCTACTATAACTACTAGTTATGTCCTACTAGTTATATCCTACTAGTTATGTCCCTCTAGGGAACCCTGACTAATACACCAATCAACTGTGAGATCTCTCAAAGTCAACTTCCAAGTCTTTTGTATACATCTTTAATTGAACTAATGAGAAGAGAGTGAATCAAATTCTGAAAGCAAAGTTAGTGCCTTATGTCCAGTGTCTTATGTCCTAAGAAGAAAACTGCCATGATGGGACCTAAATATTTAATATAGAAATATACATATTTATATATAATATATATTTAATATTACACACACACATAAGCATTTGGATATATTTCTGTGACACTGTTCAAAACTCTTTTACTTTTCATTGAAGTCATAATATTTATGTATTTACCTATTCAGAAAAGAGGGTAAACTAAAATATAACAAAGACAGAAAACAAGTTATTTTGTATCTGAGTACTGTTCAATGTGTTAATGGAAATGTATACTTCAGAGCAATCTTATCTCAGCCTTTTGGTAAAATGTGTCTCAATCTGGGTTGAACTGAAATTTCTCATCTCCAAGTCTAGAAATAATGCAAAGGGTAAGAAGTTTGCTCTTCTTAGCAGCGTCCCATTATAACATGGTTAAAAACTAGTAAATGATCAGGTTGAAGTCATTTTGTTGTCGTTTAATGACTGATCTTGGAAACACCCACTTTCACAAGGATCTTCAAGGTCACAGATAGTTTGCCTGAAATTGACCAGGCTTCAAAGGTGCTTCTGTGTTCTTCCTTCCTTCCACTCCTCCACGCAAGAAAAATGTAGACAATTATCCAAGGTCAAAATAGCAAACTGGGGCCAGGCGTGGTGGCTCACGCCTGTAATCCCAGCACTTTGGGAGGCCAAGGCGGGTGGATCCCGAGGTCAGGAGTTCGAGACCAGCCTGGCCAAGATGGTGAAATCCCGTCTCTACTAAAAATACAAAAATTAGCTGGACACGGTGGCGGGTGCCTGTAAACCTAGGTACTTGGGAGGCTGAGGCAGGAGAATCGCCTGAAGCCAGGAGGTTGTGGTTGCAGTGAGCCAAGACCACACCACTGTATTCTCTAGCCTGGGTGACAGAGCAAGACTCCGTCTCAAAAAAAAAAAAAAGACAAAAAGCAAACTGGGCAGGCAGCCAGACCATGCACATGGAGCTGTACCAAAGTGTTCCCCAGCCTAACTTGACCAATAAATTCCATAAATGTCTCTAAGCGTTTTCTCATACTCAAGGTAAGACTTCAAAATGTGGGGCAGGTCAAACTTCACATGCTCAGAAAATGAAACTTTGTCTTCTATAACAAATAGTCATAGATTAAAAAAAACTTGCCAATTCAAGGGAGCAATTTCATCAGATGTAAAAAGTCTGTTAAATAAATGTTCAGTCAATTTAAGTGCAGATTCATTATCAGGGTACTTCTCTCTTAAGCCACTTCCCTTTCTCTCTGCTCCCTGCCCCTCTCCTCCCATGAAACCCTAGCCTACAATGGGTAGGATTTCCGAATTAGGTATCTTTTTCTGTTTGTTCTGCTTCCTACTGCCCTTTAAGCGTTTCCTTGAAATCAGCATTTCAAACTTTGGGGCTGAGCAGCTGAAAAGTGTTTCAAATGATCACATTGTGCCATCTGGTGGAAATACAGCCTTTTCCAGGCAGAGGCAAGTAAGAGAATTCCTCTGGCTCTTATATTTTTGGTTCTCTTTCTATATTTGGCTTAACCACAAGGAAAGTCTGATAAATTTTACAAAACCAAAAGCCAGCTGAGGCCAACCTCCCTCCTTTCGGTTCTATCAGTTTAGTATTTTTTCCAAAAGAAATCTTTCCATTTGCCCTGTAATGTTTTTAAATAATAATAAAGAAAAGACCAAACTTATATTCTGTCTTATGAACATGTGGAAAATGCATGTGTTGTCCTTAAATCTATCTTTTTTTCTTAAATAAATTGGTGTTTTAACTAAAAAACAAGCCTGCCACAGCTGGTTGAGAGGCCAAGCCAGGAGGACCTCTTGAGCCGGGAGTTCGATTTTGCAGTGTGCCACGATCACAACTGTGAAGAGCCACTGCACTCTAGCCTGGGCAACATAACGAAAATAATTTTGTATAGTAATTCATAAATGGCATTTTCTTCTGAAATAGTATGCCAGAGTACTTAACTATGCCATCGGAAACTGCTGCATGGGATTAGGACTGCCTAATGTTTTTATCGGCTTTTAGAGGATACTAATCTCATAGGCTTTCATTGATACAAAGTTTATATCTTACTTCACATTATTTCTAGATTTATCAATGAATAATGCACAATATGTTACCATTTGAGAATGACTTGAAGACTTACATATCTTACTAGTTATATTTCCCATGCTAAGTTGAGGGATTGCTGGAGTGGCTATTTTTAATACTTTTTTTTTTTTTTTTTGTGCTTCTTTTCCTCATCTCAGATTAGAATCCCCCACTCGGAGTCTAAGCATGGATGCCCCAAGGGGTGTGCATATTCAAGCTCACGCTGGGAAAATTGAGGCGCTTTCTCAAATGGATATTCTTTTTCATAGTAGTGATGGAATGGTGAGTTCATTCACAGATCAGCCTCCTACTGTATGTCCTGATGATATTCCTGAGTACCATGTCTGTAAAGCTATCAGTATTAAATTTCTAGTAGTTTGTAGGAAAACATTGTGAAGGTCATAGAGTAGCAAATGTACAAGGAAAGCAAAAGACAATTTAGCATTGAAAGAAGGGCCAAGAAAGTCTAAAATTATTCTGTATTAGATCCAGACAGCTTTCTTTAACTGGCATTTATGCTATCAAGTGATTTAGTGACTTGTTATTTTCAAGTCGGAAAAAAAAAACACTACAGACGTTCACAGTTTACAGAGAATGTCCATTTTGCCATTTCCTAGGGATGGCTGTCACTAGGAGTCACCCACTAACAACCACTGTCACCTTTCACTGCCCAGAGTGCTGCGTTTAAGCTGCATTTCCAGTTTAAATGAAAATGAAAGATGAAAAATAAGAGTGTTTTTTTCAAAGTCAACTACAATAAAGATAAAATCTGGGACTTCAAGTCTAGAAATACAGTTGTCCCCCTTTATTGACAGGGGATTTGTTCCAAGACCCCTACTGGAAGCCTAAAACCACAGAGAGTACAGAACCCTGTATACACTATCTGTTTTCCTGTGCATACACACCTCTGCTAAAGTTTAACTTATAAATAAGGCTCAGTGAGAGATTAAGAACAATAACTCACAATAAAATGAAGTGATTATGACAATATGCTAGCATCAATGCTCTTGTGCTTTGGAGCCATTATTAATTAAAATTAACGGTGACTTGAACACAAGTACCACAATAACTTAACAGTGGATCTCACCGTGGAGATGGCTCCTCAGTGACTCACGGGCTGGGAGCGTAGACAGCTGGAGATGCTGGACACAGGGATGATTCATGTCCTGGGCTGGACGGCTCAAGATTCCATCACGCTAGTCAGAAAGGGGTGCCATTTAAAATGTATAAATTATTTCTGGAATTTTCCATTTAATATTATCCAGACCAAAGTTGACAGCAGATAACTAAAATCAAAACTAAAACCAAAGAAAGTGAAACAGCAGGCAGCAGGGGAGGAGCTGCTAAAACCTCACTGACACAAGCCAAAGTCACAATGAGGCTTACAGCACACAGTGCTCAATACTGATATTGGAACCCTGTTTGTTAGAAAAAAAAAAAGGAAAAAGCTCAATTTCGGTCAACCAGAAAATCAGACATGTTAGGGATGTTCCTAAATGGTCTAGAAGAAAACCAAGGATTTGGTTTATAAGCTCATTCCAATTGTATGATGCCATATTTATAGATTTGTGCAAACAACTGATCTCATCTTCTTGGCCTAACCCCAGATATTTTCATATGTATGAATGTGCTCAAAATAAGCCACTGCTGCAAGAATTGTCTTGTACATAGCTCTGTCTTACCAAGAGTGAGTGCAGTGAGTGACATGGGTTGTGTTCACTCATGCCACCATTGCCTGACAGACCCTGTGGAATCCAATAGGGATGGCACCACGTCCAAAAGGCTGAAGAAGAGACCCAGAGCCATGGAACAGGACATAGGGTTTATTGAGGACTTAACAGACAGGGCGGTCCAGTAGCAGCGAGCTGGACTGGAAAACTGCTCCCATTTTTAAAAAGCATGCAGGTTATACAGCATTTTCACTTAGCAACAACTTCCATTTAACCCAAAACAAAGGGCCTCGATCCCCCATATGGCCTGTGTTGCAAGGGATGGGCCAGGCGCTCCGATGTCCTTCACAGATGTGGACTGAATCTCAGGGTTTGCCACTCCCAGACTCCTTAGCTCAGAAGGCTGAACACACATTCTTCTTGGATCATAGAGTCATTCTCAGGGATTGCCTGAGTTATTGCAGTCAGGTGCATCTCCATACACCGGGTGAATGTGCTGGGATAAACATCCATGGACGCTGTTAGTACAACAAGAAGGCACATGGGTTTCCAAGCTCCTCCCCAGCCCAGGCCCTATCATCGCACCTGCGGCGATGCACAGACCGCCCCCCACCCATCCACCTCCCCCCCCCCCCCCCCCCGCCAACAGGTGTAACGTGGTGCCGCGGGCAGAGGATTCACCTGGAAGTCAGGAAGCCTGAGTCCTAGTGCTAGATCAAATTCCCTCATTACCTGTTTGAATTCAGGACTCTTATCCGGCCCTCTCTAGGCCTGTCTCAGCAAATAGGGAATATAATATTTGCTTAATTATGTCATAGGGTTTTGAGACACTACTGTAGGAATATGGGTGCCAACATTTTGAAACTACATTACTGTGATATTAATAGGAACGTGTAGTAAAGGTGTAGGTGGATATGGTGCCATCATCAAGCCAGCTGCGAGAACAGCACCAGAGTGTGTGGGCAGGACCCATCAGATGACAGCCTGCTAGTGGAACACAGGTCTTCAGGGGAAGCCACTGCAGGTCATAACCTATGAAGTTGTGATGTCAGGAGCAGAGAAATGCAGAAATAAAAATCAAGAATGAGGCGTTAGATAATAACCTAAAGATTCTACTTGAAAAACATATTAACAGCTATTTGACTTCTTTGACCGTGACTGCACCAGACCATGCACGGCACAGAGCTGCCTGCAATGCTGTGGGGTCGTGTGATCAAGCCTCACCTGGCAGGTGCACACCGGCGAATGCGTGCAGCAGACAGCAGGTTGTTAATAGATTGGAAGGCAAGGATAAGAGCCACATAACATAAAGGAAGGAGCTCTCCTTGGCAAGGACAGAATTATGCCTACCCACATTCAGTTTAATTCCTTGTAACAAGTGAGTGCCCTGGAGTGGGCAACGTTTGGCTGCTGGATGTGACGATTTTTATTTCCTTATCAAAAAGATTTCCAAGCCTCAATCTACGGCTCTTTGTTTGCACTTCAGTTTAACTAAATTATCATATGACCAGAATATCCAGTAGTTTTCATTTCATTTTAATTGGCTTAGTCTGCGTGTCTACTGCTTTTCAGCATCTAATAGGAGGCTGTGCAGTTTCAAATAATATATAAAAATTAGGGAAATGGTTGCCAGCTAATAGGATGAATTTAATTGCCTCTCATAGGAAAACAAAATCAGGAATAAAATCAGGATAAACTTCATCATTCATGGGTAAAAATTATTAAGATGAATCTATTCTAATGGATTGTACTTTATCCTAATGGGGAGGAGAGGATTTACATAAAGTCAAAGTGAGTCACAAGATAAATGTGAATCGGGAGAATTCTAATATGTTTGACAAATAATTCTGAAAGGCGTTTTGAGAAGCATAGCATCACAAAACTGAAAAGCAACCCAGTTTATTGAAACAAAAACAAACTGTAAAGGTGAAACATGTTTTCACAATGGGGCCACATTTCTCAGCTGCACTCAAACAATGACAAACCGGAAAAGCGCCTCCCTCCAATGTGGAAGGAATTGTGAAGTCCCAGCCTGCATGTAAAATAGAACTGGGCTTTAAAAGAATCGGATAATTACGAAATGAGTTACATAAAGTCAGGTGCCTATTTTGTTTTCTATGAGGAGAAGAAACTAATTGGAAATCTTGTGAGAATGGGGATTTGCTGCTGACCAGGGTGGCCCTTCCTTAACTCTTCGTCTCTCATCTTCTCCCAACCAGCTTGTGCTTGATGCTGAAACTGTGTGCTTACCCAAGCTGGTGCAGGGGACGTGGGGTCCCTCTGGCAGCTCACAGAGCCTCTACGAAATCTGTGTGTGTCCAGATGGGAAGCTGTACCTGTCTGTGGCCGGTGTGAGCACCACGTGCCAGGAGCACAACCACATCTGCCTCTGAGCTGCCTGCGTCCTCTCGGTGAGCTGTGCAGTGCCGGCCCCAGATCCTCACACCCAGGGAGCAGCTGCACATCGTGAAAGACTGAGGCAGCGTGGATGGGAAGTAAACGCTTCCAGAGGAACTCAGAAAAAATTATGTGCCAGTGAAAGTGTTTGGACAAAAACTACATGATCTCAAAATGCACGTGGATGTGAGACACAAAAGTTGACAAAATGGAAAAGCAATGTGTTTTTCCACTGGATTAATTTTCACCGGAACAATTGCGAATTCTCTCTGCCTCGCCTCCCCCTATCTTGTCCGTGTGGGCACACACTGAGTGTTGAGTTGCCGTGTGGAGTTAATGTATGACGCTCCACTGTGGATATCTAATGCCCTGTTGAGAGTAGCCTTGCTCAGTACTAAAATGCCCCAAAGTTCTATACAGCATTTCCTTTATAGCATTCAAACCTCACATCCTCCCTTCAGTTTAATGCAAGTAAGTCAGGTTTCACAAGAAAATTTTCAAGTTTTGAAGGGAATTTGAGGTTGATCTGGTTTTCAAGATGTAGTTAAAGGAATAAATCACTCAAAATTAAACTTTCTGTATATAGTCAATAAGCAATAAAAACCTCATTTTTCAGAGTTCACAGTTTAAGAGTGTCTTTTTTAATCCTCACAAATCTTTGAGGTAGCTATTATTTTTCCCCAAGTTACTGGTGACAAAGGCTCAGGTAGAACAAGTCACAAGGTCACATGGTAACTACTGAAATTAAACCAAAATGTAACCCTAAATTTACATAGCTCTTTTCACTTTGAAAAAGTTTCATGTGCTGTCTCCAAAACACCCGTCTATGTGATAATTGTACAGCACTTATTTGACAAACAAAGAAACTGAAGCCCAAAGAGGTTTTGTCTCTACCAAGATCAAAGGGCTAGTCTGTGGTACTTGCCTCCACATGATAGACACAAGTCTGGACGTAACTTCATAGAAACAAGACACTCAGAGCTTGTGAACATGTTTAGTGCCAATTGGCTGTGTAAGGTGCTATAGAAATCAAATAGGACACACTGAACCTCTGAAGACAGGTTCGTTTTGTGTAGGCCACCCACTCACTTTGTAAAATGCCCTCTATCACAAAAAGTGGTGCATTTGTTTTTGTTTTACTTATTATAAGAAGAATCTTCAAATAGGTGTAGGGAGACCAACAGCACTGCAACTTTCTAATGATATGACATATTAATAACTATCAATATAAGTTCAAATTCATTTTCCATAGTCTCAGAATCAAGAGAAAGTACAAAAGTGAACTCTATTCCTAATGCTTAGTAAGATGTTCATTTAACAGCATAGCCTGCTCATAACAACTCCCTGATGTTTAAATGGCCAGAATGCATAAACACTTGAAATTGCAAAATAAAAATACAGTGCTTTCCAAGCAGTTAAGAGCAAACTCAACTCAGTGTAATTCACATTTCACAGGCAGTTGGGTGCTTTTACTTATAAATTGATATTTACCTTTTTCCATTTGGTTGAGTCCTGAGTAAACTGCTTTCTTACTGTGACATTCCTATTGTCATAGTAAATGGTTCCTGGTATTTTGTTCCCTGTTTGTGCGAAATATGTCTTCAAGCCCAGCTGATAAAACACGGGATCACTAGATCACTAAACATTTATAAACTAGCTTGGTTCTCATATTATGTGTCCAAAAATTTGTGTGTAGATGATAAAGTGAGGTAAATAAAAATAGTCAAGTAGAAAGTGTGGAGAACAGAACCTTTTGAATAAAAGGTTTAAATTCTATTTTTTTATCCTTAGCTATATGGAATAATGTTGAAAGAAGTTGTTACAGATAAATGCATTCTCCACAATAAGGAATTTATCCTTCATTAGAATCAAAGCTTTTAGATGAGCTGTATTCTAAAATGCATTACATATATCTGTCTTATTAAACATATAAATTTTCATTGAAGGCATACAGTCATGGTTATAAACGTACATCACGGGGTATATAGACTGATACTCCTATAGACTATTGAGTGTTGCTACATTAGGGATCTAAAAATAGCACTCATTTATTTCCCAGTTTATGAACTGACAAGTAGATACAGTCAAAAAGATGAAGATCAAAATCTACTACTATTATGCTTTAATAATAAAGATAGTGGTCCAGGTGCGGTGGCTCACGCCTGTAATCCCAGCACTTTGGCAGGCCGAGGCAGGCAGATCACGAGCTCAGCAGATCGAGACCATCCTGGCTAACACGGTGAAACCCCATCTCTATTAAAAATACAAAAAATTAGCTGGGCGTGGTGGCGGGTGCCTGTAGTCCCAGCTACTCAGGAGGCTGAGGCAGGAGATTTGCTTGAACCCAGGAGGTGGAGGTTGCAATGAGCTGAGATTGTGCCACTGCACTCCAGCCTGGGCAACAGAGTGAGACTCCATCTCAAAAAAATAAATAAATAAAATAAAAAATAATGATAAAGATAGCTGGTTTGCAGCAAAATGGACTTCCTAATAACTTCACAGCTGAATAAAACACAAACCACTCTGGTCACAGGCAGAACTAAAGGCTCCCAACTTCTATAACTGCTACATGAGGAGGATGGACAGATGCCTTCTCTGAAAGCAGTCAAATTCACATTAGAAGAGTCAAGCCATGTGTGTTGGGTTCCCCCCGCCAACCCCCACTAGGTCATCCAAAAACTTCAGTCTGTGCTCCTATGGGAAACAGGGAATGAGGGTAGAAGCTCTTCTGAACGAGCAGAATTTTGTGCACGATGGTTTTCAGATTGTGTCTGCTGATGCAGCTTTGTGTCCCCTTCGATTTGAAACATCGCCTCTTACTTGGCTTTAGCAGTCTTCTTCACATAGTAAATTCCACTTCAAATATGCTTCTATATGCTATTTTCTA
This sequence comes from Homo sapiens, assembly GCF_000001405.40. NCBI lineage: Eukaryota > Metazoa > Chordata > Mammalia > Primates > Hominidae > Homo > Homo sapiens. The sequence continues at coordinate 23,327,433 of NC_000013.11, forward strand.
CCAGCACTATATAAATGTCATCCTTGAGATCTACAAAACATTTAAACTACCAAAAATGTCAACTGGCACCAATGAAAGAAATAAATCCTACTCATCCCAAAATCAGACCTGTGAACAACTCAGACCTGTGAACAACTCCTCTTCATTCTGTTAAATACTATTTTAAGATTTTTCCCAAATCATTTTTGGGCTCTCGGCACTCCCTGCTCCGTTAACGAATTGTATGGTGCAAGTTTTTCACTTGTTTCCTCCCGGAGACTATGAACAATCGAGCCATCCCTCTGGGGATGCCCTGTCCCTGTCCCTGGAGCCTCTGCAGCAAAGACCCTGTTCACGAGTGCAGAAGCTGCTCCATCCCTTTCCTAGACTGCATGCTACTCAGGAGCAGCTGATCCACACAGCAGTAGACAGCTTCCTTTCTCTTTTTAAAAGAAGCAAACTATGGAAGAGGGTGGAGGAAGCGTAAAATAACAAAATAGTTCAGGTCCAAAATTCCTTATCCTCAATTTCAGTATCTAAAAAGCTTGAAAAAGTGAAAATTTTCAAATAAGTCTGCTGTAAACTATTGGTGGCAAAAGCTGATTCAAATTACATAAGGCTATTGATCAGGTCTGTGTATTCAATTTACTGTGAACCCTCATAGCCTTAACTGCAGAAATACTAATGCGTTTGATTACAGGTACAGCCTGTCCCTGGTGGGAGCACTTCATTAAAAAGTTATATATAATTGTATTAACTTTCTAAAATCAAATTATGAGGGGTTTTTTTTTGCCTGGAAAAACACAAAACTCCAACTAGATCAACTATCAAGGCCAAATGAGGTTTTCTGTGTAAATTTTAATATTCAAAAGCAATAAAATCTAAATGCTGAATTGAAGCTTCGAAGTAGCAAGTACTTTAAATAAAGCTGAAGGCACAGAATTCAGGTAGCTCCAGAACAGAGAGCACTCTTAGCCCTCATCTGCCTAACTCTGAAGACTTGTGCCTCAACTATAAAGATGAAGAACTCCTATCTGTCAGTAATAAAGTGTGAATTAGTCCCAGACATGCAGCTGTCCCTGAGGCAATGGAAATATCAATTCAGCTCTACCTAGAGGAAAAAAATATTTAATGTATCTGTTTCCAAACACATATATACCACATATATCAGCTAATCTGATTCCCTAAAAAGGTGACATAAACTCAACTAAATCAATGAGCACCTAAACCTAGTATATAACAAGCACTTCATATTCTATTAATCCTAAAAATCTATAATTCCAGCATGAAAATATACAGGAAAATATTTTCCTAATATTTCCAATAAATACACACATACACACACATTAAAACTTAATATTAAGATGTTAAGTTTGATTTCCAATGAACTATTTCTCAGGAAACACCCATTACGATGATTTCATATGTACATTTTCCTTTATTAAAAGTATGGCACTTTATATAACAGCAGAAATAATTACATGATTTCACATCCAGAAGCAATAAAATGTGGAGGTGCAAACATTCCTTATTCCCAATAAAAGTAAAAAAAGTTTCAACATGTTCTGTAAGCCCTTAATTGCATAAAGTATATTTAGCATCATTTACAGCCAGTACACTTATATAAACTAATTATCATTACCTTTTACATTCTGCAAAAGAAATATGTTAAAGTAAAGAAGCATGGCGAGACAAACATGAATTAAATGTCAGTTCTGATCATTCATGGGGAAATATAAGCCGATAATTATAAACTACTAGATAACACAATGATTTTAACAATTTTTGATGTTTTTAAAGTTAAAAAAACTCCACTACATGCCATATTGAAAGAAAAGGTTGTTTTTTTTTTAACTGCAGCACCTTTAGACAACAAAAGATTGCATCCTGTTCAACCACACTATATAAATTATAACATTTGTGGAAAATATGTACACACAAACATAAAGCAAGTGTTCTAACAGTTAATAAATGTTGTCTTGGCAAGCAGTTTCCAGAAACAATACTAACAACTGGTAATAAGAACTGCCACCATTTTGAGTTTTCCGTTGCTATCTTCATCAAACAGGAAGCCTGTAAACATAAGATGTTAAAAAAAAATTTAAATAAAGATGTAAAGTGCACTCAGTGCACTCTAAAAAGTACTACCTTCACACTCTTAGTCAAGTAATAGGATTAAAATACTCTACCATTTCTTAAATGCACTGAGTACAACATAAAATTACAACAAATTCATGATCAGAGCCAGCTGATGAGAAAATAACGCATCCAAGAGGATCCACTTAAAAAAATGACAGACTACAAAGACTTAATTCCCCTTATGTTTAAACCAATTATATGTCCAGTGTTTCATTAGCTCCTTCAAAAATACCATGTTAAAAACATAAAATTAACTTCATCCTAACCAGAGACATACATAGACTCTTATCTAACAAACTGCTAAGCTTTGGTTATATAAAGTGCAGTTCAATGATGTATCATCCCAATCATTCAAATCCATCCAGCTATTTTGCAGCTCACCACCATCTTCAAAATAGTTTTCTTTTAGATTCAGTTAAGGTTTTCCGTTGGTATTCATGTTCATAACAACTCCAGAATTCTCCAAGAACAATCTGCAATGTGCTTAACAATTCCTAGCTAATTGGCAATGAAGCTTAATGAAGTACAGCAATTTATTCGTGCTACAACACATTCAAGATCTACCTTTTTTTTCGTTAAATATCTTCACACTTTTTGTTGCATAAAATTTTCAAGTTTTATTATGATACAGGCAGTACATTCCATCACCCTCATAGCAACCTCAGAAGTGAACCTGTCATTTGGGATCTGAGGAAAGGGAAGCAAATCAGGGTATCTTGTTTTTAAACTGTCTACACCATAAGCTTCCAATGTGTGAACATCATTTGTCAGTCCTTCAAGTTGCTGACTATATTCCTCTATTTTCTGAGCAAGTGCAGTTGGTTTTACATCTTTATCAGACTTTCCCCTCACAGCATAGTCAGCTGCAATCAAAGCTAACTTGGTAGAAAGGTAACATTTAAAGCACACCCACTCATTGGCATTTTTATGAAGGTCATTCCTGGCAGCTGAGAAGTTTGCTCTGGCTTGTCTTAGCCATCTGCGTGCTTCCACTGGATTGCCAACCGACTTGAAAGTGGGAGGAACAAAGAACCTTTGAGAGTAAGTCTGTCCGGCTGAAGGGGGGCATTTTTCTTTGTTCTGTTGCTGTCTTTCAGATTTATGGCTCGTTGCTTCTTGATTCCATGAAGTATAGAATCTCTGAAATGAGTATTTGTCTGACTGAAATCGGGATGCTGAGGTTGAAAATGTTCGTCTGGAGGCCCTGTCTGCATTTTGATCTAGAAAAGCCTGTTTTTCTAATCTGTTGATTTCATTCTGCAAATGTTTAAAAACTTCATTGGCAATGTCATGGTTCTCTGGATTTTTGTCAGGATGCCATTTCAAATACAACCGCCTAATAATCTTTTTTCGTTCCGATTCTGGAAGCTTCCATGCTTGCTCCACCACAGATGTCACTTCTTTTAAGATTTCTGGTAAAGAATTAACCTTAAGCTTTTTGGGGGACTGATGTTTGGAAGAAGTCTTGTGGCTCTCTCTACCAGAGAAAAGAGGAGGAATGCTTCTCAGGCCAGGGGTGAGGAACTCAGTGGGGCTGGTTGGTGTAGAAGGAGCACTGTCCCTGCTTTGAGAGCTTTCCTCAGGTCTTGAAAACTTATACAGATCAAGAGAGCTAACTATTTTATATTCACTATAACCAATATCTATCTGATATATCTTTCCTAGAAAACTAGAATTGTCAGCATCTTCTCTTTCAACTTCTTGTACAATAATTGCATATGTGTATGTTGGCTGGTATGATCCATAGATATCACCACCTTCAGCATCAACAAGGTACCCAACATATTCTCCCGGGTAAAAAACATTCATTGGGTCCATAAGCAGAGTGTAATGAATTTCAGCAGGAATTGGTGTGCCAGGCATTGGAAGTTCCAGTTTTGATGGCTCCGAAGAGTCATATTTCACTCCTAAACTGTCAAGTTTCTCACCAATCCTGTAAATATCATTGCATCCTAGCATAGCAATTAAATATGAAGTGTCAGAAATCAAATTGTCAGTTGCTGATTTAAGAGTCATTGCCAATGCTAACAGGAAATTAATGTCTTTACTGTCTGAATGTTGAATGTAGAGCAAGATGACTGCATTACCAAATCGCTTCAAAAAAGCAAAAGTTTCACTTCTGCTGTGGGGAATAGGATTAAAACCTTTAACTCTTAATGTTGTTTGAAGCTTTTCAAAGCAGGATACTTTCAATCCTTCTCTTAGGGCTTTGCAAAGTCTTATGGCTTTTTCTTCATTGGCCAGAAAAGCATTATCATTTTCATGCTTCATAATTCTAATCAGTCCTGTAATGAACTGTTCAGAAGACAAGAGTAACTGCAATCTTCCTTGAAGAGAACACAACGCTCCAAACTGACAAACTTTGGGAGTCTCTTCATCTAATTGTTCTTCAAGTATACTGCTCAATAATCGAGGTCTAAGTTTTTGAGGAAAGAGCATTATCAACTTAGTGTGAAATCCATGGTCTTTCCCTAAGTAGCACTGGCTGAGATCAACTAACATTTGCACACCAATATTCCCCTGGATTCTACTTTTATAATGTGGCGCATCGTCAAACACTAAGATGCTTGACTTTACCAATCTACCATCCTGGCTTGGGAGGTAAAGCGCAAGGTCTCGTACATTCTCGAGATCACTCCTCACCTTGACTGAATCATTCTGTAGACTCCTGAACAGACCAGAAACTACTCTCTTAACTGTACGCATTTCATTAGGATCTAATTGTTTGCCCTCAGAATTTTTAAATATGCGGCTCAACACTTCAACATATTGCTTAGTTGAAATAATATCTTCAGTACCTAAGTGTTTGAACAACTGGTGAAATGTGCCAAGTTCTAAAGGTAGCTTGTACAAATAAGGTTTAAAATCAGATTCATATTCTAGGTTTATGACTACCTCCTCAGGCTTCAGAAGTTTCCAACCATCTTCTACCATCACAAAAGCAACCCCTCGCAACTGAAAACGAAATTCCCTTTTTTCTGCACTGAGGAATTCATATATGCTCCTTAAGACTTTTGCTCTAGTTTTTACCATTTCTTCATCCAACGTCGTTATGTTGCATATGTTTCTGCAGTTATTGATTACCTTATCAAGAGGAGGATCCAGGTTAACATTAAGCATATTTAAAACTTGTTCAAGCTGTTCTTGTGGACCAAGGTCACTACCTTCTTGTTCTTTAATGCTTAAGGGTGTAGCTTTCTCTGGAAGAATAGGGCAGGATGTCCATAACAGCTGGAGTACATCACATTGCTTGAATTTTGGATTTACCTGTGCTCCATTGAACTTTATAAGAGGAAGTGTTCCATTTACCTCTTGATATTGAGGATGAAATCTAATGAATTCCGCGGGGGCCCGCTCAGGACATAAGAATGGTATTAAAGATAGTTCTTTCAGAAAATTTCCAGATAACAAATCCATTCGTTCTTGGAATATATGATGCAGAAGGATATCAACTGTATTTTGCAATGTTTCTTTGGACCAGTTTTCTGTATTAGCCCTCACACTGATTTCCTTAGCAAACTGTAACAACTGCTGCTGAGAAAGTATGTATTTTAGTCCAATATTTCTTAAGAATTCCACCCAGGATGTCATAAATGTAACATGATTTTTGGGTTTTATAAGTTGTTCCAATTTCTTAAAGAAATCATTAGGAATAAACAATTTTTCAGGAAGCATAACTTCAAAAACTCTCACAGTTCTATCATAGAAATGCTTTGCTTGCTTTAGTCTACTGTTAGCATCATGGATTATCAATAAACTTTCCAGTTTTTCAAAAAGTTGTTCCTTAATCTCTGATAATTCCTCAGCACTTGATAATCTATTCTTAAGGTAGATCAAGTGCTCTAATTTTGCATCATAAGAGAGATTTTCAATTTTTGGTAAGAGGTGTTTCAAATATACCTCAAGATCATCTACAGGTACACAACCAATCACCTCATATAGTTCTTTTAAGTGTATTTTTTCTTCAAGAAATGCAGATGATGATGACTGTGTCCATTTCTCCACTTCAGCTGAAGGGATACTTTTTGTAAGTACGTAGCATGTTCCAAATTTTCCAATGCTTACATAGCGGCCACTGATGGATTTATAGCACGGAAGTGACTTTAGAATTTTTATATCATCTTGGGACATCAAATGATTCAAATTGCAGTTGAAATACATCAAAAGTGCCTCAAAATCATTTTCTACTAATTTTTCTGCTCTAAATGTTGAAGTTTGGACCATATAATGTAGAGCCTTCAAGATGCTTGTGGGGCTCTCTATATTTGCTGTGTGACATGACAACAAAGGAACAAATGCACTGTCTTTGGAACAGATTTTGTTCAAAGCAAGCTGAATACAGCCAGCTTTCATTAGAGCATGAAAAACTTTATCACTCTGGGCATTTGGAAAAACTGCAATGTGCATAAGGCTGAGAGGAAGCAGAACATCTCCTTCAGGAACCACAAGCTGGTTGGCTGAAACAGTAAACTTTGTTCCTGGAAGCAATGCCCAGTCTTTTAGAGTATCAACAACAATGTCAAATGTTGGTTTTGTTTCTTCCTGATCTTCTTTCACACTTACAGATTCACTAATAAAATGCCATGCATTCTTAAGCCAAGACTCACTTGCAAAATTGTCTTTCCACTTTGTGCAACTTTTGGTCTTATATTCTCGAGGCAACACAGAGGATAACAAATCAGCAAAGCTGGAAATGTCAAACACTTTTGCAACTTTACAGTTCAATAAAATATTACTATATTTCAAATATAATGTATTCATAAACAAGTCTTTGCGGGATGGAATCAATTCATGATATGTTGTTAGAAACTTGGGTCGTTTTGCATCAAAAGTTTGCAAAACACTGTCCAGTGTGATGAGAAGGGGCAATCCCTCAACTTCAATCTCATTTTCTTCTGCATCTTTAAAACAATAATCAACTAAAAGTTTTAAACTATGAAAAAGTTTTAGATTAGTCTGCTGCAGACGACAAGGCAGCTTCCCAATATGGCAATTAGTGTCAGGAGAGGAAAATGTCATTAAAAAAGATCTGATATCAGCAGGGGTCACATAACTAACAGGAATATCTGCATCTATAAGACAGTGGTAAAGATTAGCAGTTTCATCACAGTTATAAACCAAGTTGAAACCAATTTCTAAAAGGAGATGTTTCAGCCTATAGACATTCTCTGCTACTGTTTTGCGTGTGGTGATATTATAATCTGCATTTTTAAGGTGTTGTAATTCATCCTGTAGTAAATTGTCAAAAAATGGTCTAGTTTTATTAGAAGTAGACATATTGATCCAAGTAATTATAACTGCAGAGTGCAAGTCAGAGCCATCAATATTTGGAGCCCGCACAACAGGTAAAAGACGTTTCATGTCTTCGTGAATGCAATTGTAAAGTGCTTTCACTAGACAATATAAATCTGGCTGTAGATCAAGACGGTTAACTGGGAAAAACGATAAAAACTTCTTTAAAGTGTCCTTTACAACATGAATAGGGGTGTTCTGTAACACTGATAATGTTGGATCAGAACCAGGGAAATACCGTTTTTTTAACTGTATTAGCAATTCAACATATGCAGGAGCTATTAATGCTGTCATTAAACTGTTATTCCAGTCACTTCGAACACCAACTCCATTATCATCACGCCACAGGTTCCTTCTGGCTGAATCCAGTGCAAAGTGGCCATTCACATGAAATGGCAGCCCAGTCTCCAAAGAAAGAGGCAAAAAACAGAAGGCCCTATGGGGTTTTTTATAGTTGTGAGTAATGCAGGCAGCTACTCCACCACGTGGGAAAAGAGTAATATCTTGGTTCTTGTGAGCTGATATGACACTTTTAGATACTTTCTCCATACTTGAAAAGCCTGATCTATTACAAATTAGCCACGTAGTAAGATTTCCTTCAGAGTCCTCAGTATCCATAGTATAGGTTATTTGTTGAACTGGTATGTCTTTGAGCTGCCTCTTTTTAGTAACACTATCAATTACAGATGCATGAAATTGTTTCCTTTTCAATCTGTCTCCATCTGTGATTTTGCCCTTTACTGAATACAGCACATTTAGAGCTCCAGTACTCTTATCTATTTCACAAATAGAAATTTTTTCCATGTGATTAAGAAACATTAGAAGTTCTGCCCCATCTGAGCGCAGTTTGTCCAAAAGATTCTGGACCATTCTGTCTGATGCTGGAACAGACGAAATTTCCGAAACTTTTGCCATTTCTGCATTACGAAGAGGAAATCTGAACATTGTGCAATTATCCAGTTTAAAATGGGTTCCCAGATAAAGATCCAGAACATCTGAGAACTGTGTCCTAAAATCTGCATCCAAATCTCTAAACATGCGTCCGGGACTAATGGATGTGGCCCCTGGTGCATATCTGGCATGAGGATCAAAAATACACAGGATGTCATTGCCAGAAATAAAAGATGGGCAGTCTGTGATATGATACACAGAATTGAATCCTATTCCATACTGTCCAGTTTTATAAGGATTTCCCTCTTTCGTGCCTTTTCCAAGATTCTGAATTCCTCTAACATCATCTTCTGTAAATGGCTGGTTGTTGTACACACAAAGTGCTGGCCCTTGCAATGGGGCCCACTTATCATCAAATATTCTATCAACTGGATGCTGTCTAGGATCAAACACAAAACAGATTTCTGTCGCCTTTGCATCATCAGCATTTTGAAGAAGCTCTTTCAACATTTCCTTTTCAGAAGGATATGCATTAAGGATGCTCTTAATTCTGCTGGTCAATTTTTCTTTCTGCCCAAATTCTGTGCCAAGTGTTGTAAAACAGACATTGGATGCATATCTTTCTAAGGCTTTGTGTCGCTTTGGGACTGCTCCTAGTTTTACTGCTACTTCCCTGGGTATGTCAGCATGACAATATTTTACAGTGGTATCCTTTACTTTTATCCAAGGGCAATCATTGTAGCATAACGATTTAGCAGGGAGAAGCATAAGATTAGTATCTGGCAATAATATCTTGCCATAATTTTTCTCACAAAATTCTTGTTTCTTTTCTCTAATGAGACTCCATATTCCTTCACTGATTATTCGTCGGCAAAGCTGAAAATTCTCTTCTGTTATTTGCTTTGTTCCTCTTTCTTGATCAATAGATTCCAAAACAAGAGCAAAATCTTCAACAGTGCATGACTGCCTCACACCCACGGTTTCAAAAAGTTCGCGGAAATTATTTTTATACTTATTAGGCAACTGATAAAGGTATGGTGCCGCCTCAAAATTTAAATGAAAAGAAACCTTTTCTGAGTCAACATATGCATTCTCAACTAGAATGAAGCTAAAGGGTTTTAACTTATCAATAATTGACATCTTAGTGATTTCATTTTGCATCAAGGCTTCATGAAGGTATTTGTAGCAAGCATTGGTGATATTCTCCTGGTACAGTGTAATTCCATCATCAACTGATTTTGCTACTTCTTTCAATTGGTTTATAACCAGATCAACTGTTGGCTTCTTGAGTAATCCCAAAAACTCTTTAACAGCCAATGACACTGAACCACAACCTCTAAAAGAATGGGAATTTTCATTTAGAATTGGTTGCAAAAGACAAACTATATCTTGATGTTCAGCTGTATAAAGGTCAGTTGCTGCAAACATGGTTTCAGGCTTAAAACTGTTGCCTTTCCAGTCCAAAGAAAAACCTGCTGGTTTTGTCAGAAATGGAAGGAAGCGGATTGTTTGATATTTTGCAGCAAAATCCTTTGCTCTAGGATCCCTTATTTTTAGTTTCTCATCGATAAGACTCAATAAGATACTACTTCTTAGGCATGCAGCAACATGATCACTTTTATTAATTTCAGCTACTGACACTGCACGTTCTAGCATATCATCCCATAAAATATCATCTTTTGCCATACCTAACTGAACTAGTTTAATCAAAATAATAGGATTGAGATAATCCTGAGTAGAACCATAAGGGAATCTCCCATCTTTAATATCAAATAACTTTGCAACTCGTCCTTCGGGGTGGATCAATCTTGATGGCAAAACCAAAGGATGCCCCTCCAAGGAACAAGGAATACATGGAGTAACACGAAGAACTCCCGAGAACTCATCAACTTTTTCATTTAGAACAAAGATCATTAAAGGATCTCTAAGTTCTGCTTCAATTTCTTGAATATTTGGAAAAAACACTTCAGAAAAAAACTGTTTCTCTGAAAATGTGTTTTCAAGTAGTATCTGTTTGCAGCCAGCTTCTTCAAATCCTAATTTTACCGAAGAAGGAAGTTCAACAGCACAAAGGTTTTTGGACCCAGTCTTCTTGAGGTATTTCAAAAATATCTTGAAGGCTGCTGAACCAACATCTCTTCTTTTAAGTATAGAGTCATCTAGAAATCTTACGTTCTTCATGGAAACCCAAGTAGATCCATCAGAGAAGACTTTGGTCAGTTCTTTCCCTTTTCCATGAGCTATATCTTCATAAAATCCTTGGCAAATTACAGAAAAATCATCATGAACTAAATCAGGATCGGGCCATACTGCATAGTAAGTATAATCCATTAGCTCCCCACTAGTGGCCAGGTCCCGTAAGACACTCAGTACCTGTAAGTAAGCTTTCACAATAACATGTCTCATGAACGTGGTATTCCATCGTCCTTTTGTATCTGTTTTCCAGATTTCTTTCCTATTTGATGTAACAGCAAAGCACCCATTGATATGAACTGGCAAGCCTGTTTTTATTCGTAAAGGTAAATAGCAAAACACCTCTCCAATGTGTGGTTTCACTGTCCACTTCTGGTCCTGGATTTCTGACAGCTGAACTCCTACTGCCCCACATGGAACCAGTCCTAGTCTTCTTCCACTCTCACTCAGGGAAAACTTCAGAGCCTCTCCTGTGTCCATGCAAGTACACAGAAGCCACGTGGTACACTCTACTGTTTTCTGTGACAACTCATCTGATGGCTTTTTTGATTGGCCAGACTTAGCCATTTCAAAGAGAGCAGCTGGGTCATCATCTGGACCTCTAAAAAGTGGCGACTGTAAATCAGCAATCCTTCTGAACACATGGTGAAATTCTTCCACTGTGATCTGAAGAATGCAAGATGACTTTGGTTCATCACTGGGAAGCTTTTTATTACTGCTGCTGCAAGTCTTCATGAGCTTAGCAGCCTCTTTTAAAACACTTAAGACAGGTGTGTTCAATGCTTTGGAAGAGCAGGATTTTTTTTTAATTATTACTGTATCTTGTGCTAAACTGGGGTTGGTTTCCTCAATTTTCAAGTACTTCAAATACATTGACTTTACACTCTGAGTGAAAATGATAAGCCTGTGTCCACAGAGACTAAATTCATCCACAAGAGAATAAATATCTGCTGTATTGTAGCACGTACTACTAACTTCACTCACTTTTGCTTCCTGTTGAGTTCTAAAGGACAGTCGGAAAAGGGTTCCATTATAGCTGTAAGGTGCTTCTACAGTCAAAGGTAACTGACAGCCAAATACATCTATAAATGGTTTGAACTGATTAGGAAATTTTCTAAGTCTTTTCTGTTGTTTACTCCAATTAATTTTGATCCCAGGATTGGATTTGTCTTTAATGTGTTTACTGATATGATTTATGTTTGGATCGAACATTATCATGAATTCCCGACTCATAATGATGGGAATGTCAGTGATATGGTACACAGAATTAAATCCAAGACCAAATTTTCCAACTTTGTCAACTTCTCCCCTTTTTAAAGATTCTCCTAACCTAGTTATGTTCACAAAATCTGAATCTGAGAATTGAGAATTGTTGAATGACCACAAAGCAGGTCCATGACAAGCTGCCATCCCTGGGTCTAGGAGATTCTCTCTTATGTCCATATTTCTTCTCATATCAATCAAGAAACTGCATTCTGTTGCATTTGCATCATCAGCGTTTTGAAGTAGTTCTTTAAAAATATCTGACACTGAAGGGTATTCTTCCAGAATATTTTTAATTCTTACAGTAAGTGGCTCTCTTTGTCCTGACTGCTCAAATCCCATGTTTTCAGGATTTATCAGTCTTGTACTAAGGCATGGAACTTTTAGCCATTCTGCAGTTTTCATGGGTATGTCCTCATGCACCAAAATGATTGGTTCCACAGAATCTTCAAGTAAGTCATTAAGGTCATCAACTTTAATGTCACAATAACAGCATTCGTGAATTGGCTTCATGATAAGTTTAGAAGGATTTTTGCTATGATGTATAGGAACTGGTGTGTTGGGGCTTGCTGGAATCTGATTGCTATACAGCCATCTGATAATATTCAACATAAGATGAAGATTTTGTTTGCTTTCTTGTTCACTGAGATCTTGGTCACTTTTGAGATATATCTTCTGAATAACCATGGAAATATGATCTGATGTCAACTCCTCTATTGAACCACAGACCTTAAATAGTTGGTGGAATTTTGCCATGGTTTTAGGTACATTATGCAAATAAGGCTGAAGGTCAAGATCATGGATTGGTTTAATCACAGCCTGGGCAAGTGGACAAAACTTTTTGCCAGTCCAAACCCATGGAAATTTTAAGGCTCTAAAAGAATCTTTCCCTTCATTTAGATGATCATGCATGAATCCGTAAATCTCAAGCAAAATATGCTGGAATTGATAGTAGTCTTCATCACTAAAGGTTTTTGAAGAATACCAATCAACAACAATTTTAAAGTGTTTTAAGACAGCACTAAGGCTAGGTTTTGTGAAGATCCCTAATGCTTTTTCCAGGTTTACATGGATACTTTCAACAAGAGGAAGTGAGGAGCCAATGAGAATTGCATGGCCTACATCACACATATCTGGTGGTGCACAGAGATTACAGAGATCTCCTTTCCAGACCAAAGAGCCTGGATAATTTGGAGGCCTTTCCTTGCAGGCTGGAACCCATTTTATTTTCTTCAATGTCATCTTTCCTTCAGATGATTGCAACAGTGTGTGATTCTTATTTAAAACCAGTAAGAGGGTTTTGGCTTTCTTCAGAAGAACATCTTGATCAGGACAAGCACCGACCTGTAAGGCTTCAATTTTTTTTGCCACTTGCACAACATCCTTTTCTTTGAGACTGGCTTCGTTTTTTAAACCAATCTGTCTTAAGGAGTGAAGAATATCTGGTGAGGTAAAAACTGAGGGTGGGAAATAGGTTCCTTCTTCATTACAAAAGAGATCCTTTAGTACTTCTATATCAGGGTCAAAGAGTTCACCAGCTGATACCATCTGTTCCTGTGATATCTGGATGAATTTTAATGGTGTTAACCACTCAAGCACATTTGGATTCTCATTTTTAAGAGAAGATAGATTCTCAAGGACCCATAACATAAGCTGTGTTACCTCTTCATGTGAATAAAATGCATTTTCAATATCTTTTAAAACAAGCTTTAAGCAGCTAGTGGTCTTTAACTGTTCTATTTTCAACATGTTTGCCAGACGAATAGTAGCTTCATCACTACTGTCTATTACTGAAATAGAAAGTCGCAGATCTGCTGGGAGTTTGGCAGTATGGTGTAAGACTTTACAACCTTTCAATTTTGTATAAGAGGAAATTCCCTGATCAGAAGAATGGTTAATGCGCTTGAATATTGCCAATTCTTGAATAATTCTTTTCTCTTTCTCACTGCTATCGGTTAAACTAGCCAAGAACTTCCTCAGGGCATCTTTGTGTGTTGGAAGTAGCGAAGTTATTTGATTACACAATTTCTGCAATGGCATCTTCTCCATTATCTGCAAAACAGCACTTGGTAATGGTGAATGAATATATTTTTTAATAAGCGGATGTTGTATAGATGCATCTAATTTTTTAAGGACAAACCCTCCAAGTTTTTGTACAATGTCTGCTAAAAATTCTGGAAGCTGTGCTTCAGATTCATCGTCTAAAATGACTAACGATGGAATCCTGAGTCTAATGAGTTCCACACATGTCTGACCTTCCTCTAGTATAGTTCTGGGGATAAGTGGCATCTCATCAAATAAAGTCAAATCCTCTGAAAAATGTATATAAAGATTTTTCCAAACCATCTTAAGCCATGAAACAGATGGGTGATTTCTGTTTTCATCAAATGGATACCATTGAACAATCAATTCTCTGCCAGGCCAGAATGTATTCATTACTTCCTTGATAAGACGTGCAAATCGTTCTGGATTTAGAAGCTGCAGCTGAGTACATGGTCTTCCTGTAAATCATACACAGAAATGTCATAAATACATATAATTCTACTACAACAGCTTTCTATTCTCACAAATAACACAGTACTGGAAGGTTCTTTTTTTTTTTTTTTTTTTTTTTTTTGACGGAGTCTTGCTCTGTCGCCCAGGCTGGAGTGCAGTAGCACAATCTCAGCTCACTGCAAGCTCCGCCTCCCGGGTTCACGCCATTCTCCTGCCTCAGCCTCCCGAGTAGCTGGGACTACAAGGGCCCGCCACCACACCCAGTTAATTTTTTTGTGTTTTTAGTAGAGACGGGGTTTCACCATGTTAGCCAGGATGGTCTCAATCTCCTGACCTCGTGACCCACCCGCCTTGGCCTCCCAAAGTGCTGGGATTACAGGCATGAGCCACCACGCCCGGCCAGTACTGGAAAATTTTCTAAGAGTTGGAAGTACATGTAAAAATTCAGCAAAACTGGGCTAAAATAATTTTTAAATAATAGTGATAGAAAATCTATATATAAATCCATATTTACAATAACCTGTGACAAAAATAATTCTGCCTGGAAAATGCTTATTTGAAATAAATATACAAAATGCATTTAAATATGTTTTTTAAAGTATCCTATAATGTTCTGCAAATGAAATCAACATGGAAAACAATGTTTAGCGCTTATTTGCCCACAAATAAAAACACCAAGGAAAAATGCAGATAAAATTTATATAAGAATCTTTTTATTTAAAGGTAAAAATTGATACACAACCCCAATAAAGGCTGAGTATCCCTTATCTGAATGCTTGTGACCAGAAGTGTTTTGCATTTCGGACTCTTTTGGACTTTGGAATATTTACATTGTACTTACCAGTTGAGCATTCCAAATCCAAAAAATCTGAAATCCAAAATGCTCCAATGAGCATTTCTTTTGAGTGTCATGTAGATACTTGTTTCAGATTTTGGAACATTTGGGGTTTCAGATTTTTGGGTTAGGGACACCCAACCTGTATGAAGGATGTTTTGTGTTAACTTCAAGTTTCCAGGAGCCACACAGCTGCATGACCTACAGAGAAGGTCATGAAGTCAGCGCACAGAGACTGGAGTCTCAGTTGCAGCTGACCAGAGCTTTCTGAAGCTGAGGCAGCAATGAGACTTACATGGTTTCCTTTCAACAACTAAACAGATGTCTAATTTAAGTACCATTTCATCTTTCTGGGACTTGAATTCTCTCATTTGGAAAAATAATGGGGATGAGATTCTAGATCTAAAGACTGCTCTATATTTATGCCCAAATACAGAGCATATTTACAACTTTTTCAAAGTACCCTTTATCTAGCTACTTATTATTAAAGTGTGCTCTTCAGAGCCCTGGGATTTTTGCAGAAATACTTTGGAGGCAACAAAGGGAGCACGTGGGGCAGTGCTGTGAAGGCAGCAGAGCAGCTCCACTTTTGGATGTCTGATAAACTAAAACACTCAGAAGATATTTCCTTGGGTTGAAGGGGGCAGTTTTTACTGATTTTAACCACTGGCCTAGAAATTAACAGTTTCTTTCTAAGTGAATTTAGTATTTCAGAGTATAACATTTATAATATCAGTAGGAACAAAATGAAAAAAAATAACACCATACATCTACAGGTATATTTTTCCCAGAGAAATAAAAAACATCTCAAATTCGATCTTGTATAGACACTAACATTCAATATTCTCCCTATGTACATATGACTTCTAGACTCTTGAAAGAGTGGCAAGGCACAGTGGCTCACATCTGTAATCCCACCACTTTGGGGCGCCAAAGCGGGTGGAACACGAGGTCAGGAGTTCAAGACCAGCCTGGCCAAGATGGTGAAACCCCATCTCTACTAAAAATACAAAAATTAGCCGGGCGTGGTGGCAGGCACCTGTAGTCCCAGCTACTCAAGAGGCTGAGGCAGAGAACTGCTTGAACCCGGGAGGCGGAGGTTGCAGTGAGCCGAGATTGCGCCACTGCACTCCAGCCTGGGCGACAGAGCAAGGCTCCGTCTCAAAAAAATAAATAAATAAAAAGAGCAAGTTTGGAAAATATTATAAGAGGAATCCCGCCTCAGGCTCTGGAAACTTTTGCGTATTGTTACTTTTTTATCCAAGAAAGCATACCCTTTATTTCAGAGGCCTACGTATAAAAAAGATGACTTTATCTTCTACCAAGAAATTGCCTTTCATGTAACAATAAGACATTTAAAAATTACTGCCATAGAAATTTAATAAGCAAGGGCACACTTTTGCAACTTTAGGAAGGTGTCAATACCCAAATTCAGAATATTTTTCAGTTTCTACATTGTGTGATTTACGATAATGCAAGCAGCAATATTTAAGAAATTACAAAATTTTGTCAGCAGCTTGACTAGTATAGCCTGTTTGATCTGTGAGTCTTATTGAAATATAATTTTACAACATTGTTCTTTAAAAATTCTCACCGAATCAGATTTAACTATAATGGAATATCCAAATCATAAGACAAGGATATAATACTAGAGATACAAAAAAAGGGTTAGAAATTAAAATTCAAAACACTCAGAAAACAAAAAATTAAATATACACCACTTTGTGCTCTATGTTAATAATTGCCACGACATGCATTCCATAGATAATCTTACCCAATAGCCTTGCATGAAATTTGGCAATTTATAAAACGTATACCTACCTTCAGGAAAATTATCTCATTTAATGTATAAATTAAATGCCAACAAAACACACACACACACACTACATATAGCATGCAACTAACACATCGGTCATGCTCAACGGAAAAAAACATGAAAGAAAATAAAGGAGAGAGAAAATGTAGTAAGACACCGGTATACGTAAATTAAGTCAGTTCAATCTGAGGTCCTGAATTCTATCCATTGTATTTAAGACATTCAGCTTTTTAGTTATAAATGTTAACACAGAAACAAGTCTCCATGTCCTGGGTTAGAAAGCCATAGAAATTGTAAAGCACCTCTAATAGGATCAGCAAAATAATTTTTGTAGCAGTTTAATAAATGAAATGGTTTTTGTAGCCTTAAAAATTATCAGCACTGTCTCAGAGGTTAGCTACAGTACTGAAATTATTCCAAGAGGCAGAAAGGTTTAAACAATTACCAAATTTAACTTAGAAGGAACTCTTCCAAGAGTAGCTTTTGCTTCACTATTATCAGTTCAATCCCTCATTTGTTCAAAATAATAACATCAACATAATGAATCAGTACTCAAAGACTGCACTATTTTTTATTGTTTACATTTATGTTCAGTGCTAACCTTGAGAATGAATTCCAGCACAGATGGAAATATTATATATAGTCTACTTAAAAATTTACTTAACCAAGAAATCTCAGTCCTGAATGCTTTAATTAACTGAGAGTTTACTACATTCAACCAGACTCCTCCAGTCTCCAGCTGGCTACAATAACAATCCATCCAAAGCTGTAAGCACAGTGACAGTTTTTTATACTTTTCTCTTGTACAGAAAGAGGCACTGGCAGCTTGCGTAGCTGATGAGTTCTAACAATGCCCTACTGAGCACAGAGATGCAAATCTCTTTGTAAATGTACAGTCAAGGTTCAATTAAATGGTGTACTGTAGATCAGTCGCTCTTCAAAGAAATGAAGAGAGAATAGAAAAAAAGAAATGAAACAACCAAACTAAAAAAGGAAGGAAAGAAAAGGGCAGCCTTCCTGCCAGGTCAGACTCCCTCCACCTCCAGCCTAGCAGTGGCACTGCAGGTCCCAGGGCCCAGCATAAAAGTCCAGCAAGCCAGGGTGGTTCAACATTAGCCCCAGTGACCACATTTCTTCCTAAAAAATCACCACTGACACTCTGACTTCTTAGCTTTCGTCTTAAGAGAATCGCTGATGTAACCAGACAGTACCAGGGCATGTGTTAATTATGCACTCTACTTATATCAAGATTTTGTTTTCCTCTTTGATTTGATACCACCTTAAAACATGTAAGATACATTGACAAAGCTTTAAGAAAAATATAATAGTAAGAACCGTGAATGATAAACCACTTTTAATATAAGCTAGAAACCCAAAAATTTTTATATGAATTATCACTATAATAATGACTTGGTTTCTAAACTAATTTTAGTGTATCACCTGCTTCAAATAATAACATTTATCATAAAAATGATTTCTATAAAGCAAATCTTATATCCTATAAGTTTCCAAATGGAACATGAACTTGGGGAAAATAGGACCACTAGTTGAGTCAAAAATTTTTTATTTATTAAAAAAAAAGGCAGTCAGTAAAATGACACACGAGGCACTGTAAGAACAATCGGCTGACTCTCCCCAATGAGAGCTAGGCTGGCCACCTTCCCTTCCTCTGCACACCCAGGACGGGGGTCCCTGCCGTCACCAACCGTAGCACACTGAGCCAGACTCCAAAACAGAAAGGCTGTGGTCGCCTAACTTCACAGTCACAGATCCCAGAATCTACTTCCCTCTCTGTTCTTTTTGTTTGTTTTTGTTTTTGTGTGTTTTGAGACAGAGTCCCGCTCTGTCGCCCAGGCTGGAGCTCAGTGGCGCGGTCTCAGTTCACTGCAACCTCTGCCGCCCGGGTTCAAGCAGTTTTCTGCCTCAGCCTCCCAAGTAGCTGGGATTAAAGGTGCCTGCCACCACGCCTGGCTAATTTTTTGTATTTTTAGTAGAGACGAGGTTTTACCATCTTGGCCAAGCTGGTCTTGAACTCCTGACCTCGTGACCCACCTGCCTCTGCCTCCCAAAATGCTGGGATTACAGGCGTGAGCCACCGAGCCTGGCCCCCTCTATGCTTTTTAATCGGAATATTTGTGTGCGTCGTATAATAGAGGTGCATTCACTATCAAACTTCCCATTAAATACCACAGCTTAAAATACAGATTCCCACACCATTCTTTGATTAGAGACTAAATGTTCTATGAAGTGAATGTTTCCAAGTCATTTGAATATGGTTTTACCGTGGTATTTGTAATAATAAAAATCTGTATTAGTATGGTTTCCTCTCTCCTTTAATATTATAGTTATTACCACCAGAAAAAAAATTGTTGACATAATTTCTAGCTACTTAGGTAAATGCAAAAACAGAATTCGAAGAGCCAAATGAACAAAAACATCAGGCTTCAAATGAACACAACATTCAGTTATCCTACCTGAATATCCCCAGAGTTGTTGTTGTGCTAGAATACAATTAAATCCATTCTTAGAAGAGGTCAGAATTGTCAGTTTTCACATGATGGCTACAGAAATTATTCTGTATCTTAAGATACTGCTGTCTGTAGAATCTTTACAGATCCTTATGTAAAAGAAAACCCAGAAACAAAACTCCAAACATAGCAGAATACACATCTAAGATTTAAAGCTATATTTCAGTGCAAACTAAATCGAAGTACGTAAGAGTCAGGAGTGTTGGTTCAGAAAGAAAGCAAAGAAAGAATTATGGACTTCATATGCGCAAATTACATTATAGCTGCATAACGTCATTTGATAAGCTACCAGTGAGCTTTTTGCACAGGCTATCATGTTCAGAGATTCTAGATTAAAAAACCTGATTTTTTAAATTTTTAATTTTTAAAAAGTTTTGGAGTACCTACACAAAGTGTACAATTAATTCCAACTTTATAATAAAGAAAAAGAGATTTTATCATCTATTTCCACTGCTTGTCCATGGTAACCAACAATAATTACAAACTTCTAAGAATTGTTCCACGAACATCTATCCCTCCTCTGCTTGAATGAAGCAAGAAACTTTTAATCAACTGGACTGCTACAGTTCTGTGAGATTTCTGTGTATTTGGGTCCCTTAGGCTAACTAAACTAGTAGCTAAGATAGAGAGCAAAGGTGTAACCAAAGAAACTCAATTCTTCTCATCTTAACATCATTCTAATCACTTTAGCAACAGGCACCTTGTTAGTTAGGCAATACTGATTGAGTGCTAGAGATATAGAAATGGACAACTAGACATGGTCCCAGACCTGGCCCTACAGTCTAATGGAGAAGGCAAGTATCAGATAAATTATTACAAATACTTAAACAGGTACCAGTGTGTGAGTGCCATGGAGAACAGAGCATGGAAGCACACATGGGTTGCATGAAAGATGAGCAGAGGTAGTGAATGGAGGAGTTGGCAAGGAAGCCACATGTATCACACCTGAGGGAGGGACAGAACATGCTGTCCTCCAAACAGGAAAAAGCATGGAACTAAGGGAAGGAGATTAAAAATAGCAAATATCAATAGAACCTTCCATGTACCAGGCATCTTCATAACACCCAGAAAATGGAGCCAGCTAATGAAGTGCCTCATAGGAAAGGTTACGGATTTTGGTCTCATCTAATAAATAAGTATGAAAATTTTAAAAATTATAAATAAGACCCGACACCAAGCATCTGTACCACTAAACTGTTCTTGTTTCCTTTTTCTTCATCCAAAATCCATTTACCTGCTCTTCTAACTATTCTCCAATTTCTGATATCCATCCATTTACTTAAGCAACTTAATACAGAAATAATTCAGACCTGGAAATTAAAAAAACAAAAATCATAGCTTCAACTCTGCAACTCAAGCAAGTCATTTAAATCCCTCAATTTCTTTGAGCTTCAATGTCTCAATCTCTCAAATGGAGATACAGGCTCTATTATCTCATGGTTGTAAAGAATAAACAAGATTACAGAAGACACTGATTTGAAGAGAACTATTAACTCACAGACACTAAGAAAGAGATTTGCCTTTTGGCCTCTGCGCCCCATCTCCTCCATGCGGTCCCCACCCAGCCCAGCAGCTGAAGCATCAACTTATCCAGTCAAACTTGGCAAGCAGGCTCTCGGCCAGACCTTGGAAATATAAAAATAAAGATTGCCCTTGCTCTCAAGGATGTTGCAGTGTAGCACAGTAAAAACATGATTCTAATAAAGCAAAGAGGATCATATGGACTATGTACTGGGTTCCAAGAGCAAAAGAGAGGCATTCACCTCAGACTGCAGGGCAGGGGTGAGGCACAGGGCAAGATGTCAAAGAAAGCTTCCTGGAGGTGACACATGAGCTCAGTACTGAATGATGAATAAACATTAGCTGGGCAAAGTAGAGGATGGAAAGAAAGTATTCTAAGCAAAAGGAACACCATGTACAAAAGGGCAGCTATGAGAAAATTTTCATGCAGGAAAAAAAATACTGAGCACCTACACTGAAGTAGGCACTGTGCTAGATGGTGGTAACAAATCTGACAGGTCTCTCTGCTCTCATGAAATATAGGGAGGATTCAAGTTCATCAACCTACAAGTGCTTGTATAATTAGAACAGAAGAGGGCAATTAGAACAGAAGAGGGCGCTTGCATGCACCAAGGCCAGTGAGACAGCACTCCAAAATCATGGAAGTTTACAATCATGGAAAGTCCCCTAGTTCATGCTAGCAGGGCTAGATTTATCCTGATAGATTCAATGTCCACTGGAAAACCTGCAGCAGGAGGGTGACATGATCAGATGAAGCCCAAGCGCTGTAGACAGGGACATCAACTGCAAGAGTCCAGTAACAACATTACGAGAAATTAGAGGACCTGTAATAGGCAGTGGAGTAAGACCAAGGGACTGGCACAGAAAATTTAGTCAACAGATCCTGGAGACTGTGGGGAACAAAGAAGAAAATTTAAGGATTCATTCTTGAGCAATCTTGTGGACAGTAGTGTTATTTTCAGTGGGATCACTCAAAATGAGAAACAGATTTGGGGAGAGGATGAAGACTAAAGTTTTGCAATATTGATTTTGAAATACTTATGGGATTCCAAGTGCAAAATGCTAACAATAGCTACCATTTGTCAGTATTATATTAAGTGCCGGATATTATGTTAAACTATATGTATTACGTATTCATCATTCGATCTTCAGCATAATGCCTGCTGTGAGTAAAATATTACAATGAAGCTTTCAATAACCTGATCTGCTGCAATAACACAAACTTGGATACAACTCAACTGGCAAGGTGTGGTTGCTCCCATCCTCTGCTCAATCCTTATTTCATTATCCTTGCAGTGAAGCAATCCTGAATTTTCTGTAATCAAATCCTGGGGACCTTGAGATATACCCTTAGAAGGATAGTACTGTATTACCATGTTACTGATGAGGAAACAGGGGCTCAGAGAGGGTAGAAAATTTGTTCAAAGTCACACAATAGAGGAGTGAAGTTTAAGCCCAGATCTGGGTAACTACAAAATCCAGGTTTTTAATCTCTGCTACACTACCTCTCTGAAGACTAGGGTGGTGACTGAAGATATGGTGGTCACTAACACTTTCATGGGAGTGGATGAATGTATTCAAGGAAAGGAACAAAGTAAAAGAGCTGAGGAAGGAGCCCCCACACTAACACGTATTTAGGGAGTGAAGTGAGGAACAGAGGTTCACAAATAATTCTGAGAAGCAGGCAAAATCAGTGAATGCCAAGAAGGAATGGTATCATCATGGCTGAGGGCTTCAAAGAGGAATACCAAGCTTCTGGGAGATCAGGTAAAAGAAACAGAAAAATCCACTGAGCTGAGTAACAGAAAAATCATTAACTAGTGACGTCAGCCAGACTATTTTAGTGGAATGACAGTGGAAGCAAAAGTCTGTTTGGAGTGATAATAAATAAGGAGGAAGTACAGACAATAAGACAACTCTTTCCGGAAGCTGGACTATGATAGAATACAAGAAAGAAAATCAAGGTGGAGGTCTGTTTTGTTTTTCCTGAAATGAAATATAGTGAAACATATTTAACTGCTAATAAAAGGGGCAGTAGAAGTAAACACTAAAAATACAAGCAGTAGCTCAATATTTAGCTAAGGATTTTAAATGTAATACAAGGAAAAGGTACAATTATTAAATAATGTGACAAATTTTGTTTGAGCTACAGAATTAGAGGAAAAGTTTCCATATCAGAAAAAACATATGATGTTTCCATTTTATGCAGTAGTACTTCCAAGACTGGCCAATCAGTGTTTACTGATCACTCATAAACAGAATTCCATAGTGCTCTGTGTCAGCAAAGCAATGGAGTAATCATTATGTAGAGCAAAAAATATCAAATGTAGTTACATGTCTGTGATGCTCCCTACCATATATGAAGGGGGCTCCATAAACATAATACTCCGCCTTTCTTCTCCTGTACTCACTAATTCCCCCAATAGGCCCCATACCACCAGAAAGCAAGATGACTTACATGATTGGTAAGTTGAGAAAAAGCATCTGCACATGCTCAGCAGGACTCAAAGGGACAGATGTTTAGTAGGGGCAGGACCTCTGGAAGGAAGTCTGTGGCTTTCCAGGGCTACCTGTGACTAGACTGGTGAGCTAATCCATTTCACTCTGGGAGTCAATAGAAATCCAATGCCTGCCACAGCTATAATCTCCAATATCACAATAATCAGTGACAGAGGTGGCTTCTGACATCCATCTGCTCAATCCCTCTGCTATGTCTTCACTATGTCTTCACTGACTCACAACTCAGGAAAGGAAAGCAAGGTGTCACTTACTGGTTCCCCGTAAGGCCCTATATCATCATGCTCTCAAAACATTAAAACCATTAATGGCAATAAAGTTATATCAAAAACTAATTTTTGTCTGGAACACACAGATAAAAATAAGTGGGAAGATACCCATATGACTGGTTTAAAAAAGTTTAAAGGCTAGTGATATGGTTTGGCTGTGTCCCCACCCAAATCTCATCTTGACTTGTAACTCCCATAATTCCCATGTGTTGTGGGAAGGACCCGGTGGGAGATAATTGAATCATAGGGGTGGTGTTCTCGTGGTAGCGAATACTGTTCTCATGGTACTGACTAAGTCTCAAGAGCTGATAGTTTTATAAGGGAAAACCCCCTTCTCTTGGCTTTCCTTCTCTTTTTGCCTGCCGCCAAGTAAGATGTGGCTTTAGCCTTCTGCCATGATTCTAAGGTCTCCCCAGCCATGTGGAACTGTGAGTCCATTAAACTTCTTTTTATTTACAAATTACCCAGTCTCAAGTATGTTTTTATCAGCAGCATGAAAACAGACTAATACAGCTAGTTATGAGGGTTATTAAATAATCATGAAAATAGTAGCCTAACTCTTAAATCTAGATAAAGAAAAGTGACCATCAAGACAATTTCTGGGAGTGCTAACCCACACATGATGTGTGATTAACAGAAACACTAGATGAACATCTAGTGTCACAATGCCAAGAAAACTAACCAAGACCAGAGACAAAACACAGTGTTTCATTATGACACCAAAATAACAACTTGAATCCATAGTAGAGAAAATGAAGACATATAAAAGTGGGAAAATGCAACTTTGAAAGATGTCAAGTTTTCTATATTAATTTATACATTTAACTCATCCCTAAAAATATAACAGGTTTGCCCCATCCACCCAGGGCTAGAGAAGCAAGTTGTAGCCACACTCTGTGCCACAAGATATTTGGAAAATGCTGAGCAAAAACAGAATGCTCTGCTGACCTTCTACCCTTCTCACCTGATTTGGCCCTGAATAACTTTTGGCCGATTTCCAAATCCACATCCACCTTAGAAAGGATCTGCCACCAACAAAAATATTTTCTTTAAAAGAAAGTAATAAACCACACAGTAAAATACCGTAACAATCAGAAAGAACTGTTAACAGCTCCATGCAACAATCTGGATGAATCTCACCAGCATCACAGCAAATAAAAGCCAGACGCAGAATATATGCCACATGGCTCCTTCTATACAAAGCATGATTAACTAGCAAAGTGAATCTATGCTGTTAAAGCCAGTGTCATGGCTACCCTGGAATGGTCAGACTGAAAAAGGCAAGAGAGGGGCTTTTGGGGCTGGTAATCTTCTGTGTAATCTTCTGGTAATCTTCTGCGTTCTGATCTAGGTTTACATGGGTATGTTCAGATGGTAAAATTTCACTAAGCCTACATTTATGATATGTGCACTGTTCTATATGCATCTTATATTTCAACACAAAATTTTAACAAAAATATAATACAACATTAAAAAAAAAGGAGTTCCAAATCGTTAGAGCAAAGATTGGCAGGCTTATAGGAATCCAGGCTTAGACTTTCAAAAAGGTTGTTTTGAAGATGACAATTACAATTAAATGAGTAACTCAGACGTTTGAAAAGTCAGTCTCACAGCTACCAACTCATAGATGCAAATCCCTGATGGGAAACAACATTTGCCTACTCATTTTCTTTTACTCTCACTTTAACTCCAACCTAACTTGCCTCTCCCATTCCAACTCATTTCACTTATATTTTAATGAATAAAGGTGTACAATGATTAGCAACTTTCCCTAAGCCATTATCCTGGACAAGAAAAAAGTACATTCCATAAAAGACACATCACAGAGTATGCTTGACAATGTGAACAGCAGGACAAACCCAGAACTTTTCAGGACAACATCTCACTTAGAAAAAGCTCAGGTAACAGTTTCACAAGGAAAAGGATGCTTGCAGAAGTTGAAAGGTAGTATTAAAATTAGAACCATGTTGACTGTTTTCCCAAAATTACTGTCTTTTCCTAAAAGGACACCTATCAGACACCCATCACTTTAAGACCCCCGCAAGACCCTTTTCCTGCCCCTGTTACAGAGTTAATTGGATTTGTCCACACTTCCCAGAAGCTGATCAAGCCTAATGCAAACCCAGCATCATAACTACATAAAACCATGGAGGGGCAGTGGTGTCAGAAATAGAGCAAGGACAGGGCAAGTGGAAGACCTGACCTCTCGGCACTTGGCTGGTGGTCTTGATCTTAACCTTTCTCTCTCCTCTTCTGTGAAATTTAATAATCACTGTCATTACCAAACAAGCTACAAGTTATGCTGGGAGGCTCAAATGAAAAAAGAAATGGGAAAGCACTGGAAAACTGTAAAGCACCATGCAGGTATAAGATGTTGACTACACCATCACACCATGACAGGAGAGATTTTTACACTTATCACCTCTGGATTCTTTTAGACAGCATCTCTTAGATGCCATTCTGGCAACTGAAATATCTTAAAACACAAAAAGTTTATTAGCTTGAGCCATAAGAAATTGTTGATTTATAGGTCTAAAATGAATAACAGAAAACTTTTAAAAAACTTGTATTTTTATATAGAAGTTTATTTAAAAGAATACTAAACTATAATACCTCGGGTTTGGGCAGCTTCCTTTAAAGCAGCCACAAGGTGAGGTTTCAAGTTATCCAAAATAAATCTTCCTTCAAGACTTGGGAAAAGGGACCTGAAAAGGGAAAGGAACAGCAATCATCATAATCTTCCCACAATTCCAAGATTTTAAAAAAACAATCACATATTTTCAAGTCAGTTAAGCCGACTATTTTATTTTACATAAATTATAATGCACACATCAAATCAAATTACAATATTTTTGATCAAATATTATCTAGACTTTGCTTTAAAACGTGAAGGCATCATGTACTTTACTCAAATTCAGAAATATTCTCAACATCTTACAGTAAAATTAATTTTATTTCCTGAAATGTCAGTACACTCTCGTTTATAAAGAATTACTTAATATACTATTTTTCATGAATTTAAATATTATCAAAATAATTCATTAGTGACTAATCTGGCCTTGTTATTATTTGCACTTTATAAACATTGTTTTCAGTGTTCTGCTATTGAAATTTCCAAGAAAAACAGCTGCTTAGATAACTTTTCAACTGATAAACATTTGAATACTTTTTCATTTTAGAATATAAAATGTATCCTTTGGTATTTTAACAATGTATTTCTGCAAAAGTCTTCCTAACTATAAAATCGACATAGAAAACCATTGAATTTCACAACAAAGGACTCTCACAGTGAGCAGGAGCAGGGGAACCCTAAGAGTGAACAGGAATGTTAGAAGGGGGACCCCTACCTTGGATATTCTGCTGAGGTAATATAAATGACATCTTGGTCTGATACAGATGAGGAGAAGGGGACAAAATTGCCATTTTGTAAAGGGAGCAGCTCCAGCCCAAGCAGCTCACTGTAGGCTTGGTCAGAAAGCACAAATTCTAGAAGGTGAAGCTTTTCTTCAGCACAGCCCAGGTGTGCACACTTCCGCAGCACCTGCCGCACCCACGCGGGCGTCACCTTCCTCACAGGTGTTGTGCCAGAGGCAGCTGTGAGCTGAACAGCAGCATCCACATTCCCTGGTACCTTGGCAATCTGCTTCCCTGAGCTCTGGAGGTAGTTGAGCACAGTTTTTGTGTATTCTAAATTTTCATCAAGTTCTGAGAAGTACACCTGCTCCAACCTGACCCAGTCACAGCTAATTGAATAAATCACTGCATTCTGCAACAGCTCGCTGAATAGAGGCTCTAACACCGGTTGCCAGTGCACCTTGACTTTGCTCGCCTCCGGCCAAAGCTTATAGATAACATCAACTGACAAGGGGAAATCAGAGCTCTTTTCCATCTCCAGACGTTTTATTGAATCTAAGATCAGAGTAGCATAAGCTTTGGGGACAACATTCATGACAAGAAACTCATTCCATAAGGCTGCCGGGTCTCTCCACTGGTCCAGCTCTCTCCATTTTATGCTCCTGCGGTTATCAGTAAGGCCAAAGAACCCACTGATGTGAACTGGGAGGCCTGTGCTGCTTTCCTCACCAGGTGGTAAAGGAAGGAAACAAAATGCTTTTCCTGAGAAATCAGACGTTGCTCCTTTTGCTTCATCATCTCTGCTTGATAAAGGCATGGCTATTCCAATGATTGGGACAAATTTCAGTTCATCAGCTAAAGAGTCAAGCTTACTACTGATCCCTCGCCCACCCACACTGTTACACACCAACCAAGATGTTTTCTGTGCATCCTTAGTACTCTCCTCTTCTAAAACAATATTTACGTGATATGTTACACAGGTGATGTTATTGCTTGGAGTCTTTTTACAATAGTTACTTATAGCAGTTCCCAGAATCTTTATAGAATTCGGCCGCTCATGTTTCAGTGCCTTACTCTCACTCGAAGTCACTCTAAACACCAGTTTCTCTGTTCCGTCAGCCTCTCGGACATATAAGGAAACATCCTGCACACTTTTCAGAAAGAGCAGCACTGTGTCTGCATCTGCCCTAAAAGACTCAAACAACTCAAGAACCTTCTGCTTATTGTAGAGGTTACTACTAAGTTGTGAAGGTTGTAGGCGAAGAGGGAAACGGAAAAATGTTCCTGGAAAATTGCCGTTTATAAATGTTTCCTTGGTGCTTCCAAAAATGCCAACAAATGGTGCAAACTGGTCTGAAAGTTCACTAATTTCTTTGCTGTCATCTTTGAGATTCCAACATTGGCCTGATTCATGTGGGCCAAAAAGTGTTTGATGAGGATCTAGCATCCCGATTTGGTCACCACTAAAGATACAAGGAACATCTGTAAAGAAAAATTTAAGTCATGATCAACTCTGAAATTTTAGGGACAATTATGATTACAATTATAATAAATATATGAAAAAGCATGAGCCATTAAATGACTAAAACAGATTTATCTAAACACAAACTTAATTTACCTTCAGAAATGTAATTCTCTGAACATGAAAAATGATTTCTCTTTTGATTCAATCCAATAACAAATGCCAGGCATAGAGACTTTGCATGATTACTGTGAAAACCTAGGAGACATCTTCAAAAACTCACTACACAAAAGATGGGCAGAGTATTTGGATATATACACTTAACCCCCACCACCATGTGAGCCCAATTCGACAGAACAGGACTGCATCCTATGCTCAACTTTACAAATTCAGCATAGACTCTGTAAGAAGAGACAGAGAGCAGTACAATGCAGGTGACTCTGCCCACTGTGTTGCTCAGTGAGTGCCTGCCCTGAAGCTCATGAGGTACATTCCCTCAAGGGGTCTTAACCTCTCTGCCTCTGGAGCGGAAGCACTTCTCTTGCTGGGAGCATCTCACCACGTGGAGCCTAATTACAGTATTGAAAGATACCCATCTTTTGTATAACATGGCCTCTAAATTGATACCAGCTGCTTCACCTGTTCCTCAACCAAGGACAGAGTAGTATTCAAAAACTGGCAGAAAAACCAGATGTGTGAGACCCACTGTGATGAGAGAAATTCCTCCCCAGTGTGCTTTGGTGAAGATCTCCCAAGGGTGATGTGATGTATGCTTGCCTCACATGCTTACTTAGCACCTGGGTTTCCTGCAAGATGCAACTCCAGTGAAGTCAATCTTTAATACCTACGGTCGTCAAGCACAGCTTCAGCTGTCACAATCACCAACTCCCAAGCTTGTGGGTATTTTAAGTTAGCAAATGTTATGTCCACCAACCACATGGCTAAATCCATGGACAGTGGGGTCTAGGGAATGCTCAACCCTGCTCCCAAGGCACAGAGTCGCACCCCCATGAATGAAATCAGGCCAGGTGGCTCCTGACAAGATAAAAGCATGACCTATGACCTATGACCTTCTCAAATCCTTGGTTTAGAGAAGAGTCCTCCAGTTAATGTTCCACACAAATGTGCTTATTCTCAATGAGCAATCAAAACCACACTGAGATGCAGGTGCTGGGCAATTAGCTGGGCTCTCACGCCACAGTTCATTCCTGCTTAAGCCTCCAGGCTTTTGCTACTCACATCTGTGTCCCACAACATTTACAAACTACTACATGGCACAGACTTGTGGGATAACTTACAAAGAGGTGGACACGAGTATTAATATTCATAGATAATAGTCATATTTTAATATATAATTTAATTTTGATTATATGATTTGTAATTTAGTCAATATTATTTAATAGAATATATATGTATGAATGTAAATGCAACAGGCTTACTAAAATTTGGCTAGAGTTGGGATGACCCTACTTCCCACTTGCCCAGGGCAGTCCCAATTCAGGCCAGTAGTCTGAGAATAGTACCACCCTCCTTCACTCTCACACGTGTCCCAGTATGAATAATAAAGTATACAGTCATCTTGGCTACAGTGATAGCCCTGCCTGTGCAATCTTTCCTTCTCCTGCAAGACACAGTTTGAAACTAAAAGGACCAACTCCATTACAAAATTTTTTATCACAAAACTATAATCAGTACTAAGAGCTTTGATTCTACAAGAGCCATATACTCTCAGAGATGTCCACACTGAGTTAAGTATTTCCTATTGTTAACTAGGAACCAGAAACCTCATATTCTTTCTAGATTAAAAATATGATTTCAAAGTAATCTTTAGAATGCTTATAAGTCTAAAAAGAGTAGAATGAGGAAGGAAAATAAGAGATACCAGAACCACCTCAAAGATTTTCACTTTCTCAGTTATTCAATACCATTAGATATTATACCTTCCTGTTTAACCTTCTGATATTTAGAACATGTACAAGAAGATCTGTGATACTCAGTTTGTTTGACTTGAAGAGTTGCAGTTTTGAAATTTTTCAGAGTAAAAATTTTGTGTTCAAAAGCTGTATTTCCACATCAAATGGCTTAATATGTTACACTGATTCCACTGGATCATGATGATGTTAACTTTTGGCATCACATGATGAAGGAAAACTTTGGTATTGTTACTGTGGTAATTTCAGAAAATTCAGTATGCACTGATATTTCATTGACATACCTCCTGCTACTGACAGAAGAATTTGGGTAAGATGGCTTTTAAACAGTATCACCTCTGAAGTTAACCAAATACATTACAGAATGTAAGATATAATATTTTCTAATACCAAGACCGAAAAGCCTAATACTCTACCTGTTATATGATAGACAGAATTAAACCCAATTCCAAATCTTCCGACCTTCAGAGGATCATCCTTTTTCCTGCTTCTTGCTATTTCTTGAATGCCGTGCCAGTCCTCTGGGGTGAAAACCGCGTTGTTGTACACATAGAGAGCTGGCCCTAGGTGTGAAAATGCGCAGGCAGGAATTCAAAAAAGATACCAGGGTGTTCTGTTCTATCTCAAGAGATCCTCTATACAAAATCTCTTATTCGAAGGGAAAATAGAGAGGAGTGAATAGAGTGACTGAATTCCACACTATAATTCTGTTTTTACAATAAAAATAAAGACACACACTGAAGTAAAAATTAGCAGCAGAAGAAATATACTATTGTTGGCCAAAAATCCAAAAAGGAAAAATTAAAGGTTACTCAGATACCCAAAAACATAAGGCAAACAAGAAAATCAGTTACTACTCTACGTGAAATTTGTTCTAAATAGTATATTTAAATCTTTTTTTGGTAAATGGAAAATATTTACCAAATAAATATAAAATATTTCATATATTTCATAAAACAGATGAAAATATGGGCTGGGCGCAGTGGCTCATGCTTGTAATCCCAGCATCCTAACACTTTGGGAGGCCAAAGCGTATAGATCACCTGAGGTCAGGAGTTCCAGACCAGCCTGCCCAACATGGCAAAACCCCATCTCTACTAAAAAATACAAAAAATTAGCTGGGCATGGTGGCACGCGCCTGTAATCCCAGCTACTTGGGAAGCTGAGATAGGAGAACTGCTTGAACCCGAGAGGCAGAGGCTTCAGTGAGCCGAGATCGCGCCACCGCACTCCAGCCTGGGCAACAGAGCAAGATTCCGTCTCAAAAAAAAAGAAAAAAGAAAAAGAAATATGGAGACTTGCTATGTAAAGAAACTATGTGAGATGATATGTCAATTTGTTTTAATATATAACCATTTTACTATACACACACACATATATCTTTTAACATGTTGTATGCCTTAAATATACACAATTTATTTTAAAAAATAAATCTTATTTCATAAGGTGAAAAATAATCCTTTAGTAAGATTAATAATCACCTTGTAAGTGTTTGAAGTTTTTTTATCAGCCTCTAGATTGTTCTATACAAGGCATTACTTGTATGATTTTAAAAACCATTAATGTGACAAATGTTTAAATAATACTGCAATTATACCACCTATGTAAAATAATATCAACTATCTCCAAAGTATTTCCTTCAAAAAGTAATATTTATAAAATATTTCTGCACAAAATATTTTTGGAACTCCATTTTGTGAGACCTGCCTTCAGAATCTCTAACATTCTTTGAATATATTCAACTATATTCACTCATCTTACTTTAAAGATGATTAATATTTTTCATTCAAAAAGGTACTGAAGTATAATATATACACAATAAAGTATGATGATCTTGAGGCTGCAGCTTGATGAATTCCTACAAAGCAGATGAACCTGTGTCATCTCCATCCACATGAGGTATATAGGGCACTCCCAGCACCCCCAGAAGCCTCTCCTCATCCTCCCATCAATTCAGGGACAGACATGGGGATGTGACCCAGTTTGTTTTACAAAAATGGCATGACTACTATTTTTAAAATAGTTAAAGTTGGAAAGTGCAAACAGTCAAGGCTGCAAAGGCCTTCTGTGGAGTGGAGTGGGGACTCTGCAGTCAGGATGTCAGGCCCAGCTCTCCAGTTACAGCCACAGCACTTCCAGAAACTAAAGCCATCAAGGCTCCATTTCCTCATCTGCACAGTAAGAACTCTGTCCACTGCAAAAGTGCTGGGGACCCAATGAGACAGCACAAATACGGGGCTCAGCATAGAACCCAGCAGAGCAGACCCCTAAAAACATCAGCTATCATTACTGTTATTATAAGCAGTATGAGTATATGATACTGTCAGTCTTTATGTAATATATAATTTTACATATTAAATATTACAGGAATAGTAATTAAATATCTTGTTCCTACCCAACAGCTAACTTAAAATGGCTTCTAACAAGCAGTGTCTGGTTCCAAATGTCCATTAAAAGTATCTACAAAGACAAAAAAAAAAAAAAAAGGACCACAAAAAGTCACAACACTGAACACCAGGCTCGAGAATGAACCTCTTGCCAGAATCTAGAAAGAACTCGAATAACTACAAGGTCTGTGGAAGGAAATTAAAATTTTCAGCAGGGGATACACGCACATGACATTACCAGGAACACAGTCCGCCTTGCCTGAAGGACACCCACCTTCCTTCCCACTGTCAACTGGAAAACTGGACAGCTGACCGCTGACCCCTTACTGCCTGCTTATAGGAAGCATTTGTTAAATTCCAAAATCATAGCCCTTCTCTTAAAAAATGCAAATAAGTAAGTGTTTTGCATGAAAATAAAATTCCCCTCAGATCCCCACTCTCCAAGGTACTTTTTTTTTTTTTTTTTTGAGACAATGTTTCACTCTTGTTGCCCAGGCTGGAGTGCAGTGATGCTATCTCAGCTCATTGCACCTCCGCCTCCCGGGTTCAAGCAATTCTTCTGTCTCAGCCTCCCAAGTAGCTGGGACCACAATCGCACACCACCACACCCAGCTAATTTTTGTATTTTTAGTACAGGTGGGGTTTCACCATATTGGTCAGTCTGGTCTTGAACTCCTGACCTCAGGTGATCCACCTGCCTCAGCCTCCCAAAGTGCTGGGATTACAGGCGTGAGCCCCCACCCTCCAAGGTTTTTTGACTGTCAGAACTGCTGTCTCTCACCCTACAACGTCAGTGCAACTCCTGGGAAGAGGAAACATGGTGAAAATTACCCCTAGGAGTGCAACTGTCCCGGGGTCTGGGATCTGGAGCTTTCCTTACACCCTGGCTGCTCAGTGGCAGAACCAGGCAGAGCATACAGACAGCCCTCCTCAGTAAAGAAAACGAGAAGTCGGGGGCAGGAAGAATCTAGTTATCATTTAATGTTTTTAATCAAGGTATAATTCTGATCATATTCATCCTGGAATTAGGAGAGAAGCAGTATTCTGCCTTTGCTGTAATCAACTCAGTCTCATTGGTTCACTCTCTGCCTCTATTACCAAGATCAATTTTAAAATGGCCTGTATCTACTCTGATCAAAACGATGTGTTCTTGGTTCTAAAAGTAAGATAAGAAAGGAACAAACATCCTGGCCAGACATGGTGGCTCACGCCTGTAATCCAAGCACTTTGGGAGGCCGAGGTGGGAAGATTACCTGAGGTCAGGAATTCGAGACCAGCCTGGCCAACATGGTGAAACCCCGTCTCTACTAAAAATACAAAAATTAGCTGGGCATGGTGGCAGAAGCCTATAATCCGAGCTATTCAGGAGGCTAAGGCAGGAGAATCCCTTGAACCCAGGAGGCAGAGGCTGCAGACAGCCAAGATCACGCCACTTTACTCCAGCCTGGGCAACAAGAACAAAACTCCGTTTCGAAAAAGAAGGAAAAAAAAAAAAGGAATAAACATCCTGAGAGAAAAATTAAAAGGTTGTCTGGGAAGGAAAGAGCTGGGAGCAGGCCTGCAGTCTATTTCCCCCTTTCCCCAGGGAATACCCAAGAAAGAAAGAGATGACCCAGCCAAATCTCCTTGTTAACATGCTGATGACAGACCTCTAGGCAAGCACATACACGGTGTTTACTAGGAAGAGTCCTTAGCTACTGGATACTTTACAGAAGTTGCTTATTGGAAATAAGCTTGGAATTTATATATTTAAGAGGCATAATCCCCTTGAAAATGTCACAAGTTATGTTGATTATCAGAGAAAATCATGTACATGTTTTATGACTGAAATAGCTCCCTCTGTTAAGTGCTGGTCTGTGTGCATCACTCAGAAACCAACTCCGTGAGATCCAGGCCAAGGTGTGTCCTAGTGCAGCACAGAGGGACTCTCCGTGCTTCCTTCCCCTGTGTCTTATAATCAGCTGTATCCTTGAAATCCTTAGTAAAGTGTGTTATACTGGGTGAGAGCTCTCATTCTTGTGCATGTGATTTGACAATCTGAGCCTTTTATTATCTCATTATATAAAAATGAATAAAAATAAGTTGACCTTAAGAGCTTCTGGCTGTGAAACAAAGTGCCAGTAAAGGGGAAAAGCCATGATACAAGATGACTGCTCACATCTGAATGCAAGAGAAAGATATTCTCAAATACACAAGAGCCTGGAGGGCTCTCAATAAATGTTTGTTAAATAAAGAGATCAGAGATCACTGCCACCTGCTTTTATATAATACATTCCTTTTTTTTTTTTTTTTTTTTTTGAGATGGAGTCTCACTCTGTCACCCAGGCTGGAGTGCAGTGGCAAGATCTCGGCTCACTGCAATCTCCACCTCCCAGGTTCAAGTGATTCTCCTGCCTCAGCCTCCTGAGTAGCTGGGATTACAGATATGCATCACCACGCACGGCTAATTTTTGTATTTTTAGTAGAAACAGGGTTTCGCCATGTTGACCAGGCTGGTTTCAAACTCCTGACCTCAGGTGATCCACCTGCCTCAGCCTCTCAAAGTGCTGGGATTACAGGCAGGAGCCACCATGCCCAGCCTGCATTTATTTCATTTTTTATTTATGTATGTATTTATTTTTGAGACAGAGTTTCGCCCTTGTTGCCCAGGCTGGACTGCAATGGCACAGTCTCAGCTCACTGCAACCTCTGCCTCCCGGGTTCAAGGGTTCTCCTGCCTCAGCCTCCCAAGTAGCTGGGATTACAGGTGCTCACCACCACGCCCAGATAATTTTTGTATTTGTATTAGAGATGGGGTTTCACCATGTTGGCCAGGCTGGTCTCAAATTCCTGACCTCAGGTGATCTGTCCACCTCAGCCTCCCAAAGTGCTGGGATTACAGGCATGAGCCACCGCACCTGGCCTACATTTATTTTTTACTTACTTATATATTTATTTTTGAGACACAGTTTCGCTCTTGTTGCCCAGGCTGGACTGCAATAGTGGGGTCTTGGCTCACTGCAACCTCTGCCTCCCAGGTTCAAGCGATTCTCCTGCCTCAGCCTCCCAAGTAGCTGTGATTACAGGTGCCCGCCACCACACCTGGCTAATTTTTGTATTTTTAGTAGAGACAGGTTTCAACATGTTGGCCAGGCTGGTCTCGAATTCCTGACCTCAGGTGATCTGCCCACTTGGCCTCCCAAAGTGCTGGGATTACAGGTGTGAGCCACCGCACCCAGCCCACGTTTATTTTAAATTGGCCACTTTTAAAGAGCCTATCTCTAAATATACCTATGCATAAACTCGCAAAATAATCCAGTTTCAAATGTTTTTTAAAACAAGGTGAAGTCAAGGCTAGAAGCAAAAACATCATAGGCTCTCCTTACACTCTTACCTTAGCAGTTCCACAGCACATACCGTCATCAGTATGATACCAGGTATAAAACATTATCACATATATTATCTCATATAATCCTCAAACTATGTGGGAGAAAGATTTTCTCATACCACTTGCAGGCAAGCAGTAAGTCAGTGTGAGGGTCACAGCTGCCACTGAGTGTAACAGTGCCTGGGGGGCAGTACAATGGGGTAGTACTGTGTAGGATTAGGACTTAACCTGAAGTCTCTTGAATCCAATGTTACATTAAGTCACAGGCTCTTAGAGACAAGATACCTTGCAGGCTAATCCTCTTATTATAAAAATGATCTGACCTCTGTGATGACTGGCCCAAGTCACTAAGGTAGCAGCAGTCAGGACTAGAACGCACACCTCCTGATGTTATGTCCCACACACCTCTTTTTATAGAGTATAGAAAGTACAACTTTCAAGTGACAAATGTGAGCTAAGAATGACTATATGAGACATAACAAATGCTAGATATTTAACTAAATGTTAACTGGCCTCCTAAATCATAAAACATCTTTTTAAAAATACATGACTTAAATCTCTTTAAAAAGGTGTCTCAGAAGGTCTGACTTGATCCCACTTTTTCTCAGTAACTTTCTGTCACATACAGTCATTGACAATGACTTCAGAGGTATACTAAATTGAAGTGATGTGATCTCGGCTCACTACAACCTCCGCCTCCCGAGTTCAAGCGATTCTCCGGCCTCAGCCTCCTGAGTAGCTGGGATTACAGGCGTCTGCCACCACGCCCAGCTAATTTTTATATTTTTAGTAGAGACGGGGTTTTGCCACGTTCGCCAGGCTGGTCCCAAACTCCTGACCTCAGGTGATCTGCCCACCTCAGCCTCCCAAAGTGCTAGGATTACAGGCGTGAGCCACCGCACCCAGCCAGAGGTATACTACAATTTATGAACATTCTTTTTGACACCAAAGCTCCCCGGAGTAGAAGTGAGATATTAGGAGTCTATTGGTTAGGGTTCTTATTGGATTAATAATTTATTAGTTTATGGCTTTCTTATCATGTTTCCTTTCATTTTCCTTGTTCTCTCCTCTCCTTCAATCTTTCTTCCCACCCAACTTCCAAACAATGTCGAGGGTACTCCTAAAGCGGAAAATACACAAAAGCATGGCCTTTCACAACATCTTTCCAAATGCAGGAAAGTGTTACTATACATAAATGGTGTCCCTTTATCCTACTGATAATATAAAATACAAGTTGTTTGAATAGAATAAGAGGCTTTGGTCATTACATTGCTTGTCATTTTGAGTTTTCAGATTTTATTCTTTGTTCTCTAAAAATACCAACTGGTGGAGACACCTTCCCACCAAAAGCAGAGAAAAACATCTGAAGAAGTGGACATAAACATGCCAAAAAGTACAAATGATAGACTGTTCATTAAACAAAGCATTATTAATCATTAAAAACTGCCTGTTAGTGCATACAATAAAATTTGTTCCTAATTATTGATTCTTACCCTGATATGGCGCCATATCTTTTGACCAAAGAGTCTCTGTTCCGTATTGAGTTTCATCATATAAAAATTTAACTTCTGTCGCCCCAGCATCTTCTGCATTCTGAATTAATTCCTAACCAAAAAATATACCAAAAAATAGTAATTAATAACACAGTAATCTACTGCTCATCTTTGTATTTATCTATAATATTTAAGAAGTTAATATACTTAAATAAAGGAAACCCACTATTTGCAACATTACCTTTAAGATCTGGTGAGGCTACTACTGAAAGTAATTGTTACATAGATGTGACAGTATGGTTGAAAAGTCCTTCTCCAATTATTTGCACTTAAATTTTGTCTTTTAATTTGCTATCACTTAGCAAATTAATCCTGGGCCCTATTTATAACTGTCTCATATTTACAATCTACCCAAAGCTTTTGTTCAAAGGAAATTATTCTATTTCCAAAAGCTGCACATATCGTCCTGTGTGGCAGGTAACTTAAGCTTGAGTGATTGCCAAAAATAGACCTTTTTTATCCTTTGCTTACTAAACTTACCTTTCCACAGAAAAACAATAAAACCAAATAGTAGCAATCTATATATACCCTTCAATTGGCTGCTTTCTTGAGAGCCTGAGATATAAAAATGTCTTTGTCCTGCACTAAACTGAAAGCTTCCAGATGGTCAGGACTGACTCATTCCTTTCATCAAGAAGAAAGCACTACCATTTGTTTGGTGAATGGTGGGTGAGTGGAAGGGTGACCAGCTCCCCGTAATGTAGAAAGGAAAGGGCAAACTGCAAGATTTGCCTCAACAAAATTTCCAATCCTAACAACCCCAATCACTTCTGCACACCTACTAAAATCACGCTGGGCTCCGTTCAGTTTGAAGGGAGCTCCAGAATCTGAATCAAGAATCAGCTCCTAGATCCAACCCCATGATCATCAAAAGAGCTTTTTTACTTCCCCAGAGCCTTGGGATCACTAAATTGGAGGTACAGATGGGCAAAAATTGAAGAGCACTTTAACTGATACTACAACAATGTCAACAGTGATGCCTACATCAGAGTAGAGAGGTGGTACGATGACTACATGAAACAAAATAACTACAAGGAGACTGAGGGAGCAGAAGTGAAAAGTCAGTTCTGAGATTGTGCTCAGTTCACCCAGTGCATCCCAAAGGGCTGGAGTGTGGTACCCACCAGCTGTTCCACCCCAAACATGAACAGCTAAGTCGTGCCTCCTGCAGCCTCATTATCAGCTAGTGATTCTTCCTTGTTACGTAACTAACTATTTCTCATGGGATTTTAATTTTTTAGGCCTCATTCAATCCCAGAGAATCCCTAAAAATTAACAATCTTATTTACATTAGGATATTATAATAATATGAAGGATGGAAATAAGAATTAAATAGGTAGTGAAAAACAATGTTAACTTACAAAATGATAGCACTTTAGATGTTCGACCTTGTTTTCATTCAGGTATCTATTTATTATTTATGTGTACTTTAGGGAGCAGAGAGGCAGAAAACTAAAGATAAAATCTAAGTCCCAGGTTCCACTCATTCTCAAGTTGAATAAAAAATAGGATAGGAAGCTTTTCCCCTAAATTGCAATCCTGAGAGATTGTTTGTAAACTAACTCTGGGAAACAGCAACAATACATTTTGTATTTGGTCTTGGGCAAGCCACTAAGATCTCTGGACCTGTTTCAGCAAACACAAATACCATAGAAGGTGGTGGTGTAGGTCTTGGTGATTTCTAAGACTCCTATTAAATCTAAAACAGTCTAATTCTACCACAACATCCAAGGAACAAAGATTACATTGAACTGGCTACAATACAAATATATCTATAAGCAAAGCAGAAGGCGCGTAGCCCTCAGCTGTTTGCCATAGACCTTTCTCATTTCTCAGCAAGGATCCCACTCGCTCACTTCTAAACAGATGACAACCTACTCCTGTTACCACTATACCTTTATTTTAAATGTATTCTATTCACTTCTTTCTACCCCAAAACCACCTCGTAGCAATACTCTTTCCATCCTCACTTTCCTAATAAGTCAATACAAAAACTGTTTTTGAATTCGCTTTCTGTGAACCACTGGTGCCTATGCTGAAAGATGGACTGCTCCAACAGCCCAGTCTCACCATGATCACTAAAGACACAACAGTCCTCAGTGAGTGCCTACCTGAGCATGACTCTCTTAAATTAAAGAGACCTAGTCCTGATTCCCTCACAGTTTACAATCTAAACTAGAAAATATAACCAGGGCCAAGATACTGAAGGTAATAAACACTAAACAAGCTAATGGGAAGGAAAATGCATAACAACTGGTCTACTTTGACAATTAAGGAAGTTTCTTATTAAACACAAAATCTAATTTTTGCAGTATCTCCCATTATTGCTTTCTTTGATGATTATTGGTTTTTCTTTTTTTGTTGTTTTATTGTTTGTTTGTTTTTTGAGACGGAGTGTGGCTCCTGCTGCCCAGGCTGGAGTGCAGTGGCGCAATCTCGGCTCACTGCAATCTCTGCCTCCGGGTTCAAGCGATTCTCCTGCCTCAGCCTCCTGAGTAGCTAGGATTACAGGCAGCCACCACCATGCCTGGCTAATTTTTGTACTTTTAATAGAGACGGGGTTTCGCCAAGTTGGCCAGGCTGGTCTCGAACTCCTGACTTGAGGTGATCCACCCGCCTCAGCCTCCCAAAGTGCTGGGATTACAGGCATGAGCCACTGCGCCCAGCCTGTTTTTTAAAGAGTATAATCAAACTAAAAAAACATATTACAAAAAGAAATAAGTAAATAAAATAATTATCCTATTAAATAAACCCTCCCAAAATAGCAAACCTCTAAAATCAGGAGTCCAATGGGCATGCATTCAAGCCTCTAATCGTAGAATGTATTTGGCTGGCCGGTTGGCTGGCTGGCTGGTTGGTTGGTTGGTTGGTTGGTTGGTTGACGTGTAAAGCCCTGCACAATGATCTACAGAGAACATTCCCGGAGCGACACTGCTGATTACAGCACCCAGTAGCTTAGCGCATTTCTTTGCCCCAGAAAACCTCACATATTTATATCAATTCCATTCTCAAATGGAGCTATACACTGCTATACACTGCAGCCACAGAGGTATAATACAGCTATTTGAATCTAGACAACATTTTAAAAATTTAAACACTAATAGGACTTTCAAGTAAATTTACTTCATCTCATTTTTATCAAAGTAAATAACACATGAACACGACATGTGCCCCACCTTAAGAATCTGTCCTCCTTCTGGATATCTTCTCAAAATGTCCTTGAGAAAATCAACAAGTGGTGGCGTTGTCTGACCAAATCGACCTAAAATACGGAGCACATTTTAAGTGAGTTAGAAAAAAAATCCCATGAATTGTCACCAATGTGTGACTTGAATCTGAGACATCATATAACTATACAAGTTATGGTTGCATATATCTCACTGCAGCACCCTGGTACAGAAATCTACCTGACGAAGCAATTCAGCAGAAAGTAAAGCAGATTCAATTGTATCAAATCTCAAGTTGTTTTGTTTTGTTTTGTTTTGTTTTTTGAGACAGAGTCTCGCTCTGTCGCCCAAGCTGAAGTGCAGTCGTGTGATCTCCCCTCACTGCAAGCTCCACCTCCTGGGTTCATGCCATTCTCCTGCCTCAGCCTCCCGAATAGCTGGGACTACAGGTGCCCACCACCATGCCCAGCTAATTTTTTTGTATTTTTAGTAGAGATGGGGTTTCACCATGTTAGCCAGGATGGTCTTGATCTCCTGACCTCGTGATCCGCCCACCTTGGCCTCCCAAAGTGCTGGGATTCCAGGCGTGAGCCACCATGCCTGGCCTCAAGATTTTTAACTGAACTACAAATAAAGTCTCAAAAAATGTTCAAAAATATAATAACTATTAATTCAAAAACAAGAAGCATGGTGCAGTGGGGAGGAGTGTTGATATTTTCCAAAGCAAATAAAATAAATGATGTTATTTTGTGGCTGCTTTGCCATTAAATAACAAGCCAGAGACAGAGGTGCCTATTATCACATTCTTAATATTCTCAAATTCAACCAGTGTTCTGATTGTTCTGAAATTCAGCAGTCACTGTCTCAATGGCTGTCCACTTCAAGTACCTTCAAGCCTTGCCTAAACTAGATATTCTTAGACCAACTGACCAGGTCACCTTCAGACAAGTGACAGGGCTGTAGGAAGAACAAGAAAATGGGAAGTAATGCCTCAAATACACAGCATTTCAAAAATCTGTTTATCAGTATAAAGAAACCTCTGCTTAAAAAAGCAAAATTGTCACTATAAATTTATTTGCGTCATTTTGGTACAACCACATACTGAGACCAAGCTCAAACAAGACTCTGTTTCCACAGACTTCTATCCCACCCATTCTTTTTTTTTTTTTTCAGACGGACTCTCCTTCTATTGCTCAGGCTGGAGTGCAGTGGCGCAATCTCAGCTCACTGCAAGCTCCTTCTCCCAGGTTCACGCCATTCCCCTGCCTCAGCCTCCTGAGTAGCTGGGACTACAGGTGCCCGCCACCATACCCAGCTAATTTTTTGTATTTTTTAGTAGAGATGGGGTTTTACCGTGTTAGCCAGGATGGTCTGGATCTCCTGAGCTTGTGATCCGCCCTCCACAGCCTCCCAAAGTGCTGAGATTACAGGCGTGAGCCACCATGCCCAGCCTATCCCACTCACACTTCTTTTTTTTTTTTTTTGAGACGGAGTCTTGCACTGTCTCCTGGGCTGGAGTGCAATGGAGCGATCTCAGCTCACTGCAACCTCTGCCTTCCAGGTTCAAGCGATTCTTCTGCCTCAGCTTCCCAAGTGGCTGGGAGTACAGGTGCGTGCCACTACACCTGGCTAATTTTTTCTATTTTTAGTAGAGACAGGGTTTCACTGTGTTAGCCAGGATGGTCTTGATCTCCTGACCTCGTGATTCGCCTGCCTTGGCCTCCCAAAGTGCTGGGATTACAAGTGTGGGCCACCACACCCGGCCCCCACTCATTCTTATAACTAGCTCCATCCACGCTTGTCTTCCTCTGGCCCTGATGTCCCCTCACTCTATCCCAATGGGATATGATTTCATTTCATTTTTAAAACATAATCTTTAAAACAGCTTTATTGAGTACAACTCAAATACAAAGCACTGCAGATATTTATTTTGCAACTTGATGCATTTGGAGATAAGTACGTACCATGAAACCATCAAACTATCATTGTCAGTGCCATAAACTTATCCATCATCTCCAAAAGTTTCCTCCCATCTCTTCTGTTGTGCTTTATTAAACTTTTATGGTAAGAGTAATTAATATCAGATCTACCCTACCCACTTAGTAAGTTTTTAAGAATACAACACAGTATTGTTATTCATGGGCCCTGTACTGTATAGAAGATCTCCAGATCTTCTTTATTCATATAGCAAACTTTGTACCTTTGGCCAATGACACCCCATTTCTCCCTGCCCCCACCCTCTGGCAACCACCATTCTACTCCCTGCTTCTTTGTTAAAACTCAATCTCGGCTGGGAGCGGTGGCTCACGCCTGTAATCCGAACACTTTGGGAGGCCAAAGACGGTGGATCACTTGAGGTCAGGAGTTCAAGACCAGCCTGGCCAACATGGTAAAACCCTGTCTATACTAAAAATGTAAAAATTAGCTGGGCGTGATGGCAGGCACCTGTTTTCCCAGCTACTTGGGAGGCTGAGGCACGAGAATCACTTGAACAGAGGCTGAGACACGAGAATCACTTGAACCCAGGAGGCAGAGGTTGTGGTGAGCTGAGATTGTGCCACTGCACTCCAGCCTGGGCGATAGGGCGAGACTCAGTTTCAAAAACCAACCAAACAAACAAACAAAAAAACTCAATCTTTGTGCAACCCAACATGGTATATACTTCTGGTAAAGTCAATATTATACCTCCCCCTTTTAAGCCTTTTGATTGAAGGTTTACAAAAAGATGACAATTTTTGGAAGTCAGATCTCCAATCTTGATCCAGTCAGATAACTGAAAAAAAGCAAAAGAAAATGTATGAAAAGCAATACAGTCTCTAATACTGTAAATTCAAGACATTATCTCAAATTTTTTCACTTAAGTAATGCTTGTTAAGTCTTCTTATCATGAAGGAAGTTGTCTGGAGAAGTGAATATTCCACGGAACACAGATTTAGTCAAAAACTTTATTTAAAAATTTAAGGGACTAAAAGATTTTTCGTTAATTACAAATAGATAAAAATATATATATTTCTCCATTAACATAATTTAAATTTTTAAATGATGAATCGGGATCATTAACATAAACAAAATCATTCTTCTGATCAACATTTCCAAAGTGTATTGCTCATAACAGAGCTCCATGAGACCTCAACACATATTAGAGGACCAAAAAAAATTGTTTTTAAATTAGTTTAGATGAATAATAATATGATTGCATAAAATAAGCTGGCTCTAAGTTGCTACCTACACAATGTTTCTTAAGTTTAAAAACAACTGAATGTAAACAGCATATTGTTTAGGTTACGTATTCAGGCTACACACACAAACATATATGCACATATATACA
This sequence comes from Homo sapiens, assembly GCF_000001405.40. NCBI lineage: Eukaryota > Metazoa > Chordata > Mammalia > Primates > Hominidae > Homo > Homo sapiens. The sequence goes on from NC_000013.11 coordinate 23,371,721, forward strand.
AACATAACACATATCCATACATACGTAAGTATACACACAAATGCACACATTTATAGAACTATTAAAACTACCAAAAAGGCAAGAGAATAATCAGCACAAAGGGGTAAGGAAAGAGGGACAGGAATACAGGCTGGGGAGAAGATGCACAGAGGTAAGTACTAACACTGTTCTTGTTCTCTGGTTGAATGACATCATCATAAATGATCATTCTATTGTTAAACAATTATTAAAAGAAAGCCCCAGCCTGGGCAACACAGTGAGATCTGTCTCTATTTGAAAAAAATTTTTTTTTAAATTTGTGTACAGTTTAGTTAATTCATTTTTAATTGGTGTATAATAGTCATTAATATGTCACAGAATTTGAGTTGTTTCTAAATTTTTGTTGTGAAGAATGGTCCTCCTGCCGAAGTACCTGTGCAAAGAGTGAACTAGTTTTTATAGGCTTGCTTTAAGGTTTAGTGGGAATACGTGCATGAAAGTATTTATAATCTGGGACCTGTAATAGCATACTCAGTTTTGTGTTCTAGAGATGGAGACTAGCATGAAAATGATGTACAGAAAGTAAGGAGACCAGGACAAATCCCTCATGCATAGAACAGTATCTGTAACACAGCGGCTCAATAAATGATAAGCATATTCTCAACACATTTTACCAAAACACAGAAGGAGCAACGTGCCCAGCATCAGTTACTATCTCCAGCCTGACCTCTCTCCCTTGAGTTTCAGTTCCAGATTTGCAGCTGCCTACTGAACATCACTATCTAGCAGAGACTTTAGAATTGGTTAGAATTAGCTTTATCCCATTCATACTAGAAATAGGAAATCAGTCCCCAATACATGAATTAATTTGGCAACTGTTACATATACACAGGCAGGACAGGAAGTAGGACCTAAGGCACCCACCTCTCCGCTTCCTAGTTTCCTAGATGCTATGCTGCCTTATGTCTCACCAACAGCTGAACTATATATAAAAGCAAACTGGTCATCATACTTCCCCCTCTGTATGTGCTTATCTCTGATGATTACGTCTTTATTTTCTTGGTCTGACTCAAAGCTTGCCAACGTCCTTGGCAAGACCTTCCAACTTATTCTACACCCATCCCCCACATCCACATCCATTTGGTACCAAATTGTGGCAATTTTGACTTTTGCAAAGTCTCTTGTATATCCTTTCCTTTGGTTTCACCTTTACAGCTACAGTCCAGAACCTCATTACCTCATACCAGGACGAAAGGGTCCTACTTAGACCCCTGTCTACCCACACCCCCAATCCCAAACAGTCAACACACCCTGCCACTTTCACCATCCCATATCCATGCTTTGCAGGGACACCCTGCAAAAGCACTTCTAAATGGCAGGGCTAGCCACAACGGAGGCTTTCAGTGTGACCACATCTAGGGGACAAGATGATCAAGTAGAACCAGAGGAGGAACCAAAGAAGTGGGTATAGACCCAGGAGAGGAAGGTTAAGAGATGTCGGCAGGCATAGAGAAAGGAGTAAGAATGACAAACTGCTCCTTCACAAGTCTGCCTAAAGTCCTCAATCAGCCTCTCCAACTGCCACCAAGAGGTCCATTCCTTCCAAAGAAGCTAAGGCTATGCTGGGGTGAGGCCCTCACTTCATCCAGCAACTAGCACCCGGTGCAGCAGCACAAGCCCGGCACTCAAATGCCTCTGTCTCAGCGGTTGTAGACTTCACTAGGCCTTCATTCTACACTACGATGAGGTGTCCATCATGGAGGTTAAGATCAATGCCCTCATTAAAGCAGTCGGGGGGCTGAGCGCAGTGGCTCACGCCTATAATCCCAACACTTTGAGAGGCCGAGGCAGGCGGATCATGAGGTCGAGAGACTGAGACCATCCTGGCCAACATGGTGAACACCGTCCCCCCGCCCCGCGCCGCCTCCCATCTCTACTAAAAATACAAAAATTAGCTGGGCGTGGTGGCACACGCCTGTAGTCCCAGCTACTCGGGAGGCTGAGGCAGGAGAATCGCTTGAACCAGGGAAGCGGAGGTTGCAGTGAGCCGAGTGTTGCAGGCACTCCAGCCTGGCGACAGAGCGAGACTCCGTCTCACAAAAAAAAAAAAAAAAAAGGAAAAAAAGCAGTCGGGGGATATGCTGAACCTTTTTGGCCTGGCTTGTTTGCAGAGGCCCTGGCCAATGTCAACATCAGGAGCCTCCTCTGCAATGTAGGGGCTGGAGGACCTGCTCCAGCGGCTAGGGGTTCATCCACAGGCCAGTCATGCCCCTCCACTGCCGCTGCTCCAGCTGAGCACAAGGAAGTGGACGCAAAGAATCTGACGACTCTGGTGATGACATGGCTTTGGACTTTTTGACCCGACCTGTTTTACAGCATGTTCAGTAAAAAGCTGAACTCTTTAAAAAAGTAAAAATAAATAATAAAGACTTCAATCAAGTCAATGTCTGCATGCCAACGAACACCTTGGGGAACTGATCAGAAGGACTGATGAATCCCCCGAGGAGCATGAAAACAGGTAATAAATGTGTGTCAAGGAGGGCAAAGGACTAGAAAACTGACTCAAGTACACAGAAGGTCAGGATTACACTGAAGCAGGAAAAATCACAGATACCAACTACTTCACCAATAATATTTGTATCGAGTAGTAAGGAAATTCAACACCTGAAATGTCATCCTATACGCTCAAGTATTCCTTGTATTATCTGTTCAACTCTTTGTGACTCTTTTAAATGCTGGAAATGATGTTATCACATGAAGATGTTTATTAGAAAAAAAGAAATGTTTTAAAAGAGTTAACTGTCAGTAAAATGTCTTCAACTGAACTCTCCCTTTAAGAAAGCTATAGAATTTTAACCAATCTTAAAGAATACATAACAATATTCTTGTTTTCCAAAATTTTCTGACCTATCAAGTCAACCTATCACTTGAACTTTAAAAGTTTTAGTATGTTTACTCCCCAAGATAACAGGTTCTATATTAAATTATGTCTAAAGATTCTTTCAGTGCCAAATTTCTGTATCAAAAATGGAGAAAAAACTTCCAATATATCAAAGGTGAAGATATTTACCAACATTCTACTTAAACTTATTACATAAATAGAAATAAATGAGTAATGATTAAATCACTTCATTGATGATGTCTAAAAAAAAAACTTCTGACTCCAATGTCCACCAAAAAAAATCTCTGAATTTCAGAAAGTGAAGATTCAGATGAAATGATGGGTGGGGTTCGGGGTGGGGGATGCAAACGGAAAAGGCAAGTGATGAAAAGCCACAACTCAGGACAAGCACAGGCGGCCACGCTGCCGGAGTCATTCGCGCCGCCCGCGGAAACCTGCGTCGCCCACCCCGGGCCCTCGACGCCCGCCGTTCCTCCGCGTGGCGGAGCCCAGCCCAGCGCCCCCGGCCACCGCCTACCTCGCGGCCGCCGCGCCACAGCCGCTGCTCCGACACCGGGAAGCCAGTCTCCGCGAAGATACGTTCCTTCACATCGCGCACGGTCCAGGACGCCAGCGCCGCGACGGTCCTGCAGCCCACGCAGCCGGGGAGCACGGTCACCGGGACCCACCTGTGGAAAGCAGAGGGACGCTCAGTCGGGCTGCGGCTGCCACCCGCCCGCCCAGCGCCCGCGCGGCCTCCACCCGCGTTACCTCTCCCACATCGCGGCGCGGCAGGCGCCCCTAGCGCCCGCCCCTGACGCCGGCGCCCGATCACGGCCGGCCCTACCGCGTCCACAGGCCCCGCGCGGGCCGGGAGGGCGGGATCCGCATGGCGCAGTCCCGTACGCAGCAGCCCGCGCCGAGGAGGAAACGCTAGAGGAAGCCGCGGCGGCCGAGGAGCAGGCGGGGGCGGGGACTGCGCGCTCCCGGCCCACTCCCGGCCCTGCAGGCGCCGCCCGCGGGGACACGCCCACCCGCCGGGACCGTTAGCTGGGGATCCGCCCCGCCCCTCCCGCCAGGCCCCGCCCCCAGGGAACGCCCATCCAGGCCCCGCCCAGTCAAGTTCTGTCTTGCCCAATCCGGACAGTTAGCGAAGGAGCCGCCCCGCCCCACTCGCCCACCAGGCTCCGCCTGCCAGGCCCCGCCCCGCCTGCAGAGGCGCCTCTGCCAGAAGGCAAACCCAATAAGGGTATACAGAGCGTACAGCTAGAGGACAGGTGCGTTGTCCCTTTTAGAGCTCAACAGTGCATTGAAATGCAGAACTAGGCATTTCTAGGGCCTGTGTCTCCTTGAACTCTAATGACTTTCATTCCATGGAAGCATCTCCAGTAAGATCTATAGTGGCCTCCGAGAAGGGAACGTGCTGGTTACAGAACACAAGTGTCTTCCACGGTTTCGTTCTGTGCTCGGTTTTTGAGGCACAGAAGTAGGATCAGTGGCTCAGTTTGCTGGAGGAAAGAGAGCCAGCAGCAAAGTAAGATCAGAATGCACATAAATGTATCCTATGACACGTTAAAAATATTTGTAACTTATTTTGGCAATATTATATTGTTGGTAGCCTGAATGTCTTCCCATCACAACCGCAAGCTCCTTGAAAGCAGGAACATGAGTCTTAAGAGTTGATGAAATCGCCCCACGATAAGTAAAGTTGCCATGTAATTTGAAAGTGTGTGGGGCTTAGAGGCTTGGGGGAACCTCAGGCTGTTCCTTTGGCTTATTTCTCTTAGGTATATATGATACACATTGCAAAAAAAAAAAGTGACATCTATTAAGGCAATTCAAAGGCTACATCATGAACAAGTAAACTTGTGTGCTCCTTATTTTAAATACCTTGAATGGAACAGAATTAAATTTTAGAGTTGCCCCAAAAAATAGATAATAAATTGCCATTTCTCCCTTCCCCCCAAAAAAAATTATTACTCAGAACTCATCATCAGTAGTAAATACAGAGAATGTTCTACAGCTGTTCCATCTCTCTTACCACAGTTAAAAAGGGAATGATAGAAGTCATGCATGCCTCTTCCTACTTGGGAGAGGTAAGTAAGTATGCTCCATCAATTGGAGGAGAATATGGTGATTCAGTATAAAGACAAGGCCAGAAAGCCCTAAGGGCCAAATATGTACTTCTTGGCTGGGTGCAGTGACTCACATCTGTAATCCCAGCGCTTTGGGAGGCCAAGACGGGTGGATTACTTGAGGTCAGGAGTTCGAGACCAGCCTGGCCAACATGGTGAAACCCTGTCTCTACTAAAAATACAAAAATAAGCTGGGTGTGGTGGCACACACCTGGTTTTCTTGTTGGAAAAACTATAAACTCATCATAGAATTTGATGGAGTAGTGAATCATCCTACAATATGGGTGACCCTTGCAGACATTCTGCTAAGTGAAAGAAGCCAGTCACTGAAGACCACATGTTGTATGATTCCATTTATATGACACGTCCAGAATTGGCAAACCCATAGACAGAAAGTAGATTAGTGGGGCTGTGGGGGGAGGGAACGAGGAGGCAGTGCTAATGGGTGTGGGGTTTCTTTGGGGATGGTGGAAATGTTCTGGAATTAGTAGTGCAATGTGCACAATTTTTTGAACATCCTTAAAACCAGGTGAATTGTACACTTTAAAATGGCAAATTTTATGGTATGTGAGTTATACCTGAAAAAAATTCACAATGTAGCTGATGTGAATGCAAAGGCTTTTCCTGGACCACCTCTGGGAACAAAACCATTTGAATGAAAACATGGAATGAAAAACCTCGGTTTTTCCGTGGAGCCTGGTGGTTGGTTTGTTCATTTTACTCTCTTCCTACAATGTACTCAGTCCACTACCAGAGTGGTCAGAACAGACATCTTTGCTCCCAAATAGATACATCAGCAGGATAAAATAAAATCTTCTTATCCTGTCCATGCCCTCCATCCAGTGCCCTCCACTTGACTTTCCTACCCACCACATTTCCTGCCAGGCTCCAGCACATCACATTCGCTCTCGGAGCTCTCCTGTGTGGCCTGTGCATATGTGTTCCTTCCTTCCCCGGTACCCACTCCTCCTTCAGATTCAACCTCAGCCCCAGCATCTGTGGTGGGAGTGACAGATACTTCAAGAGGCATTAGTGCTGCGAGACTCCCGTCCAACGCCTGGCCCACTCCTCCTGGCCTTGTCTCCTTCTGAGCCAGGAGTGAACCCAGCACAGGGCTCCTGGATTCCAGCTCCAACATCCCTGCCTGGCACAGAGTAGTCCCAAGAGTAGATCCTCCGTGGGATATCCCAGTGGTCCAGATGGAATTTATTGGACAGGCCAGATTCAATTACCATGTGCCAGAAAAATGACAAAACTTTTCTTCTCTTTGTGCTCAGGTAGACACAATTGCTTCGCTTTTATTTTTAGCGACATTAAACATGCTTTGGGAAATGAGGTCATGTTTCTGAGTTAGCATTCCTGCCTTTTCTCCTTCCAAAGAGGGCATTACAAATTCCCTAGAGTGCTGTACAAAATAGGAGAAAACAGGATTGTACAGATTTTACATGGTGCTTTTGAGTCTACTGGTCATTTTAATGAGAGTTTGTTGTTTGGTTGCCAGAAATCCTGGGTTATTCAAAGACAGCTTTGCCAAAGAAAATTAACCAGTGAGGGCTGGAAATACAGTCACGCTTACATAAGTCAGTGAGTAATGCGAGAGGACTTAGCATTAGAAAGGAAAAACGTGACTCAGGCCCCCGGATAGTGGAGGGACACATCTTGAGCTGCACCCACCATTTCAAGGAATATTAAAACCACATGAGGTTTTTCAGTTCCTCTTACGTCGATCACCACCTTTGATTAAACATCCTCTCTTGCAAATTTTTTTTTTCTTTTTTGAGACAGAGTCTCGCTCTGTCGCCCAGGCCTCTGCATCCTGGGTTCAAGCAATTCTTGTGTCCCAGCCTCCCGAGCAGCTGGGATTACAGGTGAGCACTACCATGCTTGGCTAATTTTTGTATTTTTAGTAGAGACAGGGTTTCGCCATGTTGGCCAGGCTGGTCTTGAACTCCTGACCACAGGTGTTTCCGCCCACCTCAGCCTCCCAAAGTGCTAGAATTACAGGGGTGAGCCACCACGCCTGGCTCTTGCAACATTTTATAGAAAATATGGAAAGAGAGTGAGCTGGCTATAGCAGCATGTAGATTAAACTGAATGCATGCTAATAATTAGTGTATTTTAACAGAAGCTCAGCTCTAGATACAATAGTAGGAAACTTATCATATAAACTTGTGAAACACTCCATCATAAAACTGAATACACTGAAAAAAGGAAATAATATAAAAAGGGAATAGAGTAAAAAATGCCAAAATACACTCTGATGCACTTGTTCCTTTTTTCTGTCTTCCAACTCTTGCTACTCTTCCAGTCAGTTAATATCCCTTCTGCTTTTCCTTTATTTTTCTGAGTTGTTCCTGATGTTCTGCCCCTCTCCCTCCTCTACCAGGCTCCCTGGTAGTGAATCGAGGGTGTGACCCCAGCTCTCGCGCCTGCTGCTGGGAAAGCGTGGACAGGTCACAGCTCTAAACTCTCTTTCTCACCTGTACAGCTGGACATGGTGCCACCTTCCTCCCAGGCTTATTGTGAGGTGGCAGGAGGCACTGACCTGGGAGGTGTTCCTCTCCTGTTCATTCACGTCATAAAATGTGAAGCACCTACTCAGTGCCAGGCACTGGTGTCCCGACAAAGAAGCCTGGTGCCTGTGCTCGGGGACTGCTCACCTCATGGCACAGCAGCCAGGCAGGAATTACATGAGGGTGGGCTCCTCACGCTCCCCTCACTCTGGGCCTCTTACTCTTCCTCTCCCTCTCCTTCTGCACTGGCATCTGAACACTCAAGGCCAGTGCTGGAAAATACAGGGAGCAGGCAAAGGGATTCTTGAGCGCCTCAAATCTCTTCACCTCAACCTCACCTCCCTCTCCTATGTGCCCTACTCTTTTCTCCACCCTGTCCCCAATTCTGTGGTGTTGAGTAAACGTTAACTGTGCACACTGCTTGTGGGACAGACCCTCTGTGGGGTGCTGGGAAATTGAAGATAATGGGAATAACAGCAACACCTCTGCTTGTAAGGAGATTGAAGAATAGGATGATACACAAACATAAATATAATTTCAACATAAAAGTGAGAGTCCTAAAGTCAAGGAAACCTATCTAAGACATTAGTTGCTGCCAACTGCCCAGATATTGTCTTCTATGAACAGGGCTTCCCTGGGCTACCACCATGGCTTTATGCCCCAGGCAGGACAGACACTGCCTTCCTGCTTGGTCTTATACCTGGAATGAAATCTCTTTTTTTCTTTTCTTCCCTCATTGTTTTTATCCCCAAGCACATTCCAGAGCTCAGCTCCCAGCCTGATCTACCTGTCACATGACATCGTTGATTCTTCCCATTTGGGCCACACTATTTCCTCAACATCCTTCCTGCTCTTGAGGAAGGTCTCACCCCACAGTGGCCCTGGGATTCCCTCGTGTGTGTGTGTGTGTGTGTGTGTGTGAGAGAGAGAGAGAGAGAGAGAAAGAGAGGGAGAGTGTGTTTACAAAGAGAACTGACTTCCCCCACCTCTTTAGAAAGGATGATGCTGACTGGGCAGCTGTCAGCAGCACTTACCATTCTCACCGGCCTTGGTAGCGCCCTCTGAGCACTGCTTGCTTCTTTGCACAGGAAGGAAACCAAAGGGCTTTCTTCACAACCAATACCTAATACCTCTTCCAAGTTTATCTGTATTTTAACAAAGGATTTTAATTTCTGTATGGGGCGCTGGGTTCCTATTTTGGAAAAGTCAGTCCTGCAACTGTCTCTGAAATAATAGCCACAAAATCATTCATTTTAAGCTCCAATTGGGAGGGTGAGAAACTCGAAACCAAGCCTAATAATAATAACAACAATAATAATAATAAAGCTGTCACTAGTTGAGCACTTAGTAGGCATCAAACACTTCTTCATCTTAAATGCTTTGCAAACACTATCTTATTTAATCTTCACTAAAATCCTATGAGGCATTATTGTTTCTACTTTACACATGATGAAAGACAGAGTCAGGAACGTTGTAATTGCCCAAGACCACACACAGGGCCATGACCTAACTGTGCTCTGAACAAGCTGAAAGCCTTTAATCACTGTACATATCCCCATATGCAGCAGTTATTGACGTAACAGAGAGATTTACCCTGAAGAAAAGATGACCCGAGGGGACATGCTATACTCTTCAAATAGGAGAGTGGCTTTCATCCGTAAAAGTTTCTGTGGCGCCAGAGATGGACAAATTTGGGGTTCATTATTTAAAAAATTCAATAGTTGGAACAGTACTCATTTTAACTCATTTATCACCAAATAGGTGTAGAACCCGTCACATCCACACTAGTACAGTCAATTCCCAGATAAACCTGAAAATGAGACATTATCATCCACCATCATAAATCACGACGCAGGACCCAAAGATGGTTTGTAATTTGTCTAAAGTTCTTTGCAAATGCAAGTGTCAGGATTGGAACCCAGGGCTCCACTTGATTTTCCCTAAGCTGTGCTGCCTGCAGCTTTGGAGTAAAGGGACTGAAATCAACCCTTTGCTTGAGATTCTAAAGATCATGCGCAGTGCTCATCAGGGCCCAGTGTCCTGAGGTCTCTCTTCAGGCCTGTCACTGTCTTGTGCTCTCCAGCGCATGGCAATATCACAGTCTGGCTGGACATGGGCAGCACGAAGCACACACACACACACACACACACACACACACACACACACAGGCAAACACTCTGGCTGGACGTGGGCAGCATGAAGCGCGCGCACACACACACACAGGCAAACACTCCTACTAGCCTGCACAGGATCAATACACAAGCATGAATTATAGAATAGAGATATATACCTTCAGCAAAAAGGGTGTGATCTTACACTTTCTACTTCTTTTCAGTTACTGACAGTCACTTGAGTTCTGCCCTTTATTTTGTTTTGAGGTGCTGTCTCAGATAGAATCCCTAGACGTTGATTTGATTAAACTAACATCCTCTGGTCAGAAGTAATTGAGAAACATGAGTTTATTTATAAAAAACAAATGGGAACTATTTGTTTTTATCATATTGTATTTTTACTATTTCTTGCTTACATTCATTAAAGGTTTTTTAAAATAAAAACAAGTTTTTAAATCCCATTTCTAAATATTTGGAGTTAGGGTGATATTGTCAATGAACAGTTCAATGGGTTATCATTACTTTATTGCTGTGCAGAGCCTTTGCCACAGTAACTTGGAAAAATGAATCATAGAAACTCCATCCACAAAATTACAGATTTTTGCATTTGTGAAGACTAACACCCAATTTATTTTCTTTGCCTATTATTAAAAGAGGAGCATGCTACAGTCTTCCTCATACAGAAAAGATTATAAACGGCTGCACACATTTGCTGTTCTGTAGAACAATTATAGTAGTTGGCAGGCATCCACCACTGGAGGGGACACAAAGAAAACGCCAGTTAGAAATAGGTCAGCGGAGGTTTTTTTGCTTTTTGTTTTTTGTTTTTTTTGAGACGGAGTCTCGCTTTGTTGCCCAGGCTGGAGTGCAGTGGTGTGATCTCGGCTCACTGCAACCTCTGCCTCCCAGGCTCAAACAGTTCTCCTACCTTAGCCTCCCGGGTAGCTGGGATTACAGGCACCCAACACCATGCCTGGCTAATTTTTTGTAGGTCAGGGGAGATTTTGAAGGAAAATTAGGAATGGATCCATAAAAAGCAAAATGGATTTTATATGATTACAATTGAATTGAAGCTTCATCTGTTAAAATCTTACATTTTGCTCATTTCCCAAACCATTTCAAATGTTCTCTTGATAGAGATGCATTGGATATATTAAATAGTTATAAAATGAAAAAAAGTTTATTTACTCATTAATTATAAAAATGGATGTTTCTGAATCATCAAAAATGAATTTTTTAATCGGGGAAGCAAATAATAATATTCAAATGTATATTTGAACTCAACGAATCCTAAATCTAAACAAATCATGATTGTTCACTATTTCTATAATCTTTATAACTATAATGGCTAAGTAATTTACATAAAGAACTCAAAAATTTGAAAACCATTTAGGGCAGAGAGACATATTCTTTGTGTTTTGTTTTGTTTTGTGTGTGTGTGTGGTTTTTGTTTTTTTTTTTGAGATAGAGTCTAGCTCTGCTGCCAGGCTGGAGTGCAGTAGTGTGATCATGGCTCACTGCAGCCTCAAACTCCTGGGCTGAAGAGATCTTCCCACCTCAGTCTCCTGGGTAGCTGGGACTATAGGACTACAGGCATGTACCACCATGCCCAGCTAATTTTTTTTTTTTTTTTTTTTTTTGGTAGAGACGAGGTCTCACCATGTCGCCCAGGCTGGATAGAAAACATATTTTTAAATTCATTGGTAATTAAAACTGTGATGTGTATGTTTGGGTTTTAAGCCTTTGTCACTTTTTCAGTTTTCTGAATATTTTCCAATTTTGGTTTAAATAATCTGAAAATATTATAGCTACAAAATTAATATTGCAAGTAATAAACGGTGGTCATTCTCAGAAAACCCTCCACTGACACATCCAATCAGCCACCATGTCGAAGTGTTTGACCACGATAAATATCGTTTGGCTTCATTGCCACCTCCTGTTGGTATTGGCACAGCTCTCTCCTGTCCCTTACTCAGGCCACCACTCAGGGCCCCAGCTGTTCTCACTGCCCCACATCCTTTCTCCTCCAATCAACCCTTCATATTACCATCAAGTTATTGTATAATCGAGTGTGACTAAATCCCTCCCCAGCATCAAGATATTTTTAGTAGTTCAAGTTACCTGCATCGTAATGTCCAAATGTTTCCCAGCCTTGTCTCCATCCCTCCTTCCTGAACAGCCCCAGAGCTCTGCAGGCCTGTTCATGCCTTTGTACTGCTTTTTTTGCACCTTTCTCAGCCCATTCTGTTTCCTCCTGCAGCATCTGGCTCCTCCCTCCATGTTCAATTTTGATGGCCCACCCTTGATAGCCCCATTCAAATGTCACTTCAAAATTGTCTCTCTCCCCCCAACACTGTTTAAGGAAAAACGGCAATAAGTCCAGGACAAACGACGCTTATGTCTCCTTTCTTACTCTCTCTGAATACTTTGTATATCCACCCATCCCAGCTCTTTCCATATTACACAAACCACATATTTACTTGCTAAGTCCCCCTCTGGAGACATTCAAGAGCAGAAAACATGCCTCCATATCCCTTGTTCACACCATCACCCTCTCCCCAACCCCAGTGCCTGGCACAGAACCCAGCAAATGTGTGCACAAATCAGGATGGAGATCAGTAAGAAGGGTCATCGCAAGGTCTTTCTGGGGAGGGTTGGTTAAAAAGCTAGAACTTCAGCCTTAAATCATGTAATGGAAGAATACTGATCTCATACTTAAGTGGTTAAGTGCATGAATGGGGTATTAGAAACACTCCTTCACATTTCAGGAGGTAGCAATAAAAGACATCAGAGATGGGAAGACTCAAATAACATTACTGATTTTCCACCCATCAATCAGTGCTCAGGCAGAAGAGCAGAAGGCTTTCTCTAGCCAAGCCCGTGCAAGGTGACTTCCGCCTTCGTAGACATCTTCAGCATTTAACTTCCACTCATCAGTGACTGCACAGGAATGAAATGCATTTACTCATCAACTATGGAAAGTCCCTCTTGATCATGGCCTCTTGTATGTCACTCTGTGTTCCACATCATTCACTGCCAAATAAGCGAATGTAGTGATGTTCACATGTGTGGCTTGTCATGACCACTCACTATAACCACTTACCATCTCTGTACAAATTTAAATTAGGGGAAGAAAAGGAAGTCCTTCTTAACTTTTCTGTTTTGTGTTCATTTCTTTAATAATTCTCTTATTGGACAGATATTAATAAACTAGTTATTAGAGAAAGTTGTGAGTTGATTTATCCTTTCACAGCAAACTCCAAAACAATTTTTCAAAGCCTAAGGAAGAGATGCACCCATTCACTTTATATTAGTTTGGGAGATGTAATGGTGAAAAAAACAGGGCCCAAGGGGAGTTGGGATTCAGACTGTGGAGGACCAGAGAATGAAGGAATCATTGGCATTCATGCAGGATCTAAAACTTTTTCATTTTTTGGGCCAAAATTTCATTTTTTTGGCACAGGAATACCTCAGAGATATTGAAGATTTGGTTCCAAACCAGTGCAATATAATGAATATCACAATAAAATAAGTCACATAATATTTTGTTTTCCCGGTGCAGATAAAAGTTATGTTTATACACTATACTATAGTCTATTAAGTGTGAAATAGCATTATGTCTTTAAAAATGTACATTCCTGGCCGGGCATGGTGGCTCACGCCTGTAATCCCAGGACTTTGGGAGGCCGAGGTAGGCAGATCACGAGGTCAGGAGATCGAGAACATCCTGGCTAACACGGTGAAACGCCATCTCTACTAAAAATACAAATACAGCCTGGGCGACAGAGGGAGACTCTGTCTCAAAAAAAAAAAAAAGTTTTATCATGAGATTGCCCCAACTCAGTCACATCATCAGGCTCCACTGCTAATTCTAGTTCTTGCTGTTTCCATCACTTCTGTAGTTACTTCCTCCAATGAAATCTTGAACTCCTCAAAGTCATCCACAAGGGTTGGAATCAACTTCTTCCAAACTCCTGTTAATGTTGATATTTTGACCTTCTCCCATGAATCATGGATGTTCTTTTTTTTTTTTTTTTGAGATAGAGTTTTGCTCTTGTTGCCCAGGCTGGAGTGCAAGGGTGTGATCCTGGCTCACTGCAACTTCCGCTTCCTGGGTTCAAGCGATTCTCCTGCCTCAGCCTCCCAAGTAGCTGGGATTACAAGCATGTGCCACCATGCCCGGTAATTTTGTATTTTTAGTAGTGATGAGGTTTCATCATGTTGGTTAGGCTGGTCTCGAATTCCTGACTTCAGCTGATCCACCCGCCTCGGCCACCCAAAGTGCTAGGACTACAGGCATGAGCCACAGCACCTGGCCAATCATGGATGTTCTTAATGGAATCTAGAATGGTGAATCCTTTCCAGGAACTTTTCAATTCATTTTGCCCAGATCCGTCAGAGGAATCACTATCTATGGCAGCTATAGCCTCATAAAATGTATTTCTTAAATAATAAGACTTGAAAGTCAAAATTATTCCTTGATCTGTGGGCTGCAGAATGGATGCTGTGTTAGCAGGCAGGAAACGATATTCATCGCCTTGTACTTCTCCATCAGAGCTCTTGGGCGACCAGGTGCAATGTCAATAAGCAGTAATATTTTGAAAGGAATCTTTCTTTCTGAACAGTTGGTCTCAACAGTGGGCTTAAAATATTCCGTAAACCATGCTGTAAATGGATGTGCTGTCGGCCAGGCTTTGTTGTTCCATTTATAGAGCACATGCAGAGTAGATATAGCATAATGCTTAAGCGCCCTAGGATCCTTGGAATGGTAAATGAACTTGGCTTCAACTTAGTCACCAGCTGCATTAGCCCCTAACAAGAGTCAACTTGTCCTTTGAAGCTAGGCATTTATTTTTCCTCTATAGCTATGAAAGTCCTAGATGGCATCTTCTTCCACCAGAAGACTGTTTCATCTACATTGAAAATCTGTTGCTTAGTGTAGTCACCTTCATCAGTTATGTTAGCTACATCTTCTGGAGAACTTGCTGAAGTTTCCCCATCAGCACATGCTGCTTCACCTTGCACTTTTATGTTATAAAGATGGCTTTATTCCTTAAACCTCATGAACCAACCTCTGGTAGCTTCAAATTCTTCTGCAGCTTCCTCACCTTTCTCAGCTTTCACAGATTTGGAGAGAGTTAGACCTTTGTTTGGGTTAGGCTTTGGCTTAAGGGGATGTTATGGCTGGTTTGATCTTCTATCCAGACCACTCAAATTGATTCCTAATCAGTAATAAGGCTGTTTTGCTTTCTTATAGTTTCTGTATTCACTGGAATAGCACTATTTAATTTCCTTCAAAAACACTTCCTTTGCATTCACAACTTGACTGTTTGTCACAAGAGGCCTGGCTTTCCTGTCTTGGCTTTCAACCTGCCTTCCTCACTAAGCTTAGTCATTTCTAGCTTTTGATTTCAGGTGAGAGACTTGCAACTCTTCCTTTCACTTGAAGAGTTAGAGGCCATTATAGGGTTACTAGTTGGCCTAATTTCAATACTGTTGTGTCTTAGGGAAAAGAGAGGCTGGAGGAGAGGGAGAGAGGCAAGAACAGCCTGTTGGTAGAGCAGTGAGAGAACATACCGTTTATCGATTAAGTTTACTGTCTTATTTGGGCACAGTTCGTGGCACCCCAAAACAATTACAATAGTGACACCATAGATTAGTAATCACAGATCACCAAAGCAGATATAATAACAATGAAAATGTTTAAAATATTATGAGAATTTCCAAAATGCGACACAGAGACACGCTAACGGAGCACTTGCTGTTGGGAAAATGGTGCCAACAGACTTGCTGGATGCAGGACTGCTGCAAACCTTCGATTTGTTAAAAACGAATGTCGGCCGGGCGCGGTGGC
This sequence comes from Homo sapiens, assembly GCF_000001405.40. Lineage (NCBI taxonomy): Eukaryota > Metazoa > Chordata > Mammalia > Primates > Hominidae > Homo > Homo sapiens. The sequence continues at coordinate 23,387,194 of NC_000013.11, forward strand.
TCACGCCTGTAATCCCAGCACTTTGGGAGGCCGAGGAAGGCAGATCACGAGGTCAGGAGATCAAGACCATCCTGGCTAACACAGTGAAACCCAGTCTCTACTAAAAAACACAAAAAAAATTAGCCGGGCATGGCGGCGGGCAACTGTAGTCCCAGCTACTCAGGAGGCTGAAGCAGGAGAATGGCGTGAACCCGGGAGGCGGAGCTTGCAGTGAGCAGAGATCGTGCCACTGCACTCCAGCCTGGGCGACAGAGCAAGACTCCGTCTCAGAAAAAAAAAAAAAAAAAAAAAAAGTCTGTGAATGAAATAAGGTATTCCTGGACTTGCCATTCTAAGGGCTTCACTTTCACTACGAAGCTGGAAGACCCTGTAGAGATAAGCTGGTCCCCTGGTCACCCTGACCGTTTCTTTTTGGTCCTCATAGACGGCTGGTTTTTAAACCATTTATCTGGGAAGTTGCCATTCACCTGTGTAGGGTGGTGGTTTGAGTTCAGGTGATGCAGCTTCTGTGATATCAGGAGTTTACCCAATGGACAGCATGGTGCAGAGAATTCAGTTCCTTAGCAGGAACTTGCAACTTAATCTGTCCCTTAAACTTTTTTATTACAACATGATCTATGGATCCAGAGAATATGGCGGTGAGGTACTATTAAGTAATAATGTGTGTAATCATCAGAGAAATGCATATTAAAACCACAATGAGACACCACTGTACCCCAGCCAGAAAGGCCATTATTAAAATGTCAAAAAACAATAGATGTTGGCATGTATGCGGTGAAAAGGAACACTTACACACTGCTGATGGGAATGTAAATTAGTACAACCTCTACGGAAAACAGTATGGAGATTCTTTAAAGAACTAAAAGTAGATCTGCCATTCAATCCAGCAATCCTGCTACGGGGTATCCACCCAAAAGAAGAGACGTCATTATATCAAAAAGACACCTGCACACATATGTTTATCACAGCACAATTCACAATTGCAAAGATATGGGCCGGGAGCGGTGGCTCACACCTGTAATCCCAGCACTTTGGGAGGCTGAGGCAGGAGAATGTCGTGAACCGGGCAGGCGGAGTTTGCAGTGAGCCGAGATTGCGCCACTGCACTCCAGCGTGGGTGACAGAGCGAGACTTTGTCTCAAAAAAAAAAAAAAAAGAAAAAACAAAAGATATGGAACCAATCGAAGTCCCCATCAACCAATGAGTGGATTTAAAAAATGGTGTGTGTGTATATATATATATATGGTACATATAATATAAAATATATATAAAATATAAAAATATGGTGTGTGTGTATATATATATATATATATATACACACACATACCACAGGCTACTACTCAGCCATTAAAAAAACAAACAAATAAAATAATGTCTTTTGCAGCAAATTTGGATGGAACTGGAGGTCATTAATTCAAAGCGAAGTAACTCAGGAGTGGAAAACCAAATATAGCATGTTCTCACTTATAAGTAGGAGCTAAGCCATGGGTACACAAAAGCATACAGAGTGGTACAGTGGACACTGGAGACTCAGAAGCAGGGAGGGTGGGAGGGGGTTGAGGGATAAAAAACTACATATTGGGTATAACGTGCGCTACTCAGGTGATGAGTGCACTAAAATTTCAGACTTCACCACTACACAGTTTATCCAAGTAACCAAAAACCACTTGTATCCCTAAAACTATTAAAAATAAATAAATAAATTTAATATAGTATTTCAGGGTGATAAAATACCAAAGAATCAGAAACCAAAAGAAAGTATCATTTGCAAATACCAAATTTTAATCCATGTATTCAAAAAATACATAACATGAGTTTTCTATGGACAAGGCATGGAGCTGAATGTCTTACATTCTTTATATATTTATTAATAAGATTTTAAATGGAAACTTGTATGTGTCAATTACCAAAGACACACCCATCTGTTAATTACTCCTTAGTACCCTCTACCATTTAGCTAAAACATATATGTGTGTGTATATATATATGTGTGTATGTGTGTGTGTGTATATAGCCTGTGTATATATATAGCCTGTGTCTTTAAGTTACAGGAAGGCTTTAAATAGTTACTGTGCTCCTGAAATGATGTGAAAGGTTACAGCTTTATTAAGTTGCCCAATACTTATTAATGCAATTTTAGAGTTGGTTTTATAACTAGGAACTGAATGTCTACTAATCAGCATGACTACAAAATAAAATTCAGAATTGTAAAAAAATATATATATATTAGTAACATGTGGATATAAAGATGATTTATTTCTGCCCACTGACCAGGGTCACTGGAAAAGGCAAACACTTAGAAAGTCGTCTTTACATCCACGTTACTAATTTTACTTAATATGGTATCTGCAAAGTACATGTGCTCTACTTGCCAAACTTCAACCTCCGAATTTAGAAAGATCTTATTCTGTGTCTCAGCTGAAAGTCTGAGCTAAGCTTTCTCTAATTTAAAAAAAGGACGGAATACGTGTACAAGGGATACGTAGTACATGATTCTCTTTGAAGGACACATTTGCTTCCATCCTCTATGCAGATAAAAGAACAAATTACAATGTCTAAAATCTGTTCTTTTTGTATTCTGCATTTAGCCATCATTTTCTTCTACTGTGAGAAGGATCAGTTCTACTCTTTCTGCTTTTTGCTTCTTTTTGCAGGGAGTTGGGGGATGGACAAGGGAGCATTTTAATTTTACATCAAAATGTCAAGTTATTTGGCTGCATCTACATATGCCAGAAGTCACAATAATATGCGACCACTTTTATGCAGCTTTTCTGATATTTATATTTCCTACAATTATGGAGTTTTATATTTTCTACAAATTTTCAATGGATTTGGTTTTTTTTCTATTCACTCTACAAGGGTTTAAAAGTTATTCTTTCTACAGGGTATAGAATTTATTATTTCTATAGAACCTATTTTACTTGGTCTAGGAGCTTCTGTAGGCTTCAAACTGTGTTTGGCTCTGAAAAGAATTAGTGCTTTATTTCTGCAGTATTTTTCTTCTTACTACTGTTCTAAATCACAACATACTAGAAGTAAGAATAACTTATAGTAAAGGTTCACACATAGATCATTTTTCCTGATTAATTAAAAAAAAATCTTCAGTCTGTTTGACTCCAAGTTACCATTTCTACATGGGATTCCACCCCTAAGAGATTTAACAAATGAGATCATTTAAAATCCTGGCTGGGCACAATGGCTCACACTTGTAATCCCAGCACTTCGGGAAGCTGAGGTAGGCACATTGCTTGAGTTCAGGAGTCCTAGACCAGCCTGGGCAAGATGGCAAAACCTCGTCTCTACAAAAAATATAAAAATTAGCTGGGGGACTAATTTTATATTTAGTGTGTGGGGGCACACACCTATAGTCTCAGCTACTCAGAAAGCTGAGCTGGGAGGTCAAGGCTGCAGTAAGCCATGATCATACCACCACACTCCAGCCTGGGTGACAGAGTGAGACCTTGTCTCAGAAAAATAAATAAGAAGTAAATAAGTAAATAAAATCCTAATGTGTTATACTGGGTAATACATTTGTTTTATGTTATTCTCATGAAGAAGCTATCAGTTTGTTTTTCAGTGAAGGCAGCCATCCCTCGTCGTGTCTAAAGAGCACTGATTCCAGTGCCCGCAGATGTTAAGTAGCGAGCGTGTTCATGTGTTGTCATGCCCCTCATTCAGGTGTTTACACTGAGCTCGCTCTGGTGCTGCACACAGGAGTCCCTCCTTCTCCAGCCCAAACCTGCCCTGGGCCACTCTGGGCTTCTCCAGGTGACCACCATGCTGTCTGAGAAACACTACCACACGCCTGCACCCCTCAGTGCAGACGCCACCACAGGCCGTGCCTGGGGACCAGTGCAACACAGGGTCTCTGGGAATTGCTTTAAAATACCAACACAAGGAAAAAGGTCAATATAAACTCATGTGGCGGAATTTCAATCATTGTGGAATCTGCACACTGAGTTTGTGAATGCTCCCAGTGATATTTTTCTATACCTCTGTACATGCCTGAAATTTTTCATGATAAAATTCTTAAAAAGAGGTCAAGAGGCACGGAAGTCAGGCAAAGGATTACTGTCAATTCTGGGTGAAGGAGGTGAACATCCAAGCATCTTTCCACAGACTCCAAATGTCTTCCCTTTGCCCCTGAGGCTCTGCCCACCCAGCTCTCCGGCTCAGGTTGGCCTCTTTGGGCAACAGGGCTGTGGTCACTTTGGTTGCAGGTGGAGTTGGCCCATAAGGAGTCCCCACAGGAGCTGGGAGTAAGGAAGAGAGTACGGTCAGGGAATTCATGCCTCCTGCAGCGTCACCAGGGCCTGGTTATGTCCTTCAGCCCAAGGTCACTGTCCTTCTCAGGGAGCTTGCTCTACATCGGGACTCTGCGCCCTTCAAGGTTCAAGTAATTGCTCCTCCCCTAGTCCCTCGGGTCTAGAGGGTCATGATGCCACAGCTACTACTTTCCCCAAGTTCCAGGATGGCTTCTCATGGTTCCGTTTCCCCCTTTGCACATAAACCCATGATTGATCCTAATTGGACTGTGGGGTGCCTGACCGGTAGAATACTCCACACAGTATGATCGCCTATTCCATCCAGGAGGGAGAAAGGGAATCAAACTGACTGTGACAGGTACAGCATGCCAGATTGGCAGGAAAGTACTGCAAAGTGCCCATCAGTGTGGGTTCCCTCCTTTCCTCCCTGAGTTCCTTCATGTGCACATGGAACATGGATCCCTTACCCTTCAGAAGCTGACAGAGCCAACAATGAGTCACCTTTTGCAGACCAGATGCAGACTGCAAATACTCCAAGGAAGGGCTCAGAATCACGCATGCAGACTGACTTTCCTGTCTCCCAGGATGCAGTAAAATGGAGCCCGGAGCTGGGAGCTGAGGGAAACCAAGTCTACCGGGTCCCCCCAACTTGACGAGGACCTCAGACGGTCAGGAGGCATCCTGTTGCCTTTTGATGACTCTTTTCCTAAAGATACTGTGTGGTACTCATCAGGACTGTAACCGGGCCCTCTCTTTCCATCTTGCATTTCCTATGTAATGGCCAAAGACACTTGGTATGCCTCTCCCCAAAACAGACTATGGCATACTTGGACATATGGAGGGATGACAGTGGCAAAAAGAAAATCCCTGAAATCAACAAAGTGGGATTAGACAGCCAGGTTTGCAACTAACTGCTTATTAGGCTGAGACAGTGGTGGACAGCACCTTTCCTAGAACGCCTGTGAAATGACAGGCACTTTGGGGTGTGAGAGTCATTCACACACTTAGAAAATACAATGCCTCCAATGACTAGGCTTTGTGTTGTTTCTGGAGAAGGGAGTCATAACAACAATGGTTGCCTTTTCTCGAGCACTCATTCTGTGTCAGATACTATGTGAAGTGTTCTACATGCAAAATCCCTAACATTATTTCCTCATGATATGAAAAAAGTAACTGATTCAAGGCCACACGACTAGCAAATGGCAAAGCTGAGTCAAACCAAGGATGTCTGGCTTAAAAGTTTATGCTCTTTCCATTACACAATTTGTTTTCTCCTAAAGGAGGCGGAAGGATATTTGTTGAGAGTTTTGTTTCATTCGGATGCAGAGGTATCTAAGAAAAAGAGGAGGGAGAAGCCATAGAAGGGACAAGACAGGCCCTTCTCTCCCCTCTCCTGGCCACATGTGAAGGACGGGTTTTGAGCCTCTGAAAACATAAGATGAAGCCACAGTGTTCATGAAATACTGGGCAGGACTGAGTTCATGCATAGTCACCTCCCTCCCAGAAAACACAATAAGCACAGACATCGGGAGAGGCCATTCACCAACCCTCACCACCCCACCCACAAGTTGCAGTCACCTTGGGCTCACAGGGTAGTTGGGTGCAGGGCAGTAACGTCTTTCAGAGGGCACCAGCTGCAAAGCCACGGCAGGGCCCCTGGACCAACAGGCTCAAATGGAAAGAACATGAACAAACTTGTTCCTAAGCCCATGTGAGACGTCACCTCTCCAAGGACACCCAGAAATAGCTGGGGAAGAATTTAAGCAGATGAGAGAAGCATGGAGGTTAAGGTCTTGTCAAGCAAGTTTGGAGTTTGGAGCCATGGAGATATGTGTGTAAATATTCACTGACTTTATTTATCCTCATGAACTCCTGAAACCTAGGACAGGTGGAATATGGCTAATCCACTTGTTCCTTCTTTGGGCCCTGGCTCTGTTTCTGGGTTACTGGCACTAGGTCATGGCCCCAAGCCCACGTCCTCCCCTGTCCCTCATCACCCGTGTTCGCTGCTCATTTCCTTGGCCCTCTACTGCCCACCTGCTCGTCCCTGGCTGTGCTTGTCTTCAGCTACGTGGACCCCACTGTTCTGCCTACTCTCCTGAACACTGGACTCTGCTCTACCACCTGAATTTTTAGTACTCCCATTGTGATCTCATCAAAAACCTATATTTCTTCTTTGTCCCTGACTCCTGGCACACAGCACTTAAAACTCTTGAATTTTCTGAGTGATAGGAGTGTCTTTTGTTATTAATAAAGAGCCCCTTTTGGCCCTACCTCAGTATTCTTGGTATTCTTTTTTTTATTTTTTTTTATTTTTTTTGAGACGGAGTCTCGCACTGTCACCAAGGCTGGAGTGCAGTGGCACGATCTCGGCTCACTGCAAGCTCCGCCTCCTGGGTTCACACCATTCTCCTGCCTCAGCCTCCCGAGTAGCTGGGACTACAGGCGCCTGCCACCGCGCCCGGCTAATTTTTTGTATTTTTAGTAGAGATGAGGTTTCACCGTGTTATCCAGGATAGTCTGGATCTCCTGACCTCGTGATCTGCCTGCCTCAGCCTCCCAAAGGGCTGGGATTACTGGCATGAGCCACGGTGCCTGGCCTTCTTGTTATTCTTTAGATAGCTTCCAGGTGGGGGCTGGTGGCCAAGCGAACCAACCACGTGATTAATGGGCTGGAACTTTCAGCCTCACCCCTGATCTCCAGGGAGAGGTGAGGTGCTGGAGATTGAGTTCCATCACCAATGGCCCTCTTTTCCACTATACCTCGTCCTGGGGCCCTGTCTTTGGCCTACCTATTCAGTTGTAGCAAGAATGCTGCTAAGTCAGTTTAGCAAGACTCCCCTACCTTTAATATCTGATCAACCTGGCCTGCCATCAGCAAGAATCCTCTACCCTTGATGTCTCCCCTTGGGAATTTCCATGCACTGAACCCTCTGCTCCTTGACTAGAAATCCCCAGCTCTCTTTGCCATATTGGGAGTTGAGCCCAATCTCACCCCCATTGTGTAGCAATAGCCCTAAAAAGTCTTCCTCACCATTTAAACAAATGTCAGAATAATTTGTTCTTTAACACTTACAGTGTCATGACTTGCATAGGATCAGATTCATCATTAGGGCTGGGCGCAGTGGCTCATGCCTATAATCCCAGCACTTTGGGAGGCTGAGGCAAGTGGATCACCTGAGGTCAGGAGTTTGAGACTGGTTTGGCCAACATGGTGAAACCCCATCTCTGCTAAAAATACAAAAAATTAGCCAGGTGTGGTGGCACACATCTGTAGTCCCAGCTACTCGGGAGGCTGAGGCAGGAGAATCACCTGAACCCGGGAGACAGAGGTTGCAGTGAATCGAGATCGCGCACCTGCACTCCAGACTGGGTGACAGAGCAAGTCTCCCTCTCGAAAACAAACAAAGATTCGTCATTGGACTCCTGGACCTCTCATCTTATCATTGGATCCTTGGACCTCTCATACCCAGACACACACCTTTGAAGCCTTTTCTTCAGTTCTGACTGATTTATTAGGGATCCGTTCATGAGTCCAACTCCTAAGCCAGTGCTCCAGGTAAAGACAGACTTTGATTCTTAAGATTGAGTATACTGTAGAAGCTGGTTTAGAGGAGTCCTAGGCTTCTCTGTTCATTCGACAGGGAGGCTGGGTCAGAGTCCTGGGCTTCCCTGTTTATTAAATATGGAGGCTGGGTCAGAGTCCTGGGCTTCCCTGTTTATTAAATATAGAGGCTGGGTCAGAGTCCTAGGCTTCATTGCTTGCAAAGTACCATTAGTTAAGAGTATGGGAGCTTCTCAGTCACTGAAACCCCCCTTCTCAAGCCCTTGATGGCTGTATGCTCCACCACTAGGGCCACTAGGGCATGCACTCACTCTGTCCACTTCCTTCCTTATGGCATAATTTTACTAAGGATAATTTGGAACTTTGATGGCTTCCCCAAACGGGCACCTTTAAGACCTCCCCCTTCCTATCCCCTCTGCTCCTCTTTCCTCCTTTCACCACCTTTGATCTTCCCTTCAGTTCCTTTGAATCCTTTAATATGTTGTCTTTGAAACCCCTACTTCTCCACCATCCACCTGTCCACTTCTGCCAGAACTTTCCCTTCCCACTCAAGCCTCCCACCTCCCTACAATCACCGGAATCTTAGGCCTCCTACCCACATCAGGAGCTCTCAAAGGACCCCCAAAAGCAATCAGATATATGAGCAAATGAAAATCTTACAAGTCTCCTCCATAAATATTGGTGGAAAGCATTAGCCCTCGTAGTGAGCAGGTAACCTTACCTTATTCTATCTGTCAGAAACACTTAGGAAGCAGGGCAAAGATGAGAGCCAAGTATTTTATACAAACCTGTGAAATTTATTTTACTCTTTTTACCTGACATGTAGCTACAATATTCGAATGAAAGCTACAAGGTCTCTATTTGCATCTGTATGTAACTTTATATACGTATGCATGTATGTTATGTGTGTATGGTATTTTTCTACCTCTGCATGGGATTGCCAAGTTAACTTATAAAATCCCTTTAAGGATTTCTATTCACATTGGCTTAGAGATAAATCAGAACTTATATAAATTCAGGCCGGGTGCAGTAGTTCATGCCTGTAATCCCAGCACTTTGGGAGGCCGAGGTGGACAGATTATTTGACGTCAGGAGTTCGCGACCAGCCTGGCCAACATGGTGAAACCGTGTCTCTACTAAAAACACAAAAATTAGCCAAACGTGGTGGCAGGCACCTGTAACCCCAGCTACTTGGGAGGCCGAGGCAGGAGAATTGCTTGAACCCAGGAGGCAGAGGTTGCAGTGAGCCAAGAGTGTGCCACTGCATTCCAGCCTGGGCGACAGAGCCAGAATCTGTCTCAAAAAAAAAAAAAAAAGAACTTATATAAATTCAATATCCTAAAACTCCCAGAAATCCAGATACCAACCCAAATGTTTTTCAAGCTCATATGATTTGAGTAAATTTTTAATAACTAAGACTATTTTGGAATTATTGGTTTAATAAAAATGAATTATCAGCATTAAATATAAGCATTATTCTTGGATTTACGGTCAATTAAGGTAAAATTATAACCACTAGATGTTTAAGATTAATTTTTAAATTATAAATTTAACCTAAGAACAAATGTGTAAGTAAAGATGCAGTAAAAATGAATTGCTTGACATACATTACTTCATATATATCAAACAAGCAGTAAAACAAATAGAAATCCACATATTTAAATCTTTTCACTGTTTTTCTTTAATTTTGTGATACATGCCTAACATGTGTATGTTAACTGAAAATAGTTAACAGTTAAGTTAACTTAAATAGTTAAGATGATGGCTAGCTTTGTATAATGTTATAATATGTCTGCTAAAAACAGTTTCTAAAATCTTTTTGGCAACTGGCAGCCTTAGAGTTATACTAAGTAATAGACATTCATTAGCAATTTCTAAGCAATCTCAAGTACTGAAACATTAATTACTAAGCCTAAGTTTAAGATTACATAATTTTGGCTTCTTATTATTATATGGTCTAGGGGGCCTATGTATTTAGGCTTGTTAATAAATATGAAAAATTATACTATAAGACAGCATAATCCTATAATAATTGTGAGATGGTAGATTCATAAAACTTGCTAGCCTTCTACAGAATGCTGGTACACAACAGACAATTCACAGTTGTCTACTTCCTAGTTCTCTCTGTTAAAAAAAGGTTGGTAATGGTTAAAAATTATAATCCATATTTGTAAAGGAAACTATTACAATTAATAAGGGTGAGGTGAAACAACTTTGTTTGCAAACTCTGTTTTCATTAAGGGAAAAGAGAGTAATTTTGTTCTAAAGTAAAATGACTGGTTGTTCCAGAATGAGAAAGAAACAAATATAGGACAAAACTTGAATAACTATAAAAAGTTGTAAAAGGTTTGTGAGAAATATTGCAAAAGGAATCTTATCTCATGTGGCCAAAGCTCACTAAGATTGGATTAATTTATTTATAAGGTTTCTTTTTTAATGCATTTTAGTCTCTGTTAAAATGACAAAGTTTTCTTGGATTATTGATCTGCTCTTAGTAACATATTTTAAAAAGGTTTTCTTTATCTTTTGAGTAATCCACCTAGGAAACAAAGATTTTATGTCTTCTCAGAATAATTTCCTGTCCTAACCTTTACCATGTCCTTGGCAATTTAAAAGGACCAAGTCCTCTCACATTTAAGAGCTAAGGTTTTTTACAATTATGTTACCACCTCTATTTACTTTTGAATACTATTACTGTCATATCAAAGAAAAGAGTCAAACTCTGTAAAATATTTGAAGAGATTTATTATGGGCCAAATATGAGTGACCATGGCCCATACACATCACTCAGGAGATTCTGAGAACATATGCCCAGGGTGGTTGAGGTACAGCTTGGTTTTATATATTTTAGAGAGGCATGAGACATCAGTTAAATACATTTAAGAAGGCCAGGCGTGGTGGCTGATGCCTGTAATCCCTACACTTTGGGAGGCCGAGGTGGGCAGATCACCTGAGGTCGGGAGTTCGAGACCAGCCTGACCAACACGGAGAAACCCTGTCTCTGCCAAAAATATGAAATTAGCTGGGCGTGGTGATGCATGCCTGTAATCCCAGCTACTCAGGAGGCTGAGGCAGGAGAATCGCTTGAACCCAGGAGGTGGAGGTTGCAGTGAGCCAAGATCACGCCATTGCACTCCAGCCTGGGCAACAAGAGCGAAACTCCATCTCAAAAAATAAAATAAAATTAAATTAAATTTTAAAAATACATTTAAGAAATACATGGTTTTAGCTGGGTGTGGTGGCTCATGCCTGTAATCCTAGCACTTCGGGAGGCCAAGGTGGGCAGATCACCTGAGGTCAGGAGTTCGAGACCAGCCTGGCCAATGCAGTGAAACCCCATCTCTACTAAAAATATAAAAAATTAGCGAGGCGTGGTGGTGCATGCCTGTAGTTCCAGCTACTCGGGGGGCTGAGGCAGGAGAATTGCTTGAACCAAGGAGGCAAAGGTTGCAGTGAGCCGAGATGGCACCATTACACTCCAGCCTGGGCGACAAGAGTGAAACTCCGTCTCAAAAAAAAAAAAAAAAAGAAATACACTCGTTTGGTTCAGAAAGGTGGAACAACTCAAAGCAGGGGCTTCCAGGCTATAGGTAAATTTAAACATTGTCTGGTTGACAATTGGTTGAGCTTATCAAATATTATTATTTGAGGACAATTGAGATCTGGGATCAACGGAAAGGAATGTTTAGGTTAAGGTAAAGGATTGTGGAGACAAAGTTTTATTGTGCAGAGGAAGCTCTTAGATAACAGACTTCAGAGAGAGCAGGTTGTAAATTGTTTTTTATTGGACTTAAAAGGATGCCTGGTTGAGACCACCCTGGCCAACATGGTGAAACCCCATCTCTACTAAAATACAAAAAAAAATTAGCTGGGAGCAGTCCCAGCTACTCGGGAGGTTGAGGCAGGGGAATTGCTTGAACCTGGGAGGCAGAGGTTGCAGTGAGCCGAGATTGCGCCACTGCATTTCAGTCTGGTAACAGAGTGAGACTCCATCTCAAAAAAAAAAAAAAAAAACATGGATGCCTGGCTCTTAGTTAATTATTGATAGAGCAGGAGCATCGCCATCTTGGACAAGCCCCTCATTCTAAAGTTCACCTTAATAAAAAAACACCTAAATCTAAACGGCATCAGCCTGATGGCTAAGGTCAGCATGACCATAAACCACAAATAACATCTCCAACCAGAAACATCCCAAACTCCTCCCTGTCAGATACAGTAAGTTCCTTTTCAAAGGTTTAATTTCTGACCTCCTTTGTTCTTTGTTCTCGAGATCAACTTCCTTGTCCCTTCTCCTAAGCTACTTGCTCTGTAACAACTTCTGCCGGTCCCAATCTGTAACTCACATCTCTTCCTTGTTTGGGAAGAGTCCTCTTTTACTTCTGGCTACCCATTCTGTAAACTGCCCCTCCCGCCGAAACTACCCTTCCCGCCTTTGCCGTGCCCTGACATGCCCAAACATGTCTTGTACTGTAATGGACAGCCTCTCCCTTCCCACCTAATTAGCCATATTCAATTTTAAACAGTAGCCAATTGGGTCAGTTTAGATAGTACACTCCTACTCCAGCCTATGGGGATAGGACACAGAAGCAGGGACTAACCACGTTAGGGATGAAACCCCCTTCCCTCCTTTGTTTGGTGTGTTCTCCCAGTGGCCAGAAGTGTGAGTGGCACCCTTCTGCAGAAGTAAATTTGTCTTGCTGAGAAATCCTTTGAGTGCTCGTTTTCCTTGTGACTCTGAGCTCTTGTTTCTAACATCCCCCATCACAGACATGCTAGCCCCTAGATAAGCCCCCTCCAGCCAGGAAGATGCCAGCCTTGAGATAACCTCCCCTCCTACCAGAGAGCTTCCAACCCTGCCATAAACTTCTCCGCACACATAAACATTCCAAGCTTGTGATAAGCCCCCTCACCCTAAAACCAATATATACTCTTAACCTATAAGAGAAAGTGCTCCTGACTGCTATCGGCCAGGGGTGCCTCTCAGGTTTTAACTAAAGAAAACCTGTCTTTGACTGCCAAGCCACATTTTGTGTTTCTTTCCTCTTTCTTTAACTCTTACAATTATCTCCTGGATCTGGGAAGGAAGGAAGGAAGGAAAACAAACAAGGGAAGGGGATTCTCTATAGAATGTGGATTTTTCCCACAAGAGATTTAGCAGGGCAATTTCAAGGTATGGCAAGGAAATATATTTTGAGGTTAAATCTTTTTCCCTTGTCTCATAATGTTATGCCAGAGTGAGACTGAATTGTAAGTCACAATATATAGGGTCAAATATAACCCATCTGATTAGAATTTATGGTTTATATGGCATGACTCCCTAGACCCCTTAGATAGGAATTTGGGTAAGATAAAAATCAGAGCTTAGTCCTCAGTCACTTTGGTTATTTTTATTTACTTATTTTATTTTATTTTTTTGAGAAGGGGTCTCGCTCTGTCACCCAGGCTGGAGTGCAGTGGTGCCATCTCGGCTCACTGCAAGCTCCGCCTCCTGGGTTCATGCCATTCTCCTGCCTCAGCCTCCCGAGTAGCTGGGCCTACAGGTGCCCGCCACCACACCCGGCTAATTTTTTGTATTTTTAGTAGAGACACGGTTTCACCGTGTTAGCCAGGATGGTCTCGATCTCCTGACCTCGTGATCCGCCCGCCTCGGCCTCCCAAAGTGCTGTGATTACAGGCGTGAGCCACCGCGCCCGGCCAGTCACTTTGGTTAAATAGGTAGCTAAGCATTGTTTCACACCAACCTAACATCCTATTTAGTCAAATGTTCAAACCTCTTGATATTTTTGACAATTTTGCCTTCCCCAAATCAAATCCTAAACAAAACCTTGATCTACAATTGACCTTGAGTTTTCCCATAAGGCCCTTGGAAAATCCTCCCAAATTTGTTCTTTCACCTTGTAAATAGAGTGGTGTTAAAAATTATTAAGTTTATTCGATTTGTTGAACTGAATAAAAAGCGTATCAAATAAAAAAGATACCTAACCTTTGCTAGGTTACATTCAAATGGGTAAATATTATTAATATAAATATTTTAGAAATTATAAGAAGTTCCTAGAAAATGTGTCAATACCTGCATTGTCCATGACATGTCCTGGTGTAATATTTTTAGTCATAATTCTAGTTACCGTTTTAAAATGTTACACATATAAGAGGAAAAGATCTTGGGCCCCCAAAATCGCTCAGGAAAACTCAAGCTGGGAACTGCTTAGGGCCAACCTGCCTCCCATTCTATTCAAAGTCACTCCTCTGCTCTCTGAGATAGATGCATATCTGATTTGCCTCCTTTGGAAAGACTAATCAGAAACTCAAAGGAATGCAACCACTTGTGTATCACCTATCTGTGACCTGGAAGCTCCCTCCCCACTTCCAGTCTTCATGCCTTTGCTTCAAGTTGTCCCACCTTTCCAGACCAAACCACTGTATTTCTTACATATATTGATGGATGTCTCATGTCTCCCTTAATGTAGAAAACCAACCTCTGCCGTGACCACCTTGGGCACATGTCATCAGGACTTCCTGAGGCTATGTCATGGACGGATCCTCAACCTTGGCAAAATAAACTTTCTAAATTAACTGAGACCTGTCTCAAATTTTGGAGGTTCACACATGCCACAGAAATAACAAAATTTCCTTGTCAAATAAACTTTCATTAGCTCTTTAACCGTCTTAAGGCTTTTGCACCACTTTTGTTTTACTTTCTACTGTGATGCTTTTCCAGAAGCATCTGCAATCACAGGCCGAAGTGCTTGTCCTCACCAAAAAGGGACTGTCTCAGAGATCCATGGAAAGAACTAAGCCAGGTAATCTGGGAACAGACTCCTGATGGCATTCCTTATTAACTTTGAGGCCACACTACTAGACTAAGAGTTTCCAGAGGCCAGGCGCAGTGGCTCACGCCTCTAATCCAGCACTTTGGGAGGCCAAGTCAGGCAGATCATGAGGTCAGGAGATTGAGACCATCCTGGCTAACAGGGTGAAACCCGTCTCCACAAAAGACACAAAAAATTAGCCAGGTGTTGTGGCAAGTGCCTGTAGTCCCAGCTACTCGGGAGACTGAGGCAGGAGAATGGCATGAACCTGGAAGGCGGAGCTTGCAGTGAGCTGAGATTGCGCCACTGCACTCCAGCCTGGGCAAAAGAGCGAGACTCCATCTCGAAAAAAAAAAAAAAAAGACTTTCCAGAGATATAGTAGAGAAGCTATGGATTCATAAAATTGCTAACCTTAGATCAAGCAGAACAACAATTAATTACACGGGACTGAATGAACTAATAAATGATGACAATGGTTTTTGTTTGGAATATTGCTGTTGGATTTAAGAAATTCCTTTTCTGTTAAGCTATCTATAACAGTTAAACTACCTATAATTCACAATCTATACCATGCAATTTAGTGATTATGCCTTTGTAAACAGAAATAAAGCATTTACCTTTGCCTTCCCACCTAATCCCTCCAGAATTCAGAAACTCATCTTCATAGTTATATATTTATTTGCATAAGTTCAATAGGAATCTGTTCCCCTTGTAACAAGGCATAATTGGAAACTTTGGTCATATGACAAAGGCTTTGACTGGAATGTCATATTTGAGAATGATATGCACAGAATCAGATATGAGCAGACAGTTTTAAGGAATGAAGGTTGACTTTATGGAGAGAATGCTTACAAAGCCCTCTCGGGAAATCTGCCTGGTACCTTGCTTATGGAGTTCCCAGCCTTCCAGAAGAGTAAAGAAGGTCATTTTCTGGCAGGCCCAGGAACCTTAGGACCCAGAAAAGAGGAATTCACCCAAATATATAGGTATTGCAGATAAAGTCTGAGAGCAAGTTCTTAGCATGGCTTCCTAACCTGCAGATGCTTTCAAAAGTTTAATCAGGGCCGGGCATGGTGGCTCACGCCTATAATCCCAGCACTTTGGGAGGCCAAGGCAGGCAGATCACTAGGCAGGAGTTCGAGACCAGCCTGGCCGACATGATGAAACCCTGTCTCTACTAAAAATACAAAAAAAATTAGCTGGGCGTGGTGGCAGATGCCCGTAATCCCAGCTACTCGGGAGGCTGAGGCAGGAGAATCGCTTGAACCCAGAAGGTGGAGGTTGCAGTGAGCCGAGACTACACCACTGCACTCTAGCCTGGGCAACAGAGTGAGACTCCACCTTAAAAAAAAAAAAAAGTCCTTCTCACAAGTTCCAGCAAAGCAAACTTCAAAAAACTCACGTCTCTGCCAGGTTTTGGTATCAGGATGATGCTGGCTTCATAAAATGAGTTAGGGAGGAGTCCCTCTTTTTCTGTTGTTCGGAATAGTTTCAGAAGCAATGGTACCAGCTCCTCTTTTTACCTCTGGTAGAATTTGGCTGCTCCTGGGCTTTTTTTGGTTGGCAGGCTATTAATTTCTGCCTCAATGTCAGAACTTGTTATTGGTCTATTCAGGGATTCAAATTATTCCTGGTTTAGTCTTGGGAGGGTGTATATGTCCAGGAATTTATCCATCTTCTCTACATTTTCTAGTTTATTTGGGTAGAGGTGTTTATAGTATTCTCTGATGGTAGTCTGCATTTCTGTGGGATCAGTGGTGATATTCCCTTTATCCTTTTTTATTATGTCTATTTGATTCTTCTCTCCTTTCTTTATTAGTCTGGCTAGCGATCTATTTTGTTAATCTTTTCAAAAAAACAGGTCCTGGATTCCTTGATTTTTTGAAGGGTTTTTTTGTGTCTCTATCTCCTTCAGTTCTGCTCTGATCTTAGTTATTTCTTGTCTTCTGCTAGTTTTTGAATGTGTTTGCTCTTGCTTCTCTAGTTCTTTTAATTGTGATGTTAGGGTGTCAATTTCAGATCTTTCCTGCCTTCTCCTGTGGGCATTTAGTGCTATAAATTTCCCTCTAAACACTGCTTTAGCAGTATCCCAGAGATTCTGGTACATTGTGTCTTTGTTCTCATTGGTTTCAAAGAACTTATTTATTTCTGCCTTAATTTTGTTATTTACCCAGTAATCATTCAGGAGCAGGTTGTTCAGTTTCCATTTAGTTGTGCGGTTTTGAGTGAGTTTCTTAATCCTAAATTCTAATTTGATTGCACTGTGGTCTGAAAGACTGTTGGTTATGATTTGCGTTCTTTTGCATTTGCTGAGGAGTGTTTCACTTCCAATTATGTGGTCAATTTTAAGTGCGATGTAGTGCTGAGAAGAATGTATATTCTGTTGCTTTGGGGTGGAGAGTTCCGTAGATGTTGGATGCAAGGCTGGTTCAACATACGCAAATCAATAAACGTAATCCATCACATAAAAAGAACCAATGACAAAAACCACGTGATTATCTCAATAGATGCAGAAAAGGCCTTTGATAAAATTCAACACTCCTTCATGCTAAACACTCTCAATAAACTAGGTATTCATGGAATGTATCTCAAAATAATAACAGCTATTTACGACACACCCACAGCCAATATCATACTGAATGGGCAAAAGCTGGAAGCATTCCCTTTGAAAACCGGCACAAGACAAGGATGCTCTCTCTCACCACTCCTATTCAAAATAGTATTGGAAGTTCTGGCCAGGGCAATCAGGCAAGAGAAAGAAATAAAGGGTATTCAAATAGGAAGATAGGAAGTCAAACTGTCACTATTTGCAGATGACATGATTGCATATTTAGAAAACCCCATCATCTCAGCCCAAAATCTCCTTAAGCTGAGAAGCAACTTCAGCAGTCTCAGGACACAAAATCAACATGAAAAAATCGCAAGCATTTCTATACACCAATAATAGCCAAATCATGAGCGAACTTTCATTCACAATCGCTACAAAAAGAATAAAATACCTAAGAATACACCTTACATGGGATGTGAAGGACCTTTTCAAGGAGGACTACAAACCACTGCTCAAGGAAATATGAGAGGACACAAACAAATGAAAAAACATTCCACGCTCATGGATAGGAAGAATCAATATCGTGAAAATGGCCATACTGCCCAAAGTAATTTATAGATTCAATGCTGTCTCCATCAAGCTACCATTGATTTTCTTCAAATAATTAGAAAAAACTACTTTAAATTTCATATGGAACCAAAAAAGAGCCCGTATAAGCCAAGATAATCTTAAGCAAAAATAACAAAGCTGGAGGCATCACATTACCAGACTTCAAACTATACTACAAGTCTACAGTAGCCAAAACAGCATGGTACTGGTACCAAAACAGATATATAAACCAGTGGAACAGAAAAGAGTCCTCAGAAATAATGCCACACATCTACAACCATCTGAACTTTGACAAATCTGACAAAAACAAGCAATGGGGAAAAGATTCCCTACTTAATAAATGGTATTGGGAAAACTGGCTAGCCATTTGCAGAAAACTGAAACTGGACTCCTTACACCTTATACAAACATTAACTCAAGATGGATTAAAGACTTAAATGTAAGCCCTAAAACCATAAAAATCCTAGAATACCTAGGCAATACCATTCAGGACATAGGCATGGGCAAAGACTTCATGACTGAAACACCAAAAGCAATGGCAATCGAAGCCAAAATTGACAAATGGGGTCTAATTAAACTAAAGAACTTCTGCACAGCAAAAGAAACTATCATCAGAGTGAACAGAATGGGAGAAAATTTTTGCAATCTATCCATCTGACAAAGGGCTAATATCCAGAATCTACAAGGAACTTAAACAAATCTACAAGGAAAAAAAAAACCCCATTAAAAAGTGGACAAAGGATATGAACAGACACTTCTCAAAAGAAGATATTTATGTGGCCAACAAACATTTGAAAAAAAGCTCATCACTAGCCATTAGAGAAATGCAAATCAAAACCAAAATGAGATACTGTCTCATGCCAGTTAGAATGGTGATCATTAAAAAGTCAGGAAACAACAGATGCTGGAGAGGATGTGGAGAAATAGGAAAGCTTTTACACTGTTGGTGGGAGTGTAAATTAGTTCAACCATTGTGGAAGACAGTGTGGCGATTCCTCACTGTCCAGAAATACCATTTGACCCAGCAATCCCGTTACTGGGTATATACCCAAAGGATTATAAATCATTCTACTCTAAAGACACATGCACACGTATGTTTATTGCAGCTCTGTTCACAATAGCAAAGATTGGAACCAATCCAAATGCCCATCATTGATAGACTGGATAAAGGAAATATGGCACATACACACAATGGAATACTATGCAGCCATAAAAAGGATGAGTTCCTGTCCTTTGCAGGGACATGGATGAAGCTGGAAACCATCATTCTCAGCAAACTAACACAGGAACAGAAAACCAAACACCACATGTTCTCACTCGTAAGTGGGAGTTGAACGATGAAAACACATGGACACGGTGGGGGGAAACACCACACACCAGGGCCTGTCGGGGGGTGGGGATTAGGGGAGGGATAGCATTGGGAGAAATACCTAATGTAGATGACAGATTGATGGGTGCAGCAAACCACCATGGTACATGTATACTTATGTAACAAACCCACACGTTCTGCACATGTATCCCAAAACTTAAAGTATAATAAAAAAAAGTTCTAATATTAAGTATTATTTCTCCTAATATCAACTAAATAACTGCCAATTCCACATAAAACACTTCTCTTACCATGAATTCGTATCATGAATTTTAGTATTTTCAAATCACAATAAATTTACAAAAAGGGAGAATTTTATTATAGGTAAATTGTATCCTATTAAACCTGACTTTAAAAAATTAATGGGCAAAAAAACCCCTCACGTCATCAATTATTATTTTTTGCATTTATGTAAATAATCAGGCCAAATCTAATGAAACCAGACATTTTGTCAATGAAAACAATCTTACTTTGGTTATCTTGAATCAAAAAGGGGACATCATTGTAGAGAGATATTTTATGCTTCAATCTACAGCACACCCTTGTAGGTTATCAGTTTCTAGATGTGTTCACTGTCTTTGAGCTATTTTTCACCTCTTTGCAAATTAAAGTCAGCCATTTGGCACAGTGTATCTTCCACACTCTGCTCCAGGAAATAACCATGACCGTGACACTGATGTCTATGCCATCACCAAGGACATTCAAACTGAAAGCCAGGACAGCCACTAGAGGGCCACTGCCATCCTCATTCTGCCACCCGAAGATACTGTAAGCCCAACATCTAGACTCAGAAACTGAGTTTACAGTCTGCTCTACCCATGCATCTTTGTTTTTCTTTTTATTTATTTATTTTTTTCAAGACGGAGTCTTGCTCTGTTGTCCAGGCTGGAGTGCAGTGGCGCAATCTCGGCTCACTGCAAGCTCCACCTCCCAGGTTCACACCATTCTCCTGCCTCAGCCTCCCAAGTAGCTGGGACTACAGGCGCCTGCCACCACGCCCGGCTAATCTTTTTCTATTTTTAGTAGAGACGGGGTTTCACCGTGTTAGCCAGGATGGTCTCCATCTCCTGACCTCGTGATCTGCCCACCTCGGCCTCCCAAAGTGCTGGGATTACAGGCGTGAGCCACCACGCCCGGCCTGTTTTTCTTTTTGTTTTTCATAAATGTCTGACTTATTGAAGCATCCAGCAAATATCCTCTATCACCAAGTCTCAACAGATGGTTCAGCTGGTCCTTAATGAACAAAAAAGACAACCAACAAGAAATGGACTTAGATGGTTCAGACAGAAGAATGTCTGTTCTTTCATGAACAACAGGGGGAACTAAAATAGACTTTCTCTTTAACCAAACATTAGACAGGCTCCCCCACGCCCTCTTTTTGACACGGCATTGTCTTCGGGTCCTGCCTTTGACCTGCCTAGCCCAGCTGGTGCATGCATCCCGCCAAGTCAGTTCAGACAGAATCCCCTGACTCCGGCTATCTGATCACCTCCACATCCCATCGGATTCCTCAACCCCACCTTGATAGCCGATCATTGTTTCAAGTCAGTTCAGCAAGAGTCCCTGACTTTTGACATTCCCCCTTAGTAATTTTCCATGCAGTGACCCCTCACACTGCACATTGGCTGTGAATCCTCAGCTGTCTGTGCTGTATTAGGAGTTGAGTCCCTATCCCTCTCCCCTGTTGCAATCGTCTTGATGCCTATCAAAGTAGTCCTGAGTAAAGTCTTCTTTACTATTTTAATAG